>NC_000003.12:26260000-27510000 GCF_000001405.40 Homo sapiens | reverse complement strand
GAGGCAGGAGAATCACTTGAATCCAGGAGGCGGAGCTTGCAGTGGGCCGAGATTGCACCATTGCACTCCAGCCTGGGTGACAGAGTGAGACTCTGTCTCGAAAGAAAAAATAAATAAATAAATAAATAAATAAATAAAGGCAGGGCCTTACTATGTTGCCCAGGCTGGTCTTGAACTCCTGGGCTCAAGTGATTCTCCTGCCTCGGTCTCTCAGAGTGCTGGGATTACAGGTGTAAGCCACTGCACCTGATCCCCTCATAATTTTCTAATTTTATCTGGAAGTTTCTGGGACCTTCCTGGGAAACAGAGTCTGAGAGTCTGAGATTTTTGTGCAGAAGGTTAACTGCGGTGCACTTTCAGGATCAGCACTTGTGAAGAGTAAAAAAAACAGAACTAGGCAAAAGCAGAAGTTGAACTCCTATGCAATTGCAAAAGAGGCCTCTGCTGATCCTACAGAGAGCTTTGAAGCTGTGGTAGCCCTTCAAAGTTGTTCCAAATGGAGGCAAAGTGTCTGGGCCATTTTGGATGCTGGCTGTCCCCAGGGAGGAGTGTAACTTTTTTTTTAAGATGGAGTCTTGCTTTTGTCGCCAGGCTGGATTGCAAAGGCACAATTTTGGCTCACTGCAACCTCCACCTCCTGGGTTCAAGTGATTCTCCTGCCTCAGCCTCCCGAGTAGCTGGGATTACAGGCGTATGCCACCACACCCAGCTAATTTTTGTATTTTTAGTAGAGACGAGGTTTCACCATGTTGTCCAGGCTGGTCTCGAACTCCTGATCTCGGTTGATCCACCCGCCTCGGCCTCCCAAAGTGCTGCGATTACAGGCATGAGCCATTGTGCCCGGCCGAGAAGTATAACTTTGGGCTAGATAACTTCTTTCAGCCCAGGGCAATTCTTTGAGAGAAACTGAGTTGTGAGCCATCAGCAGGCAATATCCAGCAGCTGGAGGGGTGAGTTCCTTGATCCGAAAGGGATCTGGTAGGGACATAACATACACTGTATGCATATTAGATGGACTGTATTATTTTGTTACAAAAAGAATAATAGCAGGATAGAAATAGGGAGAAATTCGAGTAAAAAGGAAAGAGAAAAAAAGCATAAATCAGTATTTGAGGAAAAGGGAAAATATAGAAGAAATTGAAAAATAATTAAATAACACTAAAGTATAAAATTATTTGTCATAAACAATCATTTCACAACACAGTGCATTCTAGTTGAAAACAGGCATTGTAATGGCCAAGGTCACTTGGTACATCAGAATTAGAGTTATAGAAAACACCTGTGAATCATGTTTGGCGGCTTGGGCTGTAACCTTCAAAGCACATTAAAATGATTGGAAATGCATTCTGTTAAGCGATTTACCAGCAGAGGTCATTGAGTCAGAAGAACACTCTCAGAGCATGAAGAGGCAGTATGATGAATATTGATGCTGTGAGTAAAGGAATTTAGATTTAGCAACTTTGAGTCTTGGCTTATCTATGAATTGCTGACTTTTAATTGTCTCCTGGGAAATTCAAAATCTATGTATATCTGGCTTTGGAATCCATTATGAGAATATTTTGTTTGCCTACTGACCATCACACTTTGAGTTCCGCCAGAAGCTGACCCTGAGACAAAGATTCGAGGACTAGTGGTTTATTTGAAAGTTGCAGGAAACACTGGTATGGCAGGTGTACGACACAGGGATAGAAAATGCAGCCACTCAAAAGTACGTTAGAAGCTTAGCCCCACCGTGAAATAAAACACACACTTTAGAATTACCTTGGCTCAAGGACTAGGAAGCTGGGGTATCAATCACCAGCACTTATTGGTCATTGGTAATGGCTCCTCCTGGGCATAGTAATTCTAAACTTCAGGCCTGTTTTGTGCACAGGTAGAGCAGGCTCCTTGGGCTTGGGGAAATGGCCTGAGGGCAGAGAGGCACGTACTGACAGCTGGAAGCTTGCAGAGAAGACCTGAGGGATATGAGCAAGGACCTGTCACTGTGGCCTCTGCTACACTGGCAGTCCTAAATATATTTTACTTGTTATGATATAGTCAGTTTCCATCCCCTGAGAACAAACCAAGTTGTGGCCAGGAGAGGGTGCCCAGATGGGTGCTGAGAAACAAGAGGAAACCATTCTGAGATTAAGCATTTCAGTGTGGACTAGGTACAAGGGCAAAACTGAAAGCTGACAGCAGCTTAACCAGGCACTCAATGCTCCTGGAAAAGTCCTATGTATGAAAGCCCACAGAGGTGGTTTCTTCCATTCATTCATTTGGACTATATGATTCCTGAACAGAAGGATAACAACAGAGTGGAACGTTTTCAGGTAGCAGTTACCTTGGTTCTGTGCCAGGTGGATTACTCACTGCTCACAAAGCTCCAGCTGGTATTTACCATCTAACAAAAGAGGAAAGAAAGGAGAAAAGTTCTTCTGCTGATTTTCTCATATCATTGTGCATAATGTGTGAGAGATGAGACAACATGATGGGGAAGAACAAGAAAAATTTCCCATGGATCTCGTTTATTTTTATCATGGGACATCAATTTATTTCTACCACTTAGGGAATATAAGATTCTCCAAAGTTTTGATGCTTTAGCTATATTTTGTTTATTAACTTCATATCTGAAGAATAACATTTAATTGGCTCACTTCCTGAAGGGCTTGTTTCATATCCTTGACTCAGATTACTATTGCATGATGAAGGAACAGCTTTACTCTCTCCTCTGACACAGAGCTGACTGAAGAACAATTCTGTGTCTCCCCCAAAATGAAATAAAGACTAGAGCAAGAAATGCCATGACCCTAAACATTCTCTTATGTTTTTACTAAGAAAATCCCCCTAAAAATTTAATCTGTAAAATCCCAACCAACCAGCCAGGATCATATTATCAAATTTATTTAACAGATCTTTATGTACTTCATATACTATGTACAGACTGTTGAGAGGAATACAGAAATGTGTAGTCCATGCTCCTAAACTTTATGGAGTGTATTAATTTTGAATTCAGAAGGCACGAAAGCAATTAATTGTAACAACCCAAAGTAGAATTAGTGTTCTAATATCACGTGAGAACATTAATGCTGCTAATAGCCCCTCTCTCATTAACCCTTCTAGCCCTTATATTTCATAATACATTATATAGAAGTTTTTTAAATTCTACCTTCAGTAGTTCCCTATGGTTTTTCCAACTCAAATGATAATTTACTTAAGATCAGGAAGCAGATCTTCAGAGCAGTGCTTCCTAAGTGTATACAAAGGCCCGTGATTCTGCATGTCCAGCAATCTCCCAGAGGCCAAGACTGCTGGTCCTCTGATCATCTCTTTTGTCCCCTGTAGCTTTGGCCACACTGTTCAGAAAACACCTGAAGATTCAAGATTGCAAAATTAATTTTGAAACTATCAATCACTCTTATTGCACCAGGAAAACTAGTTAGGAAGTTCTCAAAACACGGTAGATACTTCATGTGCTCAACAAATTATAGGGCAAATTGGATATGTTAGAATACTGTCTCTCCAACATTTACCCTCTTGGTGCTATTCTCTGTGCACTAAGCCTAAAGATTAAACATAGGAACATATCCTGCACTTTTTTTATTTTATTTTTATTTTTTTGAGGCAGAGTCTTGCTCTGTTGCCCAGGCTGGAGTGCAGTGGCATGATCTTGGCTCACTGCAACCTCTGCCTCCCGGGTTCAAGCAATTCTCCTGTCTCAGCCTCCCGAGTAGCTGGGACTACAGGCACACGCCACTGTGCCTGGCTAATTTTTGTATTTGTAGTAGAGACAGGTTTCACCTTATTGGTCAGGCTGGTCTCAAACTTATGACCTCAGGTGATCCACCCTCCTTGGCCTCCCAAAGTGTTGGGATTATAGGTGTTAGCCACTGCGCCTGGCCTATCCTGCACTTTTTAAAGAGGATGAAACATGTGTCTTTGTATTTTAACTCTGGTCTCTCCACAGAATTGCTCAGTTAACATTTCCTCTGGGTTATTTTATTTTATTTTATTTTTGAGATGGAGTCTTGCTCTGTCGCCCAGGCTGGAGTGCGGTGGCACCATCTCGGCTCACTGCAACTCCCGCCTCCTGAGTTCAAGCGATTCTCCTGCCTCAAACTCCCAAGTGCTGGGATTACAGGGACCCACCACCACGCCTGGCTAAATTTTTGTATTTTCAGAGAGAGGGGGTTTCACCATGTTGGCCAGGCTGGTTTTGAACACCTGACCTCAGGTGATCCACCCGCGTCAGCCTCCCAAAGTGCTAGGATTACAGGTATGTACCACTATGCCCGCCCTCAGGGTTATTATACTTGCTTTGCAGAGTAAGTTCTTTTGTAAGAAAGGGTGTGGAACTGAGTGCTGGTCATGGGCTCCAGAACAACTATTAAGCCTCAGTGCTGTGTAACAGTTCCAGAACAGTACATGCGTGGTGACAGCCTGCTGCTAATGTAGCCTAGTCCTCCCCCGCAAAGTAAAACACACAATGCAGGCTTCAGCCTGTTTTGTTTGATATATTTTGTCCCCCTCCAGCAGTTCATTTTATTTATTTATTTATTTGAGACAGGGTCTCACTCTATCGCCCAGGATGGAGTGCAGTGGTGCAATCTCAGCTCACCGCAACCTCCACCTCCCAGGGTTCAAGGAATTCTCCTGCCTTGTTGGCAGGTTGGTCTCTAACTCCTGACCTCAAGCAATCCACCCACCTCGGCCTCCCAAAGTGCTAGGATTACAGTTGTGAGCCACTGCACCCAGCCTACCAGCAGTTGATATTGAAATGAATTCTTCATGGCTTAATCTTTAGTATCCTGGGTCTTTCTTACCCCAGTGTAAGCCCCTCTAGTTATCTAGTGCCTCCCATACATCCCCAAACCAATCTCTGCTTCCTCTTCTTTGCCCTTGATGGGTCTTCCTACCAAACTTTCTCATTCTGCCCTTTGGGACTTTTATTCTCTCCATTGCAGTTTGAGTGATCTTACATAAACACAAGACTGATCAAGTCACTTTGCCTTAAATCCCTCCAAATGGCTCTCACTGCCCTCAAAAAATGCAAAAAATGTTGGAACTCATTAACATAATGGAGAAAGTCCCCACCTTCCACTTTAGCCAGTTTGTTTTAGTTCCTGGAATGTCCCATTCTCTTCTACCCCTGGTTCTTCGAGTGCTGTTTCCTCTATCTGCACACTTTCTCTAGTTTTATTCCTTTTTGTACATTAGGTCTCACCTAGCAGTTTCTATGTTTGAGCCTCTTTCCCTGACCCCAGGAATGAAGCTACCAGGGTTTGCCTGTACTCCCATCAATGCCCTTACCCAGTGCAGAGTAATTTCCTGTTTTCTTGTCTGCTTTCCCTGTTAGGCAGAAAGGTTCACCAGTCTTTGCCTTGTTCATATAGTACCCTCAGGGAGTAGCACGTAATAGATTCTCAACAGAACCACCTTCATGAGCACTGAGAAGGGAGCTGTGGGCTTGGGATTTAATGTTCAGCAGTTGTCCTCTTATACTTAATAATTTATTTTTGAATTTGTGTTTTGTAAATGAAGACCAGTGGAACAATGGAGCATGCACCAGGGGTTTGAAGTCTAGGCTCTAGCCTGGTTCCACCTCACTGGATGCTCTCCTGCCCCTACTCAGTGACTACTGCCATCCTTCTACATCCCCACACACCCACCAACAATCTGGGCACAGGAGGAGCACTATGACCACCTGTGGAGTCACTCACAGAGTCTGCAATGTCTGCAAGGGTCTGCAAATATCCACATGCCCAAGGGAACACGACATTGACTAGCAAATATAAAACATAATTTCAGGTTGAGAAGGAGACTGCAGAAGAAAGAAAAATACTTTTTTCTTGCTTTCTGAACAAGGAGTTTTCCATTTTCATTTTTCACTGGGCCCCACAAACTATGTAGCAAGCCCTGGTTCTCAATGAGTATTTGTTGAAAAGATTAATCAGAGTAATTTGATGAACCAACTGCATGTTGTTTCTTCAAAGCAGTCACCTAGAGAGATTTTCCAACAGTGTTGTCATTTCTTAAAATACTTTGGAACTTTTGAGAAAGTCACTCCTTTGTTTAACAGTTTTTTGAGCATCTACTATGTGCCAGATTCTGGTGTTAAGCAGTGAATTATTCAGACAAGACTGGAAAATCTATTCTTGGAATTACTTTGGAGTGGACTTACTTTTTGAAAGTAGCCAGAAGTCTCTGGGGATCACATTTGGCGAATAAAGTGCACTATAAAGCTAAATAATAGCAATCATATGACTTGAGACTAAAATAAGCTTTATAACAATGAAACCACAAATTAAACATATTGGGTTTCTTGGCCGGGCATGGTGGCTCATGCCTGTAATCCCAGAAATTTGGGAAGCTGAGCAGGGTGAATCACCTCAGGTCAGGAATTCGAGACCAGCCTTGCCAACATGGTGAAACCCTATCCCTACTAAAAACACAAAAATTAGTCCGGGCGCAATGGCTCATGCCTGTAATCCCAGCACTTTGGGAGGCCGAGGCAGGCGGATCATGAGGTCAAGAGTTCAAGACCAGCCTGGCCAACATGGTGAAACCCCATCTCTACTAAGAATACAAAAATTAGCCGGGCATGGTGGCAGATGCCTGAGGTGGGAGAATCACTTGAATCCAGGAGGCGGAGGTTGTAGTGAGCCAAGATCATGCCACTTCCTTCCAGCCTGGGCCACAGAGCGAGACTCCGTCTCAAAAAAACACAACAAAAAATTAGCCAGGTGTGGTGGCGCACTCCTGTACTCCCAGCTACTTGGGAGGCTGGGGCAGGAGAATCGCTTAAAGCTGGGGAGGTGGAGGTTGCAGTGAACCAAGATTGCACCACTGCACTTCAGCCTGGGTGGCAGAGTGATACTCCACCTCAAAAAAAAAAAAAAAAAAAATATATATATATATATATGGGGTCCTTATATGAATTTATAAAATTATTTTAAACAAACATTGAAAATTATTTCTTTCCTTTTTTTTTTTTGAAACGGAGTCTCACTCTCTCGCTCAGGATGGAGTGAGTGGTGCGATCTCAGCTCACCACAACCTCCGCCTCCTGGGTTCAAGCAATTCTCCTGTCTCAGCTCCCCGAGTAGCTGGGATTATAGGTGCATGTCACCATGCCCAGCTAATTTTTGTACTTTTTAGTAGAGATGGGAGTTTCACCATGTTGGACAGGCTGGTCTCAAACTCCAGACCTTGTGATCCACTTGCCTCGGCCTCCCAAAGTGCTGGGATTACAAACGTGAGCCACAGCACCTGGCCAAAAATTATTTCTTAATAAATGTAGAGTATCCCAAGGTTACTACCTTGATGCAGAAATTACAATTTAAATGTAGAAGTTCTATAGTAAATATCTTTTTTTAAAAAAAAAACTTTTTTTGGTCAGTTCCATTTTTCTATATTGTCATTTCTATTTTCTTTCTTTTTTTTTTTTTTGAGTCACAGACTTGCTTTGTTGCCCAGGCTGGAGTGCAGTGGCGAGATCTCAGCTCACTGCAAACTCTGCCTCCTGGGTTCAAGTGATTCTCCTGTCTCAGCCTCCTGAGTAGCTGGGATTACAGGTGCCCACCACCACACCCAGCTAATTTTTGTATTTTTAGTATAGATGGGTTTTCGCTATGTTGGCCAGGCTGGTCTCGAACTCCTGACCTCAAGTGATCCCCCCCACCACCTTGGCCTCCCAAAGTGCTGGGATTACAGGCGTGTGCCACCACACCCGGCCTGGTTTTTTATTTTCTTAAACATTACTTTTTCACATAATCCCAGACACAAAAGGAATCTGCAGCTGGCCAGAATGTGGTTATTAGGAATAACCTATTTCCACAATCACATTATTCTCATAATTTCCACCATGACTTGTTTGCTGATTTATTGGAGCTTCCAAATTATGATTTTGTTCATTTCTTGAATCCTTGTGATAATCTATTTATTTTGCAATACCTTCTCTATCTAGGCCAGACACAGGCTTATTAGCTGTGTTACCTTAACTTCTTTATGCCTCAGCTTCCTCATAGGATTGTAGTGAGGACTAAGGAATTAACATATGCAAAGACCTTAGCGTACTGCTTGGCATATGGTAAATGCCACACAAGAACTTTATTATAGGCCGGGGTGTGTTGGTTTATCCCTGTAATCCCAGCAGTTTGGGAGGCGAGGTGGGAGGATTGCTTGAGACCAGGAATTGAAGACCAGCCAGGCAATATAGCAAGACCCTGTTTCTACAAAAACATATTTAAAAATTAGCCAGGTGTGGTGGCATGTGCCAGTAGTTCTAACCACTTGGGAGGCTAAGGCGGGAGGATCGCTTCAGCCTAGAAGCGCAAGGCTGCAGTGACCTATGATTGTGTCACTGCACACTACTCTGTTGTCCAGGGGAGTGCAGTGGCTCGATTTCAGCTCACTGCAACCTCCGCTTCCTAGGTTTAAGCAATTCTCCTGCCTCAGCCTCCCAAGTAGCTGGGATTACAGGCACGTGCCACCACACCTGGATAATTTTGTATTTTGGGTAGAGATAGGGTTTCACCCTGTTGGCCAGGCTGGTCTCGAACTCCTGACCTCAAGTGATCCACCTGCCTTGGCCTCCCAAAGTGCCAGGGTTACAGGTCTGAGCCATCATGCCTGGTCCCAATAATTATTATTATCTGGCCTTATGCATCTAGGTCAGAGGTAAACAAAGTTTTTCTCAGAAGGGCCACATAGTAGATATTTTAGGCTTTATAGGTTAGATGATCTCTGTCACAACTATTCAACTCCACCATTGTAACACCAAAGTCAGCCTTAAATAATACATAAGTGAATGAGCATGGATGTGTTCCAATAAAACTTTATAAAAACAGGCAGCTGGTCAGTTTTGGCCCATGGGCTGTCATTTGCTGATCCCTGACTAGGCCTTTTCAACTAAGGTTTGCATGTGGATGGCTGGGAAAGGCTTAGCCAGGAGTCAAGAATGGAGGAGCAACAGGACCCCAGTCATCTGAAGCCCAGGTCACAGTAGTAACAGGCCTCTGTAGATATTATGGCCAAAAGTAAGGGCAGAGTTGGCATCCCCATGGACAGTGGAGGTAGTGGTGCTGACAGGCTACAGCTGGAAAACAGGAAGATGACTCCATGTATTTCACTTTCCAGAATTAGTTTTGTCCTGACAAATTGATTCAGTGAGCATTTTATAAACACCTACTCAGTGCCTATGTATGTAGAAGTTTACTGTTGATCTACCTACGCAAATGCCATATTTCAACCAGCTAATATTCAGTAGCCATCTCTAATTTAATTATTAAAAACTAGAGAAAGGTTTTTGAGGGTGTTGCAGTCCCCAGATTTCTATAACATTTTTTTTTTTTTTAATGAGATGGCGTTTTGCTCTTGTTGCCCAGGCTGGAGTGCAATGGTGCCATCTCGGCTCACTGCAACCTTTGCCTCTCGGGTTCAAGAGATTCTCCTGTCTCAGCCTCCTGAGTAGCTGGGATTACAGGTGCATGCCACCACACCTGGCTAATTTTTGTATTTTTAGTAGAGATGGAGTTTCATCATATTGGTCAGGCTCATCTCGAACTCCTGACCTCAAGTGATCCACTTGCCTCGGCCTCCCAAAGTGCTAGGATTACAGGAATGAGCCACTGTGCCCAGCCTACATTCTTTATTCTTACAGTTTTTGGTGAACCTAAGTAATAAGAGAAACTGGAACCTATTTAGTTATACTGGCCCCTGACCTGTTTGGCAATTACTTCCCTCAGGACTGGCCTCAAAGGAACCAGAAAGTTAAGCTTCATGTGATTGCCTAAGTAGAGATAGTAAAGTAGATCTAGACAGATATATACTTGTTTTCTCTATGAATTTGATGTCTTAATGCATTTGGCAGTCAGCATGTCTTGTTTTGCAACAGTCTGCCAGTTTTGTGTGGCACTCTCCTTAAGATAACAAGATTTCCATGCTTGAGTACCAGATAGTCTGGATTCACATTGTACTTTTCAGGGGTAGAGCTTTTCCTACAATCCTGAGGATGATCCAGACTTAAGTTGGGCTCTTATGATATATAACAAAAGGCTTAGATTGATTCATTCAGGAAGTATATTAATGTTAGCATCTTAGTTTATTTCCTTTCAATCATCTAATTGTTAACTTTTTTATGTATTACCTTCAGTTGATCATGTATAGATAGCTACAATTGATTCTATAAAAAAAAAAAAAACTTTTTTCCTTCTGCTCTCACATACTGAACACTGGACACCAGATGTGTGTGGGTTTTTCTCCACACACCAAGCAATTCTCTAGTGGACAATAGCTGGGTGTTCGACAATTAAATTCAATTCTGACACTAACTGGAGTCTGCACTGGTTAAGGGCTCACAGGTTAAGGGCTCAATCCCACAAGAAGACTGTCCCACACTTGAGAAACCAATCCCAAGCAGTAGGTTTCTGGTTACTTACAACTTCTCCCCCACTTGGTTGGAGGTTCTCACAATCCTCTCCTCAGATGGATTAATTTGCTAGAGTGGCTCACAGAACTCAGGAAATACTTATATTGACCAGTTTATTATATTAATAAAGGATATGATAAAGGACACAGAAGAACCATTAGATCAAGAGATACATAGGGCGAGGACTGGCAGGGTTCTCTCCCTGTGGAGTTGGGTTGTACCACCCTCCTGACATATTTATGTGTTCGCTAACCCTGAAACTCTCTGAACCCCATACTTTTTGAATTTTTATAGAATTCTGGATTCTATAAGAATTCTGGATTATTAAGTCCATTTCCAGTCCCTCACCCCTCTCTGGAGTATGAGAACTGTGGCTGAAAGTTTCAAGCCTCACCAGGTGAGGTAGCTCACGCCTGTAATCCAAGCACTTTGGGAGGCTGAGGCGGGAGGATCAGCTGAGGTCAGAGGTCAGGAGTTCAAGACCAGCCTGGCCAACGTGGTGAAACCTCATCTCTACTAAAAGTACAAAAATTAGCCAGGCGTGGTGGCAAGCGCCTGTAATCCCATCTACTCAGGAAGTTGAGGCAGGAGAATCGTTTGAACCCAGGAGGTGGAGGTAGCAGTGAGCAGAGATCGCGCCACTGCACTCCAGCCTGAGTGACAGACTGAGACTCCATCTCAAAAAAAAAAAAAAAAAGAAAAAGAAAGAAAGAAAGAAAGTTTCAATCCTCTAATTATGACCTGGACTTACTGGTGACCAGCCCCATTCAGGAGTATGCATCAAGTCATGTTACTAGAACAAAAGATGGTCCTATCATCACCCAGGAAATTTCAAGGGATTAGTAGGTCTGTGTCAGGGATTGAGGTCAAAGACCAAATATTAGAACAAAAGATGCACTCAGCGCTCTTATTGCTCAGGAAATTTTACAAGAGTTTTAGGAGCTGCATGACAGGAACTGGGGTCAGCAACCAAGTAAATATTTCTTATTATATGGCGGTATTATACACTCTATATCAAGTTTGTGCATATCTATATTGAAATATCTGGCCGGGCACGGTGGCTCATGCCTGGAATCCCAGCACTTTGGGAGGCCGAGATGGGTGGATCACGAGGTCAAGAGTTCAAGACCAGCCTGGTCAAGATGGTGAAACCCGTCTCTACTAAAAATACAAAAAAAAAAAAAAAAATTAGCTGGGTGTGGTCGTGGGCGCCTGTAATCCCAGCCACTCAGAAGGCTGAGGCAGAGAATTGCTTGAACCTGGGAGGCGGAGGTTGCAGTGAGCTGAGATGGCGCCACTGCACTCCAGCCTGGGTGACAGTGAGACTCGTCTCAAAAAAAAACAAAAAAACAAAAAAATGTGCATACTGGTCCTTGAATAGACACCATCACTGTTTTCATGGAACTTACTGTTTGATGGTAGGGGGAGACATTAAATAAATGATTAAACAGGTAAGGACGGAATGTAATGATAACTAGCAAGAAGTGCTAGAAAGGAAATGAAAGTTTTAAATAATGTTTCTCAAACTTGCTGGTTATAAGAATTATCTACAAATAATTTTTTGTAGAGACAGAGTCTTGCTATTTTGCCCAGGCTGCAATATCTTTTTTGAGATTGTTAATACATGTTGCCAAATTGCTTTTCAGGAAGATTGTACCAATTTAGTTTCAGGAAGTGTCTTTAGAGGGAGGGGTTAAAAATTATTCATGACTGATGGATACATTGGGACCAATAAACCCTAGAAAATGCATATGATTTATGGATGTACCTAATTATGGATGCTTCATTGTGTTCCTTTTTTCTTTTTTTGCCAGAGGGAGTCTTGTTCTGTCACCCAGGCTGGAGTGCAGTGGCGCCATCTCAACTCACTGCAACCTCCACGTCCCAGGTTCAAGCAATTCTCCTTGCCTCAGCCTCCCAAGTAGCTGGGATTACAGGCACCCGCCACAACTCCCAGCTAATTTTTGCACTTTTAGTAGAGACAGGGTTTCACTATGTTGGCTGGTCTTGAACTCCTGACCTCAGGTAATCTGCCTTCCTTGGCCTTCCAAAGTGCTAGGATTACGAGCATGAGCCACCGTGTCGGCCTATAAGCACTATTGTGAATTGGTGTTTAACAGGGAGATATAGGCTGGGCGCCATGGCTCATACCTGTAATCCCAGCATTTTGGGAGGCCGAAGCCGGCAGATCACCTGAGGTCAGGAGTTCGAGACCAGCCTGACCAACATGGAGAAACCCCATCTCTACTAAAAATACAAAAAATTAGCTGGGTGTGGTAGCAGGCACCTGTAATCCCAGCTACTCGGCAGGCTGAGGCAGGAAAATCGATTGAACCCGGGAGGAGGAGGTTGCAGTAAGCTGAGATCACAGCATTGAACTCCAGCCGGGACAACAAGAGTGAAACTCTGTCTCGAAATAAATAAACAAACAAACAAATAAATAAATAAATAGAAGGGAGATATAGCTAGTGAGTCCATTGGTGAATGATAATACCAGCGTATCCCATTTGTAAGGGATACACTCTCAGTCCTCAAATGGAAACATTTCAAAAGTCTCAGTGCTTTTTCTGATTACTTGTCTTTAAGCAAAGACAAAATGCTGGTGCTTATAACTTTGTATGAAAATATCTTTTTCATCTTTCCCTTCCCATTCTCAGCTTTCAGTTGTGCAGGATGTCTCGATAGACCTCAACTATGAAAAACGAGTGAAAGGAAAACTTACCACTTCTGAGTCCTAGTTAACCTCAAGCTACATTCATTATATTTAAGTGGAGTATAATGTGGGTCAGCGTGCACACCAACATGTAATGAACTTGCTGTTACCACCAAATGAATCTGTTGGTATAAGAAAAGGCCATAATTTATTTGAACAGAACAGGGCTTGTGTTGCTTGTGTGTGTGTGTGTGTGTGTGTGTGTGTGTGTGTGAGGGAGAGAGGGAGGAAGTATGTGCCCTGTTTCACATGCAGGCACAAAGCACAGATTGTACCTGTTTCCTTACTTAGCTTCAAGCAGTGAAGACTATAGAAGGCTCCACGACTCCTAGAGAGCATCTGGAAGCATCCCAGGGCTTAAGTTCCCACTGGATTTAATTGTCTTCTACTCTGTTGCCAATTCTTTATGAGCTGGAGTTTAGCAAAGCTACAGAACAAGGACATCCAGACTGGCCCCCATCATAGGGAGCTGTTTTTAAACAGATCTTTAAGGAGAGGGAGAGAGAACATAGGTGTGGGACAGAAGGAGCTATAGGACAAGTAGAAGCTGAAAACTGCTTCCAGTGTAAGAGAGAGCCTCCCCACCCAAGGAGTTCGAGACACTTGGATCCCCACGGCTCCCCATGGCTCCCTACGGCTCCCTCTTTATTCTGCCAGGTATTTTCTTATCTGTTACCTTAACTGGCCTTTCCAATGTCTTTGAAATAAACACAAGTATTGTAGGTCTGAGGTCCTTTATTTGAAACACTTAGGGCTTGCTATTTTCAGATTTCAGAACTTTTTAAAGTTTAGATAGGTGGTATAATGACAATTATGTATGTAATGTCACACAACAGGGTCTGGGACGTATCTTATTTTATTAGATGGAGTCTCACGCTGTTGCCCAGGCTGGAGTGCAGTGGTGTGATCTTGGCTCACTGCAACCTCTGCCTCCTGGGTTCAAGCAATTCTCTGCCTCAGCTTCCCGAGTAGCTGGGATTATAGGCACTTGCCACCATGCCCGGCTAATTTTTGTATGTTTAGTAGAGACAGGTTTCACCATCTTGGCCAGGCTGGTCTTGAACTCCTGACCTTGTGATCCACCCGCTTCGGCCTCCCAAAGTACTGAGATTACAGGTTTGAGCCACTGTGTCCGGCCGACAATATCTTTTTATCAGATAGATATTTCTGCAAGGAGATTTATGAATATTCACAATAATGGGATAAAGATTATAAACAACCTTATGTCAATTTGGTTAGGCTTTTTTTGCAGTCAAATGAGTTACAAAACACTATTAGTCTTTTGGGGCTCTATAGATTTTATAATTGAGGAGAAGAGATTGAGGCCTGAATTATTCCCATTTACAGATGAGAAAATAGAAGTCCAGTGGTGTTAAGTGACATGTCTTGTGTCATGTAGAACCCAAGTCTCCCTTTTTTCTGCCAGTTCTAGATTATTATAAAATAATTATGAATATTTCAAGATGATTCAAACCAATTCAAGCCATTATTTTAACATGATTGCATGAAAACACTTTGTTTTGATAATTTTGATCCCACGGCAAGAAATCTTTTTCTCCACCTCTGGCTCCTTAAAAGTCTATTATTTTTCTGTGCTTCTTAAAATGGGACCTTGGGATTTTAGATGTCCTCTTTGGTTCACTTGGGTTCTTCTCCAAAACTCATCTCAGTCCTAGTCATGGACTTGGCTGAAGGGACCATTTTCCTAAAAGAAGTGTTTATTGTAATTGAGGGCTGTATAAAGAGTGGTTCTCTTTATATCAAATGAGCAATAGGGATCTGTTGTCTAATGCTTCCCTAGCTGAAGTACTAAGAGGAACAGTCTTCTGAAACAACTGAAAAAAAAAACCACACCCAGGTGTACCTAGGTGTGACTGATATGGACTCTAACTTTTAAAGAACATTGCCTAAATCAAAACATGTAATGATCTTTAAAAGAAATTTGCTGGCACATCTTGGAGTGCAATGTACACTATTCAGTACTTGCCACCTGTTACTCAATGGTAGATTATAGCATTTGAGCCTGATGCCTGAGCAAACTATGTGGTGATCAATGACTTTAACCTGACTTGGAAAAAGTCAGCACTGCAAAAGAAACAATGAGATGAATGTTAGCCTGTCTAGGGGTCAGTTCCAGAACCCTTCCTACCTGTGTTATTTGACCATGACAGTGCTTCCAGGCTTTATTTTATTTATTTATTTTTATTTTTTGAGACAGAGTCTTGCTCTGTTGCCCAGGCTGGAGTGCAATGGTGCGATCTCAACTCACTGCAACCTCCACCTCCTGGGTTCAAGCAATTCTGCCTCACCCTCCCGAGTAGCTGGGATTACAGACACCCACCACTGTGCCTGGCTAATTTTTTGTATTTTTAGTAGAGATGGGGTTTCACCATGCTGGCTAGGCTGGTCTCGAGCTCCTGACCTCAGGTCATCTGCCCTCGGGTCACGTAATCCTGTAATCCGGGATTACAGGTAGAGATCCACCATGCCTGGTGAGACTTTAGTTTTGATAAACATAGTTTCTTCTGAATAAGTATATGCATAATAGAATTCAGAAACAGACATACACATAGTTTGGTATATATTCATAAAAAAATGGAAGAGAACTCAAAAATTATTATTTTATTAAGGATGCTGTGTGATATGGTTTGGCTGTGTACCCACCCAAATCTCATCTTGATATCTTGTGTTCTCATCTTGAGATCCACATGTTGTGGGCGATAATTGAATCAAGGGGGCAAGTCTTTCCCTTGCTATTCTCGTGATAGTGAATAAGTCTTACAAGATGTGATGGTTTTATAAAGAGGTATTCCCCTGCACAAGTTCTCTCTCTTTGCCTGCTGCTATCCATGTAAGATGTGACTTGTTCCTCCTTGCCTTCCACCATGATTATGAGGCCTCCCCAGCCACGTGAAACTGTAAGTCCATTAAACCCTTTTTCCTATATAAATGACCCAGTCTCTGATATGTCTTTATCAGCAGTGTGAAAATAAACTAATACACTGTGACATACTCTTTTAAACCACAGCAACATAGAATTGCTATATAATCACTTGATATAAAAATCAAGTTAATGTCAAAGAGAATTGTATTTCACAGATTGTAAAATGTGTCTTGATCAGTTTTATACATGCCACTTTTTGTGTTAAGTCCGTTTTATTGGGTATTATTTACATACAGTGATATTCATCATTTTTAATGTACAGTACTGTGAGTTTTGACAAATGCATCTATAGAGTTGTGTAACTAACATCATGATCAAGAAATAAAATGGTGGCCAGGCATGGGGGCTCACGCCTGTAATCTCAGCACTTTGGGAGGCTGGGGCAGGCAGATCACTAGAGATGAGGAGTTCAAGACCAGCCTGGCAACATGGTGAAACCCCATCTCTACTAAAAATATAAAAATTAGCTGGGCGTGGTGGCACATACCTGTAATCCCAGCTACTCTGGAGGGTGAGGCAGGAAAATTGCTTGAACCTGGGAGGCAGAGATTGTAGTGAGTCAAGATCATGCCAAGGCACTCCAGCCTGGGCAACAGAGTGAGACTCCGTCTAAAAAAAAAAAAAAAAAAAAGGTGATGTTTTATATTGTGATAATACAAAATTTCTATTCTTCTTGAGTGAGAACTTTGTTGATTAGAGAGCATACTGGGAAATGATTAAAAGGGATTTTTTTTTTTTTGAGACTGTCTCGCTCTGTCGCCCAGGCTGGAGTGCAGTGGTGAGATCTCAGCTCACTGCAACCTCCACCTCCTGGGTTCAAGTGATTCTCCTACCTCAGCCTGCAGAGTAGCTGGGATTACAGGCGCACACCACCACATCCAGCTAATTTTTGTATTTTTAGTAGAGACAGGGTTTCGCTATGTTGGCCAGGCTGGTCTCGAACTCCTGATCTCAGGTGATCCGCCTGCCTCAGCCCCCCAAAGTGTTAGGATTACAGGTGTGAGCCACTGTGCCCGTCGTAAAAGGGAATTTTTGAAGTACCAATAGAGGACTCTATCAAATAGGTTATTTTTTAAAACGTGAAGGTAAGGATAAATCAAATCTCATTGTATAACTTACCTACATTATACTTAAAAATATATAACATTTAAAATTAAATGTTCTTTAATAATTTTTTTTTTTTGAGATGGAGTTTCGCTCTTGTCGTCCAGGCTGGAGTGCAGTGGTGCGATCTCGGCTCATTGCAACCTCGCCCTCTGGGTTCAAGCAATTCTCCTGCCTCAGAGTCCCCAGTGGCTGGGATTACAGGGGTGCGCTACCATGCCCAGCTAATTTTTTTCTTGTATTTTTAGCAGATATGGGGTTTTGCCATGTAGGCCAGGGTGGTCTCAAACTCCTGATCTCAAGTGATCTGCCCTCCTCGGCCTCTGAAAGTGCTGGGATTATAAGCATGAGCCACCACCTCCAGCCATAAAATGCTTTCAAATATAAAGAAACAATATATGACCTTTGGTTTTACTGTCGATACAATTTTCATTAATATTAAAGTATAAAAAGACCAGGTGGCTGGAGGCAGTGGCTCACACCTGTAATCTTAGCACTTTGGGAGGCTGAGGGAGGTGGATCACTTGAGGCCAGGAGTTCGAGAGCAGCCTGGCCTACATAGTGAAACCCCATCTCCACTAAAAATACAAAAAATCCCAGGACTTTCAGAGACTGAGGCGAGTGGATCACTTGAGGTCAGGAGTTCAAGACCAGCCTTGGCAACATGGTGAAACCCTGTCTCTACTAAAAATACAAAAATTAGCCAGGTGTGGTGGCGCATGCCTGTAATCCCAGCTACTCAGGAGGCTGAGGTAGGAGAATCACTTGAACCCAGGAGGCAGAGGTTGCAGTGAGCTGAGATTGCGCCATGGTACTCCAGCCTGGGCGATAGAGCAAGACTCTGTCACAAAAAAAAATTTTGACAGATGTGGTGGTGGGCACCTGTAATCCCAGCTACTTGGGAGGCTGAGGCACAAGAATAGCTTGAAATGGGAGGCAGAGGTTGCAGTGAGCCGAGATCACGTCATTGTACTCCAGCCTGGTGACAGAGCAAGACTCCATCTCAGAAAAAAAAAACAAAAAACAAAAAACAAAAAATTAGCCAGGTGTGGTGGTGCATGCCCCTAGTCACATCTATTTAGGAGGCTGAGTCAGGAGAATCGCTTGAACCCGGGAGGCAGAGGTTGCAGTGAGCTGAGATAGCGCCACCACACTCCAGCCTGGGTGAGAGAGACTCTGTCTCAAACAACAACAACAAAAAAGACCAGGTGTGGTGGCTCACACCTGTAATCCTAGCACTTTGGGAGGCTGAGGAAGGAGTGATTCTTGAGCCCAGGAGTTTTAGATCAGCCTGTGCAACATAGTGAGACCCCTGTCCCTACCAAAAAAAAATTAGCTGAGTTGGTGACACGTGCCTGTGGTCCCTACTCAGGAGGCTGAGTTAGGAGGATTGCTTGAGCCTGGGTTGTTAAGGCTGCAGTGAGCTGTGATCACATGATGGCACTCCAGCCTCAGTAACAGAGCGAGACCCTGTCTCAAAAAAGTTAAAAGTACAATAAGATAGATACCCTCACCTTCTCCAATGATACCCACTCTTAGAAGTGTCTTAACTTACTTCCAGAAGGGAATAGATACATAGATACATAATTCTTTTAGCTTGTAAAAAGAATCATAGTACAGCCATTGTTACTTACCTTGTGTTTTTTTGTAACTTAATAATATTCATAATATATTTTGAAACCCTTCCCTTCTCAGCACACCTAACTCATTCTTTTTAATCGTAAATTGCATTTCATCATTTGTAGTACCAATCTCCCTTGACTGACATATTGATGATTACCAGTATATTTTTCTATCAAAAATATTTCAGTGACCATAAGTGAACATATACTCTACCCACAGTATTTTTTGTTGTTGTTGTTGTTGTTGTTTTTGAGACGGACTCTCGCTCTGTCGCCCAGGCTGGAGTGCAGTGGCGCGATCTCGGCTCACTGCAAGCTCTGCCTCCTAGGTTCATGCCATTCTTTTGCCTCAGTGTCCCCAGTAGCTGGGACTACAGGCGCCCGGCACCACGCCCGGCTAATTTTTTTGTATTTTTTTAGTAGAGACGGGGTTTCACCGTGTTAGCCAGGATGGTCTTGATCTCCTGAACTCGTGATCCGCCTGCCTCGGCCTCCCAAAGTGCTGGGATTATAGGCGTGAGCCACTGCGCCCGGCCTCTACCCACAATATTTTATAAGTGAAAAGAGATGAAAATGCCTCTTAAGTCTGGAAGGGGATGTGTTCCTATTGTAAAGGGAAAATAAATCTTGGAGCCCCCAAATCACTAAGCTAAAGGGAAAAGTCAAGCTGGGAACTGCTTAGGGAAAACCTGCCTCCCATTCTATTCAAAGTTATCCCTCTGCTCACTGAGATAAATGCATATCTGATTGCCTCCTTTGGAAAGGCTAATCAGAAACTCAAAAGAACGCAACCATTTGTCTCTCACCTACCTGTATATCTTACATATATTGATTGATGTCTCATGTCTCCCTAAAATGTATAAAACCAAGCTGTGCCCCAACCACCATGGGCAAAGTTGTCAGGAACTACTGAGGCTGTGTCACCTGTGTGTCTCCTCAACCTTGGCAAAATAAACTTTCTAAATTAACCTGCGTCAGACTTTTGGGGTTCACACTATCAAGGAACAGGTACCCCAAGGAATGGTGATGATAGTGGTGTTACACTCTATGTGAATTATACATGTACACAGAGACTCCATGTTATGTAGCTTGATCTTAGTGATCTACATTCTTTTCTGTCTCTCTCCCTGGATGAATATCTGATCAATAACAGCCTCTCAAAATATCCGGGAGTATACTAGCCTAGGTATTTTGTTGCTTCAGTGGAGACAACAAAATACCTAGGCTGGTATACTCCCGGATATTTTGAGAGGCCATTATTTAACCCAAATTATCCAAAGTATTGTCATTTCAACATGTAATGAATATAAGATTATGAACGAGATTACTTTCTTGGTGTGTATGTTAAATCTTTTAAGCATATCTCAATTAAGACTAGCTACATTTCGGCCAGGCGCAGTGGCTCACGCCTGTAATCCCAGCACTCTGGGAAGCCAAGGCAGGTGGATCACGAGGTCAGGAGTTCAAGACCAGCCTGGCCAAGATGGTGAAACCCCGTCCCTACTAAAAATACAAAAATTAGTCAGGCATGGTGGCGAGCACCTGTAAACCCAGCTACTCAGGAGGCTGAGGCAGAGAATCACTTGAACCCAGGAGGCGGAAGTTGCAGTAAGCAGAGATCGCACCACTGCACTCTAGCCTAGGTGACAGAGTGAGACTCCGTCTCAAAAAAAAAAAAAAAAAAAAAGACTAGCTACATTTCAAGTTGTTTCCCTCCTTAATACCCTCTAATGGTGGTTCTGCAATTTTGTGTAAAAAAAAAAATCCAATTTCCTTAGCACTTATTCATTCAACATATTTTTGATGCCCACTATGTGCCAGGCACTCTGGGATGTTCCCAGTGACAAGGAACATCCCGCACTTGAGGAGTTTTCACTCTAATGAGAATATAAATTCCTCAGGGGCCCGGTATACAAGGCCTTTCCCTTTACATGAACCTGAGCCCACCTTTCTCCCACCTTGTGGTTTCCCAATCAGATAATAATTATAAGCATTTATTGAGTGTTTCTTGCATGTAGGTGCTATATTTGATGCCCTCATTTAATATTTATTGCAATTCCCTTGAGGAGGGTACCACTATTATCCCTAAAACATCTTCTAAAAGGAGGCTTTTGGCTGAGCGTGGTGGACTCAGAACTACATGCATTGCATTGTTGACAGTTGTTTATATATTGGTGTTTTGCACTCTGAACTCCATGAGATCAGGGACAAGTTCTGTTTTTGTTTTTATTTCCTCATCTTTTGAATATTTATCTGTATGCCTAGCCTATAGAAATAAAGAACAATGAAGTAATTTTCCTTGTGTCTTTGTCCCGTTGAGGCTGTTCTGGTACTCTTGAAAACACTATTCCAATGATTTTACTTTTCCTTATAGGATCAGATGATAGAAAACCTTTAAATATTAGCTATAACCAAGAAGAGGCAATGAAGATACATATAATTGCCAAAGAACCCTCTGCTAAAAGTTAAGAATGGTTTCACGTGGCCAGGTGCGGTGGCTCACACCTGTAATCCCAGCACTTTGGGAGGCTGAGGTGGGCAGATCACCTGATGTTGTCAGGAGTTTGAGACCAGCCTGACCAACATGGAGAAACCCCGTCTCTACTAAAAAATACAAAATTAGCCAGGCATGGTGGTACGTGCCTGTAATCCTAGCTACTTGGGAGGTTGAGGCAGGAGGATTGCTTGAACCAGGGAGGCAGAGGTTGCAGTGAGCCGAGATTGCACCATTGCACTCCAGCCTGGACAGCAAGAGTGAAACTCCGCCTCAAAAAAAAAAAAAAAAGAATGGTTTCACACTTTTCAAAATACCAAAGAAGCTGCTCTCTGTCTTTATAAACTATACCTTGGCCTATAGAGAATTGTTCTTGGGAAGACCGTTCACTCCTCAGGATGGGGATCTTGCCAAGGGGTTTTTAGGATTATCTACTGCTCCAGATACTCAGGAAGTATTCTGAATTTAGGATACAGCTAAAACTCATTAACTTTAGGTACTACCACTTCATTGCTACTGATGAATTTAGGTTTACATTTACCTTTGTTTAGCAAATGTTTCCCTGTGCCATATTTCAAATTAATTTTTTTTTTTTGAAACGGAGTCTGGACCTGTGCCCCAGGCTGGGGTGCAATGGCGTGATCTTGGCTCACTGCAACCTTGGCCTCCGGGGTTCAAACAATTCTCCTGTCTCAGCCTCCTGAGTAGCTGTGACTATAGGTGCCTGCCACCATGCCCAGCTAATTTTTGTATTTTTAGTAGATATAGGGTTTCACCGTGTTGGCCAGGCTGGTCTCAAACTCCTGACCTCAGGTGATCCACTTGCCTTGGCCTCCCAAAGTGTTGGGATTACAAGCATGAGCCACTGCACCTGGCCCCAGATGAATATTTAAAATATTCAAGAATACAATTTACCTTTCAGCACCTTGGAACACTTTATAGCCATCTCTGGTTGCACAAAAGCAATTTTAACACATTATCTTCTTGAATGAACTTTGGCTGAGGTTGAATTAAGTGGGCAACTGAGTGATAAATTTAATAATTCAGATCTTTGCTACATTCCTCTTCTAGCAGTTGGGATGAAATGAGGAGTGGAAAAAGTGCATGGCAACAAAGACGTCACTAAAAAAATATTTGTGGATTAAATAAACCAATAATTTTTTCTTCTTGCAAGATAGATGAACAGAAATTCATTGTTTAGCAAGGTCTGCCAAGCATACATTTTTAAGACCTTCTTGAAGCTGACTATTTAACACTTTCAACTCTGGCACCATGATTCTTGACTCCTACTTTGTTCTTGTTACTATGGCCACATGCTCAGCTGTCACCTAAGATGCTCTTAGATCTTAAGAAGAGCAGATGTATGCCCCACCTGTACATTTACTCATTTAACACATGTGCTGAGAGTTTACAGGGGCCAAACACTCACGTAGGCATAGGGATATCTGAGAAAAAACCAAAAACCAAAAACCAAATTTGCTGTACACATGAAGCTTACATGGAGCTCACATTTGTGCGTGTGTGTGTGTGTGTGTGTGTGTAGACAATAAGCATAATAAATCATAAAATATATAGAATGTTATAGCCAGATGCGGTGGCTCACACCTGTAATCTCAGCACTTTGGGAGGCCGAGGCAGGTGGATCACTGGAGGTCAGGAGTTCTAGACCAGCCTGGCCAACATGGTGAAACCCCATCTCTACTAAAAATACAAAAAATTAGCTAGGTGTGGTGGCGGGCGCCTGTAATCCCAGCTACTCTGGAGGCTGAGGCAGGAGAATTGCTTGAACCTGGAGGATGGAGGTTGCAGTGAGCCGAGATTGTGCCACTGTACTCCAGCCTGGGCAACAGAGTGAGACTCCATCTCAAAAATAAATAAATAAAAAAGAATGGTGCCAATAGTAAGAGCAGTTCCACTCACCAGAACTCAAAACCAGTATTTCTATGGGCTTCAGCTTCCTCATCTGTAAAATGGAGCTATAACATATTTTGTAGTATTGTTTTTTTGTTTGTTTGTTTTTGCTGCTCCAGTCAACGAAAGAGACACACTTTATTGAGGCTCCAGGGAGGCTGCCGTTCGAGGAAGGAAGAGCCTTGACCTTCTTGGGTTACAGGTTGTTGGTGTGGTCACACCTCTTGCAGCAGTTGACAGCACGGGGGTGCAGGCAAGCATAGCACTTGCGGCAGATCATCTTGTCACAGTTGTATTTCTGGGAGAGCTGGCAGAGGGAAGGCTCAATAATGCCACCTTACAGGCGCAGCACCAGGTGCAGGGTGGACTCTTTCCAGATGTTGCAGTCTGAGAGAGTTCGGCCATCCTCCAGCTGTTTGCCAGCAAGTATCAGATGCTGCTGGTCAGGTGGGATACCTCCTTGTCTTGAATTTTGGCTTTGACATTCTCAATGGTGTCACTTGGCTTGACGTCAAGAGTGATGGTCTTGCCCGTGAGGGTCTTCACAAAGATCTGCGTCTCTGCGTCTGCAGCTCAGTTGCCTTGCCGAAGAAAAAGATGACGGCAGATATTTTGCAGTATTGAGAGGATTAGAAATGAAATATGTTTGCCAAATGTCACAGTCTCTAATTGTAGGCCTCTTTACATAGTAGCTATTAATAGAGGCACATCTGCTCTTGTACAAGTAAGTGAACAATGTGTGCTGGACTGGAAGTAACTCTCTGGGAAATTTAGGACAAAAGGGGACTAGGGCCCAAAGAAGGAATGAGTCATCCAGCATACCTAGCTACCTATTGCTGACAAAAAGCTTTACTAATACCCAGTTGGAGATGAATAGGATGTGAGCTCTGGATCCGCTGATGTATTTATATATCCTTCCATTGCATGGCTTCAGTTCTTCCCAACTAAACCTCTCCTTATCTTTTTTTATTTTATTTTTTATTTTTTTGAGACAGGGTCTAGCTCTGTCACCCAGGCTGGAGTGCAGTGGCGTGATCTCAGCTCACTGCAACCTCTGCCTCCTGGGTTCAAGCGATTCTCCTGCCTCAGCCTCCTGAGTAGCTGGGATTACAGGTGCCTGCCACCATGCCTGGCTAATTTTTGTATTTTTAGTAGACACGGGGTTTCGTCATGTTGGTCAGGCTGGTCTCGAACTCCTGATCTCAGGTGATCCGCCCGCCTCGGCCTCCCAAACTGCTGTAATTACAGGCGTAAGCCACCGCGCCCGGCCAAATTTCTCATCTTTATGAAACACTCAAGAGAAACCTGTTAACAATAATGAAAATTATCAGCATGCTATGTGCCAGGCACTTTTATGAATATAAATCCCCTTAATCCTTCAATGAGCCTGCATGGCAGGTATTACAATCATCCCGTTACAGAAGGGATATTTGAGAGACGGCCTACAGGGTGGACTCAATAATGTGGCAGCTGGCCGGGTGTGGTGGCTCATGCCTGTAATCCCAGCACTTTGGGAGGCTGAGGCTGGTGGATCACCTTAGCTCAGGAGTTCGAGACCAGCCTAACCAACATGGTGAAACCCCGTCTCTACTAAAAATACAAAAAGTTGCCGGGCGTGGTGGCGCGCGTCTGTAGTCCCAGCTACTCAGGAGGCTGAGGCAGGAGAATAGCTTGAACCCAGGCAGCGGAGGTTGCAGTGAGCCGAGATCATGCCATTGCACTCCAACCTGGGCTGGTGCAAGACTCTGTCTCAAAAAAAAAAAAAAAAAAAAAAAAAGTGGCAGCTGTCGTGGTGCTCAGTGGGCGAGCAAGCACAGGAGGACACCTGGTCAAGTGTACCCCATCTTTCACGGTCCCTGAGTTGGGGTTCGTGCCTACTGGATTGACAGAAAAGAAACTTCCAGGAGTCGTGAAGACTCGTTAGTTGCTTCGGAGGGTTATCCTGGGCGTCCTTGACAGAGGTGGCGTCCTCCTTCCCTGCAGCCTCTAAAGAATGTAGTTAGGAGCCAAGGGAGGTGGTGACCCCCCACCCCATTGAGAACGTCAGGGGAGCTTCCGACTTGAAAAACTAGTTAGACGCTCAGCTTCGGTCAATTAAGCTTATACAAAGAGGGGCGGTGCGTCCTGAGGAGGTGGCACGGGGGAGGCGAGCGGAAGTCCGCCAGCCGCCGATTGGCTGGGACAAATGTCCGTCCCGCCTCCCTCCCGCCCCATCTCCCGGTGGCCTAGCGGCGCGGCCCGCGGGCGCGCTGAGGAGGCTGGCGGTGCCAGACTGGCAGGGGGCGTGACCCGAGGAGGCGGGGCGGGGGGGCGTGTCTTGCCTGGCCCCGGCGCCGGGCTCGTCACGGTTTGCGGCTCCGCCCCCGAACCCCTCCTCCTACGCGGCTCTCCTCCTTCCCGCTCGGTCCGCCGGTTCGCTCAGTTCTAGCTTCAGGTTCCACGCCGCGGCCTCGCTCTCCTACTAAAGCCAGCCCAGCAGTCGCAGCGCGCACACGCACGCCCCGCGTCTCCCGCGCCCGGCGCCCGGCTCTCCCCACGCGCGCACACCTCGCGCACGGACGCACCCACGTTTGTCCTCGCGCGCCGGGGGCTCGGCGGCGGCGGCAGGGGCAGCGGCAGAAGCAGGCAGACCGCGCGGGGCAGTACCGTAGCGGCCGTCACGGGCTGGCCGGCCGGCCATGGAGGCTGATGGGGCCGGCGAGCAGATGAGACCGCTACTCACCCGGGTAACGAGCAGGGTGAGGGCGCCGCGGCGGTGGGGCTCCTCCGCAGGGGGAGGGCGCGGGGCGAGGCAGACAAAGGCGGGGGGCGCGGCGGGCGTCGCGGCTCGGCCACCTCGTCCCAGGCCCGTCGCCCCTCCACCTCCCGGCGGCCGGCGCGCCTCGCCATCCCCTTTGTGTGGCGGCCTGGGGCGCGGGTGGGAGGGGGCCAGCGGCTGCGCTCGGGAGGCCCGAGTCGGGGCGGCCGGCGGCGCGCCGCGGGCATCCTCTGCGCGGCTCAGGCGGGACCCCGACATCCCCGCAGAGGCCGCCTGTGACCCCGACCATCCATCCCTTCCCTCAGCGCTCGCCTCCCCTGTTTCTTAGCGCGCTCCCCAGGCGGGGTCCCGGTTCCGGTTGCCTTGGCGCAGGAGTTTCAGATTAGCCCTCGAAAACCTATCTTTCTTCTCCTTCTAAGGAGGACGGCGGCTCCACCTGTCTCTAGCCCCAGGCAGTGGTGAAGAGCTGGTTGAATCTTTCCCCCTCTTTCCGAGTGTCCCCTCCCGCTCCGCGGTGCGCTTTGTTCGGTGAGTTCTCCGGCCGCGTGGACTGGCCGCGCTCCTTCCCGGCCAAGGCTCTTTCGCTGTTGCCTGCCGGGTCCGCCTTCTCCACTGGCTGGGACCCGGGGAGTATCCTCCTGCCGCAGGCCAAGTAGAAGGAGGAGGGTGTCCTGAGCTGTCTGGTGCTCCTTCTCTAACTCAGCTAGCAAGATCGCGTTTCCTACTGAGACTGGCTTTGATTTCAGGGTTAGAAGAGAATGGGGATGGACTTAAGGCCGGTGTTCCCATTTGTGATGATGGGTGAACGGCCCATGCTCAAGAAGCGGACTTCCTGCTTTCTTTAGAGCACATGCGTCCCCGCAGTTGTCTCTTTCTCCTTTCCAAGTTCGTGACTCAAAGGAGATGGAAGTATTCTAAATTTTCCTACTTCTAATTTTTACTATGCAACCAGCAAAGGCGGGAAGGTTGCAGGGAAAATTGTCCGGTCTTTCACAACTAAGAGGAAAATTACTTCTCCTATGTTTTTATTCAAGAGTTGTCTTTAAAACTGCCTGCCGGCTTTCCCTTTTAACTTTTAGGATTATAGTTAAGGTTATGGAAAGTAGTCATTCATTAGTTCAGTACGTTCATATAAGTTCTCTAACATAGAAGAAAACTCAGTCACCAGACAGTGAAGTCATTTAGCAGTGGTTATTGGAAGATAATTCACAGTGATGGTAATGGAATACTGGAAACTCATCCTAAATAATCTGTAATTATTATTATTATTATTTTGAGACAGAGTCTCGCTCTGTCGCCCAGGCTGGAATGCAGTGGTGCGATCTCGGCTCACTGCAACCTCCTCCTCCCAGGTTCAACCGATTCTCCCGCCTCAGCCTCCGGAGTAGCAGGAATTACAGGCACGCACCACTATGCCCAGCTAATTTTTTGTATTTTTAGTAGAGACGGGGTTTTGCCATGTTGTCCAGGCTGGTCTGGAACTCCTGACCTCAGGCAATCCACCCGCCTCGGCCTCCCAAAGTGCTAGGATTACAGGCGTGAGCCACCGCGCCTGGCCTTCTGTAATTCTTTGTGTAGCCTTTGAATAAACTGTTTTATAGTACTTTCTCTGTGTATTTCAAGTATGATGTTGTCTGTTCTTAAATTTATTTGCAAATTTTCAATTGAGCAGTAAAGTGCATTCGAGTTTTCACGGAGCTGGATAGAAACTATGGTGTGTTCTCAAATATTGCCTGCCTAGCTAGTAGAGAAAGCATGTGATAAGGCCATTGCCCTCCAAGTTATTCATTCATTCATTGTAATAACACTTATTTAGACTAGTGTTTATGCTATTTAAACTATTATTTACACTATTTACTGTAGTGGCCAACAAGGCAGAACCAACTCCATCCTAATATTTATTTATTTATTTTTGAGACGGAGTTTCGCTCTGTCACCCAGGCTGGAGCGCAATGGCCTGATCTCGCCTCACTGCAACCTCTGCCTCCTGGGTTCAAGTGATTCTTCGGCCTCAGCCTCCCGAGTAGCTGGGATTACAGGCATGTGCCACCATACTCGGCTAATTTTGTATTTTTAGTAGAGATGGGATTTCACTGTTGGTTAGGCTGGTCTCGAACTCCTGACCTCAGGTGATCCACCCACCTCGGCCTCACAGAGTGCTGGGATTACAGGTGTAAGCCATGGCACCCTACCCAACTCTATCCTAATAGAAGTGATATTTGAGTTGGGAGACAGATGACAAAGGAATTATTAAACACTGCTGTTAATGACGTGGTAGGGGAGCACTTTAGAAGGGTAAACCTCCTAAGTCTTTGAGAAGATAAGGCTTGGCTACTGTTAACATATATAAATCAATAATAGAAATCAAATACAGTAAACTAGCATATAGTCTACGAATAGAATGGGAGAATAGTAAAGCTGTAGGTTGAACTGATTTGAAAACAGGAAAGAGGAACTATTGGCGTTGATAAAATTAAATCTTCGCTCACCCAGTTTTGGTAAATAAAAGTCGTAAAAGTGAGAGATCATGATATTCATCAGTCATAACTCTAACTCGCAGCAGACTGCTCAGCATAGCCAAAAAAGTAGAACAAATTAATATTCATAAAATCCCATCTTAGATTTGTAATTATGCAAAAAAATGTTGAATAGATTGGTGGCAGTTTATATTACTCTGAAATTGGAGCCCATCTGTTTCATAGTTTAGCCTCTATGGTTGCTTCTGCTCCTAAAATTCTCTAATTTTCACTGATCAGGGTGTTGGGATAGAGGAAAGTCATTAATCTTGAAAAAATGTAACTTGTCTTTTGCTTTTGCTATAAAGCCTCATAATTGTAAGCCTCACTTGGAATTGATTTGTGAGTCTTTTTTTGTTGTTGTTGTCAGTCTTATTTTCCAGTATAGGTTAAATCCTTTTATAAATAGCATGGTTTAGAAGGTTTCTAAGTTTTAGCAGGTAATCTACTTTCTTTTAAGCAGTGCATGATATAACACAATTCTGATACCACTGACATTTTGGGACCATGATATTTTTCCATGATTTTGTTATGATTTTATTCATTTTGCACATATTTATTAAATATCCTATAGGTGCCAGGTAATGGGGATATAGTCAAACAAGGTAGACAGCATACTGCCTTCGCTGAGTTTATTTTGGCGTATGGTGTGAACACAGTGATGGCATTTACATTTCTGCTTTCCATTTGTGAGTGCCAGTTAAAACATTTCATCAGTCTGTAAGAAATTAAAAAAAAATAGTCATTAGAATAAATGACAGACCCGGACAACCCAGTATGAATTCGGTAGTGATTGGCAAATGGAAGTTTTTTTTTGTGGGTCTGTAAGTAGGCATTCTGTTTGGGGAATCACAGTTACGTATTGATACTAGGTATTGATGTGGCACCCTAGGAATAGTATCAGGGTTTCAGTTACCCTTTTGCCTTATTCTAAGTATCTCTGGGCCGCAATCCATGGAGTTGTAATAAAGGGAGAGAGCAAATCTGAAACTGTAGGACAAGGCTAGGTGCTGTGGCTTATGCCTGTAACCCCTGTACTTTGGGAGGCTGAAGTGGGAGGATCACTTGAGCCTAGGGGGTTTGAGACCAGCCTGGGCAACATAATGGGACCCTGTCTCTACAAAACATAATTACCCATATGTGTTGGTGCTAGCCTGTAGTCCCAGCTACTTGGGAGGCCGAGGCAGGAGGATCACTTGAGCCTGGGAGGTTGAGGCTGCAGTGAGCTGTGATTATGCCATTGCACTGCAGCCTGGGTGACAGAGTGAAGCCCTGCCTCAATACAAGATGAAACAAAGCTGTAGGACATTTGAGTTAGATTGATGAATTGTTTTGCCTGGTAATTGAGACTGGGAAGTACACAGGTTTTCTTCTAAGAGCTTAGAGAATTTTGTTACATTAGACTCTTGTTATTTGAATAGGTTAGAATACAGAGCCAAAGTAACCTGGTATTGGAGGAACCTGGTGTATTATTTTAGTGGGATGTGGTGTGCTAACCAATATATTCTAAAACTTTGCTAGTTATAATTGTCAACATCCTGTAATGGGTGTTTTCTTCCTCTTTTCCTCCCCCTCCTTCTTATTGTATCTTACCACAAATATGATCTTAAAGTGGATAGGATCTGCAACTGACTAAACTGTGTGGGCCATTTAGGCGCTTACAGATATTTCCATAGGGTTAATGTTAAAGATTAGTTACAGATCAGTATAGCTTTTGATTTGTACTATAGTTTCTTGCTGATGATTACAATTTCCTCTGTAGCTATCACTTTTTATGCATACAGTATTTTTAGTTTTAGAATAAGCAGTGAATTTTACCTCTATTTTCATTTAGCAGGCAATATTGTGTATTTTGTTGCATTTTTGCAGTTTGGAAAAATTTAGGACTATTTGCAATTATAATGGTGACAAATCATAAAAGGTCTTTGGTTGATATAGTGTTATGGTAGTGTTTGGCAGTGTTGCTGTTGACAATCTTCCTTAAGGCAGAGGGCTAGCTGATTAGAGTAGACTAGGTTGCCTAAATTAGTGACTCTTTCCTTTCATGGACTAGACATTTTCAAATGACTGTTAAAATAAGAGAGTGGCCTAATACCTTTTTTTTTTTGTTGCTGAGGCAGGGTCTCATCCTCAGGGTTGCCCAGGCTGAAGTGCAGTGGTACCATCATGGCTCACTGCAGCCCCAACTTCCTGGGCTCACGTGATCCTCCCACCTCAGCCTCCTGAGTAGCTGGGAATACAGGCACACCACCACGTCTGGCTAATTTTTTGTATTTTTAATAGAGGCAGGGTTTCAACATTTTGCACAGGCTGATGTCGAACTCCTTGGCTCAAGCGATCCACCCTCCTCTGCCCCCCAAAGTGCTGGGATTACAGGCGTGAGCCGCTACATCTTGCCAACACATCTTTTCAGTACTTGGTTTAGAAAGTTAATGTGTTCATAATATAGATTTGCATTTTATCTGGCGCTGATATGCCAATACAGACAGGTTCTAGTTTGGTGTTTTTTTGTTTTTTTTTTTCCTGAGACAGGGTTCTCACTTTGTCACCCAGGTTGGAGTGCAGTGGTGCGATCTCGACTCACGGCAACCTCCACCTTCTGGGTTCAAGAGATTCTTGTGCCTCAGCCTCCCCAGTAGCTGGGATTACAGGGGTGTGCCACCACGCCCCCCTCTCTCTCTTTTTTTTTTTTTTTTTGTATTTTTAGTAGAGACAGGGTTTCACTATGTTGGCCAGGCTGGTCTTGAACTCCTGACCTCAAATGATCCACCTGCCACGGCCTCCCAAAGTGCTGGGATTACAAGCAGGAGCCACTGTGCCTGGCCTAGTTTGGCGGTTTTAAGCAGATTTTCAGATTTCTTCCAAAGAGGATGTTTTAAAATGTTTTAATTTTTCTTAAGCCATTTTAGTGAGCGTACTTAAGCAGTTTTCAGTATCAAGGGGTTAAAGCATAGTCCACTGTTAATTGTGAAATAGGGAGGATGCTTTAATGTTGTTGGGTTTTTTTTTTTTTTTTTTTGAGGCAGTCTCGCTCTTTTGCCCAGGAGTGCAGTGGTACGATCTTGGGTCACGGCAACCTCCGTCCCCCGGGTTCAAGCGATTCTCCTGCCTCAGCCTCCCAGGTAGATGGAATTACAGGCGCACGCCACCACGCCCGGCTAATTTTTGTATTTTTAGTAGAGACAGGGTTTCACCATGTTGGCCAGGCTGGTCTCGAACTCCTGACCTCAGGTCATCCGCCCACCTCAGCCTCCCAAAGTGCTGGGATTACAGGTGTGAGCCACCGCACCCTGCCCGCTTTAATGTTTTAAATGACCTTTTTTTTTTTCCTCATTTTTCAGAGAATTTTATGTGAACTAGTATCATTTGGTTCTGATTCTGTTCACTCACATTTTAGGCAGTAGAGAAGTTGTGTTCTCCCTCTCTCTGGATTCCAGGACTGTATTGCTTCTTTTCAGTCAGATTTCCCAATTTGGAAAAGCTGTCGAATTGTGTATCATCTCTGATTAGGAACATGAGAAATGGTTATACTTTTGACAGTAGATTCACACTTGGAAGATGCCTCTTTTATTTCGTTACAGAAAGGAGTGTGGAATGGTTTTCAAAAGAGCATGAAAGCCGGGCGCGGTGGCTCATGCCTGTAATCCCAGCAATTTGGGAGGCTGAGGCAGGTGGATTGCCTGAGCTCAGGAGTTCGAGACCAGTCTGGGCAACACGGTGAAACCCCGTCTCTACTAAAATACAAAAAATTACCAGGGCGTGGTGCTGTGCGCCTGTAATCCCAGCTACTTGGGAGGCTGAGGCAGGATGAGGCGGGAGAATCGCTCGAACCCAGGAGGTGGAGGTTGCAGTGAGCCAAGATCGCGCCACTGCATTCCTGGGCAACAGAGCAAGACTCCATCTCCAAAAAAAAAGGCTCTGAGAAACCTTATAATACATAAAGACATTAAACTTTGATGGGGAGAGAATGCAGCTTAATATTACGTGGTATTGCCAAACAGAGATCTTTGATTATTCCAGCCTAATGAGAAACAGAAGAGAAGGGGACGAGCAGTGGTTTGGTATCAACCGTGGGTTCAGATCTTAGCTTAGCCTCCAATGGTAGGGCCTGAAAATTTTTAGAAAATCTCTGCCCGTGAGTTCACATCTTTAACACAGAGATAATAATAAGTGATTAAATGAGAGACCTAATACAATGCATTGTTCAGAGCAGGCTTTCTCTAAAAAGTTAGCTGCTGTTCACCAACTTGCCACACAGCAAAGGACAAAATCATAAATCTTGCATTAGGATTTGCATCAATGCAAGAAACATGACATTTCTCCTGCCCAGTGCTAGGATTAGAGGAAGAGTATGGTAGAACCTTCAGTGGAGTTTCATTATTTCTTCTGAGGGCCTAGAATAATGCTGAAGTTATTAATTCAGAGTTAGCTGTAGTAGTTTCCTTCTATTTTTAAAAGGTGTTATTATGTAAGTTTTGTGAATTAAGTTGCTAATGTTACAGAAATTAAGTATCTGAAATTTGCCTCTCTGCCTCCAGATTCCCTGATGGCTGGGGATAGAGTTTTCCTGGGTCATTCATTGCTAAATTCTCAATTAAGTCTAGCCTAGGGTTTTACACATTGAACAAATATATTTGTTCAATGGATGAATGTTAGGATGATGTATTAGTCTGTTATGACAGTGCTATAAAGAACTACCTGAGACTGGGTAATTTATGAAGGAAAGAGGTTTACTTGACTCACAGTTCTGCAGGCTGTACAAGAAGCATGGCTAGGAGGACTCAGGAAACAAATATGGTGGAAGGGGAAGCATGCAAGTCTTCACATGGCAGTAGGAGAGAGAGAAGTGGGAAGGGCTACACACTCTCAAACAACCAGATCTCATGAGAACTAATGAGAACAATGAGGGGGACATCTGCCCCCATGATTCAGTCACCTCCCACCAGGCCCCTTCTTCAACATGAGGGGATTACAGTTTGACATGAGATTTGGGTGGGGACAGAGCCAAACGATAGCAGATGATATCATGACTCAATAAGATTTGAAATTGAATATACTGCTAGTTAGTTGTTTAGTCAAGTAATATGTTATATGGCTTTTATTTATGGTATTAACCATTAAGAAAAAGAATGCTACTTTGCTTGATACAACTGCCAGTAGAAGAGAATATTTCTTGCCTTGGTTCCTTGAGTGAGAATGTTGAGTAAATGCAGTAAATGCAAGTTGGATTGATTCCAAAGAATACATAACATTTTTTAAACCTGAGAGAAAATTTTAGGCAAGTGAATATTAAGCACCATTAAAATGAAAATTTTAAGAAAATTTATCCTATTTTCACCACTTTTAAATACATTTACACTGATTGTTGGAAAACTGGGTATTTTACTTAAATCTTAATACTTGTGTAATTTTGCTTTATGAAAAGCAGTGACTTTTGATATATATGATTATAAAACCACCAATGACAAGCAATTTCAGATTCCAGATGTCAGCCGTTATATGTATTGGTTTGAAATTATGCTATTCTATTCTTTACAATTATTACTTACATAATATAATTTCTTTCTGTTCATCTGCTTTTAATTTTGTGATTTTGAGGTTTGTGGACCCTCTTCCTTCCTGAACTCTGCCACCCTAGCTTGCCAATCCATGCATAAATGTTTATACAGGTGCTGTAATTAGCCAATGCACCAACTCAGTAGAGTCCTTTCAGTAATATTTTGTCTTTATTTTTGTTTTGTTCATAATTATTCCCAAATGACCTTAATTATAAAATGTCCAAGAGGAACTTCCTTATCCATTTTTGCATATGCCATTAGCAGTATCCTCGGGATAAGATTTTGTTATAAGCCTGTTTGTATCTGGGGAAGTTGGTCATTTGTTAGGAATAAGGGATTCATTCAGTCTAAAATTGGCCTTCATTTGGCCTTTCATTTTATCTTATTGAGCTATTTTATTCAGTAATAGGAAATTCAGTAAATAATCATACACTCTAATCCTCATTTTCAAAACAAGGTAAAATTTGGAGGTGGCTTAACCTAGATGTAACAAGTACATGTTTGGGTTTCAGATATACCTGGGTTCCCTATTTCTAATATGCCACTTAGGTGGCTTTGGGCAACTGACAGCTTTGAATCTCATTTTTCTCATGTGCAAATTGGAATTACTCTATTAAACTTATCTCGTAGGGCTCGTCTTAGGATCAGGTAGAATACTGTGTATAAAATGCTAAATGTGCCTCTTGGAAACTTGCTATTAATAATCAGCCTGTGTTCTTATGGAGTATCCTACATAATAAAATTGTAGAAGAGTTTGTGTACAGAATGAGGACAGAGAAAAAAATCTTGACTGTCCTTAAACCCCTGGTGTTTAGATATTCTAGATAACTCTGTGGGCAGGGATTTGATACTGGTTTTTTTTCTTTTTGAGACGCAATCTCGCTCTGTCACCCAGAGTGCAGTGGTGCAATCTCGGCTCACTGCAACCTCCACCTCCCAGGTTCAAGCGATTGTCCTGCCTTGGCCTCCCAAGTAGCTAGGATCACAGGCGTGCGCCATCATGCCTGGCTAATTTTTTTGTGTTTGTAGTAGAGATGGGGTTTCACCATGTTGGCCAGGCAGGTCTCGAACTCCTGACCTCAAGTGATCTGGCAAAGTTCTGGGATTATATGTGTGAGCCACCGCGCCTGGCCTGATACTGGTTTGTTGCCTAAAGCTTCACATTTTAAAGGATATGATGTGTTGACAAAATTGTTTAAAAGCCTAATTAAAGCATAATTGTCTTCCTTTATTTATTTTGAGACAGAGGCTCGCACTGTCTCCTGGAGTCACTGTCTCCATGAGTCTTGTACTGTTGCACAAGCTGGAGTGCAATGGCGTGATCTCATTTGCCTCCCGGGTTCAAGTGATTCTCCTGCCTCAGCCTCCCGAGTAGATGGGATTACAGGTGCCCGCCACCATGCCAGGCTAATTTTTTGTATTTTTAGTAGGGACCGGGTTTCACTATGTTGGCCAGACTGGTCTCAAACTCCTGACCTCGTGATCTGCCTGCCTTGGCTTCCCAAAGTGCTGGGATTACCTTTAAATGATTTAACCATTTTGACAAAATATTTAAAATGTGATATATCTCTCCTTTTAAGAATAGAGTACTGATCACTAACTAGCTTTATACTGTTTTTAAAACTTACCTTGTGTTTAACTGTTTTATCATTGAATTTCTTATCTGCTGTAGATTTGTTATTGATAACAAATGAAATGACAGTTATTTAGTGGAGATGATGATGGAGGCCTCTGTTATCTCACTTATTTATTCTCTGAGACACAAATTTTACCTCCTAAGACTGCTTTCTGATTCTTGTTGTAGATAGCTTAATTCTGTTTTGATGAGATCTTACTGTATCTTTTTGATAATGTTAGACTTTCAAAATTTAGTCTCTAGAGTATAGAAAGTCAGAGAGCTTAGCATAGTGTTCAGTCGAATAGGCGTAAGATAGTTTCTAGTTGTTATTCTGTTGAGGCAGGACGATAATAAATTATACTTTATAAAGGGTTCATATTCATAGTTTCATCTTAAATTTACCATTTATATATTTTTTCTGTAATATGAAATAATTACCATGAATTTTATTGGGTAAAGTGATAGTCTTCTAAATTTTGTTTTGGGTACACACACAATTTGTGCACATACGCTCTTTGTGATTTTATGTATGTATTTGTATTATTAGATAACTTAAAAGATGTTCACAAATTTCGAGAATAACTATGTAGCATTGAATTTTATTGGGTTAATATACTCAATCTGCCTTTTTTTTTTTTTTTTTTTTTTTGACATGAGGTCTCACTCTGTCACCCAGGCTGGAGTGCTGATATGATCTCGGCTCACTACACCCTCCACCCCCCGGGCTCAAACAATCCTCCCACCTCAGCCTCCCGAGTAGCTGGGACTACAGGCACGCACCACCACACTTGGCTAATTTTTTGTATTTTTGGTTTTGCCATGTTGCCCAGGCTGGTCTCAAACTCCTAAGCTCAAGTGATCCGCCTACCTTGACCTCCCAAAGTGCTGGGATTATGGGCATGATCCTGGCCTCAAGCTGCCTTTCTATTTTACAAAAATGTGATTTCTCAAAGGGGTCGTTAAAGTAGGAATTTTAAAGTAATTCAGCTTGTTTTAAAGAGCCGGTTGTATATGTACTGACTTTATTAATTACATTTTTTTTTAAGAGATGAGGTCTTGCTATGTTGCACAGGCGAGAACGTGGTGGCTATTCACAGGCATAATCATAGTGCACAGGAGCCTTGAACTCCTGGGCTCAAGTGGTCCTCTGGCCTCAGCCACCTAAGTAGCTGAGACTAATGGTGCGTACACACACACCATGCCCAGCTTATCAATTTTTGAGATAGATGTTTTCTTCCATTTTTTAAGCTGATTCTAATCCTTTTTTTTTTTTTTGAGACAGAGTCTTCCTCTGTTGCCCAGGCTGGAGTACAGTGGCGTGATCTGGACTCACTGCAACCTCCGACTCCCAGATTCAAACGATTCCCCTGCCTCAGCCTCCCGAGTAGCTGGGATTACTAGCTTGCGCTACCACGCCCAGCTTATTTTTGTATTTTTAGTATAGCTGAGGTTTCACCGTGTTGGCCAGGCTGGTCTCAAACTCCTAACCTCAGGTGATCTGCCCGCCTCGGCCTCCCAAAGTGCTGGGATTATAGGCATGAGCCACTGTGCCCAGCCTGATGCAATTCGTTTTTGAAAAGGAATTTTGATAGAGGTAAGATACAAATAGAAATTGTTTCATTGATTAGAAATCAAAACAGTATTTTAATATGGTTCCATAGCAAAGTATGAGCCCATCAGAATTTGAATTCATATTGGAGGTGTGAGGCAAGAGGTGGGAGATAAGGTCATAAAGGGAGTGGAGGAAATGATTTTTAGATTAAATTTCATCATTTCAGATCACAGCTGAAAAATGCAAATTATACACTTTATATCACTGCATTCAATTTAGTTATTTTATTTTGTTTTTATATATATTTTTATTTATATGTATATATTTTGAGATGGAGTCTCATTCTGTCGCCCAGGCTGGAGTGCAGTGACGCAACCCATACAGATGGGGTTTCGCCATGTTGGCCAGGCTGTTCTTGAACTTCTGACCTCGGGTGATCAGCCCACTTTGTCCTCCCAAAGCACTGGGATTACAGGCGTGCATTGCGGAAACCAGCTGCATTCAATTTAAAAAGACATTTTAAAATTTAATATCTTGTCACTGACTTAAGCTCATGTATTCAATTTTTATATAACTTATTTGCTATCATCTGCTAATTGCATTGGTTTAGCAATAAATGGCTTAAAAGGTCAATAAATGAGTATTGACTGGATTAGCTCTGAGGGATTGTTTTATACCATGCCAGTGCTTTCTTTGTTATGGTTGTGAGCTTTGAAGAGGGAGGGGCAGTTTAAGATTGTAATTTGGTAGCAGTGAATTTCAGATGATGGGGGATGGCTGCCTCTCTGCTAATCTAGAATAAATAGCTGATTGGAGGAGTAAATACTGTTCATTGAGAAGATTTTCATGTAAAGCCAGAATGATAATATTTTCAGCTTTTTCAATCGGCCTCACAGGAATGGCATATAAAGTGTAAAAAATGAGCATGGGCTAACAAATTTTTGTTGGGTCTGTTGGTTAGCAGTCATTTACTGTTTAATGCCTTGAATCACTCAAATGTTAAAGCTTTTGCTTTAGTTTGTCATCTGAAACAAATTAGCGTGAACCACAGTTTATAAAATGCAGGCCTGGGACTTGTAATGGGAATTTTTTACTCACTTTGTTGATAGTGTATTAAAGCTTCAAATTGGAAGCTGGGCGCGGTGGCTCACGCCTGTAATCTCAGCACTTTGGGAGGCCGAGGTGGGCGGATCACCTGAGGTCAGGAGTTTGAGACCAGTCTGACCAACGTGGAGGAACCCCATCTCTACTAAAAATACAGAATTAGCCAGGTGTGGTGGTGCATGCCTGTGATCCCAGCTACCTGGGAGGCAGAGGTTGTGGTGAACTGAGATTGCCCCATTGCACTCCAGCCTGAGCAACAAGAATGTGAAACTCCGTCTCAAAAAAATGTTCCCCCTTTCACCTTGTTCTCCAATCTGAATAGCTATGGGGCTGAAATCCTGACTAGCCTCTGCCTGCTTTAACGTAGTTATTGTTAAATAAAATTCAGGAAGGATATACCCCAAATATTCATTTCCTGAATCTCTTCCTTACTGCAGATTGAATCTTTTCCAAACTGCAGGTTGTGATTTATTAATAATTTGTAAAAACAATTTAGTGGATTATAAGTGTTAGAAAAGAAAGGAACAGAATAGAAAATTAAAACAATACGTTGCAAATAGTAGGGGCATATATTGTTTTGTGAAACTTTTTATTTTATACATGCATACATACATGACATGTAAAGAGGTATATTCTGCTTCCCGGCCATTTGGCTAAGATCAAGTGAAGAGGTATGTTATGTACTGGGTTGTGATGCAAAATGTGTTTCTTTCCAGGGTTTGCTGTTTTGTTTTATTTTATTTTATTTTATTTTTTGTGAGACGGAGTCTTGCTCTGTCACTAGGCTGGAGTGCAGTGGCGCGATCTCGGCTCATTGCAACCTCCGCCTACTGGATTCAAGGGGTTCTCCTGCCTCAGTCTCTGGAGTAGCTGGGAGTACAGGCGCATGCCACCACGCCCAGCTAATTTTTTGTATTTTTAGTAGAGACGGGGTTTCACTGTGTTAGCCAGGATGGTCTCATTCTCCTGACCTTGTGAGCCGCCTGCCTCGGCCTCCCAGAGTGCTGGGGTTACAGGCGTGAGCCACCGTGCCTGGCTGTTTTTTTTTTTTTTTTTTAAAGTTGGAGCTACTCTGCCCATGAGGTAGCCACCCTTTTATTCCTTTTCTTAAAACAAGTTGGAAAACCATTGCTATAGATAAACATTCGATTTCATTCTTTTAGAAATAATACATACCTATATATTAATATATTCAATATATGTATCAGTCATATATATATTCATTAAAATGTTAACACCCAAGTATTTAGATTAAATGCTGTTATTTGGCTTATAAATTAACAGTACATCAAAAAGTTTTTATTTTGGCAAATTTAACTTCATATTTCATTAATAGTAGCTTACTTGTTCCATGTATATTAATAAATTGAGGTGTAATGAGAAGAAAGAACTGCCGACAGATTATCTTCTGTTCAATTTCAAACTCAAATCAACTGCTTAAGCCTTTAAGCTCATGAGCAAAAAAAAAAAAAGATCTACAATTAGCTAGCAAGACTGTTTAGTCAGTTCGACTCAGAAATAACTTGAAATATTGCAATGTGTTTAATTTGGAAAGGACTTAATGCAAAACTATTGAGAAAAATATCTTTAATGCTATGGCAATTGAGCCAATTACTAGATTTTATAAGAAGAAAGATAAGATACATGGAATGTTTAATTACACTAAACTGTAATTCTTATGTTTTATATGTATGCCAATACATGGTTAAAGGAGGCTTGAAAGAAGGCAAGTATTTATTTTTTAGGATAATCCTCAGACATTCTTAGTTATTTTGTTACAGCTACTTCTCAAAGGTTAGTTGAATGTTTATTTCTAAAAGAGTTAACTTATTTTGCAGTGATTGGACAAAATGGTCAGCTTTTCTAAGACTATCAACTGTATCATCATCTTAGCACCTCAGCAATGGCTTTAATTATTATTATTGTTATTTTATTATTTTTTTTTGAGACAGAGTTTTGCTCTTGTTGCCCAAGCTGGAGTGCAATGGCATGATCTAGGCTCACTGCAACCTCTGCTTCCCGGGTTCAAGTGATTCTCCTGCCTCAGCCTCCTGAGTAGCTGGTATTACAGGCATGTGCCACCACGCCCGGCTAATTGTATTTTTAATAGAGACAGGGTCTCTCCATGTTGGTCAGGCTGGTCTCGAACTCCATTTGTATCCTTTATAATATCCTTTATAAATCAGTAAACATAAGTAAGTGTGTCTGTGAGTTCTGTGAGCTGCTCCAGGACATTAATTAAACCCAAAGAGGGGATTGTGGAAACCCCAATTTAAAGTTCCAGAGGCCTGGACTTGTGATTAGTAGGGGATGGGGTGGTGGGGAAGAGTCTTGGTGACTGAGCCCTCAACCTGTGGGATCTAACACTATCTCCAGGTAGTGTTGGAATTAATTAATTAGAGGACACCCAGCTGGTGTCTGCTGCAGAATTGATTGCTTACTTGGCTTGCTCGTGGGGAGAAATCCCCTGACATTTGGTCATAGAAGTCATCTTCTACGGTGATGATTGTTGTGAGAGCACAGGAAAAATGATTTGAGTTTTTTCCAAAGAGTACTAATACCTAGTATTTAAGTTTTTTTTTTTCTTTTATTGAGACGCAGTCTCCCTCTGTCGCCCAGGCTGGAGTGTAGTGGTGCAAAATCAGCTCACTGCAACCTCCGCTTCCTGGGTTCAAGCAATTCTCCTGTCTAAGCTTCCCAAGTAGCTGGGATTACAGGTGTGTGCCACGAAGCCTGGCTAATATTTGTATTTTTAGTAGAGACAGCATTTTGCGTGATGGCCAGGCTGGTCTGGAACTCCTGACCTCAAGTGATCCGCCCACCCCGGCCTCCCAAAATGCTAGGATTATATGCATGAGCCATCACGCCCCACTCCTAGTATTTCATTGAATGCTTATATTGTACCAGAAATGTTTCTAAACTGTATTCATTGCATGCAACATCTTGTTTAATTTTTTTTAGCCTATCATTTGTATAAATATTGTTATCCCCATTCTACAGATGAGGAAACAGATCCAGTGAGACTAAGTAATCTGCCCAGCGTAGTAAGTGAAGAGCCAGGATTTCAATTCAGACAATCTTACTAGATCTAGAACCTATATTATTACAATTATTATTAATTTCTTCCTAGAACCATGTTGCCCAGGCTGGAGTGCAGTGGCTATTAACAGGTGGCTTCATAGCACAGTGCAGCTCTAACTCCTGGGCTCAAGCAATCCTCCACCTCAGTCTCTTGACTGAGTGTGACCGGTGTGTATCACTGCACTCAGCTTAGATCATGTATTATCTTCAGCCAAAATAAATTGGTTGACAAATTGCATTGCATATGTTTATGTACAGTTTTTCAGTATCTAGTCTTAATTTTATCCTAATATACAACTTATGGAGATAATTTTTTGGATTATGTCATTAATTAGTAGCTGTTGTCAAACATGTGTAAATTGTTTTAATCTCTTAATAAGAATTTATAAGGCTGCTCTTGGTGGCTCACGCCTGTAATCCCAACACTGTGGGAGGCCGAGGCGGGCGGATCACTTGAAGTCAGGAGTTCAAGACCAGCCTGGCCAACATGGTGAAACGTCATCTCTACTAAAAATAGAAAAGTTAGCTTAGCTGGGTGTGGTGATGTGTACCTGTAATCCCAGCTACTTGGGAGGCTGAGGCAGGAGAATCTCTTGAACCTGAGAGGATTTTATTTACATATAAAATGCATATCTGAATACTATTCTACTATATCCTAAATTTGGCTAGTATAAAAATGAAATATTTAATAGTACTTTGCCTTGATAATTTTTTTCTGAATGAAATTAAATGTACAGCTTTCTTAAAGCAACTGCTAGAGAAGTTTTTCAAACTGAATTTCTTTGCCTTTAGAGTCATTCTCTTAACCATAATCACAGCATGAGAGAAAAATTCCATGGTTCTAATCATAACCACTAGATGGTGATCTTATACATTGGTGAAGCCTAAATTTTAGTGGTGTTAAATACTGAAATGGTCGCCCAAATTAAGCAGTGTGAACTCGGCAGTGATATTTAGCAGTGTGAAAGGAGTGGACTGGCTGTGCTCCTCACTGAAACATATGTTTTAAAGTGAGACAGGTTTCCATTTGTTTTACGGGATTTCTTCTTCCTCTTTTCTTGGCTACTTGCTTCAAATTTATGTGTAAATTAAATTAAAACCTTCATGTTTGTTATAGTATTAAAGCTGATTTATTGTGTTGACATTTGTGCTGCTTATTGCTGCGATTTCAATTTAATTAGCTGTTACTGAATTGCTAGTAAAGTGTTTTAAAATAATGAAGTGAAATTTTTTGTGATTAATTATGTTTTACTTAGAATTCCATAAATAAGGCATATAAGTAAAATTATATGTAGTTTAATATAGGGGAAGGTATGTGGCCTAGTGGAATGAACATGAGCTCTTTGAAATCAGATACCCCTGATTTAAATAATGATCAGCTGTGTTACCATAAGGAGTTTTTGTGAGAATTAAAAATAATGTTTGTAAGTGGCCCAGTGAAAAGTGCATTGTCCCTGGAAGTGGGACATGATTTTAAATTATATCTTATCCAAGCTGAAGCAATGGGACCTTGGGAAAACTATTTAACTTTTCTGAGCCTCAAGTTTCTTTCACATATTTGGGAGAGTAATACTTGCTCCTAAAATTGTTTAGTGTAAGACTATTATAAAAGCTAGTAACAACCACAGTGTATGACTGTGGAATACTAAATAAAACTAACTTCCTCACTCATCCATTGTTAATGGAGATTATTCTTCCCAACTTATATTTCTAAAGAGTATAGGAAAATATAAAGAAAATTAAAAAAATTTTTTTTTTCTTGAGATGGAGTCTTGCTCTTTTGCCCAAGCTGGAGTGCAGTGGCGCAATCGCGGCTCTCTGAAACTGCTGCCTCCCAGGTTCAAGCAATTCTCCTGTCTCAGCCTCCCTAGTAGCTGGGACTACAGGCGCGCACCAGCACGCGGGGCTAATTTTGGTATTTTTTATAGAGATGGCTAATTTTGGTATTTTTTTATAGAGACGGGGCTCCGTCATATTGGCTAGGCTGGTCTCGAACTCCTGACCTCAGGTGATCCACCTGCCTCAGCTTCCCAAAGTGCTGGGATTACAGGTGTGAATCACCACGGCTGTCCAAGAAAGTAAAAATTTTAAAGAATTTAAAACGTATCTTCTCATAATTAAAATTGTGCACCTTAATGTACCCCCTTTTCTTTTTCTTTTTTTTTTTTGAGACGGAGTCTCGCTGTCGCCCAGGTTGGAGTGCAGTGGCGCGATCTCGGCTCACTGCAGGCTCCGTCCCCCGGGGTTCACACCATTCTCCTGCCTCAGCCTTTTGAGTTGCTGGGACTACAGGTGCCCACCACCTCGCCCGGCTAATTTTTTGTATTTTTAGTAGAGACGGGGTTTCACCGTGTTAGCCAGGATGGTCTCGATCTCCTGACCTCGTGATCCGCCCGCCTCGGCCTCCCAAAGTGCTGGGATTACAGGCGTGAGCCACCGCGCCCAGCCAATGTACCCCCTTTTCTGTCATATAAAGAGAAAACATGGGCCCTCTGCTTTGTCAGCAGTATCATTTACATCTAGTTACATTCCTGTATTATGTTCCTGTACAGAAAAAGTAATTTCCCATCTGTAAAGGAACTTAAATGGATACTACATATGCTTTCTTAATCACTTTAATTCCTGTACAGTTTTCTTTCTTTCTTTCTTTCTTTTTTTTTTTTTGAGACGGACTCTTGCTCTGTCGCCCAGGCTGGAGTGCAGTGGGGCGATCTCAGCTCACTGCAACCTCCGCCTCCCGGGTTCATGCCATTCTCCTGCCTCAGCCTCCCGAGTAGCTGGGACTACAGGTGCCAGCCACCACGCCTGGCTAATTTTTTGTATTTTTAGTAGAGAAAACCCCGTGTTAGCCAGGGTGGTTTCGATCTCCTGATCTCGTGATTCGTCCGCCTCGGCCTCTCAAAGTGCTGGGATTACAGGCGTGAGCCACGGTGCCGGCCTAATTCCTGTACAGTTTTCTACCTAATTTAAAATTTCTCGGTTTCCCCCTGCTTTGGCTGATTGAAATTCACAATTAGAATTTTAAGCTGTGTAGTATTTCTTTTTCCTGAATTTAAGATTTCAAAAAATCAGTTAATTTGATTATATAATGTAATGATTGTAAAGCAGTAAAAATGTTAGTACTTTTTTTTTTTTTTTTTTTTACTGTGCCTACCAGTTCAGTTTTAGAACATGGGAAAATGGTTAGGAAAATTTTGAACCATCTTCTGTAGGTAGCTGACCTTGTGAAATGCTTTTTCAAAAATGTTACTTGCTTTTTTATTAAAGTTGTATCTACTTAAAACAAGAATTGATTGTAGGTTTGTGGGTTTTTTTTTTTTTTTTTTTTGAGACGGAGTCTTGCTCTGTTGCCCAGGCTTGGAGTGCAGTGGTGCCATCTCGGTTTACTGCAAACTCCGCCTCCTGGGTTCAAGCGATTCTCGTGGCTCAGCCTCCCGGGTGGCTGGGATTACAGGCACGCCTGGATAATTTTCGTGTTTTTGGTAGAAACCAGGGTTTCACCATGTTGTCCTGGCTGGTCTCAAACCCCAGAGCTCAGGCAATCCGCCCACCTTGGCCTCCCAAAGTGCTGGTGTTGTAGAAAAAACCGGGTTCTTGTCACACGGCCGGGAAAGATTAGGCACGCAGATACTTTGAAAGGTGAGGGGTTACGAATTTATTGGGCGAAAAAGAAAGAACAACACAGCAAAGTGAAATGGAGTCCTGGCTAACAGGCTGTCCATCTCACCAATTGAATTCCAGGTTACTATCCCGGAACAGGAGGGGCCAGGCTCTTCCCCCACTGCAAATGGCGCGAACTTTTCGCGGTTCCACCCCATCCTCCCAGTGCTCGTAAATTGTCTTGGGAGCCCTTTTTACTTGACTGTCTCACTAGGATTACAGGCATTAGCGACCGCGCTGGGCTGGCTGGCTGGCTTTTTTTTTTGAGACGGAGTCCCGCTCTGTTGCCCAGGCGGGAGTACAGTGGTGCGATCTCGGCTCACTGCAACCTCTGCCTCCCGGGTTCAAGCAGTTCTCCTGCCTCACCCTCCCGAGTAGCTGGTAAAGGCGCCCGCCACCACGCCTGGCTAATTTTTGTATTTTTAGTGGAGATAGGGGTTTGCTGTGTTTTCCAGGCTGGTCTCGAACTCCTGACCTCTGCCTCGGCCTCCCAAAGTGCTGGGATTACTGGCGTGAGCTACCGCTCCCTGCCTTGATTGTGGTTTTGAAGAATGGACTAAAATGTCACTATTTCACCCTTAATGAATTATCAGTTATCTTTTATATTTAATGTTATATTGAATTAATAGATCTTTAATCTCTCTAGAGAAACATGATCTTCGTTGAAACAGACTAACTTATATATCCTTCTATATTTTGTGTTCATATAAACACAAACTCACAAATGGGTTTTATCCTTCCGAAAACATGACAATGTGATATTAAAACAACAGTGTGTTTTCTTTTTTTTGAGACGGAGTCTTGCTCCCAGGCTGGAGTGCAGTGGCGCAATCTCGGCTCACTAGCTTCCGCCTCCTGGGTTCAAGCGATTCTTGTGTCTCGGCCTTCCAAGTAGCTGGGATAACAGGCACGCCTGGTTAATTTTCGTGTTTTTGGTAGAGACCAGGGTTTCACTATGTTGCCCAGGATGGTCTCAAACCCCTGAGCTCAAGCAATCAGCCCGCCTTGGCCTCCCAAAGTGCTGGTGTTGTAGACAAAACCGGGTTCTTGTCATACGGCAGGTAAAGATTAGGCACGCAGACACTTTGAAAGGTAAGGGGTTATGAACTTAGCCGGCGAAAAGAACAACACAGCAAAGTGAGATGGAGTCCTGCTAACAGGCTGCCCATCTCACCAATTGAATTCCAGGTTACTATCCCGGAACAGGAGGGGTCAGGCTCTTCCCCGCTGCAAATGGGAACAGGAGGGGTCAGGTTCTTCCCCCCGGCAAATGGCGCAAACTTCGCGGCTCCACCCCATCCTCATCCCAGTGCGCAGGCCACTCGTAGATTTTCTTGGGAGCCCTTTTTATTTGGCTGTCTCACTAGGATTACATACATTAGCCACCGCATTGGGCTTGCTTTATTTTTTATTTTTTGAGGTGGAGTTTCGCTCTTGTTGCCCAGGCTGGAGTGCAGTGGTGCGATCTCGGCTGACTGCAACCGCCACCACGCTCGGCTAATTTTTGTATTTTTTGTATTTTTTTTAAGAGGCGGAGTCTCGCTCTGTCGCCGAGGCTGGAGTGCAGTGGTGCGATCTCAGCTCACTGCAAGCTCCGCCTCCCGGGTCCACGCTATTCTCTTGCCCCAGCTTCCTGAGTAGCTGGACTATAGGCGCCCGCCACCACGCCTGGCTAATTTATTTTTTGTATTTTTAGTAGAGACGGGGTTTCACCGTGTTAACTAGGATGGTCTGGATCTCCTGACCTCGTCATCCGCCCTCCTTGACCTCCCAAAGTGCTGGGATTACAGGCGTGAGCCACCGCGCCCGGCCCTAACTTTTGTATTTTGAGTAGAGACGAGGTTTCGCCATGTTGGCCAGGCTGGTCTCTCCTGACCTCGGGTGATCTGCCCACCTCTGCCCCCGCCTCACAAAGTGCTGGGATTACAGGCGTGAGCCACTGCGCCCAGTCCCTGCTTTCTTAATATTTTACCGACATCTGTTGCATGGGACTTTGTAATTGTAACTCGTTGTTCATAATATCATTATAATATTCCATGGTAATCAGCCATTTCTTTTTTGCTTTCAGATTCTTTGTTTTTCCCGGTTTGAACAGTAAACACTTTTTAAACCCAACTCGTAATCAGTTTATTAAATAGTTAAGCATCTCCAGTGGTAACTTCAGCCTCAATTACTAATGCAGTAGTGATGGAAGTAATCTGTTTAACAATCTTAGAAGGATTCTCCAAGTCTGAGTTGCTTTTAGATTCTCAACTGGAAGCGATCCCGTGTTTTAGGACCTTCACCGTGAGTTTTTCTTGTAGTGATTCTCAAAGTCTTAGGCATCTGAACTGGTCCTTTTAAGATTCCTTTCCTTTGCGCCTCTGTTCAAGCCAGCACACATCATCTTCGGCGATTTTACATTGCGACTGCTTAGCATAATTCCGATTTGTCAAATCTCCACCTCTGGTTCTTTCCAGTATCTTTAGAAGCATGGCTATGGTATTGCTTCCTGATCAACTTGTTCCTCAGTGACACCAAACATCAATGACTCAGGAACATAATGTGAGTCAGGAGCAGGAGTGGGTTGACCAGAGCTCCCCAGTACCTGCGAACGTGTCTTCTTTAAAAACCCCAAACGTTCTTGACTTTATATTTTGTTGGTTTTGTTTCTGTTGAGTAGATACACAGAAGTCATATTGCTGCACCAAATGTATGCTGAAAAATTTGTAAATGAATTCTTGCTAGTTTACTCTCCAAAGTTTTGGGCAATTTACATTCCCAAGTAGGAAGTACAAAAGTGTCTGTGTCTCCCTATCTTTACTAGTTTTAAATGTGAATTTAAAAAAATTTATGGAAAGAAAAATTAAATCTCATGTACGGTCCATTAAAAAATTTGTTTTGCTAATCTGATGGGTCTTAAATTCCATTTGTTGAATATCTAGTGAGAGTGTCCCTTTAGTTATTGGCCATTGGTATTTTTACGTAAGGGAATTACTTGGTTCATCATCTTTTTTTTGAGATGGAATCGCACTGTTTCCCAGGCTGGAGTGCAGTGGTACAATCTTGGGTCACTACAGTCTCTGCCTCCCAGGTTCAAGTGATCCTCCCACTTCAGCCTCTCGTGTAGCCAGGACTACAGGAGCATGCCACAGTGCCCGGCTAATTTTTTTTTTTTTTTGGTGGAGATGGGGTTTCACCATGTTGGCCAGCCTAGTCTCAAACTCCTGACCTCAAGTGATCTGCCCGCCTCGGCCTCCCAAAGTATTGGGATTACAGACGTGAGCCACTGTGCCCAGCCATGGTTCATATTCCTAATCCATTTTTATATACCATTTTTCCTTTTTATTTATTCTTTTTTTTTTTTTTTTTGTAAACGAGGTCTTTCTGTGTTGCCTAGGCTAGTCTCAAAATCCTATCCTCAAGCCATCCTCCAGCCTTGGTCTACCAAAGTTGTAGGATTATCACCATTCCTGGCCTGTTACTGCTTAAAGAAAAGCTATTGGTTTTAATTTATCTTGTAATTGGCTGCCTTCAAATGAATCTGTTTGTTTGTTTTGTTTTGTTTTTGTTTTTTTTTGAGACAGTGTCTCGCTTCGTCACTCAGGTTGGAGTGCAGTGGCGTGGTCTTGGCTCACTGCAACCTCCGCCTTCTGGGTTCAAGCAATTCTCCCTGCCACAGTCTCCCAAGTAGCTGGGATTACAGGTGTGAGCCACCACGCCTGGCCAAATGAATGTGTTTTGTGTGTGTGTGTGTGTGTGTGTGTGTGCTAATTGGATGAATCTGTCATTCTAGGTACACTGTCACATCATCTGCAAATAAAGATAATTTTGTTTTTTTGTTCTGTTTTCATTACATTAGCTCCACATTCAAATTGATGGATTTTCCTATAGACAGTGGAATCTTGCAGCTCGCGTAACAAGTGAAATCTTTAGTGTTTTACACTTTAGTATGTTTGCTCTTGGTTTCTGGTTATAATTTTATTACTTTTGAACAGGTTCATTTTATTTTCATTATACTTGAGTCATGTTGTAAAGGTCTACTGGGAGTCTTGAAGGAATAATTAAAGACATACATCTAGACACATCTTGATGAAATTATTGAGCCAGAAGTGGAAAAACAAAGAAACAAAAACCTGGTGGGTATTAGGCTTCTGGTCAACAGCACTAGATTCTTAAAGGCCATGGCGCAGTACCTGAGAGAAGGTATCTATCCAAAATACGTATCGAGTAAAATGATTTTTGAACATGAAAAGGTTTTCTTTATCACCCATATATTCATCGTGAAGCATATTTCTCAAGGCCTTCTTAAATGAAAATGAGAAAGGAATAATATGAGCTGAACATCACTCAGACAAACTAGGGGAAAACACCCTTGATAATAAATTAATAGAGGGATCTACTTTACTTTAGCGTTTGAAATAGTCTCTTGTGAGCAGTAGGGATTTGGTGACATTGATTCAGATGGTCCAATTTTAATTATTGGTTCTGCACAGACAATACAGTATTTAATTCTAGTACTTCAGATGCTTTTTAATATGAGTTTTCAGTTTTAGAATTAACCAGAGGACAGAGCTTAGAAGGCTTTATTATAAATATTGAATGGAATGTAAATGTTATGCACCTTGATACAAAAAAATATAGGCCCGGTGCAGTGGCTCACACCTATAATCCCAGCATTTTGGGAGGCCCAGGTGGGTGGTTATCTTTTGGGGCCAGAAGTTTGGGACCAGCCTAGCCAACATGGAGAAACCTGGTCTCTACTTAAAATATAAAAATTAGCTGAGCGTAGTGGTGGACGCCTATAATCCCAGCTGCCAGGGAGGCTGAGACATGAGAATTGCTTGAACTTGGGAGGCGGAGGTTGCAGTGAGCCAAGATTGCCACTGCACCCAGCCTGGGCGACAGAGCGAGACCCTGTCTCAAAAGAAAAAAAAAAATTATATATATATATGTGTATATATACACGTGTGTGTGTGTGTGTGTGTATATATATATATATATATAAATAACACTGAGATGTGGAAGAGAGATTGTAAATGAAAGGATATGGGTGTGTTGGAGAAAATTCTTTTCTTTTTGTGGAAAGATACTGTTTAAAATTGATAAACCAAGACATAAAATAAAGTATTTAAAGTTATAATGGCAACTCTAGCAACTAAAGAGTTACAAGACACAACAGAATGTAATTATATCTCATGAGTGGAAGTGGGAATGGGAGGAATGCTTGCTTATTTGGGGGCACTTCTGTAACCTTGGATTTTCCTACTGTTTACAGATTAATTTGATAAATTACTTAAAAATGTAGTTTAAGTGAAAAAAGCAAGTTATATATAAAACAGTAAGTGTGTAATGAATGCTATCTTTTTTGTAAGAATATATATATTTCCATTTGCATAAAAATATTAGAAGGCTGAAAATGGAGTGAAGAGACCAAGGGATCAAATGAGATGTTTGTGTGTGCCTGCTATTAAATAAAATTATACTGAAAATAAATCTTTAAAGAATTAGCCAAACGAAAGCCTATTGGTTAAAGTTTATTTGTTGAGTTACTTTATATTTTTATTTTATCAAATAATGTATTAAACTAAAACTAACTTCACCATTTCACCTATAAACCTTGATTTTTAAAATTTTATTGGAATATTGGTTTGGTAGTGTCCATGATAGTGTTAAATGGGAAACGTTGGAGAAGTGTGTCTTTCGTATTTTGGTGTATAATATTTTGTTTTGTATTTGGGAAATTAAAAAGTCTACGTGCACCTAGTTTCTTCTTCTTTTCCCTCTGGGGTTGCTTAACCTTCCCTTCGTCCCACTCAAATCCCTATGCTTATGGTTTTTATAATCCAGTGGGGGAGGAAAGGACATGTGCTTGACCAGGAGGTTAAGCTCTTAAGTACTGGTGGGGAGGGCCAAGATTTTCCATAGGAAGTATGTTTCAAGAGGTCATTTTGGAATTTTTTTTAATTTAATTTTTTATTTTTTAGATGGAATCTCGCTCTGTTGTCCAGGCTGGAGTGCAGTGCCGTGGCATGATCTCAGCTCACTGCAGCCTCCACCTCCCGGGTTCCAGCAATTCTCTTTCCTCAGCCTCCAGAGTAGCTGGGGTTACAGGTGGGCACCACTGTGCCTGGCTAATTTTTGTGTATTTAGTAGAGGCGGGGGTTTCACCACGTTGGCCAGGCTGGTCTTGAACCTGACCTCAGGTAATCTGCCCACCTCGGCCTCCCAGGGTCCTAGGATTACTGGCATGAGCCACCTTGCCCAGCCAGAAATTGGTTTTTAACCTGATTGTTTGCAGATGTTCTTTGGGGCTTAATGTATTGAGAATTTAAAAAAATCATTGACTGACATATGTCTTATTCTTGTATTTGATTCTTTAGATTTATGTTTATTTGCCAAGTATATATCATACATAACAAGGGTGAAGATTTCAAATATGTAATTAATTATATATGTTATTTAGCTGTTGGTGTTATTGGGATTTCTGTTCTTGGAGAAGTTTAGAAGCCTTAGTTGTATTTGAAGTGTATGACATGTCTATCACCTGTTACGTACAGTCAGTCTCCCTATGTAAAGTTGTGAAAGATTTATTTCTTATTTTGCTACTTATTTAGTGCACGTCATCAGTGAATTCTCCAGGATGAGCTGGGTAGTAAGACTTTAGCTGTGGGATATAAATATTTTTATAGAAAATATTAAATATCATCTATTTTGCTAGCTTATAGAATTGAGGGTACCAAGAAACAAATCTGTATACACAAAGAGCACTTTGATGAAGCAGTAAAAACTAGTTATCTTATTAAATTTTTGCCTTTGTGTATTGCTTTAATATTCTGAATGACAAAATAAGCATTTGTAAAAACATTTCTGCTGCATATCCAAATAGAATGATTGTTTGGAGAAAAATCACTGGTTAATTGCCTGAATTGTGAACTCAACTAGCTGTTATTTTCATGGAACACCATTTTTACCTGAAAGAAAAAATGACAGACTTGGTTAATCATACTTGGGCATTTGACAGATATTTTGTCAAAAATGAATGAAGTGAACTTGTCACTTCAAGAAAAACAACTGATAGTGTTTGTTACCCATGATAATAATTCAGACTTTCAGGCAAAACTTAGAATTTTGGAAAACTTGCATCTGCTAACCTGACTTTGACAGTTTCTCAATACTTGGACTTATGAGATTGTTGGTGATATTATTAACAAGTGTGATTTAAAAAAATTTTTGATATTGTTTAATGAAATGTGACATTTGGAAAAGCTCTAATACCCTGTGAACACATACATTCCAAAAATGTGAGAGATCCATTCAAAGTGCATAGTAGACAAATGGATTTTGATGTAACAATGTGTAAAATGTTCATTTGGAATGGTTTCAGATTCTACGTTGCAACTATTAAGAAACAATATACTTGTTGAGTTTGATGAACTATCAGAGGAATGTCCATAACTACCTGAAGAGAATATTGAAATATGCCTCCCCTTTCCAGCAGAATATCTGTGTGAATATGGATTTTTAAATATACTTTAACCAAGGGCAGATCACATCAGATTGACTGCAGAAGTAGATATGAGAATCCAGTTGTCTTCTATTAAGTTAGATAATTGAAGAGATTTGTAAAAATGTAAAACAGAGGTATTCCTCTAAGTTTTGTCTTGTTTTTGAAAAGTTATTTTCATTAAAATGTTATGTATATTAACATGTAATGGCTTTATTATTGTGTAAATAATTCTGAATAAGTACTTTGAAGTTTTCTGTTTTAATCCTGATGTGGTAACTTATATAAACCAAGGTCCTTTTCGGTCTTCAGGAATTTTTAAGAATGTAGAGAATCCCAAGTCCAGTAGTTAGAGGGGTGCTACTCTTTTTTTTTTCTAGCTATTGTCCATATTAATACTTTGTTTTTTGGTTACAATGATAATTATAAACCATACTCTCACACATCCATCCACATATATTCTTAGAGTATGCACTCTTTGTACTAACATTGCAGAAAGGTTTCAGTTGAAAACGGATTGCTGCATTCCTCTTGGTATTTTTACTTATAACTAAATGTGTATATTACTTTCCAAATCTGTTATGCTGTGACCCTGTGTAAGTTGTAGTTATTAGCTTGGAAGATTAGGTAACTTAGAACACAGTGATTGGCTGTACCATAAAAGTAACTTAGAAGAATTCATCTCTGCAAAGCACAGTGACCTAAATCAGATATGTGCTCACTGTCCCTGGAATCTTCAAGGGAGTTACTGCATTACATCATCAGAAACAAGGCATTTCTATATTACTATGGAAAGATTTCGTCTGGAGAAGAAGTTACCTGTATGTACCTAATTATGATCTTGTCTTTTATTTACAAACGAATTTGAATCAGAGTTTAATAGTGAAGCTTGAAGAAATGTCAGGCTTATTAGCACTGGCTTAGAATAGTATCATCCTTTGTGTCCTTGGCTGTGGAAGTCATCTGTTGAAGAGTAATTCCTTGTGTAAAGTTAAAAATAATTGTAGCATCTTTATTCTTCTATAAAACTAACTCTTTGGATAGTTAATATTACTTGAACGAGTCTTTAAAAATTATTTGGTTAAGATATTAGGAAAGAAATCACTTTATCTTAATAGTTAAGTGTGTTTTGAAGCTAAAGTGTTCGATAACTATGAATTTACTCCATATGGTTCATCATAATTTATGGGAGGCATTACTTTAGGCTATAGCCATATGTCTTATATAATGGAAAAATTAATTTGTGACAGGGATCTCTGATGGCTGTTTTAATGGATTTTTGTAAACCTTAGGGTGTCAAAAGGATATTAGACACTATATTTTAAAGGTGTCTTTTAACATCCTTTTTTTCTAATACTTTGCTTTTGGCATGTTAAGTGTCATTTTTGATAATTTGACCAACAAAAATATAAATTGTGGATTTTGCTTTTTCAGGCAAGATAAATAACTATGAGAGGAATTAGTAAAATATCTTATGAAGGCATAAATCTGTTTCTAACAAAACTAGATTTGATTTTGCTGGGATTTTCATGTTGAATTGAATTTTGATTTTGTAATGTGTTGATGCTGGGTTTTTAAATTTATGAACTAGGTTTTGTTTTTTGTGTTTTTTTTTGAGACAAGGTCTCGTTCTGTTGCCCAGGCTAGAGTGCGGTGGCGCTCTATGCGCTCACTGCAACCTCCACTTCCTGGGTTCAACCCAAGTAACTGGAATTAAAGGCATGCTCCACCGCACTCAGCTAATTTTTGTATTTTTAGTAGAGACAGGGTTTCACCATGTTGGCTAGGCTGGTCTTGAACTCCTGACCTCAAGTGATCTGCCTGCTTCGGCCTCCCAAAGACTGCACTCCAGCCTGGGCGACAGAATGAGACTCTGTCTCCAAAAAAAAAAAAAAAAAAAATTTAGTTATGCAAGTTACGCATGAAAACACTCTCATTGAAAACTGAAACAATAACAATAAATTCATATTTTAACTTGACTTCCATTCAAACCCAGTTCCCTTTCCAGAAAGGAGCAGTTAAGAATTTGGTGTGTATCCCATCAAGCCTTTTCCCCGGCTTTTTACTTAATACAAATAAATACATATGAAAACATGTCTGTGGAAATAAAATTTTGGTTTAGTCTTGTAAATATTTTTAACATAAACTTGATCTTATTCACTACAATGTGCTTTTGCAGTAAACAACTATCTTTGAGACCTTTTCTTACCAGGACACATAGATCTACTTCCATTTTTTGGGTCTGGTTTCTCAAACTGTTTCCTAGCACTCCTTGGTATGAGATTGTCTCCTTACTATTGACACACATTTTTGTTTCATTTTTTTAAATATTGGAAACAATGCCTCAGTGAAAATGAAAGTTCAGAGAAGTTGAACTTTCTCTTGCCCAAGACTTCACAGACAGTATATAGTGGGAGCAGCCTGTGTAGACCATGAGAGGATGTGCTCTTTTTTTTTTTTTAACATGTCATGTTTGGTACATGTGGGAGCATTTATCTATGATAGATATTTAGAGGTCAAAGGGTATGTGTATTTTAAATAAGTATAGTAAATAATATATTTATAAGTATTGTGAGATTATATAACTTAAGCTGTTTTTGAGTCCTTTTTGTTGTTATTTGAAGGTGAGGGTTAATTGTTTTGCTTCATATCCTGGCAATTGTGCGACCTAAATGAAAGTTTGGAATGGGAGCAGTTAATCCCTTTTAGAATAGGCAGTATGCTACCTCTCAGGATACAACTTCTGTGCCTTTTACTTAGGAGAGCTTATCTTTTGTACCTGTGCATGTTCAGAGACTAAATGACATGAAGTCATTGGAACACGTAGCTCAAGATTTTAGAATATGACTTGGTTGATGGATGGAAATTATTATTCATTCTTGCACTTTTGGGGTTTGGTTTGGTTTCCTACTTTGGCTTTTCCTTGTTACTGAGGAAGTGAATGCTGTAAGGCGGCTTGATTAATTTGTCTGTCTTGTTTTTTATTAAAAAATTTTTTTCTTTCTTGAGACGGAGTCTCGCTTTGTCTCCCAGGCTGGGGTAAAGTGACGTGATCTCGGCTCACTGCAACCTCTGCCTCCTGGGTTCAAGCGATTCTGCTGCCTCAGCCTCCTGAGTAGCTGGGATTACAGGCGCCCGCTACCACGCCCAGCTAATTTTTTCGTTTTTAGTAGAGATGGGGTTTTGCCACGTTGGCCAGGCTGGTGTCAAACTCCTGACCTCAGGTGATCCACCAACCTCGGCCTCCCAAAGTGTTGGGATTACAGATGTGAGCCACCGTGCCTAGCCTTAAGTTTCTTTTTAATTAAAAATTTTATTAAATAAATGGAGATGGGGGTCTTGCTATGTTGTCTAGGCTGGTCTCAAACTCCTAGCTTAAGTGATACTCCCATCTCAGCCTCCCAAAGTACTGGGATTTCAGGTGTGAACCACCACACCTAGCCCATCTTCTTAGTCCATTGTATGAAATTGTCTCATGGTCTACATGGCCTGCTCCCACTCCTTTAAATATGGAACTATAGCCAAGTCATTTAATATCTCTGTTACCTATATTAAATTGAACACCAATCATTCAGAGTCATATACATGTATCTCCTGATATCCAAATATATTTGATTTACAGTTTGGATATCTAGCCTTTAGAAAGTAAATTTGGATATCAAAAGATCTGCATTTTCTTAATATACTGTGTCCTGTTCTGAGTTTTGGATAACAAATAGTGGTAGTTTGGATAGCAAGGAATTTATTTGAAAATTTAATCAAATCAGTTCAGTTCCTGAGTTTACTTACTGAGAATTTGGACACCGAGGGTTTCCATAGCAGCAACAATTGTATGTCAGTTTACTTTGTATACATTTTTAGACGGAGTTTCATGCTTGTTGCCCAGGCTGGAGTGCAATGGCACGATCTTGGCTCACCAATACCTCTGCCTCCCGGGTTCAAGTGATTCTCCTGCCTCAGCCTCCTGAGTAGCTGGGATTACAGGCGCGTGCCACCACACCTGGCTAATTTTGTATTTTTAGTGGAGATGGGGTTTCTCCATGTTGGTCAGGCTGGTCTCGAACTCCGACCTCAGGTGATCTGCCCACCTTGGCCTCCCAAAGTGATCCAATTATAGGCGTGAGCAACCAGGCCCGGCTTCAAAGACTTTTTGAGGGAAGGGTATTTGTTCTCTCTCTAGCAGTGGCATAGAATCTTGTGTATAATAAGTTAATAATAAGTAGTTAATGATGATTAGAATGTCCTTTTGAAAGTTATTACAAGTTGAGAAGGGAAGTTAAAGCTAAAATTTTATCCTCTTAAAAATAGCCTATACAACATTTTCTAATAAATATGTTTAGTCTTTTTGTTGAACTGAAAAGAGAACAAAATTATGAAGGTGGGATTTTCACAACTGCAGCTAGAATTTCCCTAGAGGTTAAATTTTGGCATGAATTTTACTTTGGGGGAAAAGAAAAAGTTCTTTTAACTTTTGTTAGCTCTTGATTAATCAGTTAAAGTGGTACTGCATGTTGAGTCTGCTTATTTTTGACAATTTTATGTTTGACCATAATTCAGTCCAGTATAGCTGTTTCCTGTTATTTAGGAGACTTAAGAGCAAAGATCAAGAAAGAAAGCATTACATGTTGACATCTAAGGATTCCTCTCACATCACATTTTCTTTAATCTCTGACCCTAGAAGGTCTGTCTTTTGAGGATGAAATGAATATATTACCAGTTATTTGGTAATTTGCATGGAAAACCATTTAAAAATCTTTGCCATTTCACTTCTCACTCTGGGATTTTTGAATGGTCTTCTGTGGATTTAAAAAGCTTGTAAACATAATTTTAAAAGAATGCAATTAGCTGTAATGAGTTCAGTTATTTGAGAGAAAGCAGTCTGTTTTATATTTTGTTGCCATTTCAAAGGATGCATATAATAGGTCCTCAATAGATTGTGATCTCATGAGTCAATGAGAATAATTTGTTTTTAGGGTCCTGATGAAGAAGCTGTTGTGGATCTTGGCAAAACTAGCTCAACTGTGAACACCAAGTTTGAAAAAGAAGAACTAGAAAGTAAGTTGGTTTAAAATAACTTACTTCGCTTAGTAGGATAATTTACTAATTAATGTTTTTAAGTATCCTTTTAAGTTTTACCTAGTATTTGTTGAGTTTTTTTGTTATTGTTGTAAGGTAAAGCGTACATTGAGAAGAGTGCCATTTGAAAGTATTGGCAAAAGATAGAGTTCATAATGCTTCTCAAAATTTAGTGATGGTTACCATTAATTACCTTAACTTGGAAAACTGAAAGGACACAGTCACAAAATTAGTTAACTCTTATTTTTTTCATTTCTAGCAGGCTGAGTAATTTGTGTTATGAGTACACTAGAGTGCCAGACTAATAAACCACAGTTATCATTAATTGTCATCTCAACATTCATTTTATAGGTGTTACATTAGCCTTTTAAAATGTTGCAATAACCTCTCCATAGAGTTGTAGAGCAACTGAGTTATTTGCCCATCTTTCTTCCTTAGACAGGAAGAAGTCCTGGCAAATGGTTTCTTTTCTTTTGAAAATAATTTTAGATTTACAGAATAGCTGCAAAGACAGCACATAGTTCCTCCATACACTTCACCCAGTTTCTCCTAATGTTAACATTTTGCGCAGCCATCATACATTTGTGTAAATGAAGAAATTAACATTGGTTAATTACAAATTTAATTAGAATCTGACTAATTACTAGTTTACTGTTAAACCACAGATTTTATTTAGGCTTCACTAGTTTTTCCACTAATGGCCTTTTTCTGTTCTAGGATTCAGTTGATCCAGTTGAGGATCTGTAACAGTACATTTAGTTGCAAGTCTCCTCAGTCTCCTAATCTATACCAGTTTCTCATTCTTTTTTTGTTTTTCATGACCTTAACACTTTTGAAGAGTAGTGGTTAGATATTTTGTACAGTGTTTCTCAGTTTGGGTTTAGTCTGATGTTTTGGCATGAGTAGGTGGAGGTTATGGTTATTTGGGAAGCATACCACAGAAGTAATGTTCCCTTTTCAGTGCACCATATCTGTGGACAATATGATATCAACATGACTTATTATTGATGATGTTAACTATGAACATGTGGTTAAAGTGGTGTTTAAGGCAAATATTTTGATAGACATTTTTGGGGGATGTTTATAGGAACTACATCCTTAAGTTAAACTCTTCTGTGAGAGCTAGTACTATATTGAGTTATTGTTTATTTTAATAAAAAAGAGATGGACAGAGAAACAAAGTTTGATTTATGTTGTAAATGTTTTCATTTATATTCTAAGACTTTTTTTTAAACTCTAAACGATTTTTTTTTTTAACTCTAAAAATTGGCTTTAAGAGCCTAGGCTTGTTAGGGTTTCCAAAAAGAACCTCAGTTATCTAGAAGCTTATGGTTAGATCCTGTGAATTATAGGAGCTAGGGAGGTTAAAATTTTTAGCGGTAATTTTACTAATTCAAATGTACAGTCATACATTTAATGTTTAATGTCAACCCTCACCTATACATAACCTGGATATTCCTTCGATTCCTTTGGTTATCACAGGCCCTAAGCTCTGCATACTTTGTACACATCTTCAAGTTTGGTATCAAGTTTGAGGGAGAGATTAAGTTTAAGAGAGTTTGAGTAAATAGGCTTTTGATAGAATAAAGTAAGGGCAGAAGAAAAAGGAAAGAAAAAGAAAAAGATTAAAACAGAGGACACTAGAGGCAATAGTAAAAGAAGAAAACACAATAAGCTTAATCTACCAATCTTTGGATTCTAGCGTGTTTTTATTTATTTTATCTATCCCTTTCTTTCTAAACTGCACACTCATAGCATTTATTTTTATCTTGGTGCATTGGGGCTTCTGTGCCAAGACCCATTAGTACTAATTGGAGGAACAACTTTGTAATTCCCAGTGCAGTGATGGGAATTTGACTCTTTAATTTCCACTTTTCTTTATGTTTTGAAGGAAATAGTTTCATTAAAATAAAATTGAGTTTTTTTATATTTATTTCTTATTACTTTTTAAATGAGATTCACATAACATAAAATTAACCATTTAAATTACACACTTTTTTAAATGTATTCACTATATTATGCAACCAACACCACTGTCTAATTCTCGAAACATATCTATAATTCCAAAAATAAACCCTGTATAATTAGCTTTTACATTTGGAATTTTTGTTTTCTAGTAGTTGAGATTTAATTCCATAGACATTTATCGAGTACTTACCATGTGCTAGGCTGAGTACTGGGAGAAGTTTAAACAAATAGTTCAGTATGTTTTGTTAAGTTGTCCCTCTTTTAATTTAAAAGGTGATTATTTATGAGGTTAATATATTGGCAGCTGAAATAAGATGTCAGAGTATCACATTTTTAAGCCTTACCTGGGAACATGAGTGTCAGGCAACTCAAATTTTATGCTGCTCTGTGCCTGTCCGAAAAATGGCATGAAATCTCCCTAAGTATTGATTTTGTGGTTACAAGTAAATGTTAGTGAGTCAGCAACTTCGCAAATATGGAATCCCATGAATAATGAGGATCAACTGTACTTTCAAGTCACATATAAAGATGGCAGTCCTAAGTTTCTTGAAATACTTATTTTCTGAGCATTTTATGGAATTTTTAGGAAAGGAATGTCATTAATCATTTGTATTTCAGCCTATTAACTTTTTAAATTGTGTACATAGTTGCAGATTAGTTGACCTTGTACTTCACATCCCTCTTCACTCAACACTCATTTGATATTTGACATAGTGCTCCTAGCTCTGTAGCTTTCCTGATTCAGTTTCATCTAGTGGTCAAAAACAGACTGCCTTTCATAACTATTTTGTTATTATACTGCAAAGTTAGGATAATGCAATATCAGCAGTAGCTTTTTCTAGTTTAAAAGCATGCAATAACTTTACTTACTGCTTTTTTATTTAATCTGACAGTTTCTAACCTTTATTTGGATTATTTACATTTAATGTAGCTCTCAGTAATTTGGACTTTATTTTTATTTTGGTCTTTATTGATTTTTTTTTCAAAACTCAAAAATTAGTAAATAAATATTTGTAAATATTTATACATTATATTTATTATAAAGTAATTGTTACTAAAATGTTATTTATATATTATATTTATTATAAAGTATTTAATTGTTATTAAAATATATCTCTTAAGGACCTCTACTAACTATGGTTGGCCATAAATGTAGATGGAATAAATATATGTCTACATAGTATGATCTCAGATGGGCTAAGCTCTTCTTTCTTAAGATATCTTTTTAGGCCAGGTGCGGTGGCTCATACCTGTAATCCCAGCACTTTGGGAGGCTGAGGTGGGCGGATCAGGAGGTCAGGAGTTCAAGACCAGCCTGACCAACATGGTGAAACCCCATCTCTACTAAAAATACAAAAACAAAAACAAAACAAAAAAAAAGATATCTTTTTAGATGTGCAAATACTTACATAAGTGATTTGTAGATTTAGTGTAATCATCTGTCAGTGATATTAGCCCTGGGCACAATATTCTGTGTAGTGCTTTATAAAATAAGAGAAGTAACTGGAGACTACCATTGTTAATTACGTGAACTTATATTCTTTATCAGAGTAGATTTTGGAGTACTTTTGTATATATCACTTTTTTCTCTTTTGGAAAGCTAGTAATATGTTTCTGAACCTTTTAATAGGTCATAGAGCTGTATATATTGGTGTTCACGTCCCGTTTAGTAAAGAGAGTCGTCGGCGTCATAGGCATCGCGGACACAAACATCACCACCGGAGAAGAAAAGATAAAGAATCAGATAAAGAAGATGGACGGGAATCTCCTTCTTATGGTAAGAGAAAACAGTTCTTCTTTAGCAGTTTAAAGTTCCTATTTTCCTGGAAAGTATTTTCTTTTAATTGAATATTTCTTTTAAAAATTGTATGTATGCATTAATGTAGTCACATTGTATGGGGAATGTATTGTATTGGGGAATATCAATTGAAGTAATAATTTTTTTTTTATAATTTTTATAAGAAAAATCTTTATAGGTCAAGATCTCTTTCATGTAAGTGAAAAAATAAAGGGCTTTGTTTTCTTCATTGTATCCCATCCTTGAAATTGTAAAAGTTATGCCTAGTCACTTAGGCTCAAATTTAGTAGTGTTTCATTTCCTGTACTAAATTTTTAATTACTTACATATGCAATGGATAGACATTGGGAATGCTAAGGCTGTCATGGAAGTGATTAAAGTTTTTTTCCTTCTTCTTTTTTTTTTTTTTTTTTGAGATGGAGTCTTACTCTGTCACCCCGGCTGGGCTGGAGTGCAGTGGTACGATCTCGGCTCACTGCAACGTCTGCCTCCAGGGTTCAAGCGATTCTTGTGCCTCAGCCTCCCAAGTAGCTGAGATTACAGGCGCACGCCACCATGCCAGGGTAATTTTTGTATTTTCAGTAGAGACAGGGTTTCACTATGTTGGCCAGGCTGGTCTTGAACTCCTGACCTCAAGTGATCCACCTGCCTCAGCCTCCCAAAGTGCTGGGATTACAGGTGTGAGCCACCATGCTTGGCTGTTTTTTTCCTTCTTACACCACAGTTTTGGCCAGAAGATTTTATCCACTAGGCTGGATTATTTGGTTTTCTGTGCAAAAAAGAGTACTCTTATTTGATAATATTAGTTATATAAAAGGACAGGGTTTTTTTGTTTGTTACTTGAAAGCAGAGAAGTTAGTGGTACCAATAGAAATCAGAAAGAAAAGCAGGAACAAGACTGTTATCTGATGACGAGCATAGATAGCCATGTTTTAAGTGGCCCTGAGAGTGGGAAAGGAAAGAGCCAAAAAAAAAAAAAAAAAAAAAAAGGGCTGTAAAACCTGAGGAGGATTCTTAGGCATTATACTTAGTTAGCATACAGGGCATTATTAGTATAAGGCCATCTGTACATCATGGGTCCTAGTGTTTGCTTTCTAGCAAAGAGAGCTATGTGCTATGTGAGCCACATCCTATAGGCGGTTGCATGCTATGCTAAAAGAAAGTTTTTGTGAAAAGGCAAAGAACAAAAAAGTTGTTATGTATAATATAGTTACTGCATGAACATAGGAAGGAAAATACTGATGGCATAGTAAAATCTAAAGTGCAAATTCTGTGTCTAAACATTCTACCAAGCCCTAGACAAATGGTCTTATGTTTAACCATCTTAGTATTTTTAATATATAACCATCTTAGCATTTTAAAAATACAAATATTAAATTCATTTTATAGATGAGGAAACTTCAGCCCAGTGAGACTGACAGGAATCTATTAAGAAACTCTACTCAGCTGGGCGCGGTGGCTCACGCTTGCAATTGCAGTACTTTGGGAGGCTGAGGCAGGTGGATCACGAGGTCAGGAGTTCAAGACCAGCCTGGCCAACATGGTGAAACCCCGTCTCTACTGAAAAAAAAAAAAAAAGTTTAGCTGGCTGTGGTGATGGGCACCTGTAATCCCACCTATTTGGGAGGCTGAGGCAGAGAATTGCTTGAACCCGGGAGGCAGAGGTTGCAGTGAGCAGAGATTGTGCCACTGCACTCTAGCCTGGGTGACAGAGCGAGACTCTGTTTAAAAAAAACAAAAAAAACAAAAAAAAACAAAAAAAAACTCTACTAAGAGATACTGATGACCTAGTAAATCTAGTAAATATAATACTAAGTGGTCATGTAGCTAGCAAAGGAAAAACAAACACTGAATTTGGAAAGGGTCACTAGTGAACTTTTTTTTGGTGATACTAAGTAATTTAGAAGTAAAAAATACTTAAACAGTAAAAAACTGTTCTATACATCACAGCCATTCAGTTTAGGATATCCTAGGTTCTTCTGTGAGTAAATGGATCAGTATGCTTCTCTAATTCATACTGAGTAAAAAGGCACACAGTATTTTTATGGACAGAAATATTGTTTACTTAACTCTTAGTATATTGATATGTTCACCTAAGTATGTGGTTTGATGTTTTAAGCTAGGATATGGGATTAAAAGTGTTAAGTATAGGGGCTTCAAAAATAGATTATAATGAAGAAAATATTTGACTTTTCAAAGGAATAACTATTCCTAGAAAAGATTTATGTCCCTGAAGTTTTTGTCTTAACTACCAATTTGTATCCAAGGAAGTGCTAAAAATGAAGTCTCTTCGTTTTTGCTCTCTAAAGGGATTACACAGGACTTTGCTTCTAAACAGGATGGAATAACGGGGATTAAATTTTCTCACCATTTTATTTTAATAATTATTCCTATTTGGGGGCTGTTTTCCAATGCGTTTTCCTTTAGCTTTATTGAGGTATAATTAACAAATAAAATTTGTATACATTTAAGGTGTACAGTATGATTTTTATATATATATATACACACACACATAGTTAAATGATTATCACAATCAAGTTAATTAACACATCCTTAACCTCATATAGTTGCCTTTTATTGTGTATAGTGAGAATACACATAATTAAAGTCTACTCTCTTAGCAAATTTCAAGGGCACTATATATATATATATATATATATATATATTTTTTTTTTTTTTTTTTTTTTTTTTTTTTTTTGAGACTGAGCCTCTCTCTTTCACCCAGGCTGGAGTGCGGTGGCACGATCTCAGCTCACTGCAACCTCTGCCTCCCAGGTTCAAGCAATTCTCCTGCCTCAGCCTCCCAAGTAGCTGGGATTACAGGTGCCCGCCACCACGCACGGCTAATTTTTTTTTTTTTTTTTTTGTATTTTTAGTAGAGACAGGATTTCAGTATGTTGGCCAGGCTGGTCTCGAACTCCTGACCTCAAGTGATCTGCCTGCCTCAGCCTCCCAAAGTACTGGGATTACAGGTGTGAGCCGCTGCGCCCAGCCATTACAATATTATTAACTATAGTCATCATGTTGTACGTTATTAGTTCCCCAGAATTCATTTATCTAATAACTGAAAGTTTGTAACTGCCATCCCATTTAAAGTAGCTGGAAAACCAGATAAAATATATGAAACAGTAGTTTTAAGACATTGTATAAGAGGCAGCACAGGACTTTGGTTTCTGAGAGAGGAGAAGCAAGTGAGAGAATACCTATGATGACCTGAACTTATTGCCCAGAGACAGTTTCCAGGCCACAGCACAGGGAGGGGAACCCAAACAGAGCCTAGAGTTGAGGAGCATAGATTGGAATTTGGGGAGGTCAAAGAGGCTAGAATTTGAGGTGTAGAGTTCAAGAGAGTGGAGAGTACTCAGAGTTCCAAAGATCTGAAAAAGGATCCTTTTGAATGTTTGGCTGATCACTGGTCTGGCCATGTGTGAGAGGAAACTACCTGTGGCCCGGGAAAAACTACCAGAAAACAGTAGTAGGCTAAGCACTTTCTGTACTTTCACACAAGGCTGGGAATAGTTTGCGTTCCCTTCAGCCACAATGGAAAGACTTTGACACATACAGGGTATTGGATAGAGTTCTCAGAAGGCTCTGGCCTTAGTAGTGAGTCTAGATTAGTTTTACAACAAAGACTGCAGTGAATCTGCTTTGAAGATTCTTAAAGGCAGGTCTTGAAAGAATTAAATTAACTATATGCCAGGGCAAAGTATTACACTACTAAAAGAAAGAAGATAAAATCTAGCACCTGACCATGTTAAATTTCACAATATCTGGAATCCAAAAATTATCAGGGATATAAAGAAGCAGGAAAATATGAGCCAAAATCAGGAGAAAAATAATAAGACAGATCCAGAAATGGCAGAGTTGATTGAATTAGAAAATAAGAATGTTAAAGCAACTAGCATATTTATGCTCAAAAGGATAGAGAAGAATATGACTGTTAAAGAGAGCTATTGAAAATAGGAGGAAGCCCCAAATGGAAATTCTAGAGAGGAAAAAATACAGTATCTGAAATGGAAAACACACTGGATAGGATTAACTGAAGATTTACTACAGCAGGAAAGAAAAGTAATCAGCGGTTTTCAAGACAGTGATAGTAACTATCCAAAATGAAACACAGAGAATGAAGTGACTGAAAAAGAATGAAGGGAGCATCAGTAATTTGTGGGACAATATCATGTAGTCTAATATGTATGAGCGGAATCCCAGAAAGGAGGATATCAGAAAAGATACTTGAAAAAATTATAGTTGAAGAATTTTCAAACTTAAGGAAAACATTGAACTCATAGATCCAAGGAGCTGAACAAAACCCAAGAAGAAACATAAAGAAAACATATAATGGCTCATAAGAATCAGATTGCCAGAATCAGAATGTAATAAGCCTGAATGTGTATGCATATAACAACAGGTGCAGAATACATGATAAAATTGGAAATAGATCAGTCCACAATTAAGAGTTGGAGATTTTAGCTCTCCTCTCTGATAGAGTAAATAAACAGAATATTGATAAGGATATGGAAGACCTGAATAACATTGCCCAACCAGATTGATACTGACATTTATAAAACACTTCACCCAAGGACAGCAGAATACGTTCTCTACGAGTGCAAATGGAATATTTACCAAGATCATATTCTAGTCCATAAAACAAGTCTCAGTATAATTTAAAAGAAGTGAAAGTATGTTCTCTGATCACAATAGAATTAAACTAGAAATGTCTCAAGAATAATTCCTAGGTATTTGGAAATTGAAGAAAATACTTCTCAATAATCATGGGTTAAGGAAATAATCACAACAGAAGTTAGAAAATATTTTGAACTCATTGAAAATGAAAATAGTACAGGCAGGTAACCAAGACAGATTTTTGCCAAGTAAGGACAGTTCTGGTATGTACAGGATTCATGCATGGTACTGTGCAGAGTGAGGACTAACATTCAAATTTGTTAGATGCAACTAAAGCAGTACTTTAGAGAAAAATTTGTAGCATTTAATCCTTATATTAGAACAGAAAAAAGTTGAAATCAGTGACTTAAACTTCTAGCTAAGAAACTAAGGAAAAAAAATAGGGCACATTGTAAGGAGGAGATGGGAAACAAAATTCCAGGAGAATGAATAAAGTAAAAATCAGAAAAAAAAACAATAGCAGACCTCAATCAAACCTAAATCTAGTACGTTGAAAAAAGATTATTAAAATTGATAACTCTAAAGCCAGATTGATCAGAGGACAAAAAACCCCCACAAATCACCAGTATTAGAAAATTTCGATACACATCCCGCAGAAATTAGAAAACTAATTAGAGGGCCAAGCCTGGTGGCTCATGCCTGTAATTCCAGCACTTTGAGAGGCCGAGGCGGGCGGATCACCTGAGGTCAGGAGTTCGACACCAGCCTGGCCAACATGGTGAAACCACGTCTCTACTAAAAATAAAAAATTAGCCAGGCGTTTTGGCACGTTCCTGTAGTCCCAGCTACCCAGAGGCTGAGACAGGAGAATTGCTTGAATGCGGGAGGCAGAGGTTGCAGTGAGCTGAGATCTCACCACTGCACTCCAGCCTGGGCGACAGAGGGAAACTCCATCTCAAAAAAAAAAAAAAAAAGAAAAAAAGAAAAAAGAGAATGCCCAGCGCGGTGGCTAATGCCTGTAACCCTAGTGAGACAGCCAAGTAAAAACGGCTCCCAAGACAATCTACAAGCACTGGGAGGATGGGGTGCAGCAGCAAAATGTTCACACCATTTGCAGAGGGGAACAGCCTGGCCCCTGCTGTTCCAGGATAGTAACCAGGAATTCAGTTGGTGAGATGGACAGCCTGTTAGCAGGACTCCATCTCACTTTGCTGTGTTGTTCTTTTTCCCTTTTGCCCAATAAATTCGTAACCCCTCACCTTTCAAAGTGTCCGCGTGCCTAATCTTTCCCTGCCATGTGACCAGAACCCGGTTTTGTCTACAACACCAGCACTTTGGGAGGCGAAGATGGGCTGATTGCTTGAGCTCAGGGGTTTAAGAACAGCCTGGGCAACATAGTGAAACCCTAGTCTCTACCAAAAATACGAAAATTAACCAGGCATGCCTGTTATCCCAGCTGAGGCACAAGAATCCCTTGAACCCAGGAGGCGGAAGCTAGTGAGCCGAGATTGCGCCACTGCACCCCATCCTGGGAGTGAGACGCTGTCTCAAAAAAAAAAAAAAAAGAAAATGAGCTGTAGTTTTTGACGTCACATTTCATGTGGATGACGTCACATTTTCATGGGATAAAACCCATTTGGGAGTTGTTTATTACAAAGTATAGAAGGATTAATAGGTTAGTCTGTGTTTCAACAAAGATCATGTTTCTCTAAAGATATACAAGATCTATTCAATATAATATTTAATATAAAAGATAACTGATAATTCATTAAGGGTGAAATATTAGGGACATTTTAGTCCATTCTTCAAAACTACAATCAATGCCAGGAGTGGTGGCTCATGCTTGTAATCCCAGAACTTTGGGAGGCTGAGGCAGGCAGATCACCTGCCTTGTCACCTGGTCAGGAGTTCAAGAACAGCCTGGCCAACATGGTGAAACCCCGTCTCTACTAAAAATAATTAGCCAGGTGTGGTGGCACGTGCCACCAGCTATTCAGGAGGCTGAGGCAGGAGAATCTGGGAGGTGGAGGTTGCAGTGAGCCGAGATCGTGTCACTGCACTCCAGCCTGGGTGACAGAGTGAGACTCCCTCTCAAAAAAAAAAAAAGTCAAACTAATAAGAGAATATTATGGATGACTTTGTGGCAACTAAATTGATAATTTACATGAAATGGACAAGTTCCTCTAAGAATATAAACTAGCAAACAGAAATGCATTAAAGAAGCCAGACATGTTGACGCATGCCTGTAATTTCAACACTGGGAGACTGAGGCAGGAGGATTGCTTGAAGCCAGGAGTTCAAGACCAGCCTAGGCAGCAAAGCAAAACCCTGTCACTACAAAAAATAAAAAATTACCTGGGTATGGCAATGTGCATCTCCCCAACTGCTGGGGAGGCTGAGGTGGATTGATCCCTTTAGCCTAGGAGTTTGAGGCCGCAGTGAGCCATGCTTGTGTGACTACACTTCCAGCCTGGGCAACAGATACCGTCTCTTAAAAAATAAGTAAATGAAAAAGGAAGAAATGGATTAAAGACATTAAATGTGTAGTCTAAAACTTTCTGACAATGAAAATTTACTCTCAGATGGCATCAGGGATGAAATAAAACAAACTTAAGGAAGAAATAATATAGACTTTGCTAGAAAACATAAGAGGAGGGAACACTTCTCAATTTTGTTAATGAATCCAGCATTACCCTGATACCAAAACTAATCAGGGATATTACAGGAAAAATACAACTACGGACAAAATATTTTTGTGCATATGGATTAGAAAATTCCTAGCAAAATTACATTGTATCCAGCAATGTTTAAAAAGGATAATATATCATGGGAGTGGTAGGCTGAGTGATAGCCTGCAAGATATTCATCTCCTAAACCCTCGAACCTGTGAATGTTACATTATATGGCAAAGAGGACTTTGCTGATGTGATTAGGTTAATTTTTTTTGTTATATATTTTTTTGAGACGGAGTCTCACTCTTGTCACCCAGGCTGGTGTGCGATGATGCGATCTTGGCTCACTGCAACCTCTGCGTCCTGGGTTCAAGCGATTCTCCTGCCTCAGCCTCCCAAGTAGCTAGGAGTACAGGCCTCTGCCATCATGGCTGGCTAATTTTTGTATTTTTGGTAGAGACAGGGTTTCACCATGTTGGCCAGGCTGATCTCAAATTCCTGATCTCAGGTAATCCACCCACCTTGGCCTCCCAAAGTGGCTGGGATTACAGGTGTGAGCCACCACATCTGGCCTATTTTTTATTTATTTATTTTTGTTTTTATTTTTGAGATGGAGTCTTGCTGTGCCACCCAGGCTGGAGTATAGTGGCATGATCTTGGCTCACTGTAGCCTTTGCCTCCTGGGTTCAAGTGATTCTCCTGCCTCAGCCTCCTGAGTAGCTGGGATTACAGGTGCGTACCACCATGCCTGGCTAATTTTTGTATTTTTCATAGAGACGGGGTTTCACCATGCTGGCCAGGCTGGTCTCGAACTCCTGACCTGAGGTGATCCACCTGCCTCGGCCTCCCAAAGTGCTGGGATTACAACTGTGAGTCACCACACCTGGCTGGGTTAAGAATTTTGGAGTGGGAATATTATCCTAGATTATGCAGGTTGGCCTGATATAATCATAGGGATCCTTAGTAAGAGGAGGTCAGACGATCAGACTGGATATAGATGTGACAAAAAGAAGCAAGTGGCTACAGTGACGTCAGGAAGGGATCCTGACCCCAGGAATGTAGGCTGCCTTCAGAAGCTGGAAAAAGTAAGGGAATTTGATTTTCCTAGAGCCTCCAGAAGGAACCAGCCCTGCCAACACCGTGATTTTAGCCCTCTAAGACTCATTTTGGACTTCTGGTATCCAGAACTGTAAGAGAATAAATTTGTGTTATTTAATCCACCAGGTTTGTGGATTAAATTTGTTACTAGCATGATGGCCAAGCTAGGAACATAAGGTTGGTTTAAAACTTAAACATCTGTCAATGTAACTAAGTAATGTCATTAACAATACAAAGGAGAAAAGCAATACAACTATCTAAATAGGTTCAAAGTAAGCCTTTAACAAAATTCAATACCTATCCATGATAAAACTCTCTGCAAACTAAGAATAGCAGGAAACTTCCTTAACCTGATAAAGAGCATCTACAAAAACCAAGAAAACCACCATATAGTCAACATCACATTTCACAATTAATGACTGAATATTTTCTGTGATTTGGGAAAAGGAAAGGATGTCCTCTCTGATGACTTTTATATAACACTGTACTAGAAGACCTAGCCAGTGTAATAAGACAAGAAAGAATACAGGGCATACAGATTGGAATGAAAAAGTAAAATGGTCTTTATTCGCAGATACAGGATCATGTAGGTAGCAAATCCTAAGCAATCTACAATACTTAAGAGAACTAAGTGAGTTTAGCAGGTCCCAGGATATAAAATCAATTATATTTCTATATAGTTGCAATGAGTAATGAGAAATTGGAATTAAAATTATTGCTTATGGTAGCACTAAAAGTAGTATTTAGGGATCATTCTGACAAAGATTTGTGCAAGACCTAAATGCTGGAAAGTTTAATACAGTAGGAAGTTCAATCACAATATGTGTTTTTTTAATCCTGCCTAGGTCTTAGGTTATTTCTTCAATATGAAGGCTCATGACATAAACATACTGGAAAATTTTCAGATATGTTTTTTATATGCTTCTCCTCCTATTCTTTTATTTTCCTTGTCCTGGAGTTCTTGACTTTCTGCATCCCTCTTAATCTTTGGTTTTCTTCCTTCTTATCTGTTGTTTCTGCATTCTCTGAAATTTTCTCAGATCTGACTTTTACGAAAACAATTCCATTGAATCTACTCTTTATCCTGTTTAAATATCCTTGTTGCATCCACAAGTACTTGGAGGATTGTTCACTTAGGTGTAAATTTTGAGTGAGAACTCATCTCTCATATTCAGGGTAACTGTTTGTGGTGGTGTATTTGTTTATATGGAGCCCTAGGGCTTTCAACTGTCCTGGACTAGTATTTATGCTAATTCATCTGTTTCGGGTTCCTATACTACACAAGTAGTTTAATTTCAGACGCCATGAGTGGGTTATCTGTTCTTCGTAGTGACTTGTTCCACCCCAAAACCCCAAGCTTACAGTTTTGTTTCTCCATGATAGTAGGAAAAGACAGTTTCTGTATAGTTGGAGCTTTGAGTTTTCTCATCATTTTTTGGAACTTGGAGATTTTCTATTTTTCACTCTTTAACTTTACATTGTAAAGTTAACTCTTCAGCTTACATTGTATTTTGTTTTATTTTATTTTATGTTATGTTATTTTATGTTATGTTGTGTTATTTTTATTTTATGTTATGTTTGTTATTTTGTTTTATGTTATTTTATGTTATGTTATTTTGTTATTTTATTTTATGTTATGTTATTTTATTTTATGTTATTTTGTTATTTTATGTTATGTTATGTTATTTTATTTTATTTTATTTTATTTTGTGTTATTTTATTTTATTTATTTGAGATGGAGTCTTGCTCTGTCGCCCAGGCTGGAGTGGAATGGCACAATCTCAGCTCACTGCAACCTACGCCTTCTGGGTTCAAGCGATTCTCCTGCCTCAGCCTCCGGAGTAGCTGGGATTACAGGTGTCCACCACCATGCCTGGCTAATTTTTGTATTTTTAGTAGAGACAGGGTTTCACCATGTTGGCCAGGTTGGTCTCCAACTGCTGACCTCATGATCCAACCGCCTCGGCCTCCCAAAGTGCTGGAATTACAGGCGTGAGCCACTGTGCCCGGCCACATTTTATTTTATTTTATTGATTGATTGACTGAGACGGAGTCTCTGTCGCCTAGGCTGGAGTGCAGTGGCACAATCTCAGCTCACTGCAATCTCCACTTCCCAGGTTCAAGCGATTCTCCTGCCTCAGCCTCCCGAGTATTTGGGATTACAGGCGTCCACCACCATGCCTGGCTAATTTTTATATTTTTAGTAGAGACGGGGTTTCACCATGTTGGCTAGGCTGGTCTCGAGCTCCTGACCTCAGATGGTACACTTGCCTCTGCCTCTCAAAGTGCTGGGATTACAGGCATAGCCACAGTGCCTGGCCTTAGCTTATATTTTAAATGTTCTGTTCTAACTTTTCCATGTAGTTTTGGTGAGGAAAAAGGGCTGCCTTTGAGCATTATGTTCATGTTTTGGAATGTTACTTTTATTTTTGTTTGTTTAGATCAGTTATAAAGTTAGTTTGACTTGTTTATTTTCAACATAATTTTCTTTTTTTTCTATAGAGATTATCTTTCTGTGACTTTTTTTTTTTTCCTGGATTGTTGGTTCTTGTTTCCTTTCAGAATTGTGATAGTTCAATAATTAAGAGAGTTTTGATGAAATATATTTGTTTATACAGGTAACAAAAGTGTTTCATTTTCAAAACTGTGAATTTATCTTTGAATGACTTGAGGAAAAATTTGAGTATATGTAAATTCTTATTTTGTAAAGATACACCATCCCAGAGAGTTCAGTTTATCCTTGGTACTGAAGATGATGATGAAGAACATATTCCCCATGATCTCTTCACGGAAATGGATGAACTGTGTTACAGAGATGGAGAAGAATATGAATGGAAAGAAACTGCTAGGTAATACTGCTAAGTCTCTCTCTCTTTTTTTTTTTTGAGATGGAGTTTTGCTCTTGTTGCCCAGGCTGGAGTGCGATGGTGCGATCTGGGCTCACTGCAACTTCTGCCTCCCAGGTTCAAGTGATTTTCCTGTCTCAGCCTCCCGAGTAGCTGACATTGCAGGCGCCCGCCACCACGCCTGGCTAATTTTTGTATTTTTAGTAGAGATGGGGTTTCACCAAGTTGGCGAGGCTGGTCTCGAACTCCTGACCTCAGGTTATCCTCCCGTCTAGGCCTCCCATAGTGTTAGGATTACAGGCGTTAGCCACCGTTCCCGGCCTAAGTCTCATTTTTAAATTGGCATTACTTGATTTCTTTTTGTAATGGGAATATTAAGTTGAAAGTATGAGATATCTGGTGCTTTAAACCAGTGAGCAGAGAATTTCCTTATTAATTGATAGAAATTCTATCTTTAATTTTTCTCTTTATTCTCAAATTTGTTTACTTAAATAATCCTTTATACTTTCATAAAGAAATTATGTCATTATAGATTTTAATGTCTACAATTTTGTGTATTGCAAGTTTAGAAGAGGAATAGAAGTAGAAACTATATGAAATTCCATAGTTTGTTTTTGTAGGCTTATTATTATGATACCTAGAATAGAAAGAGGAACTACAAAGGAAATTTGTGACTATAGATATTGTAGACCATTAACCTAATTTGTGAAAACGTGTTTGGTCGTGGTTTTCTTTATTTCTTTTTTTTTTTTCTTTAAAGAACAAATGTTTCTTTATCACATTAAGATAAACAAATGGAATCTTCATTACTTATAAAATATTTTTATACATTATGCATTCAGATGGCTGAAATTTGAAGAGGATGTTGAAGATGGCGGTGACCGATGGAGTAAACCTTATGTGGCAACTCTCTCTTTGCACAGTCTTTTTGAACTAAGGAGTTGCATCCTCAATGGAACAGTCATGCTGGATATGAGAGCAAGCACTCTAGATGAAATAGCAGGTTATAGTAAACTGACTTTTAAAAAATATGTAAGGTGTAGTGGAATTTTAGACATTCATTTAACAACTATATGCTGAGCTTCTATTCTGTGGAGTGCAGTATAAGGAAATAAGATAGAATTTTTGTCTTTGATAAATTTGCAGATGAGATTAAATTAAACCGACATAAGTGTAGTATCAGTAAGAGAGTGAATAGTGGCACAAGCGAATACAGAGTCTGTTCTGTGGAAATTCAGAAAAGAGTTTTTTGTTTCCTTGTTTTTTGGAATGGGGATGTGGGGAATAGCCACAGAGAACATTAATTGTACAAGTTACTCATAAAATGTGAACACATGGGAACCAAGGAGTAGGTGATACAAGAGAAAAAGTATTTTAAGGAAGAGTAAAGAAAAGTCTAGAGAAGTATAGACAGGAATCTCAGGAAAGTCAGTTCTGTGTGAATATACAGATTTCTTCAGTAGTGTTAGGAGGTATGTTGGGAAACCCAGTTAGAGATGAGATTGTGACTAGCCTTGAATTATTGGATTTTTTTTTTAAGGGGGGGATCACAGGGTCTCTCACTGTCATCCAGGCTGGATGGAGTGCAGTGGCACGATCTTGGCTTACTGCAGTCTCCGTCTCCTGGGCTCAAGTGATCTCCCACCTCAACCTACTGAGTAGCTGGGACCACAGGTGTATACACCACCACGCCTGGCTAATTTTTGAATTTTTTGTAGAGACGGGTTTTCGCCATGTAGCCCATGCTGTTCTTGAACTCCTGAACTCAAACAACCTGCCCACTTTGGCTTGCCAGAGTTTTGGGTTTACAGGTGTGAGCCACGGTGCCTAGCCAAGAAATAGGATTTTATTTGGTAGGCATTTTGGTGGTCTTGATGGTTTTTAAGTTGAGGAATAGTGTGATATGAGATACACATTCAGGAAGATCATTCTGGCAACAGAATGTAGGGTGGCTTTGGATTAGGAAGAGTTTAGAAGCAAGTAGGCCAGTTATTGGCTAGGAACAGTCTAAGCAAAGAAAGAGCTCTGGTAGGTTGAGCAATGAAAATGAAAGGGGGAGATTTGAAGGATAATGTGGAGGTAGAAAGTAGAAAAAGGCAGCTGTAATCAGCTTTTTGTCCACTAACTAAAATTAATAAAAACCAAAATTAACTTTGGTAGTAATGAATTTGATGGTGGGACTACCATTGTAGATTGCTCCCATGGAAAAACAAAAAATCTGTAGTATTTAATCTTCAAGAGAACCATGAACTTAATACAATTTCTCAGGCTAGAAATACTTCAATTTTAGCCTACTGTTAGATTTAACTGTGTGCTGCAAATATTTGAATTGTCCTTACTTTCTTGTCTCACATGAATAACTGAAAAATTAAGGTTGGGAATATTGAATTTGTATAATACATATGGGTTTCAGACTTTGGTTTGCAATTATCACATAATACCATGTAGTACTTTTAGTATATGTTGTATAATCTAGTGTTCATTTGTTTGCTAAACTGTAGCTGTTGTGTTAAGGTTAACAGTTTACCTATTAGGCTGGTCCTTCCAGGGTTTTTTTTAGAGTAACCATGTAGTTTTGAAAATTTGACCCTCTTCTTCCAAGTTAGTACCACTATTTAAAACTATTAATATATATTTTATAAATTAAAAAGTTTAATCACCTCAGTAATGTATAAAATGGCATTGCCATCAGTTTCCCCATTCCCCACATCCCTTTCACAACCTGATTTTACTCCTCTTCCTAGAACTTATGACCTCATGACGTTTTATCTGTTTGTATGTTGGTTTCTCTACCTCTCGAAGAGAGCAGAAACTTGGCTCTGTTTTGTTATTTTTAAATTGCTGTATTCCCAACACACAGCGGACGCTCAGTGAATAGTTAATGACTGAGTGGGTCCTGATATTCATCTGCTGGAACAGTTTTGGGGGAGAATATGAGGTTTGGCAATAAAATACCTTTACATCTTAGGAAGCCAGTATTATTGAATATTCAGCTTAATAGAATTTATTGTATTCATACAGGGAAGCACTTTCAGCTATAGGAAGGCTATTAGTATATAATAGTAGCCTCTTTATAAATAATAGTATTTATTAAAATAAGGCGGTCTTTGTAATTCATTTTTATTGGTTGGATAATGTTCATTTCTGCATTGATTATTTGTGACAGAATAAAACTTTCTAGAGCTATTTAAGGTTCTAATTTTTGTCATAAGGTTTCACTCACAGTTTATTCCTATATTATGGTCATCTGAGTGTTTAGTAATTTATTTTTTTTTTCATTGAATAGATATGGTATTAGACAACATGATAGCTTCTGGCCAATTAGACGAGTCCATACGAGAGAATGTCAGAGAAGCTCTTCTGAAGAGACATCATCATCAGAATGAGAAAAGATTCACCAGTCGGATTCCTCTTGTTCGATCTTTTGCAGATATAGGCAAGAAACATTCTGACCCTCACTTGCTTGAAAGGAATGGTGAGATAAGTTGTGGCATCCAATTTTTGCTAACACTTCTACTGTAACAGCTTTCCAGTATGTTACGATTAACATTTGGGGATATTTAAACACTCACTATACCTACCTCTGAATTACTTCTCCTTCCTGCTTTGTTTCTTTTCAAGGCCTCTTGTATAATTAATTAAAGAGGCATAAATTATGATCTATAATTTTTAATATTACCTTTTTGAAATTCTAAATCTTGGGTTTGAACCTTTATTTTAGATTTTTCCTAATTTTTTTTTTCTCCTGAACATACTTGATTTGCTGGTATAAACAAGTGTTTTTGGATTGGTTTGCTGATTTCACGGCTCTTTATTTGTACAACTTGTGAAAGGCTTTTATGACTGTTCCAGTCTTACACTAAGGGTGACCTAGTTGGTGTCTTCTAATCCATTGAGAATGGCTCAGACCCAGGTCTACATATTCCACCTTTCTACTCTCATTCTTAGGTTACAGGCAGGTTGTGTGGCATGTGGGAAGACAGTGTTTTTGCAGTCGTTTACCTCTGTTGGTGTCCTAATGCTGGACACTTGGAGGTTTTGCCTTTCTTTATTCTTCTGTGTAAAGCAGAGGAATGCATCAGTAGGGTTGAGAACTCTGACAGTGAGTCTGGAAAACCCGGGTGCAAAGGATCAGAGTGGCTTATGGAGAGTCACTGTAGCCTCCAGTAGTTGCTGTAAGCTGCTACTATTACCCAAAGCTCGTGAGGATTACAGTGAGGACTAGTGGAGTATGGGGCACAGTGCCTGCTCATCTTTTTTACCCCTGAAATAATAGTATGACTTTTAAGTGTTCTACCAACAAGCAAGCATAGGTGATAGGGTCTAGTTTTTCTAAAGTTGAAAATAATCATCTTTTTTATCTTCCACTTGGCCATGAAAACCCTTTTTAATCCATTTAAAATTATGCCATGTTGTATTTAAGCAATCTTAAGAGTAAAAGAATACCTCTTATGGACCAAAATGCAATGTAAAAACAAGCCAATGTATAGCGCATTTTAACTCTCTTTTTTGTCTTTTATTTGTTGTTTATATTCTCTCCTTTGGTGAAATAAGTTCATTTATCCAGAGGGACCCTATTCAGTCTTTACTCTTCGTATGCAGTTGTTCCTCACTATTGTCCAATTGTAATTTGCTCATCAGAAGACATTGACTGTTTTCTTTTAAATGCCATTTTAGCATGTTCTTTTGTTGAAATATAGTTATAATTTGAGTTTTTCCTGCATGTAGCTTATTGTTTAAATGGTGTTTCCTAATGGATTATAGTTTAACTATTTCTGAAACCTCTTGAGCATGTAACTTTGATTAGGCCATATGGAATTGAATATTGTATTTGCATGTTTTTCATAAAGAATGTTATTCTTTTAAGATACACTTAGTACAAATATGAGGGGTTTAATTAAAAGTATGCATGACCTTTTGAAATATTTTAGACCTACTGCTATATTGCTGTTGTTGGTGAGAAGTACTTTATTCTTAGCTAGTGAAATAAAAAATTATATGTATTTGTTTTAATGTATCTGCTACATATCAGAAATGAAAAGCATACTTTAGGACATTTATTAATATTTTTAGAGAGCTCAAGAATATGTATCCTTTAAAATTGACATTGTGTTTCTCTTTTTAAAAAATTTCTGTTATTTGTCTTTTTTTAAAACTTCAGAGCAGCACCACCTGTAGATGGTGTCTTACTGACTTAATATTGTAAATATTTAATACCAGTTTTAAGTTAGAAATTATTACTTAATGTTAACATGAACTTTTTCTCTAAGAGATAATTGTCTGTAGCTGTTTGGTAAAATGTAGGAAAAATACGCTAAATATAAGCTATTAGTTTTGGTTATTTTTGGTTTGAGTTATATTAATTGTGTATTACATATTTTCATTTGCTATTTATTGTTTAAGCAGTGACTTTGTATTGATATTGTCCTTTTTAAAAATGCCATGCTATTGGTCATTCTAATTTCTAACAGGATATTGCCCCCACCATCTGTCATTAACAATTTTTTTTTATGTGTTCTGAGAACTAATTACAGTTTTAACCAACTTTTTAGTGACTTTCTAACATGTAAAAACCCGATTGACATGCTAACCATCACATGACTTTGAAATTTTGGGCCTTTGAAGTATGCAATTTATAGTGTAAATTGATTTTTTTTTAAATGTCTCTATTTGCCTTCTGCAGTGGACTTCATCATTTTTCATTTATTTGTTTTATCTCAGGGGAAGGCCTTTCAGCCTCCCGCCACTCTTTGCGAACAGGTCTGTCTGCCTCAAACCTTTCCTTGAGAGGAGAATCACCTTTATCTCTTCTTCTTGGTCATCTTCTTCCTTCTTCAAGAGCTGGAACCCCTGCAGGCTCAAGGTGTACAACCCCAGTACCCACCCCTCAAAACAGTCCTCCTTCTAGCCCTAGCATCAGCCGCCTGACCTCCAGAAGTTCCCAAGAGAGTCAGCGTCAGGCCCCAGAACTACTGGTTTCACCTGCCAGTGATGATATTCCCACAGTAGTAATTCATCCGCCTGAGGAAGACTTAGAAGCAGCGCTGAAAGGCGAGGAGCAGAAGAATGAGGAAAATGTTGACTTAACTCCAGGCAACTATCCAAAATCCTCCATGTGTGGTGCTTTCTGCCTCTGAGTCACTTGCACTTGGAATGCCTTTTAGCACATAGCTTAAGCAGCATATGTAGATAATGCTTATAATTTATTTTGACTTCTGCATGTTTTTTTTTCTTTATGATAGATTGTGTTAGGTTGGTGCAAAAGTAATTGCGGTTTTCGCCGTTGAAAGTTTGCTTTACTTTCAATGGCAAAAATTACTTTCAGTGGCAAGAACTCAATTGCTTTTACACCAACCTAATAAAAAAGAGTAAGATTATTAAAAATTTGAGTTACAAAAAGACTACAAAGAAGACTACACATAATTTAAGCCCTTTTAAAAAGTTTCACTTAGATTTAAAGGTCAAGACATTTGAACACTTCAGTAAAACATAGTCATTTTTTATAATGTTTTAATTTGCCATGAACTTATTTTATATTTATTTATGTATTTATTTTTATTAGACCGAGTCTCACTCTGTTGCCCAGGCTGGAGTGCAGTGGTGTGATCTCAGCTCACTGCAGCCTCTGCTCCCTGGGTTCAAGTGATTCTCATGGCCTCAGCCTCCTGAGTAGCTGGGACTACAGGACTGAGCCACCACGTCTGGCTAATTTTTTGTATTTTTTTGTGGAGACATGTTTTCACCATGCTGGCCAGGCTGGGTGAACTTTTTTTTTTTTTTTTTTTGGAGACGGGGTCTTGCTTTGGAGGCTGGCATGATCTCAGCTCACTGTAACCTCCACCTCCTGGACTCAAGCAATCCTCCTGCCTCAGCTTCCCAGTTAACTGGGACTCAGGGGCGTGTCACCATGCCTGGTTAATTTTCGTGTTTTGTAGAGACCAGGTCTCACCATGTTGCCCAGGCTGGTCTTGAACTCCTGGGCTTAAGTGATCCACCCACCTTGGCCTACCAGAGTGCTGAGATTACAGGTGTGGGCCATTGATTGCGTCTTGCCTTGGTAGCTTGGTTTTGTGTGTGTGTGTGTGTGTGCATGCAGTTCACTCATAAGGTGAATGAACACATACAAATAAATTATAGTGAAGTGATGTGCCTTAAATAGGGATAGAGTCATACTCTGTCACCCAGGCTGGAGTGCAGTGCCACAATCATAGCTCACTGCAGTGCCACAATCATAGCTCACTGCAGCCTTGAACTCCTGGGATCAAGCAATCCTCCTGACTCAGCATTCTGAGTAGCTGAGACTACAGGCACATGCCACAACATCTGGCTAAGTTTTTTGTAGAGACGGTATCTTGCTGTGTTGCCCAGGCTGGTCTTGAACTCCTGGCCTCAAGCAATCCTCCTGCCGTAGCCTCCCAAAATGCTGGGATTATAGGTGTGAGTCACCAGGCCCAGCCATACCTTTTTTTCTATTTAATGCTTTTCTCCAAAGAATGTAGTACATTTTAGGCTTTTTTTTTTTGCTTGGGCGGGTGGGGTGGAGAGACAGGTTCTTACTCTGTTGCCTAGACTGGAGCGCAGTGGCGCCATCTTGGTTCACTGCAGCCTCGCCTCCTGGGTTCAAGTGATTCTCCTGCCTCAGCCTCCTGAGTAGCTGGGATTACGGCGCGTGCCACTACCACCCAGATAATTTTTGTATTTTTAGTAGAGACGGGGTTTCACCATGTTGGCCAGGCTAGTCTTGAACTCCTGACCTCAAATGATCCACCCACCTTGGCCTCCCAAAGTGCTGGGATTACAGGCATGAGCCACCATGCCCAGCCACATTTTAGTCTTTTAAATAAAGATAGGATCAAGTGTTCTTTTTCTCATTTTGCCTTTGAGAAGATTGAAGTTCTCTAATGACTGACTGCCTGGAATCATATACAGACTCGGATTTATGTTTTGGAATAGATTTTAGTTGTCCATTGTTTCATGCTGTTATTTATCTTTAATCCAAATTTACCTTGAAATTTTCAGGACCAGAGTTCCTGTAGTTAGGGAAAAAAAAATTGTATGTGCAAAATTAGCAAAAAATTATTATTTTTTAGTGGAGAAAAGGTTTATAACTCTTTTTTTTTTGTGGAGATGGAGAGTCTCGCTTTGTCGCCAGGCTGGAGTGCAGTGGTGTGATCTCGGCTTACTGCAACCTCCGCCTCCCGGGTTCAAGTGATTCTCCTGCCTCAGCCTGCCAAGTAGCTGGGACTACAGGCATGCACCACCACGCCTGGCTAATTTTTGTATTTTTAGTAGCAACGGGGTTTCACCATGTTGGCCAGGATGGTCTCGATCTCTTGACCTCGTGATCTGCCTGCCTGGGCCTCCCAAAGTGCTGGGATTACAGGTGTGAGCCACCATGCCCAGCCTATAACTCATCTTAAGGGCTATAAAGTATGAAAATTTGGTTTATCCTTATGTTGACTACATGTACATTTGTACATATATCTTTTTGCCTAATATAAAATAAATATATTTTAGTAACTTTTCTTTTTAATTATTTCAGCTAAGCCTCAATGTGATGGATACTAATGCTAACCATTGGTTTTAATCACATAAGTATTATCACATTTCTCCAAAATACAACATCCAGCACTTCAGTGGGTAGCTTGGTTATTAGCCTATTTAATGTGTATACAAATATGGGTAAGTTAGATGGACACACCCATTTTCAGAAACTTAGAAAAGTTAGTCATCTTCCCCTGCATCATACAACTAGTAACTGATGGCCTAAATCCTCTGACTGGAAATCCTTGTGTTCCTATCATTATGAAGTAAACCTCTCTTTCTATTGGCTTTATGGAAACACACCAGTTACATTTAGCCAAAGCTCATTGTAGTTGCAAAAAAGGATATACTTTTGGAAGTACAAATAGAAGCTTCATGGCTAAATCATTATGACATTAGTTATAATAGTAGTATGGCTGCCATTGTTTTATAGTTTGTTCCAGAGACAGCGATAAGTGCTTTTCAAATACCATATTTCTAATTCTTGTAACGATTTGATGAGGTTGGTGTTATTCCTGTTTTTCAGTGAAAAAAGACTTGGAGATGTTAAGATCAACCAGAGCAGGGATTTGAACTCAGGTCCACTTACAACAAAATCTATACTAGAGTATTTCATTGTGAACTTTATCAGTTCGTGAAAAAGATAAAGCTTAATGATGAAGTAACTGAACATAAAAGAGGAAAACAACCCTAAAAATAATTATTCAGAAGTAATCAGCATTCTAATCTTAAGAACTAACAAGATTTACTATTTTTCCTTGAACAAAAGTGATTTTAAAAGCTACTTCCTTCCATTTTTTCCAATATTACATTGATCAGTAACAATGAACATGTCTTGTTTTACCAGCTTCTATGTTATAAATAATTAGGAACTATAAATTTTATATAGGAAAGAAGGGGGAGATGGGTTCACATTGGCTTCTTAGGCCGTGTTAAGGAGATAAATTAACTGAGAATCCAACATACATTTTTTCCCATGAGTTTTTGTGATGAGATTTATCGGCCTTTTTGAACAGAAGAAATTAGAGTGGAGAGGAGAGAGGGAATTTCTAAAGACAAGAATTACAGTTAAAAAGACGACTGTAGATAGTATGTAACTGCTGAGGAAAAATAGGGACAGCTATACATGATTCTCTGTTCAATTACTTTCGGTGCTTAAAGCATCTAGAAACTCTAATGGAGTTTCCTTGATGCCTGGTACTGTCTTAGTGGAAGAAAGTGGCCTCAGCATCATTATGTCTCAAGCGACTAACACCATGGATTTTTGTGTCATAGAGTCATAATTTGTGCATACCTATAATAAAAAAGTGGTATTTCCCATTAGTTACTTTTTAGAAGATAATTATATGTATAAAAGTTATATGTATAAAATTATAAATTGTATAAATTAATATGTATAAAACTTGTGGCTGGGCATGGTAGCTCATGCCTGTAATCTCAGCACTTTAGAAGGTCAAGAGGGGAGGATCACTTGAGGCCAGGAGTTCATAGTGAGACCCTCATCTCTAGGGAAAGTAAAAAAAAAAAAAGAAGTGAATTTATTTTTAGTACTTGTAAATACCTTTTTCTAACTCAGTGGTTCTCAATCTTGGCACTATTGACATTTTAGGCTGGATGATTCTTGGCTGGGTGATTGGGTGGCAGGGGAGTAGTCCTGTGCTTTATAGGATGTTTAGCAATATCCTTGGCTAGCTGCCTGCAGCACCCCCGAGTTGTGACAACCAAATATGTCTCCAGACATTGTCACAAGTCCCTTGGGGGTCATAATCTTTCCTAGTTGGGCACCATTGCTGTAACTACCTCACTTTCAAATTTTTAATGAAAAGTTTAAAATTTGAAATTTAAAGAAAAATTTAAAGAAAATGCTGATATCTTTGATTTCCTTATACATATATTTTTTTCCTTAAAGCAAAGTAATATAGTCCTTCTGTGTTTGTGCTAATGATAGCTTTATTTTTTTGTAATTTGCTCATTGTGAATGCTAGGAATTTATTATAGGAGCAGGGAGACTTTACTGATTGAGAAAACAGTTTTAGTTTAGCTGAGGTTGGGAAAGACTACACAAATCATAATGATGAAGAACTGTAGCATGCATCCAGTGTGCCAGTTTTGAAAAAGGGACAGGTTTTCAAGATGACCAGGTTAGCCATGTGACTTCAGGTTATACCTGCTAACTTTGTCAATGTTGAGTTCTTCATTATTTCTTCTTCTCATTGCTGGCATATCCTTACTTTTCCTTAGAGTCTTCTCATCATTCCACTTTTTTCCCTCATATCTGGCAGCTAGGACTATTCTGGAAAACTGTGCGTTATGTATGCTTTTGATGATATATATACACAGGTGGAATACATTTAGCCTTTGGAAGTATGTAATGCTCAGCTGCGTTTGCCACCAGGGCCAAATGGTACTCTCAGTTTTCTTGTGTGGAAGTAGTTGGAAGTCACTGAAAAACACTGGTTAACTTTTTATCTCTTGAGCAAGGAAGGGACTCTTCTGGAAGTTTAGGGACAAAGGTCAAAGAAGAGGAATCTTCTTGGTGTGCCAAGCTAAGGTTGTAAGAAATGAGTTGAGGCTTGGGAAATCGTTTGTATTTCGGAATTGTTTAACTTTTCCAGAAAGTGAGCACATGGCTAAATAGATTGCAAATTAAGATTTTTCGTCACATCAACATTGTAGTTTAGGTATTTACAGAGAAGTGACGATGACAGCAGTCTCTGTCATAAAGCGTAAGCCGTAAACCCAGATGACTTAGTTTCAGTATTCATTGGTTATAGTATATTCTGTTTTACAAAAGTGAAAACTCCTTTAGATGTGTCAGGTATATCTGATGTACTTTAAATTCTGGAACTTGATTACCAGTACATCTTCAGAGCTTATAGAATCTAACCACAAAACAGATTTTAACTGAACTTCCATGTGTTGCTGTGCATGGGACAGTTAAAACAAAAAGTAAAGTCTGTTGTATTTCAGTACCTTTTCCTCCTATAATGTTCAGTGTTTTAGGAATTATTAGTCTATATTCTTGCACTAGAAAACCTTGGATGTTTTGAAAAAAATGAGATGCATTTAATATTAGGTTGGAGCAAAGGAAATTGCACCAACCTAGTAGTAGAAATCTGTGTAGTGTACTTGAATTTAAATTTTTTTTTTTTTTTTTTTTTTTTTTTTTTGAGACAGAGTTTTGCTCTTGTTGCCCAGGCTGGAGTGCAATGGTGCAATCTTGGCTCACTGCAACCTCTGCCTCCTGGGTTCAAGCAATTCTCCTGCCTCAGCCTCCCGAGTAGCTGGGATTACAGGCATGCTCCACCACGCCAGGCTAATTTTGTAGTTTTAGTAGAGAGGGTGTTTCTCCATGTTGGTCAGGCTGGTCTCGAACTCCCAGCCTCAGGTGATCCGTCCGCCTTGACCTTCCAAAGTGCTGGGATTACAGGGGTGAGCCACAGCGCCTGGCCCTTTTTTTTTTTTTTTTTTTTTTTAGGACGGAGTTTCTCTCTCGTTGCCCAGGCTGGAGTGCAATGGTGCAATCTTGGCTCACTGCAACCTCCGCCTCCTGGGTTCAATCGATTCTCCTGCCTCAACCTCCCAAATAGCTGGGACTACAGGCACACGCCATCACGCCCGGCTTATTTTGTATTTTTAGTAGAGATGGGGTTTCACCATGTTAGCCAGACTGGTCTTGAACTCCTGACCTCAGGTGATCCACCCACCTCTGCCTCCCAGAGTGCTGGGATTACAGGCATGAGCCACTGCACCCGGCTGAATTTGAAATTTTTTAAATTTTAACTTTTTTGCAGAATTAGAATTCATAGTGTTAATGATTAGTCTCATATTAAGCTGTGTTTTTATTATTGCGAAATGTTGGTGTTGAATGTCACTTTTGAAATGAATATACTAATGCTTCAATATGTGTCTGTCCTTTGAAATCCAAACAAGTATCATTTCTAATCCAAATAAGCTATTTTTATGAGTTTGTCTGACTCTTAGAGATGGAGTGAGTTTCTTACAGTCACATAGATACAAAGTGGCAGAGAGTGCATAATTTAAACACAGATCCCTTTGGTTATAAAACTCTTACTCTGCCAATTTCATTGCAAAAAACTTGCTTGTTATATTTTAAAGTTGGATTTCTTAGGAGTAATGACAATAGGTATTATAGACATAAATGTTAACAAAGAAAAATGAAAAGTCTTTAGGAAACTTCTGATTATGGGAGATTATGTTAATTCAATCTGCATTTAGTTAGTGTAGCTTTTTTCTGAGTTACACTTAGGGTTTGTCAGAGAATTTATTGTTGAAAGCATGCTAAGTACAGCTAGGCTTCATTAAGTTCCATGCATTTCACATGTTTATGATAATTAAAAGTATATTCCCTAAGTATTTTTAATGATAATCAGACTCAGGTCTTCCATCTTTTGTGGTTCACACCAACTCACGTTTTATTTCTTTTTGCAAAAGGCCACAATTTTTGTAAATTCTAATTGTATTATTTTAAATATTAAAATGTATAGCTTTGGTATTGCTTAAAATGTTGTTCTAGTTTTGCTGGTATGTTACTAACACCGGGCACTTATTTTTTTTAACCTTGCACATTTGCTTTTATAATATTCATAAATCATCACTTTCAGAATGTGAGCAGAATCAGGTTGCAAAGTGAATTTTCTCCTTACTAATTTGGAATTTGTCTTTAAACATAGGTATTTTGGCCTCTCCCCAGTCTGCTCCTGGAAACTTGGACAATAGTAAAAGTGGAGAAATTAAAGGTAATGGAAGTGGTGGAAGCAGAGAAAATAGTACTGTTGACTTCAGCAAGGTAATTCTATCATTAACTGAAAATTCTCATAATTATTCTTACTGAGGAAATAAGTAGTAATTTGTGGCTAATATTATTAACATTGATGATAGTAATTTTTTAGTAGACTGGTGCTTACAAACCTGCATGTGATGTCTGTGATATGTTAATTTAAGGTAAAAACTGTGAGAAGGGTTACAGTTAACCTGTGAGTACTTGAATAACTTTACACCATTACTAGTGTTAGAAATTCTGAAAAAGAATATGTGAATAATACGATATTTCCATCCATACCTACCCATAGATATCGTGAAACGTCAGTACTTTTTGAACTACAGTCATTTGTTCTGGAGCTACCACCACTAGAACGTTAATTCTGGGAGTGATGTTACAGCACTAATGATTCAGTCTTTCCTGGGCTGTAATGCGATCCCAGAATTACTGTCTTATGGTGTCAGTACTTTTGGAATGTCACTGAGAAATATATTGGTGCTTCCCCATGGGTAGGTTAAAGGCATGGATTACAAAAAAATACCTATGTGAACTATGATTTTTTTATTTTGGTAAATGAGTATTTTGTTGAAATAGATAAACCTTAATTTAAAAGAACAGGGCAAAAGACTACTAAGTTCAAATTGTAACTGAATGTAAAATGTACTTTATGAGTATTTCTTATGAACAATTGATTCTATCTAGCCACTAATTTTTTAGTAGTATTAATTTGCTATAGTAAAATACCAGATGCTCATGGTATTTTAATATTTTTGTATCCAGTATAAGACTTTTTAATAAATGTAATTATGTCAAGCTGATTTCATTTCTTAAGCCTTTTAGTCTTTGATGAAAAGTCTACAAGATATATTTTACAGAAAAGGAGTTTAAATGGTTTGCATTATAGCTTTGTTGAGTGTTGTAGTCTAAAACTATAGGAAGCCTAGCATTACGGACATTGGCTGTGCAGAAAGGCTGTTGTATTTTAAATTTTTCTGATCTATCCTGATCACATTTTACTGGTGCTCATGTTATTTCAGATAGTGCAAAGTACTTAGTAACAAAATTGCAATTTATTTCTTGTTAAATGAATAAATTAATATAATTTACATTATAGAGTTCCTCTAGGCATGGCAGTTGCCGTTTATTTTTGTTCCTCTGTCACAGTCTTACTTTTTTTTACTTGGCCTATCTTTGTGTATACTTCCTTGTCTCCTGTTGGGCAGGAGTCTGCCTCCTGGCACTGTAGTTGTGGCACACTGGGTGTGGGACTCAAGAGGCCCGCTGTAAGTGCTGGTTTTACTTTTCATAGATAGCCCTGTAAGTGGTTGTTTAGTGACTTGTGTGAAACTGCATATAAATGAAGTTCACATAATTTGGTATCATGTGTAACCTTTTCCTTGTAATTATACACAGAAAGCTAAATTTTACTATTATAGCATTATCATATATCTGTGCCAATAAGGGCTATAGATTTTTGTTTTAAATAAAAACAAGGGGCCAGGCATAGTAATTCATGCCTGTAATCCCTGTGTTTTGGGAGGCTGAGGCAAGAGAATCACTTGGCCAGGAGTTCAAGACCAGCCTGGGCAATATAGCAAGCCCCCCACCTCTACAAAAAAACAACAAAAATTAGCCAGGCGTGGTAGCGCATGCCTGTAGTCTCAGCTACTCGGGAGGCCAAGGTGCAAGGATTGCTTAAGTCCAGGATTTTGAGGTTTACAGTGAGCTATGTTCCTGCCACTGCACTCCAGCCTGGGCAATAGAGTAAGACCTTGTCTCAAAAATACTACTAATGAAATAAAAGTAATGATTTTTTTTCCAGTTAATGAAAAGACTGGGAAATGCCCAGAGTAATTTTTTGGTTTGTTTTTAGGGGGACTTTACATAAAATGTAAAGGTTTTCTAAGGTTAAGTAATATAAAACCATGAATATTTTTTAGCACTGTGTATAATTTCATGAACCATTGTTAGTTTGTGAACTACATATTTGTCCTTAATAGTTTTTAATGAATAGTGCAGTATTCATTGAAAAATTTCTCAAGTTCATGTTTGATAAAGATTGTGACAGTTAAAACAGTAGCATTGATTCAAATAAGTTTGCTTGCTTTTTTGTATGTCTACTCCATTCTTTATATTTGTGAAAATTTTGACATTTTAAACATTCATTAGATCACAAGTTTTGATTAGCAAATAGTAGTCTTATAAAGCAGTTTTTCTTTCCTGTTTCTCTCTAGTCTTACAAATACCACGGAAACTTTATTTTTAATTATTTATTTGTCAATAGGTTGATATGAATTTCATGAGAAAAATTCCTACGGGTGCTGAGGCATCCAACGTCCTGGTGGGCGAAGTAGACTTTTTGGAAAGGCCAATAATTGCATTTGTGAGACTGGCTCCTGCTGTCCTCCTTACAGGGTTGACTGAGGTCCCTGTTCCAACCAGGTAAAGAGTTAGTTCCAAGTAACATTCTCTAAGCATTTTCAAAATCTACAAGTTTTTAATCCAGCGAATGAACAAGCATGTTGATTTATGTAATAAAAGCTTATTTTATTTAATTTTATCTTATTTTTGAGACAATCTCACTTTGTCATCCAGGCTGGAGTGCAGTGGCACAATTTCAGCTCACTGCAACCTCCACCTCCCAGGTTCATGCGATTTTCCTGCCTTAGCCTCCCTAGTAGTCTGGATCACAGGTGTGCAGCACCATGCCTAGCTAAGTTTTATATTTGTAGTAGATATGGTGTTTTGCCATTGTCCCATCTGGTCTCGAACTCCTACTTAAGTGATCTGCCTGTCTTGGCCTCCCAAAGTATTGGGATTACAGACGTGAGCCACTGTGCCCAGCCAAAATCTCATTTTAATAGTTAATATTCAGCCACTGTACCAAATACTTTGAATATAAGACTCCTGTGAATAGGGCATAAAATCATTTTCTTCCTGGAACTAAAAAGTACAATAAAATAAATATCGGCTGGGCACAGTGGCTCACTGCTGTAATTCCAGCACTTTGGGAGGCCAAGGTGGGTGGATCACCTGAGGTCAGGAGTTTGGTAGAAGGTTGATTTGGTAGTTAATTATGGTTGCTTTTCCTAGTTTTCTGATTTCCTTTAGTCCGGGTGGAGTTGCCATCTTTTTTCAGTGATTGGTGTGGGGGAGTAGAAAAGATGTCTGAGTGTTGTTTCTTTGTTTATATTTGAATGGTTTCTTTTTTATGATTGCCTAGCTTTGTGGGTGTATGATGTTTATTTTAAAATCTGTATTTTCATATTTCCTTAGGTTTTTGTTTTTGTTATTGGGTCCAGCGGGCAAGGCACCACAGTACCATGAAATTGGACGATCAATAGCCACTCTCATGACAGATGAGGTAATCAGAATACTCCAAGTCTCTTTGAAGTAGACACTAATTATGCAGCATATAGTATATATTAGATTACAGTTCTCTTTTCTTTCATAGTGAAGCTCTAAAACTTTTCCTTGCTGTGTATACTGTTTTATCTCATATTTGCTTCTCCTATTTGCCTTCGGTTAGGTTTTTAAGACCTTTATATCAAGATCAGTGGGTATTTAAAAATTTTTTTTTGTTTTAAACATTTGTAATTATTGACTACCTTCTTGAACTTTCGAAATTTTGGGATTTTTTTTATCCTAGATTTCAGCATATCATTTCTCTAGGTTTTCCTCAGAACATTTTTTTTCCTGTAAATTTCTCTGATATGGGGTCCCGATCTTTGACGATAACCTACATACTAATCAGGACCTTGTCTTTCTTTTGAAGAGAGATTTGTAATCAGATTCTTGCCAAACATCAGTGCTGTGTGTCCCAAGGGTATTTGAAATGCCCCATATCTGAACCTGACCTAATTTTTCTTTTTCTTTTTCTTTTCTTTTCTTTTTTTTTTTGAGACAGAGTCTCACTCTGTTGCCAGGCTGGAGTGCAGTGGTGCAATCTCGGCTCACTGCAATTCTCCTGCCTCAGCCTCCCGAGTAGCTGGGACTACAGGTGCACCCCACCATGCCCAGCTAATTTTTCTGTATTTTTAGTAGAGACGGGGTTTCACCGTGTTGGCCAGGATGGTCTCAATCTCCTGACCTTGTGATCTGCCCGCCTCGGCCTCCCAAAGTGCTGGGATTACAGGCGTGAGCCACCGCGCCTGTCACATTTTTCTGTCCTCTTTCAACCAGCCAGTCACCAGATTCTTTTTACCTCTTCAATGTGTTTTGCATTTAATCTGTCATATTCTTTCCATCTCTACTGCCATTTCTCTGGCTTAGCCTTTTATTTGTTGATTCAAGTAGCCTTTATGAGTATTTATTGTATAGTATTTTTCTCTACACTCTCAGTAACATGCAAATTTGAATGTATCATTTCCTTAGTCCAAAGATATTAATGACTTCCTATCATATAGTGAAATTTAAATTTAAACTTTTGGCCGGGCGCAGTGGCTCACTCCTGTAATCCCAGCACTTTGGGAGGCCGAGGTGGGTGGATCACTTGAGGTCGGGAGTTTGAGACCAGCCTGGCCTACGTGGTGAAACCCCATCTCTACTAAAAATACAAAAATTAGCTGGGTGTGGTGGCACAGTTCTCCTGCCTCAGCCTCTTGAGTAGCTGGGATTACAGGCATACGCCACCACACCTGGCTAATTTTGTAGTTTTAGTAGAGATGGGGTGTCACCATGTTGGCAAGGCTGGTCTCAAACTCCTGACATCAGGCGATCCGCCTGCCTCGGCCTCCCAAAGTGCGGGAATTACAGGCATGAGCCACCGTGCCTGGTCAGTTACCTCCTTTAAGAGAATTTTCCTGGCTCCTTTGTTCTTTCCCATCAGTTTCCCTTTCTGTACCCTACTTTCTTTTTATCAGAGCGTCTATCAATACCTATAATTATTTATTTATTTAATAACGCGTTTCACTGTTTTTCCTCCTAGAAAAAAAGGTTCTTGAGTATAGGGACCTTGCCTTACCTGTCACCATTGCATTATCCACAATGCTTAGAATTGTATTTTAGCAGTTAGTAGGTAGCCAGTAAATATTGGTCATTAAATAAATTATTTAAGTAAAGTTGTTTGCATATCCATGATTATTTTCTTAGGATAAATGACATTTAAATGTCATAGAAGTAGAATGACACGCTACAGTGTTTTATTTTCTAATCAATTACTATTTCCCAGGCAAAATTTTATTTTTAAAAAATTGTTCTGTCTTAACATGTAACTGTTCTCTTTCATTGTTTGTTATTGTTAATTCATCTGATAATACTGAGTGGATTACCTTTTATAGTTGTTACCCAGGCTGGGCTGAATACCTGCCTGAGATAAGAGTTTAGGGGTTATCTTTATTGTGAAGCTATTTATGATATCCAGAGTGGATTTACTATGTGTAGAAATTTTTTTCAACTTTAAAATCTTTTACTCAATATTTTTTTCACTTAGATTTTCCATGATGTAGCTTATAAAGCAAAAGACAGAAATGACCTCTTATCTGGAATTGATGAATTTTTAGATCAAGTAACTGTCCTACCTCCAGGAGAGTGGGATCCTTCTATACGCATAGAACCACCAAAAAGTGTCCCTTCTCAGGTAAGAATCCAGAGCTATTCTTCTGTGACTTACTTTATTTTAATAAAATTTTTTTTGATTAGGTGTGATTCAAAAACCAAAACAGAGAAGTTTTATCCCCACCTCGTCCTGTTTACCTTCTTACCCCCATACTTACCTCCTGTGGGTGGACCATTTTTTACTAGTTTTTTGTTTATCCTTTTCATTTTTCATTCAGTACTTGAAACTATGAACATGTAGTCTTGTTTCTGTCACCAAAAGTTAGTGTATTGCATATACCGTTCTGTACCTTGCTTTTTTCATATAAAAGTTGTATCTAGGAGATCTGACATAAGAAATCATGAAAATATTCCTTATTCTCTTTTTCACAGCTTTGTTGTATTCTATGCATGGATGTACCATAATTTATTCTATTCCTGGGTTCTGATGTTACCAGTCTTTTGCTATTTCAAACCATGCATGACAATATCACATGTCATTTTAGTCTTTTGCAGATGTATCTGTAGAATAGATCCCCAGTAATAGGATTGCTGGGTCAAAGGGGAATTTATTTATAATTTTAGTAGATATTACCAGAATTCCCTCCATCAGCTGGAGTGTTTTGGACTCCTGCAGTGATGTATGAAAGGGCCTATTTCCCTGCATCCTCACCGACAGTGTGTGTTGCCAGACTTTTGGATATTTGTCAATCTAATAGGTATCTTTATCTTCCTATTTTAAGTATTTTAATGAGGTTTTTAATTGAGTTTTTATGAGACAGGGTCTTGCTCTGTCACCCAGGCTGGAGGGCAATGTCATGAACATGGCTTACTGCAGCCTCAGTTTCCTGGGCTCAAGCAAACTTCCTGCCTTAGCCTTCTATGTAGCCTGGACCACAGGTGTGCACTACCAGCCCCAGCTAATTTTTTGATACTTTGTAGATATGCTGTCTCACTTTGTTGTGCAGGCTGGTCTCAAACTCCTGGACTCTAGTGATCCTCTTGCTTCAGCCTCCCAAAGTTCTAGGATTACAGGTGTGAGCCACTGCTTCCGGCCTTTTAATGAGGTTTTAATTTGCATTTGTATAATTAGTGAGGTTGAATATTCCTGATTATCTTTTGTTCATTGCCCCACCACCAAAAATCCACTTCCCATTACATTTTATTTTTTTTAACATTTAAATTGTTCATTGATCCTTTGGAGGTTATGATAGCGTATTTTATGTGAGTATGGACCCAGCTTCATCTTTTTTCTAAGTTCCTGCCTGGTTCTCCCTGTTCATTAAGAGCTAAACATTGCTCCCCTTGGTTGGTGATGCTGCCTTTATTAGCTAAAATTCCATTTGTATTCAGGCCTGTTTTGGACTTTGTTTTGTTGTCCATTGGTCTGTCTATTCGTGGACCAATTCCACACTCCAATTTTTGAGGCTTTTTGGTATATTTTAATGTCTGGTAGGTCTAGACTTGTTCTTGCTCTCTTTCTTACTCTTGTTTTTCTGAATTTTCTTGGCTATCTTGCATATTTATCTTTCTGTGTAGGCTTTAAAATCAGCTTTCTATATTCAGAAATATGCGTAATGGTTTTTAAAAAGTTGTGATGACAAATTTCTCATTCAACTGAGGGAGAACTGACGTCTTCATGAGTTTGAGTCTTTCTATTCAAAAACATGGAGTGTCTCTCACCAGTTGATTTTCTATTTCAAGCAAGTTTTTGTATTCTTAAAGAATGTTGTCAAGTTTTCCTTATAATTTACATGTTTCTTGGTGAGTATATTCATGAGTATTGTATCTTTGTTGCTTTTATATGAAATGAAGGCTATTTGTTATTTTTTATGTGCATATATACATACACAGTTGACCCTTGAACAATATGAGTTTGAACTGTGCAGTTCTAATTATGTGGAGTTTTTCAATAAACATTGGAAAGTTTTTTGATAATTTGAAAAAATTTGCATGCAAACTTCATAGCCTAGAAATATCAAAAAATTAAGATTAATTAGGTATTCCTGAATGCATAAAATATATGTATGTACTAGTCTTCTTTAATAATAATTTATTACCATAAGATATATACAAATCTATTCTAAAAAGCTAAAATTTATCAAAAACTTATACACACTAAGAGTGTACATGGCACCATTCTCAGTGGAGAGAAATGTAAATAAAAGTAAAGATGCAGTATTAAATCCTAACTGCATAAAATTAACTATAGTAAATACCATACCACTGTCATTGTAATTTCATAGTTACTACCTGTTGCTATTGCAGTGAGCTCAAGTGTTGCAAGTTAACATGCGTAAAATGCTGTGTGTTGCTCATCGTCTCCACATCAGCAGTTTGTCTCTCCAGTAAATTGTGTTTACCCTAAAAAGTGATCATGAGGTTCTCATATATTTTTCATCATGTTTACTGCAATACTGTAAACTTTTGAGTAACAACATGGGACTCATAGGAAGTCCTGTTGGTGATACTAGTAAGTGTTCCTAAGAAAAAGAGAAAAGTCATACAAATGTAAGATGAAGTTGAATTCTTGGTATGTACCATAGAATGAAGTCTGCCATTGCCTGTCATTTCAAGATAAATGAATCCAGCGTAAGGATCATTGTAAAAAGAAAAGGAAACGTAAAGTCGTCACTGTAGCTATGCCAGCAGGCATGAACACTTTTGCTTTTTTGCAAAATGCCTTTTTATCTCATATTGAAAATGCAGCTTTTATGTGGGTGCAGATTACTATAAGAAAGACATACCTATAGATTCTGATACGACCAAGAAAAAGCAGTCATTTTACGACAACATAAAGCAAAAGAAAAGCGAAGGATCGGATAATTTAGTGCCAGCAAAGATTGTTTGGTAATTTTAGAAAGAAGTTTGGCTTAAAAAATGTCAAAATAACTGGAGAAGCAGCTTCTGCCATCCAGGAGGCAGCAGATGAGTTCCCAGATCAGATCCTGTTAAGAAAATCCCCTGAACGGGTTTTTAATGCAGATGAAAATACTCTGTTCTGGAAATAATGCTACAGAAGACATTTATTAGTAAGAAAGATTAGTGAGCACCAGGATTTAATGCAGGAAGGGTTAGCTAACTGTTTTGTGCAAATGCAGTCCAATTTATGGTCTTGACTACCCTTCTCTATAAAGCTGCTAATGCTGAGCTTTGAAGGGAAAAGATAAATGCCAGCTTCCAGTCTTTTTGTTATATGAGAAGGCCTGGATGAGAGCCCTTTTTCTGGATTGGTCCCATCAGTGCATTGTTCCTGAAGTCAGGAAGTACCTTGCCAGTAAGGGACTGCCTTTTAAAATCTTTTTGATATTAGACAATGCATCTGGCCACCCAAAACCTGTGAGTTCAGCACCAAAGGTGTCGAAGTGGTCTACTTGCACCCAAGCACAATGTCTCTAATTCAGTCTCTAGATTAGGGGGCTGAGAACCTTTAAGTCTTGATACATTAGATGCTATGTAGAAAAGATTATTAATGCTGTGGAAGAGAACCTTGGAAAGCAAGGACATCATGAAAGTCTGCAAGGATTACACCGTTGAAGGCACCATCATTATTATAGAAAAAGCCAGGAACGTTATCGAGCCTGAAACAATAAATTCCTTCTTGGAGAAAACTGTCCAGATGTTGTGCATGACTTAACAGGTTTTACAGCAGAGCCACTCAAGGAAATTGTGTATATGGCAAAAAAGGTGGAGGTTGAAGGGTTTCAAGATGTGGATCTTGGAGAAGCTCAAAAACTAGTAAACACCACATCAGAGGAGTTAACAGAACACAACTTGATGGAGATGAGTGCTTAACCGGTACTGGTGATGAGGACAAAGATATAGAAGTAGTAGTGCCAGAAAACAAATTGATATCAGCTGATCTGGCAGAAGGGTTCTGATTATTCAGGATTGCTTTTGACTTCTTTTGCAACATGGATCCTTCTATGGTTTGGGTACTGAAGGAAACAAGGATTGGTACTGTCCACATTTTTAGAGAAATGAAATAAAGTGAAATAGAAATTATGATGTATTTCCATTAATATTTTCTTTTCGCTAGCTTACTGTATTGTGAAAATATAGGATATAACACCTCTAACATGCCAAATATATGTTCGACTGTTCATGTTACCAGTAAGGCTTTCCAGTCAACAGTAGGCTTATTAGATTGAGTTTCAGGGAGTTATACACAAAATTTCAACTGCATGGGAGTTGGTACCAACTCCCTTGTTTATTCAAGAGTCAACTGTGTATTTTATTATTTTTTTTGAGATGGAGCTTCGCTCTTGCCACCCAGGCTGGAGTGCAATGGCAAGATCTCAGTTCACTGCAACCTCTGCCTCCCGGGTTCAGGTGATTCTCCTGCCTCAGCCTCCCGAGTAGGTGGGATTACAGGCGCCTACCACCATGTCCGGCTAATTTTTGTATTTTTAATAGAGATGGGGTTTCACCATGTTGGCCAGGCTGGTCTTGAACTCCTGACCTCAGGTGATCCACCTGCCTCGGTCTCCCAAAGTGCTGGGATTACAAGTGTGAGCCACCACGCCTGGCCTCAACTGTGTATTTTTAATCCTGCTACCATCCTTAATTGTTTGTAATAGTTTTTCAGTCAAATAATCTGTAAGTAAGAGATAGTATTATTCCTCCTTTTCTAAATCTTATACATGTAATTGTTTTCTGTTGTCTAATTGTATTAACTAAAATCTCTAGTACAGTGTTAAGTAGCATGGGCTTTAAATAGGCATTTTTAAACTTGTTTCTCACTGTAGTCAAATGTCTCTAGTATTTCTCCCATTAAGTAAGATAATGACATTGGAGCCAAAATATACATTTCATCATGTTAAGAAAGTAACATTATTTCTTTTTTATTGACATTTAAAATATAAATTGATGTAGAATTTTATCAAATGCCTTTTCAGCATCTCTGGCAAATGATTATATTAATTTTATTTATCAATTATTATGGTAAATCATATGAATAGATTTTTGAATATGAAAGAATTCCTGGAGTCAACCCAGTTTGGACTTTAAAGTGGTAGTGGTCTGTGTCTACTAGTTTGTATTACTGTAGATTGGTTTATAGATTTTTGTGCCATCTTCACATTTTATACTTCACATCAATATACTTGTTTCATAAACAAGTTTGTAAGTTTTCATTTTTGTTAAACAGTTTTAAATGGTGTGGAATAATTTGATTTTAAAAGTTTGGAAGAATTCCTTTGTAAAGTTTTTTGAGCTTGAATCTTTTGTCATGTAGACTTCAACAATTAGCTTATTTCTTCTTTGGAAATTGGTATATGTAAAACTTCCTGTTTTTTCTGATGTCAGTTTTGGTAAATCATTTTCCTAGTATATTACCAGTTTCATCTAGGTTTCAAATTTATTTGCATGGAGTTATATGTAGTATGTATTTGTGTATGTATATAAAATGTGCTCACTATGAAATTATTGCCTCTTTCCTTTTTTTGTTTTGTTATTAGCTGAAGGTCTATTGTATTTTTCAAACAGCAGTCTTTAAAAGTTATTTTAGTACTTTTAAAAAATGCATTTTATTTTGTATCTTAGTTTCTGCTGTTAGCTGTTTTATTTCATTCCTTTCACTTTCTTCCAGGAAAGATTTTTTGTTTTCACATTTTCTGAGGAAGTTGTTTAATTCACTTTTTTTTCCTTGTTTCATTTCTCTTAATATAATTGCTTAATTTTCTTGAATGTGCTTTGGCTGGGTCTCATGGGTTTTATTAGGTTGGCACAAAAGTAATTGTGGCTTTGGCCATTATTTTTAATCAATTCAATTAAATGATTAAATCAGTTAAATGATTAATTAAATTAAAAATAATAGCCAAAACCACAATTACTTTTATAATTTGTAGTTTTTAAAATTATTTTTGTTTCCTAGGAGTCTAAAATTTTATCCCTTTCCTCTTTAAGATGTAAGTTTGAAAATTGAAATTTTGTAAGTGAGATTTTGACGTTTTCAAATGGCAGTCTTATATTTGTAGATGAGCCTTGCTACTCTCTAAATATGGAGCATGTAAACCAGGTAGCTTAAGTCTTTTATTCACCTAGAGCCTTTGACCCAGTAAACCTCCTGGGATGTCAGATCTCTGTCTCCCTTTCCCTTTACCTCTCTGTTTCCTTTTCTTCCATCTTTCCTACCATCTTTCCTCTTGTATGTGCACATGCTCACACATATTTTTAGCCCCAGCATCTCTTGATGTAACAAGTTAAAAGTTCATTTCTTTGTCTTTAACAGAGGGGGAGAAATCCTGTATCATGTGAATAGTACTCTTGAATTTGTAATAAAATGTAATGGGAAGTGGATTTTTGTGGGAACATGTTTATCAAACAGCTCTTATTTTTTAAGGGAAATACTTTAGTAGAAGAAAAATGACATTTGCTTTTCTCTTAATGTAAAGCGTAATTTTCAATAGTTAATAGGAGCAGTATTTTTAAAGTTTTGGTGGGAGAGATGCTTTTTTGGAGGTTACTTACGTTTGTAGCTATTGGTGAATAGGAATTTGAAATGGTATGTATGAATATATTTTATAGTATATTGATAATTAGAACATAAGATGCAAAAAGCTAATTGCAAATTTAAAATATTAATAGAAACTGACATTAGCTTCTATTTTTAAAGAGCAATCTATTTCAGAAGAGAGTTTATTTTAGGAACCATTCTTTTCTAGGAGAACTGATTAGATACATAATCAATATAAAATCTGATATTCACTCTAATTGAAGATGCCATCTCAAGTTTTCTTAAAATAGAATTCTGAAAATAATGTTTTTTGTGAAATTCAGGAAAAGAGAAAGATTCCTGTGTTTCACAATGGATCTACCCCCACACTGGGTGAGACTCCTAAAGAGGCCGCTCATCATGCTGGGCCTGAGCTACAGAGGACTGGACGGTGGGTGCAAATACTGATATTTTGAAGGGTTTGGGGGATGATTTGATGAAAACATAAATATTATATTTTTTCCAAGTGTTTGGAACCTAATCTTGTACAGTATTTTTTCATATGTATAAAAATGTGCATTATTATATATAAGGAAAATTTATATGTATAAATATATAAGAATTTATAAATAATTTTAATAGTATGTATCAAGCTTTAAAAGGAAAATAATGGACTGTATATTCAGAATATTGCAGTTATATAGTGTGTAGGTTAATTTCCATTGCTTATACAGAAGGTTCTTGAAGAAGGTGTAGAGTCTTATTATAATTCTTCATATTGAGTTAGAGAATTATGGGAACAGAGAGTAATTACAACTAATAATTTCTTTGTATATGTGCACAGATTTAAAACTCTTAAATGAGCATTATATCATGAGGTAATCTTCCATGGACAAGCATGATTAAACCATTGTATTGCTCTCTGGAAACCTAGCTAGAAAAATTGTTTAAGAAGTTAATTTTTGTAACAAAAAATAGAAATATTGGCAGATGCAAACATTGCCTTAATATTTTGTAGAAGTAGATAAATGTTATAGTATTTTCATAATGTGGAAAAGCATGTGGCTATTGATTCTTTATTGTCCACTGGTGGTCAGTATGGAATTAAATAATCTTAAATATTAAATCTTTGTGTAAAAAAAACAGGGAATCTTATACAGATACAATCTTAGGGATTTTGATGACATCCTTAAAGGGTACTATATCATAAAAATAAGTAACTGGCATACTGAATATAGACTTTAGAGAAACTGAAATTCACAATTAATTCATTGACTAATGAAGTGTTTTTGTCTCTGTGAATACAATAGAGAAAAGATTTTGACCCTGTGTGAACAGTACTGTTGTATTATTAGCTATTATCGCTTCTTCATACTGGGATAGGGTTAGTCATTGAGAAGCACTGTGTCAGGCCTCCACTGATCTCAGTCACCTGAGAGCATCTGTATGCCCTCTATTAAGTAATTATCAATTTGATGATATACTGTAGATTCATATTTTAGATTATTGATGGCACCTTTTTTATTGCAAGCTGATTTCCCTTGCTGTCAGATTATGAACAGAGTACTACTTGTCAATTTGTGTTTAGGATTTCAGTATCAACTTAAAAAAATTACAACGGTAAAGCTTGAAATATCCATTTGAAAGCTTAATGTTAGTTTTTTTGGTCAATTTTCTTGCAGTTGGGATTTGAATGATTTTCTGTTTTTTGAGTATTAAAACGAATTACTGATTTAGTCACCAGTGTTTGTTGAGTGCCTACTATTTCCCAGGTAGTGTTCTAGACACTGTAGATAACGCAGTGAACAAGAAAAAGTCTCCCCTCATGGAGCTTATATTTTATTGGAATGTCTTCAAGTTAGATGTATCCAAAAGACTAATTGTTAAAAATGTTGAAATGGTACAGCTTTGATGTACAAACAGATTTTTAATCTACTAATTGAAACCTGTTAGTTTTATTAATGTACATATTAGTTTGTCTACATACACAGTAAATTAAATATACTGAAATAGTTTTTAGGGATTTCTTTCCCCCTTTTATACGATTGAAGTACTAGTTTTGAAAGTTTTTAAAGTTACTGAATTCATACCACTTGTGCATCTAAGCACAACATACTACATTTATATTAAAGTGTATTTGGATAATAATTGCCTTCCTTGTATTTGTGATTGTTGCCTTTAAGATTTTAATATAGACAATTAATAGAATTGCTTATGCACATTTTCATAAATGGGTTGTTGGGTTTTGTTTATTTTGTTATACCTTGCCTTGCACATTTGTGTCCAAAATTACATTTACTCATATAAAATCATTTGCCTGCAGTCTTTTCATTATATAGTCCGTAAAATACAGATATTTGTCTCTTAATGAAATATAACATTCCTCTATCATTAGATTAGATTAAATGAGTGTATCTTCTGTAATTTATAAGTTAAATTGGATTTAACATTTTGTTGACAAAACACCTAGGCACCAGCAGTTTTGTGTAGCCCATAGTTTTAGTTTGAAGTAGCTAGAATCCTCTAGTGTACAGTTTGACGAGTTTCATCTCACCTATTTAGGCTTTTTGGTGGTTTGATACTTGACATCAAAAGGAAAGCACCTTTTTTCTTGAGTGACTTCAAGGATGCATTAAGCCTGCAGTGCCTGGCCTCGATTCTTTTCCTATACTGTGCCTGTATGTCTCCTGTAATCACTTTTGGAGGGCTGCTTGGAGAAGCTACAGAAGGCAGAATAGTGAGTACAAAGATTGGTAGTGGCCAGGCTTTTAGCTCTTCAGAGGCAAGTGTCTGTATGCATTTGTCTCACTATTCATACTTTTATTTGAAGAGTCTACCCACAGCATGATTAACGTGACCCAAAGCAGACTTTCCCCAAAGGTAATTGCTGTGGAAAACATGGGGAAGCCATTTGAACAGAAGATGCACAGTTGAGGTAAAAAAAAATTAAAAAAAAGTTTACTTTGGCTTGCTGGATGAATGGTTTTATAAATTGAGTAAAAGGCTTGGATTGTCTTTTGAGGTGGGGTGGACTGGGAGAAGACAACAGTTGAACTGATTCTGGGTGGGTCATGGGGGTTTTTATCAGTGGGGCTACTTCATATCCTGTAAGGTATCATAGGATTAGTTAGAGCCACAGGATGAATATTAACTCCTCAGTCCTGGCTGGTAAGCCTATACTCGACTGGAAGAATAGAACATAATTATGGAAACTGTGGCTTTTTGAAGTGGCATTTAATTTTGCTGTTATTAAGTCTATGTGAAAATAGCTAAAACTTTTATTTGGAAAATATAATTGAAAGCTTCATCCATTCTTTGATATGACTAAAATGAAAGTTTTTATGTTTTCCTGTTCCTGGTTATACTGTATTCAGAGCTATGGTGCTTTGTAAAATCTTGAAAGGCATTTCTTTGTTGTTGTTGATATGCATTTTAATGGCATTTAAATGAGACGATTTGTAATTCTTAAGTGCATTTTACTTAATTGTATTTATTCTTGGGAGAACATTCATTTTTTTATAGATCAAAGGTTAAAAAATAACCAAAGCTAAGGCATGATAATTATCGAATTAAAATATTTCATGATCTAAACATGAAATAAACCTAACAACTGAAATTTTCTTTCAACTCTGAATTTATTTTGGATTATGTAAAATCTTTTTACCTTAGTCTTTAATCATTGTATCAAAGGTCCATATTTTTAGTAAGTTGCTTTATGTGCTGTCACAAATTGTGCATGTCACTCTGCTAGTCCCCATGGAAATGTGTTTTATCTGTTACCATCATGGAATTGCTGCCTCTTTGTCCGTGGACTGTCATTCATTACCTGCCCATCTAATCTTGCTATTTGATATCTTGTACATGTGACAATGTGTTTGGCATTGGAGGAATATAGATAAGTGTAAGAAGAGCCAGTATCTCCTGTCCTCAAGGATTCTAAGTGAAAAAAGTGAAAAAGACAAAAGTGATTAAGTGAAAAAGACAAAATAGTATATACATAGTGCTTTGCCACACGTGAGTGAGATAAAGGAAGAGCTGTAGGATTTGAAGTAATAGAAATAGAGGAAGCAGAAATATTATAGAAGAAAGTGAAAAGGATATGTATTAGTTATCAGGTGCTTTATTAGAACTTCAGGTGGAAATGGAGATATTAGGAGATACGGTCCCAGAGTGTGTAGAGTGGTGAGGAGGAAATGTAAAGATTGGGAATCGTTTATATAGGAGTGAAGGTTGAAATAGAATAGAGGAAGTTAACAAGAAAGATAATTTACAGGGAGAGAAGGAGAGGGGAAAAGTGTGAAATTACCCAGATTTATGGAATGAAGGAGGGATGGGATGGAGGAGGAAAATGATTTCAGCAAATTAGACACACAGACCTAGAAGAGGAATCAGAATGATGAAATTCTGTGAAAACCAAACTAGAGGTTTTGAGGAGGGAAGATTAGCAGGAGTATTTGATGATTTGAAAGGGTAGTACAGTAGAGAAGGTGTATTTATAGGTGTGTGAGGGGAAGGTAAGGGTAGGTAGGCCTTCTGATGGGTACAATGGAAACTTCTGAATGTGAGAATGAGGTAGGCAGGCAGGGTAATAGGCTGATTTTTTTTTTTTTTTTTGAGGCGGAGTCTCGCTCCGTCACCAGGCTGGAGTGCAGTGGCGCGATCTCAGCTCACTGCAACCTCCGCTTCTCGGGTTCAAGCAATTCTCCTGCCTCAGTCTCCTGAGTAGCTGGGACTACAGGGGCCCACCACCACGGCGGGCTCATTTTTGTATTTTTAGTAGAGACAGGGTTTCATCATGTTGGTCAGGCTGGTCTCGATAATGTGACCTCGTGATCTGCCCACCTCAGCCTCCCAAAGTGCTGGGATTACAGGCGTGAGCCACCGTGCCTAGCCAGGCTGTGATTTCTTTAGGGGAAAAGACAGGTAACAGTATGGCAGTGAACATAGAAACAGTTCAAAAATTAGAAAAAAAAAAAAAAAAAGGTCTTCATATGGCAATATCTGCTTTTCAGCCCAAGATTAGGAGAGGGGAACCTTAATTTTATACCGATTTGCCTGTGTTAATGTCTTTTTTGACATCTCCTTGCTTCATGTCTCAATGTTTTGCTTTTTTTCTCTGTATGTATACCATTTAGACATTTTTTTCCTTTGTTTCTGCTTTTTGTTTTTTTGAGACAGGGTCTCACTGTGTCACTCAGGCTAGAGTGCAGTGGCATGATCTCAGCTCTCTGTAGTTTTGACCTCACTGGACTTCCCTCATAACCTCCGGAGTAGCTGGGACTATAGGTGTGTACCACCACGCCTAGCTAATTTTTTGTATTTTTTTGTAGAGACCAGCTTTTGCCATGTTGCCCAGGTTGTTCTTGAACTCCTGGGCTCAAAACAATCCACCCACCTCGGCTTCCCAAAGTGCTTGTGTTATAGGCGTGAGCCATGGTGCCCGGCCCATTTTTTTCCTTTGACTTAAGCTCTGCATAAATTCATTCCTAAATATGCTTATTGTAATTGAACTAAGGATTTTATGATGGCTTAGCAGTGTCTTTTAAGAACATTTTTCTCCACAGACAAGAAAACAAATTTAGCCCATATAATTAACAAATGTGTCATTAACACGGACACTTCTCCTTTATGCTGCCAAAAGATAAATTTGTTTATCTTTGAGTTTGATCCTGTTTTTATTCTAATAGTTGAATTATACTTTCATTGCATACTGTCATTTTGTGATTTTTGATTTTGGAAGATGCTGTTCTAGCTGATGATGAGAATTGCTACCTATTCATTGACTATATTCTGTGTGCCAGACACCATGCTTGCTAGGTGTTTTTGCAAATAATATTTATGTTCTAGTTATCATCACCGCCATTTCAAAGTGAGAAAGCTTAGGCTTAGAAAGGTTAAGATATGGCCATGGCTGAACACCTAGTAGCAGTCAGTCTTCCCACTGGAAATCTAGTTTCGGAAGCCCTCCTCTTTGCCTGTTGCTGCGCTGCCTCTCATTTCAGCAGGATTGTTTCTTACGAGCTTCTTTTCTCCTTCCCTTTACCAATTAATGGGCTGGCTTTTCTGGATAGTACGTTCCAGTTGACCTTGATGTTTGTATATGGTAAACTATTCTTTCCTTACTTTCTGATTCTTTCCCCCTTTTTCTAGTGGCATAGCTAATCATCTGATAGCCTAATTAGTTAGAATGTAATGGTGGTGGTTGTACAAAATTAGTATACTAACGTTGATTTAAATTCTCTTAGTCTTTCATTTTCTCTATCTTTTCTTGCCAAACTTTAGTGATACTTTGTCATTTATGGTTGCTATAAATTTTTTTGAGGAGATTTTTCTCATTTATTTTGTTAAATATTTCAGTTTTGATAATTGATTAAGCCTATCATATTAGATTAATTTCTTTAAAATATGTGGAAAGTTTTGCTCTTTAGAAATCAGTTTGAGAAAGATAGTCACATGTTGATTTATCACCTATTCGAAAGATCTTTTTATAGCAGTTCTTTTTTGTAGCACCATATTATTTACTATTTTTTATTTTTAAAATGAACTATTTCAGCCATATAAAAGTATTCAAAATAATACATATCCTTCTGTACTCACAGACTTAAGAAATAAAACATATATAGATAAAGTTGAAGCCCTAGTATGTGTCTCTCCCATTTACTCTTTGCTCCTTTCATCCCACAGCACAGGTTGAGTATCCCTTATCTGAAATGCTTCGAACCAGGAGTAGTTCAGATTTTGGATTTTTTTTAGGATTATACTTCTGGTTGAACATCCTTAATCTGAAATCTGAAGTGCTCTAATGAGCATTTCCTTTTGAGTGTCGTATTGGCACTCAAAAAGTTTGGAGTGTGGAGTTTTGGATTAGGGATACTCAGCCTGTATTGAGTTTTGAATTAAGGATGATCACAAAAGTTTCTTTTTAATATGCAAAAAGAAAGCATTTTTTCTTGTGTATTTAAAATGTATTTGTAATTTTTTATATTTTAAATTAAAAACTCAAAGTGGTGTTGGTTTTATAACTGCTTGATGGGTATTTTTATTTTCCAGATGTCTTACATGTATTATAGTACGTTAGAGAAATGTTTATGATGTATTGCTTTTATTCATTTCTTTTTTCCTTAAACAGAGTGCAATAGAGTCTCTTTTTGGAGCATCATTAACTGGGATTGCCTATTCATTGTTTGCTGGGCAACCTCTAACAATATTGGGGAGCACAGGTCCAGTTCTAGTGTTTGAAAAAATTTTATATAAATTCTGCAGGTAAGTAATAGCCCTCTCTACTTATCACATGTGTTATATATGAAATTGTTTATTAACTTAGAAGGGAATTATTTAATTGCTTAAAAGTAATTTGGTCAATATATGCATTCTCATTATTTTTGAGCTACTGTATGATTGACCATCCTCTGGCCCCTTCCATTCTTAATCCAGTAACTTGGAGATGAAGAAAGTAAGATTGTCCTTGAGTATAAAATCAGTGGATTTGAATGCTGATAAGCAGATCACTTGAGGGCTAAATACAAATCCTTTGTGCTAACAAATTTAAACCAGTAAGAAGGTGTTAATCTGAATTGGGTTGAAGCAATCAGAGTGAAGTGTCAGTTTCCATCGGTGAGGTTGTTCACACTGTAGAAATGAATATAGGGTACTGTAGCTGTTAGACTTTGAATTCAGCATGGCTAATACTGTTCCTTATTTTATTTATTTATGTATTCATTTATTTGAGACTGAATCTCACTCTGTTGCCCAGGCTGGAGTGCAGTGGTGCGATCTTGGCTCACTGCAACCTCTGCCTCCCAGGTTCAAGTGATTCTCCTGCCTCAGCCTCCCAAGTGGCTGGGATTACTGGCGCCGCAACCACACCTGGCTAATTGTTTTATTTTCAGTAGAGATGGAGTTTAACCATGCTGGCCAGGCTGGTCTCGAACTGACCTCAAGTGTTCCACCTGCCTCGGCCTCCCCAAGTTTGGGATTACAGGCGTGAGCCACTGCTCCCAGCCTCTAGTACTCTTCCTTTTGTGACATAAATGAAGTTTGTATATTTTAGTTTGAAACAACTTGATGCTATTACATATTTGATGGATCCAGCTCTCTTTTTCTGATTCTGTACTCACTAAACAAGCTTAATCTGATTCCAATCTGGCATGCCACATAGACTAATAGAGAATGCAGTGACCCGAAGTATAGATTCTGGTAATTTCTTGAAGTTTAAAATAAGAAATCACTTTCTGTGGTGATAATGGTGGGAGAGGAGGGTAGTGGTAGTGATGGTAATGATGTTGGAGCTGGTTACTGTATTGATACATATGATGTCTGGATCTTTAGAGGGAGTAAGATGCAATTGTTTTTTCATATAGACACCATACCTGTCATTTACTCATAACTGATTTATAAAGTGAGCTGTAATGATTTTGAAATATTTATCGCCTGGTAGATTTTCACTGTAAATCTTTTATATAAGTGTAATAAACTATTAATAATTAATACTAATTAATTTATTAATAATAAATCTACTAATAAGCTAGTCTTCAGCCGAAGCAGAAAAAGATATAGAGTTATTTCTAGATGTTATTTTGTCATTCTGTAATTCATTCTCTTTTAGGAATCGTGTTTTCTTGCTGTTCCCATTGCTTGCAATGAAAAATTTTAGGTACAAATACTATTCCACATATGTTTATCATATTCATATTTTTCTTTCTAAACAGAGATTATCAACTTTCTTATCTGTCTTTAAGAACCAGTATTGGTCTGTGGACTTCTTTTTTGTGCATTGTTTTGGTTGCAACAGATGCAAGCAGCCTTGTGTGTTATATTACTCGATTTACAGAAGAGGCTTTTGCAGCCCTTATTTGCATCATATTCATCTACGAGGCTTTGGAGAAGCTCTTTGATTTAGGAGAAACATATGCATTTAATATGCACAACAACTTAGATAAACTGACCAGCTACTCGTAAGTATTTCTCTTTTCTCCTAATATTAAAATGTGTTTTTACAGAGATGTCAGAGCCTCAGAAAATGAATTTTTTTTGCAGTGTGATAGTGTAACTAGCTATAACTACTTAACTAGCCATGTGATAGTGACATGGTTGTTTCAGATGAGATTTTGTCACAGCATTCAATGAACAAAAATATAGTTGATCAAATTCAGTATTTTTTGTTCACTGAGATAGCTTATTCACATGTGTATGTTTTGGTCTTCTGTTTGAATTGGATTGGCCAGTTTAAATTTGATTGGCAACTGATCCACTATATATTTGAATCAGGCAATTATTACATTGGATCTTATATTCTTTAAATCCTAGATGTATAATAGAATGTAGACTTTTTTTTATATATTTTTCAAATTTTGCATCTTCATTAATATTGTTGAAGCTTGATTTTTTTTTTTTGGAGACGGAGTCTCTCTCTGTTGCCCAGGCTGGAGTGCAGTGCCACAATCTCAGCTAACTGCAGCCTCTGCCTCCCAGGTTCAAGTGATCTTCCTGCCTCAGCCCACCAGTAGCAGGGATTACAGGCACGTATCACCGTGCCTAGCTAATTTTTGTATTTTTAGTGGAGACAGAGTTTCGCCATGTTGGCCAGGCTGGTCTCAAACTCCTGACCTCAGGTGATCCACCTGCCTCGGCCTCCCAAAGTGCTGGGATTACAGGCGTGAGCCACTGTGCCCGGCTGAAGCTTGATAATTTTTACTGAAAGTTATTTCAGTACATTCAATATGTGTTTTCGTTTTGATAAAAAAAAAAGTGCAATGAAAATCTTTTTAAATTCTAGAATAAAGTAGGATTTGAAAAGGAATGTGTAGTGGTTACAAAAGTTTGGCAAGTATATTCAATAAGTGTAAAATAGGCTTTTAAAAGTAGACATATTTAAGTAGATGCCTTTATTTGCTGTCTTTAGCAGTCACGCTTGGCGTAAATATGGAACTGCATTTGATTGATTTACAGGGAAAAATATGGTTACCAAAAGACACAAAAGGATACAGTTTTTCTTTTTCTACCCACCTAAGCCCCAGATACATGTACTTCCCTCTTTTGTTCATTCGTTCTTCCCCCGCTGCCTTTCCTTGCACACTCTCAACTTTGACGGACAGAATAAAGAGGGTATGAAAATTCCTGGAAGACATTGACCTATTTGAATATACTAGTGACACTATGATGCCGAATCTGTTATATACTATCTTCATTCCTCTTAGAAGCTTTAATTTAAACACATTTTTTAAATCTTTCTTTCCTTGCCTTTTGCTTCTTTGACCTTTATAAAGCATGACTTTTATAGTTAGTGTCAGCCAGTTAGAGCAGTGTTTCCTTCTGGTTAACTGGGTAATTAACATGTGAATTACATTTATTTGGCCAACATTCTATGAGCGTCTGCAGGCACTGTGTTAGGAGTGTTGCCTAATTTATATTATAAATTTATATTTGTAGTGTTACTTATTCACATCATAGCCCCTTTTGTGTATGAAGAAGCTGATGGCCTTGGAGGTTAAAACTTGGAGGTCAGTCATCTACTAAAAGCGCCTGGATGGACTCCAAAGTCTGTCTTCTTGCCTTTCCTCAAACAGTTCATAACCTAGTTTGGAACATTCATGATTATTACTTTTCATCTTTTAAGTCCGTATTTAAAAGTTTCTTTGCTTACGTGTGTTCTAGCTTTAGGTAGTTGAAATAGTTCTGGATATGAACTGAACTCTGATTTCCTTATGACTCTCCTAGTCCTGTCCTGATGAGAAACTATTTTTTATTTATTTCTTTAAGAATGAGCCTTAAGATCAACAAAGGGTGACTGTGAGTAGGTAGGGCTTGTCAGTTATAAAGAATTAATGGTAGTATAACTTATTGGGAATCTATATGTGCTATGGGGGAGTGGAGGGAGACAGCAGTAACTGCTATGGAGGTTGAGTAGATAAGCTTTAGTGGAGACTAATCTTGCTAAACATGGTGGAATCATCTTAGATTTTTAAGTAAAATAGTGCCCTCACCAAGGACATAACTAGCTTCATTAACTAAACGTTTTGATATTTGTATTGGTTTTATTTTATTTCTATAACCCAAACTTTATTCCATTCTGTTGTTTCTGATGTATTTTCCACTTTCTAGTCTCCATGCTTCTCAATGTGGGAAAAAAAGAAGTTAAAATCTACCACATTGTATAATTGATTTAGTAAAATGTAAGCATGAAATTCAGGATCCTTAAAAATGTATCCTACTCTAATTTCTCAGATGTGTATGTACTGAACCTCCAAACCCCAGCAATGAAACTCTAGCACAATGGAAGAAAGATAATATAACAGCACACAATATTTCCTGGAGAAATCTTACTGTTTCTGTGAGTATATTTTGAAATAAAGGGTTTTGTAATAGATATTGATCTGGTTCTTTTAGCTTTTTCTAATCAGACATCCATTTTCTCTTGATTGATGGATCGGTAGTATGTTTTCAGAATGTAGTGTTATTTTGACCAGATAGCAGTTGCTACTTTTTTATGTATCATGCGCTCGAAAGTGTAGGCTGAAAAGAATGAAACTGGCACGAGAGATAAAGGTGGATTATATTTGACTTCCAAGATATGAACAGTATAAAGATGTGAATATACTTCTGTTTTCTAATTCTACTTAGATTGATACGTTCAAAGGAAGTGTTTACTGGGACTGTGGCTACATATACTGTCCTTTACAATATTTTATATCCACTTGTCCTGCCTTTTTATCTGTTCATCTGCTCCATCGACAGCTAATTTAGATCATGAAGTGCTGTGTTAATGTCCTAATGTCTAAGTTAACCTTGTCTAACTCATCAAGACTAGTCTGGGTCGAACATTAAGGGAAGAGAAAGGAAAAAGAATTAAAAACATGTAATGAACACCTACTGTGTGCTGAATACTATTACAGATGTTTGTGTTCTGTTGGGGGAGTATTGTCCTAATCCTAGAATATTTATTTTTGACATTTCCAAGCCTGGGAGTTAGAAATAAATATGTAAAGTTTGCCAGTAGTTAGAATTAAGACTAAGATCCCTTGAGCTACCGTTGTGCTTTTTATATCATATAAGTAACTGTAGGTCATTCCTTTCTCACTAAAGGTGATAGTTCCTAACTATATAATTTGAAGGATATTATCTGAAATTTTATCCCACTGATAATTTAAGACTGTATTGTCCAATACAGTAGCCATTAGCCACGTGTGTCTATTTAAACTTAAGATTAATTAAAAGTTTAGTTTTTCAGTTAACTAGCCACATTTCAGGTGTTCAGTCAATTCATGTGACTGCTGGCTCCTGTATTTCCATTATTTCTGTGATGGAAATGTTACATTATCTGCATCATCTAATATATCTATTGGGCAGTGCTGATTTAAAGCAGTAAAAATTGCCAAGCATGGTGGTTCACACCATAGCACTCTGGGAGGACAAGGCAGGAGTATTGCTAGAGGCCAGGAGTTAGAGACCAGCCTGGGCAACATAGCAAGGCACCATCTCTACAAAAATTAAAAAATTACCCTGGTATGGTGACTCGCGCCTGTAGCTAACTTACTGGGAGGCTAAGGAGGGAGAATCACTTGAGCCCAGGAGTTGGAGATTACAGTGAGCTGTGATAGCATCACTGCTCACCAGCCTGGGCGACAGAATGAGACCCTGTCTCTAAAAACAAATAAAAGAAAAAACATAGATTCATGCTTTACTATTTTATATTTAAAAAGTCATTTTTGTTAAGGAAGAGGTGTAGTTAATAGAGGTGTTCAAATGAAAGTGATTTGTTACAAATAATTCATTTCATGATGGGTCAGATGTCTTGATATATAGATATAAGTGTTTTCATGTTATCCCAAAGGGCCATGCAGGGTGGGTTTTTTTGTTTTTCTGGTAATGGTATAGCTTTTATTTTCATGATCCATGGAATGGATTAGGTTTACTAATCTCAGCACATGGCATGTGAAAATAATGGAACATTTAACTATTTTTCTTTGGGTACAACTGACTTGTTTTGTTAAAATGAGCTTCATTAGATTATAAGTAAGAAAAAGGAGAACTTTAGTGGCATGTGCTTCTATTAATCTCTGATTGCCTTTCAGTTTTTTTTTTTTTTCCCTAAAGGAAAATGAAGTCAGTAGTTTCTATAATTGCATTTTATTATGCTATATTATTACGTTACTGATTTTATTAATGGAAATATTTTAACGGTCATTTTACTGCTTATGGTCCCTGTGCTTTTAGTCTGAAGGTACTGAATCAAGTCAGAAAAGCTAAAGACAATTTTTATTACTGATTTTAATTTAGGTACTGTAGCCATCTCTTATCCAGCATCATAAAAGAGCATAGTATTAATTTTCTATCTGCTGCTTTTGTTTTAAACCACTTGTTCAGAAACGAAAAGCGGTAAAATTGTGGACAAGCAAGAATGCAGAAGAAACATTTCACAAATAATACTCACTACAAGGCTTTCAGTATAGGGAATATGGAATTGAAAGAAAGGAGTATTTGAAGTGACTTGGCAAAATACTGTATTTTAGTGATTTGAGATGCACGTATTTTTCAAATTATAATATCTTGAACTCAGGATATGTATTACAATTAGTTGTTAGTGTGTTATAGTTGGCTGGACAATGTTTTTTCTTTATAAGGAATACAAAGTAATGGTGCCTCTTACAATCAGTTGCATCTTACGAGTCAATGAAGCTCATAATAATTTATTGAATACGTAAGAATCCCCCATTCTGCTTTTTCTTTCTCCTTTTTTCCAGGAATGTAAAAAACTTCGTGGTGTATTCTTGGGGTCAGCTTGTGGTCATCATGGACCTTATATTCCAGATGTGCTCTTTTGGTGTGTCATCTTGTTTTTCACAACATTTTTTCTGTCTTCATTCCTCAAGCAATTTAAGACCAAGCGTTACTTTCCTACCAAGGTAACTGTGATATAATTTTGGAATTCTGGTAATATTCATATTTTTGGTTTTTATTTCCTTGGTTTATTTCAAAACAGTAATATATTTTTTGAGGTTAATACTCCATGCCAACTGGTTAATAAAGAAATTATTCGTAGTGAAAAATGTATATTACGTGCCTGAGCTCACAGTAGGAAGATGATGGTACCATAAGAGTTGCTAGGTTAGTTGCGAAATGTGTTTCTTATATTTTTGGAAAGAATTAAATATAAATGTGTTTCACTGTTAACATTGTCACTAGTTAAAAGCTCCATTTGTACGTTGTAGTGACAATTTTATCAATAAAAGATGTGAATTATTTAGAAAGAACACATAGTATTTCTGTGTTTATATTAACATAATCCCTTTAACATAGGTGCGATCGACAATCAGTGATTTTGCTGTATTTCTCACAATAGTAATAATGGTTACAATTGACTACCTTGTAGGAGTTCCATCTCCTAAACTTCATGTTCCTGAAAAATTTGAGGTAAGGATTAAAACAAGTGGCTATTTGTTACTTGGGAATACCACACTACTTTAAAGCAAGATACTATTTTCTCAGTAGTTATTGTTTTAAAAGTATGTAGTCTCTTTGAAGGGCTGATGCTTTGAAAGGAAATAATTTATATGTGTTTTTCATATGTATATAAACAATGACAATATGGACAGAAAAGAGACATGTGAACTTAAAAGTATCACCGCTGGTCCATTAGAGAGAGTGAATGAAAATATTTGTGGTAAGATGTAGGGAGCCATTAAAAAAAAAAAAAAGTCTTTGCTCTCCTACCTGGAGTTCTTGCTGTACCTTCCAGGGAGAAGGAAACAGCCTTTATTTTTTTATAAAGAAGTAACCCAGGCCAGGTGCAGTGGCTTGTGCCTGTAATCCCAGCACTTTGGGAGGCCGAGGCAGGTGGATCACTTGAGGTCAGGAGTTCAAGACCAGCCTGGCCAACATGGTGTACTAAAAATACAAAAATTAGCCAGGCGTGGTGGCGGGCGCCTGTAATCCCGCTACTCGGGAGGCTGAGGCAGGAGAATCGCTTGAACCCAGGAGGCGGAGGTTGCAGTGAGCTGCGACCATGCCATTGCACTCCAGACTGGGCAATAAGAGGGGAACTCCATCTCAAAAAAAAAAAGTAACCTAAAATTCAATTTTCTAGGAGTGGCAGAGAGGGTCTAGTTAAATTTCTAGAAGGGTAGTATATCTGACAGTAGTTGGAAAATTCCATGTAACAATTTCCAGTAGCATAAGGAGAAAACGAAGTGTGTTCTATAAGAAAAATGATCTGAGCATCCATTTGAATTTTCTGCTTTCATTAGCAGATTTGAATATATTCATTTTCCTTCTGCTCTGTTTTTGTTTTCTTCCATCCTCCTTTGCTTATGCTAAAAGGAAAGACATTGTGAATAGTGTCACTGGTTATATTTAATTTAACAAGTTATATGACTTCTTTCAGAAGCAGCTGGTTTAAAGGGGATCCGAAATAAGGAATATAATGAAGATCATTTTATTTTATATTATAAAATCTAATTTTATAATATTGCACTGAGACCAAAATGTTATTTTTAAAATCAGTGGTCTTTAAAGTAGGGTACACAGGTGGAAAATGATCTGCCAACAATTTTTAGAAAGTCTTATGTTTTTAATGTAAAAATATGAAAATATTAAACTTTAGGTTTATTTTATGAGAATATATAAATAAATGAAACTATGAATTAATATTGGTTCAAAACGTGATGTAATTTCCTGTAATCCTGGCCTAAGTTCCTTATTCTGATTCTTAAATATGTCCTTGTTATTTATTTACTGATATGGCTTTCAGGTAATAGGCTGATTTCAAGGGGCATAAAATATACTTGAGGAAGCAAATCAAGGAACTCTTAAGAGTAAATGGCATTGTATAAGTAGAATAAAATATTTTTGTTCATACACAACATTGAGTGTGAGGTAGTTTAATATATATTAGTGTGGAAAGATTGAATTACCTGAACTTTGAAAGTATTAAATTTCCCTTTTATATTGACAAATGTTTTCATGAAGAAGAAACAAGCTTAATACCAAGTTGAGGTAATAAAAACATATGTTTAGGTTTCTATATATGCAGTATTCTCCCAAACATACTAAACTCTCTTGATCTTTAAAAAAAAATTGCTATAAAATCTTACATTGTACTGTCAAAATGTATTAGTATCTCATAAAGTGCCAGATTTTTGTTAGTAGTTCCTTTGGAAATACCATGTATTGTGGACCAGTTCTGATTTAGTACTGACCCTGTCAAAATCACTAAGTCTGCAGGACTAGACTAAAGCAGTTTAGTTTAGGAGTTTAGTGGATAGATTGATTTCACCTTATATGAATTATGCAGGAACATGTGGAAATGACATTCCAGTTTGCTTATCAATTTCTACATAACAAACTTTTGAATAACAGCCCTTTATTTGTTTATAATTCTGTGGCAGTTGAGACTAGGCTTAGCTGGTTTGTGGTCTGCTCTGTGGGGTGCAGTCATCAATGGGGGCAATATGCCTTCATTCATATGTCTGAGGCCTCAGCTCAGATGGATGAAACAGCTGGAATAGTTGCCTGGGGAACCGCCCCCGACACCCACTACCATATAGACTATATTGAGGATAGTCTTATCCTCAAGAAAGCTTATCTAGGCTTACTCGACAGCGTAATAATCTCAGGGTTCAAAGCAGGTTAGAGAAGAAGCTGCAAGGTTCTTTAAGGTTAAGACTTAGAAATCACATAGTGTCACTTTGGCCTTATTCTGTGGGTTAAAGTAAGTCACAGGGTCATCCTGGTTTCAGGGGGGAAGGAGGCAGACTCCACCTCTAGGTGGAAAGATTGACTGAGTCAAATGACAGGAGGTATAGTTATAGGGATAGGAAGAATTACTGTGGCCATCTTTGAAAATAATTCACCATGTAGTTCAAGATTTAAGTTATTTCCCATTCGTTGGGTATTTCTTGGAACAGATCAAGTCTATGTTATGGAAATTTAGTGCAATACAGCAAGGAGACTTTTTGAAAATTATATTTAATTTTTTAACAGCCTACTCATCCAGAGAGAGGGTGGATCATAAGCCCACTGGGAGATAATCCTTGGTGGACCTTATTAATAGCTGCTATTCCTGCTTTGCTTTGTACCATTCTCATCTTTATGGATCAACAAATCACAGCTGTAATTATAAACAGAAAGGAACACAAATTGAAGGTAATTTTAGAATTTTGCCTTAAGCATTGTGATTCTTCAAGGGTTTGAGCTGTTTTTGTAATGATTAGAACATTAAAAGATGTAAGATGAAAATTAGCTTCTTCCCTCTTTATAATTCGTGTAGAATTTTAAATTGAGGGAACCATTTAGACTTACAGATATTTATGTTCATTTCACTTTTCAGAAAGGAGCTGGCTATCACCTTGATTTGCTCATGGTTGGCGTTATGTTGGGAGTTTGCTCTGTCATGGGACTTCCATGGTTTGTGGCTGCAACAGTGTTGTCAATAAGTCATGTCAACAGCTTAAAAGTTGAATCTGAATGTTCTGCTCCAGGGGAACAACCCAAGTTTTTGGGAATTCGTGAACAGCGGGTTACAGGGCTAATGATTTTTATTCTAATGGGCCTCTCTGTGTTCATGACTTCAGTCCTAAAGGTAAAATTTCTTTATTGCCGTGTTTTACAATCTTATTATAACATTTATACTTAGTTATGTGAACATGAAACATTAAAATATACTTAAAATACCTAAAATTAGGTTTGTTTTCCACAGTTTACTTGGGAAATAATTTCATTAGGTTTTTAGTATAGCAAGCATTTCAGTGGTAAGCTGTATATATTTTTAAAATAATGTATACCAGGTGTAGTGGCTTACGCCTGTAATCCCAGCAATTTGGGAGGCCAAGGAAGGAGGATTGCTTGAGGCCAGGTGTTCAAGACCAGCCTGGGCAACATAATGAGACCCTGTCTCTATAAAAATAAAAATAATTAGCCAGGTATGGTGGCATGCTCCCGTGGTGCCAGCTGCTCAGGAGGCTGAGGTGGGAGGATCGCTTGAACCTGGGAGGTCAAGGCTGCAGTGAGCCGTGATTGGGCCACTGCACTCCAACCTGGGTGACAAAGTGAGATCCTGTCTCAAAAAACAAAAAAAATTATAATATGGCAAATATATGTATAAAACGCTCATAAATAAAAGTATTTGTGGGGGAGGGGAAATGACCTCAGTAATTTTTAAGAGTATAAAGGAGTCTTGAGACCACAGAGTTTGAGAGCTGCTGACCTAAAGTTGTGTCTTTCACCTATGACTCCATCCTCATTCTGTCTTCCATCACATCCCTCTTGTTGGCTTTTATTTTTAATTTTTTTATTATTGTAAAAGTCGTTATTAACATTTACATTTTGTGCTATGATGATAATTAAGGCTTCCTTGCATCTCCTGTAAGTTAGATTATAGAAATTTAAACCCTCTGGGAACACATAAATGATATTACGATGGTATTTGCTGGGGACTAAGCAGTGTGATTGTGAGGACTAAGCAGTGTGAGTTGCCTGCAGGGAGGCAGAAATATACTCTATTTTACTCCAGCCCAAGCCTGAAGACCAAATAAGTCTTTCTAATATCTGCTACCTTCCCTTACTGTAAAAAAATTGTATATGCAGGTTCCCCTTTTTCTTGTATTCATTTTTTGTATTGATAAATTCTTTTTACACATGGTACCATTAGCGGTGAACTTATTGAGAGTTCTTGCATATTTCAAAATGTCTCTATTTACCTCAACATTTGATCCATAGTTAGATATTCAAAATAGTTTTCTTTTGGATCTTAAAGTCATTGTTTTCTGGAGACCAATTTTCTAATGAGAAATCTGAAATCTATTTGGTTTTTGTACTTTTATGGAGACCTTTTCCCTCTTTAAGATAAACCAAAAAAATTTTTTTTAACTTTTGTTTTTGTGAAAACTCATTCAGATACTTAGGGAGGCAGTTAGGGGCTTTTCATTTACCCTGCTTAGTCTCTGTTGGTTTTCTCGAGAAACCTGTGCCTTCTGCTGTGAGAATTTTCTTCCCCTGTTTACTTCCCTTTTCGTCTATTGTCTCTGTTACAAATTTCTTCAACTCCAGCTAAACAGATCTCAGACCTTTTGGATTTGTTCTAATATTCTTATCCCTCCTCCCCCTTGCTATTAAAGAAAATTTTCTCCTTTTTTCATATCATTATATTGGTCTTCAGTCTTATGAAAATTATTACTACAAAATTTTAGTTATTTTGATATTTATAGATTTAATTTTCATGAGCTTTTCCCATTCTTATTTCTTTTTCCTAGCATTTTTTTTTCTTTTTTCTTTTGAGACAGAGTCTCACTCCATCACCCAGGCTGGAGTGCAGTGACATGATCTTGGCTCACTGCAACCTCTGCCTCCTGGGTTCAAATGATTCTTGGCCTCAGCCTCCCGAGTAGCTGGGACTACAGGCACGTGCCACCATGCCCAGCTAATTTTTGTGTTTTTGGTAGAGATGATGGTTTCGCTATGTTAGCCAGGTTGGTCTCGAACTTATGGCCGCAAGTGATCTGCCCGCCTCAGCCTCCCGAAATGCTGAGATTACAGGCATTGCTTAGATTTTTTAAAATACGTCTGCTTCGTAAACTGTTTTCTTTTTTTCCAGTGTCCTTAGAAAGACACGCTAGGTTGTTTAGAAGAGATGTAGTAGATGTGGTTTTCCTCTGTAGTTTTTTAATTTGTTGTTCCTTATAGTACACTTCTCCCTTAGGTCAGAGTGCTTTTTGTGGTTTTGAGTAAATGGATGGGCTCTGTTAATAGCCAGACTTTCTTGCAGGATGAATAGGTGTGAACTGTGTAGACAGTTTGGGATCATCATAACTGCCAAAGTAGTAAGGATTTTATTTTGGAGGTGGATTTTACTTACTATATTCAGTAAAGGCTACTGCTTAATATTCAGTGCAGCAGGTAGTGATAGCAATGACAATGGTTGTCACTTTTTGTGTGCTTAATATGTATCAGAGCTTTTCTGAGTGTTTTATGTATTTGAAGTCATTGAATCTTTACAGCAATCTGATATAGAAACTGAGGTACAGAAAGTTAAGTTTGACTTAAAACTAAGTCTGACTGCAGTACTCCTGATCTTAAGTGAACATACTCCCTTTTTAGGAAGCAGCATGTAGAAGATGAGTCATTTTTCAAGCAGGTTATTGTATATTAGCAATTTTCTTATGTGTGGAAATGTTAGGTCGGTCTAATCCTCATGATTGAAAAATCTTTTAATTCTAGCCCTATAATTACTCACTGATTATGTTTTTGTTTACTTACTACTCATGAGTTCTAATTGTGTTCATTTTATTTACAGTTTATTCCAATGCCTGTTCTGTATGGTGTTTTCCTTTATATGGGAGTTTCCTCATTAAAAGGAATCCAGGCAAGTTTTAAGTATTTAATGATTTTCTATAGAAACTTGATAATTTTAAGTATGCAAAGATTGTTTTAATGATGGTAGTGATTTATTCTCAACTCTGACATTTTGAGGGGAGGTTAGTTTTCTAACTGATGACTTCAGACATTTGCCAAGTGATTGTTTGCTTACTGTACATTTTTTCCTCCAGAGAGTGAGATCATGAGCTGACATGGTCCTTACCTGTTTTTAATTGAAGCCAATGAAAAGCCCTATAACTCAATAAAGACTAGAATAGTGAGAGGGAGGATCAAAAGGATTGTATTGAAAAAAAGTTTTGGTACTTAAAAAGGTAGATATTAGTTTCCTATAAAAATAGCAAGACCCGCCATTTGTGTAACACAATACAGCTTATGAAGCCTAGCATATACATCATTTTGTGATCCTCAAAACATTAACCAGTTGGGAGAGAGGAAAGGAAGAAATCCTAATATAAATCAGGAAACAGAAATAGAAGGACTTATTGAAGATTATTAGCTAAGCCAGTGGTTTCATTATTTTGTTTTGTTTTAATAGTTACTGGGAAACAACCTAATAAAACTTCTTAAGATTTGTACTAATATAATTTTAGTATAAAACATTTAGGCTGGCTATCATTACTCATGTCTGTTATCCCAACACTCTGAAAGCCTGAGGCAGGAGTATCACCTGAGGCCAGGAGTTTGAGACCAGCCTGGACAACACAGTGAGATCCTGCCTCTACAAAACCTTTAAAAATTAGCCGGCTGTGGTGTGTGTACTTGTAGTGCTGGCTACTCAGGAGGCTGAGGTAGACGGATTGCTTGGGCCCAGGAGTTTGAGGCTGCTGTGAGCTGTAGTCATGCCACTGCATTCCAGCCTGGGTGACAGAGTGAGACCCTGTCTCAAAAAACAAACAAACAAACACACACAAAAAAAACGATCATAAAGCACAGTTAGCGCTACATGACCACCTCTTCTCATGAAAAGGATGTTGTCTAAAGTTTCCAACTCATAGGCTAGTGGCAGGAAAACATCTTTATTTTTTCAACACCATCCAGGACCTACTCTTCACTGGTCAAGAAATTATTTCCTTATCTCACCTGATTTTTAAGAGTTTTGTGAGATGATTAGGGCTGATCTTATTCACAGTGTGTTAATGAGGAAATTAAAGCTCAAAAAGATGAAGGCATTTGCTCAGTTTTATTTTCAATTAGTGAAGAATTGTAATTGTTATCTCAAGTTATTTTCTGGTTAAATTTGTGAAGAACCTTAGAAGTCACTCAGACTATTCTTTTGTCATGAACATTACAAAACAAAGAGATAAATGACTTGTGCATTCAATTATAGCAGATAAGTTTATCTAGATATTTTAATCCTCTGAATTAAACATTTTGGCTTGAGTTTTCTGATTAAATAAATTACAGCAGTGCAAGTGGTTGCTTGGTTCCCACCTGCCACCCTCCCCCACCCGACCCCACTTTGGATCCAGAGAATGCTTGCTGTAACATTCTCCTGTACTATCAGAAAATGTCAAGGAAGTTACAATTTAATACACAAAATCCTAAAGTTGAGTATAGATTCTTCTCCTAAATAGCAGAAATATTTTATTGAAAACTTCTTTGTTTTTTATTCTATATGTAGTTATTTGACCGTATAAAATTATTTGGAATGCCTGCTAAGCATCAGCCTGATTTGATATACCTCCGTTATGTGCCGCTCTGGAAGGTCCATATTTTCACAGTCATTCAGCTTACTTGTTTGGTCCTTTTATGGGTGATAAAAGTTTCAGCTGCTGCAGTGGTTTTTCCCATGATGGTAAGATTTCTTCAGACTTATTTTGTCACTAATTAATAATATGTTTACAGTAATTTTTTATTAATATTTATAATTGATTTTGAGAAAAAGAATAATGCGTTTTAAGTACCTTAGGTGTTTGAAAATGTGAATTAGCTGTTACTAGATACAAAGCAGTTGTTTCCCAGCTTCAATTTTATTACTTTGTAAATTTTTGTTTGTTTTGCTTTTTAGTCCTTAGGCTATAGGACTTGGTTTTGTATTTTTAAATAACTTCAGAATTCAGGACGTTCATGGAACAAATACATTTTCAAATGTAAAAGCAAAGGAACCAAAACAACATGGTTCATTATTAAAATACTTTGATATATCTTTTTCAGAAATTGACAGATGTGGAAGTTAAAAAGTAATGAAGGCTACCGATGACTTTAATAAGACAATATAATTCATTAAATTATCACAGAATATTGCATTTTACAAATAGAGAATGTACATTCTTCTGTAAATGCTATGTAAAAATTGGTTTTGTACATGGCCACAGAGAAAACCTTACAGAATTTAAAAAGCTATAAAAATTACTCAAGTAGTATTTTCTAAAAACAGTTAAATTAGAAATAAATAATGGAAAGCCACTAAAATAATCTTAAATATTTGGAAATTAAACACTGTTCTAAATAATTTCTGAATAGAAAACAGTTAAAAAACCATCTAGAGGTATTGAAAGAGAGAAAATTATAACAATGTCTGTCTAAAACTTTGAGCACAACTAAAGTTACACTGAGAGGAAGGTGTATGCACTTCATTGCCTTTATTATTCAAGAAGACTTCAATGCAACTAAGTTGTTTTTTTTAAAAAAATCAATAATGGATAAACCACTCCCAAGCACATGTAAAGAAGAAAATGAGAGAATGGATATACAAGATTAAGGAGGAGAAAAGAGCGATAACCAGAGATATGGAGATGATTCAAGGGACTTGATGAAAATAACACTTGCATGAATATCAATAAATTTGAATATCTAGAGCAGAGGTCAATAAACTTTTTCTGTAAAGGGCCAGATAGTAAACATTTTAGGCTTTATAGGTCACGAGAGTATTATGTGGGTACTTATGTAATCTTATTGATGAAATTTAAAAAATAATTTTAAAAATATAGGACTATTAGAAGAATGGAATTATTTTTTATTTGACATTATTTTACTTAATTGGGATTCATGGTTATTGTTTTCTACCATCAAATTAATTCCAAATGTTTATCTGTAAAAAAACATTCTTAGGTTATAGGCTATACAAAAATAGATGGTGGATGAAATTTAACTCAGGTGCTATGGTTTGCTGACCTCTGACCTGGAACAAATGGATTATTTTCATACTATATCTAAATTTCCAAAATTGACACTGGAAGTATAAAATTTGTGTATAGCCCAGTTGCATAGAAGAAACTGGAAAAGTGGTTAAAGACCTGTCCTTAAAGTATCAGGGTCAGATTGGTTAAAAGCTTAATTTTAAAGAACAGATAATTACAGTACCCTCTTGAATTATTCTAGACCAAAGGAAAAGATGGAAACCTATGCAATTTTTCTCAAAAAACACTGACAAGTTATTAATACCCAAGGCTAATTAAGTTGCACAAAAGATTTATGCTGCCTTCTTACTAATATAAATGCAGAAACCTTAAACTAAAATATTAGCAAGTAAACAAATTTAGCAGAATTTCCAAGAGTAATATATCTTAAGTAGATAGACAATGATACTTTGGCTTCAAAGCAATTATTAACATATTTGTTGAAAATGTCATTGTATACCTATTAACCCAAGTGATTTTAGTTAAAAACAAAAAAGACTGAGCCCTTAATAGAATTAATAAGAATTGTGTTAGGGTGGCTGGATGTTAGAAAACTTGATGAATTAGTAGGCAGTCTCTCTCAATGATCAAAAACCATAAAGTACTTAAGAATAAATTTTAAAAGAAAGACCCCTTTAAAGAAAAAGGCTTTATAATAGCATTTGTATTAGCTTCCAAGGGCTGCTGTAACAAAGTACCACAAACCAGAGGCAGTATGTGGGGGTGGGCAGTGACATGCTCTTTCTGAAGCCTCCAGCGGGGAATCCTGCCTTGTCTCTTCCTCTCTTCTGGAGGTTTGCTGGCTGTCTTTGGCATTCCTTTGGCTTGCAGCTGGGTAACTGAAGTTGGAGCCTTTGTTGTCACATGGTGTTCTTCAACAGCTTATTTCCAAATAAGTTCATATTCTGAGGTACTGGAGGTTAGGACTTAACTGTCTTTAATGGGGAACAAAATTCAATCAATAACAGTATTAAGGGACAGCAAATAAGACCTGAACAAATACTGTGTTCTTTGTTTTAAAGATTTCATATTATAAAACTTGCAGTTTTCTGAAAAATCGCATTTAAATGTAATATAGTGCCAAGTACAGATTCTACTGGAGTTTTATCTGAATGTATGTGTTGGGGTGGGGGGTGGTGTCATTGTGAACTGGATAAATAATTTGGAACTGGATAAATAAAAAATAAATGCCTGACTCAAAAACATGGATGGTAGAAATGTTCTGTATCTTGTCTGGGTGTGCATTATATGAGTAGTATATACATTTGTCAAAAGTATCAAACTGTACACATGCTATTTTTCAATTTTTCTGTATGTAAATTACATATTCATTAGAAAGAAAGACATAACTACTAGAGAATAACAAGATAATGATAATTATAACTAAGAAGGATTCCTGGCTAGGATTGAGCATAGAGGGCTTTGCTTTGCCATCTACTTCACTGTTCGTGTGCTGATACTGTACTGTTTTAATAACCAAATATTTAAAAATTGCTGACAAGTCAGTGTAGCCACCATAATATAGAATTGGCATATGAATAGACAAATCAGAAAAATAGACAAATGGGTCCAGAAATGTATCTGAATACATTGGAATTTTATCACTTGAATACCATAAGCAGGTTATTTCATTAAAGGTAGTATTTCTTTTGTATGGGAGAATTTAGTATTGGACGATTTAAATGTATACTGGAAGCTAAGTAATGTTGTACTCCTTATCTGAGACCATGTTCAGAAATCAAAATTGAATTCAGTATTTAAATGGTAAAATAAATTGTAGTGGAAAATGTAAAAGAGTATTGTATAATCCATTGATTGGGACTAACTTTTCAAAGAAGATAGGAAAACCCAAGTGTAAAAGGAAGATATGCTATATTTGACGTGATAATTAAATGTTTCTTATATGTTCAAAAAGTATAAAAAACAGTTAAATCAGACTGTGAACTGGGAGAAAATATTTGTAACATGTAAGGCAGATAAAAAATTTCTATTCAAACTACACAGAACTCATAAATGCATAAACAAAAGTCATAAAAACCAACAGTCCAAGTTTAGGAAATAGCAGGTACAGAAGTGGAAATCTTATTGGCCAGTCAGCATTCAAAAACATGCTCATCTTCAGCAGCAGTTAAAGCAAATTAAAGTATTAGTTCATTTCTCCCATATGATTGAAAAGTTAAAACCTAATGTTGGGAATAGGTACTCTAATGTATTGCTGAAGAGATTTTTAAAAATTATATATACTTACATAATATGTAATGTCTTAAAAATTAATTGTTTTTTGCTTTGATATTCAGTGTTTAACCTGCTTCATAATTTTATGCGTAGTGCAAGGGATTTATTCAGGAGAAGGTTAAGAATGCCATTTCCTTTTTTCCTCTCTTTATAGTTTTTTTTTTTTTTTTAGCACAAAGTAAAAAAAGATAAATAATTGACTCAATTCCTTTGAAACAAAATGATGTGTGAATAATTTTTAAACTATATGAAGCATTTTTTATAAGATTTAATAAATATGCTTTTCCTCTTTAAGTGATACAGTTTGTATTATGTGTTACTTAATATTTCCTTCCCCACTTTTTAAAGGTTCTTGCATTAGTGTTTGTGCGCAAACTCATGGACCTGTGTTTCACGAAGAGAGAACTTAGTTGGCTTGATGATCTTATGCCAGAAAGTAAGAAAAAGAAAGAAGATGACAAAAAGAAAAAAGAGAAAGAGGTAAAAAGATAACAATTTTAAACTTACACCACTTCCTTATTTAATATTTTGCACCATATTGCAGGCACCATTATAATCACTTTACATGAATCAGTTCCTTTCATCCTTCTAAGAACTTTATAAAAGTGTAGTAGGTACTGCTGTTATCTCCATTTTATAAATGAGGAAGCAGGCAGAGAGTGGTTAGGTAACTGTTCCAAATGTAGTCTCTTCACCATTTCACTGTGTTGTACCTCCATAGCTCTGACACAGTAATACTTTTCAAAAATTACATATCATGTGCTTACTAAATCAGCAATTAGAAGAATTAGAGTTTTAGCAATATTAAAATATAGGTAACACAAAATAGTTATACCTCAGAGTATATTATCTGAGAAAACTTTAAATACATTTAACATAAATTTTAGCATATATTTAATTTTAATAGCGTTTTAATAATTGGCATACATAATGACAAAAAGGATTTTTAAGTAATTATCTTTTTTAAAAAGTATAATAAAGTTTTAGTCTTTATATGCACTTACTGTGTACCACCATTAGTTGATTTGTATGCTGAGATTTAAGCATAAATAACTTTATTCTGAATTGGAATTTGATTTTTAATAACCAACTCGATAGTATCGGTTAATAAGAAGGAAAAGTAGAGACTTGAGTATATAGCATTGATGGTTTTGTTGATTGTAGTTCCTTGCTCCATTTTCCCATTCAGAGTATTGTTTGAAAATCAAAGATAAGAAAGACACATATTTTTAAATGTATGGTCCTGTTTAAATAGAGATTAAAATTTTATTGATTTTATGTTTATTTTTCAACAAAAATTAAAATTCTTTAACTAGATACTAATTAGAATATTAATTTGAATTAAGACACCAGATTTTTAAAATTAAGATTTTGGTTTTCTTCAGAGTTATATATGTAAATACGTATGAGGGTTTTTTGTTTTTTTCTTCTGAGATGGAGTCTTGCTCTGTGGCCCAGGCTGGAGTGCAGTGGCATGATCTCGGCTCACTGCAACCACCTCAACCTCCCGGGTCCAAGCTAGCTGGGATTACAGGCACCCGCCACCAAACTGGGCTTATTTTTGTACTTTTAGTAGAGACAGGGTTCCACCATGTTGGCCAGGCTGGTCTTCAACTCCTGACCTCTGGTGATCTGCCTGCCTTGGTCCCCCACAGTGCTGGGATTATAGACGTGAGCCACTGTGCCTGGCCTGTATGAGTTTTTCATGATTTTTTCAAATAGAATATAATTTACCTATAAAATATATGGGCCAAATTGCCTGTTTGTTACTTTCTGTATTAATTAGAATGAGGTTCGTCATATATAACAAAAAACAAAAGTAAAAGTGGCCTTTAAACACAAGGTTATTCTTGTGTTTCAAGTAAAAGAATTCTTGAAAGCAAGTGATGCAGTGTTAAGCCCCACAAAGTTATCAGGGGCTCCTTGTTACTTTTCTCCTGACCTCAGCATATGGTTGCCATCCTCATCTTCACTTCATGAATCAAAATGGCTGTCAGACTCCAGCTGTCATGTTAGCATTAGAGACAGCAGGAAAAAGGAAGGGATAGAAGGCAAAATAGCTTCACCATATTGTCAAGTTTAAGGAGTCTTTCCAGAATGTCATCCAGTAAGTTCTACTTGCACCTCATGATCCTACTGAGTTTGTAAGGAATGCTGGGAGATTCAGTTTAGGGGTTTTTGTTTTTGTTTTTGTTTGTTTGTTTTTAGGATCTAGGCAAATTGACACCTCAAAATAGTCAAATTTCTATTAATAAGGAAAAGAAATATGAATGTTCTCTCAGTGTCTCCTCTACTGTCCTATCGATCACCGCCATTATTAACATCATAATTTTCTTCCGTGTCCACTGTCCAAGTTGGTCTCAACCTGAGCTTGAGCCTTAATCTTAACCAGCCTGAGTGGTCTGCTTTGCTGGGTTCTATAAACATTTGCTAAATGATCTAAGATAGTACTTTCATTGATGTACTTTTAAAAAGAGTATAGGAAGTACCATGATGGTTATTAGTAATTATCACTGGGGTGGGCTGGAGGGAATTAAACAACTCTCAGTTGTTAGTCTGAGAGTATTTGAGACATTGCCGAGAGTATTTCAATTTCTGAGATATTTTTGATTGTTATAACTGGAGGGGCTGCTACTGGCATCTGATAGGTAGAATTCTGAGGTGCTGTGAAATACTCTATATACACAGGACTTCTACTACAAAAGATAAATATTATACCCTAAATGTCAGTATTGCTGGGGTTGAGAAACCCTGCCTTATCCAAATGACATTCTGCCCATATTGTATTGTGATAAGGTTTCACAGAATGTTATCTCTCATTATAAACCTACATAATAATTGATAATCACATTTATGTAGTTAAATTGTAGTTAAATCTTAAATAGTATAAGTGACAGTGATTTACATAAAGAAATGAAAGTTAAATTAGTCATGTTTTACAAGTGGTTGTTTTTATTTTATGTTACAAGTATGTGTTCATGATTATAAAATTTTTCAGTAATGGCAGTTATATTTAAATAATGTCAGTTTGGGTTTCTAAGTCTGTAAAATGTTATAAATTAGTCAATTCTCTTGGAAAATATTCTGGGAAAAGTAACCTCTTCACACATGTGTTATAAAGGAAGCTGAACGGATGCTTCAAGATGATGATGATACTGTGCACCTTCCATTTGAAGGGGGAAGTCTCTTGCAAATTCCAGTCAAGGCCCTAAAATATAGGTGAGATATGACTTTATGCTCTAAAACTTTTATATGCATGTCAAATGTATTAATAAGTCATATAATGCTTCTTTAAAGTGATGATTTCTATTTTATAAAAGATGATACAATCTGCATATGGTGTATCAACTAAAGGAGGGCTTCACACAATTTGAAAAGGAAGTCCCTTGCTCCTTTCCCACCCAAGCTGGACTTGGACTAACCCAAGCTGGACTTAAACTAACTTCCATGCCAAGCCAATAAAATTTGCTTGTCTTCTATCACTCCATCTATCTTAGTGAAGTTTAAAATCAGTACATGAGTCTGAGAATATTTCCATTTTCCCAGTAGTGTGGCTTTTTCCTTTGTGCCCTTCATTAGGGCTGGGGTCGGTGGGTGCTGGAAAATAAACGTTTTCAGTAATCTTTGTCAGTGTCCATTCAAATACCAGTAATTCATTTTCTGATAGCCTTCCAATATGTAACTATGTTTAGAGGCCCTAGAAGTCTCTTAGTTTTCAAAGATGTGATTTGATTATTGGCGGTGAGGGTTCATATGATGCAAGAATTAATATTTTATGTATAATTCATTATTCGTGATTTTGATGATTTATATTTAAATTTAAGAACTAAAGATATAGAGGTTGGGAAATGCAGACTTTTGTAGTTTTAAAAGATTAACCTATATTTGTGTACACACCTGATTTCTATTTCTACACATCTATTCCATTTCTGATTAGCTAGAGAAATCAGTCTTAGAGGCCTGGTGTGGTGGCTCACACCTGTAATCCCAGCACTTTGGGAGGCTGAGGCAGGTGGATCACCTGAGGTCAGGAGTTCACGACCAGCCTGGCCAACATGGGGAAACCTGTCTCTACTAAAAATACAAAAATTAGCTGGGTGTGGTGGTGCCTGTAATCCCAGCTACTCAGGACAGTGAGGCAGGACAGTTGGTTGAACCCAGGAGGCAGAGATTGCAGTGAGCCAAGATCATACCAGTGCACTCCAGCCTAGGCAACAGAGCAAGACTCAGTCTCAAAAATAATGATAATAATAACAACTTACATTTGTGTACACACCTGATTTGTATTTTTTTTCTTTTTTTTTGAGATGAAGTCTCATTCTTGTTCCCCAGGCTGGAGTGGAATGGTGTGATCTCGGCTTACTGCAACTTCCACCTCCTGGGTTCTCCCGAGTAGTTGGGATTACAGGCGCCTGCCACCACGCCCAGCTACTTTCTGTACTTTCAGTAGAGATGGGGTTTCACCATGTTGGCCACAATGGTCATCTCAAACTCCTGCCCTCAGGTGATCCGCCTGCCTTGGCCTCCCAAAGTGCTGGGATTACAGGCATGAGCCACTGTGCCTGGCCCTCCTATTTCTACACATCTATTCCATTTCTGATTAGTTAGCGAAATCAGTCTTAGAAAATATACAGGTTTCTTTCCTGACCAGTTGATAGAAAATGTTTTATTGGTATTTAGTTAACTTCCATTTCTTTCTCTTTTTTTTTAGCTATTTATAGCTTTTACAGGAGTAACATTTGACTTGTACATGTTGATTAGTTGTGATGAATGAATTCAACTAATTTTGCTCTATACGTTTTGCTATTAATTTTCACTATTGGTATTATTCTGTATTAATGTTTCCCTCAAATTTTTATATACTTTAAATGCCAAGCATAGAGGCATTTAATATGGATATTTAATATATCCAGCCACAGCGATCTGCTTTGCTGGGTTCTAGAAATACTTGTTAAAAGATTTAATATATTAGCTTCATTGATGTACTTCTAAAAAGAGTATAGGAACTACCATGATGGTTGTTAGTAATTATCACCAATTTGCCGAGAGTATTTGTGCTTAATTTTTATATCCTGCTTTATCACTTTTTCAGTGTAATTATATATGGACCTTGACAAATTTAAGTGGAGTCTATAGTCTGATAAAGAAAAAGATGGATATCTGTAGTTTTCCTTTTGTCTTTTAAGTGGTGTCATAAGCCATGATTAATGTGGCTGTGTTTAAAGTTTTTTCCATCAGGAATGCCAGGAAATGGCTAATGTGCTTATTTGCCAGAATTTTATATCTTAAATAGCTTTGGATTATTTGTGTGGAAGATCAAGTGAGATAGTATATGAAAGTATTTGGAAACTGTAAAGCCCTTATAAAAGATGAAAATAATTTATGTAATGCAGGCAAATTTTTTCCTATCTAATTTCATTTTGAGGGAAAAAAATATATACCTTCTTCATAGTGGAGGATATTTAGAAGCTAGAAGGTTTATCAGGAATTCCTTTCTTCACTTATTTGAAGTTGGCAACCAAGTGAATAAATGTTTACTCGGGGTAGGCAAAGTTTCAAGTTGGATGGCTATGCCATTATAAACTTGGGTATTCAGATTTTGTGTACTTTTAAAAATCTGACCTGGTGAAGGTAAAGAAGCCATTCATAGAGACTTTTCAGTGACCTCCTCACGCTTCTCTTCAATCTTAAATTTGTAAACAACATTCTGATTTTAAGTATGAACAGAGCACTTTCTAAATGACTGCTGTTTAGTCATTTGTAAACTAGTTGCCATCACACTGTTAATTTAACATTACCTAATTTGACATTTGTATTTGTATCTTGTTTGTCTGAATGTATTTTTTTAATCCAAGAAAAAGGACTTGCAAATGTATTTGTATTAACTTTATGATACTTTCCTATTACTTATGATGGACAATCTTGAGCCCCAAATTAATTATTTATGGATATTATTGGATTTGAGGTCTTGAAGTAATTTTCATAGAAATATAGAAACAGAAACATTTTTCTCTTATTGTAATAAATGGATAGTACTCTTTTTTTTTTTTTTTTTTTAAATTCTGGAGATGGAGTCTTGCTCTGTCGCCTAGGCTGGAGTGCAGTGGTGCAATCTCGACTCACTACAACCTCTGCCCCCCGGGTTCAAGAGATTCTCCTGCCTCAGCCTCCCAAGTAGCTGGGATTACAGCCGAGTGCCACCGTACCCGGCTAATTTTTATATTTTTAGCAAAGACGGGGTTTCACTAGGTTGGCCAGGCTGGTCTCGAACTCCTGACCTCGTGATCCGCCCGCCTTGGCCTCCCAAAGTGCTGGGATTATAGGCGTGAGCCACCATGCCCGGCCTACTCTGTTCTTTTAATTTTGATAAACTTGATAAAATACCACCTTTATCACACTAAATATGTGAATAACAGGTAAAAGTGGTACTCATGAGGCTATTTTGTGTTAGCTGTTGAAATATTTTCAGAGCTTTGTTTTCAATTTCAGAGTGTTATCTTTCCAAGCATTCTTTATAATGATTTGTAAAAGCTATGAAAAATAAGATTTTAAAAATCATAATCTTAAGTTTTCCTTACATACTTTGAGTATTTATTTGATAAGATTAAATGTGTGCCAATTATAACCGTTTTCTAGTCGACTTGAGATTGTATTTTTTTTTGTATGTATAAGCACATTAACATAGTCGTATGTTATTTCAGTAACATATTTTCAGCCAAGGTGATCAGAGGGCATCATTGCTAGAGTGCTGCCGAAGTACTACTGAAACCCCAAATTGGATTCTGAAGCAAAGTTCCATAAATAAATCTTGCTAACTTACTTAATCTTAATCTTACTCCTAGTTTCGATTAGAAAGAAAGACGTAATTCTTCATAAGGACTTTGTAACAGAATTCAAATTCTGATATCTGGCAAAGGTTTTCTCAATTTAGTTGATGAAAGCAGATAATAAGAATGACAATATTAATGCTTTTGCAAGTACTGAATACTAACCAAAAAGTGTATTTGTTCTTCAGTGTTGATCCCTCAATTGTTAACATATCAGATGAAATGGCCAAAACTGCACAGTGGAAGGCACTTTCCATGAATACTGAGAATGCCAAAGTAACCAGATCTAACATGAGGTAGTTATAACTATTTGTGTGTTTTCTAACTGTAGCCAATTTTCATTTACTTATGATAGCTTCATTCCTTTCTTTCTTTCATCCATCATTTTAATGTATACTTGGAATAAGGTATAAATAATAATTATGTTTTTGTCTTTTAATTTACAGTTACCTATTTTAAAAAATAATTTGAGTCAGTCATGGTGGCTCACACCTGTAATCCCAGCACTTTGGGAGGCTGAAGCGGGCAGATCATCTGAGGTCAGGATCATCTGAGGTCACTTGCAGTGAGCCCAGATCATGCCATTGCACTCCAGCCTGGGGGACAAGAGTGAAACTCTGTCTCAAAAAATAGTAATAATAATCTGAGCTATTTTATCATAAAAGTAAATTTCATATAGCAGTATGGAATAAACATAAAAAAGATCAGAAACCATATAAAGATTAGATAACTATTAGGGATTAAATACTGTAATTGAATACTATTTCAATCATGCTCTGTGATGGTCTAAGAAAAGAGAAAAACACAAGTTGTTTCCCTTCTTGTGTTTTGGTTTAGTATGCCATTTGTTCAGGTGAGGTAAACATTTTGCTTGGAGATATTTGGAAGAAATCAAATCCATTGACATAAAGACCATTCAGTTTTACAGTGGACCATGTATTGAAAGTATTTTGTAACCTCTTTCTTACATTTCTTGTTATGTAACCTTTTTTCTTTCTTTTGTTCTCACTTCAAGAACTAAGCCCTCAGGGATTCTGTTTGGTAATCATTAGTACTTTAATCCCTTAAGCCTCTGGAGAAATGAATTACTGTCTTCTAGGGTGCTCAGTCATTCATACTCAGAAAATTCTTCTTTTTTATGTACAGTTTGTGTGAGATGCTATGTTGGGTGTCTGTATATTCTGCTTGGGCATCAGATGAAAACTTTTCTAGGCCTTCAGTCATATAGCTGTTTTTGTTCACTTGCTGTCTTAGCTCTGTCTTCTGACAATAATTGATTAGCTTTTTCTCATTCTTTCACTACCCTCTTTTAGAACCTTTTTCCTACCTACTCTCTATCATATGTTTTTCTCTTCTGTCATCTGAGTTCTAATTTCTCAGCTGGCTGTTTCCTTTCTTCTGTCTTTGATCTTAAAAAGTTTTAAAGTTAAACTCTTTGTAATTTTGGATCATTCAGTACAGCCAGAATTTTTCTAAATATTCTTTTTACTATTAGTAATTGTTCACACTGTGTCAGCACCTCTGGCCTTGTTAGTATAATTATCATAAAAAATAAAGGCCTTACAATAATAACTAACATCTTTTATGCTTCTGCCTTTTGTTTGGGTTGCCCTGCACTTCAAAATCACATAGGAAGAAAGAGAATATCTTGGCTATGTTGTTTAACAGGAAAATGTTTGGGGATTGGGGTCTATTCTTCAGTTTGTCTGGAGAAGACAGCAAACCATAGTGTGTTTTTACACTTTCTGAAAACTTTTTCCAGAACCCAGATATTCATATGTTACAATTAATCAATTAAATCCATGTATGTGGAGTCACTGTGTGATACTAACTTGAAAATATAGAATAGGTTGGCCGGGTGCAGTGGTTCAGGCCTGTAATCCCAACACTTTGGGAGGCCAAGGTGAGTGGATGATTTGAGGTCAGGAGTTCGAGACCAGCCTGACCAACATGGTGAAACCCCATCTCTACTAAAACTACAAAAATTAGCTGGGCATGGTGGTGCATGCCTGTAATCACAGCTACTCGGGAGGCTGGGGCAGGAGAATCACTTGAACCTGGGAGGTGGAGGTTGCAGTGAGCCGAGATTGTGCCATTGCACTCCAGCCTGGGCAACAAGAGCAAAACTCTGTCTCTCAAAAAAACATATATATATTTCAAATATTTGTTCTATATATATGTAGAATACATATTCATAAATACAAAACCAATATGTATATAGAATATATAGAATAGATGTATTGGTTTTGTATTTATGAATCAAATTTGGGGTGAGAAGTTTTATAAATTTATAACCTTCTTGGAAATTATTTGATACCTATCTATATTAACAAAGATTCATATATTAATAGATTTTTCAGTAAAAGTCTCATGCTATAACTGTTCATATGTGAAATAAAAGTAATCCAACAGATTCTGACCATATACTGCCCTATTTTAAGGACCCCCTCTTTAGTTGTAAGAAAAACATGAATTTAAATTGCAAAGAGGATTTTTAATATTTGCAATTTTTAAAAAACAATTTTTAATATTTGCTTTTCCAGTTATGTTTATTGATTTAGAAAAGCTAAAATTAGCAAGTCATAAGTTTGTAGTGTTAATAGTAATCTCAGAAGGTTTAGTATACTCATTGTTAGCCATGTTTAGAATTGAATATTTATATTTTAAAATTATTTATTTTAATTCTTTGTTTTAAATAGTCCTGATAAACCTGTGAGTGTGAAAATAAGTTTTGAAGATGAACCAAGAAAGAAATACGTGGATGCTGAAACTTCATTATAGAATTGAACCAAGAGGCATTATACATATAGATATATACATATGTAATGTGTGCGTATCATGTCACTATATATAAGAATATTGTATGTCATGCTGTTTATGTGTGACTACCGGGTTTTTAAAAGTAGTGTCTGGAGTTTGTAATGAGCACCGTGGAGACTATGTATTTAATGAAATGCTCTCTTTGAAGTGAGGTACATGGTTCTTAACTATTCAAATATTTATTCTGTTAGAAAAAAAAATTTTCTGTTTTGCAATAGAAGGATGTGGAGAAATGCTTTCAGTCTACTTTTCTTAAATCTCTGTTCATCAGTGGCAATTCGTAAAAACCTTAAGTGATACTTTGTTTATATGTTTATAATTTTTAGGTGTTTCCTGAAATTTTCACATATTATTTCACTTTTGTTAGTGCTTTATGGGAAGAATAGGGAGTCTATACCAGTGCTGTGGGAAAAATGGTAACATTTCAGGGCTTCTCTATTTGTGTTTCATTTCTGTAGATGTCCATCGTGTTTCACTAACTGGCGTTTTCTTAGCCATAGAGATGACTGTAGAACAATAGAAACTTTAATAATGATAGTTTTTAACTTTTATGTTTAAATTTTTTTTAAATCTTAAAACCTTCATATCTAGGTATCCATTGTGACAGACAAGTAAAATTGCAGGTGATTTGATAATTAAGCACCCATACCATTTATAACTTCTGAATTTAAAAAGTTATACAATGCCAGTTTGCAATAGTTGATTTTGATGCCTTTGTAGAATATTTTTTCTGAATCCTTATGCTCTTTTAAAGCCAATGATTCCCACTCTGTTCTCTGCCTTGTCTCTCTTTGTCTTAAAATGCTTTAGTTTCCATCAGGTTCAAGTTCTTGACTATTATTCTCTTATAAGTAGTAGGCGTAAATAATCAGGAGTTAGAATTCTCTCAGAAGGGTCTATGATCAGTATTACTTTATTAAGAATTACCTTTCATTTTCTCTTTATGTTATTCTTTCACTTTTGTAGATTACATTTAATAGCTTGTTACCTGTGATTTTATTTTAAAATATTTATTTTGATATGATGCTTAAATATTATATAAACATTTGGAAAAGTAACAAATAGAGTAAATTGTTAATGTAAATAGTTGGTGCTTACTTTCATTTATGTTTATTATCTTAAAGCAATTGATAGATTTTACATCTTTGATATAAAGCACTGCCATATTTATATTTTAAAAGGAAATTAGACATTTTATATGTAGCTCAGATTAATGACATTTTTATTTTGTGTATTAGTTTTTGCTTTTCTGAGCTTTTTAAAGTCTAACAAATCTTTTTAGTCATCTTTTATATACTTTTAGTTCCACATGAAATAAATGTTGTTAAGCCTGTAGGACTGGATGAATGGGGTTGTGAAACTGATTTGACAAGAGAATAATTTACAAAAATCAAATGAGTATTGAGAAGCCACAGAAATATCAAAAATGGTGACATCACTATTAGGATGAAAATTTTATGAAATTCCAATGCTCCCTTTAACCATATAATTAAATTACAAAGGTATACATAATTAATCTAATAAAGGATCATGAGGAATGCCAAAAGCTGAAATTTTAGCAAGTCTGGTGTTTTAAATTCATTATAAACTATTTATTAACTAATGTAATGTCCTCCTCTAAGACCATATTGTAAGAGTCTTGTTAAAATGATGGATTCAACTTCTGCCTCGGATGAGAGGTTGGAAATGTAGCTGCTTTTCTTTAGAAAATATGTAGCTGTCATCATTTGGTACTGCCTAAAAAGAGTTAGACTCTATTGGCAATTGATAGAGTATTACCCACGGTGCTTATTATTGTTTATGAGCTTCCATTGTAATGATTCCTTTTTATTTGTAGCAGCATAATTATTTCCAAAGACCCCAGTATTTGCTGCTATTTTTAAAACTCCCCTGATGTACCTGAACAAGAGGATTTCCTCACATCATTTCCTTGTGTCTGGACATCAGGGGTAACAACTGTACTTACTTTACAGGAAGAAATTTTAAAACTGAAAACTACCTGGGATCATAGTGTTTCTGTGATTTTATTTAATTGTGTATAGTAATTATCCAGTGCCAGAAAAACCGTCACTTGCAAAATACTTTGCACTCAAAATGTTTTTACAATGCTTCTAAATGTTACTGGTTTCTGCTTTCTTTTGACTACTTGACTGACAAAATGATCTGACTACTCCATTTAAGAGCAAAGGTAACTCATGTTTAGGTAATTAACTGCTTGTTTTAAGTGATTATATTTCTTCCACTGTTTTTGAAAAATAATCAAAGATAGCATTCATTGAGAGACAGTGACAGATATAATTTACTACATATATTGATTTTTAAATAAAGTTGCCTTAAATAAGTGTATGTAAGCAGTAGTAGTTGCTATGTACTGATTTACCTCAAGGTGCAAAATAATTAAACCTGTACATATTCCATTTACAAAATAAATTCAGCCCTGCACTTTCTTTAGATGCCTTGATTTCCAGAATGGAGCTTAGTGCTACTGAATACCCTGGCCACAGAGCCACCTCAGGATATTCTTTTCTCCACCCTAGTTTATTTATTTATAGATATCTGTTTACAAAGTCTGTAGTAAATCCTGATGCTGACCATCTGAAATGTACTTTTTTTCTGAATGCTGTTTCAATCTAAAATAGCAGCTTTTGAGAAAACAATGATGTAAATTCCTTATGATAAAAGGATGATTCTATATATTCTTTAATGATATTAAATATGCCGAAGCCAAGCACACAGTCTTTCTAAAGTGTGTGTATGTTTGTGTGAATGTGAATGATACTGATCTTATATCTGTTAAAAGTTGTTTTAAAAAGCTGTGGCATCCCATTGTTCATATTTGCCAAGTCTTCTGTAAAGATGTCTAGGACGAAATATTTTATGTGCTAATGCATGTATTTGTAAACCAGATTTGTTTACCACTCAAAATTAACTTGTTTTCTTCATCCAAAAAAGTTTATTTCTTCCACGTACTTAAATTTTCTGTGTGGGTATAATATAGCTTTCTAATTTTTTTCTTTCACAAAGGCAGGTTCAAAATTCTGTTGAAAGAAAAATGCTTTCTGAAACTGAGGTATAACACCAGAGCTTGCTGTTTAAAGGATTATATGATGTACATCAGTTCTATAAATGTGCTCAGCAGTTTAACATGTGAATCCTGTTTTAAAGTGCTCAGATTTCAACTGTGTAAGCCATTGATATAACGCTGTAATTAAAAATGTTTATATGAAATAACTTAATGTTTTAAATTTATTTATGTAGATCACATCATTTTTATCGTATGCAGTGCAAATATGTGAAATGTCTTTTGGTTTATTCCAACAATTATTTATTTTAGAAAGTAAGTTTAAAGACTTTAAGGACATTCAAAGTTTAAAATAGTGTTCAAATTGCAAAATTTGGCAATCTTCATATAAATTGGTTTCTTTTCTAACTTTTCAAAAACTAACATTAAATGTCAATTATAGGAAAACATAGTTGGAAATGTAATCATCCAAAGATCATTTTTAAAATGAAATTTAATTAGCACATATTGAACATTTGACTTAATTGTTAAACCCCAGTTTTGTTTTGTTTTTTTAATCAGATTTTTGCACACTGATTAGTTTTTGTGTTGTGGCTTTTGTTGCTTTATTATTCAAGGTTTTTTTTTTTTTTCTTCCCCATGGGGGAGATTGTCTTCCAATGTTTAACTACGTTTAAATAAATAAAAATTGAATTTTATTGTTCATTTATATAAAATCTGATACCTTGATGTAATTTCACAATACAGTTCCAATTTTTATGGCTTTTATAATTACAATGATATTTTCTTCTATAATAAAATCCAAAGTAAACATTTAAATTGTAGAACTGATATTTTTCATTTATATGAAGTATAAGCCTCTACTGGGTCTATATTGTGAATCATCCTGCCTTTCAAATTTGTTTCATAATTGTTAGATGAAAACTATTTTTTTGGAGATGTTACTGAAGTTGATTGAGCAATAAAAGTCTACTTAATTAGTTGTTGGCTATTGTCTTTACTTTGTACTCTGATTATTAGAAGAGCCACATCTCTCTCTCAGCTTGAGATGGGATAGGAGAGGAAGGAAAATGAGTGATGTCTGTTTCCGGCCTCCTAATATTCCTAGGCTTCAGTAGGAGAGAGAAAAGAGGAAACACTGAGAAAAAAATAAAATAGTGTTTGTTTCACAAAGGTGTTTGATAGTTAAGAAATAATTGATATTAAAGCTAAGAAAAGGCTGATCCATTTATTCCCCCCGATTTTAGAAATGTTGCTGCGTGATGTGTAATGATCTGCATGATAATACCGAACTCTCCAGGGCTTTTCTTTCTTTGTTTTTGTTTGTTTGTTTGTTTGCTTTTTGTTTGTTTTTGAGACAGAGTCTTGCTCTGTCGCCCAGGTTGGAGAGCAGTGGCCCGATCTCTGCTCACTGCAAGCCGCCTCCTGGGTTCACGCCATTCTCCTGCCTCAGCCTCCCGAGTAGCTGGGACTACAGGCGCCCACCACAACGCCCAGCTAATTTTTTGTATTTTTTTAGTAGAGACGGGGTTTCACCGTGTTAGCCAGGATGGTCTCGATCCCCTGACCTCGTGATCTGCTCGCCTCAGCCTACCAAAGTGCTGGGATTACAGGTGTGAGCCACCACGTCCGGCCTCTTTCTTTGTTTTTAGTGACTTAGTTTATTAGGAATTATTTTCCTTAATAGCAAATTACAGGTCTTGGTTTGTTTTTCATTTGGCATGTGTGGAACACTTTCCTTTTGTGTTTTCTGCACTGAAAAACATCTGATAACCTCACCATGAATTTGATAGCCTTTGGAATAAGATGGGGATAGACACTTATGTTTTTGGAAATTTCATTTGAAAATGTAGTTTACATTTATTTTAGGGGAAAATTTTTTTTGTCAATTTATAATTCCTAGCTACAGACCTTTGAGATTCTGCAAGAGGAGAGAGGAAAAGAGTTAGCTCTCTTTGATCTGGCCAATAAAGGCATATCTGATCTCTTGAGTATCACTTCTTTTCATGGTTGACCCATACGTTCCTACCTCTGTGCTTTTAATGAAAACATTTCTGCTGTTTAGAAAACCTTTCTGCTTTTCTTTCAAAGCCCAATTTAAGTTCTGCCTTTACTTCAAATTGTACTCAGCCTTCTGCTTTCAGTCTACAAGATCATTCTCATTCCTCCACTTAGATTGTGTGTGTGTGTGTGTGTGTGTGTGTGTGTGAATAGCCTTTTCTTGTTCTAGACCATTGGGCTAAAGTATTTATAAATTTTGGGAAGTGGTTTTATCTTCTTGTTGAGGTGATCCTGAATATCTACTTACATGCAGATTTGTTACCTTTATGCTGTAGTTAGGACATTATGCTGTTTTACTTTTGAACTGTATAATTTACGTTATGCATTTCATTTAAAAAAAGGCCTTAGAAAAATATGTTTTCATAGTTTTGAGCCTTGCTATATAAGCTATAAGCTTGGTGCAAGATCTCTTGTGGGATTTTATTTTGTGTCATTTTACAGAGGGACCCTTAACATTTGAGATGATAGTGTATGTGTCTTTTAGAGGCAGTGTCATTCTTGCCTCTTAATCGCTGCAGCTTTCAGGGAAGTTCAGGAATATTCTGGGATGGCCAAAACATTAGTTTAAGACTTTAATTTTACTGAGTAGTGGAAAGATGGGAAGCACAATTGGTATTCTGGTGAAGATGAGAAGTTCAGTGCAGTCATGTCTCACTGCTTAATGTTTATTTTTTGAGATAGAGTCTTGCTGTGTCTCTCAGGCTGGAGTGCAGTGGCATGATCTTGGCTCACTGCACCTCTGCTTCCTGGGTTCAAGTAATTCTTGTGCCTCAGCCTCCTGAGTAGTAGGGACTAGCATGTGCCACCATGCCCGGCTGATTTTTCTGTTTTTAGTAGAAACAGGGTTTGGCCATGATGGCCAGGCTGGTCTCGAACTCCTAACCTCAAGTGGTCCTCCTGCCTCGGCCTCCCAAAGTGCTAGGATTACAGGTGTGAGCCACCAAGCCAGGCCGACTGCTTAACATTTAGAATGTATGTACAGAATACTTTTTCTACTCAGCATCGGTCTTCCTGCCCCGTCACCTTGTTTTGTTTTATTGGTAACATTAATCCTGATTGTTTTAGATCTCTGAAGTTTAATTAGTTCTGCTATACTCACCAGAGTTTGGCTTTCATCTCGCCTTTCTGCATTTCCAAAATAGGACCGTCTTCATTTTAAAAAATGCTTTCAATTACCCAAGCTTAAGTATTGTTAATCCAATGGGCCTACTTACTATCCACACCAGAAAAACGTTAGGGTTCACTGTATTCATTTAAAATCCAGTTTGGGAAGATGTAACCACCAGACACACACACGAGCGTTTAGTGATACCAAGATGAGGTTGAACAGGGCCCAGTACTCGAAGAAATCGTCGAAGGAGCATCATCGTGGTTAAGACCAGACTCGAAGTAGGTTTTACCCTGACTCCATCACTAGCTCTGCCATACTGGACTACTTAGGAAACTTCTTGTGCCTCCATTTTATAACTAAGTGAAATAAGGAAAGAATTTGAAATCGTGCCCGGCACAAAATTAAGCACTTAATAGATTGGCATTTTTCATTTATTTAAAGTTACAGAATGTCAGGTATATTTTTAAAGCGTTATCTAATGCAGTTCAGAAATTTTAAAGAAGCTCCAGACTTTCACAAAAGGTGAAGTGACTTGCCCAAAGCCACAAAACGAACTGGCGATAGTTATACTATACAGGTTTCTTGAATCCCAGGTCACTCTTTTTGTGAAAAATACGGTGCTGTGGCACCTTATTCTCATTGCCTGTGGCTTGAGTAACTGAAGACGTTTTCATGCCATATGAAAGGTATTTAGCATGCTGCATTGATTCCTTATCAGATTAAATCTTTGCTTTTAAAGAGAATTGATTTTTAGCCCATAGCAATTCTTGAAAGTAAACACTCCAAGATGAAGCTGCCCTTTCCCATCAAAGGTTAGACACCCTAAATCCAGAAAAATCTTCAACGTGTAGGAGACCTGTTCACAGGTAGCTCTAGGTTCCGGTGAAGTGGCTGCAGCACAGCCTTCAGCATCACTTGCTGCCTCTTCTGCTTGCAAGCTTGGTGGTGGATCTAGCGCGTCTCTGGTTGCTACGGCGATTCCCCGGCAGGCGTCATCCGTCGCTATGGCGTTCTGCACTGCGCAGCATGGCTGCTCCCGATTGGCTGAGGCGCCCCAGGTGGCGGAGGAAGAATTGTCGGCATTGGCCTGGCCAGCGCTGGTTGGTGGCCTGGAGGAGGATTTGATTGGAAAACCAACGGTGCAGCTGGCCGCGGTGTCCCTGAGGTTGAGGGGACCGGGAATAGGCTGGGGGGAGGACGGGACGGGCTGAGACTGGACGGGACCCCCGGTCTGCAGCAGCAGGTGACAGCAGCAGGGACAATGATAAGGAGATTGGCCTGAAGGAGGGACCGTCCCTCCCGCGCGGTGAGTAGGCGGGAGCCGGTGCTCGGCTGTGCCGGCGAGCAGCTTGAGTCAGGGTCTCCGGGGAGACGTCCTCAGGTCCCTGTGGAGCGGCCCCGAAGCCTCGGGAGCCAGCTTCACTAGACAAGAGGCAGAGGTAGAGAATGCGGCTGTGGTGGGTAAGTGAGTCACTGCGTGAGGCAGTCTTTTCAAAGCAGGTGGGTTTGTGTTGGACGGATGGATGGTGGGAAAGCGCCATCAACGATGCTTCTTGGCGCTTCCATTTTGATAACGGAATTATTCTGGTTAAATGGAGCCTGAATGTGTCTCTTCCAATCTGCTCCGACGCCTCTGGAGGTTCATTCTTCATCTCTATGAGCGTCGCTTTTCTGCCTTCTCCTTACAGGATGCTGCTTTGACTTTGCCCCTCTGCTTTTCTGCCCTACTTCGGTGAGCCCTTCCACTTCCTCGCCTCAGGCACCATCTATCTGACGATGATTAGAAAGTCTCCAACTGGAACCTAGCCTGCTCTACTAACTGTCAGACCCCAAAATCCAGCTGCCAAGTTAACGCCACACATGTGCAACCCTGAACGCCATCTTCCCCATGTCTGCTGCTGCTCTTGGATTCCCTATTTTGGGCATCACTATCCATTCAGCTTTCAAAAACTACACTCTAGACGACATCCATGACACTTACTGCTGCTTCCTCTGCATCTCTATCAATTATCAAGACTATCCCTTCTTAATAGGTGTTGAATCAATTCCCACATTACCATCTCTATTTTTACTGTCTCAATTTCCACCATCGGTTGGTTAAATTCAACACCCATCTGGCTTCTCCGATTCTAGTCTGGCCCTATCTATCCAATCCACTTTTTTCCCCACCATTGTTGAACTGATATATATATATGTGTATATATATATATATGGAGTCCTTCTAAAAAAGACTCCTTTTTTAGAAGGAGTCTTGCTGTGCTGCCAGGCTGGAGTGCAGTGGAGCGATCTCAGCTCACTGCAGCCTCCGCCTTCCGGGTTCAACCAATTCTCATGCCTCAGCCTCCAGAGAGCTGGGATTACAGGCGCGAGCCACTACGCCTGGCTAATTTTTGTATTTTTAGTAGAGAAGGGGTTTCACCATGTTGGTCAGGCTGGTCTCGAACTCCTGATCTCAGGTGATCCACCCGCCTCAGCCTCCCAAAGTGCTGGAATTACAGGCGTGAGCCACCGTGCCCGGCTAAACTGATCTTTTTAAAACGCACATAAGGGCATTTCCCTTCCCTACTTAAAGTCCTGCAATGATTCCCCATTACCCTAATCCAATCTTTAGTTAGGCCTTCTATCAGCAGTTCCATCTTGATTGTTCCCAGAATATGTCACATTCTCTCCTGTGTGTAATTATCTCACCTGTTGCTCACACTGCCTGGAATGGACTTTCCTTTTTGCACCCCCACACTCCTGCTCTCACTCCCCAATCATTTTCTGTATGTTGCTTGATTACTGTTTCTTTCTCTGGACTGCCTCTGTGACGGCAGAGACCATCTTTGTCTCAGTCACTATTGTTATATATATCCAGCATTTAGCCCAGTGCAAGACATCGTAACAGGTGTTCAACAAATACTTGTTAACTGACTGAATCTCTAAAATGAGAAGTTACTGTTTGCCATGGTATCTTTATTTCTTCCAGAAAAGTCAGAAATGGCCAATGAAGCTTTTGCTTATAAAAGGTAAATATTGAAAAAATGTTATAAAAGGTACAGGTTTTACTTTAATTTCAAGACCCTTAGTAATTGGAAACTACTTCAATTCACAGTTTATAGTTCAAGCCATAATCATTATCACGGTAGCTGTTATTATATGACATAAGCTTAAAATGGTAAAGAGAGAGACAGTACAGCATGGTGTGCAAGAGCTAAGCTTTGGAGTCATACATACATGGGTTTGAATCCTAGCTCTAGCATTTTAATTGTGTAACACATAACAAATTACTTAGCCTCTAGTCAGATTCTTTATCTGCACAATGGGGGTATAATAGCACCTAGCTCATAGGATTCTTTTAAAGATTATATGTACATAATTCATACCAAAGGTATAGTGCTTTATATATAGTAAGCTTTCACGTTTAAAAATGAACACACTGGGCTGGGCATGGTGGCTCATGCCGTGAATCCCAGCACTTTGGGACGATGAGGTGGGTGGATCACCTGAGGTCAGGAGTTCAAGATCAGCCTGGCCCACATGGTGAAACCCCATCTCTACAAAAAATACAAAATTAGCTGGGCATGGTGGCGCACACCTGTAATCCCCGCTACTTGGGAGGCTGAAGCAGGAGAATCCCTTGAACCGGGAGGCGGAGGTTGCAGTGAGCCAAGATCACGCCACTGCTCTACAGCCTGGGCAACAAGAGTGAAACTCCGTCTCAAAAAAAAAAAAAAAAAAAAATGAACACACTGAAGTCTAGAGCTGTGAAATTGTCATGGTGAGTTTACAAAAGGTAAAAATCAATCTTTTGATTCAGTCAAGTGCAATTTCTAGGACACCATCCTGTTGTTATAGTACTTGATCACAAACTTTTGTGTTTGGCGACAGCTCTGATACAGCTCTGAGTCTCAATCATTCAGTGAGTATTTATTGACCATCTAATGGGTTTGGGGCTCCATGCCCAGTGAGGGTGAGCCAAAAGACAGTGCAACAAATAAAGTCTTCAGGAGGTGGAAGAAGGGCCTGGAATGTTACTCTGCCTGTCACAGCCAGTCAAGCTTTGAGGCTGAAGTCAAAGTGAACTGGGTTGAGCACTTGGATAGGCAGAGAGGAGCTGGAAGTTCATCCAGACAGTCAACAAATATTTATTGAACACCTGGGCCTTCAGCAGTGAACAAAACAAAGGCACTATTCTCTTAGGACAGTTCTCAGGGCGCAGTAGAGCAGAGTTCATAGAACACAGATTCTGGAGCCAGACTGCTTGGGTTGTAATCCTAGCTCCCCAAATCCTAGATATGGGATTGGCAAGTTAACTTAATCTTTCTGCACCTCAGTTTCCTCATCTGTAAAATGGGGTGGTTGTGAACATTACATGAATTAATATGGAAAAATTTCTTAGAACAGTGGTCAGTATGCCTCAGGAGCATGTAAATGTTATTTATTTGTATTGTGTTCTATTTGGAACACAATACAAGGAGAGAAATAAGTAAAGCAGGATGAGGGAATAGTAATCATCAGCTTGTGGACAGGGTGTATGGCTTGGATTTGGGAATAAGTCTTACATTTTGAAAGATTTCATCTTCTAGATGAAAGTGAACTTTAAACAAACTCATGTATATGCCTGATATGTATCATGATTTAAAAAACAGGAATGGCCAGGCATGATGGCTCACTTTGGGAGGCCGAGGCGGGAGGATCACTTGAGGTCAGGAGTTTGAGACCGGCCTGGCCAACATGGTGAAACCCCGTCTCTATTAAAAACACAAAAATTAGCTGGGTGTGGTGACGCGTGCTGGTAATCCCAGCTACTCTGGAGGCTGAGACAGGAGAATCACTTGAAGCTGGGAGGAGGAGGTTGCAGTGAGCTGAGATCGTGCTACTGCACTCCACCGTGGGCAATAGAGCAAGACTCCATCTCAAAAAAAAAAAAAAAAAAAACACAAAAAAAAAACACAAAAAACCAAAACAAAAAAACAGGAATATGAGCACTGGATAAAATACATAGTTTTTTTATTTGGTAAAATAATTACTTATCTATAGGTCAAACTCCCCTCATCTCAGCTAAAATCTGCCATGGTCATAATGAAAGTCATGGACTTAAGTCCATACAGTTGGCATCAATTCAAAGCTTATTAAATCTTATATTAGAAATAGTTATGATAGACACAGATTCTAGCTTCAAAGCAGTCAGCAGAATCAAAGTGACAAAATGACAATTGACTGGCTCATGTCTACAAAAGATACCTAAGCCCTCCTGTAAAAATTAAAGTAAAAACTACAAGCAGGACAGATAAAGCACAGCAGCCATAACACTGACCTTGGGCCATGAGGAAAATGTTCCACAGTAGTTAGTATATTTTGCAAAAGACAGTTAATATGAAAAGTATGAATAAAATAATATTTCTTTATTAAAGAAGTAAATATTTATCTAGAAAATTCACTTAGGTGAATAGAGAGCTGGATAAATGCCACCAATAAATGAGAGTTAGTACTGCATTAGATTAACAGGAAGGGTTCTGCCTGGCTTCAAATCTCTGCTCTGCCACTTACCAGCTGTGGGACCTTGGCAAATGAATGAACCTCACTGGGCCTCATTTCCTTCATGTGTAAATTAGGGACAGTAAGGGTAGCTACCTTACAGATTCATTAGGAGTGTTACATTAGGTAATGTATAGAAAGCACTTAGAACAGTGCTGGCACTACCATGTAAATGTTTGCTCTTATTATGACTGTTGTTATTACTAGGTATGAGATCTTGGCCAAGTTCCTTGACATTTTAGTGCCTCAGTTTCTTCATCTGTAAGTTGGAGATATAATACTAATCACCTCAGAGGGTTGTTTTGAGGATTAAATGAATATACTAATGTGCTTGTAAGAATAACCCTTAATAGGTTTTTAAAAATTAAAATGAAAACCATTTGTGACATTGAATTTAAACTCTATTTTTAATTTTATCTCTAGTATTTTTCATTAATGAGTCAAAGTCAATGAATATAGACAAATGATTTAAAATAAATACATGGCCGGGTGCTGTGGCTCACGCCTGTAATCCCAGCACTTCGGGAGGCCAAGGCGGGTGGATCAGCTGAGGTCAGGACTTTGAGACCAGCCTGGCCAACATGGTGAAACCCCGTCTCTACTATACACACACACACACACACACACACACACACACACACACACACACACACACACACACAATTAGCCAGGCATGGTGGTGGGCGCCTGCAATTCCAGCCACTTGGGAGGCTGAGGCAGGAGAATCGCTATCGCTTGAACCTGGGAGGCAGAGGTTGCAGTGAGCCAAGATTGTGCCACTGCACTCCAGCCTGGGTGACAAGAGCAAAACTCCATCTCAAAAAATAAATAAATAAAGTAAATACACAAACTCTTCAAATGAAGTAATATTATTACCAGCCTGGGCGACATAGTGAGACCGCACTCTCCACACACACACAAAAAAGTTAATACTTACAACAGCTATCATAACAGTAACATATTTATCTAGTTGTTGACGGTTCTAAAGAGGTGTCACTATTTTATTTAGTCCCGACTGCCACCTTGTCATAGGCATGTTGTTATTTCTAATTTTTGGTCAATGAGAAAATAATCAGAGAACTCCAGTGACATTTCTGAGGTCACTCAGTGGGCAAGTGGAAACCAAGTCTCCTCTAACCCTGTTATTCTTTTTGACTATATTCCAGTGGTATAACCAGAAGAATTCACATTCCCAGACTTGTCAACTTGCATCAGTGGAGACAGTGGCATTCATATAATACACATGTGTATGCTACACTTGACACAATGTGAATACTCATCTTTCCTTTAGGAAACCTTATTGTCCTGTTCATGTATACTTGAGGTAGTCCATCTTTAACATCAATGTAATACTTTATATTCTTTTCTTTGTGGCTTCCTTGTATTTATGGAGAGATTTTGTCAAATCAACATGCTGCAATCACTGGATACTGGTCAGCTGGGGCAAACTTATTTGCTGTTCTTTTTCGTTGTCTCTACTCTCCATATCTACATCATGATATTCCAGTTATATTTGGAGCTTCCCAATCACATTTAACTTGGGATTTGTTCATTGATTGATTCATTCAGCAATTATTTATTAAATCCCTCTTTTGTTGTAAACTACAAAGTATGTGCTAGATACTGGGAATGAGCCAAAAAGCTGTCCTCCATATGCTTGACTAGTTTACAGTAAACTAATGGAGATGGAAATATGTACTTATTGAATTATGACCTGAATCAGCCTGTTTGTCAAAAGCTGCAAGGCAATGCTTGGCAGGGTTGTGACCCTGTCTAGGAGGTCAGCTCAAAGAATGGATACTTCAGTTGAGACATGAAGGATGCGACATCCAGCCTTTCCATACCACTGTGGCCCTTGAGTCCAGGAGTAAAGGCCTGGGGATATTCAGGAGGAGTAACTCTGTGGTGGCAGTTCAGGACCAAGTGTGAGTAACAGCTGGCTGGGTGGCCAGGAGCGCCAATTGCACGCAGCACCTCTCAGACCTTGGTAAATTTTCTTTTTATCCCAGGAGAAATGGGAAGCATATAAGGGCATAATTGGTCAAATATGTACCATAAAAAGAGTGCTTTTATTGATGTGTGGAGATAGATTTTTTTGTTGTAGTTGGGGAGAGGGAGAAATTGGAAGTTGGGAGATCATTTAGGAAGTGATAATGGTAGTTCAGGTGAGCACTGATGTAAGTTTGGACTAGGGCGTTGGCAGTGACGGTGGACAGATAAGTGTCATATTTAATAGAAAAATAGGACTTAGTAGCCAAATATCAGATACGGGGGTGAGGAAGAGGAAGGTGTCATTTTTCTGACGTCCATGCCAAAGGACTCTGTCTTATTTGGGACTATTTGAGACAGGATGAATGAATGTGTTAGGTTGGCGCAAAAGTAATTGCAGTTTTTGCCATTGAAAGTAATGGCAAAAACCACAATTACTTTTGCGCCCACCTAATATGTTTGCATTCTCCTTGCCTCATATAATTACCTCTGGTGTTCCTGCTACTTAATGCAGTTCTTTGAATTCCATGGACACTCTAACATTATCTCAGGTCAATTCCTCTTTATCCAAAAGAGTTGGCCAAAGATTAATGGAATGTGATAATAAGCTGAATGATCTGCATATAGATGTTTTACATTTCCAAGAATAGCATTGCTTCCAAACTTCTTAGCCATTAGCAGTTCCGTAAGCTGGCTTGCAGACTGAAGGCTGCCACTTACTCCTTTTCCCAACACTTGCCTTCTTCCAGATCCTTTAGCTCCAGCTCAACTCATCTACTCACTGTGTCCTCAAGCCACTTTCAGCATCTTGCCTGCATCCCTGTGTTCACTGGCCAGGCCCGTTGTTCACCCCCCTGCCCATCCTTCTGGACCTTCTTCAAGTTCACAGTTCACAAAATCTTTCTATAATCTTTCCTCTGATTTCATTCAGTTTATAATCTCATTTGGACATTTTTTTCTGCTTTTTGACACTTCTAGTGTTCTTATTTAATCCATTGTATTTGCCTAAACCATTAAAAAATGTCTTCTTTTACAAAGAGACATTATCAGCAATTTCATATGCTTTACCCTACATATTTATGATTTCCCACACACATTGGATTGTAAAGAGATTTTTTTTTTTTGTAGTGCCCAGTGGTCTTGTGCACAGTCAGAGCACAGTAAATAATAAAATGCACTTGAAATAAAATGTTATTAGATGAAATTCAATTTTATTTTATAGCTCAGAAAGTACTTCTAGTTTTTGCAGCGCCACCAAACATATGAACATCAATTTGTTGATTCAGTCTTCTCTTCACTTGTGAAAGTTCTAGGGGTTTGGGTTGAATCTGTACTTACTTTATTACTTATTACAATGATGGTTAACTATTTTATTGGAAGACATTATGAACCATGTCTTATTCAGTGTTGTATCCTCAGTGCCTGGCATATACTAGGGACTCAATAAATATTTCTTGGAGTAATGAATAAATATAATTCTCACCTTTCTGTTTCTCACAAAATCAGGAAATAGAATATACTCATATTCTATTTGGGGTCAATGAGAAAAGAGAAATTTAGTGTGCTACTTTAGTTATTTTTGTTGACGGGTTAATATAAATTCTTCCTTCACATCATCTGGACCTTTTTTCCTCTTTTCAATATTGCTGCTTAATATGTAAGTCTCAGGTTCATTTGCTCTAACACAGGCACATTGTAAACCATATGATGAGTAGAATTGGATGCTGTAGCAGCTACGCAAGGCACAGACATAGCATACCACAAATATCATTATGCAATGACAATGGAGGGGATCCACAGAACCTACATTTATATCTGCAGATTTCCCTTTACAATAAAAGATATAAGTTGGAATGAGAATAAATCAGAAAATAGGGAGGTTATAGTGGTATCTGTTGTCACATATTCTAGTTAATTTTGGAGCAGCCCTCAGACCAACATGGGCCAGTATTAGCCAGAGGAAAATGAAAATCAGCACTTAAAGGAGTGTCCATCATCATAGCAGGTGGTCAGTAACTATTTCGAGGATTAAGTGGGAGAGGGTTAGAATACTATTAGAATTCTTGGTTCTTTTTATCCCCAAGTGCTTGTTTACATATAAAATAGAAAATTGCTTAAAGTATTGACTATTTGCGCAAGGAAGGTGGCAAATGTACTGACTCAGGAGCAAGGCCATGATAATAATGCTTGTCCTTAGCTGACGACACACTCCTGCCCTTGGAGATTCTGTACCAACCGTGTCTTTGTTTACCACTCTATGATGATTAAAACACACCACCTACATATTTCACATGAGTGAACCAGGATGAATGAATGGATGTTTGCAAGCACCCCAGGGTCCAGGAGGTGAAGTTATGCAAACATCAGTTGTTGTTATATCACCCTCTGCCCTTGGCTAAGGGCCAATATCAACAAGTTCTCTTTTTCCCATCTGCCTTAGAGTTTTCCATGAAGATTTAGATCCTGAAGGTGAAGTGCGCTTTGTTCTCCTTCACTCCTAAAGATGCAGTGTGGCCTTTGACACATTTTTCCTCTCTGGGTCTTAATTTCCTCCTCTAGTAGAAGGGAGCTGAATCATGGTCTGCAACTGGTGACCTATACATTTGTTTTGTTATTTTGTGCAAGTGTCTTTTCTTGTTTTGCTTCATTTTTTATGTGCTTTTGAATCCCTCTTGGGAGAATGTGCCTTCTCATGTGTGACCGAAGCTCTACCACTCTCTACACCTCTCTTCATTCATTTACATTCTGTTCTTGGGCCTGGAGGGTGTTAGACGTCCTGATACTGCATGTTCTCTGAGGTTTATTCTTGTCATAGCTGTCTCTTTTCTGCTAACTCCACATATAGTTCCCATTGAAGAACAATAACAATGTAATATAAGGGATAAAATCAAGACAACAGTTTAGACTAGAGAACCAGATGTCCTTTTTAAACTGTAATGGGTATTAGCAAGTTATGTTTCTTACAGGATTTCCTCAACTTTTTGCTCACCTTATTTTGAAAATGTGTGTGTGTTTATTTTCCAGCAATTTGACCAATTTAACTTGACATTTTCTGTGGAGGATTTATAGTTTTCTAAAGCATACATAATTTGAAAAGTCCAAGCACTGTATATTTGTGAGATTTAGTGCAAATATTCTTTGCAAAAAGAAAATTGTTTCTTTATTCTCAAAGCACTTTAACTACATAAACTGCTGAAGTGGTGAATACATTTTAAGTGTGTATTTTGAAATAATTTTAGACGTAACATAGAAACTGCAAAAACAGCACAGAATTCCCATATACCCTTCACTCAGCTTCCCTTAATGTTGACATTTGTCATCACCATGTTACAGTCATCAAAACTGAGAACTAAACATTTAACCAGTGCATTTTAACATGTTTGTCTTATCTCTGGCTGCTCTATGTGACTTTTTATCTTATTTTAACTACTTTTCTCAAAGAATCACTATTAGAGGAATTTTTAGAAAAATATCTACAGTAAAGGAATTAGAGAAATGATTTTCCATTTTGTACTTCTAGTTAGTTATGGGGCTGAAAGTTCTCTAAATTCTTTTAATATGTCCCTTTGAAAACAGACAGAACTGTAACTTGTCATCTAAAATGAAAGGTTAATCATTATTCATCAGAAGAAACAGAGACTTCTTGTCAGTACAGGAAGTTCTAACTTCCTTTTGTGGTAGGGTTCATTGCAGTTTATTTTAGTGCTTTTTTCAAAATAATAAACCTGACATAGCCAAAATGGTAATTAACTTTAATCTGATGTATTTTCACTGTTATTACTTTATTTTTGATTGATTGATTGATTTTTTTTTTTTTTTTGAAATGGAGTTTCATTCTGTTGTCCAGGCTGGAGTGCAGTGGCACGGTCTCGGCTCACTGCAACCTCTGCCTCCTGGGTTCAAGTGATTCTCCTGCCTCAGCCTCCTGAGTAACTGGGACTACAGGCATGCACCACCACACCTGGCTAATTTTTGTGTTTTTAGTAGAGACGGTGTTTCACCATGTTGGTCAGGCTGGTCTTGAACTGACCTCGGGTGATCTGCCTGCCTTGGCCTCCCAAAGTGTTGGGATTACAGGCATAAGCCACCACTCCCTGGCCTGTTATTACTTTATAAGTACCGTTTTTAACCATTAGTAAATGTAGTAAATAAAATGGAGTATTTACAAAGATGCAACCTGAGTGATTAGTAGGAAAAAAAAGATATTTGTGGATTTGTGGGCGATTTACCATAATGATTCAAATGACTCTGTTTTATATTTAGTAAATATGAGGCCACCTGAGGATCTTTTGAGTAGCTAAGGCAACCATGGAATAAAAACGGGTTTCTGGGTAGAGATCTGAAAACCATATCACAAATACTCCCTATGTTATTTAGTTAGTAGGTTAATATTGCACAATTTAGATTAATTACACTCAGGTAATTTTGCCATGGCATGTGTTTCTTTCTCTGTCACATGTGTTTACTCAGCAATTACCAAGACATCACGAGCAAATGAGGGGCCTCTCTAGGGACTTCTTTAGCATTAACCCAAATTTCAAACAATAGAGGATAGAAATTACTTCTGAGAGTTTCTTTTAAAAAATGGATTTAAAAATTCAACAATGAATCATAACTGTGATTATAGCTGTACTTGTCTAGGGCTGTACGCACCAAACCCTGAGGTTTGGAAAAGTCTCTTCTCTCCCATCTGAGATGGTATTCAGGTCCCATGACTGAGGTGTACAAAAAAAGCAAAGACACCAAAAGTTTCTGTTTTTAAAGTAGCATGCCTTTGGTTTTTATATATAATCTTTCACTACTGTGACTACTCCCTATATAACAAAATAACAAACTTAATTTCCACCTTCTCATTAGAATGGAAGAAAAACCCATATAGGTACAAGTGTTTGTGTAGCAAATTCTCTTAACACTTATTTTACAGATAAGGCCAAAAGTTTTTGTAAAAAGCCAAAGTTTTTGGCCTAATCTCATTGGTAGAATAAGTGTTAGAGAATCAGTGGTTTTCTATTTTTATTTTAGCAATAGAATCCTTTTCTCTAATGAAACTGTATGCAGAACCCCAGAGAAGTAAGATTGCTTTGGTTTAAATGGAGAGTCCACCTTGAGCTTTAACTGCTTGGCCACAGTTCTCCTTTCCCAGCCTCACTCTCGCCCTCTCCTGGTTGTCATGGAGTTGTCAATTTCTGGGTTAGTCCCCTCAGACTCTGTACTTAGGGCTGTGGTTCTCAATTAGAGATTCATCTAGGGTTGCTGTGAAAACAGTTTTGTTACTTAAAAAGATAGACTTTAATAATCCAGACCAGTGGTATTCAGGTGATATTCAGACTGGTGTGTCACTGGTCCATGAGCAGATAAAGACAGAAATTGAGAATAAGAGTTTAGAAATATTTACAGCACTTCAGCATTGCCATGACATCTTAGGCACATCACCAGTGGCATTGTCTCACTGAACAGGATTTGAACCAAAAGTATCAGTCCATAAAAGATTGGAAATTAAAGAGTTCTTTATTACAGATAGTTTCAGAAGCACAGCGATGAGTATTTTCTTATATAGAACTCTAAGTTTCCCCCAATGACTGAATAATTCCTGAATGTGCTCAGGATTATTACAACATCACAAATGCTCATCAACTGATTTTATTTATAAAAGAGTTTTATGAGCGATTTGTTGACCTAAAAAAGTAATAACACAGGTTTTTTTTAAAATAATCCTTTTATCCGTTCATCCATTTATTAGGCATTGCATTCAATAAATATTTATTATTTGCCTACAACTCACCATTCTCTGGTGAATAGTGGAAGCCCAGTTCCTGGCCTTCTGTGGTAATAAGGCAATTGCAACATCAAAACCTCCCAGAGCAAACCCATACATTTGATATTGGATTTTCCTGATTACCACATAATAACAATATGTGGGGAGTATAGGCTGCTCTGTGGGCATCGAGAAGGAGCACCAGACTTGGGATGTCAGAGGAGGTTCTAAGCCTTAAAATAACTGTTAAAAGCAAATAACTGACAAAATAAGTCACTCCTTACAGATTGTGATACATATTTTTTGAGGGCTTATGCCATGCTTACACTGTGTCATGCACTATGTGCTGTTCTATGTGTCAGGGACATATTTGTGGATGAAACAGACACAGTCCCTGCCATAGGAGGCTTATAAGCTAGTTCAAAGAAGTCAATAAATGGACAAGAGGATTTCCGATGTTGATGAACTCCAGAAGGAAAGAAAACAGAGTGCTGTGGTAAGTATGAGTGTGTGGGGGTGAATATGTCACAGATACTCATCAGAGGAGACCCCACTTAGGAGAGCACATCTGACCTGAAACCCAAAGGATATGGAGAAGCCAGTGTGAGATTATGGGAAAAGAACAGCAAGCAGGCAGAAAGTGCTTAAGGCAAGAATATAGTTGGCATGTTCATGGGCACAAATGGTCTTAGTCTGTTTTGTGCTGCTATGATAGAATACTACAGACTGGGGTATTTATTTATTAGTTTATTTTTAAGAGACAGGATCTTGTGCCGTTGCTCAGGCTGGAACGCAGTAACACCATGAGGGCTCACTGCAGCCTCAACCTCCTGGGCTCAAGCAATCCTCTTGCCTCAGCTTCTTGAAGCTTGCACTACAGGTACACACCACCACACTTGGCTTATTTTTAAATTTTTTGTAGAGATGGAGTCTTGGTATGTTGCCCAGGGTGGTTTCAAACTCTTGACCTTCAAGTGATCCTCCCACTTCAGCCTCTGAAGGTGTTAGGAATACAGGTATGAGCCTTCATGCCTGGCAGACTAGGTAATTTATAAAGAACAGTTCTGGAGGCTGGGAAGTCCAAGATCAAGGTGCTAGTAGGCTTGGTGTCTGGTAAGTGCCCAGTCCCTGCTTCCAAGATGGAGGCTTGAATGCTGTTTTCTCTGGGAGTCACACTTTTTCTTACATGGCAGAAGAGCAAAGAGAGAGAACTCATTCCTGAAAGCCCTTTGTAAAATGCACTAAACCCACTCATGAGGACAGACTCTTGGCTCAATTATCTCTCAAAGGTCCTACCTTTTAATACTGTTTTAGTGGCAATTAAATTTCAACATGAATTTTGGAGAGGATAGACATTCAAACCATAGCATTTGGCATGTTCGTGGGTTCATGTTTCTCTCTAGAAAGCCAACATGGCTGAAGTGGAGGAAGCAAGAGGGAGAGGGGAGGAGGCAAGCTCAGAGCAGTGAAAGTCATGGTTGGAAGCCAAGTCCAATAGAAGGCCACAGGAAGGTTGTAAGCCACAGAGTGGTATGATCTGATTTACATTTTAAAGCATTCCCTGGGGTTCCTGAGGATGTAGAGGAGCAAGAGTGGAAGCAGAGAGACTCTTGAGGGGGTTGTGGCAGTCATCCAGGCAGAGAAGATGGTGGCTTGGAGTAGGGTGATAGTAGGAGTGGAAAGAAGGGAAAGCTAACTAGTTTTGCTGGTGGCTTGAATATGGGAGGTAGAGGAAAGAGAGGAGCCAAGAATGTCCCCTGAACTTTTGTCTAGAGAGCCATTGTGGTACCAGTTACCAAGATGAGGAGCACTAGGGGCATTTGTTACTAGGGGGTGGGGGTCAAGAGTTCTGTTTAGGGTATGTTAAATTTGGGATGCTCATTAGGCATCCATATAGTGACTTTGTGAATTTAGGAGGTCAGAATGGGGTTAGGGCTGAACATATAAATTTATAATTGCTGATGGTATGTAAAACCATGGGACTGCAAGAGATCCTTGGGAGAGGGGGCAGATAGAGAAGGGAGGAGGACCAAGGACTGAGCTGCTAGGACATGAGATCATAACAACATCTGGCGAGGTCAAGCAAAGAAAGAGGGAAATTCAACTCAGTAGTTGGAAGCTAATGCAGCAGGCGCTGCTTAGTTTGTATCCATAGCAAAGATCCTTTACCTTCATTACCCACAGCTCTTCCACATGGAGTCGTTGATTTTAGTGGATATATGTGGGCACTCTGCCCAGAGCCTCTCCCATTCCTTGGGACTGTGTGTCCTCGTATTGGCTTCAATGTTCTGCTTTAACAGCTAGATTCTGTATGTCTTTTTGAGAGGACTGCCTCTAAGTGACTTGGAGTCACTACCACAAGAGAGGAGTGCCTGGGGAGTTATGACTGAAGGCTACAGGAATATGAGAGCCAGGCTCTCACTTCTCTCAGTTTAGACAACTCTGAGGACTAATCTACACTGCAGCATTCCTCCATGGGCTTAGACCAAAGCTACCCTCTAGAGAGCTTTTGTGTTAGCACCCTTGCCTGACCTCTGTTGGGAATGCTTTCTTAATACATTGTCTGCCTTTGGGCAACTTAACATATGAACTGCCCTTCCTTCCCCCATCTCCCATTTTGTATTATAGTGTAGACATTAGTATAATGTAATCATTTTTGTTAATTTAAAATGGGATTAGGTTAACTATTTTAAAGCATTCCCAACTTCTCAAAGCTTTTTTTCAGAATATCTCCATTTAAGCAGCCATTAAATGGAAAGGATTTTGTTTTTTATCCTAAAGACAATTATCTGTTTCTGCTGATACTGGTGAATTTGTTTACTGTTTAGTTAAGTGCAACATTTCCAAAGAGTCATTTATATTCAGCCTTCCAGCTCACAGAGTACATGCTGATCTCAAACAGATATAACGATTAGATCATTATTTCCTGTTCACATACTTGTTCAATACAATTATGGAAATTAAGCAAGAGAATAAGACAGGGTGTTTAGCGAGTTTGATAGTGGTAAACGCGATCCCCTTCTAGCAGAAGAAGCCTGTGAGCTTCTCCATAGGCTCTCCTGTGCTTGTCATTGCGGCTTCTATTTTCTGCTTCTAAACTATAGTCTGTAGCTATAGTTTGAGCAGGAATTCGAAGCCAACAGCAGGACAGTGTGGCTATGTAGAGTATTTCTTCTGTATTTGAGGGAAGAGTAAAGTTAGATTCTATTTATTTTGAATGGATTTCCATTTATTTTAGAACTTACGGGGCATTTTTGTATTTGCATATTAAAAGCACTTGGGTCTTTGGCTTTTAAACACTACCTTGCAGATCCTCCATTCTTTTTACCTCCCCTTCTCTCCCTTCTCCCTTCTCTTTCTTTCTTTTAGAGTAAAAATAGATGCTAAATCTCTACCTGAACACCTCACAAACATGTTTTAAAGTTCACGAGTGGGTTTTTGTTTGTTTTTTTGCTTGTGGTAGAAACGCATACCTGTAATAGCTTCTTTAACCTTTTAGCAGTTTTCAGTCTGAGAGTGGGCACAGTAAAGGGTCAATAAATATTTGTTGAATGAAAGAGGTGGTGTTATATCCTTGGTACAATCCTAAAGTGTTAATATTGTACCTGTTATTGTTGTGCTCCTGTGCTGAGAGACTTGGTCCCTGGCTCTTAATTGTAGCCCAACTATTTGTCAAAAATATGACAAATATATTGGGAAAATCATTTTTAAATCCTTAAACTGTCTTTGAGCATTTCACAAAATTAAATTTCACTAGATTCAGTGGAAGTGAAATGCCCATTGGTACATTCCTTTTGCCTCTAAATACTTCTGAAACACTTGGATTTTGACCATAGATTTCACAATACATTGAAGCATGCTATTATAAGACAATAATGCATACTTTTTCATGCCTGAACAACACATTGAAGTCAAACCGTGGCATTGAAGCACAGTTGGAAAATTTTACATCCAGTCAAATTAAACCCATAGAACACACTTAATTTTGTATTTGTTATGTAATTGAAAATATGGGCATCTTCAACTTTCTATTTCTATTCTGAAAATTAAAATAATTGCATTAGAAATTGATTAAGAAAAATAAAAGCAAACCAATTGTTCTTTGTCTACTGGCAAACCCATACTTATCTTTTGAGTGAGGGTAAAGCATGCCCTAAATGTTCCCAATGTCCTTTGAATGATAAATAGTAAGTGGTATTCATATTAACACTTTTATTATTGTATTAGAACTAAATCTAGGTTTTCCATGTTTAAATAGATGTTATAAGTGGGTTTTGTCTGTATTAACTGAGAATATTTTGGCACACGCAACCCAACTAAAATTTTCCCTCTGGTTTAATTTTAAAGGAATGCGATGTTAATTCTGGGGCATTGATGTTTTACAATGCCTGATCAAGATAAAAAGGTGAAGACCACAGAAAAATCAACTGATAAACAGCAAGAAATCACCATCAGGTAACTCCCTACTGAGTGTTTGCTAATTGTTAACTCAGGCAGTGGCCATTGAACAGATTTAATGGCTTTTTGAGAAATAGAGAAGACTCTTGACAACTACTATTCAGAGTTACAGTGCTTACTGAAACATCTGGTCATTTCTAGTGTTCTAAAGAAAATGTTTAGTGTGTGTATTCATTCCAGTTGATAAAAGCAGGCCTCCAAGTGGCAATGCCATCAGTGGGTAACACGATCTTGTTCACCTGGAGCCTTCTGTGGGTTCACATTGTGTTATTCTCTCTCCTAGGGACTATTCAGATCTTAAAAGACTTCGGTGCCTTTTGAACGTCCAATCAAGCAAACAACAGGTAGCGTTTTCAAAGAATGTTCACTTGGTAATAAAAGAAAAATCATATGTTTCCAAAGGGCTCCATTTAACATATCTATGAATGATATGTCTGCTTTTCTTTGCTCATTATTCACATCTTTGCTCTTTCTTCATCTGGCTGTTTCTCTGACACCTGGTTCAGGCTTTGCCAAGATTTGGCATCCACATTCGTCTCTCAGGCCAGGCCCTGCTTTAGCCTATGCTTCTCACCCTGTGTCCTACTTAGCAAACCCTTTCCTCTTCGGTCTGTAAACAAACTGCATACTCTTTTACTGAACGGCCAACCTTTGGTTTTCTGAGCTTTAGGGAAATTGTTATTTTCAAAGCACTTTCTACCACATTTTTCTCCTCCTTCCCCCTTACTCTTCCCAATCCTGCCCCCTTGCTACAGTGCCACTCTTGAGGCTGCTGCACAATGTACCTCACCAAACAGAGGGGCAAGGAGTGATTTTTGGCTATTTTTATAGTAGCATTTTCATGTTCTTATTAGAGAAAAAATGGTACTTCTGCTTGAATTTATCTCCAAACTTTTCATTTTGGTTTTGCACCTGTGAGACTTTGGAAAGTGATGACATTAGAGGCCATCCAGGGAGGCTTGGGGAACAGCATAGCAATGCTAATAATAATGAAAATAGCAGACACTTATTTAGCACCTTAACTCATAAATGGAAGGGATGGGACTTGAACCCTGGTAGTCTGGCTCTAAAGTCTACATTGTTCTTGCTTAAGTAAATCTGTTTAAGAGCTCTGGTGTTTGGTAATCCAGCCCTGACAGTTTTTGTTATATCAATCACATTTACCAGAGAACTATAGCATTTTTATCTGCTTATACTGGAAAATGATTTGATGGCATGTAAAAGCCAAATAATGATAGTTCGTATTTAGGGAACACTTTCTATGTGCCCGCTGCTTTACCTGCATTACCCTGCTTAATAATTACAACTCCCATTTTTACAGATGAGGAAACAGCCACAAAGAAATCAAGTGACTTTCCCAAGATCATACAGCCTCCTAATTGGTGAAGTCTAGTTCTGAACCCAGACACCCTATCTTTGCAGTGTGTGCTTCTAAATACTGAGATACCTGTTAAATGACTTGCAAAATTAAGTCCGTTCTTTCTTAAAGAGGCAAACAAGATGGCTAGGCATACAGTTTGGAGTGTAGTGCCCATTCTTTCCCACTGTACATCCTGTGATGTAACCATAATATCAAAGACTTCTACTTTTTGCTTTTACTATTTCCTTCTCCTAAATTTCTTTCTTATAAAATCTCACCCATTTCCAAGACCCAACTCTAATGATATTACCTCCATATAGTTTCCATTCTAGAGGTGATCTCTGTCTTCCCAAGGCTCCTTCTTTTACTGCTGTGGCATTATTTTCTCCTGCGCTTTGGAAACTCTTGTTTACGTGTCTTATTTCCTGACAAGATCTTGTATTTCCTAATGCCAGCAACTTTGACTTTTGCCTCTGGTTCACTATATTTGATGAGTTCTTGGCCAGATTTTGCTAAATTGAATTGTGACTTGAGAAATGGGTCACCACATGAGGATGTATAACCTCCTAGCCAGGGCAAAAAACAAAAAAAACCAAAACCAAAAACCAATATAGTTTTTCTGGCTCTAATTTTCCAACTTTGAAGTTTATGCTGACTGGATCTCTCGTGTGCCCTTTCAACACCGCTTGCTTGATAACACCTGGCAGGCTTAATTAAAGTTAATTTAGTGATTTTTTTCCCCCTTTAACCAATTTTCAAATTTGCAATCTGTTGTGGGACAACTTTACATGGCATATATTTTTGTAAAATCTTTCACATGTACAAAAATGTATATTTGTAATGCTTGAGTTATTCAGAAAATAGATGGTGCTAAAAAAATAAAAATACTGTCAATTTAATGAAGATCCTTAGGTTTACAAAATTAATGCCTAATTGTGTTTATAAAAGTTTCATTCATTTGTAATTTTGAAATAAGAAATGTTACCCTGTTCTCCTTTTGGTAAAATAATGTGGAGACATTTATAGGGAGGGAAGATATTGGAGAAAATAACTCAAGTTACACTTATTTATACTTTGCTTGTTCCAGAAAGAGTCATTAAGAGCTTATAAAGAGACAGAAAGTGTGATAGGTTGTCATACATTAAAACCAGGGCCCAAAATAAGAGAAAAACAAGGGTTGGGAGCAAAGTAGAGTTGGGGTCAAGCAGAAATGCTCAACAAAATATACACATGGGCAACATATTTGGTTCGGAGATTTTCAGTACTCAATTTGAAAAGTGAAACCTGTGATTAAGGCCCACTCAGCTGCATTTCTGCGCTAACAAGTTGTGGCCTGTTTTTTGCAAATGAACCAGGCTGGCCAAATTCAGGTTACAGAGGAAATCTACCTTGTAGGTAGAGAGTGCAGAGAACTGAATGCCCTTCCTCTGGATCTCTAAGGAGCGAGGCTACTTCCCCTGTTGTTCCATTGTGTTCCAGTGTTCTACTTTTGTTCTTTGTCCTGACCTACACTCTGTGTATCTCTGCATATCTCTAGGACAGTCTCATAATGTGACAGAACTGGAGACAGAGACACACAGAGGCAGAAAGGCCTCCTTCAGGATGAGCAGGCTTAGAATAATCATAATCCAGGAAAACCCAATAACTCAAGAGAAAGAACTGCCCCAGGATTACTGAGGCAAAGTGAAACTACAAAGCTGATTGGAGATGTCACCAGAGCTTTTCACAAATCTTGAAGCAACCTGATGAGACCTGGAATTCAGATTATTTTCTTCCTCCACATTTAGAGCCATAGGAAGCTAAGGAATTTATTTGGAATTTTAAAAAAAGATGGAAGAAAGAAGAAAATTAATTTGTTATGGGCTTATTAATTGTCTTGAAATAAAGGTTTTGATAGATGCTGTAGAAAGAACACGTATAAGGCATGGTGGTGGTTCTTATGTTTTGAGAGAGCGGGAGTAGGCACAGATAATTATGGTATAAGGCAAGACACCATCCTGGTTGAATGATGCATGCAGTGAGCATATAGCTTTTGAGGAATAGGAAGCCAATTTTAGCTTGAATGACAGGGAAGGAGGTGGTTCTTAAAAAATAGGCTGCTTTTCCGTCAGTGGAATTGATAGAAAGGGCATTCTAGGTGAAGTGAGTAAAATAATCAAATATCTGAAGGAAGGAAAATGACAAGCATTTAAGTAAAAGGGTGACTAGACATTTCTATTCGATAAATAAAGCTGGAAGACACTATGTAATGTCTGAAAGCCTATCTGTGAATTTTGGACTTGATTCCATCAGCAACAGAGAACGTTGAAGTTTGCAAGCAGAAGTGACACGACTTTCTTGACATTCTGGTCCATGGACTGCAACCCCCTTCCGTGACCCATGGGACTGTAAGCTCCTTGAAGACAAGAGACCATGACTGTTCTGCTTACTGTATATATACAGTGTCTCAAGCAATGTCTGGTATATGATGTGTCTGCAACAAATACACTGAATTAATGGATGAACTTTTCTGAAGGTGGTTTAGCAGATGAATTAGTTTGGCAAAGAGACTGGGAACAAAGTGAGCATTTGTTCCACAGCTTCACATTTGAATACCTACAATATGCCCAGCTCTGTGAGAGGTGCTAAGAACACAAAGATTAATAGATGTGATGCTGCCCTCAGGGTGGCCAAATTCAAGGGGAAAGGATGTTGCGTAAGCTATACATTATACTAGCCTGAGATAAGTTTTGAAAGAGAGGTAAGCATGGTATTGCCACCAGGAAAGGAATGAACAACTCTATCCAGGAAGGCCTGGGCAAGTGCTTGTCAGGAGGTTAAGTCACACCCTGACCCAAGATCAGGAGTAACAGGCTGCAGATGCCCAGGTGTGGAGAGATCAGACACACAGAAGATAGACAAACTGGGGACCCAAGAGAAAAGACTCTAGGTTTTGAACCGGATTCTGAATGTACATTTCTTTCATATGAAGTGCTACTTGCTTCAAGGTGCCTACTATTAGGTTCCTGGTCTTTGCAACTATCGATGCCAAATCCATCTTATCCACCCGTTTTCCATGAGTTGATTTCCGATACAGGCCACCTGCTCTGCCTGCAAAGGGAATGGCTGCAAGCTGCGGCAGCTTTCCACTCCTCTCTTGGAATCACCTGGGCTTGCTTTCTCTGTGCTGGCTAATTTCTCTCTTGCAAACTTTTCTAGGAGTTGTACTAATGGTAAGGGGGTTTAGAATCTCTTGGGCCTGGAAAACCTACTTCTTTTATGCGGTATATCATGATATTTTGAGTATAATATGGGAAAATTTGCTTGTGCTGCTACTTCATGTTAGATATCATTTGGATTAATAGTTCATATTCAGAAATCACCTAATTTGTAATGACAAATTTTATTCGTTTAGCAAAATTCATCTGTATAATAGGAATAATTATGAGGATTAAAAGAGTATGTACAAAGCAATTAGAACTATGCTTGACACATAACAAGTGTTTTATAAATAGTAACTCATGCAATTTTCATAACCCTAGAGTTATATACTATTATTATTTCCATTTTAATGATACAGAAACTGATGCACAGAGAGATTGAGTAAATTTTCTAAGATTATGCAGCTAGTTAATGGTAGATTTAAATTCATAGAATCTGGCCAGGGAATTTGTTCTCTTAACCACTAAGCATTGCTGGCTCAGCCTATTGTCTTTTGGTGGTTGTAGATTGGCTGACCGAATTGAGATAGAAAAGTAGTTTTATAGGATGGAAGATTTATTATTAACATTTTGAAAATCTGACTGTGGCTGGCATATGATAAAAAAGGATTTTAGTTTTTTTGTTAACTATTAAACAATGTCTTTATTATAATCCATTTTTCTGTAAGCTGACATTATAAAAAGTCAGGCATATTCTCTTTGAATAAAAAAATGATGTCTTTTTTTTTTTTTTTTTTTTTTTTTTTGAGACGGAGTTTCACTCTTGTTGCCCAGACTGGAGTGCAATGGCACGATCTTGGCTTATCGCAACCTCTGCCTCCTGAGTTCAAGTGATTCTCCTGCCTCAGCCTCCCAAGTAGCTGGGATTACAGGCATGTGCCACCACACCTGGCTAATTTTGTATTTTTAATAGAGACGGGTTTCTCCATGTTGGTCAGGCTCCCGAACTCAGGTGATCCACCCACCTGGGCCTCCCAAAGTGCTGGGATTACAGGCATGAGCCACTACGCCTGGCTGAAAATGATGTCTTCATACTGATTTACATTAAATACTTCAGTGAAATAAGACAACAAGTGCAACATATTATAACTTTGGTAATATATAAAATGGAAAAATTTACTGAAAAATGATTTTTTTGTTATGTTATACTCTGCTTACCTCATCTGTAATAATTTAGCTAATTATAGAACGTCCTTCATTTGTACTTTGGAAAAAACAGGATATTTGTCTATACCATGCCCAACTTTATTGTGTTATCAGAAACCTTAGGGTTACCCCAATTATAGACAAATACTGGTAAGTGAAACTATTTGAATACTGATAACCTGACAATTTATTATTGCAAGTGAAGCATAGTGAAGTTGTTGTAGTTAAATTTTTACTTATGGTAAATTTGATAATATATTTTAATGTCTTTTATAAATATGATTGAGTAATCAGGATGTTCAGACTGATTAAAAGTGGTAGAATCTTCTTTATTGTTATATCCCTAACACCAGGAAAATAGTGTGTACACCTGGTAAATATTGAAGAATGAATGAATGTATGATGACTCATTCTCAATTTGGGCACTCTGCTCTATATCAGAGTGTTCTACCTGGATCCAGGAGCTCTCTAGTCAGCTTGCACGTTTGAATCACATGAGAAACTTCAAAACCTCCTGATGCCCAGGTGTCACCCCAAACCTATATCTGTTTTAGGTGCTGGGGTAATAGCATTGAACAAAAACAGGCAAGTTCCTGCTTGTGTTGACGTGACATTGTAATCAAGGGAGACTAAAAGTACATAAATAACTGTCAGATATGACAAGTGGTGTTACAAGCTATGAAGAAAAATAAAACAGTGTAAGGTAGATGTTTAAGTCAAAGACACTTGATTTGAATCTTGGAAAACCCTTACATTTGAAAGGGTTGTTATCTTAATTATTGGCCTGGAAAAAATCTCAGTCTCTTCATCCTCCCCATATTTTGTTACTTTCTTTATCCCGTGCTGAATTGTGATCCTCATGTACTCTATGCTTCTATTTCTGTAGCTTCCAGCCATTAACTTCGATAGTGCCCAAAATAGCATGACGAAGTCTGAGCCCGCCATCAGGGCGGGTGGACACAGAGCTCGGGGTCAGTGGCATGAATCCACAGAAGCTGTTGAACTTGAAAATTTTAGGTAAGAAATCCAGCATCTCCTTCGTCTTCAGCAACTTATTCTGCTTAGCTCACAGTTTTATTTAAGTTTATCCCAGGAGCTAAAATTTAAAACCCGCTTCAAAATTTACCATAGCGATTCTTAATTTAATATTTTCAGTTAGTGCTTAAACCATTCCCAGAAATAATATGTAAATAACAGGTTTAATGGGTACAGGTGGAACTGACCTGGGAGATTTAGGACCCTATGCTGACATGCGTTTGGCATTGCTCAATGAGGAAGTGGTTCCAGATTATTGACCTGGTTAGGCTTGTCCCAATCTTTGTCTGTCTAGATCTTGCCAGTAATGAGATGGCATAAAAGGAGCCGTTGCTGTGAACAGATGTGGTGGTTAAAGTATATCGTTGTCAAAACAACTGAGGTTTTCAGTTGAAGGGCTTGCGGCACACCTCTAACATTGAAAGTGTCAGGTAATGTTCATCTCTGTTGCCAAGCAGACCTCTGCAAAGCTACACATTCTTGTGGGCCACTCCCCTCTCGGGAGCTGGTTCTCTCAGTTTTACAGTGTGCTTGGGTCATTTGGCACTAAGTACCATGTAAATAGTGAGTGGCATGAAATATCAATATGAATATTCTAGAAGGATCATTTGTTTATTTGGCCTAGATTTTGTTTTTGTTTCCCTGTCATCTTATGACAACAAATTTAATAGTATGGGAAAGTTACATGACATTTCATGTGTTCATATTTTAAAAATATATTTTTAGTGAGGAACACTTAAATACTTAAAAAATTGTCATATAGTGAGTACCAGTGCCCGTGTACTAAGAAACCATTACAGCCCTCAGGTGACTAGGATGGGGACATGCTGTCCAATGGCATCTGAAAGACTGAGAAGGCAGAACATTACGCATGGCAACATAAGGTTACACACCTTTCCTTTGAGGTTGTATGTTCATGGAATTCCAGCTTATTTGTTCTAGATCTGAAAATTAGTTTTATTTAATTATGCACAAAAATATTGTATCATGTATTTGGTAGCAATGTGACCCTTTCATTTTTTCTTATCCTTTTCTAGTTTTAAAATAGAATGTTTTAGAGGTATTTTTAACCTCTTTGGTGGGCTGTAAGATCAGCAAAAAGAAGCTGAAGCTGGAATATCTCAGAATTTTTTAAACACACACACAAAACCATATAAACAATCAACAGTGACAGTCAACATGGCTGAAGGTGCATAAACTGTGTTAATAAACTCTTCTTATCTAGAAGGTATTATAAATGATAACCACTGGTGTTGATAGCAAGATCAGCCAGTGGGGTCGAGGGTATGTGGAAAAGTGGAGAGGGAATTCTTCTCTTCCTGTTACACAGCTGTCTAAATAATGTGCCCCAATCATTCTTTCTCTCCATTTACCCTTTTCTTCCCTCCAACCAATTTTAGCCATTAGTGTTTATAGGGAATAATTTAATGAATATGATAAAAGGAAATACATATGCTTGACTATATTTTATTTTTAACCTTATAATTGAATTTCTACTTCTTATTTTAACAGCTGATAGTTGCTTTTAGCAACATGTTAAACGCAAGGCTCCTTCAATATTTGCCTGAATCCTCATTAGTATAGTGGTTAGTAATAATAAAAATGTTACCTGAATATAGATGATCTTTGTCTGCACTGGCAACTTTGAGACAGCCTGATCTCTATTACAAAATCCTTTTCTGTTTGTTTTGTCTCAGTATAAACTACAAGAATGAGAGAAATTTCAGCAAACATCCTCAGCGTAAACTATTTCAGGAGATCTTTACCGCCTTGGTGAAAAATAGACTCATAAGCAGGTAAGATTGTTCCTGGAAAACAGGCTTTTACTGAAGAGTGGCATATGTCATCTATCTTGTCTCTAGAACATGATTTGAAACATCTTACAGGATTGAACATGTCATTAAAGGAAAGAAGGAGGCAAATGAGTAGGCATTACAGATGATCTCATTAAAATCACTGATTAGGTACTGAATTTAGCTGAATTTTATGACAGATAAGGAAAAATGGGAAAACACTCGTTATCATGTTTTCTTTATTTTCTTTGAGTTTGGATACTCAAGGAGGAATTTATTGTGTGGGACCTTATGAAAGAGACATTGGACAACACCACGGACAACATTCTTATGCTGCACTTTTGCAGTGATTTAATGACTGATTAAATGGACTGCGCAAGCCTTGATCTTGAGGAAAGAAAGGATGAGTGTGTAACATCCAGCCACAGCCTCATAAAGATGTTTCTTTTCAGGACCAAATCGAACATTCCTTTCTTTGCCTTCTTAACACAGGTGCAGTGTTGGGACTGTAGAGGAAGGATTAGTTAACAAGTCCTCTGGATTCTCTCTCACAAATATCAGGGGTTTTCAGGGAGCCATTGATTGTTGCTGGATTGCAGTCAGGTCCGAATTTTCTGTCCGTTCTGAGCTGCTTCATAGAAGAGCTGGGTATGCTGCTGCCAGATGCAAAGGAGGCTCCTAACAGTGTGTCATTATAGGGTCTTGTCTTTTGCTCTTTTCAGGAGGCGCATACTCTTCACAGATGCATCAGCTGAAAAATGCCTATAAAGAACCTTAAATCTTCCTTGTCACTTTGTTGTGATTTGATTGAGATATGTGAATTCCATCCCAGTGAAAATGGAAAAACATTATTTCTATGGTGAAAAATAAAAATAGGAGTATTAATAATTTAATACCTTGATCAAAATAAAACTCTGACTTGGCCCAGTGCAATAGCTGATTTTAAGTAGAACAGCATTCTGACAGGTCCTCCATGACGAGTCAGCTACTCAATACGTGCTTAAGTGATGACTTCATATCTCCATCTTTTAGATGGGGTCATTTAGTATTATGTATTTAAGTATTGGACTTAAATGACTGTCCAATACATTACTTTTGTTTAAAACAATACAGAATTGAGACTGCATCTGTCATCCCTTTGTACTTAATTTAAGCAGAGGATTATTAGACTGGCTCAGATGATACAAGAAGCCTAAAATCTTTACCAAGGTTATGTAATTGGGTCACTGTTCAGTTATACAAGAAGCCTAAAATCTTTACCAAGGTTATGTAATTGGGTCACTGTTCAGTTCTCGATTACACATTCAAAGATTGTTCAAAGATTAATGAACACTGCAAAGAACCTGAAGTTACATATATATTTCAACTGTTTTCTGCTTAGATTGAATGGAGTGAAACAATGGTAATAACAGAATCATTATGCATAAGGTGGTATTAGGAAATAAAGTTCTTTTTTTTTTTAAAGCCAGCTCACATGGACTCTTCAAGAGATGCCCAGTAGACTATTTATTGGGTCAATACTTTGGGGGAAGGCACTAGATGCAGAAATTGTTAGGGAAAATAACCGGGCACTGGTTGGCATCAACTAGTTGAAAAAGATCTCAACAATTCTAAAGTCGAGAGATCTCTTTTCAGGGTGTTTAAAAATTCTTAGTGATTAAAGGAGCATCTTAGGCTGGATGAAGTTACTGGCTTGTAACATGAGCAGTACCTGGAAGTCTTCAAACTAGGAAGAGATAATTGTAGATCTCTTTGCTTTCATAGTATGAGATGGAATTCAGGAATGTTGAACATCAAGGGCATCCTTTTATGTCATCCTGTGGCTGCTGACAGCTTGTTATGTTCAGTTCTATTCTAAAGGCATTGGGTAAAAGATGGCTTAAATATAAAGGTTTTCCATTGTGCCTCACCCCATGTAACCTTGCTAAAATAGCCAGGATCATCCCTCCTTTTTTTTCTTCCCTTCTAACTTTAGACTTATAGAAGAATTACACCTCAGGACCTTTTCTGATATGGCTTGTTATGCCCTTTCTTTGCAAACATGAGATTTAGTGTTGGGTTGAAGGCTTAGATTCAATTTGATAAACAAAATGGTAAGCATGTACTGTGTGCAAGGAAGGGAGGAAGTAAGTGGTGAAGAAGGACAGGAGGGTGAAATTAAAAAAATTAACAGGACATGTGGTCCTCTTCTCCCTGGGGACTCAAATTCTACTCAGATCAGCAAGACAATTACACAATAAAGGAAAATGTACTAAATATACACAATTTGTATTAACACAACTAACTAAAGGCTGCATGAGATTGAGGGGTGGGTGGGAATTTGGGTCCTTGGTCCAATTATGGTTGTAGATAAGACATTCAGCGTGTTATGCTACTCAATTTTGCCCTGAAAATATGACTTATTGGGAATTTAGTCTCATTTGTGAAGTGTGACCCCTTTCAACTCATTTCTCAATGTCTACCCAATTGGTGATAATGTTCCTCTTCTATTTTACTTACCCCAACTCCAGCTTTTCCCTAAATCACATTTGTGGACACCTCCTTTCTGTGTTTTCCTAAGATTGATTTGTGATTACTCCCCCATTCTCAGAATGAAATTGCCAGATGGCATCTGAAACTGGAAAAGACTTGTTAATCCAGAGTCAGATAAGGTAACACTGCAAATACCTCACAGTAAATCTCAAAGGACAAGGGAAAGTATCATCCCTGAGCCTGGGGTTACTGCTAGTTACACAATGGTAACTAATCTTTAAAAAAATCCTTTTATAATAGTATTTATTTATAATATACTGCTATATAATATTTTACATATTTATGGGGTACATGTGGTATTTTGTTACATACATAGAATGTGTAATGATCAAGTCAGGGTATTTGAGGTGCCCACATCACTTTGAGGATTTGTCAGTTCTATGTGTTGAGAACTCTCTTCTAGCTACTTTGAAATAGACAATACATTGTTGTTAACTATAGTCACGCGATTCTGCTGTCAAATGATGGAACTCATACCTTTCATCTAACAATACATTTGTACCCGTTAACCTACCTGTTTATCCCCCCTTGCACTCACCCACCCTTCCTGGACTCTGGTATCTATTATTCTACTCTCTATCTTTATGAGACTGACTTTTTTTAAGCTCCCATGTATGAGTGAGACCACATAATATTTGTCTTTCTATGCCTGGGTTATTTCACTTAACATAATGCCTTCCAGTTCCATCCATGTTGCTATAAATGATGTGATTTTTTTCTTTTTTATGGCCAAATAATGTTTCATTTTATATATATACTACATTTTAAAAATTCATTTGTTTGTTGGTGTACACTAAGGTTGATTCCATATCTTTGCTTTTGTGAACAGTGCTGCAATAAACATGTGAGTGCAAGTATCCCTTTGTTATACTGATTTCTTTTTCTTTGGATAGATACCCAGTAGCAGAATTGCTGGATCATGTGGTTCTATTTTTATTTTTTTGAGAAATCGTCATAAGGTTCTCCACAGCAGTTGTACTAATTTGCATTCCCACAAACAGTGTATGAGTTCCCTCTTATCCACATCCTCATCTGTTAGTTTTTTGTCTTTTAATCATAGCTGTTCTAACTGGGGTAAGATGATATCTCACTGTAGTTTTGATTTGCATTTCTCTGATGATTAGTGATGTTGAACTTTTTTTCATATACTTGTTGGCTATTTGTATGTCTTCTTTTGAGAGTTGCCAATTCATGTCCTTTGCCCACTTATTTTATTTTATTTTACTGTAAGTTCTGGTATACATGTTCAGAACGTGCAGGTTTGTTACATAGGTATACATGTGCCATGGTGGTTTGCTGCACCTATCCACCCGTTGTCTAGGTTTTAAGCCCCACATGCATTAGGTGTTTGTCCTAATGCTCTCCCTCCTTTTGCCACCCACCACCCAATAGGCCCCAGTGGGTGATGTTCCCCTCCCTGTGTCCATGTGTTCTCATTGTTCAACTTCCACATATGAGTGAGAACATGCGGTGTTTGGTTTTCTGTTCCTGTGTTAGTTTGCTGAGAACGATGGCTTCCAGCTTCATCCATGTCTCTGCAAAGGACATGAACTCATTCTTTTTTATGGCTGCATAGTATTCCATGGTGTATATGTGCCACATCTTCTTTATACAGTCTATCATTGATAAGCATTTGGGTTGGTTCCAAGGCTTTGCTATTGAAAATGGTGCTGCAATAAACATATATGTGCATGTGTCTTTATAGTAGCATGATTTATAATACTTTGGATATTACACAGTAATGGGATTGCTGGTTCAAATGTTATATCTGGTTCTAGATCCTTGAGGAATTACCATGCTGTCCTCCATAATGGTTGAACTGATTTACACTCCCACCAACAGTGTAATAGTGTTCCTATTTCTCCACAACCTCGCCAGCATCTGTTGTTTCCTGACTTTTTAATAATCACCATTCTAACTGGCGTGAGATGCTATCTCATTGTGGGTTTTTTTTTTTTTTTTTTGAGATGGAGTCTCGCCCTGTGGCCCAGGCTGGAGTGCAGTGGCCCGATCTCGGCTCACTGCAACTTCTACCTCCCGAGTTCAAGCAATTCTCCTGCCTTAGCCTCCCAAGTAGCTGGGACTACAGGTGCACACCACCACACCTGGCTAATTTTTGTATTTTTAGTAGAGTCAGGATTTCATCATATTGGCCAGGCTGGTCTCAAACTCTTGACCTCGTGATCCTTCCACCTTAGCCTCCCAAAATGCTGGGATTACAAGCGTGAGCCACTGTGCCCAGCCCTCATTGTGGTTTGGATTTGCATTTCTCTAATGACCAGTGATGATGAGCTCCTTTTCATATGTTTGTTGGCTACATAAATGTCTTCTTTTGAGAAGTGTCTGCTCATATCCTTTGCCCATTTTTTGATAGGGTTGTTTGTTTTTTTCTTGTAAATTTGTTTAAATTTCTTGTAGATTCTGGATATTAGACCTTTGTCAGATGGGTAGATTGCAAAAATTTTCTCCCATTTATAGGCATGGACAAGGACTTCCTGATTAAAACACGAAAAGTAGTTGCAACAAAAGTCAAAATGGACAAATGAGATCTAATTAAACTAAAGAGCTTCTGCACAGCAAAGGAGACTATCCTCAGAGTGAACAGGCAACTTTGCCCACTTTTTAATGGTATAATTTGCTTATTTTTTGCTATTGAGCTGTTTGAGTTCCTTGTATATTTTGGATATTAGTCGCTTGTTGATGAATAGTTTGTAAATATTTTCTCCTATTTAACAGGTTGTCTCTTCACTCTCTTGATTGCTTCCTTTGCTGTGCAGAAGTTTTTAGTATATTATAGTTCTATTTGTCTATTTTTGTTTTAATGTCTGTGCTTTTGAGGTCTTAGCCATAAAATCTTTGCCTAGACCACAACCTACAGAATGGGAGAAAATTTTTGCAATCTAGCCATCTGACAAAGGGCTAATATCCAGAATCTACAAAGAATTCCAACAAATTTACAAGAAAAAAACAAGCCCATCAAAAAGAGGGCAAAGGATATGAACAGACACTTCTCAAAAGAAGACATTTATGCAGCCAACAGACATATGCAAAAATGCTCATCATCACTGGTCATCAGAGAAATGCAAATCAAAACCACAATGAGATATTATCTCACGCCAGTTAGAATGGCAATCATTAAAAAGTCAGGAAATAACTTAGGATGTGGAGAAACAGGAACACTTTTACACTGTTGGTGGGAGTGTAAATTAGTTCAACCATTGTGGAAGACAGTGTGGCAATTCCTCTAGGATCTAGAACTAGAAATACCATTTGACCCAGCAATCCCCATTACTGGGTATGTACCCAGAGGATTATAAATCATTCTACTATAGACACATGCACAGGTATGTTTATTGCGGCACTATTCACAATAGCAAAGACTTGGAACCAATCCAAATGTCCATCAATAATAGACTGGGTAAAGAAAATGTGGCACATATACACCGTGGAGTACTATGCAGCCATAAAAATGATGAGTTCATGTCCTTTGCAGGGACGTGGATGAAGCTGGAAACCATCCTTCTCAGTAAAATATTACAAGGACAGAAAACCAAACACCGCATGTCCTCACTCATAAGTGGGAGTTGAACTATGAGAATACATGGACACAGGGAGCGGAAGATCACATACCGGAGCCTGTTGGGGGGCTGGGAGAGGGATAGCATTAGGAGAAATACCTGATGTAAATGATGAGTTGATGGGTGCAGCAAACAAACATGGCACATATATACCCATGTAACAAACCTGCACGTTGTGCACATGTACCTTAGAACTTAAAGTATAATAATAAAAGAAGAAAAACATTAAAAACTAGCAATCAAAACCCTAAAAAAAAATCTTTGCCTACACCTTCCTATGTTTCATAGGAAAGTGTTTTCTGTTTTTAGTTAGTAGTTTCATAGTTTTGAATCTTAATGTTTAAGTCTTTAATCCATCTTGTGTTGATTTTTGTATATGGTGAGAGAGAGATAGGGGTCCAGTTTCATTCTTCTGCATACTGATATCCAATTTCTTCTGCACCATTTATTGAAGAGGGTGTCCTTTTTGCAGTGAATATTCTTGGTGCCTTTGTTAAAAATCAATTGGCTGTAAATATGTGGATTTGTTTTGGGGTTCTCTATTCTGTTCCATCAGTCTATATGTTTGGTTTTATACCATTACCATGCTGTTTTGGTTACTATGGCCTTGTAATATATTTTGAAGTCAGGTAGTGTGATGGGTCCTGCTTTGTTCTTTTGCTCAGGATTGCTTTGGCTCTTCTGGTTTTTGTTTCATATGAATTTTATTTCTTTTTTTTCTATTTCTGTGAAATATGATCTTTTGATAGGGATTGCATTGAATCTGTATATTACTTTGGGTAGTATGGTCATTTTAATGATATTCTGATCCACGAGCATGGAATGTCTTTCCTTTGTGTCCTCCTTAGTTTCTTTCATCAGTGTTTTGTAGTTTTCCTTGTAGACGTCTTTTACCTCGTTGGTCACATTATTTTTCTAGGTATTTTATTTTTTTGGTAGCTATCGGAAATAGGATTGTCCTCTTGATTTCTTTTTCAGCTATTTCATTGTTGGTGTATAAAAATTCTACTGATTTTTGTAGGTTGATTTTGTATCCTGCAACTTTACTGAATTTAGTTTTCATACCTGAGTCTTTGGTTTTTCTAAATATAAGATCCTGTCATCTGCAAAGAGGTACATCTTCCTTTCCCCCCCGCCAAATGTGTATGCCTTTTATTTCTTTGTCTTGACTTATTGTTCTGGCTAGGACTTCCAGTACTATGTTGAATTTGAGTGGTGCAGGTAGACAGCCTTGTCATGTTCCATTTCTTGGAGGAAAAACCTTCAGTATGATATTGGCTGAAGTTGATATTTTTCTATATGGCCTCTATTATGTTGAGGTATGTTCCTTCTATGCGTAGTTTGTTGAGAGTTTTTAATCAGGAAGGATATTGGATTTTATCAAATGCTTTTTCTGCATCTATTGAGATGATCATATGTTGTTTATCGTTCATTCTGTTGATGTGATGTATAACATTTATTTACTTTTGCATGCCAAACCATTCTTGTTTCCCTGGTGTAAATCCCACTTGGTCATAATGTATTATCTTTCTGATACGCTATTTAATTTGGTTTGCTAGTACTTTGTTGAGGATTTTTACATCTATGTTCATTAGGGATACTGTTCTATAGTTTTCATGGTTTTTGTTCTATTCTTGTCTTGTTTTGTTATTAGGGTAATGCTGGCCTCACACAATGAGTTAGAGAGAATTCCTTCCTCTTCAATTTTCTGGAATAGTTTCAGGAGGATTGATATTAGTTCTTCCTTATATGTTTGGTAGAATTCAGCAGTGAATCCACCAGTCCTAGGCTTTTCATTTTTAAGAGAATTTTTATTACTTATTTAATCTTGCTACTCATTATTGGTCTGTTGTTTTTTTATTTCTTCCTGCTTCAACCTTGGGAAGTTGTAGTTTCTAGGAATTTATCCATTTCCTCTAGGTTTTTCAGTTTGTTAGCATATAATTGTTCATAATAGTCTCTGATGATCTTTTGTATTTTTGTGTTGTCAGTTGTAATATCTCCTTTTCCATTTCTGATTTTGGTCTGGGTCTTTCCGTCTTTGTTAGTCTAGCTAGCGATTCATTAATTTGTTTATCTTTTTGAAGAACCAACTTTTTGTTTTATTGATGCTTTGTGTTGTTTTTTAGCCTCTATTTTGTTTAATTCTGCTCTGATCTTTTTTGTTTCTTTCCTTCTGCTAATTTGGGGTTTGGTTTGTTCTTGCCTTTCTAGTATCTTGAGGTGTATTATTAGATTGTTTAAAATCTTTCTACTTTTTTGATGTAAGCATTTTATTGCTATAAACTTCCTTCTTAGTACAGCATTTGCTTTGTCCTACAGGTTTTGGTATGTCGTGTTTCCACATTCATTTGTTTCAAGAAATTTTTCTATTTACATTTTAGTTTCTTTATTGACTCAATGGTCATTCAGGAGCAAATGTTTAATTTCCATGTATTTGTGTAGTTTCCAAAGTTCCTCTTGTTATTGATTTTTAGTTTTATTCCATTCTGCTCTGAGAAGATACTTGATATGATTTCACTTTTTAAAAATGTGTTGAGACTTACTTTTTAGCCTAACATGGTCTATCATGGAGAATGTTCTATGTACTGAGGAGAAGAACTGTATTTTGCAGTTGTTGAGTTGTTGGATAAAATGTCCTGTTAATGTCTGTTATGTTCATTTGGTCTAATGTCCAGTTTAAATCCAACGTTTCTTTGTTGATTTTCTACCTAGAACCTCTGCTTACTGCTGAGAGTGGGGGTTTTAAAGTCCCTCGCTATTATTGTATTAGAGTCTATCTCTCTCTTTAGATCTAGTATTATTTGGTTCTTTTTTTTTTTTTTGAGACAGAGTTTCACTCTGTCACCTAGGCTGGAGTGCAATGGTGCATTCTCGGCTCACTGCAACCTCCAACTCCCAGGTTCAAGCGAATCTCCTGCTTCAGCCTCCCAAGTAGCTGGGATTACAGGTGCCTGCCACCAAGCCTAGCTAATTTTTGTAGTTTTTAGTAGAGAGGGAGCTTCACCATGTTGGCCAGGCTGGTCCTGAACTCCTGACCTCAGGTGATCCACTCGCCTCCGCCTCCCAAAGTGCTGGGATTACAGGTGTGAGCCACCGTGCCCAGCCACTTTGGTTCTTTTTTTAAGATATCTATGTTTTTGGTAAATTTCTAATTTGTATCCTGAATTGTTTTTCTGATTTATTTATATTTTTTGGACTTTTCTTATATCTCACTGAACTTCTTTTGAAACAATTTGAATTCTTTTTCCATGATTTTCTGAATTTATTTTTGATTGGGATCTATTGTTGGATAATCATTGTTCTCCTTTGGAGGTGTCATATTTCCTTTCTTTTTCATGTTTCCTGTGTTCTTACACTGACATCTGCACATCTGGTATAATAGTCACTTCTAATTTTTAAAATTGGCTTTCATATGGGAAGATTTTTTCCTGAGGATGAATCTATAATGTTGGTTGGGTAGGGTACTTTGGTTTTGATTCTGGGTGAGTACAGTTGTGCAGTCTCTGTATGATTTCTTTCTCTATAAACAGTGTCAGTGATATCTGAGATTTCCCCAGTGGCTTAGGCTGTAGTTATTATTGGAGGCTGGGGTGTAGTTTTGGTGGAGACTGGGACACAAGGTAGGCTAGTCTTCAGTCTCCTGGGGAGGCATCAGTGGGATATCATGCCTATCCTGGGGACCCTAGATGGCATACACTGCCACTAGTGTTAGCAGGTCCAGTTGGGTCTATTCTTGGGCCTCCAAGTGGCTTACTTGGATGCCAGTAGTGACAACCATGGGCTGGACAGGTAGAAGGGTTCTCATGCCCCTGAGCAGCTGGTATGTTTGAGTGATGGTAGTGGCAGTTGTAGGACTAACCTCTAAGTCCCAAGTAATGCATGCTGGTGTTGGTGGTGGCTGCAATGGGCTAGGCACACTAGTTTCCAGGCCTGCAGGCAGCACATGCTGGTAGGTGCCAGCTGTGGTTGTAGTGGCTTGGTGGGTAAGCTCAACTTCAGGCCCTTGGGAGGAGGGTTTAGGTGCCAGTGGTGGTAGACTAGGCTGGGCAATCCCCTGGCCCTTGGACTGTATGCTCTGGCATGGAGGGGAGGGTGAAGCTGGGCTAGGCTGGCTGGTCCTCAGGGCCCTGCAGTTCTGTGTACAGGTGTTGGCCATGGTAGGCAGGAATGGGGCAACCTCTAGGCCACTGGCAGAATGCCACTGGGTGGTGTTGGTGGAGAGGCAATGTTTTTAGTGATGGCAGCCTAGGCCAGCAGATGTTAAGCATGTGTGCCACTTGTGCCTCAGCCCCAGGTATGGTAGCCCATGGTTGCTTGTTCCTAAGCCCTGGGGTCAACAGCCAGCTCTTCTCTTGCACCTCTGTCCCAGCACTGCTGGCTTCCAGGATAGTGCATACTCTGTTGGGGGTAGGGCTCTAGAATGGTGCCTTGCTCAGCCCTGGTTGTAGCCTGCATCTTGATCATGCCTCCTACCTGGGTATGGTAGCCCACGGTTGCTTGTGCCTAAGCCCTGAGGGCAGCAGCTCATGCTTCTCCCGCACCTCAGCCCTGGTGCTACTGGGTTGCAGGATAGCATTCAGTCTATTGAAGACAAAGTTCTTTTTTTTTTTTTTTTGAGACGGAGTTTTGCTCTTGTTGCCCAGGCTGGCGTGCAATGATGCGATCTGGGCTCACTGCGACTTCTGCCTCCTGGGTTTGAGTGATTCTCCTGCCTCAGACTCACAAATAGCTAGGATTACAGGTGCCTGCCACCACACTGGGCTAATTTTTGTATTTTTAGTAGAGACAGGGCTTTACCATGTTGGCCAGGCTGGTCTTGATCTCCTGACCTCAAGTGATCTGCCTGCCTCAGCCTCCCAAAGTGCTAGGATTACAGGTGTGAGCCACCGCACCTGGCCATGGGTCAAGGAGCTCTCCCATGGCTAGGATTGCAGGAGTCCATGGTGATAATGTGGACTACTGAGGGTCTCTCACTCACCCTTTCCCTGTATTGTAGTCTTCCTTGGCTCACAGCTGATCTTGGCTAAGCAGGCTTCCTTACTTCCTTCTCCTTCTTTACTTTAGGTATTGCCTGCCACTTTTCTACTGAATTCCAGTATTCTCTCTTGGGTGACCTATTTGAAGCATAATTATCTACTCACTATATTGGTTCTTCTTAGTGGAGGAAGCAAGTACAAAATGCCCCTAGTCAGCTCTCTTGAATTGTTACTCCTGGTAACGAATCTCAAGGTGTGGCAAGATATGGAAACAAATTGTGGTCTTCCAATCTTTTTTTCTCTCGTGACGTCATTTGTGTGTAGTAGAGTTTGATTCCATTTCCATCTCATCTGCCTGAACGGGTAAGTACAAAGGGCGTTGGTATCCAAGACCAGGTTGTTATGAGCTGTGTAGGGAAGTTGTCAAAACATTATCATATTCTCTAATTAATTGACCTCTTATAAAATTGACCTCTATTCAGAGATCTCTTGTGTATATCTGCTTCTCTGGAATTCCTCTTTGTTAGTCCATTCCTTGCTGACGTGAAGATTCCGTATTACAAGGCAAATATTATGTATTTGTGAAACAAACTTGCAAATCTGGCTGAAGTTGTAGAATTTTATGAAGTTATTGAAAGTGATGGAGCTGAGCTGGTGGAATATGACAAACAAGACTCAGGCAGAAATAGGTCACCTGACAATGAAGGAAGAGAGTGTTAACAAGGAAAATGATGAAGGTATGTTTGGAAAAACAAAGAATAGGAGAGAACTTTGGGAAAAAATAATGAATCCTTCCAATATATTCACAAAAATAAACCTCTTTTTCTTGCAAAATCAAAAGTAAAGAAAGAATTGGATCATGTTATATGAATATTTTTTCAGAAAAAGTGTTCCAAAAATGTCAGCAGAGTTTATTCTTGCTTTGCTCTAGTTACCAGGGCAATGTTGCAGTATAACTTAAATTTTGTTAAACGTAAAATAAAATACATCTTGGTTTCATAATTTACTTTTTAAGATGTTGTTTCAATCTTTCCTCCTGCTCTTTAATATGAAATTTGGTATTATTTTGAAGTGGCTTTACTTAACTGGCCTCGTTCTGGTACTATCGTTCTAGAATAACCAGCATATGCCTCTTCCTTTGCCTGTAACTTTTGTGTAGGTAAACTTGTCCAAGGTACTCATTCTAGCTGGAATGAGTTGGAAGAAACCATTTAGTATGACCTTATTTGCAAAAAAATTAATTTACTTTTCTGAAAAGAATAAGTTAGTATCCTTATTATTTTATACCCCAGTTTCCTGAGATATCTGCTACAAATTTGAAGAATTTTGGAAATGAGTCTGTAGGAAGTCTAGGTGAGAAATGTTTCCACGATGTATAAGAGAAAACTTGTTGAATTAGGAGAAAACATCACAACGTTATTAGAAATTATCATAAAAAGTATTCTGAGAACATCATAGATACTTATAACCAAGAGGATTAATATAGTTATGTGTTTAGCTATCAGACAATTCGTTATCAATATCTGCTCCAGGACCTAGATCATGAAGCAAGTGACTCTTTTCCTTTCAAGCTTTACCTGGTCCTCAGCATTGACTATCCAGACTCCATCGCAGAGGGAGGTTAGATGAGAGGACCAGAAGTTAGGATGCAGGGACAATCTCTTCAGTGTTTTGAATAAGTTCTTGAAATAGATGAAGCTAATGAAGAGATGCTTTTTCTGTGAATTTATCTCTTCAGCCAGTACAGAGGCCAATAGAGACCTTTGAAGGTTCCTTATTGCCTAAGAAAGGAGAAGCCTGGTCACCTTGGTAAAGCCTGTCAGATAGTTCAGAACCTCCCTAGAGACAGATGTTCAAGTTAGCACCATAGACTGGGCACAGATAAAGTTTCATTAAGGCCTCAAAAGTCTTAGGTTTGTGTGTTTTTTTTTTTTGTTTTTTTTTTTTTGAGACAGAGTCTTACTTTATCACCCAGGCTGGAGTGCAGTGGCCTGATCTCAGCTCACTGCAACCTCCACTTCCCAAGTTTAAGCGATTCTCCCTGCCTCGGCCTCCCGAGTAGCTGGGATTACAGGTGCCTGCCACCACGATTGGCTAATTTTTGTATTTTTTAGTAGAGACAGGGTTTCGCCATGTTGGCCAGGCTGGTCTTGAACTCCTGACCTCAGGTGATCCGCCCACTTCGGCCTCCCAAAGTGCTGGGATTACAGGTGTGAGCCACTGCATCCAGCCAGGTTTGTGTCTTTAGGTACTAAAAAATGTTATAACGGCCTATTCCTTAGTTGGTTCACATAGTTCTTTGAGATCTTGTTCCTTCTTGGCCTCATCTCTTTATTCTGTCCAGTGTCTTTCCTGGACTCATTGAGGTCAGAGTGAAATTTCTGTTCCTATGAAAGTTATTCTTTTTGTCACCTCTGATCCTTTGACCGTGGTAGTCCTCTGCCTGAAGCACTCCGTCTCCACCTCTTTATAGTCTTTTATCCCCTGCTCGAGCCATTGACACTGGTTTTGTTAGGTGAACATTGAGGCTAAGATTGTTCATTTGGAATTTCTTTGCATTAAATTATTTTGATTGCTTTAAAAATTTTGGAAAACACAGAAAATTATAAAAACATGAAAACTTACTATTTATACCACCCTTAGAAACAGCTATATTAACTTTTGCTACATTTCCTTCTAATCTTTTAACAATTTTATGCTTTTTTCCTTCACTTATCTGATAGATTATTATGCACATACAAAACTACATTCTGCTTTTACCCAGAGTAGAACTTTTTAAACAGCTGGATCATTGTTTGAGAATGAAATTTGTCTTTTTTTCTCTCTTTTACTCAAAGCTTCACAACCTTAAACATAGACATGAAGCAAATAAGCTTTAACAACCTAAGATCTCATGTAGTCCTCAAGCAAATGATGATTTCCCTTCTTCCCATCACCTAACTTGGAGCAAATATCTAGCTCTTATATTATTATTTCTCATGCAATATTATCTAGGGTATTTTAGGTAAATGTGTACACACATGTACACACACACACAGGCACAGTCAGCCCTTGATATCCAAGGGTTCTGCATCATCAGATTCAACCAACTGCAGATTAAAAAATATTCAGGAAAAACAATAAAAAACACAACAATAAAAAGTACTTACATAGCATTTATGTCATATTAGGTATTATGAGTAATCTAAGATGATTTATAGTACATGTGAGAATATGTGTAGGTTCTGTGGATTTTGGTAACCGTGGGTGTCCTGGAACTCCTGAGGATACCAAGGGATGACTATATATACCAAAAAAGTCATGAAATTATAGAGGTAGAATGGACTCTGAAGAAAACCTTCTTAAGCCTCATTTGATAGATGTGGGAGATGAGCAGGTAAGGTCCAAGGTCCTGAGACAAAGCCATGGCTGGTACTCTTTTCTCTAATGCCTCACGGATTCCCTTGTTCTTTACTAATCAATGCACATTTAAAATTTGTTTTAGGTGTGCACCAGGGAAAAGTATCACTTTGGTAACCAGACTTACTGCTTCTTGTGTAGCTCATTCACTTGGCTGTCAATAGGCATGAAGTGAAAATGTTCCTACCTTCCCAGGAAAGAACTGGTTGTTCCTTGGCTACAGGTAACCACCAGAACCAGTTTTAAACCTGGCCAAATCAATAAATGACAGTTTCTCATGAGTACATAAGTTTCTGAGAGCCAGGAAGTAACTGACAGTCACATCCTGGGAGCCGCATTTCCACAGCTAAAAATCAACCAATCCCCAAACAGCCTTGTGAAACCTGGCCTTTCCTAAATTTTCCTATCCACTTAGCTCCAAGAAATGGGGCCTTCTAAGTACACTCTCTGTATTAGTCTGTTTTCACGTCGCTAATAAAGACATACTCAAGACTGGGTAATTTATACAGGAAAAAAGTTTAATGGACTTACATTTCCATGTGGCTGGGGAGGCCTCACAATCATGGCAGAAGGCAAGGAGGAGCAATTCATGTCTTACATGGATGGCAGCAGGCAAAAAGAGCTTGTGCAGGGAAACTCCCATTTTTAAAACCATGAGATCTCATGAGACTCATTCACTATCACAAGAACAGCACAGGAAAGACCTGCCCCCATGATTAAATACCTCCCACCAGGTCCCTCCCACAACATGTGGGAATTCAAGATGAGATTTGGGTGGGGACACAGCCAATCCATATCACTCTCCTTTGCTGTAAATTCATCTTTTGTTATACATATTGATTTGTGGGCTCTTCCTTCTTTAAGCATCTCAAAGTTAACATGTTTAAAACAGTACTTTTGAGTTTTCTCACTCAATGTGTGAGAATGCCTCAGTTTTAGTCTTCCCCATCAGCTAGTCCAAACCCCCATCATCTCTTGCTTGGACTATTGCAGTAGGCTAACAGGGCTCCCTGCTTTTGATGCTTGGCTCTTTATACTCTGTTCTCAACGTTGAATTTAGAAGGATTTTTTCAAGATCTCCTTCAGATTATGTCAATCCTCTCCCCAGAGCCTTCCAGTGACTTCCCTGGATAAAAAATCCAAAGGCCCTGTTCTTATTTTACAAGGCCGTTAAAGCTCTGGCTTCTCCTGTCTCTCTCACCCCAATCCCTATTGCTCTATCTTTGCTCACTCTGCTCCAGCCCCACTGGCTTCCTTGCTATTCTTTGCAGTTTACAGTATTCCTGCCTCAGGGACTATGTATTTAACTACTCTGCTGTTCTGACCTAGACATCCATATGGATCAATCCCTCAAATAACTCAGATGCTAATCTTATCAAAGAACTGTTCTGTGACTGTCCTAAAATAGCATGCCCAGTACTCATTAAATCCTTAACCTTGATTATTCTCCACTGGCCACCACCTGATATGCATTTTTATTTGTTTTTGTGATCAGAATGTAAGCTCCATGAGTACAAGTGCATGGGTTTTTCCTCTGCTGTACTCCTGGGCTTATAACAGTACTTGGCTGATCACAGGTGATGAGTATATACTAAATATTTGAAAATATTCTGAAATTTTCATTAATTATGTAGAAGAAATACCTCTAAGAATGCATTTATATCCTGATTTTAGGGGCCAACATGATCCATTTGATGGGTTTCTGATTGGGTGTACATTTCATGCTAGATTTAGTAGGGGACACAGAGAAAGAACAAAGACCTGTTAAGAATAGCAAAATAAGTCAGTGAGAATTCCCTAAATAATCATTTAGGATGAATTTCTTCACATATATTCTTGTTTTTTTTTTTTTAAGTTTTGCATAGATGTGAATTTTACTTTTTCAGCTATCCAAAAAAATTGGACTCTGTCTTATGAATTTGAGGTGATATGTGTTTTGAAATAGGCTTGAATTCCTCTGTTTTTAATGAGTCAAAGATGGCAGGTTGTTTTGGTTTGTCTTGTGGTTAATGAAAACTACTACAACATGAAAAGGGCTGTGACATGAAAAAGACAGAGTGTGCTACAAATACAGTCAACATTGTCACTTCTGCCATTTGCATCAGTTCCTGGGTTCAGTTAACCCTGCTTCATTATAATAGCACAGCTTCGTGGACTGACTTTTTACTTGGAACCCTCACATCACATATTTGTTTCTCTTACTGTGTAAGAAGTTGAAACCCTGGCTACTCTTTCCCTTTTCAAATAATGTGTCTCCGGTGCTTTTCCTTCATTTTATATTGATGGCAGAAGATGGCACCTGATGCTGACAGCAGAATGGCAGGTGGTCACGGACAGGGGTGGCAGGAGCTGATCACGCTGCCATGTATTAATAGTCCTGTGAAAACAGTGGCATAAGTTCAGTCATAAGAGGGGACAAATATTTGCCCGCTCATGAATTTGCTTCTGTGTGGCTGCTATATTGAGACATGGCCTCTAGAGAAATACTATCTTTGCAGACAGGTTTCTCAGGGCTGCCCCCATGCCACTCTGCTGAATGCTACTGTTCCCATATTAAACATATCTGCAGAGTCACTTTCTCTTCAGCCATCCCTGTATAGACTTAGGTGGAGGGGAGGGATGGCAAGAGCACTGGAATGGGAGTCTGGCACCTGGCTCTATTACTTATTGTGTAGCTGTGGGCCAGACACTCAGCTCCTCCAGGCCACAATTGCTGAGTCAGTAAAATAAAGGTGCCTGTCTTTACAATCTGTCACTATTATTCACTGTAATTCTCCAGTTGCACTAAGCTGTGTGTTTCCTAGTCCCTCAGCTGGTGGCAAACAGATGTATGTATATATGTGTATATGTGTGTATAGTCTTGAAGAGCATGCAATTCTCCTTGAACACCAGCACTTCATCCCATGTGCTCCGTCCTTGCAGTGGGTTAAGGGCTGAGAGCCAAGGAAGGAACAACTGCTCTTTCAGAGGTCAGCGCAAAGAGATGAGAAGCCAGAGGACTCAGACACCAGGAATTCTATTTACATTTACAGCAGCAGAGGCCGCGTAGAAATATTAATAGCTTTGGGCTTCAGTTCCCAAATTGCAAAACAAAACAAAACAAAAATTCCATTTGGTTGGAACAGAAATTTCAACTCTGAGATTTTTCTGGAACTCTTCATTTATATACACTTCTTTATTAGTTAAAAAAAACTATTCTGGAATTTTTGTTCTTTTCTTTTTCCTGGGAGGTGGGAAGGAAACAAACTTTTTATATTTATATTAATATGAAAAATCACTGGAAAAGTCATGAAATTTCCTCATGATGATTGTATATGGCTAACAGTAAAAAATACCAACTGTACACATATTTGTAGCGTGAATCATCTCTTAAAATGCCCCATGGCTTTTCCTTTAAATAATGAAAAGTAATTAGCATTCAACATCACTAGGTTGCTAGCAGCTGTTGCAACCTGATCATTACTTCTGTTAGATCTTTGGGATGTAGTATCTTTGCCCTATAATTCAGGCTACATGCTGCCTTTAGCTAACCCAGCACCTGAAAGAGAAACTTGTCATGTGCCCTCTTCCTAATTATAAAGATTAAAGATATCCTCTCTGTATTAGGAGCTTTAGAATAACCATATTTTTAGTAAGTGCCCCCATAGATGATCATTTTGAGTTCAAAATGTATTTCAAATTTGGTTTATTTTTCCCAATGCAGGGTATGTCTGATCTGAAGTCAGGATGAACCCATAGTACATCCTGGATGTGGCCTTGGATAATTCTGCCTGGCTGGCAGTTTTGGGATTGGTTGAATCCTGACTCTATTTTCAGAGGAAACTGGGCTTTGTCCCCTTGGCAAAAAGGGGTCACTGACAGGGTGCTTGGGCCAGAGGAGGGGCCAAGGTGTTGATGGCAACTGTGGTGGGCAGCATAGCTGCCAAGAGTCTTGGTGATGGGAGGAAGAGTAATCCTCAGCCAGTGATATTCTTTGGACATCTTACTCAACATCTCTCCACAGAGCCAGGCCTTGTTGGGGGACTGTAATCTATAATGAGCACTCAGGAGTATAAGACTTTGGGAAGAGCTTACCTATCAACCTCCTTCCCATGAAGTCAGTCTTTGTAGATGGAAGGAATGGTGAGTGGCTTGGGGTGGAGTGTGAGTGGGGTGGGGTGGGGAGTAGCACCTCTAGTGGCAGTCACTACAAATGTTCATCCTAACTTTGAGGAAGATGGTTCTCATTCACTCAGGTTTGAGACGTGCTGGTTTGGGGGCAGAGTTGAATTTCTCAGGATCATAGAGGAGACAGAGATGAACTGTACCCAGAGGCAGAGGATCAGTGTGGGACAGGCCAGGCAATGAGTGGCTTGGGTCCACAACTCAAGTAATTGCTGTGTTTGACAAGGGGGCAGATCTTTATTCTTGCTGGATACACAATCAGCTCAGCTGTGGAGGTGGGAGATGTGGGAGAAATTATATAGATTCTAGTCTAGAATAGCTTCCATTATCTCCCTCGCTTTTTCTTGGCTGAGTATGAAATAGAAGATGCTTTGTGTTTTAGGCTTTTGTTAACGTGTGCACCAAGCACCACTATGGAACTAGCTTGAAGGGCAGTGTGAGCAAGTGTCACCTGGCCAGGACCACCTTCTGTTTCCAAGTTCCAGTGCATGGCAGCACTCAGCCTCTCTTTCTCACCTCAGGAGTTCAGTCTGTGCTGTGTTGGCCACTTCTGCACAACATACACTGTGGTTAGAACAACTGCAGGTGACTGGCCTCATATCATGGAGAACATCTTTCAAATTCTTTATGAGGTTCCAGTGTTGAAAAGCCACAAAAGGCTTTCATGGGAAGCACCTTAGGCACTGGACCTTGGCCCAGCCATGTAATGAGAAGGTCAGCATGACTGGGAGGGAGTGAACAAGGGGCAGTGGAAAGACATGAGGCCAGAGGTGTAATGGGGAGGCCAGGCCCTGGAGGGCCTATGAGTCATGGTATGGACTTTGGTTTTTATTCTGAACGAGATGGGGTCTGTTGGAGGATTTGGGCTGAGGAGTGACGTGAATGGACTTGTGTTTGTAAAGAATCATCTTGGCAGATGTGAGAGAGTAAAGGAAGGGGCAAAGCTGGAAGCAAAGATGCCAGATAGGAGGCTTTTGCAATGGCTCAAGCAAAAGATGGTGGTGGCTTGATCCTGGGTGGTGGTGGAGGAAATAGTGAGAAGTGGATAGGTTGTGGAGGCAGATATTTTAAAGGTAGAGCAGACAGGATTTGCTGAGGAATTGGCAAAGAATGTGAGGGAAATAGAGGAGGCAAGAAAAACACCAAGGGTTTCTGTCTGGTTACCTAGATGACTGGAAGGATCAGGCTTGAGGGGGAGTTCATGAAGTCAATTTCAGACATGCTGACTATCAAACTGAGATTCAGGAAGCCATGGGTTCTAGTTTCAGTCTGGGCTCTGTTGCTCCAACTCTTTGGGTACAAGTATCCTCAACAACTGATGTGAAATGCACCTTGCATTGTGCACGTTCTATGGCCTATGAAGCAACATTAGGAGCTGACTGAAAAGCTTTAACATTTTGACTGCATTTACTACTAGCTATAACTGGATGTGGGACAGCTGAGCGACAAAATAGAAATTGTTCACAGTGGCCCAGCAGGGTCAGGAAGGGATGTGGGTGTCACCAAAGAGCATAGACTATCCCTACCCTGACTTCCTACTTCTAAGCTAACCTCACCTTCTGAGCTCATAGAGGCATGACAGTGGAGGGATTCTGCCTTGACTGATATGCTCCCTTAGGTTTAAATCTAAGTGAGAGGTGCCTAAAATGTGCCTACCTTTACCACACTGGTTTAAATCAGAGAATTGGTCATCCATATATATTTGAGTAGCTGCTAGCTGCTGGGTGCAAGGCCTTGTGACCACCTCTGAATTTGATTAGTGTCTGGCTTCTTTCAAAAACATTGCAAAATTGCAATTGTCCTTATTTTAAAGACCTTTGAAGGATGCAACTAAATCATTCTTTGCTAAAGAAACATACTTTTTGAAAGCCTCTCAAAAGGTAGTTGAGTGAATACTTGTAGCATTTGATGACATTGAAGTGATACTTTTAAGTTAAATAGTTCTTTAGAAATCTGATGATGGTATTTTGGATATTGGCTATATTCAATATTTGAAGTAAAAATCCAGGTTTTTTTTTCCCCCCTCTGAACAGACCTGTGGCAAATACACCTTCAGTTTCTGTCATAATATGACTTCTCCAGTGACTGTGACTTTGATTTCAAAGGGTTCTGCTGAATCTCACTATAGAACTGTAGGGTAGTATTGGTGCTTTGCCCAGAATCCTCCCGTTCTCACCCTTTTGGTTTTGGCACCTTCCTGTCCAACAACACTTGCACCAACCACCCTCAGGTTCCTTGAGTCTACCTTGCCTGCAGGCACAGAGAGCCAGTGGGAGTGTCTGGGAATGCTCCATCAGTCCCTCCTGCAGCTCTTAGCGAATGGCAACAGCTTCAGTAGTGTAGAAAAGCCCAGTGCCCTTGCCTCAGTATGGGACAACTCTGAGCAGTAACTTACATTCCAGAGCCCCACTGTTCGGATTGAGGGGAGATTTTGGCTGATGTGATACCCTTGCTTGGATTTCTCCTCTTCCCTTTCCTGTTTCTCCCACTCTCTTACTGGCCTCTCCTGAGAGCATGTTTTCAGTCATTAATTTGCACACACTAATCTTCATCTCAGGGTCTGCTTCTGGGGAAACTAATCTAAAAAAATACTTTATCCCTGTGTTTCCCAAACTGAGCACCAAACTGCCTCAGGGCTGCAGAGAACTCCCAGGGGACACTGTGAGGTATTTTCAATTTTCTAAAAAACAAAACCAAAAACACCCTCAGTGCTACTCAACATCCATCAGATACAGCATGAACAACTGAAGGCAGTTTGTGATTTCAATGTTAGGTCATCCTGCCTTCCTTTAGCTGATGGTATATCTTTCAGAAGCTGAGTTTTCAGTGGTTGCTATGATAAAAAAACAAGTACTCTATGAAAGGGGGAAGAGAAAACAAAGATGGTGAAGTCCAAACTGATTCCCAGGCTTGAGAAGTTGTTTTGTTTCCACTAATGCACACACCCCCATTAATAAGTAAGTGTGGTTATGAAAATAATCTTTTGATGTAATGTATTATTTTTTCAAGTGGATACCAATTGGTTATGGCGTAAATTCTTACCAAGTTAGACCTACCTAAATTTTGGAACATTTAGCTCTTTCGTTTGATCTTAGGGTACTATGAAATATTACTGAGTCAGTAAGGGTGGTGGCATGAACCAAATAAGTTTGGGGGGGGCCTCTCCTCCACACTGAAAAAGATAGTTTAAATGTGTTTTGAATTAAAATGAGTCAAGTGTTCAAGTACCAAATAACAGTCCCCAGTGCAAATTAACTAAGTGCTTAGTGCGTTCTTTATACTCCTTCATAGCCTTGCATTTTTATGAATTGCCACACTGGGATTTTAAACGTGAACATGTTCTCTTGTTTTCTTCTTTCAGAGAGTGGGTTAATCGAGCCCCATCTATTCATTTTCTGAGAGTGTTAATCTGTCTGAGGCTACTAATGAGGGATCCATGTTATCAGGTTGGTTGGAAAAATACAATTTTTTTTTTTACTTGTTATAAAGTTGTAATAAAAGACTGGTGGGCTTTTCTTTGAAGTAGTCCATGTTTACTTTTTGTTTTCTCTCTCACAACTCAATAGCTTCCATATATGGGGAATGTCTCATCTACTATTTAAAAAGATTTGAGAGGAGCGCTTTAATGGGGACCAAAAATTTGTGTATTTCTGTTGTATTACTTATGGGATTAAGTGGATTGAACTTTTTGGTCTATGTTTTCTTTGCTATTTGGCATTTTAAACCATTTACCATTCAAGGAGGTATACACTTGGCCACATCTTCAAACATGTTCAAGGCCAAGCAGCTCCCTAGGTCAAAGTCAGCAGTGATGAGTGATGGCCTGCTCATGTGGCTGAGAGGCAGCCAATGGAGCTTTACTAGCTGCTCCAGGGTCAATCCCTTCCCAACCTCTAGAGTCAAATTTGAGCTAGAGGTGAGCAAGGAGCCTCCTGCTTGTCCCAAAGGAGGGCACTGAGGTCAAGAATCTTTTCCTGGTTGGGCATGGTGGCTCACGCCTATAATCCTAGCACTCTCCACCTCCCAGGTTTAAGCAATTCTCCCTCCTTAGCCTCCTGAGTAGCTGGGACTACAGGCACGTGCCACCATGTCCGGCTAATATTTTTGCATTTATAGTAGAGATGGGGTTTCACCATGTTGGCCAGGCTGGTCTCAAACCCCTGACCTCAGGTGATCTGCCTGCCTCTACCTCCCAAAGTGCTGGGATTACAGGCATGAACCACCATGCCTGGCCTCTGTTTTTAGTGCCTCTCAAACTTTAATGTGCATGGGAATCACCTGGACATCTTGTACATGCAGAATCTGACTCAGTATGTATAAACAAGATTCTTCATTTCTAACAAGTTTCCCAGGGATGCTATTGCTACTAGTTCATGGCCCATACTTTGAGTAGCAAAGACATAGTGCTTTAGCTGTGAGGCTCTAAAGAAAAGCTTACTTAACACTTTTTTTTTTTTAACTGAAAAAGTGTCTCCTTTTATGCCCTGCCCTCGTAAGCTACTAGGAAGCTCACACCTTTAATTTTGAACTCGATTTTATTGATGAATTGTTATTTGAGTCAGAATATGTTTCCTTTAAGTGCCAAGTTTGGAAAAGTAACCATCCTCTGTTTTACAGGGAAGCCCAAGGCCATCCCAGTGGGAGCTATCTTATTTTTTCTTTGTTGTTTGAAATATTTGGGTTATCCTGCAACTCTACTTCCCTCGTATTTCAGAAGTAACCATCTTTTCCATATTTGGCATTTGAGAAAGTATTTTGGTACCAACCAGCCACAGAGCCTACTCTGATTGGACTCTTCTGGGATTCATGGGCACTACACATCTTTCCATTAGAAGAATCGTCCTCTTCCTCATACTGTATTCTAAACTGGCCTCGTGCTATTGTAATTTAGCTAACCACAGCCCTTTGGATATGTGAGCCAGGGCATCCTTGAAATGGCTTTCTGTCCTTGTTGCTCACAGTTTTCTGGGTAGGTAAGCATCCTTATTTTCCTGTGACCAACCATACAGAACTGTGTGTTCCATGCATTTCTGAGCTGCTTATCGCAATTCAGTTTGGGTCATGTATAAATGAGCATGGGCCATAAGTTTCCTTTTGCCTGGATCAGTCTTATTATGTGCTTACTGTTCCCACTTAATTATTCATAGTGCCGTCTTTTATTCTCCAATGTGTCTCAGTTTAGATGAAAACATTATATGTGTAATATTAATAACGTTTTCCAGGAGGAAGGTCCAGTTAATCTGACTTGAACTAGCAAATATTTGTCCTAGAGATGTTCTGTTTGTTCAGAAAATCTGTTGATAAGAGTGTCTTACTCTGCTGATCTCCCATCTGAAGTTCTGTCTTTTTTAATCTCATTCTGGGTGGATTGAACAGGGTTGATTGTATTGCCCTCTGAAGGAAAAAACTCAGAGACGACTTTATGAGATTTTGTGACCAAGACACATATTAAACGAATATTGTCCTGCTGGCCAGCCTTTCCATAGAAGGGAATTATCTCCGAGTCTGTCCTCCCTGGCACTCTTTCCACACAGAAGACCACGTGCTCAGGCAGTTGTTTAACATCTTGAGGTGCCAAGAATTGTTGGCTGAAGTCACAAAGCTATGCTGGGGTTTACTACAACTTGCGACTTACGCCAGTGGCTCTCAGCATGCCTTTTTCATGGGTATCTGTTCCTTTCCTCTCTTGTTCAGTCAGTACTGCAGGGTCCATAGCGGCTCTTCCAAGCCATCTTCACTTTTCTCAGCCAAACCCTCTCCTGCCCCCATTATTCTCATCAAATTATATCATCCTCTGTTTTACAGGAAAGCCCAAGGCCATCCCAGTGGGAGCTATCTTATTTTCTCTTTTTGTTTGAAATATTTGGGTTATCCCGCAACTCTACTTCCCTCATATTTCAGAAGTAATATTCCTCTTCCTGGCCAAGGCTTTCCCTTCTACCCGCTCTCTATTTTTCCTTATCATAAAAATGTCCTTCTCTTGACCCAGCTATTCCTTCAAGTCCTCCTCCTACTTTCATACTATATTTCTTGAAAGGTCAGGCTGTCTCCTGAATCCAGTTCCTTTCCACCAGGACTGATGTATTGCATAACTTGCACATTGAATTCTATGTACAAGGTTCTCTCTGGAAGCCATTTAAATAGACCACACTGGGCCATGCTGCAGTCCTCATTCTTCGACTCAGAGGTTGCAAACTGGTGGCTTGTAGACTGGATCTTTCCTGCTAGTACAGTTTCCATTATATGTTTAGTGAATGTTCCAGCCAGGAAAGACTGGAAGGAATGACAGAGAAGCCATTTTGAAGATATAATTGTTTAGAGTTTTTCAGAATTAAACGAAGACACGTATTGAGATTTCAGTTACAGCTCGAGTCCCAAGCAGGATAAAGATAAATGTTCACCTGGATTCATTATAGTGAAGCCATAGCACATTGCTTATCAAAGATAAAGAGAAAACCTTAAAAGATCCTGAATTGTAATTATGTTAGAAACAATAATAAAAAATAGTGCGATTGAGTAGACTTCTCTCAGCCCTTACATTCCCCAACCTGTTTTTAGCAGGAGACACACTGTACCACGTTTTCTCTTTGCCTGTACTGATCCTGAGAACCTCTAGCATTTATTCAGCATTTTTTGGGTATTATTTACACGTTCCTATTCTTAACCTTGTCTTCCTAAATAACCTTCCCCAAAGTTTTTTTTTTCTTTATTGTCTTCTCCCATATCTTCCAAGCTCTTGGCTTCAACTATCTTTTTGTTGTTGCTGTTTGTTCACAAGTTCATATCTACAGCCTCAAACTTTCCCCTTTAAGTCCCAAGTTTCCAGAGACATGTTAGACAACCACCTTGATGACACAGTAGCATAATGGTTTTCAAAGTGTGGGCCCGTGTACAGTTTACAGGTCTCTGAAACCCTTTCAGGGATTCCACAAGATCAAAGCTATCTTCAACACGATGCTAAATTATTCTCAGTGATGTTATTTGTCTTGTCACTCTCTTACATGTGTGCTGTGGGATTTTCCCTAAGCTACACAACATCTCATGACATCATGGCCCTGGCAGCTGATGGAACATGTGTACTTGTGTATTCTTATGTTTTAAAAATTTCTCACTTTTAATTTCTAATACAATAAATATAAACAGATACATTCTAACCCATGTAAACAAAGCTCTTTGAGGTTCTCAGTAATTTTTAAGAGTGTAAAGGGGTTTGAGACCAAAACTTTGAGAACAGCAATTGTAGCATATTATACTCAATAACTTTATAATGGAGCTCTTCAATTCTTCCCCTCATCCTTGAACTTTTGGAATCAATTCCTGATTCTTTTAATGGCACCATATTTTGTCAGACTTACGGTAGAAAACTTTAGAAGTATCTCTTGTATTTCCTTTTTTCTCATCCTCCTACAAATCGAGTATACCAAACCTTTTAGAAGAGTGGTTACTGTTCCAAACCTAGAAAGATAGGTAAAGGCCAGTCCACAGAGGGGCATTAAAATCATAACCAAAGAATAAACTTTGGCTGGGCGCGGTGGCTCACGCCTGTACTCCCAGCACTTTAGGAGGCCGAGGTGGGTGGATCACGAAGTCAGGAGATCGAGACCTTCCTGGCTAACACGGTGAAACCCCGTCTCTACTAAAAAATAGAAAAAATTAGCCGGGCGTGGTGGCGGGCGCCTGTAGTCCCAGCCACTGGGGAGGCTGAGGCAGAAGAATGGCGTGAACCCGGGAGGCGGAGCTTGCAGTGAGCCAAGATCGCGCCACTGCACTCCAGCCTGGGCAACAGAGGGAGACTCTGTCTCAAAATAAATAAATAAATAATAAATAAATAAATAAATAAACTTTATGGAGCCACTGATGATTTTTGAACAGAGGAGTAAATGGTCATGTCAGTGATTCAGTGTTAAAAGTTATGCAGTGTGTTCAGCATTCATTGATTTAGTTGCCACGTAGGCTTAGGATGAGAGCCCTAAATGGAAATGACAGTTTTGGCTGTAATAAAAATATATTGGCAAAATGTGCTCCATTCTTAAAAACATACTTTTTACCAGTATTATATTATTGAGTCTATTTTTTTTAAAAAAGGAACAATTCAGGGGGTAAGCTTAGGAAGGACATTGTTCACAGTTTACAGATTGAACTAAAGTTCAGATTACCCAGGGAACTTTCTCCAAGTCATTAGACTCAGAAATATAGAAACCAGTTTTATGGCCCTCTGGCCTGTGACAAGTGAAAGATGCTGAGGGCTAAAAGGGCACACAGGGCGCATTGCTGTAATCTAAGCTTGCAGTCATATTTGCTTTTCAGGTCAGTAACTAGAAGTGTTAAGCCCATGTGTATACATACCTTGTAGTCATGGTTTTCTTTAGTTTACACTCTCAGGTTAGTACAGTCCTGTTGGTATAAGGAAAGGAAATGCAAGGAAGACCAGGGTCTGTGAGCAATCTCCTGGCCTTGCTCCACTTTCCATGGGAGCATGGAGGGAAAATATTCATTTCATAAATGAAGGTTAAATTCTTGAGTACATAACATAATGACAAAATTCTCTAAGAGGGAGTAAGCGTCTTTCTCATTCTTCTACTCTATAGCAGCACTTCTCAAACTTTATTCCACAGGAGTAATACGTGTCCTGGGAAACGAAGTGTGCTTTGGTTAGGGATGTTTAGAAAAAGCTGCACACTAGTTCTTCTTTTAGAGACTTATAGTGCTCAGCAGCGCCAAAGAGTCCTGAGATAGAGAATTTGTTAAATCTGTTTTACCTTACATTTCCCAAGCTGATTGGACAATAAAACTCTCTCTTTCTCTCTGTCTCTCTCTCTTTTCTTTTTTTTTCTTTTTTCTTTTTTTGGTAGAATGCCTAATTCCATCCACTGCACAAAATAAAATGACTGTTTCCAGGACATGGTTTAGGAAACATTGAGTTAGTCCCATATCATCAAAATTATTGAATAAATTTATTGTCATGGCAAACATTTAAAAATAACATTACCATGACCATTTAAACATTATTCTCTTCCTTGGTGTCTTCCCACTCCCAAGCTTCAGATGAATCTCCTTCATGTGAATAACTCCCAGATTTTAGTCTTTTGCCCTCACCTCATTTTCTGTGGCCTGTTGTATTTTTTTCACCTGGGCCTGCGGCACTGCAGTATGTCCAAAATAGAGTCCTCTGCTCTATCTCAGCCTATTCCTTTCTCTCCCCCTGTGTTAGTTAATTATGACATTGTGCCCAGCCACTCCCACTTAAATAGACTGATGTCTTTGACTTTGCTTCTTTTCTTCCAATCTTTCTTCATGTTCCGTTGATCATATCGCTTCAAATACTACCCCTTTCTCTCCATTCTTACTCCTGCTGTCACTGACCCCCACCTGAGCTCCCAGTTGATACGCTCCCCATCTCCAGTTCATTTTATGACTAGAAGGAAGTCCCCACAGCTAATTCTGGCCAGTCCCTTGCTCACACGTTTTCATTGGGTATCACGGTCTGCATGAAAACGTTCAAATTCAGGCTCACATCTAAGTCCTCCCACAGTGTGAATCCACCCTAATTTTCTAACATTTTTTCCCAGTAATGCCCTCCATGGAGTTACGGAACTGCTTCTCTCGGAATTACAGCATGTCTTGATGTTTTGTCTGCACAATTTCTATTCACCTTTGAGCCTCCTATTCTCTTTGCTGGAATCTCCTTTATTTTCACCTCTTCCCGATCTTTACTTGGCAAATCCATCCATCCTTCCAGTCCCCATTTAGAGACCACCACCCACATGAGGTGTCTCTTAGTCCTCTCAGCAGGAATGAGGTGTCTCTATTCTGGCGCCTCGTAACACTGCATGTATAATTTACTTTTAACACTTATCTCGTTCTGTCTTAAGTTCTAGTTGTTTGTATACCCACCTTATGCTTGCTTACAGCTCAGCAAAGAGCACTCCTGCCATCTACATATGTGTGTCTCCAGAGCCTAACTCAAGGATTTTACATAGGTGGAATGGAAAAAATGTTTGTTGAATAAATATAACTGGTTTTAAATGTTATTTTAATTTTTATGTGTACAAAACCTCCTACCATAAATAGAGATCATATGTACAATATTCTCGTGCTCTTTAATTATAGCTCTTCTAGAGTGAATAGCATTGATGAGGCTTCAAATTAGTAGGTAGTCATAGAACTATTTTTAATTGAGTTCTAAATGTTCTTTTAAAATTTAATTTAGATGTAAGTGTGTTCAGTATTTCCAAGTTCACTTTATACAGAGTATGGAAACCTTGACCCAGGAGGCCTTGAGAGAAAAAGGCCCCTGTGCCTTTTCCCAGTCTGCCCACTCACTGGCTTCATGGGAGAACTAGACTGTTCTCTCCCACGCTCATGTACTCGTCCCTGTGCACTTCCCAGAATTGAAATTATGGCTCTTGTTTATGTTTCAAATAACTTCCTTGTGGGCATGTTAAGTAAGGAGAGAGATGTCAATACAGATGTAATTAAGCAGGTTAAAGCCACCTGAGAATATTTGTCTATAGATAAATGACAATGTGGCTAACCTAAGAGCACTTACTATTAGTAGATCTCTAGGCTGGTCCATTTCACAATTTAAAGTCCTGTATCAGGAGACATTGTCAAAAATTATCTTTACATTTATTTAGAGCATGGGTCTAATAAGATCATTCATCTAATAATTTTGAGAAACTCTTTCTGTCCTAGAGCAATGCTTCCCAAACTGTACTGTACGTACGTATGACCTGGAGATCTTGTTGAAACGGAGTGTGATTGAGTAGGTCTGGGGTGGGTGCAGGATTCTGCATTTCTGTTCAGCTCCCAGGTAATGAGGGTGCTGCTGGTTCATGGACACTAGGCAGAGACCTAGCGGAGGGTTCTTGGAGTTTGGTGATGAACTCATCCAGGTTCGTCAGTTATGCAAAATGGTTTTCTTTCTGTGTCTTGGTTTTCCTCATCTGTAACATGAGAATATTGAATGAAATGGTGTCTAATGGCTCTTCTCAACTCGAACATTTTATGATGACACAGGAGGAGTTAAGAAGAATGAAGGGGCAGGCTGCGGTTCTGAGCACAGATTTATTCTCTTGATCTCAACCCAACTTTCATATTTATTAATAGTTTATTTTAAAGGTAGTATGAATGACATACTGTAAGTTTTCCGTATTTATATTAGAATGTAGACCTTCACAATATAATTATAAATATGACAACTTAGTAAAGAAATTGCATGTAAAATATACTTCCCCCTCCACCCTCATCATTTACATGTGTTTTGTTGCTTTTATTTTATTAGGAAATACTCCATAGCTTGGGTGGGATTGAAAACCTAGCTCAGGTAAGATTCCTTTTGTGGTGGCTGGTCTTGCCTTTTCATTTTGTGCCTGCTATGAGCAAGAATTAAAAGGGTATGTGACAGAAGGTGGCTTTCCTATGTTATGCTGTCTGCCCCAGAGAGGGACAGACAGCGTTAAGTGTGAGTGTGAGGCATGATACTCACAGAGCAGGGAGGAACCCACCACATTTTGTTCTGGCTAATTGGGCTCACTTTACTCAGCCTGATGAAATGAGAAAGTGCTATAAAAGGTCACATGTCTTTAGCTAGTAATAATAAGAAATAGGCAGCCAGGTGCGGTGGCTCACACCTGTAATCCTCGCACTTTGGGAAGCTGAGGTGGGTGGATCACCTGAGGTCAGGAGTTTGAGACCAGCCTGGCCAACATGGTGAAACCCCGTCTCTACTAAAAATACAAAAATTAGCCAGGCATGGTGCCAGGTGCCTATAATCCCAGCTACTCGGGAGGCTGAGGCAGAGAATTGCTTAAACCTGGGGGGCGGAGGTTGCAGTGAGCTGAAGTTGCACCACTGCACTCCAGCCTGGGCAACAGAGCGAAACTCCGCCTCACAACAACAAAAGGGGCGATGGCTGGAAGGCTGAAGCCCTTAGCATTGTATATACCATATGGTGGGAGGAAAAGAAATATGTATATATATATGCATATATATTTGAAACGGTGTCTTACTATGTTGCCTAGGCTGGTCTCAAAATGCTGGGCCCAAGCAATCCTCCTGCTTCAGCCTCCTGAGTAGCTGGGATTACAGGTGTGTGCCACTGGGCCTGGCAAGATAATAAACTGATTATGAAGATGTTCAAAACATTTTCAAACAAGAAAATGATTACTGTGCTCACTAAAATACTAATAAATAGATGACAAAGAAAGGAATGATCTTGACCTTATTTATTTTTCTGCTTTGCTAACTACTGAGCGAGGGTAAGCAAGTGAATATATATACTGAGCAACTCAGAGGCTTGCATTTATTAATACAATAAAACAAAATTTCTTTTTCTTTCTTTTTCTTTTTTTTTTTTGAGATAGGGTCTCACTTTGTCACCTAGGCTAAAGTGCAGTTGTGTGATGTCAGCTCACTGCAACCTCTGCCTCCCAAGTTCAAGTGATTCTTGTGCCTCAGTCTCCCAAGTAGCTGGGATTACAGGCATGCGCCACCATGCCCGGATCATTTTTTTTTTTTTTTGTATTTTTAGTAGAGACAGGGTTACACCATGTTGGCCAGGCTGGAATAAAACAAAATTTCTGATCACGTTTTTGAGTTGGAACAGGCTAGTCTCCTAAAACCTGTATAATGTTTACAGAAAGAATGATTTTCATAATAAACATGTGGCCCTGCAAACTCATTCTGAATAATTAATGGAAGATTAAGTTGGTGGCAATTTAACATTAAATCTACTTTATTTTATTATATTCTTAGAAAATTGATTCATGTTTATTTTTTGTTTTCAAGAACCTTTTAAATTGACTAGAGGTGTACCTCATTTAATAACTTAATATTTCATAAGATTATGTTACAAAGCATCTTCTTATCCATTTTAACTTCCATTATAATATTAGAAATTACCTGTTTCCCTGAGCCTGTTTCTTATTATAATCATTATCCACAGTGAGAATTATCAGACTACTCAGTACGCATTTTATTCTGATTATTGCTAACTGCATGTATGCTGGTTAGACATATATTCAGAGCTTATATACGTCAGTAAAATATATACAATGTATTATAAAAAATTCTCCTAAAAAGATACATTGAAGAATAAACATTCTATATACTATGTATTATGTATCTTATATGTATCTTGTATTTGGATACTAAATTACACAACAAACTTACTTAGTTAAGAGTCATTTTGAGACTTTTGAGAGTTTATAGAGTCTTGAGATGGTCTTTCCCTCAACTTCATAGCACGCAAGAGAAGCCAAAGAATCTAGAAACCCAGTCACCTTTTGCACTTGAGCGATAACTGTTCCAGGAGCATGAGAGTATTATTTGATGAATCTGTTTTGCCACCTACAGTTTATTTTAAGAACTGCAGCATCTTGTTCCTTGCTTCCTTGGGTGCTTTTGGTGTCCTGACTGGCTTGTTGGTTTGGTCCTTCATGCAGTATATGGAGATTGTAGCCAATGAGTACCTCGGCTATGGAGAAGAGCAGCACACTGTGGACAAGCTGGTCAACATGACATGTAAGTGTTATTGCAGGGACACAGCCATTTTTGTGGACTTGCTAGAAAAAGCAGTATGGTGTTTGCAGCAGGAAACAAGGATACTTTAAATATTTATTAATGTTCGCACACACAGCTCAGGTGTTGAGCATCCAGGCCAATTGTTATATTCAGTGGCAACATACAGCCAGAAGAAAGATGTTTAGATTACAACCTTTACCTTGAAAAGCACAATTTATTTAATGCAAGAGAGGCTTCCATAAAAGCAAATTTTGGTAAAATCTATTTTTGCGTCTTTTTATTTCTGTTAAAATGTCAGAGACTATCCAGTTTTTTTTCTATAAAGTTGGGTTAATCATGATTGCCTACCTCATAGAATCTGAAACATCCAGAGCATGAAAAAGAAAAATAACAACAAACCTTATCTGATGCTGCGAATGTGAAAACATTGGACTGTGAGTGTGAGGTATTCCTTAGTCACTCAATCTTCTCCCGTTGGAGGCTCTTCCCAGCCCTGCTGTCCTGCACTCCAGCTTTGATGAGTCACAGACGTCCTGCCGTGTGGGATGCCTGTCCGTTTTCTTTGTGTGACTGGACTGGCTCTTCATATCTGCTTGTGGAGCAGCACAGTGATTCTCAGATCCAGGGAGAGAAGAGTTTATGGCAAGCCCTGGGCACTAGGAAGTCTCTTTGAGGATGACTATTTTCCTCAGCTGAGGAAACGTGCAGGTTCCTCTCATTTGCTGGCCTTCCCTCTCTTCTTTATAAGTTGAAATCTTCACAGAGAGGATCTTTGAAGAATAGGCCTCACTTTGAACTGGTAATGATGTTAAGGAACTTCAAGTGGAAAGAGAGGTTTGCCTTTTTTGGTATTTTTATATTTCATTATTACAATAATATTAGAAAATAAATACCAGTGGAGCTTGAGGAGTAATTCTTGGGGTAAAAAAGTAGCCATGCTGCTCCTGCATCTGTTGTTCCTTTTGTGCTGTGTTCCCTTTGACCTTTCTCTGCCTGCCCATATGCACTGCAGATCTGTGCTCCTGGAAGTACTCCCCCTTTAATCTCTGGATGCCTCTTTGCGCTCTTTCTTTCCTTTATAGATATTTTTCAAAAACTTGCTGCAGTCAAAGATCAAAGAGAATGGGTCACCACAAGTGGAGCCCACAAGGTGAGTGGCCCCTGAAAGAGTTAATGCTTCAGCTCCCTATGGCAATAGTTCACATTAGGGAAGTTCAGAGCCTTTGCGGTTAAGTCATGTGTAATTAGAATCCACAAACCTACCAGCCTGGCCTGAGATTGTGGATCTTTGTCAACCCTTTTATATTCTTTACCAGCATTACAAGTTAATAGAGATATAATAAATACAAGTTTTCTGGAACTCTTTTCTTTTTTTTCCTATGCCATTTAATACCAACTAGGTTTATTACTTAAATATTATTTGAAAAGCCCCAGCTATGTATAAATACACCCTAGGTGTGCATTTATAAATAAGTCAACAGAAATAAACAAAATGTACATATGTATACATATAAATTCCATATGGCATGTGGGGCTATATTAGTTTGAACCATATATGATTGCCATTGTAGGTCAAAACAGACTATATTTATAGCAAAACTGTTTAGACTGTAGCCATGTGGAGCCAAGTTTCAGAAACCTGTTGAGTTTCATATCCCGGGAAGCCACTTTCTAGTGTATATGGGAGCAAGATTGCCTAAAATGTGTTAACACATGCTGCTCATGGTCTAGAGGATGATTCTAGGTGATACACAGGTCAACATTTTTTGTTTCAGTAGCCAGCTATTTCACAGGTATTATTGCTTACAATTGGAAAAAATTTTTTTGAGTTAACATTAAAGATGTTAGTTGAATATGGCAAAAAATGTGAAAATGATATGTAATGGATTGAAGTTTGGGAAACATTAGAAGACAGAGAAGAAAGAGAGAAGAAAAAGAGGAAAGGATCAGACAAATAAAGATAATGATAACTTCATTAAGATAAAATGAAATCATAAAGGCAAAAAATCCATATACTGGAAACATAAAAATTACCTTAGCCGTTGTTGCGCAGGTTGCAGCTCTGACCTGAGACATTTTGGGAGGCACTTTTCAGGGGCACTCCGCATTCTGAAAATGTAGAGAATTTTCCAAATAAGAAAATTTGCCTTAACGAGAATTCAGGGAAAGCCACTGACAAGCTACAGACTTCCAGCTAAGTCATGTTAGTTAGGATGATGCTTGGGAGCATCAGTGATGCACTTTCAACATCAATTAGAAATCTGGGAGGCAAATGGAATGCTCGATAGTATTCATATCTTGTTTAGTTTGGCAAAAGAATGAAAGTTTCAATATTTTGTTGAAAAATCGTTTCATAATTTGGAAAGTGCCTAGCACAATGCCTGGCTCAAAGTGAGTTCTCAATGGCTGATCACTACCACTATTGTAATTTATGTCATTAATCTTCCTGGTTCTTCCCAGCGTGGGATCAGAAGGGGGAGAGAATACTTGGGCACATGGAAATAGAAGGATGTATGAGAACCAGGCTGGTCATGTAGCTTGATGCCTTTTCTTCCTGTCCTGGGCAAGGAATGGCTACAAGAGGTTACTATCAAGAGTTCCAAAGTAAGGAGAGATGGACTCCTGCCATCTGTAAAGAACTGGATATTTTGAATGTTTAATAAAACTCTTTTTAAGATAAACTTTTATATTGACTGCAAAAAATAAAAAGGAAGCTGCATAAGGCTTGATAGGGCATAATTTTTTTCACTATTCTATGGGTAAAGCCATAATAAAATAAACAACTTGATTATATTGACAAAAAGTGTTTATAAAGATATATTTAATGCCATGAAAAAATTTCAGTAGATAACATTAAGAAAAAAACATAAGAGAGAGCAGCTTTAACATTATATATAGTTTGTGCTTAATTGTATATGCACATACATTATAAACTACTAAGCAAAAAAAAAAAACAGTTAAGCCTATATGATCTTAAGAGGGAAGCATTTTGTCATTCAAGCAGCTGGTAATGGAAAATAAATTAATGTTAATGTTGAAAAAAGAAGCTTGTAGTACTTATATAATTAAACTTTATTTTACTTCATTTTTCAGACATTAGTAAATTTACTTGGTGCCCGAGATACTAATGTTCTATTGGGTTCCCTTCTGGCTCTGGCTAGTTTAGCAGAAAGGTAAGTAGTGTATTCTAATATACTTTCCAGTTCTGCTACTATAGCAATTTAGGTGGTAAGGATGCAAAATAATCAGTTACTTTGTCAACTACTTAATACAATTTCTTGATAAATAAGTGTGAAATAACATGTTGAAGAGAATCCTGGATAGAAGGCATTATTTAAAAATTTAAACTGGAAAGGCAAATTGCAGTTTAAAATTTTCTTTTTATTTCCTGACTGGAAATATTTAGTCTTTTCATCTAACCCTCAGTTACTTCTAATTTCAAAATTACCATAATATTTCTTTGGCAGTTGAATCTTTCTGACCATCTTAATTCATTCTTACCTGTGAATTTTAACATACAGAACGTTTTCAAACATCTGTGGGCTTTGAAAAATTTTCAAGAAGATCTTTCCTCTTATAAATGTCATGATTATTTTAAATGTTTTTATGACAATAAGTGGACCATTGCTTTTCTGTGAATAACATATGATTCCTTTTGTTTTTTGATCTCTTCTCCCAAGATAATATTGGAGCTAGGATATTAAATAAATAAATTTATATGGTTAGGCTTTGTGTCCCCAACCAAATCTCATCTTGAATTGTAATCCCTGTAATCCCCATAATTCCCTCATGTCAAGGGAGAGACCAGGTGGAGGTCATTGAATCATGGGGCCATTTCCTCCATGCTGTTCTCATGATAGTGAGTGAGTTCTCATGAGATCTGATGGTTTTATAAGGGGCTCTTCCCCCTTGGCTCGGCACTTATCCTTCCTGCTGCCTTGTGAAGAAGGTGCCTTGCTTCTCCTTTATCTTCCACCATGACTGTAAGTTTCCTGAGGCCTCCCTAGCCATGCTGAACTGTGAGTCAAGTAAACCTCTTTCCTTTATAAATCACCCAGTCTCAGGCAGTTCTTTATACCAGTTTGAAAAAGGACTAATACATGGATCTAGCAAAATATGCTTTTAGTAATTGCTAATATTTTTCAATTTATAGTCAAGAATGTAGGGAGAAGATAAGTGAACTCAACATTGTAGAAAATCTGTTGATGATTTTACATGAATATGACTTGCTTTCTAAAAGGTAGGATTGCTAACAGTAGAAAAAGACAATGCAGTGCCTTTATTTGACAGATACACTTGTTATTATTTTTATTACGTCATGTTATTTACATTGTAACTGAATATGATGAGTCAGCTTGGCATTTATTTTCTGTTTAAGTTTATATAAAGAAAATAGAGCAAAGAAGTATATCCATTTATGTTTAGTCCTGCATTACTTCTAGATCTGGGCATAGAAGCTGATGAAATAAATTTTTGTGATATCATTTTTAATGTTTTGTTTATTGCATTTATTTATATCCTGCCTTTTTAGGGAAAGAAACTCTGAGGTGGCTCTAGTTTTAGTAATTTCAAATTGTATATTACAATAAGTGATTAGGTTGCTAAAATCCATTTGCATGAAGGCAAGTAAAATAAGATAGCAACTGACTTGTTTTGTGATCACCTGCTATGATAACTCAAAATCTAGAGTAAAATGGATTCATTTTTACTTGAACTGCATATTGTTCTAATAACTATCCAGATAGTTATTAGATTGTACTTAAATAGAGTTGCAATCTATATCATTTGATATTTAGTTGAGTAATTTTCTAAAGAGGCAAAATAGATAAAAAGAAATCTCCAGCAATGGAGCCCTGACACTTAACTCATAGTAAATCCTTTTGGATTCTTCTTCAAAACTCTCATAAAAGAGCATTAAATATAGATAATACTTATAGACTTGGTTATCTGAACAAACAAGGTTCCAAGCTTGGTACCAGGTGTTGAAAACCAAAGATGAATAAGTTATAAATATGTAGTGTAGAAGAGGGTCAAACAGTGCTATAACTGATACGGTAGACAGATGCACAGGGTACTCTGGGAACATGGAGCAGAGACTTCCCAATTAGAATGTGGAGTCATGCAAAGTTTCCTGGAGGAAAGAGAAGATATCTAGGCAGAGAGAGAGAGACAACATAAAAACAGTATGTGCTTGGACATGGAGGCATGAAATTGGGTGTGTTAGAGGAATGTGATGGTTGGGCACAGCAGGACCATAAGAACAAAAGTGCCAGAGAACTAGAACAGATAGTTAATGATAAATTTAAAATGTAGCTAACTTTGATCAGTGTTTTCTATATGCCAAGACCTGCTCTAAGCACTTTGCTTATTAACTCATGTGATCTGCACATTAACCCTATTTTTCCCGTATTTTATAGATAAGGCAACAAGACACCTTTATCCAGGTCATGATGGTCTCTGATAAATAACGATGTGAATTTTATCATGAACATTATGGGGACTCATGGGAACATTTTAAGCATGATCAAATTTGTTTTTTGAAAGATCACTTTGATAGCAGTGTATGTGGGAGTGAGGTGGGGGTGTTTGTTTATATCCACACATTGAGATCCACTTACAACAAAGAGAGGCTGGGAAAGTTCGTGAAGGTAAAGAATACTATTTATCAAGGAACATTTATTATTAATGTCAGAGCACAAAATTTGGGAGGGAGAGGAGCCATAGGTAATCAGCTCAGGGGAAAGGAATGAGAAAGCCGTATGAGAATGAGAATATTGGAGAGGTAGATGAAAGAGGGATTTATATCTTGAGCATGACAAAGGATTACAAGGATGGGAGGAGCAGTGGGGTTACCTAGCTGCCTGGTGTTCAAAAGAATCCCAACGTTGCCCAGGAAATAGAAAACACTAAGAGCTCTTGATTGACAGTGGAGGAGTGTGAAAAGAGGAGTATGTGTCTTGATGACTCCCAGTCTTGTGGCTTGGAAGACTGAAAATATTGTGGTGCCATGAGTCAAGATCGGGGATATAAGGTGAAGAATAGACCTGGGGAGGAGGCTAATGACTTTGAGTTTAGGGGTAGTATGGAGAGTACTTGTGGAATATCCATGTGGCTAAAACTTCTGGAAGTTAGGAGCAATGCCTGGGCTGAGATCATGATGACAGGGTTGAAAGAGTGTTTGAAATCATGGGAATGGATGACACCATCCAGGAGGGGAGTGTTTAGAGTATGAAACTGGAGGACTAAGGATGATTCTATAAAACGTTTATCATCATAATATTTCATGGCACAGCTGAACCTTGTGTCTTTACCATCAATTTAATGCACTTTGCACTGAGTATATAGTAACTGAGTGCTTTGCCCTTAACTTACCTGCATTGTAGTGTTTTTGACATTTTCTAAGAATGTCTTATTTTGCAATTACATAGTAAGTTTCTGAAGACTAGAATAAGGCTTTTATTATTATTATTTTTTTTTTTTTTTTAGTCTTTAGCACAATGCAGATGTCATTGTTTGTCCTTGATACCTATTTGCTGGTCAGTAGGTTTGTTTTTTGTTTTTGTTTTTGTTTTTTAAACAGAGTCTCGCTCTGTCACCCAGGCTGGAGTGCAGTGGCAAGTGACCTCGGCTCACTGCAACCTCTGCCTCCTGGGTTCAAGCAATTCTTCTGCCTCAGCCTCCCAAGTGGCTGGGATTACAGGCACACACCACCACGCCCTGCCAATGCTGGTCAGTAGGTTTTTAATCAGACCAACGATGATGCAACGAGCCTATAATTTAGAACAGTGGTCTGCAAACTATGACCTACAGTCTAAGTTTATTCCACTGCTTATTTTTGTAAATAAAGATTTATTTTAACATAGGGATGCGAATTTATTTTTATATGTTGTCTATGGCTGCTTTCATGCTATCTCAGCATAGCTGAGTAGTTGTGACACAGATTGTACAGTTAGTAAAGCTAAAAGTGTTTGGCTTTGATCGGGCTCCTTACAGAAAATGGCACATTGACCCATGACTTACAAAATGTTAGGGTTATATTTCATGCACTGATGATAGCTTTAGTCTTAATGTAAAGTAATCAACTCATGATGCTGTGATTCTCACCCCACCCTCTGTACCCCTTTCAGACTAACAGCGGAGTTGCTGCGCCTACTTTGTGCAGAGCCCCAGGTGAAAGAGCAGGTGAAGCTCTATGAGGGGATACCGGTCCTCCTCAGTCTGCTCCACTCTGACCACTTGAAGCTCCTCTGGAGCATTGTCTGGATTCTGGTACAGGTTTGTGAGGACCCTGAGACCAGCGTGGAAATTCGCATTTGGGGAGGCATCAAACAGCTTCTTCATATTTTACAAGGGTGAGTAAAAGTGGGCTTTGGCCTACTTTGCCCTGTTTGTTGAAGTCTGGGGACTCTGTGACAAGATGGCAGATTGGTGTGTGTCACCTCATTCCCTCCTGCTTTGGGATTTCTTTGGTAATTCATGCTTTCCAAAGTCATCTAGACTTGTCACAAGCATGTTCTAAATCAATGTCAGGGGCATTCATCTTTTAAATTCCTTGGGGACCCAGATATATTTATCTTTGCATCACCAACCTCCAGTACAGTGCTGGGAATGTAGAAGGCCATCAATCTGCAAATATAATGAAGGCTGAATGGAAATCCAGTAACCTAAAAAAAACCTTTGTCTTGCCACCTTTTCCTTGAATTAGTATATGCATTTTGTCATTCCAAGTATAATGATTACTAATATTTTCCTAAAATGTTTGTGTGTGCACATATGTTATTATCTATAAAGAGAAAACAAAGCCTATATGAAAGGAGCAGGTGTACAATCCTTGTTTTTGAAAGATGATATCATTAATCAAGTGGTTGCCATGTTACTAACTCTAGTCCAGTTCTCTACTTTTCTCTCTAATCTTCATTACGGTCCTCTAAGGTGGGCATTATCTCTCTTTTAAAAGTAGAATTCCAGTGACATTCTAAGTCAGGAGCACGGAGAATGGATAGTTTTGTTCCCAATTGAAATTCTCTAGAAGTACGTTGCAAACTAACTTCTGTATTTTCTGAATTAAATAGATTGAAGTATTTAATAATAATATCTTGTGGTACCATCCATGGGAAGATTCTATTACCTAATATTGTTATAAAGTATAATTCAGTTCTATGGGTGCTGAACCAAAGTTAAAAATGAGTATGCCTCCTTGAACTGGATCGTCTTTATGATCTGCAGTACATAAATAAAGCTCATTCTAATAAAAGCAGAGGGACTTATCAATTTTCATATAACTAGATATTATCAAATCAATGTTGTTATGACTTTGTATTTGTTATGCTTCCAGCGATATTGCAGAACTGTGTGTTACCAACTTCATTTTCTCTTAAGGAACATTCAGAAGCATAAGAATAGACTGTACAGACATGAACAGTAGCTTTGTTAACAATATTTGTCATTACCTAAACAAAGGAAAAATTTATAGACTGTTGACAACCCACTTGCTTCATGAATGTGACATAAAAATATCAATTACTTTATAGTATAAATTATAAGTCATTCATTAGTGCTGTGACATAATAAGCCAGCCCCTTGGTCAAAATAATTACAATTGCCAAAGGTTTTTTATTTAGGTTTGTAGGATGACGATGGTAATGATGATCATGGTGGTGGTTATTCTTTATTATTGGACAATCATACCTATTATAATAGGTATGGGTTGCCCTCTTGGAGAACAGCTATTTTCATAAGGATAAAATGAAATTCTGTAATAGTTAAGCAGAATTTCAAAGACAAAACCTGCCTTTTTCTCATATAGAATTGAATCTAGCTTTCTTCTTTTGCTGAAGTCATAACTATCCTTGGTAAAAAAGAGGTCTTTCACATCTAAAGTATCATTTTCCAGTCCATTTTGATGGTGCAATGTTAGCAAACTTTTCCCCAGGACAATGACATATTTTAACTCTTATTCTATGTTAAATATGTACTGGTGCTTTGGGAGAATTTATTACCCCAGCTGGATAAACAGTTTCTTTTCAGAGCTTGTGCCTGACCCTGGGCTGACTGCAGCTGGCATTAGGGGTAGACGTTTCCAGGCTGTCTTGTGGCTGGAGTATGAAGAACACTGTTTTCAGGGCAGTTTCTGGGACACTTTCTCATGCCTGTTCACCTGCCATCTCAAACTCAAAGGCAGCTCCCAAAGGGCTCTCTTGATCAGGTGAAGAGATCCCTACAATTTGAGTTTTAAGAGAATCATGTTGACAGATAAGATCACCACCTGTGACTGTCCCTAGGCCTAGCTCCATTACCTTCCCCATGCTCATTGCAGGGAGGACACTAGTGGACCCAGATGACATGAGAGGGAAGTCAAGGAAACTCCATCCATGTTACATTTAGGCACAGAGAAATTCAGGTAGAGTTGCTGCTATAAAAAATAAATACATGGAAAAAAATGGTAACTATGTAAAACAAAAGGGAACAAAGCAGGTGAAAGACAGATGAAGAACTATTATGGAAGAAAGTGTACTGAGTAAACAGAAAAGCCAATGCTTTATTTCATCAAAGACATTAAGCAGAGCATGAATTTATGAAATGAGATTAAAGATGAAACAAATTTTTGGACACAAAAAAGGGAGAAGACTGCAGAGCTAGGAAAGAAAACAAGGACTGAATAACACCTACAGAACCGATAAATTGCTAGATCACCAGAAAAAAATGGAAATAGTAAAATGTAGGGTAAGCTTGAAAAAAATTACATATAATGCAGAAGAAAAAGACCAATGAATAAAAGAAATTAGAAAATGAAAGATACGCCCAATAGAAGAAGACAGGTTTTCAACATGTGGACAATTGAGATCCCTGAAGTACAGAGTAAAATGAAAAGGGCCAAACATTTCCAAGATATGATAGGAGAGAACTTTCTTAAAATAAAGGAAGATTGAAAGTTCATGGAAAAAGGAAACTGAGAATAATCAAGACTGAGATGTATTCAGGTGAATCAACTCCAGGAAAATAGAAAATTCAAAAACAAAGGTGGCCATGTAGAGCAGTGGGGAGAGGACACTTTTCAATAAATAGTGAGAAATCAGTAACCATAAAAAAATGGTTCTTACCACACACCATACACAAAAATCAATTCCAGGTGGATTGGAAAGTGAAACAATAATGATGCCTTCATGACCTGAGGGAGGCAAAGATTTCTTAAATGTGACACAGAAAGGACTGACGGTGAAGGGAAATTGATAAATGGTCTATGCATTAACTTTTCTTTTTCAGAGACAGAAATTTTGTTTCTGATCACTCCTCCATTGGAAGCCTGTCCAGTGCAAATGCTGCAGGCCGAATCCAGCAGCTTCATTTATCAGAAGACTTGAGCCCTAGGGAAATACAAGAAAATACTTTCTCACTTCAAGCAGGTATTTATGTTTTATTATTTGATATGCTATAATTTATTGTGTTGTATTATTATTCACTATCATAGATTAGTGTAGTAGTGTTAAGTAGGCAAAATTTAGAAGTTTACAAAAATGTAAAGTGAAATCCACATGGATGCCAGAAACTTCTTGGTCCCAGTGTTGGACTTGCAGATGAATGATACAACAAATGTTTCTTTGTCTTCTGTGTTCTGAACCTAGCAAGAGATAAACACAGAAGTCAGAGATAAGGATACAAAACATTAGCTTTATTATGAGGAAAGCTGGATTAGGGGATGCAGCTTGATCTGTGGCCAGAATCATGCTTTCTAGAATTTTCTAGATCCCAGGGCACCCTACATAAGGGGGAATCTACAGTGCACACACTTGTCTCACCAGGTGCAAGAGAGTACCTTCCCCATGCTTCTTGAGCTCCAAAGAGAAGACTGAAAGATGCTGCCCTGTCTAGGATTTTCACATGCAAGCAGGAGCAGCAATGCATCAATGCTTTTTGGCAGGGCCACCTTGAGCAGTCATGCAGTTTGTGCCCTGCCTGGGGGCACCTGGCCTTTGGGACAACTGGAGCTACAGTGCGGTCTGAGTGCTATTGGCCAATTTGGGTGCCCTAGAGCGGCCCACAGAAAGGGAGCAGAGAGGTGTGGTATGGGCCAGCAGGAGACAGGGAGACTCTGAGGGGAAAGAGCAGACTGCAGGAGAGGGAATGAGGGAGTGGGGAAGTGGGAGAGGGCAGGCTTTCCTTGCTGTCTACTATTTTCTCCTGAAGAATACAGAAGATATTTCTTCATAGATGGTGTGAAAACAAGGACATAGGAGCTCCTCCTCAAAGTGCCATTTCTGCTTACTCTGAAAGGCCCCTGTCTCAGTACAAGGTCTTGTGCTGGGGGTTTACTGTTTGAAGACTCCCCAGAAGTCTAATCCAGTGGAATCTCAGAGCTCTGAGTGTTTCTAGCAATCATTCAAAGAGTGGATGAGATTGACGGTGATAGAATTCAGAAGAACAGTTACTTAGATGTGGAATTATAGGAGAGTGAGTGCCTGAGAAGGGGCACAAGGAGCCTTTGAGAACTGGAAATATAGCCTACACATTCCTCTGGGTGGAGGATGGTTACAGGGCACATAGATATGTAGTATCTCATTGAGCCTTACACTTAAGATGTGTTTACGTTACATAGCTTATTCTATACCCGTATTAGTCCATTTTCACGCTGCTGCTAAAGACATACCCAAGACAGGGCAATTTACAAAAGAAAGAGGTTTAATGGACTTACAGTTCCACATGGTTGGGGAAGCCTCACAATCATGGTGGAAGGCAAGGAGAAGCAAGTCACATCTTACGTGGATGATGGCAGGCAAGAGAGGGCTTGTGCAGGGAAACTCCATGCACTTTCAATGGTTTTACAAAAAAAACATTTTAAAAACAATCAGATCTCAAGTGAGACTCATTCACTATCATGAGAACAGCACAGGAAAGACCCACCCCCATAATTCAATCACCTCTCACTGGGTTCCTCCCATGACACATGAAAATTGTGGGAGTTACAATTCAAGATTGAGATTTGGGTGGGGACACAGTCAAACCATATCATTTTGCTCCCGGCCCCTCCCAAATCGTATGTCCTCACATTTCAAAACCAGTCATGCCTTCCCAACAGTCCCCCAAAGTCTTAACTCATTTCAGCATTAACTCAGAAGTCCACAGTCCAACATCTCATCTGAGACAAGGCAAGTCCCTTTTGCCTGTGAGCCTGTAAAATCAAAAGCAAGTCAGTTACTTCCTAGATACAATGGGGTACAGACATTGGATAAATACAGCTGTTCCAAATGGGAGAAATTGGCCAAAACAAAGGGGGGCTACAGGCCCCAAGCAAGTCCAGAATCCAGCAGGGCAGTCAAATCTTAAAGCTCCAAAATGATCTCCTTTGACTCCATGTCTTGCATCTGGGTCACGCTGATGCTATAAGTGGGTTCCCATGATCTTGGGCAGCTCCGCCCCTGTGGCTATGTGAGGTACAGCTTCCCTCTCGGCTGCTTTCATGGGTTGATGTTGAGTTTCTTTGGCTTTTCCAGGTACACTGTGCACACTTGTCAGTGGATCTGCCATTCTACTGGAGGACAGTGGCCTGCTTCTTACAGCTCCACTAGGCAGTACCCCAGCAGGGACTCTGTGTGGGGGCTCTGACCCCACATTTCCCTTCTGAACTGCCCTAGCAGATGTTCTCCATGAGAGCCCCGCCCCTGCAGCAAACTTCTGCCTGGGCATCCAGGCATTTCCATACATCCTCTGAAATCTAGGCAGAGGTTCCCAAACCCTAATTCTTGACTTTTGTGTACAAGCAGACTCAACACCACATGGAAGCTGCCAAGGCTTGGGGCTTCCACCCTCTGAAGCAACAGCCTAAGCTGTACCTTGGCCCCTTTTAGTCATGACTGAAGTGGCTGGGATGCAGGGCACCAAGTCCCTAGACTGCGCACAGCAGAGGGACCCTGGGTCCAGTCCATGAAACCGTTTTTCCCTCTGAAACCTCCAGGCCTGTGATGGGAGGGACTGCCACAAAGGTCTCTGACACACCCTGGAGAAATTTTCTCCATTGTTTTGGGGGTTAACATTTGGCTCCTCATTACTTATGCAAATTTCTGCAGCAGGCTTGAATTTCTTTTCAGAAAATTAGATTTTCTTTTCTATTGCATTGTCAGATGGCAAATTTTCCAAACTTTTATGCTGTGTTCCTCTTTTAAAACTCAATGCCTTTAATAGCATTCAAGTCACCCCTTGAATGCTTTGCTGCTTAGAAATTTCTTCTGCCAGGTACCCTAAATCATTTCTCTCAAGTTCAAAGTTCCACAGATCTCTAGGGCAGGGGCAAAATGCCACCAATCTCTTTGCTAAAACATAGCAAGAGTCACCTTGGCTCCAGTTACCAACAATTTCCTCATCTCCATCTGAGACCACCTCGGCCTGGATTTCATTGTCCATATCATTATCAGCATTTGGTCAAAGCCATTCAACAAGCCTCTAGGGAGTTCCAAACTTTCCCACATTTTCCTGTCTTCTTGTGAGCCCTCCAAATTGTTCCAAGCTCTGCTTGTTACCCAGTTCCAAAGTCACTTTCACAATTTCTGTTATCTTTTCAGCAAAGCCCGACTCTACTGGTACCAATTTACTCTATTAGTCCATTTTCATGCTGCTGATAAAGACATACCTGAGACTGGGCAATTTCCAAAAGAAAGGGGTTTAATGGACTTACAGTTCCACATGGCTGGGGAGGCCTCACAATCATGGCGGAAGGCAAGGAGGAGCAAGTCATATCTTAAGTGGATGGCAGCAGGCAAAGAGAGGGCTTGTGCAAGGAAACTCCCATTTTTAAAACCATCAGATCTTGTGAGACTCATTCACTATCACAAGAACAGTGCAGGAAAGACCCACCCCCATAATTCAATCACTTCACACCGGGTTCCTCCTATGACATGTGGGAATTGTGGGGATTACAATTCATGATGAGATTTGGGTGGGGACACAGCCAAACCATGTTAATACCTAAATAAAAATGGAAAAATAAAAATTAAAAACATAAACGGTTAAGAGTAGGGTCTGAGTTTTGGCTCCACCCTCATTGATGGCTATATGGCCTTGGGAAAGTTCCTTAATTTCTCCAAGCTCCAGTTTTGCTTATGTAAAATGGTGATGATAATCATGGTATCAATGATAGAAGATCATTGTGAGAATTATGTGGGAATATATGTAAAATCTTCAGCACAGTAAAATGGAATTATCCTTTATAGGAGCTCTGTGCTATAGAGTCTGGCATACTTCTGAGAGCACAAGTATCTCAGTGCAAAATACCACCAAAGGCTGCCACAGTGGCTGTCAGGAGGCAAGAGTGGTGCTGCTTAGGGCTGGGGATTTAACGTCTGGCAGACTGGGGCTGCACTCCTGGTCATTTCCACTTACTGGTTGTGTGGCCTAGTCTAGTAACTCTTTGAAACTGTTTTCTCACCAGTAACAGTGGTAATCACAGTGCATACTCTTATTATAAGGATTGAGTTGAATAATATATTTAAAGCATTCTTTTATTTATCAACCATTATAGATATATTTGTTGAGCACCTGCTAAGTGCCAGGCATGTTTTGGGCACTGGGGATTACAATGAAATGGACAGATGCAATACTTGCCTCCTGGTACGAAGAAAGTGCTCAATAAATGGTTGCAGTGGAATAGACACGCACATGAATTACATGGGGAGGAGAATTAGAAGCCATTACAAGTCAACTTCTTTTCTTCCAGAGCTGTGCCAAAAGGAAAATTAGTGTTTCTTGAGAAGTTACTTTGCTAATAAAAATAGCAAAATAATAAAAATACCCTGTGGAGTAAGAGTATTTATGTGATAGTATATTTATTGTAATGATGCACACTATGCATTTGATTGTTGTCATTCCAGCCTGCTGTGCTGCCCTCACTGAGCTGGTGCTCAATGACACCAATGCCCACCAGGTGGTTCAGGTGAGAGCACTCCTTCTCAAGGTCAGGTCTCCATAACCATTCATAATCAACTCACCTTGTGGTGCAGTCTGTATCCCAGAACATAGGTTTTGGGATTCCCATCATGTGATTTTAAAACTATTTTAACATTTCTCGTTTAACTAATAAAGTTCCACTTTATATTCTTCTCCTTCCTCCTTTAACTCATTTGACTTAAAAAGGACTGACATGTGGTTAATTGATGTTTCTTCATTATGTTATGTGCGGTCCCTTTTATTTTTTCTTTCTAAAAGGGATACTCTGAATTGCATTAATTCTGGGTGTATAGAATACCATAAGGTAAGGACAGCAATCATTTTGATTAAGACTATGCATCAGATTATTAAGTTAAAAATGATGATTGAGACACAGCAAACAAAATATTTATTGCCAAGAAACTGATTTTGCAAAGTATAATCCACTAATTAATCTACTATATGTACAGCTATATATACATGTTTGTGTGTGTATGTATATATACACATAAATATAAATTAATAGATCTATATTAATAAACATACACATGTATATGTACAACCCTTGTATGGGTTTCTATCACAAAAGTTACCTCCTACTTAGTGAATTTTACAGAGAAAACATTTTTGGTTGTGTCATTACAATATCCAACTTCAAGATCCGTACATGTTAGTAAGGGATCAGCTCATCAATGATTAAATTAGGACATAAGAGAAACTCAGCAGATCAGGGGGTAGTTGATAGAACAGGGCATCTGAAGTTGGCCAGATTGAGGTTCAATTCCTGGAATTATTACTTCTTGGCTTGGCTTCTAAAAAAATAATGTATCCACTCTAAGTATTGGTTTTCTCATGTATAAAACAAGGAAATTATAGACTAATTTCACAGAGTTGTTACAGAGATTAGATGCAATAAGGCAAATAAAGCTCTTTGCAGTTATAATATGAATGCCTGCACACAGTAAAGATCAGTACATTATATATTTACTAGATAATAGAAAAGTGGCTGTAAGGTATTATTATTTGTTCATTCCTTCATGTGTATATTTCAATTAAAAAATCTAGAAAGATGTCAAGATTATAATAAAGACATAAATTAATAACTGGAATATAATTTCTCCCTTTATGGTTGTGGTAATTAAGGATATAAATAAATATCAAAGATATAAATCTAAGATATTGGGACACCTTTACTCTGTCCCTTTTTAATCTCTCATTGTTTTTAAGGTATTTGAATCACTTTACGTTTATGTACTTTATTATAATCTTGATTCTCCACAGACAGTTGAAATTTTAAAATTGTAGTTGTACTCTTTGGTGTTTAAAAGTGTTATGTTGACATTTTAAATATTGTCCTGTAATGTTTACTTCAAGGTCCATAGTTATACTAATATTTCTTCTTTGATATTAATGTTTGAGATTGTTTATTTGCCTCTTTTTGCTTGTGTATCACTACAGTGTTGTCACTCATAGTATGACCCCTTTATTCTTTCAGGAAAATGGTGTATATACAATAGCAAAATTAATTTTACCAAATAAGCAAAAGAATGCAGCAAAAAGTAATCTATTACAGGTAATAAACATGTCTCTTGTCCTTCAGTATCAAGTTATTGAAATCTTGGGTAACTATGGTAAAATGATCTATGATTTTTAGAATGTTTAGGTTAGTACTGGTCCCTGTACTGACTATGAGGGAAAAATATCTGGCAAGGAAGACTGGCATGGAATCAAATAATATTAAAACAATACAGAAGGCTTAACAGTGGTTTCTCTGTGTGGGAGAATTAGGTGATTTATTTAGGTGTTTCTTTGCTTATCAATAAGTTCTATTTTTTTAAAAAAATATGCATTCCTTATGTATCAGAATATAACAACAGGGGGAAAATTATTTGCCATCATGGATCTTGATGGATGAGAAGGGACTTGCCAAGTGGATAAGGGGATATTGGGTGGGGCACCAATGGCATCTGCTGCAGGGTGGAAGGGCATTCCATGCAGAGGGAACAGCATGCACCAAGTGTGAAAGCTGTGAGCTTAGAGTGTGCTGAGGGAAGTGTGAGCTGCTCAGTGGGGTTGGGGTGTGTGGTTGTGGGGGCCAGTGCTCCAGCAGATGAGGCCTCACATGTAAGAAAGGGGAACAGTTAGCCAGGTTCTACATTCATTTTTGAGGAGTGGGTGTTGGGAGAGCTGAGTAAAGGGTGAGCTGCTCAGTGGAACTGGGGTGTGTGGTTTGGGGAGGCAGTGCTCCAGGAGTTGAGGGCTCACATGTAAGAAAGGGGAACAGTTACGCAGGGTTCTATGTTCGTTTTTGAGGAGTGGGTATTGGCAGAGTGGGGGCGGGGGGCAGTGGCCCTAATGTCAAAATCTGATTTAAAGTTAGTCTTTGCAATAGTTGTAGCTCATCTTTTTTTTTCCCCCAAGTCATTTTGAAAAGGAAGAAAGAAACAACCTTTGTCTCCAATCTGATTTAAGAGTTATCATCCAAAATGATGGCCAAACCCAGCAGACTCTTTCGGGGTGTCTCTGTGCTGGCAGGCAGGGGTTTTTGGAGCGCTACCAACGGGAAGGTGCAGGCATGGGACTTGATTTCTTCAGTGCATCACAGATATATGACACTGTGCTGTTAAACAGATAAAGACAAACCCATCCTGCAGAGACATTTCGTTAAGCCAGTAGAGGGTTTTTTAGAATTCCAGATGGAGGGCTTTTGAGGAATATGCATGCTCTCCCTTTCTCACAGTCTCCACTGCTCTCACCTGGCTCCTTCATGTCATTTTGTTACCGGCCTCACCTCTCTGGGCAATTTTGTATGGGACCCTTCTGTGTTCAGATCACTGATTTTAGGAAATGATCCCAGATTTGATTCACCAAACCCTGATCACTCCAATGGTGGCCTATTGTGCAGGCACAGCTGCAGGCTGGGCACACTCTTTTTTCTCAGTACTGCAAAATGTCAGATGTTTATTTTTCCTAGGTAAAGGCTCACAGGCCTCTTTCTGAGCGTTCTAGGGAGTTAGTGTAGATTGTTCTATTTGGGGAATGCTTAAGACTCTTTACTCAAGAGACCAATTTGTCAAGTTTGAATCCAGTGTGCCTGCGGCTATTTTTATATGTCATCATTTCTAGTGTTTATTTTCTCACAGAAACCATATAAATATTGAGGTATACATAGCAGGCTAGAAACAAAATAAACCTTGAGCTCCTGGAAATCTTTAGACATTTGGTTTTCTCAGCATCGGAATTTTATTTCTTGTCTCTGTACTCATTTTGTACTTTCTAGAAAGAAATTAATGACGAGTACCAAGTGAAGCAAGGCCAATATTCCCTGCATTCTACAACATAAACACTTTTTAAATACAGGAATGACCCCAGGTGTTGGTGTTTTTTGTTTTCAGTTAGAAGCTTTGGCTCCAACTTGGACCAGCCACTTACAATAAAGTCACGTTAATGTTTACTTCCTGTTAATTCTTTCCTGAAAATGTTTTAATTTGTTGAGCTACCATTTGAGAATCACATATCCTTTTGTTTTCTAGTGTTATGCTTTCAGAGCCTTGAGATTTCTCTTCAGTATGGAAAGAAACAGACCACTCTTTAAAAGGTATGAGGTTAGAGAAATATAAGTGATCATTAGGTTTAGGAGATCATTAGATTGAACTGTTTTCACATACTTGGCTTAGATGCAACAGAAGGAAAATAATGCGTCAGTATGCAAACCATGTGTCTTCAGATTTCTTATTTCACAGATAGAAGTGAGCTACTGTAGTGATTCAGTATCCAGCCACACTGAATATTAACAGAATGATGATGAAAGAGCATAAATTGCTATATCAATACAACTCCCCTTAATTACATGTGACTGCTGTGATTTTAGCTTTCTTTTTGATAATTAAAGATATTAACATTTTTAAAAGATGGCATTAAAATATGAGCTTCTTTTTTTCCAGCTAGAAATTTGAAAGTCAATCGGGTAATTTCACTTTAATCAAAGGGAATTTAATCAAAGGGAAAACAAACTGTTTTTTTGTGTGTCTTTGATGGTGTAGGAGCTCATTTGAAGGGGAGGCTGGATGTTCTGGGGTCAAGATACTGTGTTGGTGAGCCTGACCAAAAGGTCACCATTTCGGGAAGCAAACACTGGTTCCCTCAGTGGTGTTCTGCACACCATTTAGTTAGGTGGGTTAGCCAAAATCATAGGCCCAAGTTTTTATTAAAATTTTGTTAATAAGGCAGAATAGACATAAAGTATTGAGTTAATATAGTATTTTTTGTTCAGAAAGCATGGAGCGTCACTTTTCGGCCTTTTGGCTGAGATCAAGTGCAGAAAGCATGGAGCATTTTATGTTGTTACTTTATTTCTATACTGTTTGGATTTAGAGGAAAATGAAGTAAAATTAGTTCTCTTTTTTTTTTTTTTTTTTGACAAAGGCTCATCCTGTTGCTTCTCCTGCCTCAGCCTCCTGAGTAGCTGGGACTACAGGCATGCACCACCACACCTGGCTAATTTTTGTATTTTCAGTAGAGATGGGTTTTCACCACGTTGGCCAGGCTGGTCTTGAACTCCTGACCTCAGGTTATCCACCCGCCTTGGCCTCCCAAAGTGTTGGGATTACAGGCGTGAGCCACCACACCCAGCTACTTATTCTTTATAATCTTTCATTTCAGAGCTCTAAATCATCCCTTTTAGTGAACTCAAAGATTTTAAAACCCCTTGAAACCAGTGTCTTGGGAATGATGAATGAATCTCTTTATTTGTTTTATTTTTCATGTACCAGTATTTTTATTTTCATGAAACTTTTATTTAAAAGTTGGGTTAGTATTTACTTCTTACTAAAATCTGAGTTAAATGACATTTGTGAAAGTGCTCCACACCCAAAAAAACACCCAATAAATGTTTCCTTCTAATGTATTCAATGCCTATACCCCCAAATATCTTACAAGTAAGATTTTTGTATAATCTGTATCATATCTAATTTTAAATTATGGTAAAAATATTAACATGCCATCTACCTTCTTAAAATTTTAAGTGTACAGTGTTATTAACTGTAAGCACAAGGTTGTACAGCAGATCTCTAGAACTTTCTTCTCCATTTGTTTTTTTCTTACCTCTCAAAAACTGTAAATAGTGTATTTTTTCGAGATAAGTTGGGGAATATTATTTCCCCAACTTTGTTGATAACCAAAAGAAGTTAAATTTGTTTCATGTAATTAATCAGTGAGTGAGCTGCATTCAAAAGGGAAGTAATGGGCCGGGTGCGGTGGCTCACACCTGTAATCCCAGCACTTTGGGAGGCCAAGACGGGCGGATCACGAGGTCAGGAGATCGAGACCATCCTGGCTAACATGGTGAAACCCCGTCTCTACTAAAAATACAAAAAATTAGCCGGGCATGGTGGCAGGCACCTGTAGTCCCAGCTACTTGGGAGGCTGAGGCAGGAGAATGGCGTGAACGTGGGAGGCAGAGCTTGCAGTGAGCTGAGATCGTGCCACTGCACTCCAGCCTGGGTGACACAGTGAGACTCTGTCTCAAAAAAATAAAAAAGGGAAGTAATGATCAACTGTGTCCAAGTTCTACTTTAAGTGTGTGTAATATTCTCTGTAGACTTTTCCCCACAGACTTGTTTGAGATCTTCATTGACATAGGGCATTATGTACGTGATATCAGTGCTTATGAAGAATTGGTATCCAAGCTGAATTTATTAGTGGTAAGTCCTGAGTTTTCAATATTTTGGCAGGCTGCTATGTAGTCAGGATGTAATTTATCACAGAAACCCATTTCCTTTTTATATTTTGATTAGGAGGATGAACTGAAGCAAATTGCTGAAAATATTGAAAGCATTAATCAGAACAAAGCTCCTTTGAAATATATAGGCAACTATGCAATTTTGGATCATCTTGGAAGTGGAGCTTTTGGCTGTGTTTACAAGGTGACTTTCCCCTTGGGGAACATTTCTGATACTCCCAACCAAACCGGATGTCACACTTGCACACCGATATTCAATTGAATTAGAACTCTTGTCATTGAAAAATAGCAAACAGATATGAAAATTAGAATGATTGTTTTTGTCCAACAGAGATAGCCACACTAATATTGTTTTAGCTGTAAGCTCTAGAAATTGGCCACTGACTTTTTAAGACAAAAGGCATTATTAATCTCTCACAAAGGTATTCAAAATAGTTTCTCCCAATGCATGATGCAATCTCTAAATTAAAAAATGCTACTAAGTATTGCAGACTGACCCAGGGGATACCAGTGTTTTGATGTTTTGAGCTGAGCTTAATGTAAATACAGCTGGAACTTTAAATGCTCTGTGACTTATTTATATGACTTAGTTACTCATGTGACTTTGTTAGTCTATCTCTTTCTTCCTCTTTCTCTCTTCTCCTTCTTTACCCTGTTCCTTTTGTTGTTGTTGTGTTTTTCTTTATTTTAGGTTAGAAAGCATAGTGGTCAAAATCTTTTAGCAATGAAAGAGGTCAATTTACATAACCCAGCATTTGGAAAGGATAAGAAAGATCGAGACAGCAGCGTAAGGAATATTGTTTCTGAATTAACAATAATTAAAGAGCAGGTAAATGTTTTCCTTGTTTCTGAAGATGTTTTTCTTAAATACATGTCATTGCAAGAAAGTAGAGTTGTGGTGCTCTTGTCCATGCTGCTTATGAACTAGTTCCATGTGAAATAATTGACACTGAAGCAGTGATATTTTTGCCAGCTTTTTTCCTAAGGCTTGACATTGAAGCATAAAACACTGTCTGGAGTTTATATCAGGGTCATGGATGCAAAACAATCGGATTTACAGTACAGAATGCATCATATATGAGAAATCCTTTTCTTTTCATTGTGAGCATATCTATTCTTTTCTCCTTATATTTTAGGATATTTGGTTACTTAGTTACATACATAGAAATATGACTAAGAGTTTCTTGACTTTTGCCAAATGGAACCAAGCTGTTAACATTCCTCAAATATGACTTTATTAGATCTAAAATGTAGATTTTCAAGTTGGGTTATTATGTATTGGCATGAGCAGAATACTCTGATATAATGTAACAGCTCAATTAACTCTCATTATGAAAGTTTGTTTGAGGAGGAAGAATAAACATTTCAAAGAGAAATGGAATTTCTTTGTGTGATCCAAGAACACATTGGTTTCTTTTTCAGCCTTCCTTATTTGCACATTCATCACGAATACTGTTCATTTATAATTCCTGTGGTGCACTATCAGCTTTGCTGCTTTTGTCCTCCACTGGTCACATTTGCATAGCATCTGTGTTGGGATGTAACAAATTCCATAAACAAGGAGACCTTTGTTCATAAAAATCGATAGTTCTACTCCAGTGTGTACATTATAGTAAATATTATCATTAATTGTTTATTTTATAGTTGATTTTATATACTAATAGACTAGACTTTAAAAAGTTTGTTCATGTGTAGTTTGTTCATGTGTTTGTATGGTCATCTAGCCTTCCACAGTGTGCTCTTTCATTGTAGCACAAGGCTAGAACAGGGCTTTTGACCTAAGCCAGTCCAGTGTTTTCATCTGGACCCAAATTTGGTTTTAGTCCTTGTGGGTGAGCCAGGTCCAGAATATGGTTCTGGTTGGTTACCTGGTCACATATTGCTTACGATCTGCTGGCCACTTGCTAGTTGATGCAGTAGATTATTTGTTTTAGCACATTTCCTAAGAAAAGAAACTGTCAAACTAGGGTCAGATAGGAAGCATATGCTTGGGCTTTGAGGTAACTCAAAATTGCCCTCTCACTAGAGGATCAAACTGATGGAAAGGATGATAACATTGAGTCCTTAAAGGAGGAGGTAGTGGCAGGCAGAAGCAAAACAAATGGGGCTAGAATGGAGAGTACATTAAGATTAACCTGCATTAACAAAGAGGATCCCAAATGCAGGTGCTTAGAAAGAGGACTCACAGTACAGTGGGTTATTTCTCTTTCACGGAACAATCCCAAAGTGAGTAAACCAGGTTGAAGGTGTTCTCTGCTCCATGCGATCATTTGGGGATGCAGGCTTTTTTCTCTCTTCTTGTGCTGTTACCTTCTAGTGCACTGTCTTCATCTGTGTGGTTGAAACTGCCATAGCCATGCTCACATCCAAGGTGAGATGAGGAGGATCATGGAGGGCTATTCCCAAGGTTTAGAGTTCACACAGGAAGCACACATGCTTCCTCTCATATTCCACAGGTCAGAACTGAGTGGTAGCCTCACCCCCAGCTTCAAGGGAGGCTGAGAAATCTTCTCTAACTGGGAAGCCATGTCCAGCTTCAACTGTATTGCAATGGGACAGCAGGTTTTTGGTGGACAGCTAGCAATCTCCCTTCAAAAAGACGTGCAGAAAGACCAAAAAGAGATGCAAGCAAGCCATTTGTTGATGTGATGGTGACTGTTCTAAGACAAATTTTATCTAGAAACTCAAATTATAAGCAAAAACTACAAAATTATTAGCATTCTTCTAGAAAATGATCTTTTTTAATTAAAAAATTAGAAATTCCACTAACATTCTTAACTTATATCAAAGAGAAATTGCACCATTTTTTAAAAACGGTGAGGAAGACTTTATTCAATACTATTGCAATAGAAGTCAAACTATTGTAATAGAGGAGAGAGATTGAACCCAACTCTGAATTCGAGGACTGGACAGCTGGGGACTCAGAGCCAATGGTCAGGGTGAGGGAGGGTCAGTGGATGGAAGTTTACTAAGAGGAACTTGGTTAGATATCAAGGGTGAGTGGATGAGAAACTTAATTGGATGTCAAGGGTGGGAAATTTTTCCATAAACTGACTTAGCAGGATATAAGTTGCTAAAACTGACAGACCAAGGATGAGGCCTAGTCACGAAGAGGACTCAGAGGAGCCTGACTAAAGCTTGGTTAAGTAGGAAGTCCTTGTCAACTGTTATTATGACTTAAACTGAGTCGACTCTTAGATTATGTTATTTTCTACTAATCATTTTGGAGAGCATAGAAAGACAGAAATAGTGTAAATAGGCACAAACTTTCCATAAATATTTAGATGGTAGAGAGAGGTAAAGAACAATGAATATTTGTAGTCAACAGAAGTTACCGCATTTCACTTTTCTCCTTTATACAGTCTGTGTGTCGGGTTGTGACAAGGTGTGCTAAAGGAATTCTTAAGGTTCCTTCTACCTCTATAGTTCTCTTGGTTAAGTTCGATAGTAAAGTTAGGTGATAGAACGTTTTTAATTTTATTTAATAAAGCTATAGAGGATTGCTATTTTCAGATCAGTTTATAAGCAACAAGTTTTTAAAAATCACAACAATCTCAGTTCGATGATATCTTGAAATGCTTAGTTTTGTAAATAAATATAATTTCTTTGTAGTTTTCAAATATGAAGTCCAACTAAGTAGTCAGTGAAAAAACTTGTATTTTGAAGCAGTGCAATACATGTTTGTTATTTATTTTCTTATAGCTTTATCATCCCAACATTGTACGTTATTACAAAACATTTCTGGAAAGTAAGTATGAGTTTTCATGATATTTCTAAATAAGGAAACATTTTTGTCACATATATTTTTGTATCAGAATGTCACAAAAGAAACCTAATCAACTATTTTATTGACCTTTTTTTGTTAATATGACAGTAGATGGTCTTAAGCATCACTTTCTTGACTAGTGAAACAGTGACCTAGTCAGTCACCTGAAGATAGTTATAAAATACTTAGCTGCCTGTGTGAAAAACGCATGAACAAACCAAAATAGTTATTGCTATTCTCATATACAAAAAAATCACTTAATAGGATCAAGGAAAAAGAAAACTAATGGATGGTGGTTTCCTTAAGAAAAGAAAGTTGTTTTTGTTGACTCAGGTGTCATTTTCCATCCCCAAAATAAGTTGGAGAGAGCTAGGTCTTTGAGATTTCTTTTACCTGAAGTTCAGGTAAATGCCACAAAGGTGGCGATGGAGCCCAGACTGATTCTGGCAGCCAGGCTTGCTTTCTGCAGGTATGATGGAATGCTGAACTAGAACCAAAACAGATAAAGCTAAACTCAGCCACTCTTTTTTTTTTTTTTTTTTTAAGTAGGGCCTATGACAGAAATAATACAAGTATTGCTAAGCTTTAATGATATGTGTCACATATGAAATGTCGAAATAAATCTCCACTTGAAGAATGATTTAAAGAGACATAAGGCAATGACTGGGGCTTCCGGACTACCTCTTTTTCAGTGCTATTGTTATTTAAGAAAACCTTTTGTGTGTGTATTTTGCCATTTGTTACAATTTTACCCATCTCCCTTCCCCTAGATGACTCAGAAAAACTCAGTGCTAAAACTCATGCAGTAAATCCTGTCCCCTTAGCCATTTGTTCTTGATATTAAAATAATTTTCTATAATTTAGTGTATATCCCTTCAAAAAAATCAAGGTTGGCTTCAGACTTGTACTGAAATGATATAAATTGTCTTAATATAAAAAACAAAAACGTTTTTTACTACCTGACAGCTTCCAAAAAGAACTGGAAATGGCGGCCGGGCACGGTGGCTCACGCCTATGATCCTAGCATTTTGGGAGGCCGAGGCTGGCGAATCACTTGAGGTCAGGGGCTCGAAACCAGCCTGGCCAACATGGTGAAACCCTGTCTCTACTTAAAAAAAAAAAAAAAAAAAAAAAGCTGGGCGTGGTGGCAGGCGCCTGTAATCCCACCTACTTGGGAAGCTGAGGCAGGAGAATTGCTTGAACCCTGGAGGCAGAGGTTGCACTGAGCCAAGATCGCGCCACTGCACTTCAGCTTTGCCACAGAGCAAGACTCTGCCTCAGAAAGAAAAAAAAAGGCTGGGCGCGGTGGCTCACACTTGTAATCCCACCACTTTGGGAGGCTGAGATGGGCCGATCACGAGGTCAGGAAATCGAGACCATCCTGGCTAACACGGTGAAACCCCGTCTCTACTAAAAATACAAAAAAATTAGCCGGGCGTCGTGGCGGGCGCCTGTAGTCCCAGCTACTTGGGAGACTGAGGCAGGAGAATGGCGTGAACCCCAGAGGCAGAGCGTGCAGTGAGCCAAGATCGCGCCACTGCAGTCCAGCCTGGGCAACAGAGTGAGACTCCATCTCAAAAAAAAAAAAAAAAAAAAAAAAGAATTGGAAATGGCTTAAAAATACATAAAATATGATAAAATAGATTAGGAAATTGCAATAAAGAGGAATGAAGGATGAGAAAATTAAAAATAAAGCTAGAGGTAGTATTGGTACATAAATGAATATTTCTTGAAATTATGAAAAATTGGAAACAATATAAATGTCTATCTGTAGGAAAATGATTAAATAAATTATGGTATACCCATATTGTGCAATACCATACAACCAGCAGAAAGAATGGTATGGATCTGTGTGTACTGAAATATAAGGCTGCTTAATGAAAAAAAGCATAAATTACAGAACATGATTCCATTTTTGTCAACATTTTCTACACACATATTTTGTATACATCCCAAGGTTTCAAAAGACACATATCACATCCCATTGTTAATAAACCCTATTGGTTTTAGAGGAGGAAGTAGAATTTGCTCCTTTGTTTTTTGGCATCCAAAGCAAAAAGACAAACACAATCAGTCATGAAGTTCTCTGTATCTGTAAGATAAAACCTGGAGAAGTCCAGTTTTGTTTTTTTTTGTTTGTTTGTTTGTTTTTTTTTTTTTGCTTTTGAAAGACATAACAGAAATTTCTATCATGTGTGTTATTTTCAACTGTGTCATTGCAAGACCATGGCATTATTCCAGTGTAAAATTCTGTAAGGTAAATCTATCAGACTATGAAACAATACAGTTGAAAATGCAATTTTCTGAATGTCTGACTTGATTTGAGCGTAAATTTTAGACTACTGGGAGGAAGGATGGGCTTACGGTTTCTTCAGGGAATCCTCCATGACTGGAGATCATTTACTTGTTCTCTGTGGCACCTTTCAATCATTCCACATCCTGGCATACATAGAAAATGATACATTTGCCAGTGTAAACTTATGCTAAGGGGTTGTCTGTAGCCAGAAGATAACTGTGGCTGGGCCCCAGTTTCCCTAAGACCCCCTCACCTCCACCTCTTCCAGGGCTGAGTGGATCCATATTTTAGCACATCATCCCTAATTCTTTAGTGTTAGTGTCCCGCACAGACACTGGGAAGCTTGAACTCTCATTCGTAAAGTTTTTCAAGATGCCTGTATTGAGTTTAAATTTCTGTGACCTTTTGTGATATTTATATAGATGATAGGTTGTACATAGTTATGGAGCTGATAGAAGGAGCCCCGCTTGGAGAGCATTTCAGTTCTTTGAAGGAAAAACATCACCATTTTACTGAAGAAAGACTATGGAAAATATTTATACAGGTATGCTTTTATCTTCATTAAATTTTTCTTAAAACAGTAATGTTCTGAGCTGGCTTCTTAAAGACGTGCAGTAGTCATCTTTGGCTATATGTATGTTGGGGGAAATAAAATTTGTTTTCTATTCATTGTTTCAAGCTGTGCTTAGCTCTTCGATACTTACACAAGGAGAAGAGGATTGTCCATAGAGATCTGACACCAAACAACATTATGTTGGGGGATAAGGACAAAGTAACCGTTAGTAAGTATAAAGATTTTTAAACTTTTAACTGAAGAATTCCTGAATACTATCCTAGAGTAGTAGTGTCCAGTAGAACTTTTGGCACTCATGGGAATGTTCTTTGTCTATGCTGTCCAATACAGTAGCCACTAGCCACATGTGGCTATTGAGCACTTGAAATGTGATTAGTGTGACTGAGGAAATACATCTTAAATTTTAATTAATTTTTTTTTCTTCGAGACAGAGTCTTGCTCTGTCACCCAGGCTGGAGTGCAGTGGTACGATCTCAGCTCACTGCAACCTCCACCTCCCGGGTTTCAAGTGATTCTTGCACCTCAGCATCCTGAATAGCTGGGATTATGGGCACCCGCCACCATGCCCACCTAATTTTGTATTTTTAGTAGAGACAGGGTTTCACCATGTTGGCCAGGCTGGTCTCAAACTCCTGGCCTTGTGTGATCCACCCTCCTCGTCCTCCCAAAGTGCTGGGATTGCAGGTGTGAGCCCCAATGCCCGGCCAAATTTTACTAAATTTTAATTTAGACATCCCTATGTGATAAGTGGCTACCATGTTGGACAGTGACTAGTATAGTTCTAAATGACTGAGCTATATTTTGCCCATATGAGGGAATGAAGTACTCTTAGAATACTTAAGTATTTAATTCCAAAATCAATGGTTTTCAGGTTTTTTCTTACTGTAGAACACTGCCTCATCAACAAAAGCTTTTATGACCAACACATGAGCACATTGTTTTGAACCATTTTACCATAGTCTGTGCCTTATGAGTGACAAATGTACATATGGAGGGCTATAAATCCTCTAGCCATTTGTATATTTCAACATAGAGTTTTTATCACAATTTACTTCATCTGTAGCAGGTAGGCCTGATGTTGGATAAAATTTCGCAAATGAGAAGGCTTACTTTCTCCTCCCAGTTGTTGAATTCTTACTCATAACTTAAAATTAAGTTTTTAGCTTAGGATGACATATTAGCTTTCTCCTGCCTGCCTCATGAACACTTGTGTTACCCTCATGGACTTTAATGGTTCACTAACTACAATTAGGGAGACACCTTCCTAAACCAGCAGTCTCCAAATGTTTTTCACCGTAACATCCCAGCAATAAAAATTTTTTGAGAATACACTGCCAATATACATAGGCTTATGTATAAATTCTATACATATATATTACTGAACAAAGATTCTGTAGTAAATAACAAAATCTACAGAAATAAAACATAAAGGAATACATTTAAAAATAAAAATAGAGGTCTTAATATTTTTGCTGCCCCTACTCCCATTGGGTTGCCTTAGAAACTCAGTGCTGGAGACTACTGCCATCAATGTTATTGATGTGGAGACATCATTGATGTCATATGACAACATATGACAGCATCTAAAGCTGAGTCCCTTGGTTTTAGAATTTCAGTACCCATGAAGGCAATTCCAAATGTACACATTTGCTATAACAACATGTGTTCAGGAATGATGATAAGATTTACTGTCCAAATTTTCGTAAGTAGAACATCATATTAATATATTTGTTGAAAAATAAAAAACAACCTACAACAGAAACTCTAGATAACCTTCAATACAAAGCTACTTGGAAATATTTCGAAGCCAATGCATTGTGAAATAAAAAAAGAGAAAATAACTGTGAATCTTTATCTTGGACACACATTTGCTTAATCATTTGAAATTAATTATAACTTTGTTTACCTTAGGCTTTTTATGTTTTCTCTTTTTATAAATTGAACTTATATTTCCTGAAAATTTTTTATAATTTATTTATTTGCTGGAATGTCAATTTATAAGTTAATAAGGATTATTATAAATTGTGTGTTTTAATTTTATAACAAATAGTATATATATATAACACAGTTATGTATATATATAACACAGTTATGTATATATATATAACACAGTTATGTATATATATAACACAGTTATGTATATATATAACACAGTTATGTATATATATAACACAGTTATGTATATATATATAACACAGTTATGTATATATATATAACACAGTTATGTATATATATATAACACAGTTATGTATATATATATATATATATATAACACATTTATGTATATATACAACAGAACAAATATGTTTAATCCTCCTTAAATGGCTGTTCAGGCCATATTTTCTGAGTAATAGCCAACTCTGCATTTTATTTTCCTATGAAGATTAGCTGTAATCATTTCCTTTCATTACATTTAAATGTACTAAGCTTAATCTTTTATTGCAGTAGCCTGGTTTATTTTTTTCTAAACTTATATTTACTTTCTTTAATCATTATCACGCATCAAAATAGTTTATAAAATAAAAAGCTTATAGAGAAAAACAGTTTTATGCCCCATCCCTTTGAAACTTTAGTTCTGTTCCCACAAAATGGCCACGTCTCCACTTTTTATTCTTTTTCTTATGGTATTTGATTTTCTATTGTAATGGGTGAGAATTTAGTTTTCTTTCTTCTTCTTCCCCATCTACTATCCTGCCAGTACAGTTACAGCAGAATTTTATGTTAAGTCAATATTCAATGTTTACATTATTGCTGCTGTGTAATTATTGTTCGATGTTGATTACCTATCCTTTCTCATAGGTAGTTTTGTTTTTCTCAGAGTTAATGATTGCCTTCTTTTTTGTTTGTGTTCCCAGTTTTCTTTGTACCTATTATTTACTTTTCTCCAAATCTTCCAGAAGAATTATAAAACCCTCTCAGTACTATTTTCCACATGGTCAAACATGATAAGTACTCCCACTTTTGTTTTCCTGGACTCCTCATTCCTGCAGCTGCTTGTTGCAGTGTACTCTGGGTTTCACTTTAGGCCTGCTGCACAGCCATTATCATGGAACTATTGTTTGTTGGTCTTCCGATTGTAGACTCCATTTCTTATGTTCTGTGTCTTTTTCTTTGTAAACTTCCCTGCTCTGCTGAAGTAAGTCTTCTGGTACTTTTCTAATAAAGAGTGCTTTGGGCGTTATGTTTTTTGGATGTTCGCTTGCTACAAATATTTTTATGGGACCCTCTTATTGGACTGGTATTTGGCTTGGTGTATGTATTCTCAGATGAAAGTTCTTATTCTCTCAAGTTTTAAAGGCATTTCTCTAGTCTTCTGGTATCTAGTTTTGCTGTCAGGAAATCCAGTGTTCTTCTGAGGCCTATTTCTTGATACATGAGGTATTTTATCACTCTGGAAAATTTCAGAATGTTCCCTTTATCCACTGCTTTGGATGGGTCTTTAAAATTCAATGTGTCTGTAGCCACGTGTGCTCTTCAATCTGGAGACTTAAAATTTAAGTCCTGGGAAGTTTTCCTGCATTATTTCTTCACTACTTTTCTCCCCTCTGCTCTCTCTGTTTTCATTTTTAGAATCTTTTTAGTCTTAGATACCATATGTACAAAATGATCTCCTAATTTAAAAAGTAATTATCTTAGTTTTTAATGTTTGTCTCTTTGTTATAATTATTTCTTCAACTTTCTTTTCCATTCCATTGAATATTAAATTTATATTATCATATTTTAATTTCAAAAATTTTTGTCTTATTTTGTGTTTTATTTTTATGGAACCCTGTTTTTATTCTTTCTCAGGGTAATATAGACTTTTTTTTCTTTAGCATCCTGAATTGTTTCTGCATCTTCTGAAGGTATATATATATATGCATATACATATACACACACACACACACACACACACACCATATGTACATATACACACACATATACACACACACATATAAAACATATATAACTAAACAGTAGCATATATACATGTTTTATTCCTGCTTAGTATTATCTGTCTTTCTGGCTGGGGGCTTTTCTCAACTGTCTTGTGACCCTGGGCTGGTCTCTAATAATTTTGAGGAAGGCATGAAAAAGGCTGTCAGAAGCACTGCGAGTTCCAGTTGAGGCTGTCATCTGGTGCCCTTCATTATAATAAAATGGAAATTTTCCTTTGAAGACTCCAAAATCAGTATCTAAACTTTGTTTTTTCTAGAGAATACTCTTCAAGTATCTTGCCTGGGGGTATGTGCGCCTGTTTGCTGTCATTCTGAGCAGCGTCAACAAACGGGGCTCAAGGAACCACATTCAGTTTATAAATTTTCGTCGAATTCTACCGTGCTTGGTTCCTTGCTGGTTTATTTCTTTGAAAAATGAATATTTTCTGTTAGTGGCAGAGGGTGCTTGATTTACTGGCTGTGTGTATGTGGGAGGGCACCTGGGAACTTGATCTCAATTCTATGTATTGAGCTTTCTGCTTCTCTTCTCCCTTGGATGGCACCCTGGGCTCTGCAGGGTTAAATGGGCTCCCTTAAGCCTTCCTCCTCAGATGCATGGGTAGCATTTTTGCTCTGCTGAGTCTGACACCATCTTCTACCTGCTTTCCATCTGCCACACATTTATTGGAATATCTCATCCTCTGTTGTTGCCAAGCCCATTCTCATTGTTCCTGTGGGTTAGTAACATTCCAAAGAATATCCCCTCTCCCAGCTTTTTTTTTTTTTTTTTTTTTTTTCCATTTTAGGGGGTTTGAGATTTAGAGGAGATAAAAACATATGGTCAATTCACCTTTTAACCCACAACACCCAGCCAATTTTTGTATTTTAGGAGAGACGGGGTTTCACCATGTTGGCCAGGATGGTCTCGATCTGTTGACCTCATGATCCGCCCGCCTCGGCCTCCCAAAGTGCTGGGATTACAGGCGTGAGCCACCGCGCTCGGCCTACTTCCAGATTTTAAGGCCGTTTAGCTTTAAGTGAAGCAGTATTTTCCTAGTGTCAAATAAAGAAGCAGCACAGGTTGGTGGCATACTGGTGAGGCTAGCAGCCTTCAGACACAGAAGCTAGTGAGCTCAGAATGGGATCCTAGCCTAGTCTAGTTTCTCTTCACTAAAGCAATTGTGTGGTTAGGGCATTCATGTACTCCCATTATTTTCAGTGACTATAAAATGATTTTATGACTGAAAAGATAATCCACAGAGATTTGATGTCATTCTTTAAAAAATACTTTAAATATAATAGTGCTGAAATATTTTTCAGTGTCTATCTCTATTGATATAATGTAAATATGTCCATTAGTCTCTTATCTTTAAGAGGGATTATGGTTAAATTAAAACCCTGCAGCATTAATTTAAAAGTAAGTGTATAAAATTTCCATATTTTAGGAAGTGGAATGCAGCTGCAATTAGTAGAGCCTGTGAGAATGGGCTGGCTGCTGTGGGTGTGAAAGCATGTCACCACAGAGGGGCAGCCTTGTTATGTTTTATTTTTCTCTTTGCTTGCGCTAGAAGGTTTATTTACTTCCAGAAAAGAAACACAGAATTGCCAAATGATGTTTAAGATGCATGAGACAAAGTGTACTGAAAATGTGATCAGAAAAAAAAGCTTTCAGAAAACTAAAATTTTCATCTTCTCATTTTTCTCAATATAGGTGAATTAAATGTTTTAAGATTGAGGTTGGTTTGCACTTATTTATAGTAAGCATGCTGGCAGGAGTTTGCTTTGATGAGGAAGCAGAATAGAAAGTACTCACATATTCTGCTATGCTTGGTTTTGCAAATGCTATATATTTTTAAGTCTAAATATATTTCCATTTGAAAGACTATCTTTTGATGGCATGTGCCATGACACATGTTCAGGTCTTGTTCTCCATTTATTTGCAGCCTTTGAAACCATCCAAGGAAACAGACCCCGATTCAGTGGTACATGGGGTGAGACACAGTCAACATTTGCCCTAAATACTGTCACTTGCCAAATAAGGTCCATATTGTGCCATCACATTACAAAATGACTCTTGAGGGAATTTGGTAAAACTGAACTTACCCTTGAACCCACCATTCCAGATTTCTTGACCTTTTCAAAAACCCTTATTTTAATGTAAACCTTCCATGTCCGCTTGCCTCCTCTGCTTTCAAATAAAAAAGGAAAAGAAAAAACAAAACTCATTTAATTATAGTTAATAGATTTCAGGCATGGACTTTAGTACATGACACAGAAGGTCACATGTTCATCTTGCAAACAAACAGGCTATGTGAATTTCTGTTTCTCAAGTGATATTTGGCACCTGCTCTGATGATAACAACAAGAAAAAACCTGATTCAGTGTAAAGTTTATCAAAGGCTCCAAGGCTCTTCAAATGTTATCACAGGTCAGGCATTGCTGGGATAGATATAAGATGAAAAGCCATGGTTTCTGCTCCCTGAGCTCACAGTCCTATGGGGAAAACGTCTGTTATTCACTCAGCAATTACCTTCCTAGCTGACACATCCTACAAGTGAGCACAGCAAGCATGAAGGACATAACCCCTGTCTTAATGAAGCTTATAATTCTGTTACAGAGTGATGAAGGCTAGAATGTATATGCAAAATACTGTAACATGTAATAAGTAACCTGAAATTCTCAACAGCTTAAAACAGTGGCAAAATACAGCCTAAAACAGTGGCAAAATACAGCCTGTGGGACAAATCAAGTTGTGACCTATTATTATATGTCCTGTGAGTTAAGACTGGTTTTTATATTTTTAAATGCTTGTTGAAAAAGGAAGAATACATGACAAAGACCATATTTGTTCCATTTAGGCAAAGCCTAAAATGTTTACTATCTGGTCTTTACAGAAAATTTTGTCTGCCTCTGACTTAACAAGACTCCTATCCTGCTAATGCTACATGTCCATTATGTGTCAATAAGGGAGCTTCCTCTGTACTTGCTTCTACATCCCAGAGGCAGGAAAGACAGAACATGGGAAACCATGCCGTGGCTCTTAAAACTTCTGTCCCAAAGTAACACATGTTACTTCTACTCAGATTTCATTGGTCAAAGAAAGTCAGGTGTAGCAGGATGTGGATGCATTCCTCCTCCGAGAGAATATGAGTGAATAGTTATATAGTCTATCACAGCTATATAAGCACTGGGGAAAATGTGACTAACTGTGCCTTAGGGATCTTTTGGTGCAGAGTTAAGCAGGAAGGGTAAGAGCAGTTAATGCAGAGGCATAGCACATGCAGAGGATAGAGACATGAAGGAGTATAGTGTGTCTAGGAACTATCAAGGTGTTTGATGTGGCAAGAGATGAAGGAGCCTTGGTGGGTGGGGAGCTTGGTCAAAGACTTATCCTCAGAGATTTTTCAGACTAGAAATTATATGATCAGATCTGGGAGGTAGAAGGATTATTAAAATGGCAGGTGAGGGAGCATGCTGGGGAAAGACTGGACCCAGATACTCAGTTTAGGACATGTATCAGTTAGGATATGTTCAGGTGCAAAAAGCCAGACTAACGATGGCTTAAACCATGAGGATATTTAGTTATCTCACAACAAGGGGTCTGAGAGTGAGTAGTTCCAGGGTGGGTTCAGCAGCTTAGGGTGATCTAGGCCTTTCTGTCCTTTCTTTCCAGTATCCCCAGCAGATTGACTTCTCCATATGTTTGTCATCTCATAGTCACAGGATGGTTGCCAGAGCTCCAGACATTATTACCAAATTCAAAGATGGGAGGCAAGGTGGCTGCTTGGGTAAAATCTAGAAAAAAAAATTGTCTTCTCCAAATGCTGTCTCATCTGCTTTTACTGTTAAAGAAAATCTTCCAAAGAAGGTCTCCATTAGCCTTCTTATATTGTGTTGACTGAAACCAAGTCATGTGACTACTCCTCATTGTAAGAGAGACTGTTGAGGTGAGCTTCCAGCCTCTATAGTTGGAGATGAGAAAGGGAGAGGATTTGGTTGATGGTTTTTGGAGAGCTGGCCCACAATGTTTGCCACTGAAGGCTCTTGCACTTTTGTCCAGGAAAGTCATGATGTGGGTTTTTCCAATGACAGAAGGAGAAGAGAATGTGAAAAAGGGGCTCAATTCAGCAGTTATTTGGGACCTAGAATTAAAAAGATTTGTCGGCCAGTTAATGAGATGTGAGGTATGAGAACAGTTGAGAAAGAGGCTGAGTTTGTGAAGATTGCTCTGCCATTGGCAGAGATTTAGGTGTAAGGTTTTGGACATGCTTAGTTAAAATCTAATTATGCTCTTCTTCTGGTTAAAATCCTTCAAGTAATTGCCTATAATATTTAAGATAAAGTTTAGTTTCCTTATGGCACCCAAAGCCCTTTCTTCGTAATCTCCTCCTTGCTCCTTGCTCTGACCTCCTGGGACAGATTGCACTTTCCTGAACAGGATGTGGCTGTATGCCTCTGGGACTTCTAACATGCCATCCCTCTGCCTGGAATGCTCTTCCTCCCTTCTGCCACTCAGGTCAAATGCGCTTCCTCCAGGGGGCATCTTTGACATCCACATCTGATATGTCCAGTTTCTGGGACCCCTTAGTACACTGGGCTTGCCTGTCTCATAGCACATGGCACAAAGTATTGAAAACACTGGCTTATTGCCATCTTCTCCTTGAGGTGAGAGAAATGAACTTTCTTGACCTTCTTTCTCTGATAGCACTTAATATTTTTATTCACCAAATGAATAGAAGAATGAATGAATTAATGAGCAAATGAACAAAAACACATCCAGGTGGAAATATTCAGAAGCCATTTTACAAATAGGGAGCAGAGATTGAGGTGATACCTGGGTTTGAGATCTCCTTCTGATAGCCAAGATTGTCTAGAAAGAGTGCTTAAAACAAGAGGAGTTGAATATTAATGTAGAAATTGCATGCGCACATGGGCAAAGGTCCAAGCAGTTCCCACTGTCATCTTAGCAAACAGTAACTCAAAGAAAAAATTTTACTTTCTTGAATGCCACCAAAGTTTCAGACATTGAATTGGACCTACCCTGTATTGCCAGAATCTTCAGTATTTTAAATTTTTCAGAGGATTAGAGGACTTTTAATTGTTATTGGTTGGCTAAACTGTGGCTGAGAAATTTGTGTCATTATATAAAAAAAAGAGTTAGTATTGCATTTCTGATAGGGAACTCAAAGTCCTTATGTGCACATTACTCATATACTTACAAAACCTCCTGGTCAAATACATATATGATGGACTCTATTCATGGTTTTTGTAGGTCTGTCGACATGCCTTGCTTTGAACTTGTTCTGTGGTTTACTTCCCGTTAACCGGATATAGTGTCTATAGAGTTTGAGCTGACACGACTTGAGTACTCTTAAAAGACTACAGAATATTGAGCCACTTGTGTTAAATACCCTCATAGCAACTGTTGTAAGAAGGATCACCATGGAATTTTTCTCAGTCAACAGATTGGCCTCATGTTAGTAAGAAAGTAAGAATATTTTTGTCAAGTTATCACAGTTGCCTTGTATTGCCATTGGGTCTCATAACATAAAAAGGAAATGTCAAAGGAAATTCAGTCAAATCCAATTTCTGAAGTACTTTAAAGATTCTTACACCTTTGGTGGGTCATTCTGCATTTCTCAGATTCTATATTTTTAAGTTGGCTACAAGAAAAAGATAAGAATGGGAATTCGACAAAGTTAGAGCCAGATGGGGTTAGTTTCCAACCCTGACAATTGTTATCCTTTTCTGATGAGACAGTGAACTGGGTGAGCACAGAAGGAGACACCAAATTTTTATGACCTTAGGTGAAAGTTGGAAATAGTAACCTCATAATTGAGGTTTATAAGGCCAAATAAAAACACCGAAGACTAAGGTTAATACAGTAGAGTTCATTTTAGTGTGTATTTGGGATATGATTTGGTTCTCTGAGAGCTTTTAACTGAAGGGGGTGGAATCTGATGTGTGATGTCGTCTGGATGAGTTGTTTTCACTCTGTGAGTTTTCCCAAAGTGTGTTTTCTGAAGAAACATAGTGAGTAGGCAGTAGTACCTATTTTTGTAGAGACTAATTCAGTGGTACAGAGTACTATGCTTCTGATTATGTCATCAGCATTTCCAGCCAGCTAAGTCTACTAAAGCCATTGGAGCTTCAGAGGTACTGCCCTGATCTCCATCCTAGGCCTTTTAAGAACTAGTATCATGCCACACACAGTATGTGTGTGTGTGCATGTGTGTGTGTGTATGCCTGCATGTGTGCGCATATGTGAAAAAAAGAGAGTGCACCCCTGACTTCCCATCCTTATAGGAGTCTGGCCCTTGGCACTTTTATGTAATGTTAGAGCTATATGTACAGAGCTCCATTATTCCAACTGAATAACCAGAAACAAACCCCATTCTGAAGAATGATTTTAGAAGAGCCCTCTGTGGTTTACTTCCCATTAACCCCAGATACAGTGTCTATTTGAGTCTGAGCTAAGGACATTAGTTTTCCCAAGGATCCAGTCTGTTGATACACATCTTAGAGCTAGGTAATGTTTATGTACCACAGATATGGAGTTACCTAGAATTCAGAAAGCATTCTTTTATCAAGTGTTGAATTTTTCATCATGAAGCTCTGTGTCATCATAACTCCATCAATAAAATCAAGCAAATAATGATGCTGTTGAGAAACAGAAGTTCCTTCCCTCTCCCTCATCCCTGGTGGAGTCTGCACTGGAGAAGGAAGCTTTGGAGAAGTGGAAAGTGGCATGGTACAGGGGTCCCTGGCACACCAACACCAAACACCTGCCGCCTACTCTTTGTTTAGGAATATCTACTTTAGACTTAATTAGCATGCCATTTGTTGAATTAGAAATAATTTTAATATTAATAGTAGTTGGACTTCATTTAGCTGAAGGTCAGGAAGCAGTTTGAGGGGCAGAGATTAGAATCTGAATGACCTTCAGAGGAGGAAGTGTCAGTGAGACAGGGGTTCGTTGAGGGAAAACTCTGAGCATTATCCTGGGAAACTCCTTCCCGTCCCTCACTGACTCCTGCACTGAGAGGATGTTACTGATGGTCCTGTTGCTGTGGACATTGTAGGTTAGCCATTCCATTTACTGAGGCAGCAGGAAAGAGTAGAGTGGTAAATGAGCTGGAGATCTTTATTCTGGCCTGTTTCACAGTTGTGCTCAAGTAGACTCCTCTGTCATTGCCTAGTATTATAGAGGTTTCAAATAATCATTTCCCGAAATTGTCAGGTCATTAATTATTTTCATTTTACTCAGGGAAGACATCTTTAAGATGATAAAAATTTTTAGCTATGCTTTGAAGAAAAGGAACAACCACCCATAGCTACATCCCTTGAGCATTTACTATGTGATAAAAGGATAGATATGCATTTTCTCATTCAATACTCTGATGCCTTTTAAAGATAGTGAAAAAGGTTTAGAGAGTTTAGAAAACTTGCTTAAATTCCCTGTTTGTAGATTGACAGTGTCAGCAATGAACCATGTCTACTTCTAGAGGTCATCTCTTAACCAAGTCTCTCTCTACTATTCTCTCAGAGGAAGCCATTTCAGGTAACGAAAAAGACATGTTTGAAAGGCACCAAGATGCTTATGGTCAAGTGCTGTACAAGGATGAGTAGTTTGTTGGAGGGGACATTTTAATTTGGGCAATTATGAGAGAGGTCAGTCACCTGAACATGGCTGCAGGGTCTTGCATAGCCTGTCAATAACCCCCATTTGGCCACGCAGTTCCTCAGTAGACCATTTTCCCTTGACCATAGGGCCTTTGAGCATGCCATTTCCTCTGCCTGGAAGTCTCTTCTTCACTTTCTCCTCTTACCTAGATAATGTCTGCCTTCCTTCAGATGTTAACCCAGTCACCATTTGTCACAGAGGCTTTTCCCAATCAGCTGTTTTCCTTATAATACCCTCTCTTAACCCCATATATGGGGGAAGGTTAGGAAGCAGTTGGGGGGCAGAGATTAGAATCTGAGTGACCTTCAGAGAAGGAAGTGTCAGTGGGACAGGGATTTGTTGAAGGTCAGTCTTCTTTAATGATCTTATCACAACTGTAAGTTTACATTTATATGTGTGATTCTTTATTTAATGTGTATCTACACCACTGGTCCCTAAAGTCTGTGTCATCATGGATGGTTTTTGACCTGGTTATCATCTTATCTTGAGTACCTGGTTCAGCACCTAGAACATATGCTCTTAGTGTTGGACAAATGAGTAAATGGACAATCATGAAGTCCAGATAAGGCAGCTGGAAACTTTGTAAAAAATAGCAATCGGAAGACCTTCTGGTACATAAGTGGGGGCCTGATGTGATGAAGGCAGGTGTTGGTAGATTGTTTCGTTGTCAAATACCCTGTAGGATGGATTAAAAGGAAAAGCTTTCTAAAGAAGTGCATCCCCTTTTTTGCAGGAAGAGTGAGAGCCTAAGCTCCTGGCACATTTAAACTATAATCAGACAAATCAAAAGAAAGATGCAGATACAAGAGCTGGTGAGGGGTTGAATATAGCAGCAAGTGAGAAAAGGCAAAGATTTCAAGCCCAGGAAATGGGGAAGATGAGATGCCATCTGGTTGACTGGGATATCCCTGATGACTGAATGATGAGCCCAGTCTTGGGTGGGAAGTGGCAGGTGCTTTATAGGGCTGGAGGTGAAACCCCAGACAAAGGCTGGGACTTTACAGCTGAATTTGGAAGTCACTGACACATATGTGATGGGTGAAAGGTTGTGAACAGCTGGGTTCCCTGTGGATAGGGTTGGGAATACCTTGCATCTATACAGTATTTCAAACTGCTTTTCACCTATTGTCATGCTGTTGTTGAAACAATCCTTTGCAAACAGTAAGGTAAGTTTTATAGGCCATTTTTGAAAACCAGAGAGCAAGAATCTAGGGACTCAGCCAAAGCACACACAACTTTTCCATCTGAAGGCTGGTAATTGTAGGGCTATAGTGTAAACATGCTATAGAATTTAACATTTTCTGTATCATTTGTCCTGTCAAAGGGGAGAATTTCTTTGGATCCTATTTTTTTTTCATAATGTGCTGTATGCAAAATGTTTTCTATTGTCATTTTGAATACCTGTAATGGCACATGAATGCTTTTATGAGTACAATTTCTGAAATAAAACATTTTCTTCTTCTCCAAATATGATCACAAATGAGGAAAGAGTAATAGAAACATTTCTGTTACCACCCAGGTCTCCCAAATGTCCAAACAATATTAGTTTTTGCTCATTTTAAGAATACCTCTCAACTCTCTGTGTTTTTATGGATATCTGTCCAAGTGTCTGCTATTATCTAAATTAACTGGAGTGAATAAAATCATTGTAATGCTCCTCAGTTTTTGCCTTTCAAAATAAATGGCATTTTAGTAAGAATAAGATGACTCTTACATAGCATTAGAAAGAAAAGCCAAAGCATTATTTTTGGTTATAAGTTGGTCAAGAATTGTATGCTAAAATTATAGTGGGCTCCCTAAAAATATTGAAGTTGTGAATATTGAATACTTTTTTTTTTCTGTATAGTGATTGCTTAATTTTAACTAATTTTCTCCAGTACATAAAAGGGGAAAGATAGCAAGCCATCTAGTTTGTGAATAGTTGTTAACACCACCTTATACGATTTAGTCTTCTAATATGTCCTATATGTGAATAGTACTATTAGGTGGAGAGGTTAGACAGATAGATAGGTAGATAGATAGATAGATAGATAGATAGATAGATAGATAGATAGATAGAAGATAGATAGATGGATGGAAAGATAGATGGATATACATATAGTTATGCCTATATATGTACATATACATGTATTAAAAGATATGTATCCATCAGTCTACAGGGATAAGCAATACAAAGTCCTCTCATGGATCTTTCATACTAGTTAGAAATGACAGACCCTAAATGAATGAAAAAATACTAAATAAATACATAAAGTAATTTCAGATAATGAAATATGTTAAGAATTAAATAAATGTAATAGAAGAATATTGAAGGAGAGGACTTTTTTTTTATAGTGTGTACTAGAAAAGTCATTCTGAACGCCCAGATCATGTATGGTCGTGTAGACCTTGTAGTAGTTTGGCTTTTATTCTTAGTATTTATCAAACGTCTTTGTAGAGTTTTAACCTTGTAAGTAGTGACAAATGAGTAAATGGACACTCGTGATGGCAACTTTAGATATTTAAAAGATCCTTTTGGACCTGAAGTGGAGAATTATATTTCATGAGGAGAGATGGAGGGAGGGAGTCTGTTCGGGAGGAATAGCTCAGTAGCCTCAGTGAGACGTCACAGTAGCATGGACGGATGATGGCAGTTGTATTCATTATCCATTGCTGGGTAACACATTCCCCAGAAATTTGGAGGGTTAAAATAACAAATATTTATTTTCTTATCATTTCTGAGGGTCAGGAGTCCAGGAGCAGTTTATCTGGGTGATTCTGACTTAGGGTTTCTCATGAGGCTGTAGTCAAACTGTCAGCCAGGGATGCATCATCTGAAGCCTGGACTGGGGCTGGAGGGTCAGCTTCCAAGAAGGCTCAATACCATGGCTGGCAATGGGTTCTGGGTTTTGACTGGAGTGAGTGCCTCATTTCTCTTCCATTTGGCCTTTTATCCTTGAGGGCTGCTCTTCTCTATATAACCTCTTCAGCAGAATAACCTTTACTATTCTACATGGTTGCTGGGTTCTGAGAGAGAGTCAGTGAGCAAGAGAGAGCACAACACAATTGGAAGCTGTAGTTTCTTTATAACCGAACCTTGGAAGTAACATCTCATCCGTTCTGCTATATTCAGTTCATTAGCCATGAGTTACCAAGTCTCATCCACACATAAGAGAAGGACAATTAAGATTCACCTCCTGAAGGGAGGAATGTTAAAGAACTGGTGAACATTTTTCAAAACTACAACTTCAGTGGAGGTGATGAGAGGTGGCCTAATTCACTATATATATAAACTTTTTGTAGAAACAATAGGATTTTGCTGTGGTAAAGGAAAGTGAGGAACTATATCAGTCAGGACTCATTCATGAGACAGGAACAACCGAGTAATTTTAACAGGACAAGTTTCATGTATTAAAATGATTTTTAACTAGTACTAAGATTAACTACAAAGAGTTAAAGATAACCCAATAAAGAACACAGGAATAGCATATACAGGTATACCTTGGAGATACTGTGGACTTTGTTCCAGAACACCACAATACAGCAAATATTGCAATAAAGCAAGTCATATAAACTTTTTGGTTTTTCAGTTTGTACACGTTGTGTTCACATTATGTTATAGTCTATTTGTGTGCAATAGTCTATTTGTGTGTATTATGTCTAAAAAGCAATTTAGGCACATACCTCAATTAAAACATAATTCGTTGCTAAAAAGTGCTAACAATCATCTGAGCCTTCAGCAAGTCATAATCTTTTTGCTGGTGGAGGGTCATGACTTGATGCTGCTTACTGATCAGGGTGGTGGTTGCTCAAGTTTGGTGTGGCTGTGGCAATTTAATAAAATGAGACAACAGTGAAGTTTGCTGCAGAGATTGTCTCTTCTTTTCACAAAATAAATGTCTGTAGCATGAAATGCTGTTTGATAGCATTTTACCCACAGTAAAGCTTCTTTCAAAATTGGAGTCAATCCTCTCAAACCCTGCTGCCTCCATGTCAATTAAATTTATGGAATATTCTAAATCTTTTCTTGTCATTTTAACAACGTTCACAGCATCTTTCCCAGGAGTGGATTCCATTCCAAGAAACCTGTTTCTTTGCTCATCCAGAAGAAGCAACTCTTCATCCGTTCAAGTTTTATTGTGAGATTGCAATGATTCAGTCACATCTTCAGGCTCCGATTCTAATTCTAGTTCTCTTGTTATTTCCACCACATCTGCAGTGAGTTTCTTCACTGAAATCTTGAACCCTTCAAAGTCATCCATAAGGGTTGTAATCAACTTCTTCCAAACTCCTGTTAATGTTGATATTTTGACCTCTTCCCATGAATCATGAATGTACTTAATGATATCTAGAATGGTGAATCTTTTCCAGGAGGTAAACGTTGCCCAGATCCATTAGAGGAGTCACTATCTATGGCAGCTATAGCCTTATGAAATGTATCTCTGAATTAGTAAAAGTAGAAATGACTCCTTGATCTATGGACTACAGAATGGATATTGTGTTAGCAGACATGAAAATAACATTAATCTTTTTTTACATATCCACCAGAGCTCTTGAGTGATGAGGTGTATTGTCAACAAACACTAATATTTTGAAAGGAATTTTTTACTAAGCAGTAGTTCTTAACAATGGGCTTAAAATATTCAGTAAACCATGCTGCAAATAGAAGGACTGTCATTCAGACTTTGTTGTTCCACTTATAGACAACAAGCAGAGTATATGTAGCAACATTCTTAAGGGCCCTAGGATTTTCAGAATGGTCAATAAGCATTGGCTTCAACTTAATTACCAGCTGCATTAGTCCTTAATAAGAGAGCCAGCCTGTTCTTTGAAGCTTTGAAGCCAGGCATTGACTTCTCCTCCCTAACTATGAAAGTCCTAGATGGCATCTTCTTTCAGTAGAAGGGAATTTTGTCTACATTGGATATCTATTCCTTAGTGTAGCTACCTTCATCAACTGTCTTAGCCAGATCTGGATAACTTGCCATAGCTTCTATATCAGAATTGGCTACTTCACCTTGCACTTTTATGTTATGGAAATGTCTTCTTCCTTAAACCTCGTGAACCAACCTCTGCTAGCTTCCAGACTTTCTTCTGCAGCTTTCTCACCTCTCTCAGTCTTCACAGAATTGAAGAGAGTTAGGGCCTTGCTCCAGATTGGGCATTGGCTTAAGGGAATGTGTTGGTTTGACCTTCTGTCCAGATCACTTAAACTTTCTCTTTATCAGCAATAAGGCTGTTTTACTTTCTTATCATTTGTGTGTTCAGAAGTGCCACTCCACTGAGTAGCACTTTTAATTTCCTTCCAGAGCTTTTCCATTACAACATGGCTGTTTGATGCCAGAGGCCTAACTTTCAGCCTGTCTCAGCTTTGGACATGCCTTTCTCACTAAGCTTCATCATTTCTAGCTTTTGATCAAAAGTCAGAGATGTATGACTATTCCTTTCACTTGAATGATTGGAGGCCAATGTATGGTTATTAACTGGCCTAATTTCAATATTATTGTGTCTAGGGGGATAAGGAGGCTCATAGAGAGTGAGAGCTGGGGGAACAGCCAGTCAATGTAGCAGTCAGGATGCACACAATGTTTAGCAATTAAGTTTGCCGTCTTATATGCGCATGGTTTGTAGTGTCCCAAAACAATGACAATAGTAACATCAAAGATCACTAATCACAGATAACCATAACAGATATAATAATAATAAAGTTTGAAATATTATGAGAATTACCAAAATGTGAGAGACATATAAAGTGAGCAGATGCTGTTGAAAAAATGGTGCTCATAGGCTTGCTGGATACAGGGTTGCCACAAACCTTCAATTTGTAAAAAAGAATGCAATATTTGCAAAGTACAATAAAGTGAAGCACAATAAAATGAGGTATACATATATAAGCAGCTACTACCTCTAGGGCTGAGGCAAACTATACAAAGAAGGAGCAAATTTTAAGACAGCCCCTCTCCTCAAGGGCTGAGATCCAGACTTTGTTGGAGAGGGTATGACTATAGCCCACAGATGGCAGAAATTGCATTGAAATGCTGCAGGATAAAGCTGTCAAACAGAAAGCTGCCCCTGGAATGATGACCATGTTTTTCAGGAAGCCATTTTCTGGGGTATGAGTAGAACTCAGTAGGAAGCTGTTGGCTTGGGTGCTCCTGAGACTAACTAGACTGAGCCTGGCTAGAATGCCGGTAGAAGTTACTGGGAATCTACCTGTGGAGGTGTTGTGAAAACAGCTGAGATGCCAGCAGAATTTCATGGTATGTTGTCTGCTGGGGTGCTTGCAAAACTTGCCAGGAAGCTGGATATAGTGCCAGTGGAACTGTCTACGAAGCTGCCTCTAGGGGAAGTGAGCACCACTAAGCATCCTGCACACTGCACAAGTGCTACAGGAGCAAGGAAAGAGAGGAAGCATGTCAGAACCTGGAAAAGAAGAGAAGCCTCTCCTGTAGTTTCTCTTCAGCACACCCTCTACTGACAAAGCTTTACATCAAGCCAGCTGGCGAAGGAGAGACATTATCAAGGTCCAGCTCCATTAACAAAGCAGGGCAATGATGAAGGGTGGATTTGATGCTGAAAGGGAATAAGTTGACAGCTAGCACAAGAACTAAGGAAAGTACCTAGGTCAATGATGGTGCCACTTACTGAGATGGGAAACCAAGGAGGAGTTGTTTGGGTTAAGATTGAGAATTCTCTTTGAGTGTGTTAATTTTGAGATGCCTAGGAGACACTTAAGTGAAAGTTTTGATTATCCAGATGAATATGTAAATCTGGTGCTCGGAGAGAGGAAGGGACTATTTCCAACAAATGGTGCAGGAACAGTTGCAAATCCCCATAAAAAAATCAGAACCTCAACCTACATATTGTATCTTATATAAAAATTAGCTCAGCTTGGATCATAGCACTATATGAAACTTAAATTATGAAACTTCTGGAAGAAAAAAATGGATATAGTCTTTGCAGTATTGGGCTAGGCAAATATTTCTTAGACAGCATCAAAGCCATAACATGTAAAATAAACTAATAAATTTGACTTAGTCAAAGTTTAAAACTTCTATTCTTTGAAAAACGTTAAGAGAATGAAAAGATAAGCTGCAGACTAGTAGAAAATATTTGCAAATTGTAGGCCGGGCGCAGTGGCTCACGCCTGTAATCCCAGCACTTTGGGAGGCCGAGGCAGGTGGATCACGAGGTCAGGATCGAGACCATCCTGGCTAACACTGTGAAACCCCGTCTTTACTAAAAATACAAAAAAATTAGCCGGGCGTGGTGGCGGACACCTGTAGTCCCAGCTACTCGGGAGGCTGAGGCAGGAGAATGGCATGAACCCAGGAGGCGGAGCTTGCAGTAAGCCGAGATTGCGCCACTGCACTCCAGCCTGGATGACAGAGTGAGACTCTGTCTCAAAAAAAAAAAAAAAAAGGAAATATTTGCAAATTGTATATCTGACAAATAATTTGTATCCAAAACTTAAAAATAAGAAAATAAATAACCTAATGAAAAATGCAAAAATTTGAGCAGCCATTTCACTAAGGAAGATACCCAGGTGCTCACTGTGCCAGCATGTATACTAAAATTGGAGTGATACAGAGATTAGCATGGCCCGTGCACAAGGATGACATGCAAATGCATGAAGTGGTCCATTTCTTTAAATGAAGATGCCCAGATGGCAAATAAATACATGAAAAGTGTTCAACACAAATAAGCTCTAAGGAAATGCAAATCAAAACTATACTGAGATATCACTATGTACCTATTAGAATGGCTGATTAAACAAAAACTGACAACATTAAATGCTGATGGGGATGCAGAAGCAACTGGAACGCTCAAATTTCTGGTGAGAGAAAAAACTGGAAAACATTTTGACTTGGCAGTTTTTATAAAATCAAATTAAACACATGCTTATAATATGATCCAGTAATCCCACTCCAAGGCATTTTTCAAAGGGAAATTTAAAATTATGTTCCCACAAAAATTCATATGCACATATTGTACTTACCTGAATCTTCAATAGAATGTTGACTAGGAATGCTGAGAATGGTGGACATGTTTTGTTTTTGAACTTAAAAGGGAAACACTCAGTTTTTCAGGGTTAAGTAGATTATTAGCTACAGCTTTTTTTGGTAGATGCTCTTTATCAGGTTAAGAAAATACCCAACTATTCTTATTTTGCTGAAAGGAATAGATGTTGAATTTTGCTGACGCTTTTTGCACATCTGTTGAGATGATCATGGTTTTCCTTCTTTAATGTACTGATCTGGTGAACTACACTGATGATTTTTTAAAATTATTATTTATTTATTTATTTATTTATTTATTTATTTATTTATTTATTTAGACTGATTTTCGCTCATGTTGCCCAGGCTGGAGTGCAGTGATGTGATCTTGGCTTACTGCAAGCTCTGCCCGCCGGGTTCCAGTGATTCCCCTGTCTCAGCCTCCTGAGTAACTGGGATTACAGGCACCTGCCACCACACCCAGATAATTTTTTTGCATTTTTAGTAGAGATGGGATATCCCCATGTTGGCCAGGGTGGTCTCAAACTTCTGACCTCAGTTGTTCCACCTGCCTCGGCCTCCCAAAGCGCTGGGATTACAGGTGTGAGCCACCAGGCTTGGCCAATTAATTTTTATTTGAAAATTATTTTGGATTCAGGGGCTATATGTGCATGTTTGTTACATGGATATATTGCATACTGCTGGTGTTCAGGCTTCTATTGAACTCACACTGATGGATTTTTAAAAGTCAAATTAGCCTTGTATTCCTGGCATAAACCCCACTTGATCATTATGTATTATGCTTTTTATATGTCACTGGATTTGATTTACTTACATTTTGTCAATAATTTTTGTGTCTGTGTTCATGAGGCTCTTGTTCTGTAGTTTTCTTTTCTTGTCATGCCTTTGACTGGTTTTAGAATGATGTAATGTTGGCTTTATGAAGTGATTTGGGAAATATTCCCTCTTCTATTTTCTGGTAGAGTTTGTGTAGAATTGGTATATATTTCTTAAAAGTTTGGTTGAGTTTATCATTGAATTGATCTGGTCCTTATTTTTCTATATTGGCAGTGTCTTGGTGAGATTTGGGGCTTTAGAATCAAGCAACCCCAGATTAATATCTCACTTTGTTAATTTCTCCCTGTGAGACATTGGGCAAGTCACACATTCTCTTTGAGCCTATTTCCTCATCTATCAAATGGGTAATTGTGATAATTAAATAATAATATACATCATTTATTCAATACTCTACTACATGTATTTATATATAATACATACATGGGGGTGGAGCCAAGATGGCCGAATAGGAACAGCTCCCAGCATGAGCGACGCAGAAGACGGGTGACTTCTGCATTTCCAACTGAGGTACTGGGTTCATCTCACTGAGGAGTGTCGGAAAGTGGGTGCAGGACAGTGGGTGCAGTGCACCGAGCATGAGCCAAAGCAGGGCGAGGCATTGCCTCACCCGGGAAGTGTAAGGGGTCAGGGAATTCCCTTTCCTAGTCAAAGAAACGGGTGACAGATGGCACCTGGAAAATCAGGTCACTCCCACCCTAATACTGCGCTTTTCCAACGGTCTTAGCAAACGCCACACCAGGAGATTATATCCCGTGCCTGGCTCGGAGGGTCCTATACCCACGGAGCCTCGCTCATTGCTAGCACAGCAGTCTGAGTTCAAACTGCAAGGCGGCAGCGAGGCTGGGGGAGGGGTGCCTGCCATTGCCGAGGCTTGAGTAGGTAAACAAAGCAGCCGGGAAGCTCAAACTGGGTGGAGCCCACCGCAGCTCAAGGAGGCCTGCCTGCCTCTGTAGACTCCACCTCTGGGGGCAGAGCATTGCCAAACAAAAGGCAGCAGAAAACTCTGCAGACTTAAATGTCCCTGTCTGACAGCTTTGAAGAGAGTAGTGGTTCTCTCAGCACGCAGCTGGAGATCTGAGAACGGACAGACTGTCTCCTCAAGTGGGTCCCTGACCCCCGATTAGACTAACTGGGAGGCACCCCCTAGTAGGGGCAGACTGACACCTCACATGGCCGTGTACTCCTCTGAGACAAAACTTCCAGAGGAATAATCAGGCAGCAACATTTGCTGTTCACCAATATCCGCTGTTCTGCAGCCTCCGCTGCTGATACCCAGGCAAACAGGGTCTGGAGTAGACCTCCAGCAAACTCCAACAGACCTGCAGCTGAGGGTCCTGACTGTTAGAAGGAAAACTAACAAACAGGACATCCACACCAAAACCCCATCTGTACGTCACCATCATCAAAGACCAAAGGTAGACAAAACCACAAAGATGGGGCAGGAAAACTGGAAACTCTAAAAATCAGAGTGCCTCTCCTCCTCCAAAGGAATGCAGCTCCTCACCAGCAATGGAACAAAGCTGGATGGAGAATGACTTTGACGAGTTGAGAGAAGAAGGCTTCAGACGATCAAACTACTCTGAGCTAAAGGAGGAAGTTCGAAGCCACGGCAAAGAAGTTAAAAACCTTGAAAAAAAATTAGATGAATGGCTAACTAGAATAATCAATGCAGAGAAGTCCTTAAAGGACATGATGGAGCTGAAAACCAAGGCACGAGAACTACATGATGAATGCACAAGCCTCAGTAGCCGATTCGATCAACTGGAAGAAAAGGTATCAGTGATGGAAGATCAAATGAATGAAATGAAGCGAGAAGAGAAGTTTAGAGAAAAAAGAGTAAAAAGAAACAAACAAAGCCTCCAAGAAATATGGGACTATATGAAAAGACCAAATCTACGTCTGATTGGTGTATCTGAAAGTGACGGGGAGAATGGAACCAAGTTGGAAAACACTCTGTGGGATATTATCCAGGGGTACTTCCCCAATCTAGCAAGGCAGGCCAACATTTAAATTCAGGAAATACAGAGAACGCCACAAAGATACTCCTTGAGAAGAGCAACTCCAAGACACATAATTGTCAGATTCACCGAAGTTGAAATGAAGGAAAAAATGTTAAGGGCAGCCAGAGAGAAAGGTCAGGTTACCCACAAAGGGAAACCCATCAGACTAACATCTGATCTCTCTGCAGAAACTCTACAAGCCAGAAGAGAGTTGGGGCCAATATTCAACATTCTTAAAGAAAAGAATTTTCAACCCAGAATTTCATAGGCTCAAAATAAAGGGATGGAGGAAGATCTCCCAAGCAAATGGAAAACAAAAAAAGGGAGGGGTTGCAATCCTAGTCTCTGATAAAACAGACTTTAAACCAACAAAGAACAAAAGAGACAAAGAAGGCCATTACATAATGGTAAAGGGATCAATTCAACAAGAAGAGCTAGCTATCCTAAATATATATGCACCCAATACAGGGGTACCCCGATTGATAAAGCAAGTCATTAGAGACCTAGAAGGAGACTTAGACTCCCACACAATAATAGTGGGAGACGTTAACACCCCACTGTCAACATTAGACAGATCAACAAGACAGAAAGTTAACAAGGATATCCAGGAATTGAACTCAGCTCTGCACCAAGCAGACCTAATAGACATCTACAGAACTCTCCACCCCAAATCAACAGAATATCCATTCTTTTCAGCACCACACCACACTTATTCCAAAATTGACCACATAGTTGGAAGTAAAGCACTCCTCAGCAAATGTAAAAGAACAGAAATTATAACAAACTGTCTCTCAGACCACAGTGCAATCAAACTAGAACTCAGGATTAAGAATCTCACTCAAAACCTCTCAACTACATGGAAACTGAACAACCTTCTCCTGAATGACTCCTGGGTACATAACGAAATGAAGGCAGAAATAAAGATGTTCTTTGAAACCAATGAGAACAAAGACACAACATACCAGAATCTCTGGGACACATTCAAAGCAGTGTGTAGAGGGAAATTTATAGCACTAAATGCCAACAAGAGAAAGCAGGAAAGATCTAAAATTGACATCCTAACATCACAATTAAAAGAACTAGAGAAGTAAGAGCAAACACATTTTAAAGCTAGCAGAAGGCAAGAAATAACTAAGATCAGAGCAGAACTGAAGGAAATAGAGACACAAAAAAACCCTTCAAAAAATCAATGAATCCAGGAGCTGGTATTTTGAAAACATCAACAAAATTGATGGACTGCTAGCAAGACTAATAAAGAAGAAAAGAGAGAAGAATCAAATAGACGCAATAAAAAATGATAAAGGGGATATCACCACCGATCCCACAGAAATACAAACTACCATCAGAGAATACTATAAACACCTCTACGCAAATAAACTAGAAAATCTAGAAGAAATGGATAAATTCCTGGACACATACACCCTCCCAAGACTAAACCAGGAAGAAGTAGAATCTCTGAATAGACCAATAACAGGCTCTGAAATTGAGGCAATAATCAATAGTTTACCAACCAAAAAAAGTCTAGGACCAGATGGATTCACAGCCGAATTCTACCAGAGGTACAAGGAAGAGCTGGTACCATTCCTTCTGAAACTATTCCAATCAATAAAAAAAAGAGGGAATCCTTCCTAACTCATTTTATGAGGCCAGCATCATCCTGATACCAAAGCCTGGCAGAGACACAACCAAAAAAGAGAATTTTAGACCAATATCCCTGATGAACATTGATGCAAAAATTCTCAATAAAATACTGGCAAACCAAATCCAGCAGCACATCCAAAAGCTTATCCACCATGATCAAGTGGGCTTCATCCCTGGGATGCAAGGCTGGTTCAACATACGCAAATCAATAAACGTAATCCTGCATATAAACAGAACCAAAAACAAAAACCACATGATTATCTCAACAGATGCAGAAAAGGCCTTTGACAAAATTCAACAACGCTTCATGCTAAAAACTCTCAATAAATTAGGTATTGATGGGACCTATCTCAAAATAATAAGAGCTATCTATGACAAACCCACAGGCAATATCATACTGAATGGGCAAAAACTGGAAGCATTCCCTTTGAAAACTGGCACAAGACAGGGACGCCCTCTCTCACCACTCCTATTCAACATAGTGTTGGAATTTCTGGCCAGGGCAATCAGGCAGGAGAAGGAAATAAAGGGTATTCAATTAGGAAACAAGGAAGTCAAATTGTCCCCGTTTGCAGATGACATGATTGTATATTTAGAAAACCCCATCGTCTCAGCCCAAAATCTCCTTAAGCTGATAGACAACTTCAGCAAAGTCTCAGGATACAAAATTAATGTACAAAAATCACAAGCATTCTTATACACCAATAACAGAAAAACATAGAGCCAAATCATGAGTGAACTCGCATTCACAATTGCTTCAAAGAGAATAAAATACCTAGGAATCCAACTTACAAGGGATGTGAAGGACCTCTTCAAGGAGAACTACAAACCACTGCTCAATGAAATAAAAGAGGATACAAACAAATGGAAGAACATTCCATGCTCATGGGTAGGAAGAATCAATATTGTGAAAATGGCCATACTGCCCAAGGTAATTTATAGGTTCAATGCCATCCCCATCAAGCTACCAATGATTTTCTTCACACAATTGGAAAAAACTACTTTAAAGTTCATATGGAACCAAAAAAGAGCCCACATTGCTAAGTCAATCCTAAGCCAAAAGAACAAAGCTGGAGGCATCACTCTACCTGACTTCAAACTATACTACAAGGCTACGGTAGCCAAAACAGCATGGTACTGGTACCAAAACAGAGATACAGACCAATGGAACAGAACAGAGCCCTCAGAAATAATGCCGCATATCTACAACCATCTGAAGTTTGACAAACCTGACAAAAACAAGCAATGGGGAAAGGATTCCCTATTTAATAAACGGTGCTGGGAAAACTCGCTAGCCATATGTAGAAAGCTGAAACTGGATCCCTTCCTTACACCTTATACAAAAATTAATTCAAGGTGGATTAAAGACGTAAATGTTAGACCTAAAACCATAAAAACCCTAGAAGAATACCTAGGCAATACCATTCAGGACATAGGCATGGGCGAGGACTTCATGTCTAAAACACCAAAAGCAATGGCAACAAAAGCCAAAATTGACAAGTGAAATCTAATTAAGCTAAAGAGCTTCTGCACAGCAAAAGAAACTACCATCAGAGTCAACAGGCAACCTACAGAATGGGAGAAAATTTTTGCAATCTACTCATCTGACAAAGGGCTAATATCCAGAATCTACAGTGAACTCCCTCAAATTTACAATAAAAAAAAAACAACTGCATCAACAAGTGGGTGAAGGATATAAACAGACACTTCTCAAAAGAAGACATTTATGAAGCCAAAGGACAGATGAAAAAATGCTCATCATCACTGGCCATCAGAGAAATGCAAATCAAAACCACAATGAGATACCATCTCACACCAGTTAGAATGACGATCATTAAAAAGTCAGGAAACAACAGGTGCTGGAGAGGATGTGGAGAAATAGGAACACTTTTACACTGTTGGTGGGACTGTAAACTAGTTCAACCATTGTGGAAGTCAGTGTGGCGATTCCTCAGGGATCTAGAACTAGAAATAGCATTTGACCCAGCCATCCCATTACTGGGTATGTACCCAAAGAATTATAAATCATGCTGATATAAAGACACATGAACACGTAAGTTTATTGCGGCACTATTCACAATAGCAAAGACTTGGAACCAACCCAAATGTCCAACAATGATAGACTGGATTAAGGAAATGTGGCACATATACACCATGGAATACTATGCAGCCATAAAAAATGATGAATTCATGTCTTTGGAGGACATGGATGAAGCTGGAAACCATCATTCTCAGCAAACTATCGCAAGAACAAAAAACCAAACACCGCATGTTCTCACTCATAGGTGGGAATTGAACAATGAGAACACATGGACTCAGGAAGGGGAACATCACACACCAGGGCCTGTTGTGGGGTAGGGGGAGGGGGGAGGGATAGCATTTGGAGATATACCTAATGTTAAATGACGAGTTACTGGGTGCAGCACACCAACATGGCACATGTATACATATGTAACAAACTTGCACGTTGTGCACATGTACCCTAAAATTTAAAGTATAATAAAAAATATATATAATACATACATGACATTTGCATATATTAAATTATTTAAATTTTACTTTCATACTATTCTGTTTACAATATATATCAGCAGTATATTATTATAATCCTTATTTTATAGATAAGAAAGCTATTGGAGGCCGGGCATGGAGGCTCACGCCTGTAATCCCAGCACTTTGGGAGGCTGAGGTGGGCGGATCATGAGGTCAGGAGATCGAGACCATCCTGGCTAACACTGTGAAACCCAGTCTCTACTAAAAATACAAAAAATAAAAAAATTAGCTGGACGTGCTGGCGGGCTCCTGTAGTCCCAGCGACTTGGGAGGCTGAGGCAGGAGAATGGCGTGAACCCGGCAGGCAGAGCTTGCAGTAAGCCGAGATTGCGCCACTGCACTCCAGACTAGGTGACAGAGTGAGACTCCGTCTCAAAAAAAAAAAAAAAAAAGAAAAAAGAAAGCTATTGGAAAACAAGATAAAATAACTTGCCCAGGGTTACTCAAGTTGCTCATAATAGAGTCAGTATTCAGATTGAGGCTGTCCAGTTCCTGAGTCCTGTCTTTTAAGCACTAAGCTATACTAATGATAATACCTGTCTTTCAGAGTGCTATGAGTGTTAAATGAGGCAATTCATGTAAGTGGCTGAATTTATGCTAGTATAAACTTGTTGTTTAGTAAACGTGTATTATTATTAATAATGCGAATTTTTATTATTTTGAAATGAAATGACTTTGGAATATTTTTGACCTGAAAGGTATTTTAGTATATATAATCAAATACTGCATTGAAGTTTGTTCCAGTGAAATTCCATGAGCATTTGCTGTGCTTTACAACATGATATTGAGAATATCAAAGCTTATTTGGAAAAACAACTTGAATTCTTGCACTGGTTCTGCATTGTCTTTTTTGTGCAATCCTGGTAATTAAATTTCTTGAAATATCTGTGAATCTGTAGCAAATGGATAGGAAAAATATCTGTTTTTATCATTTTGACCTAAGTTGTTGAGTGGTTTATAAAAGACAGGCTGGGCCTGGTGGCTCACGCCTGTAATCCCAGCACTTTGAGAGGCCAAGGCAGGTGGATCACAAGGTCAGGAGTTCAAGACCAGCCTGGCCAACGTGGTAAAACCACGTCTCTACTAAAACTACAAAAATTAGCCGGGCATGGTGGCACGTGCCTGTAATCCCAGCTACTTGGGAGGCTGAGGCACGAGAATTGCTTGAACCTGGGAGGCAGAGGTTTCAGTGAGCCGAGATCGCACCACTGCACTCCAACCTGGGTGACAGAGTGAGATTCTGTCTCAAAAAAAAAAAAAAAAAAAAAGAGAGAAAAAAGAGAAGTACCTGAAGATATTTTGAAAAGTACAAGATTGTGCTAATATTACATATAGATATTTGGTGTTCTGTGATAAAAATCAGAATATGTTGTTGATATATAAATATTTTGAGATTATTTTGAACATACTTGTACTGTGATTAGTACACGTTGATGCCAGTTAATTTTAGGTTTTCAGGCCTTCATGGTATTTATTTGGGTGTACCTTACTTTTCTTTTAGCCTGACAAGGTCATGACTGCCCTATGCCAAATGTTAGATTCATTCTGTTTACTTAAAAATTATAAAGGATAACCTAAAAAATGGAATCACAGTTTCAATAAGTACTTTGTCCTATGTTTCAGTCAGCAAGACTTATTTTATGTTTTTTTAAAATGATAAACCTCATTATATCAAAATATATAGCATTAAGAAAAGAAAAGCCTTTGGTTATGAAGTGTAGTAGTTATTGTGTAGATTGTCAAATGCTAAGGAACAATGATAACTCTGGGAAAATATAGTAACATATTGCGTTGTTTTGTGAATTGTAGCTGACTTTGGCCTGGCAAAGCAAAAACAAGAAAACAGTAAACTCACCTCTGTGGTTGGAACAATCCTGTATTCTTGGTAAGGACAATTCTTTTATGGCTCTCAAACATCATACTTAACTGATTTAGGCTTTCATTTATATTATTGACTTGCAAAGGAAAGAGAATTTCAGGAAAGAAAGCTTATTTTATAAGTTTTTTCAATTATCTAGGTAATACACATTACTAGAATTGTGGATCATTATGTATGCTTAAAACAACCACCACAAAAATAATCTTTCTTCTAAGGTATCATGCCCCTCATGGGGATTACTTATATCAATTGTAAATTGCAATGATCCTTGGCATATAGTAGGTGTGCAATAGTTGTTTAATGAATCTGAGAATGAAGTAATAGATATGCTACCCAACATGATACTTGGAACATTTTATTGTACCCTCTTGTATGTATGACTCTTTTTCTCTTTTCTACCTATAAACATTCAAGTGCAGGGCAAGGATTTTTGTACACTAATACCTATCCTAGTATCTGGCAAATAATAGGCACTGAATAAACTTTATTGTGTGAATGAATAAATAATGATATGTATACTTAGACATATGTTTACAAAGTAAATTGCTTCTTAGATAAATGAGTGTTTATATTTTGATAAATCGAGACACTTAAATTCTTTGGCATACTTTGGGGGTTCCTTTGCAAGCCATTAATTATTATGAAGTAAGAATCTTCTTTTGCTGATCACATGTCATTTGTCTGAATCTGCTGAAATTAGCAAACAGTTATGGTAAAGAGTAGAAAAGCAGATTTCAGGGAAATATTCTGAAATCTGATTCAACAGGTCAAGCAATCAAGACACTTTTATTTTTTTTTAAATCTAGCCTATAGTTGTACAATTGAGTCCTGGGGATAGAATTAAACACGACTCTTCTTGAGGAAGAGTAGAAATTGTCTAAAAATAGCAGCCTAATTTTACAAAGTCCTTTCATGCAGAAGTGTTCAGAATAATGTTTTAAGAGGGTGACTTTTCATTTATCTTACTGGATATGTTTTACATCTTTATTCTTGAAAGTGGTTTCATGAGAAGATGCAAAGAAACTGTGGCAGGCTAACATGTACCTTGTAAGCTGCAAGCTTATATGATGTCTACTTATCCTCTTAACAGTAAGGCTGACCTACTCGTTACTTTCTGAGAGAAGAATAATTTTCTTTTGTTTCACTGTGTACTGTTTTTATAAAATAAACAATAAAATTTGATCATAAAAGTGTCAAGTAATCATATATCTCTGAACAGATTTGATTGTCAAATTGCAGAACAATTAAAACACAAACTTAAATTTCTGCTGGTCATACTTGGTGAAAGCATATTTTTATTCCTGAGACTTTGAATTAAGTTTAGAATTGCTCATATGATAGTATCAACTGTGTGTGTGTGTGTGTGTGTGTGTGTGTGTGTGTAAGAGAAAGAGACAGAATCCATAGAATACGTAGGAAGAAATCCAAAACATGCCAACTTTTTTGCCGTATTAGCGCAAACACGGCTTCACATTTTCATTTAATTTTTAAATTAACTGAAGGGTTTGTAAGCTGAACCTACTCATATAGATAAGCTATTATTTCATGTATGTGTACTATGATTGTTTTAATAGCATGTAAAGTATATCTTACTACCATTTATCTTTCTGTCAACTTCTTATTCTTTTAAATTGCTTTAAAAATTTCTTTCTACTCCCTTCTCTCATCTCTCCGAGTTATTAGAAATGCCTCTTGTCTGATAGGTTTTACTATGAATTTGGGCTCACAAACCGTCTTTCTTGCTAGTTTTTGATGTCCTTAACTGAGTATGGAGTTAAAAGAACTCAGTCCTACATCATATTGTGTTTCTTTCTTAATTTGGGATTCTCCAAAAGCAGAATCTGGGACAAGAATTTGAGTGAAATTGTTTATTTAGGAGGAGGTCCCAGGAAACACTATTAGGAGAGTGGTGAAGTGAGATTGGGAGGGAAAGCAGCCAGTACAGTGAACATTAATAATTAGGTTCATAGAGTATTATCTGGGATATAGTGTAAAGCAGGGGTGTCCAATCTTTTGGCTTCTCTGGGCTACATTGGAAGAGGAAAAATTGTCTTGGACCACACACAAAATACACTGACACTAAAGATAGCTGATGGGCTTTTAAAAATTGAAAAAAACCAAAATCTCATAATGTTTTAAAAAAGATTTTTGAGTTTATGTTGGGCTACATGCGGTCCGTGGGCCGGGGGTTGGACTAGCTTGGTGTACAGGATGTCTTTGAGTTGCCCTGCGCACCGGATGAGAGGTTGGAGTATTTTTTTTCCAATCACAAGGGGGAGCCCTCAGCATCTGACTGAGGGCTGCTCTGGGGAGCTTATGCCCAGGTGCTTATGGCATGCCAGGGCGTGGGCTGGGGCATTCCAGGCAGAGAGCTGGAGGGCCATTGCTTGAGGTATGATGCCATAGACTTGTACTGGAAATGTGAGTAGGAGTCTGGCTAGGGTCCCGACATTCTAGAATTTTTTTGTAATTCTATAATTCTTATTTTCATTAATTTTTCTAAGCTTGTCTGAGCCTATAAATGTGGACCTGGGATGTGGACATTTGGATGCCATAGAGATGCCTAGGCACCCCTTTCCCTTCCCTGCAGGGTCCCCAGAGTTTGATGTCCCCATGTCATTTTGCCCTTTCCATTTGCTTTTGCTTCCTCAGATATTAACTTACTGAATGGAAGAAAGGTCTCTTTGTCAACTCTTGTAGGAAGTGCCTCAGAGCATTTATTCTGTATTCAGCTGCTAGATAAAGGGTTTGTGGGCACATTGCTGGACCGATTGTACTAGAACAGAAGGTCAGTAAAGGTTCTTTTCATTCATCTGATGTGATTTATTATTAGGCAGGTATTTGTTATCCTTCTCAAGGGAAAAAAATATCCAAATATGGTACTTGTTTCCATTTTTTATCTCTATGTCTTCCTCCAATTCCAGAGAAGAAAATTAGACACCATCTTCAACTTCATTTTTTGGGAAGAGTATAGAGTTTGAGGCTCTGGGAAGCATTTTCAGCTAGTTCTTCACAGAACATATATGGGATTTATGAAGCTAGTATGATGTATAAAATACAATAAAAGTTTTCCAATAAAAATGGAAAACTTCAACTATTCCTGGAATGGGAATTATTAGTCTATGGCTTAGTATAATCCCATTCATATTATGACACTAGATAATTAGAAGAGAAGCTCATGAACTTTAAATTGGATGGATCAAAATAAACCTGTAGGTAAAACTGATTAAGTAGAGACAAAGTGAAGCATGCCTATTAACTGCACTTCTTAAATTTTTAAAAAAATTATTTTTTTGATACATAAAGTTGATAGAATTCTTAAGAAAGCTATAATACACTCAAAATTTTGAGAATTTTAAGTGGCTTAAAACACTTAAGTGACTTCCAGCTGCTCATGCAAAGACCAAGCCCTCAGTATGGCCACAAGCAGACAACCTTGCATTCTCTGGCCTCTGCCAAGTTCTTCAGCTTTACCACAAACCAAACTTTAACAATTCCTAGCTGTTTCATCTGGGCTCCCTCTGACCACAGGGCCTTTGCACATGCAGCTCCCTTTGCCTGGAATACTCTTTTCTATTTGTCATCTGGTTAATTCTTACCTGCCTTCAGCTGAACCCCCTTAGACAAGGTCTATTTCCTCTGATCTACACACTCTATGTACTTTTCCTTCACACAATTGAACTTTTTGTTGATTTTGTGATAAGCAATTATGATTTTGTTCATCACAATCCCCAGCAGTCCTAAGTCTGGTACTTTAAAACTCACAAGTAATATTTGCTACATGAATGATCAAGTACTTGCATGATTATAAACATTAGTGGAAATAACATATTAGAAAGAAAATTATTTCTTTTTGTTGTAACAAATTTTTAATTCCCTGTCCTTTCCCTTCTTGCTGTTCCTTCAGATCTCCAAAATACTCCTCCTTGGAATACTCTTCCTTCAGAGATAGCTGCAGAGTTTACTTCTTTACTTCATTCTGCTCTTTGCTTAAATGCCACTTATGTAGAGAGGATTTCCCTGATCACTTGCCCCAAATAGCAACCTCCCTTCAGACTGCTTTATTTTTTCATAGTCTTGCCTCTACCTGACCTTATGTTGTACTTGAATTGGCTTATAGTGTGTCTCTCCACTACACACAAGCTCCATAAGCATAGGACTTGCGTCTCCTTTGTTCACCACTGTTTCCCCAGGACCTAGAGGAGTTGACTAGCAGAATCTTAAGAAATACTTTGAATAATTGAAGTGAAAACAAGTCATTTTTTAATATTAATATGATAAAAATTAGTGTATATTTTTATTGAGTTCTAGTATATCTTTGAACTTTTCTGATTTTTACCCTAATAAAGCCTGAAGAAAATGCTTTTCATTTGAGATAGTAAGTACCTTGATGGTAGGGTCTATTTTATTTTGTTTTCTCTTTGCTTATTTTATCTTTATATATTACATAGTTACTACAACAGTGAGTAAATGAGATCAAGTAGGATGTTAAACATTTTAACAAAATAAAATGTGTAAAGATTATATATTACAGAAATATGTATTCTTCAGTGACCAATAAAGTGGCCCTGAGGGAAATTTCAAAAAAGAGATGTGTTAGATCGTTCTTGGATTGCTATAAAGAAATACCTGAGACTGGATAATTTATAAAGAAAAGAGGTTTAACTGGTTCATGGTTCTGCAGGCTGCACAGGAAGCATGACGCTGGTATCTTCTTGGCTTCTGGGGAGGCCCCAGGAAACTTACATTCATGGTGGAAGGTGAAGGGGGAGCAGGCATATCACATGGCCAGAGCAGGAGCAGGAGAGGGGAAGTGAGGAAGTGCCACACACTTTAAAAACAACCAGAACTCATGAGAACACACTCACTGTCAGAACAACAGCACTAAAGGGATGGTACTAAACCATTCATGAGAAATCCACCCCCATGATCCAGTCATTTTCCACTAGGCCCCACCTTCAACACTGGGAATAACAATTCAATATGAGATTTGGGCAGGGATTTTCAAAAATAAGCATAATTGGAAAAAGACCATGGTATTGACAGAGACAGGGCATTATCAAGAGCACAAACTCTAGAATCAGATGGCCTGGGTTTAAATTCTAGATCGGCTATTGAGAGTTTTAAATGATTGAATTTTTCTGTGCCTCAGTTTCCTCATCTGCAACCTGGGGATGATAATAATAGTGCCCATGTCCTAGGATTATTGTGAGATTAAATGAGGTGATACATGTCACATGCTGGGAACAGTGCCTGGCTGGCATATGGTAAGCACTCACTAGATAATAGTGATTGTTATTTCCTGTTAGTCTAAAGTTTGAAAGGATAGTACTCATTTAAATGTATATATTATATTCTGCATATATAGGAGGTTATAGAACACTAGGCGGATTTAACCTAAAGAAGACTACCTCAAGGTATTTAATAATCAAACTCACAAATATCAGGGATAAAGAAAGGATCTCAAAAGCAGCAAGAGAAAAGAAACAAATAACATGCAATGGACCTCAATACATCTGGCAGCAGACTTTTCAGTGGAAGCCTTACGGGCCAGAAGAGAGTGGCATGACATATTGAAAGTGCTGAAGGAAAAAAAAAATTTACCCCAGAATAGTATATCTGGTGAAAATATCCTTCAAACATGAAGGAGAAATAAAGACTTTCCCAGACAAACAAAAGCTAAGGGATTTCATCAACATCTGACCTGTCCTATGAGAAATGCTAAAGGGGGTTCTTCAATCAGAAATGAAAGGGCATTAATGAGGAATAAGAAACCATCTGAACATACAAAACTCACTGGTAATAGTAAATACACAGGCTGGGCACAGTGGCTGACACCTGTAATCCCAGCACTTTGGGAGACCAAGGCAGGTGGATCACGAGGTCAGGAGATCGAGACCATCCTGACTAACACAGTGAAACCCCGTCTCTACTAAAAATACAAAAAATTAGCCGGGCATGGTGGTGGGCGCCTGTAGTCCCAGCTACTTGGGAGGCTGAGGCAGGAGAATGGCGTGAACCTGGGAGGCGGTGCTTGCAGTGAGTGGAGATCGTGCTACTGCACTCCAGCCTGGGTGACAGAGAGAGACTCCATCTCAAAAAAAAAAAAATAGTAAATACACAGAAAAACAAAGAATATTATAATACTGTAATTGTGGTATATAAACTACTGTTAGCTTAAGTAAGACTAAAATGTGAATCAATAAAAATAACTACAACAACTTTTCAAGACATAGCACAATAACATATAAAGAGAAACAATAAGTTAAAAAGTGGGGGGACAAAATTAAAGTATACAGTTTTTATGTTTTCTTTTTGCTTGTTTGTTTATGCAATCAGTATCATCAGTTTAAAATAATGGGTTACAACATAGTATTTGCAAGTTTCATGGTAACCTCAAATCAAAAAACATACAACAGATACACAAAAAGTAAAAAGTAATAAATTAAATCATACCATAAAAGAAAATCACCTTCACTAACAGGAAGACAGGAAAGAAGAATGAAAGAGAATACCCCAAAACAACCAGAAAACATAAATGACAAAATGGCAGGAATAAGTTCTTACTTATCAATAATAACATTGAATGTAAATGGATGAAACTCTCCAATCAAAAGACAGAGTGGCCCAGTGGACAAAAAACTAAGACGCAATGATCTGTTGCCTATTAAAAATGCATTTCACCTCTAAAGACACATAGACTGAAAATAAAGAGAAGGAAAAAGATATTCCATGCCAATGGAAGCCAAAAAAGAGCAGAAGTAGCTATACTTATATCAGAAAAAATATATTTCAAGACAAAAACTGTAAGAAGAGACAAAGAAAGTCATTATATAATGATAAAGGAGTCACTTCAGCAAGAAGATATAACAATTGTAAATATATATGCACCCAATACTGGAGCACCCAGATATATAAAAGAAATATTATTAGAGTGAAAGAAAGAGAGATGGACAAAAATATAATTGTATTAGTCTGTTTTCAAACTGCTATAAAGAACTACCTGAGACTGGGTAACTTATAAAGGAAAGAGGTTTAATTGATTTGCAGTTCAGCGTGGCTGGGGAGACCTCAGGAAACTTACAAACATGGTGGAAGACAGGGGAAGCAAGGCTCCTTCTTTACAAGGCAGCAGGAAGGAGAATGAATGCAGGAGGAACTACCAAACACAAAACCGATCACATGAGAATTCACTATCATGAGAACAGCTTGGGGGATATCGCCCCCATGATTCAATTACCTCCACCTGGTCTCTCCCTTGACATGTGGGGATTATAGGGATTACAATTCAAGATGAGATTTTGGGTGGGGTGTAGCCAAACCATTATCAACAATAATAGCTGGAGACTTCAATACCCCATAGCATTGGACAGACCTCCCAGATAGAAAATCAGTAAAGGATCATTGGACTTAATCTGCACTGTAGACCAAATGGACCTAATGGATAGTTACAGAATATCTCATCCAATGGCTACAGAATATACATTCTTCTCAGCACATGAATTATTCTCAAGGATAAACCATATGTTAGGTCACAAAACAAGTCTTAAAACATTTAAAAAAAAGTTGAAATAATATCAAACATCTTCTCTGACTGTAATAGAATAAAACTAGAAATCAGTGACAAGAGGAATATTGGATACTCTACAAACACATGGAAATTAAACAGTATGCTCCTGAATGACCAGTGGGTCAATGAATAAATAAGTAAATTGAAAAAATTTTTGAAACAAATAATAATGGAAACACAACATACCAAAACCTATGGGATACAGTGAAAGTAGTACCAAGAGAGAAGTTTGTAGCTATAAATGCCTAAACCAAAAAGAAGAAAAACTTCAAATAAATAACCTAATGATGCATCTGAGAGAACTAGAGAAGCCAAAGCAAATGAAACCCAAAATTAGTAGAAGAAAAGTAATAATAAAGAGCAGATATAAAAGCAATGGAAATGAAGAAAACAATACAAAAGATCAACAAAATGGAAAGTTGTTTTTTGGAAAAGTTAAACAAAATTAACAAACCTTTAGACAGACTAAAAAAAAGGGAGAAGACCCAAATAAATACAATCAGGGATGAAAAAGGAGACATTACAATTGATACTGCAGAAATTCAAAGAATAATTAGTGGCTACCACGAACAACTATGTGCCAATAAACTGGAAAATTTAGAAGTAAGTAAATTACTAGACACATACAACCTACCAAGATGGAACCATGAAGAAACTCAAAACCCAAACAGACCAATAACAAGTAGTGAGATGGAAGCCATAATGAAAAGTCTCCCAGTAAAGAAAACCTGAGACCCAATGGCTTCACTGTTGAATGCTACCAGATGTTTAAAGAATAACTAATACCAATCCTACACAAACTATTGCAAAAAATGGAGGAAGAGGGTATACTTCCAAACTTACACCGTGAGGCCAGTATTACCCTGATACAAAAACCAGACAAAGACGCCTCCAGAAAAAAAAAAAAAAAAGAAAAGAAAAGAAAAGAAAATTAAAAGAAAACTGCAGGCCAATATTGCTTGAGTGCAGGAGTTTAAGACCAGCCTGGGCAACATGGCGAAACCCTGTCTCTACTAACAATGCAAAATATTAGCCAGGCATGGTGGTGTGCATGTGTAGTCCCAGCTACTTGGAAGGCTGAGGCGGGAGGAATGATTTAGTCCAGGAGGTGGAGGTTGCAGTGAGCTGAGATCGCACCACTGCACTGCAGTTTGGGTGACAGAGACTCTGTCTCAAAAAAATAAAATAAAATAAAATAAAATAAACAAAATTCTAGCAAATCAAATCCAACAATACATTAAAATGATTATTCCTCATGATCAAGTGGGATTTATCCCAGAGATGCAAGGATATGTAAATCAATCAATGTGATACATTGTATCAACAGACTGGAGGACAACAACTATATGATCATTTCAATTGATGCTGACAAAACATTTGATAAAATTCAACATCCCTTCATGATGAAAAGCCCTAAAAAACCTGGGTACAAAAAGAACATACCTCAACATAAAAAAAGCCATTTACAACAGACCCACAGCTAATATCATACTGAATGGGGAAAAATTGAAAACCTCTTCTTGAAGATCTAGAACATGACAGGGATGTTAACTTTCATCATTGTTATTCAAAATAGTACTGGAAGCCCTAGCCAGAGCAGCCAGATAAGAGAAATAAATAAAAGGCATCCAAATTGGGAAGGAAGAAGTCAAGTTATCCTTGTTTGCAGATGATATGATCTTATATTTGGAAAAACCTGATCTTATATTTGGAAAAACCTGACGACTCCACCAAAAAACTATTAGAACTGATCAACAAATTTAGTAAAGCTGCAGGATACAAAATCAACATACAAAAAGCAGTAGCATTTCTATACACCAACAGCGCACAATGTGAAAAAGAAATCAAGAAAGTAATATCATTTATGAGAGCTACAAATAAAGTAAAATACCTAGGAATTAACTTAACCGAAGAAGTGAAATATGGGACTAAAAATTGTGTGGGAATAAAAATTTGTGGTGCTAAAAATTAAATAATTGAACTCATGGAGAAAGAACATAGAAGGATGGTCACCGGGGCTAGGAAGGGTAGTGGGCAGGGGTTGGGGGGATTGGGGTGATTAATGGGTATAAAAAATAGAATTAGTGAATAAGAGCTAATATTTGATAGCACAACAGGGTGACTATAGTTAAAAAAATTTAATTATACATTTTACAATAACTGAAAGAGTATAATTAGATTGTTTTAACACAATGCTTGAAGTGATGGATATCCTATTTACTGTGATGTGATTATTATTCATTGCATGCCTGTGTCAAAATATCTCATAAACCCCATAAACATATACACCTACTATATATTTACAAGTAAAGTTAAAAATAAAAAATTTAAAAAATCTAAATTTACTTGAGGATGAAAGGTTGGAGGAGAGAGAGGATCAGAAAAAATACCTATTGAGTATTATGCTTACTGGTGGGTGACAAAATAATCTGCAACAAACCCCCATGACATGCAGTTTACCTATATAACAAACCTGCAGATGTACCCCTGAACCTAAAAGTCATAATAAAAAAGGGTGAATGTAGGTACATAATGCCATTGTACATTATGCATTTTTCAGTCTGATTTGTTCTGAACTCCTCAGAATCACAAAACGCAAGAAAGAAAGCTCTCTGATGATTGATTCTGTCAGTGGAAGTCCTTGCTTCTTTTATCAATTGGAAATTCAGAATCATTTATCTTCAGTCTCTATATTCTTTTTCTCTTGCCCTTTTATAGTCTTTACTTTTACAAGTAAAAGTGAATCATAAGCACTAGATTTCCTTCTCCATGTTTATTTATCTACTTTGTCATTTTGAACATTTAATACCTAGTGGTTATGTATAGTATTTCCCATTTCCTATTGGAACAAGATTCAAGAGGAAATACATAGTGATAAGATGTGTTACTTTAACATGTTTTTCTGAGGGTGGGAGGGGTGTGGTCAAAAGAAGTTTCCTCATGTATTTACCACAAATTAATTTATTGAATAATTAAGAAATTAGAATCATTTGATGATGGAGAGATGTATATTTCAGATATGTATTGGATGCATAACAATCCATCCCAAAATTTAGTTGCTTAAAACCACGATGGTTTATATAGGTTTGCTTGATCATTCCTCTGTTGGTTCCCCTGAACTCATGTGGATGCATTTGGCTGAATTATTGGCTTGGCTGGGCAGTCCAAGATGGCTTCATTAATAAGGCAGTTCGTGTTGATGCTTGGCTAGAGTCCCTTGGATCTTTTTCAGGTGGCCTTTCGTTTACATGACAGTAGTGGAGTAACATTCCAAGAAAGTAAAAGCTGAGCTGCAAGGCCCGATTGGGGCTAGCCTTGGATGTCACTAAACATCCCTTCTGCCATATTCTGTTGGTCAAAGCACATAAGAGCCAGCCCAAATGTGTGAAATACATTTATCTCTAGATGGAAGCAGGTGCATGGTACTTGTGGCCATATTCAACAAATCATAATGCAGCACCGTATTTCTTTAAAAAAGAAGAAGAATCCCCCAAATGGCTTCAGGAATCAAGACATGTGAAACAAAGAAATAGTCTATTTTAAACACTAACGGTTGGCACGTTAGCCCCACATCTCCTTAGAATGAAGTATAGCAGCCTGGATCCAACTAGGAGATAGAAATGATGCAGTGGGCTAAATAGGGGAAGTTTAATATGAAGAACAATTATGATGAAAGAGTAACTATAAGATGTAAGAAAACTACATGGTACTTTAGGGTTGAGTGACAGTACCAAGGAAGGATAAACTTGGAAGGGGTTCAGATTTCATTGGAAAAAGTGTGGTAGCCCAATAGACAGCAGAAAAGTTGGCTAGATGGTCCAGGCTGAAGCTGTTCTGGAGCTGCTAGGCAAGCTGGGAGCAACCCTCTGAAGTGCAGGTGAGGGAGCAAGGCATCAGCATCTGCGGTGTGGGCACATAGTGGGAGTCCAGCTGCCACAGGTGCCCTTCAGAGTTTAAAGGCCACAGGGAAGGGAGAAGAGGGGGCGAGTCCAGGAACTGCACAAGCAGGAGGCCTTCAGAGGGTGCAGGCTACACAGGGGCTCTGGTTTCTGTTTTGAGAAGGTTGAAGAAAAATGATCACCAGGCTGAGGCTGCAGGGTTGCAGAGGGAGAATGGGCTATGGTTGGGATAGGCTCTACTGGTTAGTCCTATACCTATACTGCCTACTCGTGGCCCATGTCAGAAATTGCAGGAAACCTCTTCCTCCTGCAGTGTCCCTCCAATCCATGTATAGAGAAAGCTTAATATTGTGCTCACTTTAAAGGAGAAATATTTAAAGGGATTCCATTGTTTATTGAATAATACATTAAGAGACAACAGGCAATAAGTTAATAACAGACACAATAAGAAACTTCAGGGCTTGGCCCAGCATAACAGTGGACTGGGCAACTAGTAGAATAGGGCCACATCCCTGCTAGGGGATGTTCAATGCCTTTAATTCTTCTGTAAAATAGGTGTTTTATTTCTCTGTGCCTCCAAACTTTTGGTGTATCTCCAGAGTGTCTTTTTGAATTGTGAAAATTAAATCTTTCAGTTCAATTCTGAATAGGCTCAGCGTATTTGGTGAAAAGCAGGAGCTATAGTTTGGCTGGGTTGAGTTTGTGCTGTGACACTGGAAGACCTAGAATTTTCCTCTTGGCATTGTAAAGCCACAGGGTATCTCTCAGCCTGACAGTTACTTGATGGAAATGCGGTTTTTTTGGGGGAATATCTGTGGAATGAAACTGGGAAAAGGGAAGGAGAGATGTGTATTCATCATTTTATCTGTCCCTCAAGTGGATATTCCAATATTTACTTCACAGGAGCAGATGACTTAGTTCTTTACCACTAGAAGAATTCAATTTAATTTGGGGACACGGACACACAGACACACACACACACACACACACACACACACACACCCATGGTGTCAGTCAAGTGTAGAAGATTAAAGGGTTAGAAAACCCTATGATGCTTGTAATGAGTCTCCAGGATAATATAGAAAGTAGGGTAGAACAGGGACCTCCCAGCACAGAGCTGCAGAACTCGAGGGAAAGGCCATTGGGGCTGGGGTGGATGCTCTGTTTTCTATGTAATAAATGTGCCATATTCTATGCACTAACTAAGAATTTTATAAACAGATATATTTTCCTCGAATTCAGACATTATGACAGTATATGTATAGAAGGGAGTCTGGTTGACGGATAAAATGGTCACAAGAAATCAAAAGGAAAGAAGAGAAAAGATAGCAAGGTGATGAGGGTAAACATATAATGGAAAGAGTGGAGAAGTCAGAGGATTCAAACAATGGGGAAATATGAAAGTGAAATTACCATATTAGGGGCAAAAGAATTAAATAAACATTTTCATTATTTTGCAGGGCTACATTTAATTTGTCTTATTCTTGTGAATGAGTTACTCCAAGTGACCTTACCAGTCATATATCCCTTTACATCAATTTATTTCTTAACTCATTTAGCTATTAGTACTTTATTAATTTTTATATTTAATTTTAATTATTAACTTTTTTATCTTGGCATTTCAGACTGTTCATAACAACCCTAGAAGTAATGACACGATGCTAACACAAGAAAACCTTCCTTTGAAGTGCCAGAAATTGTTTTCTCTAAAATAGTAGAATATTAGTTAGAAGGCCAATATTTTGAAATTCAAGCGTCTCTTTGGAGAAGGATTTTAAAAAAATCCTTTAAAACATTTTAAAACAAGACAATAAACTGTTAAACTGTGACAATTTTATGGCCTATCATAAAATGTCAAAATAAAGATTTTAAAATGTTAACTTTATGTAACCTTGATACATTGGCAATACTCAACCATTTTAAAACCTTCATTTTCACTGAAAGGCATACTTCTAGGATCCTCACATTTGGCAGTTAAGTTTTGAAGATTTTACATATATTGGTCAATTTCATTTTAGTACTCTAGGGTTCCAGGAAGGCCACATCTATTCCTCAGTAAAGCATTTGCCTCTCAGTCTGTTCAGCTCCTCCTCACCTTAATTCTTCTGAGTTCATCTGTAATTTTCATAACAAAGTGTACTTTCTTCATAAATTTAGTAAATAATGCTCAGAACTTCAGCAGTGAGAGAAGTAAGATGCCAGTGGACATGGGTGCATCTGTGCACAGTGGGCAACTGTGATGTGTGGCTGTCCCTTCCCCTAGGAGCCAACAGGACATAGTGCAGACTCTAGACCTGGATTGCCTGGGCCCAATCCTGGATCTACACCTTCCTGTTTGACTTTGGGCAAGCTACTTAATTTTTCTGGGCCTAAATTTCCTCACCTGAAATGGGGGCAGAGGGCAGTAATGATAATTTCTACAACATAGGGTTGTTATGAGGATTGAGAAGATAGTTGGATGGATGGATGGAAGGATGGATGGATGGCAATAGATTGATCAATCGATTGATAAGTAGATAGTATTATCTGTAGCATAGCAGGGATTTAATAAACATTACCTATTGTCAGGCTGGAAGCAACAGCCTCATTCTTTAGGAAAATATTTCTTCCCTGCCTTTACTTCAAGCACATGGTTTAAATGGCTTATACATTGGGAATACTCAAAAAAGTATCAATGCCAAAAGTCCCATTGCTTTAGAGATCCTGCCTCCTTGGCCTTACATGGTGGAACAATTCTAGTATGCATGTCCCTATAGCCCAAAATGTTAAAAGTAGAAGTGTTTTCTTGATTCAAGTTTAACCATTCAGAATTCTTTCTTGAGAACGTGTTGAGCTGAGGCTCAGTTAAAAGTTGAAGCTGGGAGGCAAAAGGCCCAGCAGTGTTTTGGTGGCCATGGTTGTAGCCAGGGAGGAAGTCAGTCTGACAGCATGAGGTCAATACTTAGAATAAGAGATGGCAATGTCCAGGCTCAAGATTCCATTTTCTTAAGTCCCAGCTGCAACTTTGCTCTTCCTGCACTTACAGGAGCCTATCAATAAAGTCCCCTATTTGCCTAACCTTGCTGGGTTTCTTTCTCTTGTCTCTTAGTTTGGGTTGCCCTGAAGGCAGACCCTGAGAAAAGAATTGAAGTGCAAGTGGTTTATTCTGGAGGTGATCCTAGGAAACATGAATAAAAGAGTAGGGGAAGTGAGACAGGGTAGGGAAGTAAGCAGATAAAGGATTTCTTGGGCAAGTTACCACTGTGGGCAATTAGAACTCAAATCTGTTGAGGTACTTGGGAGCCATTTATTTGAATACCCAAAAGGAGAAAGAGCAGTATTTATACACTTGCTCTTGAAGTCACTGGGTAAGGTCTGTTTCTGGGGTACAGTAATTCATCAGCACTTCAGGCTCATCATGTTGCAGACACAGAAAGTCATGAGATTAAAGAAAATCCTCAGACAAACCTGCAAATGGTTGGAATTCAGTCCAGTGTGCTCGCAAGAAGTAAGGGTCAGGGGATGTTAATAGGACACCTACAACATCTGCTTCAAGTTAACAATGAAAACAACTTTGACTGTCACAACAGAGATATGGTTGTAGGGTGGCCTCAAAGTCTGTACATGCCAGATTGTCTGAAAAAATCTTATTTTTCCCCCCATGCTCTCTGAACAAATTCTTCTATGCTGAATATTTGGAAGTCTTTAAAGATGTCCCTGAAGTCTGTTTTTAGATTTTCCTCACAGTTACATTGAGTTGAGAATTTTTTCCCCCAGTCATGCCCAGAGAGACTGTCTGCCTCCCTGTAGTTCTGGGGTGCTACTCCCTGTACCAACTTTGCAAACAAAATAGCAATACCAGGCTGATGAGGTAATGATCATTTTAAAATAGATGTGATAGGCCAGGCATGGTGGCTCATGCCTGTAATTCCAGCACTTTAGGAGGCCAAGGCAGGCAGATCACCTGAGGTCAGGAGTTCGAGACCAGCCTGGCCAACATGGTGTAACCCTGTCTCTACTAAAAAAATACAAAAATTAGCCAGGCGTGGTGGTGCACACCTTTAATCTCATCTACTCGGGAGGCTGAGGCAGGAGAATTGCTTGAGCCTGGGAGACAGAGGTTGCAGTGAGCCAAGATTATGCCATTGCACTCCAGTCTGGCCAACACAGTGAGACTCTGTCTCAAAAAAAAAAAAAAAGATGAGATAGTAATAAAAGTAAATCAGAATGAGGTAAGAATATTCTCCTGTGAGGGTCTCTGCTACCTTGAATAAAGACTATCAAATGTTTACATGGAAGTTGCTCAACTGTCTCTTTTTATTTCTTAGTCTGTTAAGGAGCAGGAATACACATTTTTATGTGACTTTATATTTAGAGAAAGGCATTTGTATAATTATGTATTATTGGGAGATTGTATTATCTTTTTTGTGAAATCACCATAATTATTTAGTTATGTACTTGAATTTTAAAAGCTAGTGCTATTTGGCTTGAATACAAATACAAAATATGTGATGTCAACCTATAATGCCAGCTTTTTTTTTTCTACAAAAAATCATTAGAGACAAGCAAATGGCAGTTGATGTATAATGAGAAATTTCAAGGCTGTTGGATCTGAATTTAATTTGTATTTGTGACTCAGAGTAGGCAATGCTGGAAAATCATTTGATGACTGGAGTGTAATCACTGGGTGAACATAATCCATTTGTTTAATTGCCCAGACTCCTCACTGTATTTACAGTTAATTGGTTCCCATTAAGGTCCTCTTAATAGAGACCATAAAACAGTAGGATTAGAGAAACCTGAAAAGGAACATTTAGTTTGAGTCCTTTCTTGAAGCCAAGTTGTAACATGTGCTCATCTATTTCATTTTTTACCATCTTCATAACAGACTGAGGGAGAAAAAGACTCTCAGGCAGGTGCTTTATAAATTATTTTTACTGTTTTGGCCTATGAACATTTCTATAGCCAGAAAATAAAAAAAAATCTAGTGTTCCTACATATAATTGAAGTTTTTCTCTTATGACTTGAAATTCTTTTTGGGTTTAGTGGCCAGGCAAAGCAAATGGTCACTACCCAACATTTAATGACTCTTCATGTACTGAAAGGTTATTTTAAGCCTTTTTTCCCTAAATTTCGTTGCTCATTCCTAGTTTTTGTAACCTTTTGATTCAGACTTCTAGATATTACATACAAAGATCGGATAGAAAACCTTTCAATATCTTAGGAAAGTCATGTGAACCCATCTGATGAGGAGGGATACAAGTCTCTTATAAAATGTGATTTTAGTGCTGCATTTTTAACTTACAGATTTTCTTTATTCTCCAAAGACGGGTTTATTTACTTCAGGACTGATGAAGCAAATTAAAATTATAAATTCTCCTCCCCCTTCCACAGAGATTTTCGAGTCTGCCTTCTTCTCCCTTTCTCCTACCCACAATTACCCTCACTACAAATGCTGGAGCTTCCCTTCCATTGGGCTCCAGCCAATTTGGGAAAATTTTGAAAGTAAATTAGTTTCAGTGACAATATAATCAAAATACAAAATTACTACATTTGAATATTTCTCATCACTGATTTTTAAAATCTATTGATAATATTCAGGAAGTTTTACATTCTTTCTGGGCACTTAACATTCTTAGTTATTTTAATTTTTTTTGTGAACTTGACATTTTATTTCTTAATTCATTTTAGCCAATTGTGAGAATTATGCATTAAAATGGGAGATTGGCCCCTTTCCACTGCATCACAGATGAAAAATGGAAAGTACCTTTGATTGGTCCCCTCCCACAAGCAATCACTGGTTGTGGGCCAAGTCTTCATGTGTAACTTTGTTAACTTCACTTTAGCCTCTGATTGGTTGACTCTTGCAACCAATCAGACTAGTTGTGGGCCAAATCTTCATTTATAGAGGGTATAACCAAGTAACCAATGGGAAACCTCTAGAGGGTATTTAAACCCCAGAAAATTCTGTAACCAGTGCCCTTGAGCTGCTTGCTTCAGCCTGCCCCTGCTCTGTGGAGTGTACTTTCATTTCCATAAATCTGTGCTTTCGTTGCTTCACATACACACACACACACACACACACACACACACACACACACACACACGAAAGGGGAGGTTGGTTAGATAAATAACACTAAGCTGGTAATACAGTAATGTATTTGTTGACCCAGAAGCATATTTACAATATTAAATAAAAAAATAGGTTACCAATGGCATATATTTTATGATCCTATCACAGATAGAAATATCTGAAAATATTGTCAAGTCAAGCAGACATCACAGACAAAAGTGAATTAGAAATTAAAGGAATATGAATACATATAACAAAATAAAAACAACAAAACTTCAAATCTGAAAAAAGTTTATAATTTGTTGATTAAAGTTTCTTATATTGTTTTCTTATTAGAAAATCAGTATATTCTCTGCAGAAAATGAAGAAAAAATCCCATTAAGAATATTCGTAATCCTACTAACCCAGAAATGGAAAAAACTCACAGAAAATAGCTTATTGTCCAGATTCCAAATTCCTTTCTATGTGAACACACAAACACACATACACAAATACTGATATTAATGAGTGCTTTTCTATAGCTTCAGTTTTAATATCTGGATCGAATCCCAATACTTGGTTAAAATCATGATTCATTCAGCCAATCTCCTTTTTTTAGATATGCAAATTATTTCCAGCTTTTCCCTAACTCATATTACACAGGGCACGTATTCTTGGCTAAAACTAAATTAGAAATAAGAAAACAAAAGTTATCTGTGGCAAAGTTAGCCTCTAGCACACCATCCCCTTCTTAATCCCCAAATAAAAAACCCTGACTACACTTGTTGGTGAATATTTTGTTATTGGCTATAGTATTTACAACCTTTCTGCTGTATGCAGCTCACTAATCTTCTCTACTCTTGAGGGTGCGGAAAGCATGGTGTATTATTGGTGACACAGCCCTTTTTATACAATTTCACATATCAGAGCTGGTTTTGCAAGGATGACTTGATGATTTGATGCCCACCATTTTCTTTACTGTTAAAAAATTTCAATAGTTTTTGGGGTACAGGTGGTTTTGGGATGCATGGATAGGTTCTTAAGTGGTGATTTCTGAGACTTTAGTGTACCCATCACCTGAGCAATGTACACTCTATCCAATATATAGTCTCACCCCACTCCCACCCTTCCTCACCCCACTCCCACCCTTCCTCCTGAGTTCCCAAAATCCATTATATCATTCTTATGCCTTTGCATACTCACAGTTTAGCTCCCACTAATAATTGAGAACATATGATGTTGTGGGAAGTCAGGGACCCCGAACGGAGGGACCGGCTGGAGCCACGGCAGAGGAACATAAATTGTGAAGATTTCATGGACATTTATCAGTTCCCAAAATTAATACTTTTATAATTTCTTACACCTGTCTTTACTGCAATCTCTGAACATAAATTGTGAAGATTTCATGGACATTTATCAGTTCCCAAATAATACTCTTATAATTTCTTATGCCTGTCTTTAATCTCTTAATCCTGTTATCTTCGTAAGCTGAGAATGTACGTCACCTCAGGACCACTATTGTACAAACTGATTGTAAAACATGCATGTTTGAACAATATGAAATCAGTGCACCTTGGAAATGAATACAATAACAGCAATTTTAGGGAACAAGGGAAGACAACCAAAGGTCTGACTGCCTGCGGGGTCAGGCAGAATAGAGCCATATTTTTCTTCTTGCAGAGAGCCTATAAACAGACATGCAAGTAGGAGAGATATCGCTGAATTCTTTTCCCGGCAAGGAATATTAATAATTAATACCCAGGGGAAGGAATGCATTCCTGGGGGGAGGTCTATAAACGGCCACTTTGGGAGTGTCTGTCTTATGCGGTTGAGATAAGGACAGAAATATGCCCTGGTCTCCTGCAGTACCCTGAGGCTTATTAGAGTGGGGAAAAGATCCCACCCTAGTAAATTTGAGATCAGACTGGTTCTGTGCTCTTGAACCCTGTTTTCTGTTGTTTAAGATGTTTATCAAGACAATATGTGCACAGCTGAACATAGAACCTCATCAGTAACTCTAATTTTGCCCTTTGCCTTGTGATCTTTGCTTTGCCCTTTGCCTTGTCATCTTTATTGCCCTTTAAGGCATGTGATCTTTGTGACCTATTCCCTGTTCATACACCCTCTCCCCTTTTAAAGTCCTTAATAAAAACCTGCTGGTTTTGCGGCTCAGGTGGGACATCACGGACTTACCGATATGTGATGTCACCCCCTGGAGGCCCAGCTGTAAAATTCCTCTCTTTGTATTCTTTCTCTTTATTTCTCAGACTGGCCGACACTTAGGGAAAATAGAACCTACATTGAAATATTGGGAGCTGGTTCCCCCGATAATATGATATTTGGTTTTCCATTCCTGAGTTACTTCAGTTAGAATAATGGCCTCCAGCTCCACCCAAGTTGCTGCAAAAGACATTATTTTGTTCCTTTTTATAGCTGAGTAGTATTCCATAGTGTATATATACATTTTGTTCTTAAAAATATTTCATTTATTTATTTACTTATTTTTTAACTTTTAAGTTCAGGTGTACATGTGCAGGATGTGCAGGTTTGTTACATTGTTAGTTATATAGATTATTTCATCACCCAGGTATTAAACTTAGCATCCATTAGTTATTTTTCCTGATCCTCTCTCTCCTTCCATCCTCCACCCTCCAGTAGACCCCAGTGTGCCTTGTTCCCCCTCTATGAGTCCATGTGTTCTCATCATTTAGCTCCCACTTATAAGTAAGAATGTGCAGTATTTGTTTTTCTGTTTCTGCATTAGTTTGCTAATGATAATGGCCTCCAGCTCTATCCATGTTCCTGCAAAGGACATGATCTTATTCTTTTTTATGGTTGCATAGTATTCCATGGTGTATATGTATCACATTTTCTTTATATGTATCACTTTTTTTTACCCAGTCTATCATTTTTGAGCATTTACGTTGATTCCATGTCTTGGCTATTGTGAATAGTGCAGCAATGAACATGTGCATGAACAAGTGAATAGTGCATGCATGTTTCTTTATAATAGAACAATTTCTATTCCTTTGGGTATATACCCAGTAATGGAATTGCTGGGTCGAATGGAATTTCTGTCTTTAGGTCTTTGAGGAATTGCCACACTGTCTTCCACAATGGTTGAACTAATTTACACTCCCATCAACAATGTAAAAGCATTTCTTTTTCTCCACAACCTCATCAGCATCTGTTATTTTTTGACTTCTTAGTGATAGCCATTGTGATGGGCGTGAGATGACATCTCATTGGGGTTTTGATTTGCATTTCTCTAATAATCAGTAATGTTGAGCTTTTCATATGCTTGTTGGCTGAATGTATACCTTCTTCTGAAAAGTGTTTGTTCATGTCCTTTGCCCACTTTTTAATGGCGTTGTTTGTTTGTTTTGTAAATTTGTTTAAGCTCCTTATAGATGCTGGATATTAGACCTTCGTCAGATGCATAGTTTGCAAAAATTATCTCCCATTCTGTAGGCTGTCTTTTTGCTGTGTTGATAGTTTCTTTTGCTGTACAGAAGCTCTTTAGTTTAATTAGATTTGATTTGTCAATTTTTGCTTTTGTTGCAATTACTTTTGGCATCTTCATCATGAAATCTTTGTCAGTGCCTATGTCCTAAATGGTATTGCCTAGGTTTTCTTCTAGGGTTTTTATAGTTTTGGGTTTTAGATTTAAGTCTTTAATCCATCTTGAGTTGATTTTTGTGTGTGGTATAAGAAAGGGGTTCAGTTTCAATTTTCTGCTTGTGGCTAGCCAGTGATCCCAGCACCATTTATTAAATAGGGAATCCTTTCCCCATTGCTTGTTTTTGTCAGGTTTCTTAAACATCAGATGGTTGTAGGTGTGCAATCTTATTTCTGAATTATCTATTGTGTTCCATTGGTCTATGTGTCTGTTCTTGTACCAATACCATGCTGTTTTGGTTACTATAGCCCTGTAGTATAGCTTGGAGTCAGGTAACATGATACCTGCAGCTTTGTTCTTTTTGCTTAGGATCTCCTTGGCTAGTTGGGCACTTTTTTGGTTCCATATGAATTTTAAAATAGCTTTTTCTAGTTCTGTGAAGGACGTCAAATTATAGTTTCATGGGAATAGCATTGAATGTATGAATTGCTTTGGGCAGTATGGCCATTTTCACAGTATTGATTCTTCCTATCCATGAACATGGAATGTTTTTCCATTTGTTTGTGTCCTTTCTGATTTCTTTGAGCAGTGGTTTGTAGTTCTCCTTATAGAGATCCTTCACTTCCCTTGTTAGCTGTATTCCTAGGTATTTTATTCTTTTTGTGGCAGTTGTGAATGGGAGTTCATTTGTGATTTGGATATTGGCCTGATTGTTGTTGGTGTATAGGAATGCTAGTGATTTTTGCACATTGAATTGTATCCTGAGACTTTGCTGAAGTTGATCACCAGCTTAAGAAATTTTTGGGATGAGACAATGGGGTTTTCTTGATATAGGATCATGTCATCTGAAAACAGGGATAGTTTGATTTCCTCTCTTCCTATCTGAACATCCTTTATTACTTTCTCTTGCTTGATTGTCCTGGCCAGAATTTCCAATATTATGTTGAATAGGAGTTGTAAGAGAGCATTCTTGTGCTGGTTTTCAAGGAAAATGCTTCCAGGTTTTGCCCATTTAGTATAATATTGGAAGTGGGTTTGTCATATATGGCTCTTACTATTTTGAGGTGTGTTTCTTCAATACCAGTTTATTGAGAGATTTTAGCATGAAGGGATGTTGAATTTTATTGAAAGCCTTTTCTGAATCTATTGAGAATAATCATGTTGTTTTTTTTCTTTAGTTCTCTTTATGTAATGAATCACATTTATTGATTTGCGTATGTTGAACCAACCTTGCATTCCAGGAATGAAGCCTACTTCACTGTGGTGGTTAAGCTTTTTGATGTGGTGCTGGATTCAGTTTGCCAGTATTTTGTTGAGGATTTTTGCATTGATGTTCATCAAGGATATTGGCCTGAAGTTTTCCTTTTTTGTTGTATCTCTGCCAGGTTTTAGTATCAGGATGTTGCTGGCCTCATAGAATGGGTTAGGGAAGAGTTCCTCCTTTAAAATTTTTTGGAATAGTTTCAGTAGGAATGGTACCAGCTCTTCTTTGTACATCTTATACCACATTTTCTTTATCCACTTGTTGGTTGATGGGCACTTAGGTTGGTTTCATATCTTTGCAATTGTGAATTGTGCTGCTACAAACATGCATTTTCATAAAACAACTTCTTTTCCTTTTGGTAGGTACCCAGTAGTGGGATTGCTAGATCAAATGGTAGTTCTACTTTTGGTTCTTTATGTAATCTTCTTACAGTTTTCCATAGTGATTGTACTAGTTTACATTCCCATCAGCAGTGTAAAAATGTTCCTTTTTCACCACATCCACACCAACATCTATTGTTTTGGATTTTTTAAAAAAACGTTTTAATTATGGCCATTCTTGCAGGAGTAAGGTGGTATCTCATTATGGTTTTAATTTGTGTTTCCCTGATGATTAGTGATGTTGAGCATTTTTCATATGTTTGCTGGTTGTTTCTATGTCTTCTTTTAAGAACTGTCTATTCATGTGCTTTGCCCACTTTTTGATGGGATTATTTGTTTTTTTCTTGTTGACTTGTTTTGAGTTCCTTGTAGATTGTGGATACTAGTCCTTTGTTGGATGTATAGTTTGTGAATATTTTCTCCCACTCTGTGGGTTGTCTGTTGTTTACTCTGCTGATTATTTATATTGCTGTGCAGAAGGTTTTTAGTTTAATTAGGTCCCATTTATTTATTTTTGTTTTCGTTGCATTTGGTTTTGGGGTCTTAGTCATGAATTGTTTGCCTAAGCCAATGTCCAGTAGAGTTTTTCTGATTCAGGTGTTAGATTTAAGTCTTTGATCCATCTTGATTTGATTTTTGTTTAAGGTGAGAGATGGGGATCCAGTTTTATTCTTCTACATGTGGCTTGCCAGTTATCTCAGAACCGTTTATTGAATAGTGTATCCTTTCCCCCAATTTATGTTTTTGTTTGTTTTGTTGAAGATCAGTTGGCTGTAAGTCTTTGGCTTTATTTCTTGGTTCTCTATTCTGTTCCATTGTCTCCATGCCTATTTTTATACCAGTAACATGCTGTTTGCTAACTATAGCCTTGTAGTATAATTTGAAGTCTGGTAATGTGATGCCTCCAGATTTACACTTTTTGCTTAGCCTTGCTTTGGCTATGTGGGCTCTTTTTTTGTTCCATATGAATTTTAGGATTTTTTTTCTAATTCTGTGAAGAATGATGATGATATTTTGATGGAAATTCCATTGAATCTGTATATTGCTTTGGATAGTATGGTCATTTTCTTAATATTGATTCTTCCTATCCATGAGCATGGGATATGTTCCCATTTGTGCATGTCATCTCTGATTTCTTTCAGCAGTGTTTGGTAGTTTTCCTTGCAGAGATCATTCACTTCCTTGGTTAAGTATATTCCTAAGTATTTTATTTGTTTTGCAGTCTTTGTAAAAAGAGTTGCATTCTTGATTTGATTCTCAGCTTGGTCATTCTTGGTGTGTAGCAGTGCTACTGGTTTGTGTACATTGATTATGTATTCTGAGACTTTATTGAATCCATTTATTGGATCTAGGAGCTTTTTGGATGAGTTTTTAGGTTTTCTGCGTATATGATCATATCACGATGTGTTATCTTTTTGATATGCTGTTGGATTTGGTTAGCTAGTATTTTATTGAGAAGTTTTCCATCTATATTCATCAGGGTTATTAATCTGTAGTTTTCTTTTTTTGTTATGTCCTTTCCTGGTTTTTGTATTAGGGTGACAGTGGTTTCCTAGAATGAATTAGGGATGATTCCCTCTCTCTCTATCTTTGGGATAGTTTCAGTAGAATCAACACCAATTCTTCTTAGAATGCCTAGTAGAATTCAGCTGAGAATCTGTCTTGTCCTGGCTTTTTGTTGGCAGTGTTTTTATTACTGATTGAGTCTTACTGCTTGTTATTGGTCTGTTCAGAGTTTCTATTTCTTATTTGATCTCGGAGAGTTGTATGTTTCCAAGATTTTGTCCATTTCCTCTATATTTCCTGATTTGTGCATGTAAAGGTGTTCATAGTAGCCCTGAATGATCTTTTTTATTTCTGTGGTATTGGTTGTAATGTCTCCAGTTTCATTGCTAATTGAGCTTATTTGGATCTTCTCTCTTCTTTTCATGGTTAGTCTCACTAATGGCCTATCAATTTTGTTTATCTTTTCAAAGAATCAGATTTTTGTTTCATTTATCTTTTGTACTTTTTTGTTTCACTTTCATTTAGTTATACTCTGATGTTTGTTATTTCTTTTCTTCTGCTGGGTTTGGGTTTAATTTGTTCCTGTTTCTGTAGTTTTTTGAGGTGTGACATTAGATTATCAATTTGTGCTCTTTCAGACTTTTTGATATAGGCATTTAATGCTATGAACTTTCCTTTTAGCACCACTTTTGCTGTATTCCAGAGGTTTTGATAAGTTGTGTCACTGTTATCATTCATTTCAAATAATTTTTAAATTTTCATATTGATTAATCATTCAAGAGCACATTATTTAATTTTCAAGTATTTGTTTGATTTGGAGGGTTCCTTTTAGAGTTGATTTCCAGGTTTATTCCACTGTGGTTTGAGAAGATACTTCATATGATTTTGACTTTCTTAAATTAATTGAGAGTTGTTTTGTGGCCTATCATATGGTCCATCTTGGAGAATATTTCATGTACTGAAGAGAAGAATGTATATTCTGCAGTTGTTGGGAAGAGTGTTCTGTAAATACCTGTTAAGTCCATTTGTTCTAGGATATAGTTTAAGTCCACCATTTCTTTGTTGACATTCTGTCTTGATGATCTGTCTATTGGGAGTATTGAAGTCCCCCACTACCATTGAGTTGCTATCTATCTCATTTTTTGAGTCTGGTAGTAATTGTTTTATAAATCTGGGAGCTCCAGTGTTAGGTGCGTATGTATTTAGGATTGTAATGTCTTCTCATTGGACTAATCCTTTCATCAATATATAATGTCCTTCTTTGCCTTTTCTTACTATTGTTGCTTTAAAGTCTGTTTTGTCTCATATAAGAATTGCTATTCCTGCTTGCTTTTCATTTCTTTTTGCATGGATTATCTTTTTTCACCCCTGTCCTTTAAGTTTATTTGAATCCTTATGTGTTAGGTGAGTCTCTTGAGGACAGCAGATATTTGGTTGGTTGTTTTCTATCCATTCTGCTATTCCGTATTTTTTAAGTGGAGCATCTAGGCCATTTACGTTCATTGTTAATACTGAGATGTGAGGTACTATTCTATTCATCATGTTACTTGTTACCTAGATACTTTTTTTACATTGTATTATTGTTTTATAGGCCCTCTGAGATGTATGCTTTAAGGTGGTTCTATTTTGGTGCACATTGAACTTTTGTTTCAAGATTTAGAAGTTCTTTTAGCATTTCTTGTAGTGCTAGTTTCGTAGTGGCAAATTCCCTCAGCATTTGTTTGTCTGAAAAAGACTTTCTCTCTCCTTTATTTATGAAGCTTAGTTCTACTGGCTATACAAATCTTGGCTGAAAATTAATTTGTTCAAGGAGGCTAAAGATAGGATCCCAATCCCTTCTGGCTTGTAAGGTTTCTCCTGAGAAATCTTCTGTTAGTCTGATCGGTTTCTCTTTATAGGTCACCTGATGCTTTTGTCTTACTTCTGTTAAAATTCTTTTCTTCATGCTGATTTTGGTTTGCCTGATAACTATGTGCTTTTGTGATGATCTTTTTGTAATTAATTTCCCAGGAGTTCTTCGAGCTTCTTGTATTTGGATATCTAGATCTCTAGTAAGGCCAGGGAAGTTTTCCTCAATTATTCCCTAAAATAAGTTTTCCAAACTTATTTGTTCTTTTCCCTCAGGAACACCAATTATTCTTGAGTTTGACTGTTTTATATAATCTCATATTTCTTGGAGACTTTGTTCATGTCTTTTGAGTCTTTTTTCTTTATCTTTGACTGATTGGGTTAATTTGAAAGCCTTTTCTTTGGGCTCTGAAATTCTTTCTTCTACATGTTCTAGTCTATTGTTGAAACTGTCCATTGCATTTTGTATTTCCTTAAGTGTGTCTTTCATTTCCAGAAGTTCTGATTGGTTTTTCCTTATGATATCTATCTCTCCGGAAAATTTTTTATTCATTTCCTAGATTAAAAAAATTTCTTTATGTTGGTTTTAACCTTCCTCTGTTATCTCCTTGAGTAACTTAATAATCAACCTTCTGAATTCTTTATCTAGCATTTCAGAGATTTCCCTTTAGTTTGGATTCATTAATGTGGAACTCGTGTGATCTTTTGGGGGTGTTATAGAACCCTGTTTTGTCATATTGCCAGAATTACTTTTCTGGTTCCTTCTCATTTGGGTAGACTGTTTCTTCAGATTGTTCTTGAATTTATTTTTGATTTAACTCTGTTTTTCAATGAGTTCCTATTTTTCCTTTTAAGGATCAGACTTTAATGTTTATAGTTTATTATAGCCTAATTTGATTCTTTGTACTGTTAGGGGTAAAGACTCTGTATGAGTTCCTAAGTTGTAGACTTTGTGCACTGGCTTTCCTAGATGCTGGTTGTAGTAATTATGTGTTTGGTGTGTGGGCAAATTCACTGTCTTCTATTGGGTTGGAATGGCAGGGATATCTTGAAGCTTATCTCATTCTCTTGAGGTGCAAACTTTATTTATTTATTTAATTTTCCCCTAGTATTTTATTTACTGAGTTGATGATTCACGCTTCAGGCCAGTAGGGGGGGTATCCCTGAGTAGGAACCAGTTGTAGCTAGGTCAGGTGCGTAGATGTAATACCCAGTGCTAATACCTAGAGGTCCCAGTCTCCATGAAGGTGGCTGGGGGAGCTCTCAATTAGATGTGCTGAGGTTTTTATCAGGGAGAAGGGTGGGAGCTACCTCAGCTCCTCTGCCAGGCCAGCAGGAAAGGAATCCACCTCCCAGCCTTACTCCTATCCCAGAGTTCCAGCTATTCAGATCAGACAGGCATCTCTTTTCATCTGTAGGAACGTTGATGTTCCAAGTAGGGAGGAATTGTCACTCTGCCTCTTGTGCAAGCCTGAATCTGGGGAGTGCTCCTCCTGTGGGGCTACAATCATTCTAAATTGTTCCAGGAAGGCTGTCTATAGGTTGATGCCCTCCATTTTCTCATCTGAAACAACCTGCTCCCACTAGCTCCTGCCTCTTAGATCACGTTGTCCTGCATGAAACCTCTTTATGCAGCTTTCAAATATTGCCAAGATGTGATGGGCCATGGTAGAAATAAGCAGAATGTGCTAATTGCCACATTTTCTCCTTAAAAGGAGAAAACAACAGCATCTAGCTAACATTATTTACTGAAATTGTTTTGGACCACTGAGAAAATAGGGCCAGAGAGTTTCTCTATAACAGGAGATAGCAAGAGGGTCTGAAGAGAGCACAAAATCTGAGCAATGGGAGGGAAAGTGGTAATTCCAAATATATTATTTTAAGTCATCATGAGGAAATGAAGAGAGTAAGATGTGTAAGAAGTGGAGGTTGGTTTAATATCTTTGCTTTAATAACCAAATCACATAGCTAGTAAATTGGGAAGTGAAAATTTAAACTTGGTCTTGCCTGATACAGCATTAAGAAAAAGGAAAGGACAGAAAGTTTTTCTTAGTAGCAAGATAATGATTAATATGTAGAATATCCAGTGACTAGGAATATTCATTGGTGATCGTTTTCTCATTTTATCAAGGAAAATGTTCACTTCTTGACTATTGCAAGTTTCTTCCTGACCATTAAAGTAATAATAACTAGCTAGAAGTTATTGTGCCCTTATATGTGTCAGTGTCTGAGTTTAAACAAGATCTGCTTTAACTTGGATGCTTTTCGACAAAGCAGTTTTTACTCAAATTGCCTGCCACGCTATTATACCACTCAAGAGTGGCCAAGGGCTATAGGCAAAGTAGCCATGCCTATGGCACTTCTCAGATCAACAGGGACCTTCTACTGTTTATGTACAATTAGAAAAACATTTTTATTATTCTCTGTTTATACCTGTTCATATGAATAAAATAAATGTTTCCTTGGTTATGGGTATCACCTACTTAGTGATATTTACTTTCAAGTTTTATGCCGTTGAATTGCTGACATACAATGTGTGTTATGATGGAATCAAGGGTTTATCCTGTACCCCTTCAGCCACCATGTCAGTAGGGAACAGCAGAGCAAGCCTGGGAAGGTCACAGGAGTTGAAGGGGCTGCAGGAGGTCCGTGAAATGGGAAGTCAATATGTGCCCGATGTCTGAGGAGGAGGTGTTTGACTATAATTAATGTTTGGATTAGGAGGATTTGGCAGGAGGAAGAAGTTTTGACTCTAACCTTTATGCTAATGAGCCTGCTCCCTACTTCGCGGAGAAGCTGGGAGCTATGGAAGAGAACTTCCACAAGCTCCTGCTTCCATGTCTTTCCCCTTACCCATACCTGTGTTCCTGTAACCGACCTTTTCTCATGCGACTCTGCTTCCATGGTCCTGGTGAAGGCCACCCCTCCTCCTGTCTGTCCATTTCCTCAAGGGCATCACTCCAGCAATTCTCTGTCATGTATCAATTTCTACACCTCCATTAGTTTGCTTCTACCAATTTACTAGCATTCTGTCATTTTTCCCATTAGAAAAATAATCCATGAAAAAGAGGACTTGGTACATAGCAAGTGCTCAGAAAATGCTTGTTCAATGAATAAATGAATGAATGAATAAATGAATGAAAGCACTTAAGGGAGTAAGGCTTTTGTAATAATTTAGGGGTGGGCTGATTTGGACTTGTTGGCAATGAGAATAAAAAGAAATGGGAGGTAGGATATACACTTTGAAGAAAGAATTAAAAATCCTTGGTTAGTTATTCTATACATATGTAATACAGGAGGGGAAATAACCTGTAATTTTAGGATTGTGTGTTTGATAATAAGATTATTTTGTGGTATAACTGATAAGGATATAGTTGATAGAAGTGGTTTGTTTTCCTCCTTCAAGTATTTTTATTTCCATTTTTTCATATATCTTTTTTTCTAAGAATAAAAATCTTATCATCTTAATATTAGATATGTGCATTGGCCAGGGAATGTTTTCTTTTAAGATTTATAACTAATGGTAAATTATTAATGTTGAGCCTGAGACGAATTTGCCTCTGTTCACTATGAGTTGTAATTACTCTTTGGAGTCAACTGAGGGCTAGAAAGAGGTGACCCAGAGTTAAAAAGCATTTAGCCCACTTTGCCCAGGGCATCTGAAAGCGTTACTGTGACCTCTGCAGCAGCCGTTAGGTCCACTCAAGAAATAGCTAGTGCACTATGGACTACCTAGACATGGAATATACTTTGCCAGAATTCCCTCAATAAGTAGATTATTCCCACCTTCCTCTTTCTCTTTCAGTCTTTCTTTCTTTCTTTCTTTTTTTTAAAAACTGTGGCCAGGCACGGTGGCTCACGCCTGTAATCCTAGCACTTTGGGAGGCCGAGGCAGGCAGGTCACAAGGTCAGGAGATCTAGACCATCCTGGCTAACACGGTGAAACCCTGTCTCTACTAAAAATACAAAAAAAAGAAAAAAAAAAAATAGCCGGGCGTAGTGGCGGGCGCCTGTAGTCCTAGCTACTCCGGAGGCTGAGGCAGGAGAATGATGTGAACCCAGGAGGCAGAGCTTGCAGTGAGCCAAGATCATGCCACTGCACTCCAGCCTGGGCAACAGAGCGAGACTCCGTCTCAAAAAAAAAAATATTGTAACCGTATTTTATTTGGTTTGGGACATTTCTTCAAGTAGACATACAGTGTACATTTGTCATATTTTCTGGCTGGTCAGTTAATCTTATGAACTCATTTCCTATATCTGGGGGGGACTTCCTACCTTATGAATATCTTTTCCTTAAGCAAGTCAACAGAAAAATGTGTAATCTTAGCCTCCTTGCAGCTGAAACACAACCATGTGACTTAGACTCCATCAATCAGATTACGTCAGCAAGACTTGGATTTGCAAGTGAGAAATGGGAGAAAGTATGTATTGGCTAGAGTCCAGTTTGGGCCAGGGGAAAGGGTGGTGTTGGAAGATGGCAGGATTGGGTCTACTTTCCACTGTCAGTGGTACAAGTTGTGCCTGACCCAATACAATGTTGGCTAAAGCTTTGTCCCTCCCCGTATGGCCTTCAAGCCTGACTGCTGGGTACTCCAGGGACTTTGTAAGCTTCCTAACAGCCTTTAATAAGTGTTTTCCTGTGTAAATGAACTTTAATGCTTCTATAGCACAAGGTACAGTGGTAATGGTTTTTAATGTAGCACAATAAGGATTAAAGAAAAGAGGGGACATTATGTGCACATTCTCCAGTTTCTTCTTCCTGTAACAAAGTGGGTGTGATGGTTAATACTGAGTGTCAACTTGATTGGATTGAAGGATACAAAGTATTGATCCTGGTTGTGTCTGTGAGGATGTTGCCAAAGGAGATTAACATTTGAGTCAGTGGGCTGGGAAAGGTAGACCCACCCTTAATCTTGGTGGGCACCATCTAATCAGCTGCCAGCATGGCCAGAATATAAGCAGGCAGAAAAGTGTGGAAAGAGAGACTGGCCTAACCTCCCAGCCTTCATCTTTCTCCCATGCTGGATGCTTCCTGCCCTTGAACACTGGACTCCAAGTTCTTTAGTTTTGGAACTCCGACTGACTCTCCTTGCTCCTCAGCCTGCAGACTGCCTATTGTGGGACCTTGCAATTGTGTAAGTTAACACTTAATAAACTCCCCTTTATATACATATCGATTCCATTATCTCTGTCCTTCTAGAGAACCTGGACTAACACAGTGGGAGAAGAATGCAAAAATAGCTCTGGATCTTCATGTAGTTATAATTAATAGTAACAAGTGACATTTTGTGAGCACTAACTATTTCAAGTTACTGTGCTTTTCAGATATTGTCTAATATAATACTTTTGGTGGTCCTATGAGAAGAGCCATCATTATCTCTATTTTTAGAAGAGAAAAAATGATGTTTAAGCAACTTGCTATCTTAGCCCGGGTTCCATAGAAAACGGAGCTTACATGTGAGCTTTTTATTGGAGAGGAGAGGTAGTAATCCCAGGGTAGTGAGAGTAAGGAAAAAAACAAGAAACAAAGAAGGGAAGGAAGGACAGCAAATACAATGTACTGTTACTGAGCTTGTCACAGCTTTATTAAGAAGCAGCATTTACTTGGTCATGGGAGATGTCTCTGGACAGATCTTATGGGACTTCTGTGCATTAGAAGAGTCGATTGTGGGAGGGAAGGAAGAATAATTCATTTCCTGTCTCTCATTGATGAAAGTTTGCCCATAGGCCTTATTTAACCTCCAGATTCTTTTGGTTACTCAACCCCACTGGAAGTGTTGTGGGGGCGGGAGTATGCAGCCAGCACCTCTTGTAGAGCAGTTGGCAGGGGCCTGGGTACAGAAGCTGCTACAGCTCTCACCAGACTGCCATGAGGGAACTCATGCTGGAAGCCAGCCCTCACCCTAAGAAGCCAGACAGCTGAAAGTGTTAAGAAATGGGACTGTCCATTGAACAGGCTACCAAAAGCCGGGGAGGCAGTTGGGACAGGACAGATCTGGGAAGGGAAATACTTGACAAGAGACATCACTCTTGTCTCTGCCTCACCTGGCATTCTCTGTGTGTCTATGCCTGTGTGTCTGTTTTCTCAGTACAGTAGTCATATTGGATTAGGGCCCACCCTTATGCAGTATGACCTCATCTTAACTTGATTACCTCTGCAAAGATCCTCTTTCCAAACAAGATCACATTCACAGGTACTGTGAGTTAGGACTTCAACATATCTTTTCAGGGGACACAATCCAACCCACAAAACTTCCTGATGATTAGAGAAGACATGGATAGAATTTGCAGAGAAAAGGAAGTGATTAATTTAGTTTTGAGTATGTTGAGTTTGAATTGCTTTTGAGATGGTAAGACTGTTATGTCCAATAAGCAACCCAAATATGTTTCTGGAGCCTCAGGGGAGTGTTTCTGGCTGGTAAGGAGACATAGGGTCATCAGCATCTGTGTGAAACTTGCTGTGAAATAGACAAGTGATGAATAAAACCTTGAGGAGCCACAATGCTTAAGAGGCAAACACAGAGACAGGAAGGTTGGGGTGACTTACAAGGAGTAGGCAGACAGGAAGTTCAAAAGAAAAAAAACTAGAAGAAAGTAGTGTCAGACACGATGTGAGAAAGTTCCCAAGGAGGAACGCAATGCTTTTCTAAGCTCAGTAGTATTACAGAGCAGCCAGGTATTGAGAATTGTTTTTATATGGTGATTTCATATGCGTCCATGTAAAGGATGGAAGAGTATCCCTTGGATGTGCAGATGGACAATGGTTATCCAGAGAGGTTTCAGGGGAGTGGTAAGGGCTGGGGTACAGGGGGATCATGACAAGCAATGGTAGGTAGAACTGTGGCAACAGCCAATAGAGGAAAACTGTGCTATGATGAAATATGAGAACAGGAGGTGTGGTTAGAAATCAGGAGACTTGACGATCCTTGTTTCCAGACAGGAAAGAGCCGTTGATGGAGGAAGAGGATAAAGATGTGAGAAAGGGAGCAAGCAAGGGCTCAGAATGCAGCTCCCAGCTTCAAACACAGCACCTTTGTTATGGCTTCTTCTACATGTTGAGCTTCTGCACATTATTTAATATGAAGAAAGGGTTCTAGAAAATCATTGGAAACTGTTGAATTAGATGTCCTAGCTCTAAAAAGTTCTATTAATTATTAATTATACCTCTACACTGAGTAATTTATAGTAATAGCTTGAATGACCACATTCAGATAATCCTGGGCTATTTAAGGTCATGTTGCCAAAAAAAAACTTAATAGGAATAATTATTAAAGATGTAATTATTTGCATTTCAGTTCCTGACTAGCTCTTACAATTTGGACATGTGTAAATTTCAGCTTTTAAATTTTGGTTTGTGTTTGAAAAATAAAAGCATTTCTCAGCTGAACTATTAAAATATTTGTAGAGTTTTTTTTTACATGAAAATGAGATTTTAATACTGGTTCAATTTTTAAGCCATATATTACAGTTTAACCAAAATATATTTTTATAGCTCTCTGCTTAAGTAAAGTTATGGGTAGTAATACCTCTTTGTGAAACACATGTATTATTTATTATCATTATAAAAGAAATTCATGTTGGTTGGAAGAGTTTGAAAAAATGTATATACATATCAAGAAAAAACTAAAATCACAATCACATATAATTTCACCACCTGGGGCTAAGAATTATTTCGATGTTTTTCATTCTTTTGTATTATGAAATATTTCATATGTGTAACAAATACCCATTTATGCATACTAGGTTTTACTACATTATGGCTTTATTATATATTCTTAAGAAAAGGTTTTTGTTTTGTTTTGTTTTGTTTTTTTGAGACGGAGTCTCGCTGTCGCCCAGGCTGGAGTGCAGTGGCATGATCTCGGCTCACTGCCACCTCTGCCTCTCAGGTTCAAGTAATTCTCCCGTCTCAGCCTCCAGAGTAGCTGGGACTACAGGCACCGGCCACCATGCCTGGCTAATTTTTGTATTTTTAGTAGAGACGGGGTTTCACCATATTGGTCAGGCTGGTCTTGAACTCTTGACCTCAGGTGATCCACCTGCCCCAGCCTCCCAAATTGCTGGGATTACAGGCATTTGCCGCTGCGCCTGGCCAGGAAAAGTTTTTTGAAGAAATAATGTTACGGAGTCAATTGAAGGCTCCTCTTCATCCTACTTCCCCTTCCTACCCAGAGGTAACCACTATCTGGAAGTTTTCCACTATCTGGAAAAAGTATGTTTTTATACTTTTACGATGTATGTAACTATTCATTCAACATGGAGAAGTATCACTAGTAGCTGAAAGCACTGCCTCAGCCAAGCCCTCCCTAAGGAGGTCTCAACTGGGACTCCTGAAAAGGGCCTGAACTGAAGCCTCTGAATGGAAGTGCCTGAGCTAGGAAAGCAGAGAAGCCTATGAGCAGGGCTAGTGGGGGTGGAGGGACCAGGCAGTGAGTTCTTGGCTGCAAATCCCTCCAGAAGCTGTAACATACTAGCTGTGTACCAAGTCTGATGTGGAGATGGCAGTTTCCCCCAATGAGGTCTGCCGGGCAAAGCCTTGTAACTGTCTAGGGTCCTGCCTGAAAGATAATACATAGGATTTTGGCCTGCAGCCATACTCCTCAATATGGTAATTCTATGTTTAACTTTTTGAGAAACTGCCAAATTGTCTTCCAAAGTGACTGCACCATTTTCCATTTCTACCAGGAATATGTGAAGGTTCCAATCTCCTACATGTTTGCCAATAGTTATTATTTAATCTGTCTTTTGGATCATAGCCACACTAGTGGGTATGACATGGTATCTCACTATGGTTTTTCATTGCATTTTTCTGTAACTCATGAAGTTTAACAACTTTGTTTTTGCCCATTTTTAAACTGGGTTACTTGTGTTTTTATTATTGAGTTATAAAAGTTTTTACTTATTTTGGAAAGCAGATATGTATCAGATATATGATTTGTAAGTGTGTTCTTCTATGTGTTCTCTTCTCATTGTCTTGATAATGTCCTTTGAGGCACAAAAGTTTTCAATTTTGATGAAATCCAACTTATTGATTTGGTTGCTTGTGCTTAAGAGTCATTCTAGGAAACCATTGTGTAATCCAAAATCACAAAGACTTACACCTATATTTTCTTCCATAAGTTTTATAGTTCTAATTCTTATATATAGGTCTATGACTCATTTAGCATTAATTTTTGCATATGGTATGAGGTAAGGTTCCAACTTCATCCTTTTGCATGTGTGTATCCAGTTGTCCCAGTACCATTTGTTGAAATAACTTCTTTTCCTATTGAATTTTCTTGTCATTATTGTCAAAAATCAGTTGACCATATATATAAGGTTTATTTCTCAAGGGCTTCTCAGTTTTATTTTATCAATCTATATGCATATCCTTATGCCAGTCTCACACAGTGTTAATTACTGTAGCTTTGTAGTCAGTTTTGAAATCAAGAAGTATGAGTCCTTCGTTCTTATTTTTCAAAATTATCTTGGCTGTTCTGTGTCCCGTGTGTTTCTAGATAAATTTTAGGATCATCTTGTCAATTTCTGCAAGAAAAAAAAAAGCCAATTGTGTTGAATCTGTAGATCAATTTGCCAATTGTGATAGGCAGAAAAATGATCCCCCCACCCCCGCAAGATGTCTACATTCTAGTATAATCCCTAGACCCTATGGATATGTTATGTTACATGGTGAAGGGGAATTAAGGTAGCAGATGGATTTGAGGCTACTGGACCCAGTGTAATGACAAATGTCTTTAAACATGAAAAAGGGAGGCAGAAGATTAAGTGCCAGAGTGACATGCTGTGAGAAAGACTTGACTGGCCATTGCTGACTTTGAAGATGAAAGTGAGCCATAAGCCAAGGAATGTGGGCAGTCTCTAGAAGCTGGAAAAAGGCAAGGAAATAGATTCTCTCCCAGAACCTTCAGAAAGAAATGCAGCCCTACCAAAACCTTGATTTTAGTCCAGCAAGAACCAATTTAGAGCAATTCAGGACTATAAGATGTGTGTTCTAAACCACTGAATTTGTGGTGATTTGCACAGCAACAAGAGGAAACTAATGCAGCCATTTAAACAATGGCAAGTCTTCTAATTTCTGAACACAAAATGTCTTTCCATTTATTTAGGTCTTTTTTAAAAAACTTTTTTCAATGATGTTATGCTCTTTTTAGTGTACAAGTCATGTACTTTCTTTGTTAAATTTATCCCTAAGTTTTGGGTTTTTTTGAAGCTATTGTAAATAAATTGTTTTCTTAATTTCATCTTGGATTGTTCATTGCTAGAGTATAGAAATATAATTTATTTTTGCATATTGATTTTGTGTACTATAAACTTACTGAACTCATATATTAGCTGTAATTTTTTTGTGAATTTCTTGCAATTTTCTACACAAAATATCATAGCACCTGCAAATAGAAATTGTCTTACTTCTTTCCTTCCCATCTGGAGACCTTTTATTTCCCTTTCTGACTAAGTGACTCAACTAGAAATTCCAGTGCAATGTTGAATGAAGTGGTAAGAGCAGACTTCCTTGTCTTATTCCTGATCTGAAGAAGTGTTAGGGGAATATAAATTAAAAAACAAAATCTCTTGCCAACCCAGACAAGCTCAACCCAAAAGTAGAAAAGAAAACAGTTTGGATTTTTGAATAAACATGAAACCAGATGTCATTTTCAACATAGGCAATCCACTAAAGAGATAGAAAAGACAGAAAGAAATCTCATACAGCTAAGCAGATGTAACCCTTGTCATACATGTTCTCAAGATAAATGATAACTAGTCTTCAAGCAAGAGGACTTGACTCACCATTTGTCACACACAGTTCATCCTAAATTCATCTGATAATTGGGGTAGGCATCTGTGTTTACTAATTGCCTTAATCCAAAAGAAAAACAAATCTATTATATCTTTATGACAGGAGGTAGGTTTGTAGTTTGGACCCAGGTGCCTGCTGAGTTAGGCTGCACCCTCCCATGGAAACTCCCCTGGTAGGTGCATGGTCTTCCTCATTGGCTTCATTTCAAAGAGATGGTGGCTACGCCTTTAAGGAAAAGGTTCCTGGGTTATAACACTGACAAGAGGCTTATTTAAGTTTTGGAAAGACTTACAGAGTTCATTTTAAAGAGGCAGAGAAAGAATGAACAATTATAAATTTTCTAAGGCATACGCACTAAGAAAAGGTGGAGAGTGTGGAAAATCTCTTACCCTTCTTGTGTTGAGGGAGAACATAGGTGGTTGTATGTATATGTGTGTTTTTCAAGATTCATGTTATTTACCCGTCTGAGTGGAAGCTGTTGGTCTTTACCGTGAAGCACAATGTTACCTGAGAATTGTGCAGATGTCTTTCATTGGGCTGAGGATGTTTCTTTCTGTTCCTAGCTGAGTGCTTTTATCACGAAAGACAGTTGGACTTCGTCAAATGCTCTTGTCTGCATTTACTAAGATGATCCTTTTTTTTTTTTTTTTTTTAGACTTCATTCTGTTAATATGATGTTTTACCTGGATTGATTTTCGTATTTTAAGCCGTCCTTGCTTTTCTGAGACAAATCCCACTTGGTCATGGTATACACAGTAGTCCCGTCTTTTTTTTTTTTTTTTTTTGAGATGGAGACTTGATACGTTGCCCAGGCTGGAGTGCAGTGGCGTGATCTCGGCTCACTGCAACCTCCGCTTCCCAGGTTCAAGGGATTCTCCTGCCTCAGCCTCCTGAGCAGCTGGGATTAAAGGCATGCGCCACCAAGCCCGGCTAATTTTTGTATTTTTAGTAGAGGCAGGGTTTCACTGTGTTAGTGAGGCTAGTCTCAAACTCCTGACCTTGTGATCCGCCCGCCTTGGTCTCCCAAAGTGCTGGGATTACAGGCGTGAGCCACTGCGCCCAGCCCACAGTAGTCCCTTCTTATCCATGATTTCACTTTCCACAGTTTCAGTCAACTGCAGTTTGAAAATAGTAAATGGAAGATTTCAGAAATAAACAATTTGTAAGTTTTAAATTGCGTACCATTCTGCGCAGTGTGGTGAAATCTTGCACTGTCCTGCTCCTTCTCACCTGGGATGTGAATCTGCTCTTTTTCCAGTGTATCCACACTGCATGCTCTATCTACACAGTAGTCACTTAGCTATCTCAGTGATCAGGTCAACTGTCATGGTATCTCAGTGCTTCTCTTCAAGTAACCCTTATTTTACTTAGTAATAGCCCCAAAGCATCAAAGTAGTGATGCTAGAATATTGTTATAATTCTTCTATTTTGTTATTAGTTATTGTTAATCTCTTACTGTATCTAATTTATTAATTAAACTTTATCATAGATATGTATATCTAGGGAAAAAAGTTTGTATAGGGTTTGGTACTATCTTTGGTTTCAGGCATCCACTGGGGGTCTTAGAACATATTTTCCCTGGATAAGGGGGTACTACTGTAATTCTTTTTATATGTTGCTGGGTTCAGTTTACTAGTATTTTATTGAATATTTTTGTGTCTATATTTATAAGGGATATTGGTCTGTTTTCTTTCTTGTGATTTTACTTGCCTGGGTTTTGTAGCAGGTTAATACTGACCTCACAGAATGAGTTGGGAAGTGACATGATTTGGATTTGTGTCCCCACCCAAATCTCATGTTGGATTGTAATTCCCAGTGTTTGAGGTGGGGCCTGGTAGGAGGTGATTGGGTCATGGGGGCGGATGTCCCACTTTGGTGGTGCTGTTTTTGTGATAGAGTTCTCACAAGATCTCATTGTTTAAAAGTGTGTGACACCTCCCTACTCTCTCTCTTCCTCCTGCTCTGGCCATGCGAAGATGCCTGCTCCCACTTTACCTTCTGCCATGAGTCAAAGTTCCCTAAGGCCTCCACAGTCATGCCTCTTCTATAGCCTGTGCGCCACTTAAAACTTTTTTCTTTATAAATTACCCAGTCTCAGGGATTTCTTTATAGCAATGCGAGAGTGGACGAATACAGGATTTTCTTCTTTGTTTTGTAATGTTATGCTAGAGTTGGGTTGGAAAGTAAATCATGATATGTAGGGTTAAATAAAACCCATCTGAGGCCATGACTCACCAGATGCCTTAGATAGGAATTTGGGCAAGATAAAAAAATCAGAGGTTAGTCATCATTTTCATTGTCCTTATTTTCTAAGAAGCCTGTCAGTAAAATTTTTTTATCTTTATCACTCATAAGTAATTTATAAAATGTTTTTTATTTCAAAGTTTTTGGTTTTTTCTCTTTATTCAAAGCTTATATTTTATTTGGCTTTACTATGTCAGAATACAGCTTGTACAATTATAGTTTAGAATAAATTGATAAATTGTTCATACTCTGATGATTCAGATAATCATTGCATAGCATTTATCCCCAACTTATTGGTTTAATACAATAATAATAATTTATTTGCTCAAATTCTGCAGTTTGAACAGGGCTTATTAATAACAGCTTATCTCTGCTCCGTGAGGCATTAACTAGGGCAACTTAACTGGAATGGGAGGAATCTCTTTTAAGGAGGATATTGGTACTGGCTTTTGGCTGGGAGCTTACCTGGGGATATTGGCTGGGTTCTTGGTTTACTTCCATGTGTTCTCTTTAAATGGCTAGACTGGGCTTTGGTTTTTTCAGTATCGTGGTTGGAATCTGAGAGGGAATGTTCCAAGAGGTAGAGTTCTGAAAATATAGCCTGCATGTACAGGCATGCATCACAATTGCTAATGTTCCATTGGCTAAAGCCAGTCACATGGCCAAAACCAGAAATAATGTATGGAGGGACTATACAAGGGCATATATACTAGTAAAAGTGTTTTCTCAATAGATCACCAAAGAATTTGCCACACCTGATATATAGAAAAGTTTATGTAAGTTTTATGAATTCCTTGAAGATAATGTGTTTTGTTTTTAGACTGCAGTACTCAATATATATTTATCCAACTATATTTACTGTATTGAATTTGTAATGATACTGTCTAGAATTATTTGTCTTTTCTTTGACTATTAAGGACCCTTCTCTTGGGCAGGGGTTCTTTTCTTTCTGTTTCTTTTCTTTCTCAATGACCCCATTCACAAAGCTGGTTAGTTTATACTTTTCATAAATTTGAGACAGTAGAGAAAAATTTTAAATTAATGTGTATGTCAATTTAAAATCAGTGAAACTTTAGTGTTGGTACAATCAAGGTATACTTTCTGATATGGTTTGGATCTTTGTCCCCACCTAAATTTCATGTTGAATTTTAATCCCGTATGTTAGAGGTGGAGCCTGGTGGGAGGTGATTGTATTATGGGGGCGAATTTCTCCCTTGGTGCTGTTCTCATGATGGTGAGTTTTCGTGTGATCTGGTTGTTTAAAGTGTGCAGCACCTCTACCTTCGCTCTCCTGCTCCTGCTCTGGCCACATAAAACGTGCTGGCTCCTCCTTTGCCTTCTGCTATCATTGGAAGCTTCCTGATGCCTCCCAAGAAGCAAATGCCATCATGGTTCCTGTACAGCCTGCAGAACCGTGAGCCAATTAAACCTCTCTTCTTTCTAAATTACCTAGTCTCAGGTATTTCTTTGTAGTAGTGCAAGAACGGATTCATACACTCTTTAAATGTGATAAACAAAATAAAGTACAATCCTTATTTCAGCTTTGTTTACCTTTTGCCTTTCTCTCATTTAAACTGCCAACATCCAAGGAAAGAAGAGTCAAAACTCATCTGAGTAAATATAAAGATATTCTATGCCTTATATTTTAAAAATGTATTGCATTTGGCAATTCTTATAACACACTGAACAGGTCATTTTCATATTGTATAAGAAAGGAAGTTAAGGCACAAAGCAAATATCTTGTTTTCCACAGTCCTACAATTTTGAAGTGTCATTTCATTCAGCCACACCAGGTCCATTGCTAAAATAGTTTATTCTCTCCATATAGAGTTGGCATCCCATGGGTTACCCAGATAGTAGTTCATTCCTAAATGGAACACAATAAATCTGGAACTAAATAAAGTGCTTTATTTCCCTCTGTTTTGAAAATCTATATTGTGCAGAAAGAGAGAAGAAAGGATTATCTTTATGTGTTCAGAGATTAAGACTAATTTTGATGGTGTTAAGAGCCGAAACTATGGAAGTTTTCAAGGGTAATGCTTTTAAAGAAAATAGCTCGCGAGACTTGCAGGGGTTGGAGCGGGAAGCCGGCCAAGAGGAAAGCTGGAGGCGCCGGTGGGGAACAGGTCGGAGTTGGAGCTTGGCCGGAAGTGGGACCGGTGCCTGGCGGATGTGGTCGTGAAGATAGGCACTGGTTTTGGATTAGGAATTGTCTTCTCACCTTCTTTAAAAGAAGAATGTGGCCATTAGCCTTCCGTTCTGGCATGGGATTAGGAATGGCTTACTCCAACTGTCACATGATTTCCAGGCTCCATATCTTCTACACGGAAAATATGTCAAAGAGCAGGAGCAGTGACTTCACCTGAGAACATCCCAGTGGGAGGACAAGAGAAATTATGTTTATTCCTCAGGAATACTGAAGTGCCGTGAAGTAAGCTGCCATTCTTCTGTAACAATGTTATCAGTAATGCTTTAAACTCCAGCACCTGGTTATGTATTCGAAACCAAGTCTGTTTCTTGTTTTGTATTTTCTCTCTGGAAATGGTGAGGAGGTGGTCTTAAATAAATTAAACAAAAATAGGAAAAACAAAAAAAAGAAAGAAAGTAAAAGCTGCCTGCATTGCATTTGAGTGACTTGAATAAGTAAAGGGAAGCTGAGGTAGGCCATTCAGCTTCTTGCTTACAGGAGGAGGGAAACTAGCGATTTAGTGCAGGTAAAATGGGAGTAAATATGGACTCTCACTTTTTAACTTTTACCTAGAAATTATTGATGAAAAAAGCCAAGCTCCGTAAAATACTTGAAGAGATTTGTTCTGAGCCACATGTGAGGACCGTGACCCGTCACACTGCCTCAGGAGGTCCTGATAACATATGCCTAGGGGTGGTTGGGTTACAGCTTGGTTTTACATGTTTTAGGGAGACCTAAGACATCAATCAACATACGTAAGGTATACATTGATTTGGTCCAGAAAGGTAGGACAACTTGAAGCAAGTGGCGTGGGTGGGATTCATAGATTTTCTGATTGATGATTAGTTAAAACTGATATTATCTAAGACCTGGAATCAGTGGAAACAAGTGTCTGGGTTAAGATATGGGATTGTGGAGACCAAGGTTCTTATCATGTAGATGAAGTTGCATAGGTGGCTGCCCTTAGAGGCAATAGATGGCAAATGCTTTCTATTCCTACCTTTAAAAGGTTCTAGACTCTCAGTTAATCTCTTCAGGATCAGAAAAAGACCTGGAAAGGGAAGGAGATTCTCTGCAAAATGCATTTCCCCCACAAGAGACAGCTTTGCAGGGCCTTTAAAAATATGTCAAAGGAATATATTTTGGGGTAAAATACTTTGATTTTTTTCAGGGCCTGCTATCTGTCGTGTGATGCTACACCAGAGTCAGGTTGGAATTTGGTATCTTATTCCTACAAAGATCAGTCCTAAGACCTCTGTTGTAATGTTAATGCTGATCAGCTGTGCCTGAATTCCAAAAAGAGGAGATTATAATGAGGCATGTTTGAGCACCCTTACCTATCACGGCCTGAACTAGTTTTTCAGGTTTCTTTGGAATTCCCTTGGCCTACAGGATGGGTCCATGGATTCGGTCGAGGGGCTTAAAATTTTAGTTTTGGTTTATAAAACCTAGGAGTCATATATTGGACAATTGCTCATTTTTTCAAACCTTAATTTTTGGTCACGTTAGTAGAAACGATGACCAATTATGGCAAACCAGAATGTCAACAAAGCAAAATACCAAGGAAAACGGCTTGTTGTCATGTCAGAGGTACAGACAGCAAAGATCAGTTTTAATAAAATGTGACTTAAAGTTCCTCTCTCTGAAACCCCTTCTTTCTTTATTCCCCCTACTCTGTCTTTTATCTTGTTACCAGTGGAGGGAGTCCAGGTTCTTGGCATCTTGAACAAAGAATTGGACAGAACGCACAAAGCAAGGAAAGAATGAAGCAACAAAAACAGAGATTTATTTAAAATGAAAGTATGCTTCACAGGTGGGAGTGGGTTGAGCATAGGGGCTCAAGAGCCCTGTTACAGGATTTTCTGGGGTTTAAATACCCTCTAGAGGTTTCCATTGGTTACTTGGTGTATCCCCTATGTAAATGAAGAGGATGAAGTAAAGTTACAGTCATTTACTTGGGGTATGCCCAATGTAAATGGAGAGGATATTTCCTGTCATAGCTAAAGTGTTTCCATTTAATTTAGTTCTAGGAAGTCAGCATGAATTGGCCTTATGTTCCCTGCCTCCACACTCTATTCTCCTGCCTCCGTCTCACACTCTAGTTTGAGGGAAATTACGATAAAGTTACTCCCTGTGTGGCCCTGGCCTCAGTATCTTATCAAGCTATTATCTTTTAGTCCACCACCAACCAACAGTCACTGTCAAACATACTCAAGCCCTGGGTTCCCCATGTTTTCACCCCTCTTCCTCATTTTCTCCTTATCTACTTCCCGGAAATAACTACTATATAACATAGAAGAATAAATCACTAATTGTGAGAACTCACACATTGGCCTCAGAGAAGATATTTTGGGTAAAGGACATTCCTTGGTCCTCAAATGTCATCAAATCTGTGTTTTCTGTTGACAGATGTCTTTGTATCTGCTCAGCAAATGGGAATAGGGAGACAGAGTGAAATTGGTTGTGAGGAAGCTGTCGAAGGCCATGGCCATTGGTTTTCGCATATTCAGTGAGGGAACTTCTGCTTCACAGATGAAAGAGGAATACATTTCTTTTGTTCTTCAGCCACATAAGATTACAGATTTAGGATCTAGTTTGTGCAGCATTTTTTGAGCAAATATGGTGATGATTCAGGTTAAGACATCTATAATTCTTAAAAGTCACTTTGAAATATGCGTTAGCTATCTGTTAAAATAAAAATACCTTATTTTGCTTAAAAATCTTAAAACACAGATTTTAATACTGTACCAAAGCAATAATCAAAAATTATTTACATGTTCATGAATTTGTTTTGATAGAACAAATTTTAATTTGGAAAATATTGTTGACTCTGTCCTCAGCGATTAAACCACACTGAAAAACAAATGTAATCTTTATCTTAAAACTGTGCATATCTGTCACAAAGGTATTTTTAGTCTTTAATCGATAGACATAGCATTTGGAACAGGAATAGATATTACAAATTATCTCTCTGTCTTACAGATGTGAGGAAATTAATATCTACCCAACCTCACCTCCAAAGTCAAACAGCCTATTAAGGCCACAGAACAGTTTAAAAGTCAATTCATGAGAAATGTTATTTTAAAAAATAGTCTGTTTTCTTCATGGCATCTAATAAATTTTCAATCAATCAATCAATCAATTAATTAGTATATTAGTTGTCTCCTTTACTGGAATGTAAACTTCATGAGGCCAGGTATTTTGTGTGTGTTTGTTTGCTCCTGTATTCTACTACGTGCTCCTGGCACATAGTATTGCTTGGAGATGAACGAGTAAACATGCCAGATATGGGTTTCCATGAACTAGGGGCAAAGATCAGGAGGGAGGCTAACATGGGTGGGACAGGGTGAGAGTAGGCTGCCACTCGTGTTTTGAGATCATACATGCTTTTACCAAACTGGACCTAATGGAAAGGACAACTGACACCCCTGTCACCACTACCAACATTTTTACCTATAATAGTAAAGGTTCTTGGTCTATCTGACTTTGACTTTAATAGACTGAGGGTCAACTATTTGGTTGTCCACTCAGAACTCCTCAGAATTCAGGAATATGACAGTCCGTTCTTCACTACCATATTTATTCTGCTGCCTGTTTTTTTCTAGCTCACTTATTGTCACAGTCCCTATGAAATGTGACAGATCTCTCTATGTAATAATAATGCCACTTTGCATTTGTATAGTACTTAGTATTTTTCATGGCACTTGCACATTTATTATCTCATGAACAGATTCTACATAAATTGGAATGTCGCATGAAATGATCTGAAATCAATTGTGTCATTCTGTCAATGTCCACTGATCCTAGTGGAGAAATGAAAATTGAGTCTGATTTGACTCATCATTTTGCAGTAAAAACAAGAAACTAATTAAAGGCAGATCAACAGCTACACTGGTAATCACAGGTCCTGGTTTGCATAATGCAGTGTCAGTCTCTTCTGCTTTTTACTGTTATGAAATTTATGTATATTAGATATAAAATGTTTCCCTAACTTGAAGAAGTATTGCATTAATCTATCAAATAATGGATTGGTTTTAGTTGTAGCAGTTATCTACCACTCTTTCATAAAAAGGACATTGACAACTCTTCCAGGTGGAGTGTCTTGTCACTCTGGTTCATAAAATGTTATTTAGAGGTCTGAATCATGTGTAGGGGTGAAGATAACTTCCTCCTTCCTCACCCTTCTGAAGGTTTGATAATTTGAGTCTATAAAACAAATGCATAATAGACAGATTGATAGGAGAAAGGTATAGAAATTATTACTTGCACATGTGTACATAAGAACAATATGAAATATGAAAACTCAGGAAAGGCCAGATGACTGAAGTTTTATACCATCCAGAAGTCGCAGAAGGAATAGGGGCTTGGATTGTGCAAGACAGGTTATGGGAGGGAGGGACAAGAAAAGGCCTGGCTAGTGAAGGTGGTCTCGTTATACAGAGTGCTATGGTTTGAAAGTTTGTTCCATCCAAAACTTAGGTTGAAACTTAATTCCCCATGTGGCAGTATTAGGAGATGGGACCTTTAAGAGATCGCTAGATCATGAGAGAAGAGCCCTTATGATCTAGTGCATCATGAGGATCCATTCATGGATTAAGGAATTCATGAGTTATTATGAGAATGGGACTAGAGGGAGATCCAAGTGAGCACCCTCAGCCCCTTTGCCGTGTGATGCCTCATGGTGCCTCGGGACTCTGCAGAAAGTCTGCACCAGCAAGAGGGCCCTCACCAGATGCAGCCCCTCATCCTTGGATTTTCAGCCTCCAGAATTGTAAGAAACAAGTTCCTTTTCTTTATAAATTGTCTAGTTTCAGGTATTCTGTTATAAGGAACAGAAACGGAAAACAGACTAAGACACATGAAATTTCACAGGTAGCAGTTCTCAGAAAAAATAGATGGTGGCCTGTGGTAAAATGTCTCTTATCAGACTTTCAAAGGTGTCATACTCTCCCTCTCATTCATGTGAGTTAATCTTTCCTGGATTCGGATAGGAGTGGGGTGGGGGTGGGCTCAGAGAAACCCTAGCTGTTTATTTCATGAATGTAGATTTTCTCTACAGATGCAAATATTCTCCACAAAAGACAGATTTTCAAGAAGATTTCTGTGGTTTGCAGTTCCTTTGAATAGCTATATGGAAATATGCCAAAGAAGTGTTTTTTGGGGGTGAGATATTCTGGTTTTGTTCACATGCATGTCCCTAAACACAATCCACAGGAGCTAGGTGACCTAATAAGAGGGTTTGGCATCTAGAAACCAGTCGTGGCCCACCTTTGCTGTGGGACTAAGGAGGCTATTCTGATGGCTTCTACTCCAGTTTGTTTATTATTTAACTTAACATTTACAGAGACATTTGGTAAAAATGTTTATAAAAACTAGGCCTGAATTTAACATTTCATATCTTCAAATGTGTTTTGTACTTTAAGCTGCTGCTTATATTTTAAAGAGCTTTTAAATCATTGATTTCATTGGTGGTTAAGGCATGTTAATGCATAGCTTCATGCAACATGAGAGAAATAGAAAGCATTTAGAGAAGTGTCCCAAATGCCCAATATAAACATCCTGCTTTGCTATTTTTGTAAAGTAAGTGCAGAAAACCATAGATAGTGTTTAAATAGCTCTTTTTGTGCCTTTCTAGAATAAAGATGACTTAAACACTAACAAAGAAGGGTACATGAATAATACTGCAATTTAGGATTGCCAGATGAAATACAGGGTGGCCAATGAAATTTGAATTTTGAATAAACACCAATGAACATTTTAGTTTATGTCCCGTTTACTGTATTTTTTAGCATATTTTTCAACTATTGCATTTTTAAAAGTAATTCAAATTTAACTGGCTGTCCTATTTTTTAGTGGATAAAGCTGTCAATGCTGGATGCCGTCCAAAAGCAGGCAGGCTCTCAAATTTGTGTTAAAGGTGTGCCAATTTCTTTTAGTGGCATAGTATATTATTCCACAGCTCTTGAATGTGTCATCTAATTCTCTTGTCTCTCTGTAAGAGGTTTGTGTTCAGAAAAGTTAGAGCTGTTTAGGTATCAAATCTTTTTAACTAACTGCGTAACGGCAGTAGTCATCTGTGAGCTGAGAACATTTCCGTGATGCCAGGCTTATAGACAGCACATGCTCTGAGGATAAGGTTTTGAGAGACTCTTCACATCTGGAATGATGTTGCCCATTGAATATCCCCAATTGTGGATCTTGCAGACATACATGAATTAATATATTCCAAATTGATGTCATTTCTTCCTGCACATCTGCTCCCCCTGTATCTGTGTTAATGACTCTTATACCCATTTAGTCACCAGAACCAAATACTTGGGATCCTAGAGAAGGAGGGGATCATCTTTCCCTTCTCTTTTTCTCTTCCCCACATCCAATCAATTCTGAAGTCCTGTGGCTTTCATCTTCTCATTTCCCTGATCACCACATTAGTGGGCTTGTCCAGGCTTCCAGTCTCTTTTCTGGCTCAATCCCTTTACTCCTCCATAGTGGAGAATGCCATAAGGCCGATCAGGGTGCTCTTTAATTTTTATGGCCCTTGTGGGACGAGGTTATATTTTATCAATGCTATTAAGTGCTTATAATAAGTAGGACCTCATAGAAGAAGATCAAGGCATGGATGGATCTCTCTACATTCATGATTCTGCCTAGTGTCTTCTCTGCTAAGCTATGCTTATCTCACCATATATCTGAATATTATGTTGCTCACTTTTTCCAGAAAATGCACCGAGATTTATATCCCCATGGTTTTTCCAAGTTTCCGCACCCTCATTAGTTCTCATTAACTCCTATCGTACCATAGTGATGGTTTTTTGAGCCATTTCTCGGCAACGGTTTACCAACCTTCAGCAACCATAAATATCCATGGACATGCACACAAACATTCACATACACATACAAACACACAGACATCCACAATACATGCATACACACAAAAATACACACACACACATTTTATTCATCCTATATTGCTACATGCTGTACAATGAATTATAATTAGAGCATCATTTGATTTTCAGTCTAAATAAATGGTACTTACTGGCACACAGACTTAATTATGTCACCTCAGGTCAGAATTTTATCCTCATGAGTTTAGATAGAGTTTTGCCTCCTTGAGTGCACAAATAGTGGATCTTAAACCTTCAGACAGAAGGTTTATGTTCTTTTTTCAGTAACAGTGATAAGTTAGTTCTCTTTCTCCTTTGTATTTAAGGTACTCCCGGGAGATGAAGGTGTGATAGCCAATACCTGAGAACTAAATGTACTTTTTAATAGACTCAGAATTAACACATTGCAGTGGGATGCAGAAATCCCTTTTCTCTCTTTACCTAGTGAAGCAAATATTATTGGATAAATAACTTCAATAAGATAGACTTACAGTAGTAAGTCTATTTTTATTTATTTCTAAAATAGACTTCGTAATAGTCTTCAAACAATTTAGCCCTCACTGTGTCCCAAACTCCTTGAGATTCTTTTATTAATATTTTCTAACACTTATTAAGGGAACATTTTCTTTTATGACATCTCTAAATGTCATTGTTTCCAAGATGCTATATCATTATATTGTCAATGAGTTACTTCTTCAATGATAGTTTTTCAATTTCTCTTAAGGTTTTAATTTCTTCTTCAATTTCTCATACCTGTGCCCTAGTATTTCTTTCAGCTCATTAGTGGTGAAAATAAGCTAGTTCTTATAAACCCTTAGTTGTCAAATATTATCATCTTATCTTTTGAGGAAAGAACTAGCATTTAGAGGATAAATTTAACTGCTAATGTGGTAATGCTGGACACACCAGGAATTAGGGGCAAATCTGAAGCCAGCAGATGTCCTGGAAACATTAGCTCTTGACATCAGAAAGGTTCCCTGGGATGCAGAGTAGTCACCCTGGAGTCTTGCAGATTAAGAAAAAGCTCCCATAGCACACACACATATTTAAAAGGATTGCTTGAAGTGACTAGGTTTGAAGTGCAAATGGCAGCAGAAGTGGAAGTAGAAAAATAAATAGAAATGTTTCCCAGGAAGTCATGTGGGGGCAAAGACAGTCACAGGCCCAGGGCTTTAAGATATCTCCCAGGGAGCTATCTTCCTGTTGCAGATGCTCAGGCCTTTGTCCTGCAGGGTTGTTTTGTACACCTCAGAAACAGTGCTTGAAATTCAAGAAAATAAACATTGTTGACTTGGGATGAGTTCTCCACTCTAATTTATAAAATAGGCAAATTGTTTAGAGTCCACTGCTTTAACCCTATTTTCGTCAGTGGTTTGTAACAGAGCCTTCATCTCTGTGCGCACTTGAGGGGCTTGAAGAATGGAAATTAGGTCTGCGAGTTACCAGCATATGGTTTCAATGGAAGACTTGGATGTGAATGAAATTATCCAAGGAGAGAGTAAAGTATGAAGAGAAGATGAATGAGTGAATGAAGGAGGAAGCCACTGAAGGGTCATTATATGGTATCTGAGAGGGAGGAAGGAACCATTTTTTCTAATATTGCAACTTGCCACCTTACCTCCTCTCCAGACCTCCTTTATTCTAGTCGAGTTTATTTTCCTATAGCATTTTTCACTTATTAAAATACAACATCATTTACTTTTAAGTTATTTTCTTGTGTTTTATTTTATATCTTCTCTGCCTCCTGTCCCTTACTAGAAAGTGAGCCCCATGAGAACAGATTCCAAGCAGGTAGAAGAGTGACTAGTACTTCTACTAGTCACTAGTGCTTAGTCATGTTTACTGGCTGAGTGAAAAACATAGCAGTGTTTCAAGAGGAAAGTCTGCTACAAACTGAATGCTTGTGTCTCTCTAAAATTCTTATACTGAAATCCTAATCTGCAACGTGATGGTATTAGAAAATGTGGCCTGTGGTAGGTGATTAGGTCATGAGGGCTCTGCCCTCACCAATGGGATTAGTGCCCTTATAAAAGAGACATTGAAAATTTATCTTTTTTTCTTGTAAATTTGTTTGAGTTCATTGTAGATTCTGGATATTAGCCCTTTGTCAGATGAGTAGGTTGCGAAAATTTTCTCCCATTTTGTAGGTTGCCTGTTCACTCTGATGGTAGTTTCTTTTGCTGTGCAGAAGCTCTTTAGTTTAATTAGATCCCATTTGTCAATTTTGTCTTTTGTTGCCATTGCTTTTGGTGTTTTGGACATGAAGTCCTTGCCCATGCCTATGTCCTGAATGGTAATGCCTAGGTTTTCTTCTAGGGTTTTTATGGTTTTAGGTCTAACGTTTAAATCTTTAATCCATCTTGAATTGATTTTTGTATAAGGTGTAAGGAAGGGATCCAGTTTCAGCTTTCTACATATGGCTATCCAGTTTTCCCAGCACCATTTATTAAATAGGGAATCCTTTCCACATTGCTTGTTTTTCTCAGGTTTGTCAAAGATCAGATAGTTGTAGGTATGCGGCATTATTTCTGAGGGCTCTGTTCTGTTCCATTGATCTATATCTCTGTTTTGGTACCAGTACCATGCTGTTTTGGTTACTGTAGCCTTGTAGTATAGTTTGAAGTCAGGTAGTGTGATGCCTCCAGCTTTGTTCTTTTGGCTTAGGATTGACTTGGCGATGCGGGCTCTTTTTTGGTTCCATATGAACTTTAAAGTAGTTTTTTCCAATTCTGTGAAGAAAGTCATTGGTAGCTTGATGGGGATGGCATTGAATCTGTAAATTACCTTGGGCAGTATGGCCATTTTCACGATATTGATTCTTCCTACCCATGAGCATGGAATGTTTATCCATTTGTTTGTATCCTCTTTTATTTCCTTGAGCAGTGGTTTGTAGTTCTCCTTGAAGAGGTCCTTCAACCCCATCAAAAAGTGGGCGAAGGACATGAACAGACACTTCTCAAAAGAAGACATTTATGCAGCCTAAAAACACATGAAAAAATGCTCATCATCACTAGCCATCAGAGAAATGCAAATCAAAACCACTATGAGATACCATCTCACACCAGTTAGAATGGCAATCATTAAAAAGTCAGGAAACAACAGGTGCTGGAGAGGATGTGGAGAAATAGGAACACTTTTACACTGTTGGTGGGACTGTAAACTAGTTCAACCATTGTGGAAGTCAGTGTGGCGATTCCTCAGGGATCTAGAACTAGAAATACCATTTGACCCAGCCATCCCATTACTGGGTATATACCCAAATGACTATAAATCATGCTGCTATAAAGACACATGCACACGTGTGTTTATTGCGGCATCATTCACAATAGCAAAGACTTGGAACCAACCCAAATGTCCAACAATGATAGACTGGATTAAGAAAATGTGGCACATATACACCATGGAATACTATGCAGCCATAAAAAATGATGAGTTCATGTCCTTTGTAGGGACATGGATGAAATTGGAAATCATCATTCTCAGTAAACTATCGCAAGAACAAAAAACCAAACACTGCATATTCTCACTCATAGGTGGGAACTGAACAATGAGATCACAGGGACACAGGAAGGGGAATATCACACTCTGGGGACTGTGGTGGGGTGGGGGGAGGGGGGAGGGATAGCATTGGGAGATATACCTAATGCTAGATGACGAGTTAGTGGGTGCAGCGCACCAGCATGGCACATGTATACATATGTAACTAACCTGCACAATGTGCACATGTACCCTAAAACTTAAAGTATAATAAAAAAAAAAAAAAAAAAAACAACAACAAAAAAAAAAAAAAAAAAAGAAAATTTATCTTTTGAGGAGAAAATGGAAAGCTGTCCTCCAAACAAGTGCAGGTGCTGGCTGTGGGGAGTGAAAGCACACCAAAGATAGGAAATGCAAAAGGGATTTGAGGGGATATGGGTGGAACACTCACAGCTTGTGCTTTGTGATCTTTTGGAAATATGAAGCAAATCTTCTGAGATCTCAGTAGATGAGAATATGAGAAATTTGTCTGTGGGGAGCCAAAGACATTTTCTGTGTTGAGCATGTTTTCTTCTTGTTAAAGCATTTTTTTTTTAACATGAGCAGTTGATAAAGGGATGGCAGGGAATACTTTTTGTACATTTAGAACCGCAGAGCCCTGCGGAAGTCTCAGCCCCAATTCCCCCATTTCCGTATTATTGAACTGAAAAACACTAAATATGAAAATGCTTAACTGATAGACCTAGAAATCATACTTTTCTTTGCAAATACATACTATAAATCTTAAACTAGGAATTCTTCTTCCTCTCAAGAACAGTAATTTGTTGATTATTTTTAAGTCAATACTGATGTATACCTGTCTTGATTGTTTTGATGCCAATTTATAAATTTCTTTATACCTTAGCCATTGTCAAAGCTAACTATATTAATCTTTACTCCATTAGAGTACTGAGGCCAGACCCAAGTACTTATTATGGAACTGAATTAGCAAGCTACTTAATTTAGGGTGTGTGTGTGTTGAGTACTTTTAGTACTCTGTTTTTTAGTGTACATATATGTTAGAGGAAGCTTCTATTAGTACAAAATGTTCAAGGGAACTACACTCGCCTTCACAAAAATTAAATCTAATTAAATTAAAAAATAGATTCATGAACCGTTGCAAATTATTTAAATGTTGTTTAAATTGTGTGGCAATTTCAGAAGCAGTGAACATGGTAGATATTGTCATTTCCCGCAACATATTTAAATATGGTCTTCCCCCTACTTTATATGCTAGAGCTGAATAGCAAAGGGAAAGGCTCTATCAGTCAGTTTTTTTCCAAATTAACACCTTATCATTAGTCACCACAAAGTCTCAGTGGCATTCAACTTCAGAGTCACAGGTATGTGAGCCTGCTAGGCTAGTTCTCCTGCACCCTGTTGGTATATGGGTTGTCTGGGGGCAGACTGGTTCTGTGTGTCTTATGCTGGGCCCAGGCTGCAAGGGTGGAAGCTACCTGTTACACATTCTTCCTCTGGTAGTGGACCGAAGCTCCTAGAAGGATAAATGGAAGCCCTCAGTACCTGTTCAGACTGAGGCTCTAATCAGGTTATTGTCACTTCCACATTCCATTGGTGGTCAAAGGAAGAAAACACAGTCAAAGCCAAAAGCAGGAATGGATGATGAGCACTGCCCAGAAGAGGCTACCACAAGGATGGGATGTACAGAAGCTCCCAGAGCAGCAAAGAACTGGGGCCAGCAACTCCATCTACCACAGTGGGCTTGCTCTTTCTGGAAATAAACACCCTTGGATGCATACTAGGTGATACTTATATGAGTTACTGGTATTTAGTGCTTAAGCTGGAATTGATATGCTTCCTGGTTCATCTAAGGCTGGGAAATTTCAAACAGACTTTTTGATATCCTTTCCTGAAATAGTGATTAAGTTAAACATTTCAGATACTTAAAAAATAACTCCAATAAAGCTTGAAAATTGGATCTTTCTGAGCGGATTCTCCCTTCCTTAGCATGTATTAATGTCCTTATTTTACTTCAGCCCCGAGGTACTGAAGAGTGAGCCGTATGGGGAGAAGGCTGATGTCTGGGCAGTAGGCTGCATCCTTTATCAGATGGCGACTTTGAGTCCCCCCTTCTACAGCACTAACATGCTGTCCTTGGCTACAAAAGTAAGCAACGCTGGGAGACAGAAGGGTCTCGTGTAGCTAAAAATGCAATTCTTTTTCTTATTAAACAGATCTTTGTGATTTGTATATAACTGCCCATTAAAAGCAAGAATTGTTTTTATTAACTGCATGATCCAGTTTATTTTTTCCGCTTTCTTCTAAATATATATCTCATGTAATGGCTTATTTCCCTCTATAATTGTCTTTATTTATAATACAAAATTATTTTTAAAAAGACGTTTGGTCTTCTATTATTTATTTATTTAATTTATTTATTTTTGAGACAGAGTCTCACTCTGTCAGCCAGGCTGGCGTGCAGTGACATGATCTTGGCTCACTGCAACCTCCGCCTCCTGGGCTCAAGCAATTCTCCTGCCTCAGCCTCCTGAGTAGCTGGGATTACAGGTATGTGCCACCATGCCCGAATTTTTTATTTTTTTTTTTAGGTTTCACCATGTTGGCCAGGCTGGTCTTGAACTCCTGACCTCAGGTAATCCACCCACCTTGGCCTCCCAAACTGCTGGGATTATAGACGTGAGCCACTGCGCCCAGCTGGTCTTTTATTTTTAATTGCAGTCTGGACTACTCACAATCCAGCACCTTATATTATCCCATACACCATTTTATTATGAATCTAAGGTTAATTTTTAACTCAGCTTGGATAATATAATTCCAGTTCAAGAGCTGTTTAATTGATGCAAATGTTTTATTTGGTCGGGATTTCTGACTAAAATTTATGTGTGAAGTTATCCTGCTTAATTAGTAACTCTCAGGTTATGGTCAAGTATTAACTATTCAAAGACATCCGTGGCCCCTTTACTTCCATCACTCTAGTCTGTTTGTTTTGCAGATAGTGGAGGCGGTATATGAACCAGTCCCAGAAGGTATCTACTCTGAAAAAGTAACAGACACCATCAGCAGGTAATTAGTCTTGCGGCTTCAGACATGTAGGGACAATCAAGAAATACCTCATTTCTATAATAAATCACTATTTATGGATAAAAGGTCATGAAGAGAAAGAGTCCCTACATAATCCAAATCTAGAAAGATGTTTGTGCATCATCAGTAACAGTGACTATTTGGATGCTACTTAAGTGTCCAAGAGGAAGTAGAGCGTTCACTTATTATGCAACCACTAGAACGATTATTTGGAAGGGTTTGTAACAACCTGTAAAACACATTATGATATGTGGGTAAGACAAATATGATGTAAAGCTGTTTGTAACCATGACAAACCTCATAAAAATATGCAAAAAATTGGAAAAAGGCCAGACAAGAACACATGAAACAAAAAGCCATGTTAGATGATAAAGTTGCAGGTACTTTTTAATTTCCATTTTTAAACTGATAATGTGATTTATCATAATTTTTCATAGAGAATCAGGAGCTCCAGCTATCACTATAGCAGGAGTTTAATGAAAGTCATTATTTAGTTGTACTTCCAAAGTTTTGGCCAATCCCTGCTGGCCTGTCACCCATGCTCCCTCCCACTTCCCCTTCTGTTTTCTCTGCTCCAGCCACATGGTGCTTCCCACTAGTCCTGGCATGCACCCTCCTTCTAGACTTTTGCCCTTGCTTTCATGGTTTCCTAGAACTCTCTTTCCTCAGATATATGTGTGACACAGGCCCTCACTTCCTCTGGGTCTCTGCTAAAATGTTCCCCACCCTGATGGCCCCACTACCTCACAGTACTCTCTAACCTCCTTGCCTGCTTTAAAAAGCTCACAGCACTCATCATCCCTGACATATTATACATGTGCATACATGAGTTTTGTTTATCGTCTGTCTCTTCCCCACCAAAATGGAAACTCAAGAGCAGGGACTTAGTCAGTTAATTTGTAGCTTTTATTGCCCAAAGCAGTGGCTGGCACAGAGTAGACCCTTAATAAATATTGCTTGTATGAATAAATGACTCGTGTATCTGGCTGATTGCTATTTCTGTACCATCTTGGGTACTTAAGTTGCATCTTGAGTACTTAAGTTGGGTACTTAAGTTGATGGGATTTCTCCATCCCATCAAACTGAGTATTTTGGATTGTAGAAATTCTAGAGTCACCCCAGATAGAATCTTTTTTCATCTGCCTTCTGAGTCTTTTAAAACTTGGGTTGGTATCTATACTAGCACTTAGCCCCATCTCTGATGAACTATAATAGATGTATTATTGTGGCTGTACCCCTTTCCCTTTGATTTATCCTTCTAGCCCATTGTTTGTGCTAATATTACTCCTCACCTGTTTTTGTAGGATGATATCTAAACCTTTCTTTCTTTGGCACAATACTAATCTACAGTCTTATTTTTTTAATTGATTTTTTTAAAATTTTTAAGTTCAGAGGTACATGTGCAGGTTTGTTATACAAGGTAAACTTGTGTCATGGGGGTTTGTTGTATAGATTGTTTCATCACCCAGCTATTAAGCCTAGTGCCCAATAGCTATTTTTCCTGATGCTCTCCTTCCTCCTGCCCTCCACCATCCAATAACTCCCAGTGTCTGCTGTTCCCCTTTATGGATCCAGGTGTTCTCATCATTTAGCTCCCACTTACAAGTGAAAACATGTAGTATTTGGTTTTCTGTTCCTGCATTAGTTTGCTAAGGATAATGGCCTCCAGCTCCAGCCATGTTCCTACAAAAGACATGATGTTGTTGCTTTTTATGGCTACATAGTATTCCATGGTGTGTATATACCATATTTTCTTTATCCAGCCTAGAATTTATGGGCATTTATGTTGATTCCATGTCTTTGCTATTGTGAATAGTGCTGCAATGAACATATGTGTGCATGTGTTTTTATGATAGAATGATTCGTATTCCTTTAGGTATAGAGCCAGTAATGGGATTGCTGGGTTGAATGGTAGTTCTGTTTTTATGTCTTTGGGGAATCACTACACATTGTTTTCCACAATGGTAGAACTAATTTACACTCCCACCAACAGTGCATAAGTGTTCCTTTTTCGCTGAACCTTTCCAGCATCTGTTATTTTTTGACTTTTTAATAATAGCCATTCTGACTGGTATAAGATGGTATCTCATTGTGATTTTGATTTGCATTTATGTAATGATCAGTAATGTTGAGCTTTATTTCATGCTTGTTGGCTACATGTATGCCTTCTTTTGTGAAGTGTCTGTTCATGTTCTTTGCCCACTTTTTAATGGGGTTGTTTTTCTCTTGTAAATTTGCTTAAGTTCCTTATAGAAACTGCATATTAGACCTTTGTCAGGTGCATAGTTTGCAAAAATTTTCTTCTGTTCTGTAGATTGTCTGTTTACTCTGTTGATAGTATCCTTTGCTGTGCAGAAGCTCTTTAGTTTAATTAAATCCCACTTGTCAATTTTGTCTTTTTTTGTTTTTTTTTTTTTTTGAGATGGAGTCTTGCTCTGTCGCCCAGGCTGGAGTGCAGTGGTGTGATCTCGGCTCACTGCAACCTCCACCTCCCAGGTTCAAGCGATTCTCCTGCCTCAGCCTCCTGAGTAGCTGGGACTGTAGGCCTGTGCCACCACACCTGGCTAATTTCTTTTTGTATTTTTAGTAGAGACGGGTTTCACGGTGTTAGCCAGGATGGTCTCTATCTCCTGACCTCATGATCTACACGCCTCGGCCTCCCAAAGTGCTGGGATTACAGTCGTGAGTCACCGCACCTGGCCCCCAACTTGTCAATTTTTGCTTTTGGTATCTTTGTCATGAAATCTTTGCCTGTGCCTATGTTCTGAATGGTATTGCCTAGGTTGTCTTCCAGGGTTTTTATAGTTTTGGGTTTCACATTTAAGTCTTTAATCTGTCTTGAGTTGATTTTTGTATATGGGGTTCAGTTCAGATTTTTGTAAAGGAGTTCATTTTCAGTTTTCTGCAACTGGCTAGCCAGTTATCCCAGCACCATTTGTTACATAGGGAATCTTTCCCCCATTGCTTGTTTTTGTCAGGTTTGTTGAAGATCAGATGGTGGTTGTACGTGTGCAGCCTTATTTCTGGGTTCTCTTTTCTGTTCCATTGGTCTATGTGTCTGTTTTTGTATCAATACCATGCTGTTTTGGTTACTGTAGCCCTGTAGTATAGTTTGAAGTCAGGTAGCATGATGACTCAAGCTTTGTTTTTTTTTTTTTTTGCTTAGGATTGTCTTGGCTATTCAGTTGCTCTTTTGGTTCCATGTAAATTTAAAATCCTTTTTTTAGTGGTGTGAAGAATGTCACTGGTAGTTTGATAAGAATAGCATTGAATCTACAAGTTGCTTTGGGCAGTATTGTCATTTTAATGGTATTGATTCTTTCTATCTGTGAGCATGGGGTATTTTTCCATTTGTTTGTGTCATCTCTGATTTCTTTGAGCAGTGTTTTCTAGTTCTCTCTGTAAAGCTCTTTTACTGGTTAGCTGTATTCCTAGGTATTTTATTCTTTTTTTGGCAATTGTAAATGGGATTGCATGCCTGATCTGGCTCTTGGCTTGACCCACAGCCGATGTTATACTGAATGGGCAAGAGCTGGAAGCATTTCTCTTGAAAATCAGCACAAGACAATACTTCAACATAGTATTGACGAGTTAATGGGTGCAGCACACCAATATGGCACATGTATACGTATGTAACTAACCTGCACGTTGTGCACATGTACCCTAAAACTTGAAGTATAATAAAAAAAAAAAAAGAAAGAAAGTACTGGTCAGAGCAGTCAGGCAAGGGAAAGAAAGGGCATCCATATAGGAAGAGAAGAAGTCAAACTATCCCTGTTTGCAGATGACATTATCCTGTATCTAGAAAACCCAATAGTATTGGCTCAAAAACTCCTTAAGCTTATAAACAACTTCAGCGAAGTTGCAGGATACAAAACCAATGTGCAAAAATCACTAGCATTTCTATATAACAACAGTGAAGCCGAAATCTACAGTCTTAAGGCCTCAGGCTCTGAAGACAGGCCTACCTGGGGCTAAGTCATGTAAACAGTTGCAAACTCTAAGAAGTGATTTGAGGCCAGGTGCGGTGGCTCACACCTGTGATACCAGCACTTTGGGAGGCTGAGGCAGGCAGATCACCTGAGGTCAGGTGTTTGAGACCAGCCTGGCCAACATGGTGAAACCCCATCTCTATTAAAAATACAAAAATTAGCCAGGCCTGGTGGTGTGCGCCTGTAATTCCAGCTACTCGGGAGGCTGAGGCAGGAGAATCACCTGAATCTGGGAAGTGGAGGTTGCAATGAGCTGAGATTGAGCCGTTGCACTCTAGCCTGGGTGAAAAGAGCAAAACTCCATCTCAAAAAAATTTTTTTAAATAAAAATAAAAAAAAAGAGTGATTTGACCATTATTTCTGCGTCCCTGTTTTCTGATCTAGTAGAATGAGAATCATAATAGTACCAGTCTCATTAGGCTGATGTGATGATTACACAAAGTAACATATGCAAATCACTTAGGATAGGGCTTGCAGAATGGTAAATACTTGAGCAATTTTGGCAATCATCATGGTTAGTATTATGGGAAATGAGACGAACCTGTCTTTAAATCATTTGATTCCACAAACACTGGATCATGCCTTGTTGCTAATGAATCCAAATATATTTAAACTGCTCATCTCTGTGATTTGTTCCTGTTGTCTGTTGTTTTTTGGAAAGTACATTAAAAATTGACAGAGTCGTCAGAGGTGTCAAGACAAAAGTACCATATTTGCTCATTTAATTTCTCCTTTTAATAGGTATTTGAGTGCCACAAAGGGCGAGGGAAAGGTAGCGCAAATAACAAGGTTCAGAGACGTTGCTTTGATTTTGTGAATCTGGGCAAATAGACTGTAAATCTCTTCTGAAACTAATAGACCCTGGCTATGGCTACCCAGGACTCTTGGGGTTAACATACTAGTAGGGGAGTCAGATAGCAACATTGGAGTGTAAAGGTTTAGAGCGTCACCAAGTTCTGGAGTCAACTAGATTCTAATGCCCCCTCTTCCACTCAATTTAATTTCCCTGAGGCCCAATTTTCTCATCTATGATGTGTGGGTAGCAGTAGTAATTACTTTGTAGCAGGACGAGCCACAGGCAAGAACCCCTCAGATGCTGAGTTGTAGAAGGAAAGGGCTTTATTCAGCTGGGAGCACCGGCAGACTCACGTCTCCAAAAACTGAGCTCCCTGAGTGAGCAGTTCCTGTCCCTTTTAAGGGCTTACAACTCTAAGGGGGTCTGTGTGAAAGGATCGTGATCAATTGAGCAGGCAGGGGGTACTTGACTGGGGGCTGCATCCACTGGTAATCAGAACAGAGCAGAACAGGACAGGGATTTTCATGATGCTTTTCCATGCAATGTCTGAAATTTATAGATAACACAAGCAGTTAGGTCAGGGGTTGATTTTTAACTAACAGGTCCAGGGCACAGTGCTGGGCTATTTGCCTGTGGATTCCATTTCTACCTTTTAGTTTTTACTTCTTTCTTTGGAGGCAGAAATCGGGCATAAGACAATATGAGGGTGGTCTCCTCCCTTAACTTCATGGGCTTGTTTTAAAGCTTAAATAAGATAGTGCTTCTGACCCACTTAACGCAGTACCCAGCAAGTGGTAGGCACTCTATAAAATTAGGTATTATTAGTATTAATAATGATATTGTATTATGTACAGAATGAAGTTTATAAAGCAAATTGTGATAAATGTGATGAAAAATGGTAAAGGGGGCAATGAGAGATTACAGAAGGACCTGTCTTACTCTGGGAATTGGCGAAAAGTTTCTCTGAAAAAAGGACGTGTAATCTGAGACCTGGAACATTCATTAACTCTCAAATAGTAAGCAGCATTTCGCAGACCAGTATCTGTGAAGGCTTTGCTGAGGGAAAGAGCTTCTCAATTTGAGGTTGCTTTTGGTTCAAAATACTAAGATGCCACAATAAGTTAGAACTGACAATTCAACTTTATATCTGATAATAAATTAAGATTGCAGGGTGCATTCTGTAATAAATTTATTTTCATTTAAAGTTAAGACTCCTCATTGTCTGGGTTTACATTCCAAATAAAGTTTTATCTTTAGAAAATTTGACTTAAAACTGAAATCAATCATGAATTATATGCAATTGCATATTTAATTTGCTTTGGATTTTCAGTATTAAAAAATTGAGTTCTGAAAGAATTAGGGAACAAACTCAAATTTTGTATTTTCTTAAAGCAACAATGCAAGGGACACATAAAGGCAAGTATTCTTAATGATCATTTATGACTCAGCAAAAGATCAGGCTCACAGCCAATCTTTAGTAATTTGATAGAGCCTTTGAAATAGAAGACAGCTCTTGACAGAAATGTTTATTATAATCATTCCTAAAAATTATATTGTTTCTAATCATATATATCTTCTTTCCTCTATTTTACTATCTTCTCATTATTTTTCACATCCTTGTCAAGTAGAGCTCACACAGTTTGCATTTCTAATGTGCAGCATCTTTCCTTTTTCCTGTTTGCTCATGTGGTATACAAGCACATTTGTTATTGAAACTTGTCTTTCCTAGCAGGCCTTCAAATTGGGAGAATAACTTAGCAACCCTGAGGAGTTTGGGGAAGAAAATAAATATATTTTTTTGTTCTGCTCGGTACTAGGATTACTATTTTTACCTACTAGTGTACTATTAAGAGAATATTGTCTGTTTACTTTTTAAAAAGGAAGAACATTTCCTTTTATGCATAAAATATTCTATTAAAATCATTGCCTTATTTTTCTTTCTCTGTGCCTGGTTGCATAAGCTGCCTGGTGCTTTGCTTCAGAAGCAGTCATGAGGACTAACAAAGTTAATACTTTCAGCTAGCTCCAAGGACAAATGGATCTTTATATTTTTCACCCCTTTCAATTCTTTGTATCTTAAAACATGACATGAATGTAATTGAATAAGGTATCCTTCTAATTCTTTCCATCTGGCCTTTCAGAGTGGAGTGGGGACAAAGTGGATGAGGTGAGAATATCCTCAATTTTTTTAGGACCAGATTTTATGCTTATTTGTTTACAGAATCATTGGTAGACAATCTTTAGCATGTATTATGACTCTGATTCAGTTGCTGTTAAGAATTTCTCTGAGGCCGGGCGCGGTGACTCACCCTTGTAATCCCAGCACTTTGGGAGGCCGAGGTGGGTGGATCACAAGGTCAGGAGATTGAGACCACGATGAAACCCCGTCTCTACTAAAAATACAAAAAAATTAGCCGGGCGTGGTGGCGGGCGCCTGTAGTCCCAGCTGCTAGGAGAGGCTGAGGCAGGAGAATGGCCTGAACCCGGGAGGCGGAGCTTGCAGTTAGCCGAGACTGCGCCACTGCACTCCAGACTGGGCGACAGAGCGAGACTCCGTCTCAAAAAAAAAAAAAAAAAAGAATTTCTCTGAAATGCCTAAGCAGGGAGTCATTTCAGAGCAACGAGACTATCCTGGAACTTCTGGTAGGAAATGTTCCTGGGAATCCAAAAGTCTATGGCCAAATATTTTGGGTTATGGGTAGGTAAACTTTTTAGATGTTACGCTGAGTTTGTTTGTGGATTTATTCATTGATTCATTCGTTCATTTGCTGAATACCTATCAGGACTCAGATTCCATTGTATATGCTGGGAGATCATAGTGAAGAGGACACATGTCCCTCTTCTCTAGAAGTTTCCAGTCTAGTGGTGAAACAGACCATTATAGTAAAATAATTACAATAGTTTTAAGTACTTAAGTGCAAATGGTGCAAAAAGAATGTACAAAAGGGGCTCAGGATATCTGTCTGAAGGCAGTCCAAAAGTATTCCTAATGGAGCCTGGAAAAATAGTGGGATTTTGGCAAGTATATAAGAGATGATGGCTGAGATGATGGCTGGGAAAGATAAGATACCATGGGCAAAAAAAAAAAAAAAAAAAAAAAAAATCAAGCATATGGAATAAAATAAGCAAAGAAATGGGGGTATAGGAGAGACAGGTGCTATTTGGGGAAGTGCAGGTAGCCGCATTGGATGTGTTGCTGGAGGAGGGGAAAGAGTGGAGGAAGTTAAGGGCCAGTTCAAGAGAGACCTTGTATAGCATTCTGGGAATTTTAATTTTATCCTATTGGACCATGAGAACTATTGAAGAATTTTGAGTAGAGAAATAATATAGTCAGATTTAGGAATAGTATTCTGGTTAGCAGTTTACAGTACAGACCAGAGGTAGGCAAGAAATGAGTGTGTTATTTAGGAGACTCTTTCAGTAGTCCAAGTAAGTGACGTTGTAATAGCCAAATAGCTGTGGGATTACAGGGGAAGGATGTGGATTCAAGAAATATTTAGAAAGTAGAAGTCACAGGACTTGGTGTTTGTTAAATGTAGGAAGGGATGGAGGATACATAAAAGTGTGGATTTTCTTTTCAATTTATTGAAATTTTACAATGCATGTGCACTTCACAGAGATTACCTCGTTCAAACACCATACCAGTTTAATGAGGTAGGTACTATAATTATCCCATTTTACAGGTGGGCTATCTGAGTCTTAGAAGCTATGTAACTTGCCCAGGATCTGACTAATAAATGGTAAATGAGGTTTTAAACCCCAGCAAAATGATCCAGAGCCTGCATGCTGAGTTATGATGCTAAACTGCATCTTCTTTGTGGTGCCTTTTCCAGTGATGGCAAATACAGGACCAGGAGAGTAACCTTGGGCAAGGAGATGACTATATGCTAGGAGAACGAAGGTCATTTCCATTCCCATGTACCATAATATGTAGCTATATAATTTATAAAACTAGTTTACGTTGCTTTTTTTTTATTTTTAAAAAAGTTCAGCTGATAGTTCAGCTGCTAATATTACCTTGAAGCAGCTTAAACATCTGCAGTCTAAGAATTTAGAATATCCACACTAATGAAAGGTTTAGACACTGGGCTTTTTTTTTTTTTTTTTCCACCTGCCAGTGAGTTGGCAGTGATTTCAGAAAGCAGCCAACCCATGCAGGAGAAGATGGTCCCATCTGCCCATCCTGAGACCCGAAGAGCATCTTCATGCTCAGCCTGGAACCCTTACCTTCCAGCCCAAGTGCAAAGAGAATAACGCTGACTCCTTTTCCTTCCTTAGCTTTCCAAATGCCTTTTGAGAAGTCTTGGACTCAAAGCTGTGCTTGATATCCATCTTATCCCAGGTTATCTTAGGTGAAAATACCATAGTGGACACACAGTGGAGTTTAACCTTGACCCTTTACACTCTGTGGCCTGCTCCCAACATTGACCAGAGTGTTATAATTATCTCATGTTATCTTAGGTGCCTCACTCCTGATGCGGAAGCTCGTCCAGATATTGTAGAAGTCAGTTCGATGATATCAGATGTCATGATGAAATATTTAGACAACTTATCTACATCCCAGTTGTCCTTGGAAAAGAAGCTAGAACGGGAACGAAGACGCACACAAAGGTATTTTATGGAAGCCAACCGGAACACCGTCACATGTCACCATGAGCTGGCTGTTCTATCTCACGTAAGTGCAAATATTTCAATCGGTTCATGATGCACTCTAATGGGCTGTCTGAAGTTGTTCATGCTTGTTTTAAGGAACATTCATCAAAAGTTAGAAAAATAGTTACATGCAATATTGCAGTAGTATAGTTACATATTTATATCCATTTCTGTATCTTATATACAAATTAAAATAAATATAACTGACCTTCCTAAGAATGAATCCATAATTTATTTTATTTTTGCAAAAATCGAGGTATCACAAAGTTCTCTTAGCGAAGTTTAAGTTACAGACTGTAAAATTAGCAGTGAATGCTTATATTTAATTTCTTCAGCAATCTGACTGCAACTTTTGGGAATATGTATGAATATGTGAGTTAATTCAGAGAAGGAAATAACATTTGCCTTTAAAATTTTTCGTATTGTACTTTGCAATCTCTTTCATTGCCATTTGTGGTATTAATAATGTTGCCATGCTTCAAATCAGAATATGTCTTATTTTTCTTGCCAAGAACCTTTAGATTGTTTTGATATTTAAGTATATTTCTGAACATTGCTTGGAAAAGAGATGCCAAAGCTACAAATATCCACATGTGCAAGCAATGGTGCCAGTGATGCTCTTGTTGCTGTCTCTTATTTTCTTTCTTCTGTGTCTTTGTTGCAATCACAATCAGTGTTCTGTTGTTTGCTCATGCTTTGGGCCTCCACCCAGTGGCGACCTGGTAAGGGGACTTTCATCCTTTTTTTTTTTTTCCTGTTCTGGGGGTGGGCCCAAGGCAATTGGATCATAAAACTCTTTCTTAGGGTACCTGGTCATTAAATTCCTTCCCAGGATCCTAAGGACCTGCTCCATCTCAGCTGGTAAAATTATGTATGAAGTTGGTCTCAAAGAGGCAGTTCTGATTTCTTGAATAACAGTGTTTCCAGTGAACTGCTTTCTGAAAAGAAGGAAAGTACTACTGTTTAGTGGGTTTGTCTTAAGGTATTTGGAATCCAGAAGTTGAAGACTGAATCTAGTTTTCATTTGGGAAGGAAACTCTTTCATCTTCATTGCCTTAAATGCTGAGCCTAGATGTAATTTTGCAGAACATTCCATGATGATTATTTAAGTTATATGTTTATGTAAAGGAGCATATAACTTGGAGTTATAGCCCTTACTGAACACAGTTAAATCTCAGAAGGGGAGTTAGAGCTCACTTTGCTTTTTATTTTACTACCTGACTTCATAATAACTAGGCAACAATGCATCATTCTATGTATGTCATGTTGCATTCTAAATAGAGTATTCCTAGTAGACTAAAATGCAAGAGATTTAGCTATTTCTATATATCTTAGGTATTTGGGGCCTTCTATTATTAAGTTCTGCACTGCAGAGTTACTTAGCTTATTTCCAGTTGTATGTGAAAGAGTCATTTCATATTAGATTCATGTGGCTGATTTGGGGCTGAGTGGCATTAGTTTACAATCTAACAGCAGAAAGTCTGTTATCTTTAGCAAAACACCTTGAGAAGGACCATTACTTATCTATTTATTTACACTTCTCAGCTTAAAAAATTCTTTATTATGGAAAACTTCAAACGTTTATAAATGCAAAGATTACTTCCTGTACCCATCCCAGCTTCAACAGTTAGCTATTAAGGGCTAATCCTGTATCATCTCTATTCCCACCTACTTCCTTCCTTCCCCAGATTATTTTGAAGTAAATCCCAGATACCATATAATTTCCTCTATCAGTATTTCCATATGTGTTTGGAGAGTCATTTTAGCTTTAGAAATATAGATTTCAGGCTATCGCCAGGTAAAATAAAGGGAAAGCTCTGAAACCAAGGGAGGGATTTTAATGTTCCAGAGGTTGTATACTCATCCGTAAATTAAGGGGTAGAGGATATTATCTACCTCAGAGAGTACTAGGATAAATGAGTTAATGTGTTTGAATATATTGTATGACTTTAAAAGTGGCATAAATTGTAAGATAGCATCAGTCATATAAATGAGCATAGCTTTTGTTAGAAGAATAGTTTGTTGATGGAACTTGTTAATCTAGTGCTGACTTGTCCAAGTAGTCTCTACATTAAATCCTTATGTCAGGCATACAGTTAATGCATATATATTAGCACCTGCTGCTAGCCAGCCTCAGTGCCCTCATTGAGCATTCAGGTTTTTATGGACCATAGAGAAATGCTTTACTTCAAAGCAAAGTTTATATTCCTGCTTTAAATAGTCATACAGTACTTTCTCCTTTCGCACTATTTTAAGTCTACTGATACATTTTCATTTCAAGGTTAACCAAATGTTAACTAAAAGGAAAAAATGCAGCTTTATTAAAGAAGCAAGAAGGAAGATTGCATTTCATCAAAAGACAGTATGCAGTTAATTGGCATTTTTCTCAGTGGGGACCAATTATTATTTTTAAAAACTTACATCTACACCATTGCTGAAGAAAAATTATAGGTGTAAAATTTTATGACTCTTTTTTTCTTAAGCAGTATTATGATTATCTCATTTCAGATATACTGGAAAGTTCTCCCAGAGCAGTTATTATCAATAATGCAGTTACACAATCCAGTGATAAATTATAGTCAAGGGAAAGAGAAATTAGTGGGTTCAGTAGAACTTTATGAATTCCCAATATCAATAAGGGGATCCACTGTGAATTACTGAAATTTTGCAAATTAGTGGGTAAGCAAACAATTGATAAGAAACATTAAAGGTTTCTATTTCATGGGGAAGTATTCTATTTACTTTCATATTTTAGTCTATTCTTAATTATGGCAATTTTTATAGTGGCCTAGTAAACGTAAGTACTAATATATATTTTAGAAGAACAGAGAAGTCTTCACTAAAAAGTTCACTCTATGTACTGTGGTTTACCCACTATGAAAGTGAACCAAACCTTTCCTTTTGAAGAATGTTTTCTGATTCTTATAACTTAAAATAAGAGATCATAAGGAGAGTATAGAGTTGAGAATGATAAGAATCATGTAGAGTAAAAGGAAATAAAATTTTAACTTAAATGTGTAATAATTAGAATATTGTCATGTAGAGGGTATTGTGGCATCATAATAGTGAAAATCGTTATCCATGTTTTGGCACTGTTCACAGTGTAGTGAACACAGAGAATCATTACCCTTTCGATCTTATATCCCTGGCAGAAAAATCAATTAAAGACATTTCTGAAGAGTCTACTGCTTATATCTTTTCCAACAAATACAATAGTGTGTATTAAAGAAATTCAGCCTGACAAAACCTGGAGAATCAATGGAAAACTTCAATTCCATTAGAATTATTGGGATTTTATAGAGACAGCTTTAGGCTAACATTTAAATGGGTGAAAAAAGCATATTTCTATGTGTACAAATGGAGCAGAATTGAGTGTTCCAGGGAGACTGAAGAGAATTAATGAGAGAAGCATGCTGTCAGTGTGAGACTTGCAGGAATCACAACTACTTTTCCAGTGATATTTGACAGGAAGTTTATCTTCACCACCCCTATTTAAAGGCTGAATGATGATTTCTTTTTACTAGTTTAATAAGTTTGTTCAGTTTGGAGAACTGCTTTCACATCTATAACAGAAAGAGAGAAAGATTGAAAATGCCTGTGGTATATAATTAATAATGAAGGAACAGGGATTTGTTGGATGTCTTCTGAATGTAAGGCATTATGCTTGGTATAGTGAAGCTTATAAAAAATTATAAACAATGACCCCATTCATGAAGTAACTGATAATCTACTTGGAAAGACAAGATAGATGTGCATATGCAGGAGGAACTTTCTAATGATTCCGAACATTTTGGGTAAATAAATGAGATGAGGGAAATGAATTAATGAGGCCTAGGGAGGATCTCAGAGCCAAACAAAGATAGGGTCTTGATAACTAAATAAGGAAGTCACTCCTGGATGGAAAAGAATAACGTTAAGTGCAGAAACTCCAGCTCAGCTCACTTAATACTAAGAATCAAACTTAGAAATGGAATTGTTTTATGTTTTAATTGCACAAGGAAAGGGAAATCAGGAGAAGTTAAAAGACTTGTCCAAGTTCATCCAGCTAGTTAGGGACAGCCCCAGGACCAAAAATTGGGTCTGCTGATTGACAATGCATATTTTTATATGTGTAGTTTGAAAAGCCTGGGGAAGTAGGCTGGAGCTAGATGATGGATGTTTGTGAATACCTCATTAAGCTGTTTGAATTAAATCCTGTGGGTAACGTGGACTAAAACGTTGAATTTCTCCAAAATACCTAACAAGCAAATTGACAGACTATGAACTAATTCTTTCTTTTTTTTTTTTTTTGAGATGGAGTCTCACTCTGTCGCCCAGGCTGGAGTGCAGTGGCACAATCTCAGCTCACTGCAAGCTCTGCCTCACTATGGGCTAATTATTTCTTATTGTACATACCCGCTTTTTAATGTTTTTTACCCCCCAGTGTTTTCCATTACACTCCTCTGTCCTGGTTTCTGTCTTCTCTCTTTGAATACTCTTCCTCATTTTCTCTTCCATCCCTGGCCTTTTAACTTTAAAGGTTCTGCCTCTCTTACGCTTCCCTTGGTTTCCATCTAGTCCCATGGTATTTCATTTCATATGAATTTGGGTAAAAATTGGTGTGCAAGATGGAAACTTTATTTTCTATAATTATATATCATTTTGTTTTGAACCCCTGTTTGTGCTGGTAGCAGAAAATGGTAGTAGTAGTCAGGATCAATTATGTCGTTCTCTTTTGGTCTAAAAGTTTCTTTGCCATCCCAAGGGTTCTCTTCTCCGTGTCCTCTTCCGAAGATGGCAACAGAGTACAGGAGAAAGCTTAAGCATCCCCATGTCGATGAGAGAGGGGCAGGGGCTCTGGACTTCTTCTATTGGCCCCTGCTGAACTTAGATGACATGAACCCTGTGATTTTTGGATGCTGACCTCTGTCCTTATTAAATGTTTATGGCATCTGTAACTCATGGCCTCTTTTATCATCATGGCTTAAACCCAAAGAATTACCCATGATGCCCCAACTCTCCCCTTGGGGTTACTATTTTTGATCCTCTGAGTCTTGATTGTGACTTTCTTGGCATTCTTAGTTTAAGCAGCCTACTCTGTGGTCCTCAGTGCAGTGATGGCCAAGTGAACTCACCTGCCAGCCCCAGAGCTGTCTTCTACATTGGCACAAGACACATGGGGGCTTTGGATTCCCATCCACACCACACACAGCCCATGGGGAACTCACTGGCACTAGGGGACCCTATCTCAGCCCCATCAGCTCCAGTGCCTTCTTCATCCTTTTCTATTCTTCTGTCCCAGGTGCCTACAATTCAATTATTCATTCAACAAGTATTTACTGAGTGCCTAATAGGTGTCAGGCACTATGTGTACAAAGTATACCACAGTTAGCAAAATAGACAAGGCCTCTGCTCTCATGGGCCTTATGTATATAGTGTTATGATGATCATGAAGCTTCTTCAAAGCTCCCGGTCTTTTCTGTCTGTGCCCCAGTTTCCCCCTCAAACTCTCCGTGTATCTCCATCAACAGCCCAACTCTAATCCCAAGGTTCGCATCTGCTGGAGTGGATGTGAGAAGGAAAAACAAGGAGGCTTGCACTTGCTCTTTCATTTTCTCTTCCTTCTGGCAGGCTCTTATTTTGAGCTCCAGAAGAAATTTCCAGTTCGCACCTTTCTGCCAGAAGCTACCCTTGCATCTATTATATCCTTCTTTTTCTCCAGGTATTCTTTTCCCCTGTCTTCTCCTGGGTCTATAAATCTCAGCCTCATAAACTGGTCTTAACAGTAGAAGAAAAGAGCTCTGGAGAAGTGCACAAAATTTTCTGCGAAGGCAAAATATGTTGGGATGTGTTTCGCAACATAATTTCCACACCCATTTGCTGGAGATCACCAAAGCTGCCTGTCTGATCTCAGTCTCTCTGTGTGCCAGACCTATATTTTGAACCGAACATTCACCTGCATGTCTAACAGGTACTTATGCTCGGCAAGTCCACAGTGAATGGATTCTCCTCCCTTGATCAGCCATGTTCTGTCTCCTCATATCACCTTAATTGTAACCTTGACATCTTCAATTCACTCTCTCTGAAATCCTGTATTCATTTTGTTAGCAAGCTCTACTAATTCTGTCTTTGAAATGTCTGGCAAATCCATCTTATCCTTTCAGTTCTCATTCTCAGTATCTTGCATTATATCATTGCAAGATCCAACTTTCTTGTCTCTAGTTTTTTCCTTACTTCTACCAAGTGATTCAGTCAGTATATCACCTCTGCACTGTCCACTAGGGGCCATTAAGGAATGTGTGTACTGGGGGTGGGGTGGTATAATTGTTGTTTATCACTGTTAGCAGCCAGGGATGCTGATATGTCATATACATTGACAGTCCTGCACAAAATGTGAGAAACAGAACGAGCAGTAGATACATATTCAGATATTTATTGCAAGGAACTGGCTTACATGATTGTGGGGACTGACGAGGCAAGTGCAAAATCCATAGGGATGGTTGGCAGGAGGAACAGGCTGGAAATCTTGGTCATGGGCTGAAGCTGTTTTCCACAGGCTGAATCTCTTCCTCATCTCAGAGATGCCTCAGCTCCACTTTGGAGACCTGCCACCTGATTAAATCAGTTCCATCCAGATTATCAGGGATCATCTCCCTCCCTTAGCCATCTTCCACATTCCTACCCAAACTATTTTCCAAAAAAAATATCTGATCTTGGTAAATTGTTTCATGCTTATGACAATAAGTAAATGCTCATGTAGTGAGTCCTAAAAATTTTCTCTAAGCTTTTGGTGAATCTAAAAAAAGATTCCTATGATAATTTGATATTGCCAGAGTCAAAATATGGCATACATAAGTGTCATCTTAAATTCCATCTACTTTGGAGGAGCAGGCTGGTAGAGCAATTATTAGCAAATATTATTTTTTAAATTCACAAACTGTTCATAACTTCACTTCTTTGTTATAAAATTCTTATTGTAGTTTTCTAATCTATGATTTTTAGCAGACATTGACAGATACTGATATTTTTCATAAATTCTCAGATGTCTTTAAAGTTGAGCATATAAGAATTGAACAGATATGTAAGCATCTAGATTCTCATTTTTTTAATGCAAATTAAAAAATGTGCTATTTATTTATCTGGGTTGCTTTATTTTTATTATACCATATGTCATTTACAATTGCTGAGCACACCACTAAAGTCATGTGTCTGCAATCCTCTGCTAGGAGATTAAATTAAGCCATGTAGAAAATGATGTATTTTTAAAGGACAATATTTTTGTGAACATCTTTGCTTTTATTGTCTGGTTAATTGTTGACTGAATTTCTCCCAAGGCTGTGAAAATGCTACAAGTAATGATGTAGGAAGAGAAATATCAGGAAAAACCATGACTTGTTTTGGAAATGTTCTATGCTCATTATGTTATATGAAAATAAAGCAATGCCTTATAGGCTTCCTCACAAATACAGACACAATTCTCACATCCACACTACAATTCTCTCTTTTTTATTGACATATAATTTACATGTAGTAAAATGTACACATCTTTAGGTGCCTAGTTCAGTGGCTTTTGGCACATGTGTAACCTCCACCCCAAACAAGAGTTAGAACATTTATCTCACCTCAGAATGTTCCCTTAAGCCTCTTTCTATACAATTCTCTGCCCCAGGACGTAGACTGGTGATTTCTGTCACTATAAATTACTTTGCCTGTTGTTTGACTTCATTTAAATCAAACACATGTTCTCTTTAGTGGCTGGCTTTTTTTCCATGACAAAATATCTATGAGATTCACCCACGTGGTGTGTATTAGTAATTTGTTCATATTGCTAGGCAGTGTTAAATTATATGACTACACCGTAATTTGTTTATCTGTCCTGTTGATGAACACTTACGTTTTCTCCAGATTTGGAATTTCTTAACACTGTTGAAAACCTATTTACAAAAAGACCCATACAAAAATGTTTATAACTTTTTTCTCTTAGATAAAGACCTAGAAATAGAGTTTCAGGGTTATAGGTAGTTGTATGTTTAACTGTTAAAGAAAGCACCAAATAGTTCTTCAAAATTGTACTGTTTAACACTTTCAGAAGCAGTATATGAGAGTTCTAGACGTTCCACATCCTTGCCACTATTTGGTATTGTCAGTCTTTCCGATTTTAGCCTTTGAGGTGTAATGATACTTCTTTCTGGTTTTAGTTTGCATTTTCCTGATGATCAATGAGGTTGAGCACATTTATGTTTGATTTTAGCTATTTATATATCTTTGTGTATGTGTATGTGTTAAATATCTGTTCAAATCTTTCGCCTGTGATTTTATTGGATTACTTGTCTGTTTTTGTTGATTTGTAGGAGTTCTTTATATATGCCAGATAATGAGCCTATTGTCAAACATATGTATTGCAAACATTTTGTATAGTCTATGGCTTGCCTGTTTTTTTAAATTAATGACATTTTTTGGATAAACAGAAAATTTTAATTTTGATGAAGACTTATTCATGTAATTGTTTGTGGTGGTCAGTGTTTTTTGCCTCTTTGTAATGAAATTGTTGCCTACCCTAAGGTTGCAAAAATAAGATTCTTTATATTTTTGTAAATGTTTTAGACCTATGATCCCTTTTGATTTAATTTTGTGTATAGAATAATGAGGAGATTGACTTTTTGGTTTTTTTTTTTGGTCATTTGGGTATCCAGTTTTTCCAGCATCACTTCTTTAAATGTCTAGTCTTTTCCCATGGATTTTGCTAAGCATCTTTATTGAAAATTGCCTGACAATATATATGTAGATCTACTTACTTTTTTCTTTTTTGTTTATAAATATTTTTAAATTTTAAATTTTAAAGTTTTAATTATTTTGAGTACATAATAATTGTACATATTTATGGTGTACATGTGAAATTTTGATACAAGAATAAAATGTTTAATGATCAAATCAGGGTAATTGGGGTATCAGCCACCTCCAACATTTATCATTTGTTTGTGTTAGAAACATTCCAATTGCATTCATTTAGTTATTTTAAATATACAATAAATTATTGTTAGCTATAGCCACCCTATTTTGCTACCAAACACTAAATCTTATTCCTTTTATCTTACTGTATTTTTGTACCCAACCGTTCCTTTTTTATCCCCCCTCTCCTCTCCTCTTCCCAGCCTCTGGTAACCATTATTCCACTCTTTATCTCCATGAATTCGATACTTTTTAGCTCCCACGTATAAGTAGGAACATTTTGTATTTCTCTTTCTGTGCCTGGCTTATTTCACTTAACATAATGTCTTTCAGTTCCACCCATGTTGTTGAAAATGACAAGAGTTCATTCTTTTTTATGACTGAAAATTTTCCCATTTCTTTATCAATTCATCTTTTGATGGGTACTTAGGTTGATTCCAAATCTTGGCCATTGTGAATAGTGCTATAATAAAAATGAGCATGCAGATATCTCTTCAACATACTTATTTCTTTTCTTGTGTATAAATACCTAGCAATGGGATTGCTGGATCATATGGTATTTCCATTTTTAGTTTTTAAAGGAAACTCCATACTATTCATTATAGTGGCTGTACTAATTTACATTCCCACCAACAGTCTGCAAGGGTTCCCCTTTCTTGCAGGTCTATTTCTGAACTCTATTCTGTTCCATGGATTATATGTCTCTTCTTAGACCAATACCACACCGTTTTGATTTTTGTAGCTTTTAAAAAATGTTTTAATTTTAATTGGCAAAAAATTATATATATTGTATACAACATGATGTTTTGAATATATATACATTGTGGAATGGCTTAACGGAGTTAATTAACATATGCATTACCACACATATGCTTTACCACATAACATATGCATTACCACACAGTATAATTTTTGTGGTGAGAACACTTAAAATCCAATCTCAGTATTTTTCAAGAATACAGTATATTGTTATTAAGTATAATCATCATGCTGTGCAATAGATCTCTTGAACTTATCCTCCCATCTCACCGAAACTCTGTATCTTTTGATATTGTAGCTTTTTAATAAGTCTCAAAACAAGCCCTGTAAGTCCTCCAACTTTGTTGTTCTTTGTCAAATTTGATTTGGGTGTTCTAGGTCTGTTGTATTTCCTTATTAATTTTAGAATAAGTTTGTCTAATTTCTTCAAAAAATCATACCTACAATTTTTATTTTTACCCCTTGTTTTAACATGGAGAATCTTGGCAACATTTTAAAAAATCAGTCTTTTATTTTACTTATTCAACAAAATTTAGTAAGCATTTATTCTTTCCTGGGACCTATTCTAGTATTCTCCTGATACAGTAGTGAACCAAACAGCCACAGACTCCCTCCTTCATAGTGAGAGAAGACAAATAATAGATAAATAAAACTATATTTAAGTGCTATGAACAAAAATAAAAGAAGGCAAGGTAATAGAAAGTGATTGTAGACACAGGGAGACAGGCTATTTTAAATAGGGATGTCAGTGAAGGGCTTTATAATTACATGACATTTGGGCAGAGACCTGAATACAGTTGACCTTTAAACAATGTGGGTTTGAACTGCATGAATCCACTTATACATGAATTTTCTTCTGCCTTTGCCACTCCTGAGGCAGCAAAACCAACCCCTCCTCTTCCTCTTCCTCGTCTTCAGCCTACCCAATGTGAAGATGACAAAGATGAAGACCTTTATGATGATCCACTTCCACTTAATGAATAGTAAATATAGTTTCTCTTCTTTGTGATTTTCTTAATAACAAGCTAGAGGAAAGAAAATGTTATTAAGAAAATCACAAGGAAGATAAACTATATTTACCATATGACATATCAAGTATGTATTAATTGTTTATGTTATTGGTAAGCTTCTAGTAAGCAGTAGGCTATTAGTAGATAAGTTTTTAGAAAGTTAAAAGTTATACATAGATTTTTGACTGCATGGAGTATTGGTGCCCCTCACTCCCATGTTGTTCAAGGGTCAACTGTACATTAAAGGGATAACCTCTGCAAATATCTGAAGGCACAACATTGGTAGCAGAAGGAGTAGCATGACCAAAGATCCTGAGGTAGGAGTGAGCCTGCCAAGCTCGGGGAACAGCAAGGAGGCCTGTGTGTCCAGCGTGCGGTGAAGCAGGGAGAGACAGTTGGACATGCAGGTGCCATAGTCCCTGGCATGCACTTGAGTAATATGAGTTCTGAGCAAGCCAAGGTGGCACCACTAGGCTTTAAAATGATATAGGTGGCCGCTGAGTAGGAATAAACCACTGAGAGCCAAGAATGAAATCAGGGAAATTGGTTAAGAAGAGATTGCAGTGGGCCAAGCAAAAGACAATGGTGACTCTTTTTCTTGACTTTTAATTCTTTCTCTACTGGCAATTAATCAGTTTGGAATTTTGACAACATGTGCAAAATGTGCAGTTTAACAAGAACTAGACCTTTCCTTATGTAACTCTGTGTTAAAAATGAAACAGTCAATGAGGTTCTAATTTGGTGTTTCATTCCTGTTGATAACCACTCATTTCTAATTCCATACTCTTTAATTCCTTAAGCATTGGTAAATTTCAATGACATTGTTTTTTTGAGAAACAAAAAATTTCTTAAAACTTGCCCACTTGATTGTTCTCTGTACATTGTTCCTTCCCTTCCCTTCCCTTCCCCTCCCTTCCCCTCCCCTCCCCTCCCCTTCCCTTCCCTTGTCTTTCTTTTTTGAGATACAGTCTCACTCTGTCACCCAGGATGGAGTGCAGTGGTGTGATCTTGGCTCACTGCAACCTCCACCTCCCATGTTCAAGTGATTCTCCTGCCTTCGCCTCCTCAATAGCTGAGATTATAGGCACGCACCACCATGCCTGTCTAATTTTTATATTTTTAGTAGAGATGGGGTTTCACTATTTGGCCAGGCTGGTCTCAAACTCCTGACCTCAAATGATCGGTCCACTTTTGGCCTCCCAAAGTGCTGGGATTAAAGGCATGAGCCACCATGCCTGGCCCATTGTTTCTTTCTTTTTTTCTTTTTTTTCTTGAGACAGAGTCTTGCTCTGTTGCCCAGGCTGGAGTGCAGTAGTATGATCTCAGCTCACTGCAACCTCCGCCTCCCAGGTTTAAGCAATTCTCGTGCTTCAGCCTTGCGAGTACCTGGGATTACAGGTGCCTGCCACCATGTCTGGCTAATTTTTGTATTTTTAGTAGAGACCAGGTTTCACCTTGTTGGCCAGACTGGTCTCAAACTCCTGACCTCAGGTGATCTGTCTGCCTCAGCCTCCTGAAGTGCTAGGATTACAGGTGTGAACCACCACGCCCAGCCCCCATTGTTTCTTTTAAATGTTAAATAGAATTACCTGATCCTGGCCTCATTTGAAATGCTTTTAAATATATTGGTATATACATTTAGTTCTATTGGCATGTTAGTCTGCTGTCTTGGAAAAACATGGTGGTCAGTATTGTTGTGATGGACCAGATCTTCTGTATTCTTAACAAATGATAATTTCAGATTATGACATTGTTTTCCTTCTCCTCTTTGTTAGTATTATTCCTTCTAGAAAACCTGTATTTGAGTTAAAAGTGATAGAAAATCCACTCATTTCTGATACAGTACTAGGTTAGTTATGGGATAACAGTGAAACATTTTTAACCATAATAAATTTGATACTGGAGTTTTAGATTGAATTGTAATGACCAATTTATTCCCTAATTTATTTAATTTAATCACAGCTCATTAATATGTAATAGTGCTTTTAAGACGTTCTAATTAAGATAGTATAATAATGAGATAATAACTATGTCATGACAGTAAAATTTTTAGCTTTGTGTAAATATTTAATAAGTTCAAAATAAATAAGATCCAACCTAAAGAGAATATTTTCTTTATTATATAATCCATATAAATTAGTTATTTTTAGGGCCCCAAAACACCAGTTTTTCTGGTTTAGATTTAACTATTGCTCTCTTAACTGTATGTAGAGAATGGGAGAAGGGAAATTCTTCAAGATTCCCTGATGAAAATAGACGATGTTACCATCCAAACCATTTTGGGAAAGCTGGACACAGTGGTGTGCCTCTGTATTTCCAGCTACTCAGAAGACCGAGGCAGGATGATCCCTTAAACCCGGAGGTTCAAGAACAGCCTGGGCAACATAGTGAGAACCTATTTCTAAAAAACAAACAAAAACTAACTTTCAGGATCAAAGATTAAAGATTTCCATCTACCACTGGGTAGGGGGTGGGACCAGGCTCCAGGCTTATTCCATCAGCCCACCTCTCTGATGTGGCAAAGCCAAGTCTTCCATAGGGAGGCCTGGAGAAAAGGTTCCTATCTCACCACTACAGTGAGCAGTTCACTCAGCTATGGTCTAGTCCACAAGGTTCCTTAATCATCTGACCACACTGGCTGATTTTTAAAAATATACCTTAAAATGTAGGGACTAAGTTTATTTACAATAGTATGCAGTCAATGGCCTGTCTCCTAGTTTGAATTTTCTTTGTGCAATCATCCATGAAAAGCATAGAATGCGGTGCCACTGATAAAAGATCACCTCAGCTGGATGAATTTCTAGCACCTGGTAGCACTAAATTGAGATATTTAAGGGTACAGTTTATTAACAAAACAGATGGAAGAAACTGGGTAAAAATATACCTAATAGAATATGAATATTTCAGAACACAAAGAAATAGTGCATTTTTTAGAGTTCTAAAGTAAAGCATCTATAGGATATAGCTGTTGTTATGCTTTATATTTATTTCTTGATTTTCTTTCTCTCCTAAAACTTTCTGGCAATTTTAAAAATTGCACTGATTTTAATAAAATAGATGCCCTTAATTTTCCTACTGTAGCAGTTAATTTGGGTAATGTCAGTCTGTTACTGTTAGAATTGCTATTCAACTGAAAATGTATTATGATCTGCTGCACACATAAAAATATTACATTATAATGCGCAAAACCGAGCTAAACATAATTGTGCCAATACTAGCGTGGTGACAGGAAGCATCTTCTATAATGGTGCTGATTTCCATATCAGTGATAATTTTATTGTGTGATTTGCGTTGTATTCTCCTTGCCGCCGTATTGATATCCGGAATGTGTCTATCCATTCCTAGGATAGATGCATGCAGATGCCAAAAAAACTAGTTAACTCCCTCTCCTACTCCTTGAAAAATCTTAGTAATTAGAAAGTGAAAAAGATTATAGCAGCCAAATTCTGTCTCCAAAAACTTTGCCTTTTTTCTTGCCTAAATCCCTTTAATAGGTTAATGTACTTGCTGGATGTGTCTTCTGAGGACAACTTAATGGCTCAACTATTTATTGAGCCTTTGCTATGTGTAAGGCATTGTGCAAAGCACTAAAGGATTTAAAATGGACTAAAGTGCCCCCAGTTCTTCAAGGAACAATTTTATAAAGAGTTGGATACTCAAATACTCACAGTGAAAAACTCCAGAAATCACAGTAGGGAAAATGTGTGGCATATGGTTTATGGCAAGGTCAAAAATTATATCAATTTTTTTTTGAAGCAAAAACTGCTGCAAGGGATTGTTATAGAAATATATATATATTTTTTTTTTTGAGACAAGAGTCTTGCTCTGTCACCCAGGCTGGAGTGCAGTGGCACAATCTCGGCTCACTGCAAGCTCCGCCTCCTGGGATCATGCCATTCTCCTCCTTCAGCCTCCCGAGTAGCTGGGACTACAGGCGCCCACCACCATGCCCGGCTAATTTTTTTGTATTTTTTAGTAGAGACAGGGTTTCACTGTGTTAGCCAGGATGATCTTGATCTCCTGACCTCGTGATCCACCTGCCTCAGCCTCCCAAAGTGCTGGAATTGCAGGAGTGAGCCACCATGCCTGGCCTAGAAATACAAATTTTAAACCCAAACTATCCATCTATATTATCATATTTTTATGCATACAGAGTCTGAAAAAGCATCTCTCTCAGATTGTAAATTCCCCTTTATCAGAATTTATGCAAACAGTCAATTACCCGTGGATGAAATTTTGGCAGTTACAAGTGACTATTGATTTATGACCCAATTGGTTCTTGGGTTTTGATTGCAAGTCCAGCGTCCTTAAGTCTCGAATTGCCTTTTTCAGCGGGGACTCCAGCTTCTCCTGACTCTTCATTTGTTCAAAGAAAAATGTTTTCCTCTGATGTTTTATCCATGCCTGTTCTTAAGAGACACAAAGCCTTTGTTAAAGTTTTACTAGTTTTAGGGATATTTGAATTCCAGCATCTTAATTGCATCGACAGAATAAAAAGTTTTCTCAATTCAAAAATTCTCCTTCATCTTTTTTCAACCTTGGTAATGTTGACACATCTTGGGTGTAAAGTCCTGAAAAGGTTGCAGATGCCAGCTGTGGTCTTCAGGATAGGGTAGAAGATGATTTACTTAGAATAAAAAAGGTCATAAGAAGGAAAAGGCCTTGAATTGGGTTTTTACTTCTGTGTAAATTTCTAATGACTTCAGTTGAGGATAGTTAGAGGAAGAAGGGTTTTGTGGTTTGGGACGAAGAAAAGAGGTAGGCATGGAAGAAGTTGAGTTGGTTTTGCAATAAAGTTTTGAGCCTTAGAAAGAGCTCCTGGATTTGGTATCAGGGGTTGAGTGTGGCAGAGCTGAGGCTGGACTTAGAAGCCCGATACTAGCCTTAGGCATTGGAAAAATTTCTGAGTAGCATATATCTTTTGCCAGAGAGCGGCCAAAGCATTTCCTGTCTCAGGTTGTAAGTTAGCCAACCAGGGTGGACCTCAGAAGCAGAAATTAACAACTCAGAGTCATAAAACAGCCTTTGAACATTGGATGTACTAATTATGGAAAATCAAAGTTAAAATACTTCTTCACCTGCAAATTAACTTCAACAAAACAAGGAGCTTGGTGAAACTTTGAAGAATCACTGAAAAGAATCTCAGGGAAAAGAAATAAACAGCAATTGATCAGACAGTTTGCAATGCACAAATGTTTTTTGTATTTTAAAAATCTTTTCATCTTACCTATAGAACATAAATATATGAAAGCTTTTAGAGGTTTATTTCTGATTCTAGTTATCCCTAAGATCTTAGGTTTTCTTCATCTGCAAATTCTATTATTATGGAGTTTTTAGAAACCTGTGCCTTGGAGCTGTGTCATTTTACTGTAGGAAAAAAATAAAAAACACATAAATCTGAAATAAATAAGGCTGTCTCTGAAATGAGCATCATTGGAGCCTTTTTAGTCAAGAAGTGCTAGGTAATTTGTGACTAAATCATCTTGGACACAATTCATAGAGGGAATTCTTTCCCCTTCAATAAATGCACCTTTTTCTTTCTTCTCACACTCTCTGCCTGTTATCCTTTCCTCCATCACAGCCTTTCTTTGTCTTTTTGTCTACCTGATCTGTAGCTTTACTTTGCCAGCACTGTTTAGCCCCACGGCCTAAAAAGGCTCTTCACGCTTGCTGCGAATAGTCCCATACAATGAACATCTTAGGAGTTGCTTGGGTAAAGAAACAAGTGGTACTTTTTTACTGATTCATAGTCATTCCTTCCGCACGGTCTTTCTCTTAGAAAAATGAAAACTTCCAGCATCAGTGGCATTAATTAATTAATTTTTATTGACCCTTGAGACATAATTTTTGCAGTTTCTAATACTATTATTTAGGGAAATATGGAATTACACAACCAGATTGATGACTTTGTAGTGCTATCATAATGGAAATGCATCCATCCGTTTTGGAGGATTCAGGAGGACCCTGTGGCTAGTTCTGCAGAGAGTGTTCAAGCCAGGCAGTAGTGTAGAGTCCCAAGTGGTTTGTAAGTTCTGTTCTCTGTAGCTCCTTTTTTTGGAAAACCTTGCCTCTCACTCTCCATGGCCTGGCTTTGTCTGCTACTAATTTTCCTGGAGTTTTGAAGAGAATAAGCCTTACTTATTTGCTGTGGTACTGAGAGGATTTGATAGCAAATGTTTTTGAAAAAACTTAAGGGAGAGAAATTTCTCCTAAATTAATATAGTCTATTTCTAGAAGTACATATTTCCCCCCGCTACTGGGTTATATGGGCCTTTTCTACTGAACACTCTTGCCACTTCCATCCTTTTTGATCCAATGTAGCTTATAGACCTGCATCTTTTTGTATTTATGGACTGAATAGATTCTGTAACAGGTGTATAGGTGGAACTACTGATGCGTCTTCTGCATCAAACATTTATATTGATATTTGAAGCAGTTAATATATGTTCTAACAAGATTTAGGTCCTATAGAAGGAAGGATAGAGAAAGAGGCTATGAAAAACTGAATTTCTCTTTCCAGGAGACCTTTGAGAAGGCAAGTTTGAGTAGCAGCAGCAGTGGAGCAGCCAGCCTGAAAAGTGAACTTTCAGAAAGCGCAGACCTGCCCCCTGAAGGCTTCCAGGCCTCCTATGGTAAAGACGAAGACAGGGCCTGTGACGAAATCCTGTCAGATGATAACTTCAACCTGGAAAATGCTGAGAAAGGTACTGCTAGTGGCAGTGTGTCAACGTAGGTACTGCTAGTGGCAGTGTGTCAACATGAATGTATTCTGGACTCCTTCCTGTTTCAAGACTCATTTGCTTTTTTATTGTTTTTATTAATGTGCAGATACATATTCAGAGGTAGATGATGAATTGGACATTTCGGATAACTCCAGCAGCTCCAGTTCAAGCCCTCTGAAAGAATCTACATTCAGTAAGCTTTCTGTTATCAATTTGCTGTTTGTGGGATTCCGGAAGACAGTGGTTTGGAAATCATACTTGAGTCAAGCAAATATCACCATATACATAACCCAGTGGTTTGTTTTTCAGGTGCAGTGCTAATTAGGACAGATGTGTCTGTCTCTCTGACAGAGCCCAAAGGTTAGCCAGCACAGTGGTTTTATATTTTCTCAGCTGTCAAATGAATAGTTTTACTATTTCTACCAGCAATTGCAGGTTCTAACTAGAGAGTCAAGATATCTAACTTGGAGACAGCCAAATAACCACAGGAGTAATGGACATGACCTTTTATGAGCCTGTTGGTTAGATGAATTCAAAGCCTGTAGAAGAAATTGGTCCTGGTATAGACTAATTTTTGTGCAATTTTATTTATATAAATCTAAAGGGATGTGTTACATTTAAAACAATAAAATAAAAGAAATTTTTTTAGAGTTATTAAAAATATGACATATAAATTCCGTCCATAATGTTAATCTTGACTCTTAATTTAAAACAGTAAAGAAAATAGTCATACTGGGATATGGGAAAGAAAAGGAAAAGGTATATTTAGATAAAGTTTAAAGATTATAAAGAGAGATAGAATAAAATACATGGAACAAACCTGAAACTTAAAGAGAAGTTAAAATAGAAAATGAAGGGAAACAATTTTTTTAAAAAAGAGTAAGTTGATAAAATATTAAAAACCATAGATAGAAATATTCTGAAATAAATTAAGTGAAAATAATTCTCTCTCCTCAGTGACTATACTATGAAAATCTCATAAAAGAACATTTAAAATAGCTTCTCTAAGGATCAAAGTAGAACCCTAAGGATTTAGCTACATTCTTTGTCCTTTCCAAACTTAATTGGTCCATCGAAATGATGATTAGATGTTCCATATTTTCTGGGACAACCCCAGTTTTCAATATTCTGTCCTATTTTCTCCGTAGATCCCTGCCTTCTAGGTGTATTAATTTGTGATTGGGAAAACATGAAGCTCATATGGGAAAAAATATTTATGCATATAAACATGTATAACAAATTCCAGAAGAAGTTTATTACTGACTGTTTTGAGATAAGTTCAGTGTTCTATATACCTGGCAGCAATGGTGGGAGGGTTAGTGGGGAGGTAGGAAAGAGATGCTTGACCCTTAAATTTGCATATGGTAACTTGGCAAGGATGGTTATGACATTTTATTGCATGACATTTTATTGTGTTTTGTTAGATATTAATAACAGGGTTGTTTTTGTTTGTTTAGCACATTTGCTTTAGAGAAAAAGCCCTTAAACAAACCTGACAAATAAATAACAATTTGTAACATATTTTAGTTCATGCTTTCATAATCAAAGACAATTTTTACAGTATGTACAATTGCTCAGGTAACCGAAATTCAGTATTGTTTTTTGTTGTTGTTATTGTGGTTTACCATGAATAAAGCCATGTTTGTTTCTTGAATGTTGTTTGACTGCTTTCATGCTACAATGGCAGCAGAATTCAGCTGTGACAGACATAGTATGGCTTGCAAAGCCTAGAATATTTCCTACCTACCATTTACAGAGATAAGTTTGACTTTAGAACAATATGAGAGTGTTTATAGACAAAGCCATTCATGGAATATATATATTCTTTATTATTTTGAATTTTATAAAAAACTTATTTAAAATTTTTTCTGATATATAATATATTTGTACCTATTTATGGATACTTGTGATATTTTGATATATGCATAGAATGTGTAGTCATTAAATTATACATTGTATGGGTAATTCAGATATTGATCACCTCAAACATTTATCATTTATTTGTGTTGGAAACATTTCAAATCTCCCCTTCTAGCTATTTTTAAATATTTAAACATTTTCTTTATCCATTCATCTGCTGAGGGATACTTAGTCTGATTTCATATCCTGGTGGTTGTGAGTAGTGCTGCAATAAACACGAGAGTAGAGATATCTTTTTGATATACTAACTTCCCTTCTTTTGGATATATACCAGTAGTGGGATTGCTGGATCATATAGAAGTTCTATTTTTAGTTTTTTGAAGAGAAACTTTATTTATTTATGTATTTTAAGTTTTTTTTTTTTTTTTTTTTTTTTTTGAGACGGGGTCTCGCTCTGTCACCAGGCTGGAGTGCAGTGGCACGATCTTAGCTCACTGCAACCTCCGCCTCCTGGGTTCAAGCGATTCTCCTGCCTTAGCCTCCCGAGTAGCTGGGACTACAGGCATGCTCCACCACACCCAGCTAATTTTTGTACTTTTTAGTAGGGACGGGGTTTCATGTTGGCCAGGAAGGTCTCGCTCTCTTGACCTCATGATTCATCTACCTCGGCCTCACAAAGTGCTGGGATTACAGGTGTGAGCCACCACACCCGGCCGAGAACCTTTATACTGTTTTCCATAATGGCTACACTAATTTACAGTCCCACCAACAGTGTATGAGTTCCCTTTTCTCTGCATCTTCACCAGTATTTGTTGTTCAGTATTGTTTTATTAAAACATAAAAAATAAAAGATTTGCAGAGGAAATAATGTAAAGTTATTTCTATTTTCTCGTCTCAGACATTTTAAAGAGAAGTTTTAGTGCTTCAGGAGGAGAAAGACAATCCCAAACAAGGTAGGTGCAAATTGAACTCCTAGAAATATTTTTTGATTTTGCAGAGCTGAGTAATAACTCAGCTGAATTGAAACCTGATAGCCAGAAGTTTCCATGTGCCTGCGGAAATAGGAGTTAGAGCTTACTTGCCCAGAACTGTTTATAGTTCACCAAGTAGCATACTGAAACAGGTACTGATCTTGGACCTGGGTCTTAGTCTAGCTCTGCCTTTTTCTAGCTTTGTGACCTTGAGCAAATCAGTTAGCCTCTCTGAGCTCAAGGGTGGGCCGGCGGGGTAGGGCAGCTGTGCTCCATGAGGTCATCTGGAGCCCTGGTCTTATATCTTGTTCTTCCATATCCCCAGGGTATAGGTTTCATCTTTTTGACCAATATGACTTATGAGACCGCATCCTACCTCCAAGCCAGCAAGAAGAAGAAAGGGGAAGTAGAGACACCCCTCTTCCTTTTAAGGATATGACCGAGATGTTATGCTCATCACTTCTGTTCACATACCATTGGCCAGAACTTCCTCATATGACCACAGCTAGTTGCAAGGGATGGTGAAATATGTTTGAGAGACTGTCTTTTAAAGGCAAAGCAAAATTGTTATTTTGGGACAGCTAGCTGTGTCAGTGACAGTTGTTTCTTAGAGTAGGGACTGAAACAAAACTATTAGATTGAGCCTTCTGCAAGTTCTCCTGACCTTCACTGGCACTGGGTGAGATTAGAGGGAGCAGAACCTTGATTACAATGTTCCAGAGGCAGAGATAGGAGGCATTTAAGAAGTTGAGAAATGAGCTGGGAGAATGAGCTGGTGGGGAATGTTTGATGGAAAAGGACCTCCTAGAATCAGGATGAACTCAGGGCATTTGGGACAGAGGAAGGAGAAGAGACCAATGGAGAGGAGAAATGAGAGAGGAAAAGAGATAACTGACAGTATACAGTTGCATCATAGACCAGAGCCAGAGGAGTGGGCCTGGAAAAGATGAGTGGCAACGCCTTCTTTGTGTCTGGAGAAAGGGAGGTGAAGATAAAATTAAGCTAGTGAAATAGGGAAAGGCAGATTAAGGAAGAAATATACTTTATGGTTTCTGTATATTATTATTATTATTGTTGAGATAGAATCTTGCTCTGTCACCCAGGCTGGAGTGCAGTGGCGTGATCACTGCAACCTCTGCCTTCCAGGTTCAAGTGATTCTCCTGCCTCCGCCTCCCGAGTAGCTGAGATTACAGGCACCTGCCACCATACCTGGCTAATTTTTGTATTTTTAGGAGAGGTTGGGTTTCACCATGTTGGCCAGGCTGGTATCGAACTCCTGACCTCTGGAGATCCACCCACCTTAGCCTCCCAAAGTGCTGGGATTACAGGCATTCGCCACTGTGCCCAGCCAGTTTCTATGTATTAGTTGATATTCTAGGCCAATATTCTAGACAGCTGAGAGGACTGTCTAGATTTGTGGAGTATATTCAGCTAGGAGCAGCCAATGTTGAGATGAGAACTGGGCAGAGAATGGTGGAAGGACTGCCAGACTGCTCTGAGGCTGGGGCACCTGTTGAGGTTGGGCCACATATAAGTGGTGATGCCAGGCAGGGCTCTTCAGAGCTGTGGGATGACCCCCACTCAGGAGGTGGCAGCATCTGTGTAACAAAAGGCTAAGGCTGCGATGTGCTATAGCAGGCAGGGCTTTTTGGATACAAGCAAAGGAGCCTGACTTTAGCTAACTTATGTGACAGGGGGTTCTTTAGACGTCATTGTGGGGCTTGTGTAATTTAGACTCTGGAGGATCAAGCTTGGGAAGGCATAGGAGCCAGTTCAGTCCCTGAAGTCTATAAAGGAGACATTTTTGGGAGGCTTATAAGGGCACAGGAACTCTGGGATAAATGAACTCCCAGCTTGTTTATTCCATTCTCATGTCACCTTTCTTAGGATTCAAAATCCTGAGAGAGAGAGAGCCAGATTGGCCTGGCTGGGATCAGGTTCCTGTTTACTGCCTTGAGGAGAGCTGAGATCCTTGACTAGTCCATCAGGGGTGCTTGCTGAAGGGAGCAGGTGTTAGTGCTGGGCAGCCTCAATGGAACCACCTGGATCTACCTCTGGGTTTGAGGGTGCTGGGAATCACATAACATAAATGAAGTTCAGAAGAACCTGCTCAGCAAATTCCTGGGGGATTCAGTTAGGTGACAAACGAAGGTTTCTATAGACAAATCCTTTTCTTGTTTAGTCAAAGATGCATCACTGATACATTTATCTTCAAATGAAGATCAGGAGGAGTTAGGGTGGAGCCTTTTAATTTCCTAACTTTTTTTCCAGTGTTTCTGGGAATAAAAACCCAAGGAAAACTTATCAACAGGGTGTATGATCTATCAGAAAGATATTCGATAAAACCCTGTAAGACCTCATGACGTTCTTTAGTGGGCCAAAGTGCAGAGGAGTCATGGTCAGAAGTAATGGGGAGGGCAGGGGAAAGAAAAGTACTCCAAAATGCCAAAGAGAACCACAGTGGGTGTTTGTGGGGACTGGAGATCTGAGTTAGAAGATATTCCAAAGGATCTTTAGGGCTTGCTAGTACCCAACATTCCTCATTCCTCACTTACTGACTTTCTATTGCTAACAAAGCAAGTATTTTAGTTCAAAAGTAAATTATGATATATGATGTACTCCCAATTAAGTGAGTTTTATGTTAAAATGACAATTTCCAATCAGATGAATGTAGGTATCTTGGCCCTGTCAAAAATAATTCTACTATTTTTTTAAAGGATCCATGGAAAATTGTCTTATTTGCACAAATCCGGTTGATGTCCACCCCTTCAAAACCAAACAAAAACCCCATATGGTCTATATCTTTTAGAGCTTGAGATGGCTTTTAAAAAGCTAGTCATTAACTAAATACTTTATAACAAATTGGATAAGCTAGAATCAGCAGAAAGGCAAGGTTTAATCTGAAGATCATTGAAACAGGGGTATAGAACAAGCTTTAACTTGGGGTTATGACCAAGTCAACAGATGGATATGGAAAGTGGCCCATACATTGAAGTTGATGTTTTGGAAAGTATGTTCCAAGGTGAACAGGACCTGACCTAAAGCAACATTTGTAAAATTGTGCCATGAAATGTGGTAATACAGCGTGACATGCCACCAGGGAACACAGGTTTGTTTAAGACAAGCTGTCTTCCTTCAGGGAGCTCACAGCAAAATGGGAAGACAAGGGCCGACTTCAGAAGAAAATAAATGATAAAAGACAGCCTTTGATTTATGCCAAATAAGAGGAGAGAAAATTAATAACTTTTGACTCCCTCCCAGGTAATCCCTGGGGCTTCTCTGAATTAAAAGGAGACAATCCCAAAATGTATTTATAATTCTTTAAAGAACGTTAAATAGAGCTAAAGTTATTTGCAGTCTAATTTGTTTAGGATTTTCCTGGGTTTCTTTGTTTATTAATGTGAAATGTGAACCCATCCTGCAAAATATTTAGAAGCTAAATAAGAAGTTTGAATATAAAAGAAGATAGCAAAGCTACATAATAGAATAAAAATAAATTGAAAATCAAGCCTGTAGAGGGTTTTCTTTTTCTTTTTTTTTTTTCCTATTCTGTGCCATGTATAAAATGGTATAACAATTTCAAGGAGACCCTAGGCAGCTCTCCCACTTGGGGACCCTTACTGACTCTTTAAAAAGGCCCAATGAGAGAAGTCACAGGGAAGTACATACCTGTTCTGACCACAGCCTCCAAAATATAGAAGTCAGACGTGGCCCTGGCTAAATATTAATAGTACCAAGAGAAAGCTTAAGCATAAACTCATAACTTTGGTCAGATATCAGATATCAGGAGCCAGATTTAAACCAATTGCTTGCGGAAAAACTAACGTAACTCCCTAATAACTTAGGATATGCTTTTGGGCAAATGAGCCAGACAAATGGATACAACATGAGCAAATGGAACTAGGAGGGATAGCCCCTGCCTGCTCAGAAAAGTTTTGAAGTCTCAAGGCTGGAGAATAATATTAGAACTGGAAGGCACCTCGGAATCCAAGCCATCATCAGTTGATAAAACTTTTTTTAAGGAATATAGTTAATGGCAAGATCAAGAGAGGAATAAGCCCCAATTTCTTTGAAATTTCCAACTTTAATCATTTTCAAACTTGATATGAAATCTTTTATATCTATTACTATTTGCTAGGAAGGCATTAAGAATGGGCTTGACTTTTACCAGTTTTTATGCGAGTTTCATAGGCTGACCTAGTATATACACATTGAGGATTCTAATCCAGCAAGTCATAGCATGTTATTTCAACTTATAAATAAAATACTCTGTATAGTGGAACTTGATAATGCTCACTGGGGCTTCAGCCTCTTTGTCACATATTCTCAGGTCCTAGTAAAATTTAGTCATTGTTTTACGACCATCTTAAGAACCTTCATTCATTTGTTTAATTGATGGATATTTATTACTGTGTGCCAGGCCTGCGCCAAACTATGCCTAATTCATCTTTGCATTCTCCAGGGCACAGTGTATTGCACATAGGTACCAACCTACAGATACTTGTTAATTAATAGATGAATGACTGTGACTGTTATCTCAGTGTAAATTCTTTATCTCATTACCAAGGACTGAAATCTTGCCTACTGACAGCCTTTGCCATAGCCACAGCTTAAGGCACATTTTTTTTTTTTTAAAGGATCCTGTTGCTCCGGCAACCAGATTTCTCCACGTCTGCTTGCCTTCTGTCACCAAGGCAACAGGGTATAGTTGGCAGGCTGGTTTGAGACACTGGATGTTTGTGGTATCAGAGATGCCTGTGGTTCACAACTTTTTTGATTCATCAGTGTATGCATAATTGTATTTGGCAGTGTGCTCCTAAGTCTAAATCTTTTTTTTTTTGAGACAGAATTTTGCTCTTTCACCCAGGCTGGAGTGCAGTGGTGCCATCTCAGCTCACTGCAACCTCGGCCTGCTGGGTTCCAGCGGTTCTCCTGCCCCAGCCTCCCTAGTAGCTGGGATTATAGGCTCCTGCCACCACACCCAGCTAATTTTTGTATTTTTAGTAGAGATGGGGTTTCACCATGTTGACCAGGCTGGTCTCGAACTCTTGACTTCAGGTGATCCACCCCCCTGGGCCTCCCAAAGTGGTAGGATTGCAGGCATAAGCCACCGTGCCAGGCCTTTCTAAGTCTTTATATGTGAAGATGATTGTGGATGTTTGTGACAATTCAGCTTCATATTTGTGACTGGAAAGACCTCGTGTATTTTCAGGACCTGTGGATCTTGCCTCTTAAAAGCGGAAGTCTTGCTTATTTTTACTTATAGCTCTTCTCCCTCCATCTTTTTCATAATCTGTATCTGGTTTTACTTTGGTTGAATAAATACTGCATGATTACTCCTTGCTAGAATCAACCTGGCCCATCTGCTAATGTCTCACTCCAACAGCCTTAAAACAAACAAACAAACAAACAAACAAAAAAACACATAGTAAGACCACTTTGTTTCTTTTCTGTAATAGTTCTATACTTTCCTGGTTTATTGCTCATTTGTTTCTAGCTGTTATTGGAGTAGGAGGGGATAGCCACAGGAGCATTATACTACTTTGTTGTCATGATACCAACTCTATTAACATTATAGATAAATAGGAGAGCTCAAAGCTACATAATGTTGCTTATTCACACAGGACATATTTATGAATGTCACTGCCTGAAAGAGAGCTTCAGCTATAAAATGCTCATTAGCTCACATGGTGTGGCTGCAGTAGTTTCGGAAGGCATTACCTTACTATTGTAAGCCAAACCTCTCATTTCATAAGGTTTAATTATTTTTATCAATATCAAATAGCATTGATACTTTTCACAATTGAATTAAATGATGGAATACACTTATAATGTATTTGAAAATGTTTTCTTTGTTCAGATACATATTTCAAGGAATTCTTATGAGAGATGATATTCTAGGGCTTCATCTTCTTCTTGGCCAGGACTCTGCTGGCAAAATTATTATCCAAATAATTCACCGTGCTCTTGACTTAATTCAGCGAAAAGTCTATTTAAAAAATTACGATGCTAATTCCTAGATTATTCACTTTATCTGTTAGTGTTTTGGGGTGGAAATTGTAGGCTAACACTCATTTTCAGCACTTCAGTTTCTCTTTTGCCTTATTAATTCCAGATGAGGTCACACTAGGTCTGAAGAGAGCTGGAAGGGATGGCCTTTTAGAATTCTTTCAGCCTTCTATTTTTCTGAAATTCTTCCATTGGCCTGAAGTGCTGTTGGTCAATGCCCATTTCAAAATTTTCAGAGAACACAAACAGTAATATGTTAAGCCTCTTCACCAGAAACTATTTCTGGAATGTTCTCTGTGTGAAACCACTTTGGTATATTTTCCAGCTTGTGATACGATGGGAACACCACCCTCTGTAGCCGTAATGCTCTATTGGGCATAAACATTCAATGTGGTTCAATCTAGAGGCAGACTTCCCCCAGGCTCTGCATAATTTCAACCATTTGTCCATCTGTGAACCCAACAATTGCATAGTTAAAAGCTGTCACTTCTGGTGACAATGAGTCTGTTCTATTTTGAAATTTCAGATGACTATATTTTCTTGCGGTTAGTGATATAATTTCCAGAGAAATTGACATTTTATTTTCTGCTATCTCTATGCAATCTTGTAAATTCTAAGACTGTGGAAACTATTTATTTTCACCATCCCATCTCCAGTGTCTAGCATGGTGGCTACACATCGTGGGCATTTAATAAATATTTCTTGAATGAATGAATGAATGTGTAATTGTTCTTTTTGAAGATTCCCTAAAGTTTATTAAAGAGGAATTTAAAATTATATAAAGGAATAGCAAAAGCGGCAGCAACTCAGCATTGTCAGGGTGTTCTATGTCACATATCCCACTAGCACACATTATGCATAACATTTGTTAATATGTAAAAATGTTTGAAACGTTAGATTCTTCAGGACATCTGGAATAGTCATCTTGCAAACTCATCATGTGAGTGATTATCAGCTTTTCAAGAACATGTATAACCTGATGGATACAAGTTTGCCACAAGTTGCATTTTTATTCACTTTTTAAGAGAGTGGGATTCAGGAGGTATTGCAGGTTTAGCAGCTACATGGCATGAATGTAATAAATGTATGAAGACAATGACCAACACTTAAGGAAGGGCCTGGACCACATTGTTAAGTATGGAGGCCACTGGGCACATGTGACTCTTGAGCAGCTTAAATGTGGCCAGTGCAACTGAGGGACTGAATTTTTAATTTTGTTTAATATTAATTAAGATGTAAAATAATAAGATTTCAATTTGTATATGTTGAAATAATATTTTGGATATTTTTGATTAAATAAAATAGAATTATTTCACTTTATTCTTTTTACTTTTTGAAAATGTGGCTACCAGAAAACTTAAAATTATGTTTGATGCTTACAATCGGTTTCCATTAGACAGTACTAGCTTCATCTAGAAGGGTAAGGGGCAAAGTTATTCGGAAAGCATTTGCTGGGGTATGGCATTTGTGCAGGCATACAAGGAACTGGAACAGATGCTCTGCTCCTCAGCTCAGCCCTGGGGCTGTCCTGCCTACACATGGGCACTGCTGTCATCATGCCTCTTTTCAAACTTTCTGAGGGCAGGATCAGCTTCATTTCTTTTTTTAAACATGCTCCTTATCTCAGGTTAGGGAAAGTATATAAACTGTTAAAGGCTGGCAGGTTCCATTTACTTTTCAAGGCTCTGGAAACTTGAGCTCAGAATGGAACAAAATATATTATGAGATCAAGAGAGTGTTAGCCTGGTGAGGATCAAGAGGGAATGGAAAGGAACAGGGAAGAAACTCATAGGTGGATGCAAAGATTTTGGTATTATTCTAGTGCTTAAGTTGGGTGGTAGGTAAATGAGTGCCAATTTTGTTACGCTTAATAACTTAGGTAGGTGTTGCATGCATGTATCAAAAATTCTATGATTAAAACGAAAAGGTTGGGACAAGAGAATTATCAGCCATGTTTACTTGTATTTGAATTCCTATATTTATTCCTACTTAACAAATAACCTATCATGTGCCTTATACCTAGTACATGTATGATATATTTTTGTTGGATTTCATTAAGTTTAAGAATGATTCTTACAACTTGTCAGGGCACAGATGTTTCTTATTTCATTCCAGAAAACTATTAAAAACTTGGTTCTAGGCCGGGCGTGGTGGCTCACACCTGTAATCCCAGCACTTTAGGAGGCTGAGGCAGGTGGATCATGACGTCAGGAGATCGAGACCATCCTGGCTAACATGGTGAAACACTGTCTCTACTAAAAATACAAGAAAATTAGCTGGGCGTGGTGGCGGGCACCTGTAGTCCCAGCTACTCGGGAGGCTGAGGCAGGAGAATGGCGTGAACCTGGGAGGTGGAGGTTTCAGTGAGCTGAGATCGCGTCACTGCACTCCAGCCTGGGTGACAGAGCTAGACTCGTCTCAAAAAAAAAAAGAAAAATTGGTTCTAGGGTACAGTGGAAAAAACAAGGCTGAAGGTGATTTACAGATATCCCTGGTGGGGTCTAAGGCCACCTCCACAGAGTAGAAGACACTGAGACCAACTCGTAAAATGATCAAATAACCTAGAATTTTGGGGCAAGGCAAACAAGGGATGTTAATAACACTGGCAACTTTAGGAAAGATAATTATTTTCAATGCAAAAAACATTTTATAGGAGGAGGTATAAGGTTTTTTTTGTTTTTTTAATAGAGCAGGGACAAATCATAGAAAATACTATATATAACATTTTAAATCTTATATCCTTTTAGTGCAAAATCATATTTTGAGTTTAAGTGTAACTAGAAAATTATTCAGGATCCTAAAATTTAGGCTCTTAGTCATACTTAGAGCCTAAAAACTGTGGTGGGACGATTCTGTCATTTGTCAGTAGAATGTCAATTGTACTGTTTATTGCAATATATTTATTTCCCTCTTAATTAAACTCTTGAGAGCATCTTGAGGGAAAATAATCTCTATTAATCTTTATAATGTAGACCATAGCAAGATGTAGGCTCTTAGTTTGTCAAATCCAAGTTGAACAGGTCATTCTAATGGCCTGTAATTCTATTTTCAGGGACTTCACTGGAGGAACAGGATCAAGACCAAGACCAGGTAACTTAGTGTTGGTAGCAATAAAATCAAACACAACTCTCTAAAATTCAATGTAATTTATGTTACAGTTTCATATCTTTCCCCCTTTTATTTCTTCAGCTTTGCTGCCTCTTGACCTGCTTCTGAAAGTGCCACCCCACATGCTCAGGGCCCACATTAAGGAAATAGAGGCTGAGTTAGTGACAGGGTGGCAGTCCCATAGCCTTCCTGCTGTGATTCTTCGAAATCTCAAAGATCATGGTAGTACTTACTAGATCACATTGATGTTAAGCACACAATGGGCAAATGCAGAATTATAGTTGGGCCTGAGATGTCTGAACGATGCTTGGGTGGTAATTTTAATACAAAGAGCGGAGAATTCTGCCTTGTTTGTTCACCATTATTAGTTTGGCGATTTGATGGTAACAAAATGCCTTCTGTGTTCACTGTTGGTTGAAATATTATGGGCTGTTTTTTCCAAAATTTGCATTTCTGCCGTGGCGGGAATGTTAACCAGTTGACCTATTGATGCTTCAAGTACATACCTACAAACAAAAAATAGTAACCATGTTTTACATAGGTATTTCTGTAAACTCTACACCTACATGATACATGTAGAATGAAGAAAGTAAGTCATATTTTTTTCTATCTCCTCTACCCTTACACAAATAATTATCTTTTACTTATTTATGTTTCTTTTCTTTTCTTTTTTTTTTTGAGACAGAATCTCACTTTGTCACCCAGGCTGGAGTGCAGTGGCACGATCTCGGCTCACTGCAACCTTCACCTCCCAGGTTCAAGTGATTCTCCTGCCTCAGCCTCCTGAGTAGCTGGGATTACAGGTGCCTGCCACCATTCCTGGCTAATTTTTGTATTTTTAATTTAGATGGGGTTTCACCATGGTGGCCAGGCTGGCCTTGAACTCTTGACCTCAGGTGATCCGCCCACGATTAAAATGACATATCACATTGTTTCCCTAATAATTGAAAAATTATAGATCCTTAAACATAAAAGTTTCTAATAGAGGTTTGGGAAGAATGTGTTAATGTTTCTAATTTTTGTGAAAGAGGACCAAAGTCCATCAGTAACATTTAAATTATTAGCTAAACCTAGACAATTCAGAAAAAAGTTTGATGATTATGCTTTTATCATATGTGTGAGCATACAACTCTTGAGCATAGAGTTCTACTTTACTATTGGTTAATTTGGGATTATTGTTTAATGCTATTTTCACTTCAGCTTCCTTGATTCACATTCTTTTGTAGAGCTAATGTTTATAGTGAATATAGGCAAACTGACTGTAATGTTAGCCCATGTCTCCACATTTATTAAATTTGCTTTGGATGAGTTATTGACAGTTTGAGGCCATTACAATGTCAGCATAGATGCCAAAAATGATGGTTTTATTAAGATGCCTGAAACTATCATGTTGACCATGCTCTGCTCCTGTTATTTTGAAAAGGTAAGTTCAAAATATAATTATGAAATTAAGATGATTGTTATTAATTGATGTTCCAACAGCAAGAATGGAACACACATATATATGTAAGCAATTGACAGTTCTGTTGTAATCCATATTAGAAATTCTTTTTCCTAAACAGTATGTTGACTTAGTTCAGTGCAAGACTTGATTTTATGTCGGTGGCACTGATCAGATCTCTGGACCTTTAAACAAACTATTTACATTATGGCAGAGTTTACATACATTTCTTTCTTATCCCTACAGTTTGCTATATCATCTAATTCTTTAAAATCTGCTGATTCATATATTGTTAAAACTTGTATCAGAATACACAAAAGCATTTTTTATTTTTTTGAGACAGAGTCTCCCTGTGTTGCCAAGGCTTGAGTGCAGTGGTATGATCTCAGCTCACTGAAGCCTCCTCCTCCTGGGTTCAGGCAATTCTCCTGCCTCAGCCTACCGAGTAGCTGGGATTACAGGCGTCCACTACCATGCCTGGCTAATTTTTGTATTTTTAGTAGAGATGGGGTTTCTCCATATTGGCCAGGCTGGTCTCTAACTCCTGACCTCAAGTGATCTGCCCACCTCGGCCTCCCAAATTGCTGGGATTACAGATGTGAGCCACCACTCCTGGCCATTTTGTTATCAGTGAGTGCTAGATTTTGTACATAAAAAGAGTGGTTAGGTTTTGCTAATATTGTACAACACATTAATTCACAGGGAACATTTGGGTTACCACCTGAGAGTTACTCTACTTTCATGTCAGAAAATGAGAACTTTATTTTTCTCAACCTTCATATGAAGGTTTTTTCCATTAACTATAAAACTCATACCTTTTAAGTGTTGCAAGTCAATTTGGATGATTGGTTGCTTTATCAAATTATAAACAGCTGGTGCCAGTGCCATTCACTTAGGTCACCACATCTGCAAACCATGCTGTAATCCAGTCATTACCTTGGTATCTCTGTCTTAACTAAAGTATAGAGAAGTGACATTAATCTGGTAGTCCAACAATAAAGTAGTACGTTTGGACCAAGGTGTCATGAGACGTTGTTGGTCCTGTCAGTAGCGAGTTATACCTTAAGCATTTGTTATGAAAAATAGGTAAAGCACTTAAATTTGTGAATGATTTATTTTTTTAAAAAAAATAAGCTGATTATATTAGTGTATTTTCATTTACTTAACATTTGGTCTCGCTTTCTTGGATAGAAAGGAACATGTTGGAACTTATGCATAACCAACATTTACAGCCCTGTATTGCCTAAATGTTCCGGAAAAAGCAGAAAGGGGAGAATTTTGCCAAAATCAGAGCATTTCCCCAGGAATATATCTAGTATGTGAACATTATTTCCCATGTATTATGGCAGAATACAGGGTTGGAACCATTATTTTAGAGTGCCAAGTGCCTATATTGTAATATGATCTTGCCTGTATGGTACTCCTAAAAGCTGAACTTCTAGGTTCATGTCATGGTAATAACAGCAGTACCTCCAAACTCTTCTAGAACAAATAACAATGAAACTATTTTACATTACTTGTATTAAAAATCCCCTTGTTCTATCTTTTATTACTAAATTGTATCAATAATTTATTTTCTACAAATTATTTCAATTAAATAATAGATTGCAATTCCCTGCCAATAGAAAACTTAGGAATTCATATATTATACAAATGAAAATATTACCAGTAATTAATATGAATAACTGAATGAAGAAACATTTTAACATGTTAATTATTTTAGCTCTGTTTTCCCAGCTTTAGTCACTAGTGAATTACCATGGTACAAATTTGCCTATGTCTGAGAACTATATGTACTATAATTTTCCTGATATTTTTCTTTACATCGACTAACTCAATTTAAATTCATTTTTAGAGGAAAGTTGTTATTATTTCTGTAAATGAGAACCAGTATAGTATCACTTGCCATAAGTAGATAACCATTGTAAAAGTAAATACAAATCTAAGAAAGACAACATTAAATTCCAGGTAGATATTGTTTTCTGCTTATGCTGAGGTCTGTTGTCTTTGCTGTAAAGGAACATTACCTAATATTTGAGAAATGATGAAAACATACTTGCACGATACTGAAACTTAATCCTTGATATAAACAACAGAAAGAAAACTGTAAAAGGAATACGTTTCCTACTGGACTATTTCATACCTGATATACCTACTAATGAAATTAGGCTGTGTAGGTGTCCCCAGTTCTTTAAAAATAGATTGATTCTGTGGTCTGTAAAGTCAAATCAGTTAATCAAACAACTGGATATTACCAAGTATTTGGAATTGGGGAAAAAGGTCTCAGGTCTGTCTTGTATAAAAAAGAAATAATCGTTTCCTTTCAAGACAAGGGAAATGATATATATTTGTGAAAATTAAATCACACAAAAATATAACACAGGAAACGTGTTCTTTTCAAGTACATACTATAATGTTATGGATTCTATTAGTGTGGGTCAAATGTAAATTTTTGGGTGTGTAAGTCAAACCTAAATTTTCAAGTGCAAATATAATGTCAACTAAAAATCTGGCCTAATTTGACTGGATTAACACTGACATTTTCCCCTCCCTTGCTCAGGTTTTTATTTAGACAGCACCTGACACCCAGGCGCTGAACCGATGTATGGGTTCTTATGCACTGCATTTTGAATAGAAATTGTCACTTTATGATTTCTGGGTCCTTAATTATGTTTTCCTATTGGATGACTATGAATCTATTTTTATGTTTCCATTTTGTTAGTAAAGGCAAATCTAAATCAAATTGTCAATGTTTTTTATTTTTTGCTCAAATATTCTAGAAAGCATAGCTAACATTCTAGTTGTCCTTATACGAACAACTTTTAGTAGTTTACTTTCAAGTTAATTATTAACATAAAGTACTTAAAACTCATCTTCACAATTGCCAAAGTGATTTTAAGTACATACCTTCTTTTATTATGTTGCATAGCATTTTTAATCATATAAAAATTTGCTCACAGGTTTTAGTCAAAACTTCTATGATACTAGTCTATACTATATAATTTGGCATATAATTATATACATTGTTGGGATTTGTGAAGTATTAACTATGTTTTCCAACCAGATTGTAAGCACCTTCATTGCAACTTTGATAGATATAGGTGTATCTCACAGATATTGCAGGTTCCGTCCCGGCCAACAGCAATAAAGCAAATATCACAATTAAACATGTCACCTGAATTTTTTGGTTTTCCAATGCACATAAAGGTTATGTTTACACTATACTAAGTCTATTAAGTGCACAATAATATTATGTCTAAAAATATATATACTATAATTAAAAATGCCTTGTTGCTAAAAAGTGCTAAAGATCATCTGAGACTTTTAACAAGACATAATCATTTTGCTGGTGGAGGGTCTTGCCTCCATGTAGGTGGCTGCAGATTGATCAGGCTGGTGGTTGCTAAAGATTGGGGTGGTTGTAGCAATTTTGTAAAATAAGATAACAATGAAGTTTGCTCAATCAATTCAGTCTTTCACAAAAGTTTCTCTGTAGCGTGCGATGCTGTTTGATAGCATCTTACTCACAGTAGAACTTCTTACAAAAACTGGAGTCAGTCCCCTGAAACCTACTGCTGCTTTATGAACTAAATTTATAGACTATTCTAAATTATTTGTTGCCATTTCAACAATGTTCATAGCATCTTTACCAGGAGTAGATTCCATCACAAGAAACCACTTTTGTTGCTCATCCCTAAGAAGCAACTGCTCATCCATTCAAGCTTTTGGATGAGACTGCAGCAATTCAGTCACATCTTCAGTCTACTTCTAATTTTAGTTCTCTTGCTATTTCTACTACATTTGCAATTACTTCTTCTACTGAAGTTTTAAACCCTCAAAGTCATCCATGAGAGTTGGAACCAACTTCTTCCAAACTCCTGTTACTGTTGATATTTTGACCATTCATCATAATTTTTTAAATTTTTTAAATTTCTTTCCATAAGTTATTGGGGTACAATTCTTTAGTGGTGATTTGTGAGATTTTGGTGCACCCATTACCTGAGCAGTATACACTGCACCATATTTGTAGTCTTCTATTCCTCACCCCTTTCCCACTCTTCCCCCCAAGTCCCCAAAGTCCATTTTATCATTATCATGCCTTTGCATCCTTATAGCTTAGCTCCCACATATCAGTGAGAAGATACAATGTTTGGTTTTCCATTCCTGAGTTACTTCACTTAGAATAATAGTCTCCAGTCTCATCCAGGTCACTGCAAATGCTGTTAATTCATTCCTTTTTTATGGCTGAGTAGTATTTCATCATATATATATATATATATATATATATATATATATATATATATATATATATCAGTTTCTTTATGCACTCCTTGATTGATGGGCATTTGGGTTGGTTCCACAATTATGCAATTGTGAATTGTGTGGCTACAAACATGCATGGGCAAGTATCTTTTTTGTATTATGATATCTTTTCCTCTGGGTAGATACCCAGTAGTGGGATTGCTGGCTTAAAGAACTTTTAGTTCTTTAAGGAATCTCCACACTATTTTCCATAGTGATTGTACTAGTTACATTCCCACCAGCAGTGAAGAAGTGTTCCCTGATCACTGCATCCATGCCAATATCTACTGTTTTCTGATTTTTTGATTATGGTCATTCTTGCAGGAGTAAGGTGGTATCGCATTTTGGTTTTGATTTGCATTTCCCTGCTCATTAGTGATGCTGAACATTTTTTCGTATGTTCGTTGGTCATTTGAGTATCTTCTTTTGAGAATTGTCTATTCATATCTTTGGCCCACTTTTTGATAGGATTGTTTGTTTTTTACTTACTGATTTTTTTGAGTTTGTTGTAGATTCTAGATATTAGTCCTTTGTCACATTTATAGATTGTGAAGATTTTCTCCCACTCTGTGGGTTGTCTGTTTACTCTGCTGACTGTTCCTTTTGCCATGCAAAAGCTCTATAGTTTAATTAGGTCCCTGCTATTTATCTTTGTTTTTATTGCATTTGCTTTTAGTTTCTTGGTCATTAAATCCTTGCCTAAGCCAATCTCTAGAAGGATTTTTCTAGAATTCTAGAAGATCTAGGATCTTCTAGAATTTTTATAGTTCCAGGTCTTAGGTTTAAGTCCTTAATCCATCTTGAGCTGATTTTTGTATGGGGTGACAGATGAGGGTCCAGTTTCTTTTCCTACTTGTGGCTAGCCAATTATCCCAGCACCATTTGTTGAAAAGGGTGTCCTTTCCCCACTTTATGTTTTTGTTTGCTTTGTTGAAGATTGGTTGGTAAGTATTTGGGTTTACTTCTGGGTTCTCTATTCTGTTCCATTGGTCTATGTGCCTATTTTTATACCAGTACCATGCTGTTTTGGTGACTATGGCCTTATAGTATAGTTTGAAATCAGGTAGTATGATGCCTCCAGATTTGTTCTTTTTGCTTAGTCTTGATTTGGCTATGCAGACTCCTTTTTGGTTGCATATGAATTTTAGAATTGTTTTTTCTAATTCTGTGAGAATGATGGTGGTATTTTGATGGGGATTGCATTGAATTTGTAGACTGTTTTTGGAAGTATGGTCATTTTCACAATATTGATTCTACTCATCCCTGAGCATGGGATGTGTTTCCATTTGTTTGTGTCATCTATGATTTCTTCCAGCAGTGTTTTGTAGTTTTCCTTGTAGAGGTCTTTCAACTTCTTGGTTAGGTATATTCCTAAGTATTTTATTTTATTTTATTTTATTTTATTTTATTTTATTTTATTTTATTTTATTTATTTTTTTGAGATGGAGTCTCACTCTGTTGCCAGGCTGGTGTGCAGTGGCGCAATTTTGGCTCACTGCAACCTCCGCCTCCCGGGTTCAAGTGATTCTCTTGCCTCAGCCTCCCTAATAGCTGGGACTACAGGTGTGTGCTACCACACCCAGCTGATTTTTGTATTTTTAGTAGAGACAGGGTTTCACCATGTTGGCCAGGATGGTCTCGATCTCTTGACCTCGTGATCTGCCCACCTTGGCCTCCCAAACTGCTGGGATTACAGGTGTGAGCCACCACGCCCAGCCAGTATTTGTACTTTTTGCAGCTATTGTGAAAAGAATTGAGTTCTTGATTGGATTCTCCACTTGGTTGCTGTTGGTGTATAGAAGAGCTGCTGATTTGTGTACATTAATCTTGTATCTAGAAAATTTGCTGAATGCTTTTATCAGTTCTAGGAGCTTTCTGGAGGAGTCTTTAGGGTTTTCAAGGTAAATGATCATATTGACAGCAAACGGTGACAGTTTGACTTCTTCTTTACTGATTTGGATGCCCTTTATTTCCTTCTCTTGCCTGACTGCTCTGGCTAGGACTTCCAGTACTATGTTGAAGAGTAGTGGTGAGAGTGGGCATCCTTGTCTTGTTCCAGTTCTCAGAGAGAATGCTTTCAACTTTTCCCCACTCAGTATTATGTTTTCTATGGGTTTATCATAGATGGCTTTTATTACATTGAGGTATGTCCCTTGTATGCCAATTTTGCTGAGAGTTTTAATCATAAAGGGATGCTGGATTTTGTTGAATGCTTTTTCTGCATATATTGTGATGATCATTTGATTTTAGTTTTTAATTCTGTTTATGTGGTATATCACATTTATTGACTTGTGTATTTTAAACCATCCCTGTATCCCTGGTATGAAATCCACTTGATTATCGTGGACTGTCTTTTTGATATATTGTTGGATTTTGTTAGCTAGTATTTTGTTAAGGATTTTACCATCTATATTCATCAAGGATTTCAGTCTATAGTTTTCTTTTTTGATTATGTCCTATCCTGGTTTTGGTATTAGGGCGATGCTGGCGTCATAGAATGAATTAGGGAGGGTTCCCTCTTTCTCTATCTTATGGAATAGTGTCAGAAGGATTGGTACCAATTCTTTGAATGTGTGGTAGAATTCTGCTGTGAATCCCTCTGGTCCTGGACCTTTTTTTGTTGGTAATTTTTAAGTTACCATTTCAGTCTCACTGCTTGTTATAGGTCTGTTCAGGGTAACTAATTCTTCCTGATTTAAGCTAGGAGGTTGTATTTTTCTAGGAATTTATCCATCTCTTCTAGGTTTTCTAGTTTATATTCTTAAAGGTGTTCATAGTTACCTGAATGATGTTTTGTATTTCCATAGTGTCAGTTGTAATATCTCCTGTTTTGTTTCTTAGTGAGGTTATTTGGATTTTCTCTCTTTTCTTGATTAATCTTGATAATGGTCTATCAATTTTATTTATATTTTCAAAGAATTAGCTTTTTGTTTCATGTATCTTTTGTATATTTTTTGTTTCAATTTCATTTAATTCTGCTTTGATCTTGGTTATTTCCTTTCTTCTGCTGGGTTTGAGTTTGGTTTGTTCTTGTTTCTATAGTTCCTTGAGGTGTGACCTTAGAATGTCAGTTTGTGCTCTTTCAGTCTTTTCGATGTAGTTGTTTAGGGCTATGAACATTCCTCTTAGCAATGCTTTTGCTGTATCCCAGACCTTTTGATAGGTTGTGTCATTATTGTCATTCAATTCAAAGAATTTTTAAATTTCCATCTTGATTGTGTTTCTGACCCATTGCTCATTCAGGAGCAGGTTATTTAATTTCCATGTATTTGCATGGTTTTGAAGGTTCCTTTTGCAGTTGATTTCCACTTTTAGTCCACTGTGGTCTAAGAGAGTGCTTGATATAATTTCAATTTTTAAACATTTATTGAGGCTCATTTTATGGCCTATCATATGGTCTATCTTGGAGAAAGTTCCATGCACTGTTGAATAGAATGTATGTTTTGCGGTTGTTGGATGAAATGTTCTGTATATATCTGTTAAGTCCATTTGTTTCAAGGTATTTAGTTAAATCCATTGTTTCTCTGTTGACTTTCTGTCTTGATAACCTGTCTAATTGTGTCAGTGGAGTACTGAAGTCCCCGCTACTGTCTGTCTCATTTCTTTTTTTTTTTTTTTTTGAGATGGAGTCTCGCTCTGTCGCCCAGGCTGGAGTGCAGTGGCACGATCTTGGCTCACTGCAAGCTTCGCCTCCCAGGTTCACGCCATTCTTCTGCCTCAGCCTCCCGAGTAGCTGAGACTATAGGCGCCCGCTACCATGCCCGGCTAATTTTTTGTATTTTTAGTAGAGATGGGGTTTCACCATGTTAGCCAGGATAGTCTCGATCTCCTGACCTCATGATCTGCCCACTTGGCCTCCCAAAGTGCTGGGATTACAGGCATGAGCCACCGCGCCTGGCCATTCTCATTTCTTAGGTCTATTAGTGTTTTATAAATTTGGAAGCTCCAGTTTTAGGTGCATATATATTTAGGATTGTGATATTTTCCTGTTGGACAAGGCCTTTTACCATTTTATAATGTCCCTCTTTGTTTCTTTTAACTGCTGTTGCTTTAAAGTTTTTTTTGTCTGATATAAGAATAGCTACCTTGCTCACTTTTGGTGTCCATTTGCATGAAATGCCTTTTTCCACCCCTTTACTTTAAACTTTTGTGAGTCCTTATGTGTTAGGTGAATCTCCTGAAGACAGCAGATGGTTGGTGAGTTCTGATCCATTCTGTGGTTCTGTATGTTTTAAGCAGAGCATTTAGGCCATTTACATTCAATGTTAGTATTGAAATGTGAGGTGCTGTTGCATTCATTGTGCTATTTGTTTCCTGTGTACTTTTGTTTTTTTTTTGTTTTTTGGTTTTGCTTTTTAACTTGTATTTTTGTTTTAGAGGGTTTGATATATGCTTTAAGTAGGTGCTGTTTTGATGTGTTTCCAGGATTTGTTTCAAGATTTAGAGCTCCTTTTAGCAGTTCCTGTAGTGGTGGCTTGGTAGTGGTGAATTCTCTTAGCATTTGTTTGTCTGAAAAAGATTGTATCTTTCCTTCATATATGATGCTTAGTTTTGTTGGATACAAAGTTCTTGGCTGATAATTGTTTAGTTTGAGGAGGCTGAAGATAGGGCTCCAATCCCTTCTAGCTTGTAGGGTTTCTGCTGAGAAATCTGCTATTAATCTGATAGGTTTTCCTTTATAGGTTACCTGGTGCTTCTGCCTCACAGCTCTTAAGATTCTTTCCTTCATCTTAACTTTGGATAACAGATGACAATGTGCCTAGGTGATGATCTTTTTGCAATGAATTTCCCAGGTGTTCTTTGTGCTTCTTGTATTTTCATGTCTAGGTCTCTAGCAAGGCTAGGAATTGTTCCTCAATTATTCCCCCAAATATGTTTTCCAAGCTTTTAGAATTCTCTTCTTCCTCAGGAATACCAATTATTCTTGGTATTGGGTTGTTTAACATAATCCCAGACTTCTTGGAGGCTTTGTTCATATTTTCTTGTTCCTTTTTCTTTGTCTTTGTTCGAGTGGGTTAATTCAAAGACCTCGTCTTTGAGCTCTACTTGTTCAATTCTATTGCTGAGACTTTCCAGAGCATTTTGCATTTCTATAAGTGTGTCCAATGTTACCTGAATTTTTTATTGTTTTTACTTTAAACTATCTATTTCCCTGAATATTTCTCCCTTCACTTCTTGTATTGTGTTTTGGATTTCCTTGCACTGGGCTTCACCTTTCTCTGGTTCCTCCCTGATTAGCTAAGTAACTAACCTCCTGAATTCTTTTTCAGGTAAATCAGGGATTTCTTCTTGGTTTGGCTCCATTGCTGGTGAACAAGTGTGATTTTTGGGGGGTGTTACAGAGCCTTGTTTTGTCATATTACCAGGGCTGGTTTTCTGGTTCCTTCTTATTTGGGTAGGCTCTGTCAGAGGGAATATCTAGGGCTAAAGGCTGTTGTTGAGATTCTTTTGTCCCATGGGGTGTTCCCTTGATGTAGTACTCTTACCCTTTTCCTATGGATGTGGCCTCCTGTGAACTGAACCTCAGTGATTGTTGTGTCTCTTCTGGATCTAGCCACCCAGCAAGTCTACCCAGCTCCAGGATGGTACTGAGGGTTTTCTGCACAGAGTCCTGTGATGTGAACCATCTATGGGTCTCTCAACCGTGGGTGCCAGTGCCTGTTCTGGTGGAGGTGGTGGGGCGGGGGTTGCAATGGACTCCATAAGGGTTCTTTGGTGGTTTAATGCTCTGTTTTTGTGCTGGTTGGCCTCCTTCCGGGAGGTGGTGTTTTCCAAAGACCATCAGCTATGGTAGCATGGAGAGGGACTAGCGGTGTGTGAGGCCTTAGAACTCCCAAGATTATACGTCCTTTGTCTTCCGCTACCAGGGTGGGTAGGAAAGAACCATCAGGTGGGGGCAGAGCTAGGTGTGCCAGAGCTCAGACTCTCCTTGGGCAGATCTTGCTGCAGCTGGAGCATTTGGGGTGTCTCCTAGGTCCTGCAGGAGCAGTCTGCTTCCTTCAGAGGGTCTGTGAATCCTCTCAGGATTCCTAGTTTGTTCTTGGAGTTGATCTGGAGCTAAAATGCATACATGTTTTTAATGACATCTAGAATAGTGAATCCTTTCTGGGAGGTTTTCAATAGACTTTGCCTAGATTCATCAGAGGAATCACTATCTATTGCAGCTATAGCCTTATGAAACGGATTTCTGAAATAATAAGACTTGAAAGTCAAAATGACTCCTTGATCATTGGACTGCAGAATGGATGTTATGTTAGCATACATGAAAACAACATTAATATCCTGTACCTTCTCATCACAGCTCTTAGGTGACCAAGTATTTTGTCAAAGAACATCAATATTTTGATAGGAATCTTTATTTCAGGGCAGTAGATCTCAAGAGTTGGCTTAAAATATTCAATAAACAGAGTGCTTTCATCCAGGCTTTGTTGTTCTATTTATAGAGCATAGGTAGAATAGATTTAGTACAATTCTTAAGGGCTCTAGTATTTTTGGAATGGTCAATAAGCATTGGCTTCAACCTAAGATTACCTGTTGCGTTAGCTCCTAACAAGAGAGTCAGCCTGTACTTTGAAGCCAGGCTTTGATTTCTCCTCCCTAGCTATGAAAGTCCTAGATGGCCTCTACTTGCAATAAAAGGCTGTTTTGTCTACCTTGAAAATCTATTGTTTAGTGTAGCCATCTTCATCAGTTATCTTAGCTGGATCATAAGAAGATCTTACCTTGCTGCAACTTCTATATCAGCATTTACAGCTTTGCCTTGTACTTTTATGTTATGGAAATGGCTTCTCTCCTTAAACTGCACGAACCAACATCTACTACTTCTAGCTTTCCTTCTGCAGCTCTCTCACCTCTCTCAGACTTCATAGAGTTGAAGAGGGTTGGGGCCTTCCTCTGGATTCTGCTTTGGCTTAAGGGAATGTTGTGGCAGGTTTGATCTTTTATCTTCTAAATCTTTCTCTATATAAGCAATAAGGCTGTCATTGTTATTATTCATGTGTTCACTGTTGTAGCACTTCTAATTTTCCACAAAAATCTTTTCTCTGCATTCACAGCTTGGCTAACTATTTGATGCAAGAGGCCTAGCTTTCTGGTATCTTGGCTTTTGACATGCCTTCCTCACTAAGCTTTATCATTTCTGCCTTTTGATTGAAAGTAAGAGACATGTGACTCTTTTTTCCACTTGAACAATTAGAGGCCATTGTAGGATTATTAACTGGCTTAATCTCAGTATTGTTGTGTCTCAGGGAATAGGAAGGCCTATGAAGAAGGGAAAGATGGGGGAATGGCTGGTTGATGGAACAGTCAGAGTACACACAACATCCATCCATTAAGTTTACTATCTTATATGAGTGCAGTTTGTGGTGCCCCAAAACAATTACAATAGTGACATGCAGGATCCGTCATCACAGATCATCACAACAGATCTAATAATGAAAATGTTTGAAATATTGCAAGAATTACCAAAATGTGACACAGAGGCATGAAGTAAATGCATGCTACTAGAAAAATGGTGCCAGTAGCCTTGCTCAATGCAGAATTGACACAAAACTTAAATTTGTAAAAAAATTTAAAAAAAGCAACATCTTTGAAGTGCAATATAATAAGGTGCAATGAAATGAGGTATACTTGTAAATACCTTGGAGTATTTCCTCTGAGATCAGGCCCTTGAAAACTATTTATTGAGTAACTGATTTAGACCCATCACTGTATAAACTCTTGTTTATCTTTGCTATTGTATTGAGAGCAACTGCATAAGTAATCAGAAGCAGTGAGGGAATCACTGATTTTTTTGTATTAGACTTTTAAAATATTTTATTTTTATTAAATTTATTTTATTATATTAAAATATATACATATATATTTTAGATTTCAGATTGAGATAAGAAATTTCCTTTACCAATGATTATTTGCTTCCTCATTCTTCATGCCAAGGGAGGTGCCAAACGACTGTGTACAGGGTCCCAGGAGGATGCTTCTTGGAGATGTAGATTTTTTTCATGGTCATTTTAGGGTAATGTGTTTTCAAATGGATACTCATCTCACAAGAGTTACTGGTGGTTCCAATTCAAGCCTAAATCCAAATTGCATATCACCTGTTAAATGGCAACTCACACTCATGCCATTTGGGTTTCTGCCTGGGAGGAAAGGCTAAAGGAAGTAAGGGTTGAAAGGTATCCCACTCTCTGGTAGGAGTAAAGGGAGGTAGGTCAGCATGACTTGGGTGATGATTGTAGCATGGTGTGTAAAATAATTGAATTAACAGCGAAAAGCATCACCCTCAAATTCCAAATTGCCATTATTAGTAATTTATAGTGGATTTTAAAAATATGTTAAAAGTATTTACAAATATGCTTTGAATTAGTTTGTTGCATTGACCAATTTGAGAATTGAGGACAGTGACAGAAGGGCCAATTATAAGAAGAAGAAACCTGGATATCAAAGACCTTAGGTTCATGTGGAGTCTGTTGCACATGAGCCATACCATTTTGGACATACATATGGACATCTAATCAAATTATTCCTGTGTAGAAATGTAAGCACCAGTAGCTAAGAATCTATCCATGTGTTGGCTCCTGTCTGGGGAGTAGTTTTTTTAAGGATCTCAGAGTACATTTAAACCATAAGGGAGTATTAATCATTGAATCAGTCATTAAGCTTCTATTAATTCCCTTTCTTCAAGAAAAATGTTGATACAACTAAGGCTGTGTCCAAACCATTCTATAATGGTTGCTACAGCAGTTCCCTCTCCTGAAAGCAAGAGGCCTCTTTCTTCTCTCTGGGATACCTGCCTGCCCTCCACTATAGCTGGAACCTTGTTCATTCTTAATTGACTCTGCTCAGTATGGATTCAATAATTTATTTGGGATGTTTCATATAGTGTGTCAATTAAAAATTTTTCTGTTTATATAACTACTTATTATTTTTTATATTGGGGTGCAAAAGCACAATTCTTAAAGTTGTTCTTTGGCAAGTGTCTGAGTTTTATTCAATGCATTGATGATAGAACCAGGTGGAAGACAAAAATGCTGATTCAAGAGCATTTGAAGAACAGAGATTTATGTAGTTAGGCAAGAAAGAAGGGCTGACATAAGATTGCTAAATTAAGCGTAAGACTGGTAGAACTTCTATAGGGCAATAAAATGATACCATTTTTGTGATCAAGTTCTTGACTGGGTGTAAAATCATACCAGTATATTAATTTCTGCAGGTTAACCTCTAACGCTACAGGCCTGTAAACTGTCTGCTCCTTTATTGGTGTAGATTGTTAGTTAAATATACTGTGACATTACCCATTATGGGAATATAAGACACATTACTTAAAAGAGGCTCAGCCAGAATTCAAGAGTTAAGGACTTCAAAGCAGCCTTGCCTCTGGCCTTTAAACAGCTTATTCCTGAAGTTTCAAATGAAAGGAAGTTTGTTGCCTGATCACCCAGAGGTGAAAGGAGCTGATGCTTTGACTCAGCTTCCTGCCATTCTGTGAGAAACTCTGCCGGAGGCTAGGGTAGCAGGGGCATCTAGGCCTAGACTGCCAAGCTCCTTCCAAACACTTTTTGTCTGATTATAGAATGGTCTACTGGTCTGTGTTGGGAAGTTTCCATTGTCCATGCATCATATCCTCTGTCACTTCCCTCTCTCTTCTGATGGAACATCATATTCTCAGTGTCTCAGTCCCAAGCTTCAGCAGTCCTTGGCTCCTGCTCCCCATGTGGAAACAGCTACAGTGCACTGTAGATTGATTCACCCCACAACGTGTATGACCTCAGCCCCCTTGGTTCTAGTCCCATTTTTACCATTCTGCCATTTCATATGAAGAAACTAAGGCCCAAAGAAGTTGTGACTTTCTGAAAACCATATTGCAATGCAAGCCAGGCCTCTGACTTCAACTGTATGATCCTCTTCCCGTGAGATCACCTTTCCTGAAATACAGTCAGCCTTATTGTTTCTCACCATCGTGTATGGTCCCTGGCTACCTCTCCAGCTGTATACATACTGTACTTTTTTTATTGTACTGCACACCAGCTAAACTGAACAGTTTGCTGTTCTTCAGTTGCAGCCCTCACTTAGCTGACTTCACTCTTTGCTGGAATTATTCCTTCTCCTAAGAACCCACACTCACATACAACTTCCCTCACACCCAATACATTTCCTGTGCTATCGAAGACCTTCTAATTCTTCCTGGTCTTCTCAAATTAACATTTGAATTTGCTCTTTAGCCTACATCCATGGTTGTCTGGGTGAACCTTCTATGAAATCCTTATGAGTTCAAGATTCTTCATCTAACCAGGGACACAGGGATTGATTGCTGAACACTTACAGATTTGAACTACAATTACGTTACTTTATTTCATTGTTATGATAGTAAAGAGGTGAGAGTAAATTTGTATTGTAGTTTGACAACACTGTTGGTCCAATATAGAGAAGCTCATGTGTGTTTTGGCCCCCCATTCATGAAAACAATATATTTTTTGCTTCTTCATGGATTTCCTTCCTTAACCCTTTTTTTCTCCAGTTGTCCAAAAGTTCCTGATCCTTAGCTGAGAGAATTCAGAAAAATAATGCATTGATACCATATTTTGATCAATTGGGAGAGTACAGTGTAACCCACTTTTTTGGGTTTAATTTGTAGTTATTAACAGCTTCAAAGTGTATATTGTGAATTATAGTTTCAATAGAATGGACATATAGTATGTGTCAAGTGTCAAGTGTCAAAGCACCAGGGATGGGCAACTAACTTGGCTATTTTATTATGCAATGATATACTAAAGCAGAATGTAGTGCACAGCACTAGCTGTAAAGACCTAATGCTTCCAGCTTATTATGTCTACATGCTTTCCAAAAATAATTAATTAAATGTTGAGAGAGATAGATAGAACATCGTGTTAAAAGTAGCAGTCCTTTTAAGAAGAGAAATAATATTTCATTATGGGAAGGAGATATTGTTTTGTATTTGCAGTAACCAGAGGCGCCTTCTAGCTGTGTCCTTGCATGGTAGAAGGGGGTGACCACCTCCCTCTGGCCTCTTTTATAATGGCACTGATTCCATTCATGAGGCCTCCGCCCTTAGGACCTAATCACCTCCCAAGCTCACTTCCTCCAAATGCCATTGCCTTGGGGATTAGGATTTCAACCTGTGAATTTTGGTGGTTCAGAAGCATTTAGACCACAGCACTCAGTCTCCTCATCTGTAAAATGGGGGTAGAATCTACACCAATAAAGGAGCAGACAGTTTACAGGCACTGGGAGGTGTTTTATGCATTTAGTCTCCTCTGTGGATTAAAGCAGACTAAATGTGTAAAACACCTCCCAGTTTCTCACCCAAGTTCTTGCTAAAAAAGAAGGACTGCTCTTCTTGCAAGTCCTCTGACCTAACACTGCAAAGGGGAAACAAAATAGCTCTTTAGCGTCATGCTTGCAACAGAGTAAGCTAGCAAATATAATTATGTAATGACTTTTTGACGCTTTTAAGTAAATTGCCTCTTATAAGAAATTTCGTAGTTTCCTTCTAAGTTTTAAAACACTAGCCAAATTTACTATTTTAATAAAAACTATAAAAGAATACAAAGTATCCCAATATTTTAAACTTTGATTTTATTTAAATTTTAAGGAGACCAAATATTGTGTATATATTTTGCAGTAGGAAATACCACATAGATATGAATCATGGGCATATTATGTATGACTGACATTGCACATGAACTGTGATCAGCCTCACCGATGTCTCTTTAATAAAAAATTGTTTTAATACAAATATTCTCAGTATAAAATTGATAATATAAATATATGCTGCTTTTTTTTTTTGGTGAACAGTCAGAAAGTGTAGCGTTTTCAGTGGGCTAATCTAAAAGATATACTGAGAGAGAATGTTTTTAAAGCTAGACAAAATGTTATGGCTAACATTTGCCAAATGTTTGGCAGTTAATAACATTTAAATGAAGAATAAAAATACACTTTGGGAGGTCGAGGTGGGTGGATCACTTGAGGCCAGGAGTTCAAGACGAGCCTGTCCAATGTGGTGAAACCCTGTCTCTACTAAAAATATAAAAGTTAGCCAAGTGTGGTGGTGCATGCCTGTGGTCCCAGCTACACGGGAGGCTGAGGCAGGAGGATTGCTTGAGCCCAGGAGGCAGAGGCTGCAGTGAACTGTGATCATGCCACTGCACTCCAGCCTGAGTGACAGAGTGAGACCCTGTTTCAATTTTTTAATAATGTAATAAAAGGATGAGTATTCAGAATATCTAAAGAGCATTTACAAATCAATAAGAACAAAGAACTATGGATACAAGCAAGAAATTTACCAAAGAAGTACAGCAACCTCACTAGCGTTTAGATAAATACAAAAGCAATCAGATTGGCACAGTGGAAAAGTTTGATAATATATATTGTTGACCGAGGTGTAGAAAAATGGATTCTTTTCTGGTCAGAGTGTAAATTGACTCAGCCACTTAAAAATGTATTTGTTACAATGTATCCTTGGGTCCAGCTATTTCACTTCACTGTGTCTACCCTAAAATAACTCTTGTACTTACGCACAATGAGGCATGCCGGTGTATATTCACTGCAGCATCACTTATTATCATGAGAAATTGAAAGCAAAGGAAGTGTCCACTAGGACAGAAGTGGCTGTGTAAACTACAGTGCATCCAGGACACATAGTAGTCTTCAGCGGTTACAGAGAATGGGCTAGAACTGCATGTGTTGATAATAAACCATCTCCATGATAGACTAAGTGAAAAAAATAAATTGTACAACAGTTTATGTGATGTGATATGTCACCATTTGTTTACAAAGGAAGGCAAGGAAGGAGGGAGGAAAGAAGGGAGGAAGAGTGCAAGAGAGAAAGAGAGGAAAGGAGGAAGGGAGGACGGACAGACTGCTATAGATTTTCCATAATAGTAGCTTTCAAATGCTTGGAAATGACTATCAATAGAAAACGCATTTTATGTCTTGGCTGAGTGGACCCTTCCAATGTACTCTGAAATTTTAAAATCTAGTTCCGATTCATTTGATATCATTTTTCAAAATGCTGATCATAACATTAAAATTGGCTTCAGGACTCAAGTATGGTTTGAAAAACACTGTTTTGAAGTGTACATTTATGTATGTAAATGGATAGAGAAGTGAGTGGAAGTCAACACACCCCTCTGATATCACAGGTTATTTCTGGGGAGGTGGCTGTGATGGGTGGTGGCTCCTGGGAGCCTTGAATCTCATTTGTACAACTAACATTTTTGTTTGTTTGCTTGCTTGTTTTTATAGGGGCATGCGTAATTAAATATTTTTAACTTTATTTTTTAATAACTAAGTAATCAAAAGTATTTCCAGAAGTCAAGGATGTGTTGGGATTGTGAGGGTAGTGGTCAAAGGGTCTCAATAAAAATAATTTTTGAGTTAAAAAAATTGCATAGTTGATTAATTCAGAAGGAAGACATTCTAGCTAACTCTTTGTTTTTGTATTTAGGGCCACAGATGGGCACATTCTTGTGGCAAGGTAGAGTCAAACCTATGTGATATCCCATTCAAAATGTCATCACAGATCTAAGAACTCTTTGCCATGTTGTGAGATTTTAACTCATTAAAATCTATGAATCTATAAACTATGAATGTTGCATCTACAAATCAGAAACATAGTATAAAAATGATTTTAAAAAATCAAGCTCTCCATTTTCAGAGAATGCAAAGTTAATTTTTCTGTAGCAATAACAACTTGGTCATGTTACACACTGTCTAGTATTTGTTTTGGGTCTAGACGAACAGTTACATTTTAAGAATTATTTCTCCAAGAAGCACTACTGTAGAAAATATGGCATGTGTACACTTGGCCATCTCCACAAGATGGAGCAGACAACTCCAGCTCTCTGTTTTCTATTTTAGAGCTACATTAACTCTTTCTATTTGCCTCTTTACATTTTTATCCCAAGGGTATTTATTAAACCTCATATTAATAATCAAATAATTCATATTAAAAGGAGTAAACATTGTGTCCATGGGATAGAGACTCTTTAAATTTCAAACATTTAAACAAGGTATTAACTGCAGATGAGCTAGAACTAGATTATTTCTTGTGCTAAATTCTAAACTAACTCAGTAAAGATATCTGTAAAGAAAGTAGTATTTCTTTGAATGTTTATATTTTATTCTTTTTTGCATTTTATGTCTTAAATATACATTTTCATGTGCTTATAATAAAACAAGTTGACTCTTTTAAATGACTGCATTGAATGTTCTCTTTAAATGTCTTGAAAACAAAATATTTATGGTAAAATATGCAAGCTTTCTCAGGAAGTGCTTATAATAGAAGCGTTTTTAAAGATGTTTAGCTGTTGTTAAAGCAATAACTATATTCATGTTTAACTTCATAGTAGCTCAATGTTGTGTGAAGGGAAGAAAAGAGGGTCTTTGGAACTTTCATCTTTTTTTTTTTTTTAAAAGGAAATTAGCAAGAGAAGTTTTATTGCGGAAAGCACACTCTAGGTTAAGGGGAGGAAAGGAAAGAGAAAGAGAAGGAAGAGAAAGGAAGGAAGATAATGCACATCACATATCTGAAGTCTCTTTTTGTTTTATCCAGTGTGGTTCTGTGGGTGAAAAGAGGCAGAGGTGGCCTTGTAGGTAATCTAGAGAAAAGAGTCATTCCTTTAAATAGTTTTATAGTCCTCAGGTTAAGAACAGACTGTGGCTATGGCAGAGGACGCTGGGAAAGCAACTAATATGTAATTTGACACTGAATTAGTCTGAAAACTGTGAAGGTGGTGTGGCTGTATGATGAGAATTCAGGATAAATTATAAATGTGCCCTACTTAGACATGGAGAGAAATCTATGTGAAAATTATAATTTGTAATAATCAAAGGTTTGAAAGTTATTTAATTCTAGCTAAAAGAATTTTCATTTTTTTTTGCTCTGTAAGAATGTTCAGTGATTACATTTTATAGTTTTGATAAAATTAGTCTTAAAATATGTTATGGAAGGCATAATGAATTTAAAAGTTAAAAGCATGATAGCCTCTTAACTATACATGTCTGAAGCCTGGCTTTTCAGTGGCTACTGTATCTAAGGCACTGCTGACTCCTGATGGCAGCCTGCTGTAATTGCCAGCAAAATATCCAAGTGATAAGCAGTCTTTCAGATGTTATTATAGATAATATCATTGTGTTACTTAGAAGTCTGAGAAGTAAAGGGAAGATATTTTTTATTCCATGTCATAAAATGTTGAAGTATTACAGGGTCTCTGCATATTGTCTCATTGATAAGGTGAAGTCTTTGCTTTAAAATTTGTGTTAGAATTTTACTTCATTTTTTCACTAATGTAACTTTTGAAAGAGAACTTGACTAACTACAAAATTTATCACCCACAGCATCAGCAGGAATTGCTGTGTCCCAGAGGAAAGTGCGTCAGATCAGTGATCCTATTCAGCAGATATTAATTCAGCTGCACAAAATAATCTATATCACACAGGTCAGTGTTCTAGCTTTTTATTTCCTTTTCATCTTAAATGCAAGTTTGGTGCTAATATTGCTGAAGAACTATTTTGGAGGACTTTAGATTGAATTCTTGTTCTTATCCTCCCCAGCTACATACATGTGGGGACACTTTAGTTTAGCAGCAGAGCTGGGAAGGCAGTAGAGTAACAAAGCAAATATATGGGATTTTCCCTATGATTCCTAACATCCTCTCTTACTGTTAGTGCCCAAACAAACCAAACTTCACCATAAATGGCCCTCCTGTAGGGGTGCAAGTGGAGACGGAGTTGGGATTCTTTGCTCTTAAGCAGCTTTACTCTAAGAAAGAAAGAGGAAAATAGTGCCCACACATTAATTCTGAGAATGCTAGGTTGAAAATAGGACCTTTCAGAGAGTGAAAGCCAAAACCACACAAAATCCAGAATTGTTAAAATTTTCTACTTGTAAATCTCAGTGATTCCTAGCACTGAGAAAATAATCAGTGCTAAAAAATGGCTATTAATTATTGACAGAAATATGTCTAGAAATAACTTGAAGGCTCTGTTATATATGGTTAATAAAATCTTTTTTTTAGACAAAGAAGTGCAGAAGACCTTTGGACATGAAAGTCACTGTTATTTTGAAGTCTAAAATTGTGTATCTTATGTGGTTTATTCATTCATTCACTCACTTGACATATAATTATTAGGTGCCTACTATGTGCCAGATGCTATTCTAGGGACTTGGGATACATCCACGAGCAAAACATAAACATTGCCTTGCTCTAGATTCAAAGAACCAATGGGGGATGCTGTCAGCTGCCAGTTTTGGCAATTCCAACTAAATATTCAGATACTGAAGAGAAATACCACAAGTTAAATGGACCAACTGGGCCCATTGGGCTCATATTTCATTTAACTAACCCCCATCCCTACCCAAAACATCCCAAAACAAAAAATCATTAAAAATGGTGTACCACAGTAACATGATAAGACTCTAGGAATCTTGATGTCAGTTTGCAACCAGTGTCTAGTATTTGCTGAAAGCCTGTGTATTTCCTTTTCCCCAGTAAACAGTCACTCTAGTAAATGGCTGCGGTTCTCCTTGGGGGAGGTTTGGAGGAAAATGTATAGTGTGCACTTGTAGTAATATTTCAGGGGCCTTCCTCAAGGGGTCCCAGCTTTCCACTTAATCAAGGGGCTTTGAGTCTTTGAATTGACTTGCATCTGGAAACTGTGTGAGAAGCTATAACTCTTCACTGTAGCAATGGCAACTTAGGGCAGGTTTCTGTCTACCACACCTAGATAATCTTTTCTGTTAAACTGATCAAGGAATACTTTAATAGGCAGACCATCTATTTCTTTTCCAGGAACACCCTAGTCAACTAACCACTGCCAAAGATCTCTGTTGGCTAAGGCATTCTAAATAATAGTACCTCCCTGCTGCCCTTTATGGAAGATGCTCTCAGTTTGCTATTAGTGGTCAAGTGCTGTCAGTTGGCCCCTGACAACTGGATACATTGAAATCATGTATCGTTCGGTGTCATACCTGGCCTCCAAAGGAGAGCAACCACAGGGCTTTTCAAGGATGCTGGTGCTCCCCTTTCCAATGTATTTCTCAATGTCTTAGTGAAAGGAATGGCTTCTGGATGTTCTTGCTGAATGTGGTTAGGGAGTGGGTGTGCAAGTCACACATGGTAAATCTACCCCAATGAGCCCGTCTCTCTGAGCCTTTGAAATCACCCCTTTACATGCCAGAGAAGCTCTGGCATTTTACCCTCATCAAACACAGACCATGGTTAAGTACAAGTTTTACTCAAACAACCAGTTAAACTACTTCCAGCTGCATGAACTAACATGTGAAATCTGGAGTCTGTAGTACGTGCACCCATATCAATGAATTCAGCCTGATCTAGTGCTATAGTTTTTACCCTTCTTGGCCTACCCTTCTTAGAATCCACTCCTGTACATGTTCTCTGGGTTGCTGCTGAAATGTAATAGCAAAATCTTGCAATTCTTTTCCTATTTCATACTGGGTCATGGTGTACATGAATTCCCCTGGATCATATTGAAATAGGACCCTAGTTATGGATTTGACCCTCATTGTGTTGGATCTCATGAGGAAATGAACATCCCTTTTAAAGACATTTGTCCTAGATGAGGTTATCATAGGGTTTTCAAGCAAAGAAAGGTTCATGTTCTCAGACACAGAGTGGCAAGCTATTTTTAATTGCTATGAAGGCTCAGAGTGACCTTGGTTTTAGGATTGTTAGTTTTACTTGGGTAGTCTCAACAAGATGTTCCTATTCCAAGTTTTAGAATTCTTTTTTTTTCTAACTTTCACATGAGAAATTTGATAACATGTGACTTCATCCGACCTTGTAATTTAGTAAGCTGCTCGATTAAATTTCGATTATCAGCCATATCAGCACTGTAGCAGAAGAAAGCAATGGATTCTTTTAGGGCTATCTTGGGATCTTTCCACGTCTCAGACCATGACTTCAGCTGAGCTGTAAAGGACCCAAGCTTGTCATTTTCTTTCTGTAAGTGCTCCAATGCATTCAAAAGAACCCATTCTGTGCCATAGTCCTTGTGTTCTTCATTACTGTTTACTAGTCAAGAACAGCAGCTATTTGGGCTTCCAAGGCACCTGCTTCAGTTGGCACTTCATCAGGATAACCTGATTAATTGTGATGCAACTGCATGCCATGGATTACTAGCATCCCATGTCCTATTGGCAACAAGCAAAGGAACAAACAAAACTCAGCACTGGGCTCAGTTCCAAGGGCACAGTCAAACCAGTTCCCAAATCCTATCTGTATGGGCTCTTCTGGGACATTCCTAAAACCTGTATCTGTATCAGTGAGGGTCTAGTCAGAAACCATACCATAGTTTCAACAGGGAAGGTTTAATGTAAAGAATTATTAACTATGATGAGTATTATCTACTAGGGAGGGGAAGAGAAATCTAAAGGATGTAGGAAGAGCACAAAAAGAAGTCACAACCTCTAGGGCTGAGGCAGAGCACCCAAGAAAGGAACAAATATAGAATTGGGCACTCCCACACTAGGTCGAAGTCCTGACCTTACTGAAAAGATCAGAAAAATTAGTAAGGTGCTATACTGGAGAAACTTGAAGCGAAGTGTCCCTCTGGGGGACCTGGGCAAGCCCTCCACAGTGAGGTACTGTGCCCTGGAACTTACTGGGAATCAGCACTTGAGGGTATTGTGCTGGGTAGCACCCTCCATGGGACCAGGGGAGGCCACCCTGAGTTAGGTGTTGCTCCATGGAATTCTCTGGGGAGCGACCTGCAGAGTTGGTGCCACTGGATTTGACTGGGGGTTAGCACCAACCTCTAGGGGTCCCACATGTGCTGTTTGCTATGAGCTGCCGCAGCAAGGCAACGCAGGAGCATCACTGGAGCCAGGAAACAAGATCCATCCTCCTTCAGCATCCCTCCAGGGCTCTCTTCTGATAGAGCTTAGCATCCTGCTAGATGGCAAGGGAGAAATGTTCCAGTATCACAAGCTGGATAATGAAAGGGTGGACTTGGAGCTGACAGGCTGCTTACTGACACACTTAACCTAGGGGACTAGACAAGGAACCGCCTTCTTTGGTGTCTCCCTACCTCTGAGTTCTCCTTGCTTTCCCTTTAGCCTGGGTAGTCTTTAAGCCTGGGGCTGAGTAGCCTGGGTCTTATCTATCAAGTTTTGTCCAAACTCTGGTGTTCTTTTTTCTTTCCCGATGGCTGCCTTTTGGAGATGCAAGAGTCTAAAACTGATCACTTTTCTATTTTCTGCTGTCAAGCTTTCTCTTAGGCAACCACAGAATTGTCTAACTAATTACGTAAAAGAGGGTGAAGGAGTACAGGGAAATATTGGGGGAAGCTTGACTAATACATCAAAATATAATCTGCCATATCTATATTGAGTAAAGTGGTTATATTAATGCATGTCCATTTAAATACTGATATAGAAATATGGAAAAAGCATTCTTAACTTTAGTGTTACGGAAATAGCTTTAAATAGCTTTTTAGTTCTCTTAACTATTAACTATTCAATTGAGAGAAATATCCTTTGAAATTTAAATATAGTTTTCATATGCCTGTCTTGCTAATTTTTATGTAATAAAAAACTTTATAATGTATACCATTTTCTTATTGGATTTCAAAGTAGTTTAAAGCAAGAGTAAAACTATTATAAATATCTTATTATTATGCTCTTGAACTGCCAGTGTAACAAATGATTTCATTTTTTTTGGCAGAATGGCATTCCTTGCTACAAGTTCAAATATAACTATCGTGATTTTTAAAATGTATTTCCAGAATACTCTAAAGTTTATGACATTGCACATAGTCGGGAATGATTCCTCTTTGAGGAACTTTAACTTATAGTGCTAAACAAAGTCAATGACTTTCAAATAAAAAAGAAAAATACATGTAAATATTATACTAGTGTATTTGCTATAGGTTAAAGACCAAGATCAGTTACTTTGCTAATTGCAAAGGAAGACTGAAAGTAAGAATGAATTGGAAAAACAAACAAAAAGACAATATTTTCACATATTTATTTACTAGTCAAACTCTCTCAGACTTAACACTTGGTAGCTGCCCTAAACTGAGGGGCCACATATCTCCTGACAACCAGCAGATGAACTTAACAAGGAAAACTTCTTACTTTTGGTTGGTGGTGGCCTTTTCTGTCTCGTTTCCATGGAGACAGATCAGTGAAAATCATCTAAAAGCAACTATTTTAGAAGGCAGGATGTTAAAATCCTTACCTTGCTTTCTAACTGATTTGACCTCTGTTTTTATCAAAGCTGAAATGGTAATCGTAAGACCAGCAAGCTAAGTATGAAATCAGTGGTTTACTTCTATTGCTGGAACCCCAAATCTACCTTTGGACATATAAGGTGACTAAAGTACATATGTTACCTTTGAGTATGAGTCTTTATGTGTTATTGCTTAGGTCACACCTGCACAGCCCAGTGAAGCACTGGATTTAACTTTATACTTACATTTAGATTGTTTTGTTAAATAGATGCTTTGAAAATCAGGATATATAGCATCTTTTAAAAATTAAACATTGGGGCCGGGCGCGGTGGCTCACGCCTGTAATCCCAGAACTTTGAGAGGCTGAGACAGGTGGATCACAAGGTCAGGAGATCGAGACCATCCTGGCTAACACAGTGAAACACCGTCTCTACTAAAAATAGAAAAAATTAGCCGGGCGTGGTGGTGGGCGCCTGTAGTCCCAGCTACTCGGGAGGCTGAGGCAGGATAGTGGCGTGAACCTGGGAGGTGGAGCTTGCAGTGAGATGAGATGGCGCCACTGCACTCCAGCCTGGGTGACAGAGCAAGACTCTATCTCAAAAAAAAAAAAAAAAAAAAAAAAAAATCGATCTCCTAGAGAACAGGCAAGCCATTTATTTGAAGCGCCTTTGAATTGTTTGTCTTCACAACCACAGTTATTGCCAATGGAAAAAAATGTAGTTCAGAATAGCAATGTGTTGTCCTCCAATGAAAATTATACTACTGACTGTCATTGGTGAAACGTTCTGTGTTTTTTCAGCAGTAGTGATGGATAAGACTAGAACCATCCATACCTGCTCATCTGGATCTCCTGTACTAATGGCAAGGGTGACCTAGATTTAACAGAATAAGATATTTAGGATAAAGTTGTATTTCTTAAATTGACTGCCATTTTCAGGGTTTGTAAATTCTAAGAGAAGTGTTATGTTTTGTGTATTTAGTTTGATAACAGTCTTTGAACATTCTGTTTTAGCATTTAGGGAAATATCCTCTTATGCAGTAATGTCAAAATAACTTTTTAAAAAATAGAATTAGGAACTAACTTAAATCACTTTTTATCAAATGGAGTCCTGTGAACAATGGATAGTCTTCTGATGTATTCTTGGAGATACTAGAGAATATAGCAAGTTCTTTAAAAGAATCCATATATTCTTCCATATGTAGAAATCTATATATTCTTTTCCAATATTAATATTATGCAAGTTTGAGAAAACCTAGTATAAAACATGCAGATCGGCTTTCATTATTTTGTTACTTTGTGTAGTATAGTAAAAACAAGCAAACAAAAACCAAGCTTTTAGGTGTGTGACTTTGAGGAAGTAATTATCTTTTTAAGAGTCACTTTCTTCATTTGTAAGATGGGGGAGCTTATGAGACTACTTGCCTCAAATGAAATAAAGTATGTAAAAATGTTTGTTTATTTGTTTCTTTATTGGAGATGGATCTTGCCATGTTGCCCAAGGCTGGTCTTGAACTCTCCTGGGCTCAAGCGGTCCTCCCACCTTTGCCTCCCAAAGTGCTGGCAATACAGGCATGAACCACCGTGCCTGGCTGAAAATGTTTCTAAACTATAAAGTGCTATCCTACAGTAATGCTAGTCATGGTGGCATCTGTTCTAGAATAATGGCTGTGCTAGAAGACGCTGCTCAGAAAGTATTCTTGCATGTTACATAATGTCTTTAAGCTCTGACTTCCTCACCTATAAAATAGTACTTGCTTTATAAGTTTGTCGTGGAGAAAAAAGTGAGACTGCGCATAAATGAGTAGTCATAGTGTCTGGCTCAAATGAATCATAGACATTAATATTCTATTCTTAGTATTATAGTCCTTACGTATAATATATTATTATGTTTATATCACCTGCAATTAAACTATGCATGAGTCATCATTTTGTGTAAAATTTTAAATTCTTGTATGAAAAAACTTCAAAGATGGGGTGCTGTCCATTGTAATAATTATTCCAGTAAGATCAATAGCTTTCTAATATATATGCAGCTTAAGTTGACTGAATGTTAACTTACTCAAATGAGTTTTTGAGGCTTAATTCAGACCATCAGGAGCAGTAAAAACAATTCTAACTTAACTAGAGGCTTCTCAAGTTAAATAAATCGCAAGAATTCTCAGAGTACCTGAATTAATAATCTGATACTCATAGCTTCCAGTAGTGGGTTAAGTCCCCTTTGAAGGAAGCTATGAGCCCACTGGTGTTCCACACTTTCAAAAGTTTGTCATAGCAGAGAAGGCTCGCTGCCTTTCTGTTTGACAGCCCCTTGCAGTCAGCTGGGCAGCAGCTAGAGGGTTCTGGGCCAACACTGCCCTCTGGTGTTTGGTTTGGGGAAGTGGCAACTTTTGGTGCATTACAAAAGGGAATTATCAAACCTGTGCTCTGTCCAGGTACTTTCTGGTCCCCTCATTACTCCATCCCATCTTCCTGCTAGGAATATACATGCACATGCTCCTCACCTTCATGTCTGTTTCTATTCTAAGTTAAATTCATTTCTCTTTTGCTTTTCTCTCTCACACACATATATCATTTATACTCATTTTCCTTCTCATCTGTCTTTGATTTGCTCCTTAATGCTGAGAAATCTCTCTCTCTCTCCCTGCACCCCCCTTCCTCTCTTTTCTTTCTCTATTCCACATTTTTTTAAATTTCCTCCTTTCATTTCATGTGAAAGGACAATAATAATTATGACTATTTGCTGGGAGCCGAGGAAGGGATCCCATCTGGATTAAGGCAAAAGAAACTATAATATTGACCTGAAAAGAGGTCAGAGGAGACTCAGTGCTGCCAACCTACAAAACATTTCAGAGTACACTGAAGTGCTTCAGTATCTCCAGAAGAGTCTTATTTCTTCGCTAATTAACGTATTTTGACTCAAACACTAGGATAAAAGATACATTTTTTATTTTTTGAGATGGAGTTTCGCTCTCATTGCCCAGGCTGGAGTGCAATGGCATTATCTCAGCTCACCACAACCTCCACCTCCGGGGTTCAAGCAACTGTCCTGCCTCAGCCTCCCAAGTAGCTGGGATTACAGGCATGCACCACCATGCCCGGCTAATTTTGTATTTTTAGTAGAGATGGGGTTTCTCCATGTTGGTCAGGCTAGTCTTGAACTCCTTACCTCAGGTGATCCTCCTGCCTCGGCCTCCCAAAGTGCTGGGATTAAAGGCATAAGCCACTGCACCCAGCCAAAGATATATTTTTAAAAACATTTTTCAATTGAATTATTTTCCTGTTTTATATAATTACAGTACTTCATAATGGGCCCTACATTCTACTATATTTGGGATGATGAAAAGTTTTTATTTGGCTGTGCAATCAGTGTTGTGAGCCCCTCCCTGTAGGCCCTATTCTTTGCTCTGCCATTATCTTTTATATGTCCTCCTGTCTGACAAAACTTGAGTAAATAAGATAAGGTTAAGTCATGCTGAACGAACAGTTACACCCTGAAATTCCTTGGCTTGACACAATAGAGGTTTATTTCTTACTCAGTTCCATTCGGGCTGCTCAGGTGGCCCTGTTCCTTCTTGTGGCTGTGCAGTCAGAATAGGATGGTAATGCCAAGCTCCTTGCAGTAGGGAGGACAGTGGTGGAGAAAACACACTGACTTTGAATTGTCTTATCCTCAGAGTGACACACATCATTTTTATTGACCAAAAGTAGTCACATGGTACTAACTAAGCCTGTAAAGGAGCCTAGAAAATAGAGCAGGGTTGGGGTAATAATTATTTCTGATACATTCTTCTTTCTTTTGATCTGAGCTTTGAATTATATTCTTGTTTAATATTGAGATCTCTTACTATCACATTTTCCTTTCCACTTAGCCATCTTTTTTCTGACTGGTTCCTCTTTCTCTCCCTTCAAGTTCTTTCCATAATTTAAACAAAACCAAATATTATTTCCACTCTGAGACCCTTTTAATCCTGACCCAATTTCTTTTCTATTATCCTTCTTCTAAATGTCACTTCATCTTTCTGTGCTTTCCAGGACTTTTGATTTTCTTGTAGAGATCCAACCTACAAAGCATGACAAATCATTTTTTTAATCCCCATTTTTTTTGTTACCATGTTTTCTAAGGTCCTACCATGACTTTCTACTACTCACTTACTAAATGTAACTCATCCTAGTCTGGTCTTAATATATGCTAATCTATCCTCTCTTTCTTCTGGAATGATTGGTACCTAAATCTGACCTCTCTGCAGCTGAATTTTCAGGAGCACTCCAAGACAGGCATCTGACTATATATACTACTAAAGCAGATATGTATTTCCTGGTCCAAAGTGTCAGATCCTATAGTACCAAGGCTACAGTGTTTGGCATAGTTCTAGGCATATTATAAGCACCTAAACATCTGATAAAAGTGCACCATTCTGTGTCAAGACTGTTCTTCACAAAATTCAGTATATGTGTGCAATTAATGAATAATTTGTTAAATGAAAAATAATATCAATCAATGAAGAAACAATAAGATAAATGGAAGCAGCCATTTGAAAAAGAGCAAAATAATATATTCCTTCTGAATCGCAGGGTAAAAATTATAGCATCTAGTCATGCTATTTGCAGTAAAATTTAAATTCTTACATAGTCCTATTGAGTGAATATTGTTACATGGGCCCTCAGCGAATGCTTTTTGTAGTCAGCTGTGTAGTGTTAACAATTTGTTTATAATGATTGTTTTCTTATTTTATGCAGCTTCCTCCAGCTTTGCACCACAATTTGAAAAGAAGGGTTATAGAGAGATTCAAGAAATCCCTCTTCAGCCAGCAGAGTAACCCTTGTAATTTGAAATCTGAAATTAAAAAGGTATGGTATTCTATATATAGGAATTCTTTTGCTGACAAAACCACATCATAAGAGGTACATTTTATACCTCCTTTACTTCGTACTTTAAGCTCTATCCTCTATTAAAGTTTCTTATTGCTGCTTTACATACTAAATTGAGGATATGTCTTTGCTTCTGATTTTCTCTATTTCCGTGGCCCTTATTTTTAGATAACAAATGGATAGCTTTTTCAGTATTTTTGTATGTTTTCCTAAGAAAAAGTAATATTTAATTTGAAATGTGTATATTTTAGCCTCTTCTAGAGAATTATATTCTGATATTTTATTAGAATAATCTTCAATAAGCTCCAAAATTGAGATTTGTCACTCTGAAGAAGTCATTTAACCATCTGGGGCCATTGATTTTTTATTATCTATGAAAGCTGACTGAACTATTTCTAAGGTTCTTTCCATCTTAGATAGTCTACAATCTTCTAGACCTTAGATACTAGCAGACATTTCTGTCCATACATATAGCAACTAAACTACAAAAATACTAAATCAACTGGGCAGAAAGAAAATTGTTTACCTCTGGTTAACAAAACTTGATATTGGAAAATCCCTTTGTCCTGGTTGGTAGACCTTTCGATACAGCCCTGGAAGTGGCCATAAGCTCCCCTGAAAGGCCCAAGGTACAAGCAATTCAGGCCCACCTAGGTAAAGACAATTGGTAGCACTCCAATTTCATATTTTTTAAAAAGTTTCATCATATTTTTAAATGGGTAGCATAGTCATGCTGCCAGTGAACTTTTCCTTTAAGGTTTCACGTTCCTTTAATGCATCAAAGCTTCAGCATTAACTTACTCATTATTTAGAAAATATGATAGGCTCTTTGATAAGAAATGCAAACAACATTCTTTAGCTTTGTTGTTTCACATCACTGGTATCTGCACATACACCAAAAACAGATGGGGGAAAAAGACACAGCTGCAGGTAAACAAAACATAAAGCCTGCTCCATCAGAGATTAGAGAGCAAGGTTTCTTTCCTGGGTTGTGTTGGCAAATAGGGCCAAGAAACAAAGCTGAAGGAGATCAAAGCAGTAGAAGAGGCTTCAGATATTTATCTTATGATATTTATATATTGTATCATAATAAACACATTTTTAAAAGATAAAAGCTTAAATCTCCCATGAAAAGATAATATGTTGCTTGGTTTTTTATTCTTATTAAGGTCATATAACTCTTATTCTTATTTTATATTCTTATTAAGGTCAGAATAATCTGGTTTGAGCATAGACTTATTTTAACAGAAATCCTAGTTTTATGAGATGAAAGCATCTGCTACAAACTGTCTGAGACATAAAGGTGGCTTCAACTCCCACTGAGTGATTTTCCATCAGTGCTTCTCTTTATTTTCTCGTTTATTACTTATGTTTTTGGTGTTGCAACTCTTCCTCACTTTCTTTCCTCTCCTGATAGAGAAGATTTTGTTTGTTAAATTCTCCCACCCACTCCTTGTCTTCCTTCCTGTGTATTGTGGCAGCATCTCTCATTGGGCATTTACCTTCTGATACACCTCGTCTGGGAAAATAAAAACAGGAATTGGTAGGGTGGTAGGAGATGTTTGGGAAGCATGGGTGAGAGAACCCTCAGGAATAGACTCATCCTTATTATTAACTTGTTTAAGAGGCAGATTATACTCTCCTATAAAGACTGCCATGGTTCTCTTGTCTGATACTACAAGCCCATGGTGGTCTTTGGGACATCTTGTATGGACCTTTAGGTAGGGAAAGGCCCTATATATTGCTTTAGGGCTCATGATCAACAGAAGTGTGGTTCCATTCCTCTACAGGCAGCTTCAGGCTTGCGCCATCTCCCCATGAAGTTGGATGATACCTTCATGGGGGTGTATCCTCTTAGTCAGAGAGGCAGGCCTCCTGGGTGCTAAAGAAATCCTCAGCTTGGGATATTAAAACACTTCCTATTCTTTACCACCAAACTGAAAAAAATAGCTCTGACAAAAAAAAAAAACCTTTCTTAATTTTCCCTGTCCAGAATTAATCTTACCTTTCTCTATGGGTGAATCCACTTTTTCACCTGTATTATTGTGTTTTAAATAGCTTTTTATCTACCTTACATTCTGTTTCCCCCAAAGTTGGTGGGTGTGTCTTATTTATCTTTGATTCCCCAGGGCCTTGCACAGTGCCTGGCATGTGGTAGGTACTTAATGTTTAATAATTGGAGATAGGATATATAATACATTAATATATATTCTGTATAATATATAGTTGTTCCATTCTTTATTGGTATACTGATAAAATATATTCATATATGTAACTTTCCTGCCTTCATCTAAACTTAAATGAGAAGAGTTTGTGACCTCCATTTTTACCCCTTTTCTGGTATAATCTTTTGATAGCAACAACTTCTGTTCATAAATGGATTTTTCATTCCCTGTGTAACCATAGAGGAGTGGCCAATTAGCCTTTGACTGACACAGTCACCCCATACCAGGGCCATAGGAGCAGTAAGTGGTGACAGCCCGTAAATGCACTTGATTTCTACCTTTCTCACTGAAACTTCTAAAACCCACGGGCCCTGTGTCCCTAGTTTGAAGGAGCCATTATGGGATGACTGTGCCTACTTACTAATAGCCTAAGACCCAGAAGGATACAGAAGATTCAAAAAGTGCAAAAGGCCTTTTCTAAGACATTAAGCTCTTTATTTATACCTCACCTAAGTTAGTCTTCAATCCAGTCTGCTCAATCTTGGCTAGAATTGCGAGGGGAGTAAAGCAACCAAGTAATTGTATAGGTACCCTTGGGAACTAGGATTTTCAGCATGGAGGAAAGGGGAAACAGAAGCAAGATAGCAGAGATTCATCTAAATTGGAATTGGAAGTATCAGTGTGAATGAATATGAGTTCATGATAAATCTCATCTATTAAAAAATATACACATTTCCTAATATTTTCATTGAAATAGTCGAGAAACTAATCAAGCAGCAATGAGCTCCTCCACCCATGACTCCTTGGGGATATAGGTGATTTTGGTCTAGAGCAGGAACTGTACAAGATTAGACTGGAATATTTGGACATACAGATAGCATAGTAAGTATGGTGTCAAGGACTACTGAGAGTATATCAAAAGTTCTCAAGAGCCAAATTGAAGAGGCTCCCACTGGCTATTTATGGGATAATTGGAACATCAATAAGAATAATAAATTGAAAGCATTAAATAAGGTTTAAACCCAAGAGTTCATAATACCAAAAAAGAAAAAAAAAAATCCCTCATTGGTTACCTTTGGAAGATGCTAAGTAACCAGCTTATTATATTGAAAATTGTTTACATAGGAAAGAAGAAAGCTTTTATTCTGCCTTTCCTTTATGAATTCTATCGCATGTTAACAAAATCATTGAGAGGAAAAGTTTCTTATTGTAGAAGTACTTAAGCTAATAAGTGCCAAAGGGATAAAGAATATTCCTGTTTTGCAGTCCCTGTTTAAATGATAGCACCTAGATATGATCACCAATGGGCGTTAATGTCACAAGAAGGACAATCAGGCATTATATGCCACCTGATGGGAGTGTACAGCACTGTCTATGAAATATTCTTGCTAAAAGCTTGAATCTACATCTGATTAAGGCTGTAGATTAGAAGTCAGCAAATTACAGCCCTCAGGCCAATCATTTCTGATGCCTGTGTTTGTAAATAAAGTGTTGTTGGAACGCAACTGCAGAGGTTCACTTAATACTGTCTATGGCTGCTTTTGTTTACAGACAAAGTTGAATAGCAGTTACAGAGACCATATGGCCTGGAACGCCAAAAATATTTACTATCTGATCCTTTACGGGAAAAGTTTGTCTGTCCCTGCTCTGGATCTAGCTATCTACTTGCAGCAAATAAGGGGACAACAGAACATGTTTAATGACATCAGGGGGATAATCAGCAAAATCCAGCCAGGAAATCCATAGGAAAAGTGACCTGTTTTCTTCAATAAATAAATTTCAGGAAGAGGGGAGGAGGAGAGAAGAAGGGAAGAAAAGGGAGAGAAAGAGTGTGGAGAAGCGGAGAGGGATTGCCTGTAAAGATTAAAGCATTTTAGGGAAAATAACCACTTGCAATATATGGAATTATTTCTTCCTGACTTAAACATAGAAACTCTAAAAGTGTTTGAAATATATATTTACAAGAAAGTTGGGAAAATTAAAACATTGATTATATATTTGTTAGAGAGTCATGCACCACATAATGATGTTTTGGTCAGTGATAGACTGGATATATGACAGTGGTCCCACAAGATTATAATAGCATAATTTTACTGTACCTTTTCTGTATTCAAATATGTTTAGATACATAAATACCATTGTGTTGCGGTTGCCTACAGTATTTAATACAGTAAAATGCTGCATAGTTTTGTAGCATAGGAACAATAGGCTCCTATTGCTCCTATTGCCAGCATATAGCCTAGGTGTGTAGTAGGATGTACTATCTAGTTTTGTGTAAATACACTCTATGATGTTTGCACAATGATGAAATTGCCTAATGATGTGTTTCTCAGAATGGATTTCTGTTGTTAAGCAGTGCATGACAGTATTCAGGAATCAATAACCTCTTAGGTGGGATAATTATATTGTGGTTTTGTTTTTTAAAAAGAAATCCATCTCTTTTAAAGAGCCATGCTGAAATATTACGGATAGTATGATATGTTGTACAGGATTTGCTTTCCAATTCTTGAGAGTGAGACAAGGTAGGAAGGGAAGTGGGGGAGATTTAAATGAAGCAAGATTGAACATGTTTTAACTGGGTGACGGGTACGTGGAATTCATTGAATTGTTATCTTTACTTTTGTAAATGTTTGAAGTTTTTTATAATAAAAATATTTATGGGTTTTTTGTTTGTTTGTTTGTTTGTTTTAGTGTATTCCGGGCTTCTCCTAGATCAATTACTGGGCATTAGCATTTTGAAAACAGCTCTCCCATCAAAGCTGCCAGTTAGAATTGGACAGGTTATTTTCTGTTCAAGAGCACCTGGATGAAGAGACTGACTGGGGTTGCGTCCTCCGGAAGAAGGGAGTGACTTTTTCTAATTTGCACTAAGACACAATAGGGGCTAGTTGGCTGTCTAGGAGTTGGATCAAGGTTTGTTGTTGTTTTTTTTTTGCTCCCAGGTGATTCTAATTTGCAGCCAAGGGTGAGAATCAGTGGCCTGGTAGGATCAGGGTTTCTCACATTTTATTGTTTATATCAATCATCTGGGGATCTTGTTAATGTGTGGATTCTGATTCAGTAGGACTGGGGAAGGGTGGAGATTGTGCTCTTCCAATCATCTTCCAGGTGATGGCTGCTGCTGCTGCTGATCCAGGGACACACTTTGAGTGGCAAACCTATAAAATATAGTACCTGCCCACTGTGAACTTATGGTATATCCAACAGGCTTGAGACTTTTTATTAGAAAGACAGGTTATCTAATAGGCCAAATATTTATCCAGATGCAATTGTATCCTGGACCCAATATTCTGCATTTCTGTCTAGTTCCCTTATGTTACTGATGCTGTAATTCTATAGATCACGCTTTTGATAAGAAAGCCCAGACAAAACCCAGTAACATTTTCCCTGTGTTATTACCCAGATTGCTTCCTGTAGGCATGGGCCTTTCTGACATTTCTGTTTAGTTCCTAATCTCTGTTTCAATGCAGATCAGCAAGGCCAAGTTTGCTTTATTTAGCAGCTGGCACTTCCTTTAATTCCTAACTCCAGGTTTTCAGCTCTTCTCCAAGTAGGCAGATTGCTTAGGTGCTCAGACTTGAATTAACGGCTCTTTATGCATATAATAATCATGACTTAGGTTTGCACAACCCTTATTAGGGCCCCATGGAGGCATTGTGAATCAGCAGTGCCCAGCAGCAACCTGTTTTGAACAAGTAGAGAAGCTCCTATAGCAGGGCTCTCCTTCCCAGCCAGGTCAAGCCACCGTTCACTCTTCCTTGACATCACCTTCAGTGTTGAGTCAAGTTCCTGGGAGGATGAGCTCCTGGTTGTAAGTAGTGTAGAACAGTGGTTTTTCAGCCTTCTTTTAGTTTAGGGATTTTCTGTTAGGAACACAATCCTTGCTGGAAATGTAAACACCACAGCAACAGGAATACTTTTGGCAGAAACGGGGATGAGTGTGAGGTGTACATCCCTGGGGCTTAGAAAGTGTGGTGGAGCCAGTGATGGGCCATGCATGTATGGGTCCACATGCATATGTGCATTTGTGTGTGTATGTATAAGAAAATAGTAAGTAGGAATACTGGACATTTCTGTTAACAAAATGTCCCATAGAAAGCTAATAAAAACTCATATGGAGAAGCTGTATGTTAGAAAAGATAAAAAAATTAGGCAATATGTTGTATCTTATAATAGTGTAGTTCAGTCAAAGAAGATAAGGAAAATCTGAGGGAAGTAAGACCAGAAGACTGGCGAGTGCAGAGTGATGAAATGTGTTGAAAATTTTCTCACTTCTGGCACCTCATTTTATTTATGTTTGGCTCAGTTTCCTTCAGAGTTCTACCTCAGTTGATTAGATTCCCAAATATTGTGTGTAATTGTTCTACAGTGAGGATAACCCTATTTTATCATATGAAAAAGATGTTGTTTGGGAAATTTAATAAATATTACATGTATAGTTTCTTTATTTTTTCTATTTAGGTTTTGCCTAGAAAGTACTATATTCTCAATTGACCAAATAAATGATAAAATTGCTCAATACTTGCTCAAAAATCAGTGTTTTTTGGGGGGAGAGGTAGTAACAATGATACAGTCTGTTCTCCTTAATATATTTACTTAGTTTAGTTCGAAAGTATATTCAGTCATTTGCTCTTTAGAACTGTAGGTGTCTATTCAGAGCAGGAGGGCCCTATTATTGTCAACTCAGAAGGAGGCTCTTACACATTCTTTCAAACAGAGTTTGAATGCTAAAAAGGAGGTACAACTATAAGCTGAATGCTCATGAGGCAAAAAAAAGGGTTCACACAGCACTTGCATTGGACTACTGAACCATCTCATGGCCTCATCTAGCCATTGGGGCCTCTGCTTAAAGATGTTCTGCTGTGTCCTCCATATTTCCACCTGCTGGGTGAACATTTACTTTGCCATCTGGCATGTCGGGAATTAGACTCACCACCTTCTCCTCCCTTCCTGTGTCCACATCAGTTTCCTTGAAAGCATCCGTTTTCCTTCAGCTAATTCTTTAAACCTCACGCTTTTTCACCTGCTCTGCTTCATTTCTTTTACCCGCTAAGTCATTAATGCCTGAGTAGTCTGTAGTCACTAAGGTTCTGACCTTTGATGTAAGACAGCCCTAGCTTCTGGCCCTGGTTCTGCCACTTAATAGCTGTTTCTTGTGTAAATTACTTTCCTTCTCCATTTCCTTGTTTGTAAAAGGGGGTAATACTTGCCTTAGAGGGTAGTTGTAAGAATCAGCTAGAATATCTACTGTGTCTAGAATGTTGTAAGTATTCAATACATGTCAATTAGTACTACTATTGTTAAATAAGAATATTCAGTCTTCCATATCCATTCCTTCCTTTGGTTGCCATCTAGTCTAAGCTCTGGGCCCTTCTCTCTTGCATTAGTGTCACAGCTTCTTTGCTGATCTTCTTGTTCTCCAATCTATCTTGTCAGACTAATAGTTATTAAGCATTTTTTTATTAGCATACTCAAAAACCTTAGTAGATTCCTGTTTTCTGTCTCACCATCTAAACTCTGGGATCCAGCTTTCCAGGCCCCCCTTACTTGTAGGAGCCTCTTAATAGTCTGTCTGCATTCACCCTGATGTTCCCAACCCCACTTAAACTGTTTTGTGTATTACATCCAGGATGAACCTTTCAAAACAGATCATGTCACACTTGTACACACACACACACAACACAGAAAATCCTTCAAGGAACTCAGTATAAAATGCCAAAATCAGGTCTAACTCCTGCCCTTCTGTTCACCCTCATCTTGTATCACTCTTGCCCCTTGCTGTCTCCACGTCAGCCACCAGGCCTTTTCTAAAATTTGTTTATCTAGCATGCTGCTTCCTTCGTAGTCTTGTACATGCTTTTTCCTCTGCCTGTAATGTTCTTCTCGCCCCATCTACTCATTCTTACTCATTCTTTCAGCTCTTGGCATAAATGTCACTTTTTCATGGAAGCCTTTGCTGACTAAGTCAAATCTATCTGCTACCTCCTAAAGTCACAAACCTGTCTTTCAATGCATTTAGAACAGTTGCAATTTTACATGTATCTAGGTGGACATTTCACAGACATATTTCTCCCTAAGTAGTTAGCGAACTCCAAGAGTATAATTTTTATCCATTAATGTGTTTTTTCATTGTTTGGATCTGTGCTTGGCACAAAATAATTGATTAAAAATACTAAATTAATGAATGGAACTTGTTTTCCTCATTTCATCATGAATGCCCATATAACATGGAATCATGTCATATCCCTTTCATCATTTTTCCATTAATATGCAATGCCCAACCTTTACCTCCAAGTTCCCCCTACCTGGAATGTCCACTTTGATTGCTGTGATTTACCTAAATTTATCCTTCAAAGATCAGCTCCAGTGTTTCTTCTACAGAACCTCTAAAAAAACCAAGCTAGTCTTCATGAAGGACCCTTCTTTTTGTAAGTTTACAAATCACTATTTCATTTCATGGTTCATGATTTATGATATCACCCTATTTTTGCTCATTATTATCCTGTTGTCCTAGTCAGATTGCAAGTCTCACAGAAACCAGATTATTTCTGCATCCTGCTCAGATCATAAACCATGCTGTCCAACATACACTGGGGGCAAAAAATAGTTTGCTAAAACAATGTGTATATCTAGAAACTGAACTGCAAAAAGTAGTTCTGGGAAGTTCCTAGAATGAAAGTCAGTGTATCTGGGATTCGTCAAAAAATGAATTTTAGTCCTTGCCTTCATCCGTGTGCCGATCTCTCTAAGAATTTCCAGTTCTTAAGCTCAGTGAGACTACCAGTGTGACATAAGCACTGGAAATGAAAACTCCTCTCTTCAGAGTTTGAGATGAACCCTGAAAGATGACTTGTCCTTGTCATCTTAAAATAGCAATCTTGACCTCTCCAAGTCACAATTCATGTAATTTTTTTTGAGGCTTTAAATATCTTTCTGTCTTTGAAATCTTTAGAATTCCAAGGTATAAACTTAATAATTAAATTAAGTAAGCTTTTTATAATTAGGATGAGATTTCAGGCAGCCAGTTACTCCTACGCTAAACCATATGAAAAATTCCATCTGAAGTCATTTGAAAGGTAATACCAGGAAATCATTTTCAGCATCACAAGACATTAAAAAGCTTATTTGTAGCCACCTACAAGCTGGGATATGAGATATACAGAATGCTCAGGGCTACCTCCATGAAACCCTGCAGCACAGATGAGAAAGTTTTTAAGTGTGTGACTGTCAGGGCTTCCTGTATTACAGTATTTATAATCTTACAATCTTGTCATATTACAGATGGGTTATATATTAGTCCATTCTCAGGCTGCATGAAGAAATGCCCGAGACTTGGTAATTTATAAAGCAAAAAGGCTTAATTGACTCACAGTTCCACATGGCTGGGGAGGCCTCAGGAAACTTACAATCATGGTGGAAGGCACTTCTTCACTTCTTCACTGGGCGGCAGGAGAGACAATGAGTGCAAGCAGGGGAAATGCCAGACACTTATAAAACCATCAGATCTCGTGAGATCTCACACACTATCATGACAACAGCATGGGGGAAACCACCCCCATGATCCAATTACCTCAGTTATCAGTTATCACTGATAAAAATGGATATAATCATATATTTTTTTCCTTAGAGGGTAGTAGGTGTTTGTCAACATGGAGACTAGGAAACCCACAAATGATTTGTATTTACAATATCCAAAGTCCATTGATGGAAAAAATTAATTTTTAATTGCTAATATAAAATATTTTAAGGTATAAATTCATAGTGAGTACAATGAGGTACATATACAGCCTCATGAAGTTTTATGAACACATTTTCACCCATACGACCACCACCCACATCAATATATAGAATATTTCTAGCTCTGCAGAAGACCCCTTTGTACGGCCACATTACATCTCCTGCCACAATGTAATCATTACCTGATTTCTGTTACCCTTGGTTAGTTTTGTCTGATTGTATTAGTCTATTTTCATGCTGCTGATAAATACGTACCCAAGACTGGGAAATTTACAAAAGAAAGAGGTTTAATTGGACTTACATTTCCACGTGGCTGGGGAAGCCTCACAATCATGGCAGAAAGCAAGAAGGAGCAAGTCACATCTTACACGGGTGGCAGCAGGCAAAAAGAGAGAGAGCTTGTGCAGGCAAACTCCAGTTTTTGAGGCTATCAGATCCTGCGAGACTTTTTCACTATCACGAGAACAGACAGGAAAGACCCACACCCATGATTCAATTACCTCTCACCAGGTCCTCCCATGACACATGGGAATTGTGGGAGTTACAATTCAAGATGAGATTTGGGTGAGGACACAGCCAAACCATATCACCGATGATGAAAATTTCTAAGAATGAAGTCATACACTATGTATTTTGTTTCTGGCTTCTTTTCTCCAACACTGAACCGTGTTGCTCTGAGTATCCATAGTTTGTTCTTTTTTATTGCTTTGCAGAATTCCATTGTATGAACACACCATGATATATATCTATCCATTCTTTTCTCCACGGACAATTGGGGTTTTTCTAGATTTTAGTTATTATGAAAAAAAGATGGCATGAATATTCTTATACATGTCTTTTGATGGGACATATGCACTTATTTCTCTCATATAAATCCTTAAGAGTCAGATTGCTGGGTCATAGGGTAGGCATATATTATTAAAATGTAGTGTCTATTGCAAATAGTTTTCTCAAGTGATTGAACAATGATGTATTTTAACTCATAAACAAAGTATATGAATACAAGCTAACTACTATAGCATAGTACAAATTATGCCATTTTTTCTGACTTATTATTATGAATTTATATTTTAAAAGTAATTTAGGCACTAAAATTTGGCCAGCCCAAGTGATAATTGGAATTAAAGGTGAAAGGAGGTTGAAAAACGTTTACGGTCTAAAATTCTACTTTAAAAATTCAGCTTTATAGAAAGGCATTAAATGATTGAAACTTTAATAAATACCGTCATTTGGCAAATTACTCTTTCCATCAGAGTGCTGGGAATTAATATTTGGAGATTAAAATTAATTAATAGTAATTTCGAAAAATGTATTAAGAAACTTATTTGGCCAGGCGCGGTGGCTTATGCCTGTAATCCCAGCACTTCGGAAGGCCAAGGTGGGTGGATCAGCTGAGGTCAGGAGTTCGAGACCAGCCTGGCCAACATGGTGAAACCCCATCTCTACTAAAAAAAAAAAATACAAAAATTAGCTGGGCATGGTGGTGGGTGCCTATAATCCCAGCTACTCGGGAGGCTGAGGCAGGAGAATCCCTTGAGCATGGAGGTGGAAGTTGCAGTGAGCCGAGATTGTGCCACTGCACTGCAGCCTGGGCGACAGAGTGAGACACTGTTGCAGAAAAAAAAAAAAGAAAAAAGAAAAAGAAACTTACTTTCCTTGGTCAAACAAAAAGGAATTATTCAAAGCAGATACATGAAAAAAAAATAGTGATTTGGGCTAAGCATATTGTTCTGTTGAATAATTGGAGTTTATTCCTCCCATGCCTGATAAAAATAACATCTTGATATCCCAGCTTCATGCCAGTATTTTTATATTCATTTTTCTTTTGCTCTCATAAGGCCATAAAGTATATTTTTTCATATGACCAGAGAATTGTCCAACTTGCTTTCACTGTAATTTTGCTGCATCCAATTTATAAATTCTTTTGGAAAGAAGATTATTTCTTTATCTATTTACAAGGGATTGAAAACCACAGAACACTAAATTTTCTGTGCAGAGACATAGGGAAATGAAAAACCCCACACAGAGGTCTCCTGCCATTTCCTTCTGAGTGTAAACTAAGATGTGATTTTGCTTTTTCTATTTCAGTTATCTCAGGGATCTCCAGAACCGATTGAGCCCAACTTTTTCACAGCAGATTACCATTTATTACATCGTTCATCCGGTGGAAACAGCCTGTCCCCAAATGACCCTACAGGTAATAGTGATCAACATGGGTAACCTGGCTTTCATGAAGAAATATATTGTTTGGATCAACAGCTATTTCTAAAAGATTATCTCCAATTTTTTTTTAAATAGAGCTTGTTTTGATTATTTATAGCAATAGTTGGAAGGCACATATGGTAGGAATCTAGAAATTCCCTGAAATTTATCTTACCCAGTTGTGGCAGCTTCCTTGATCATTTATTAATATCATAAACAAACAGCAGAATCTGTGTGGGTGAGTTGTATTTCCTTTTATTTCTTTTTGCTTATCTGATGATGGGAAATCAAATTCCCTAAAGCATGTAGGGAGATAAAGAGCAGAAATAAGGAGTTTAAATATTCAAAATAGAGAAACCCTTGAAACTCACCTAAAGAATCCACATTAGACACTTGAATTTTTTTCTCTTTTACATAAAATTCACATAGGGAGGCAGTATAGCATAGGGATTTAAAGGCACATATTCTGGAAACCTGGGTGCCTAGATTCAAATCTTGGCTAAACCATTTAGTAGCTGACTATGGACAACTATTTAACCTCTCTGAACCCCAGTTTCCTTGCCTGTAAAATGGGGATAAATACTTGCATCACAAGGTTATAGTGAGGATTAGAGTAAAAATAAAAACTGCCTGTCTATTAGTAGGGGCTCAGCATAATTGAACTCTTCTTGTCATATCTGAATTCTAAGAGGAAGCTTTCAAGCTACTCTGAGGTTTCAGTACTCCTAAATAATTTTTGAATCTTTATAAACGGTAGCTATGTCACTTGGAGGAGTGGATAGAAGTGAAGATTTTACAGTTAAATGAAGACTTGCCATCTCTTTAGCTTGGAAAAAATGCTCACTTTTGTTGTGCTTTTGTTGCTGACTGAACAAATTATTTCATGAATTAATTGACAAACTTTCCTTTGGTCTTCTGGGATAAAGCTAAACCCTATGTATGCAGAATTTTATTTAAAATAATCTCTGAGAAATCCAAGATAAAAAGTTGTTTAAAGTAATTTGCTTTTAAAATCATTTCCAAGACAGGGAAGTTTATCTGCAGGTCAAACTTCTCCGCATCATAGAAACTCTGATGAAATGAAGAACTTTGATAAAAATCTCTCAAAAACCTGAGGGTGAGTTGACAAACTCCCCCCAGGGCAGCTGGATGCCCCACTCCAGAGCTGACTAGGCTTGGCCCATGTCACAGCTGGCTGGGCAAAAGCAAAAACAGCAGAGCCTGCCAGTACTGTGGGGTATGCCTTTAAAGATGAGCCACCAGTACTCACATTTTCACATCTCTTCTTGACCCTAAACCCATTCTCTCTTCTCTATTTGAATTGGCAGAGAAGTGGCCTAGGCCTCTACATGTCAGTGTTGATTGGTTTGAGTGAAAGCTGGTCAACACGGCTTTGGGTGGCATCGGAGTGTGTTAAGGTGCTGGTATACCAAATTCTGATCAACCATCATAAAGTCTGTCCAGCAAGACAATCCCAAGCAAAAAGGACAAAGCTGGAGGCATCACATTACCTGACTTCAAACTATACTACAAGGCTTTAGTAACCAAAACAGCATGGACTGGTACAAAAACAGACACATAGACCAATGGAACAGAATAGAGAACTCAGAAATAGGACCATACATCTGGAACCATCTGATCTTTGACAAACCTGACAAAAACAAGCAATGGGGAAAGGATTCCTTATTTAATAAATGGTGCTGGGAGAACTGACTAGCCACATGCAGAAAATTGAAACTGGGCCCCTTCCTTACACCTTATACAAAAATTAATTCAAGATGGATTAAAGACTTAAATGTAAAACCCAAAATTATAAAAACCCTAGAAGAAAATCTAGACAATACCATTCAGGACATAGGCCTGGGCAAAGATTTCATGACGAAAATGCCAAAAGCAATTATAACAAAAGCAAAAATTCACAAATGGGATCTAATTAAAGAGCTTCTGCACAGCAAAAGAAACTATCATCAGAGTTTACAGACAACCTACAGAAAGAGAAAATTTTTGCAATCTATCTATCCGACAAAGGTGTAATATCCAGAATCTGCAAGGAACTTAAACAAATTTACAAGAAAAAAGCAACCCCATTAAAAAGTAGGCAAAGGACATGAACAGATGCTACTCAAATGAAGACATTTATGCGGCCAACAAACATATGATAAAAAGCTCAACATCATTGATCATTAGAGAAACGCAAATCAAAACCACAATGAGAAACCATCTTGTGCCAGTCAGAATGGCAATTATTTAAATGTCAAGAAACAACAGATGTTGGCAAGGCTGTGGAGAAATAGGAATGCTTTTACACTGTTGCTGGGAATGTAAATTAGTTCAACCATTGTGGAAGACAGTGTGGCTATTCCTCAAAGACCTAGAACCAGAAATACCATTTGAACCAGCAATCCCATTACTGGGTATATACCCAAAGAAAAATAAATCATTCCCTTATAAAGATACATGCACACATATGTTCATTGCTATACTATTCACAATAGTGAAGACATGGAATCAACCCAAATGCCCATCAATGATAGACTGGATAAAGAAAATGTGGTACACATGCACCATGGAATACCATGCAGCTATAAAGAGGAATGAGATCATGTCCTTTGCAGGGACATGGATGGAGCTGGAAGCCATTATCCTCAGCAAACTAACACGGGAACAGAAAACCAAACAACAAATGTCCTCATTTATAAGTGGGAGCTGAACAATGAGAACACATGGACACAGAGAGGGGAACAACACACACTGGGGCCTGTTGGGGTGGTGGAGTGGGTGAGGGGAGGGAGAGCATCAGGATAAATAGCTAATGCATGCTGGGCTTAATACCTAGCTACTGAGTTGACAGGTGCAGCAAACCATCATGGCACACATTTACCTATATTACAAACCTGCACATCCTGCTCATGTATCCTGGAACTTAAAATTAAATTAAATTAAAAAAAAAAATCTGGCCAGCCATGGTGGCACATGCTTATAATGTACAGACGTTGGAAGGCTGTAGGCAAGAGGATGACTTGAGCTCAGGAATTCAAGACCAACCTGGGCAACATAGTGAGACCCTATCTCTACAAGATGATGATGATAATAATAATAATAGTAATAATAAACATTTTAAAAGTCTTCTGGCAATAAATATATTTTTTCCCTCTAGGCAGCTATATGAAAGGGTCAGATCTTTGGTCTCTTTACATCTGTATCTGCCTCCCTGTAAGAATCAATTTTCTTTCTAACGTATATTTATTCTTCTTAGCCTGTAGATTAGGGAGAGTTTCTTAATCAGAAAACACCCATCAGGTAATTTGCATTGGGAATCACCCCTCACTTGCCCTTAACACATACACACACACACCTCTAACTTTATTGGACACTATGAGCAATGCCCCTTAATCTTCATATATCATTTTGTGATGCCCATGCCCAAGGAAGTCAGTTATTAAAGAAAGGAAAACAAAACACTTGAATATTCAAAGCCAAGGCAGATGCTTTGGAATTTGCTTGTTCCATCTTTATCATTAAGAAATTGACCTGTTTGCCCTGTGGTTGAAGTCATAATTGCCAGTAAAGAATAACTAAGAAAATGTGAACCCAAATGTCAGACTTTCCATAATTTATCTTTTTTAGGTTTACCAACCAGCATTGAATTGGAGGAAGGAATAACATATGAACAGATGCAGGTGAGGTTTTTGCAGTGTCTCTGAATGATTTTATTTTGTTACTTCTAATTCAATACTAACCTGATTTTTAAAATTTTAGACTGTGATTGAAGAAGTCCTTGAGGAAAGTGGCTATTACAATTTTACATCTAACAGGTAAGAGCTAGAGTTTGCCTTCAATTGTGAAAGATGAATTGAGGTCATCAGATGTTAGATCTAATTTCTTTATCCTTTATTCCAGAGGGATTTTTTTTCAGATTTTATTTTAAATACTTTTATAAAATATCTTGGCTTAGACTAGATACATCTATAAGTAGAATATATGTGCCCATCTTTTGTGTGGACACAGTTGCTGTATTCTCAGTTGAAACAAAAAGGGTGATTGCTTAGTAGAAATTTATTCCCATAAAAAATCATAAATATAAGTAAATGGAAAAAGCATTTCTAGATTGGTTTTTTAAACATCAAATATTTGTTTGTCTCATTCTAGAAGAGCTGAAAACTCACTCCTATCACTTAAATCTACCCACTATTTGCACAGAAGGCTAGGGACAAAGTGCAACTGAACAAAGAATCATTTCTTGTGAATTTAAGATATATTTGTGGAGAAGAGACTTTGCTATTGTATGTTGCCATTTGTTTACCCTAAATAAAAAACCTCCATTTACTGGAGCTGTATGTTATCTTCCAATATAGCTATCGTTGGTGTTCTAAGAGTATATGCTATTTTATCAATTGCATCAATTTTTATAATTTTAGTTTTGGAAATAGTGTTGGCACAACAATTTGAGTACAATTAGTTTACTATGAAGTTATTCAAGAAAGGTTTTATAATCAAGCAAATTAGCATTGTAGGTGATTGAAGCCTGATCCCACTGGGGAAATCTAAGAGCTGATATAGAATATGTACCAGGGCCATCCCACACAAAGAGTGAGAGAGCTGAGGTATTTATCCTCCAATCTCCATCAGTCATTGTTTAAGGCCTTTCCCTAGGAAGTGTTAATGCCCTGTTTTTTTCTGGCCTTTTGTAAATATGAACAAAGAAGACTCCAGGGGTCAGAGAAATCCTCAGGAAAAGAAGTGCAGGTATTCCATTATTGAATTTCTTTATATATTAGCAGGTAGAAATCTGCCAGCGTGCTTTGAAGTGGAATAGATAGGGGTATGGGTGTTTACAATGTCTGCTACACAAGAGTTGTCTGTTGACTTACCTAAGGAGCCTACTCATAGCTGAGTCATCAAATTGGTTGCAAGTATCCACACACACACTCTATCTGGGCCACAGTTGTTTTAGGAGGCATAGTCCTTTGGAGTATATTCTCTCAAAGTGGTCTTTTATGCCTGGAGGGACTGCCTTCCTTTTCAATTATTGAAGCTATTTTGTGACCACTATTTAAATTATTCCAGAAGTCTTCACCAAAGATGACTAGTAACAACGGGAAGAGAAAGAGGGCTCAAGAACATCCTGTTAAGGTCATTATATAGAAATTAGATTCTTTTCTAAGGTTAGTTCAGTCTCCAGTGTTTCTTCTCCTTTTTCTTCTACTTCTCCCATTTCAAGGAGTTTTTCTTATGAGTCACAAGTAAAATTATTCAACTACTTGCTCTTTTGACTTGATAACAGTTTCAAAATACTACCTTTATAAATTTAGATCTGTTGTGATTTGTAACTGCAGAGGAACAATGAGTAATTCTCATTTTCTAAAGATATACCGTCAATAGAAATTACCATCTCCACAACTACTCTCCTCCCACCATCCCTGGAGAGATTTTTGAATTTTCATTTTCTATTCAAGGGCTGAGTATATGCATTAGGAAAAGAAAATGGTAACAGGAACAGAAAGAGCAGCAAGGACCTCTGACCAAGTTTGGATATTTCTCATTTCTGGGCTTCCGGGAAAAAGGGAGCTAGGACTGAGTTGGAAGGAAGAAAGCTGTGTAAAGAAAGTTAAAGAAGGTCATAAAGGCTTGGCCAGCCTCGTAGCTCTTCCCAAAGCAGGCTCTATTTTTGATCATTTGCATGGTTGTATGATAAATTACATTTTACATACATAAGCATACTATCATGGATAGTATGAATGTTTCTGTTTTTAACTGTGAGCCTCATTATTTCAAGTGCCCTTGGCTTGTACTGGGGAAAAGATGACTCTTGTCATTTTATCTGCATTTTCTCAGAGACTTGGGATCATGGGCAAGGAATGTCTTCATATTTTTTGCAGAAAATCATTTAAATATCAAGAAAAACTAAGTGTGCAAGGAACTTAAGGAAGCTCTTACAAGAACTTTTATTTTCCCTTTATTAAAAAATATTTGTCTTATTTTGGAATTTATCATTATTCTTTTTCAATTCTACTTTCATTAGGTTTTAAACCGATCTAGTTCCAAAGACATATGGCTTTATTAAAAGACATTGCAAATTTTCTTATTATGATAAACAGATAATAAGATGCCTTATAACAAAGGCAAAAAATTATTCAGTTATATTTGTAATTGTGAATCTATTATGAAGGTATGATGAAACAGTCAAGTTTAAGCAATATAAGTTGGGTATTGCATTAAATTTTCTTAAAGTGCTCCAAATTAAAATGAATCACATTTAAAAATCCATATATCCATGGTATTCCCTTTTTGGCTTCTTTTTTTTTTTTTTTTTTTTTTTGAGATGGAATCTCGTTATGTTGCTCAGGCCAGGCTGAAGTGCAATGGTGCGATCTTGGCTCACTACAAACTCCACCTCCTGGGTTCAAGCGATTCTCCTGCCTCAGCCTCCCGAGTTGCTGGGATTATAGGCGCCCACCACCACACCTGGCTAATTTTTGTATTTTTAGTAGAAACGGGGTTTCTTCATGTTGGCCAGGCTGATCTTGACCTGGCCTCAGGTGATCCACCTGCCTTGGCCTCCCAAAGTGCTGGGATTACAGGCATGATCCACCACACCCGACCCCCTTTTGGCTTCTAATAGCAATGATAGAACATATCTTGGGAGAAAAACTCTCCAGAATTTGTTTGTAAAAATAACCCTTGTTTGTGCCTAAAGCCACTCTTTGTTTACTAGTATTCCAAAATAATTTCCAAGAAATAAGTCAGGCTTCAATTAGAAGCACCTACTAATCCACAAACTGTGAATAACACATAACTCCAAGTACAAATCAGATTAGCTGGTACTGTCATGCTTTTTTCCACAAAGGATGGAGGGTGCTAAATGTCACAGCATATGTAGAGGTATTTAGAATCAGTATTTAGAATTAGTAGACTGCATTTTTCCCCAATAGGTTTCATAGAATGGGCAATATTATCAAAGATGTCAATAGATAGTCTCTGAAAAATAAAGTTTCATGGCCACATATATTTGGGAAACTCAGAATGTACAATTTTTTATATTTGGAGAATGTTGACACCTATTACTATATTAAAGACTCTGAGATGTACTATAAGAAAGAAATCTGTTGACCTTGTTTGTTGACCTCAGTGTTTTCCTCACTCTTTACATGGAATACAATTGAGGAAAGCTGTTTTAGCTATGTGGTTGGAAATGAGGAACACCGTTTTCACTCCTTCACCAGGGTCTACCCAGATCTCTGTTGTTCTCATTGACATGGTCATCATTGTCATCATCGTCATTGCAAAATTTGTTCTTAAATGAATTAAGCACCGTGCTGAGAAAGTTACATATATAATTTCGGTGTTATTCAAGTTTACAATTTAAGACTATCAGTTTGAATAGTACACACATCATCTAGCCAGCCAGTCACTAAAGGATTAATTCAAGATAAGGTACATTTTTGGTTTAAATTATAGGGTTTATATTTAGTTAAGGAAGAGAATAGAGAGGTGCCATTTTCAGACTGAAAGTCTCAGGATAAAGCCATTATCTATCTGTTAGCTATCTTTGAGGAAGATTTCTGGAACTGTTTAAATCATGAGGAGACTGCTTGGACAGTTAGGAAGAATGTCTCAGGCATAAAATGCTGCATTAGGAAAAGAAAATGGTAACAGGAACAGAAAGAGCAGCAAGGACCTCTGACCAAGGTTGGGTATTTCTCATTTCTGGGCTTCTGGGAAAAAGGGAGCTAGGACTGAGTTGGAAGGAAGAAAGCTGTGTAAAGAAAGTTAAAGAAGGTCAAAAAGGCTTGGCCAGCCTCATAGCTCTTCCCAAAGCAGGCTCTATTTTTGATCATTTGCATGGTTGTATGATAAATTACGTTTTATATACATAAGCATTTAGCTTGCTTACCAGAAGGATGCAACTTAATATGCCTTAATTTTATCATTGTTGTTTGTGAGGATAAAATCATTTGAGTCATGAATAAACAGATAATGAGCATATAATCTTTATGAATATACTTATGTATTACATTAATATTTTATTTTTAATAATAAAATGTGTTGAGAAATAACAGTATACAAGATAACAAATCTACATTGAATCAACTTGAATTGTTTTATTTCCCCAATTGACTGATAAGCGTGTAAATTAGTTATTTTAACCTACACAGGTATTCAAGTATACAAGCTATTTTGAATGAATATTTGTTTTTCTACTACAAAGTGTTATCAGTTCCTATTGAGTTCATAATTTGAGAAAGGCCTTGTTAGCACCAGACTTCAGCCAAAGGCAGCTTTTTAAAAATGTCCCCATCCTAACAAAAATAATCGTCTTTTTATTTACTGTGATTTATTTACTTATATGCCTGAGCCCCAGTTTTTGAAATTGAATGTATGAACTAAAATATTTGTAACTATAGAGAATTCTTTCCACTTCTGAATCTTATAGGTATCATTCCTATCCATGGGGGACCAAGAATCACCCAACCAAAAGATGAAAATGCTGCATTTTGAGTGGACTTGATTTTCTCAGTGAAGTTCAAGTTCTGGACTTCAGCCGCTATTGCAAGATGCCCAAGGATTGGGTGCTGCTAGAGGGTGTGGAAAAGACCAAGATGCCATGGGGCCTGCAGGACTTCTTTCTGGGGGTCCTGTGCTGGAGTATATGACAGCTGCGGTACTTGAGGGCTTCATTGCCAGAACACATTATATACAGGATGTCAGAGCTACCAGTGTGCTGCTGGGAGAAAATGCTGCAAAATTCATCTTTTGGAGGGTGGGGGGAAAACCCAAAAACAACAACAAAAAAACTCTCTTACAGAATTTTCCTTAACATTAAAAAAAACTTGTCATATTTTTCAAAGGCACATTTGATACTCAGAATTGCTAAAAGTATATTTAAAGACATCTAGCCTTCCATATGTAAAAAATATTTTAGATAAAGACAGTTACAGGACTCAGAATAATATATTGGGTGATTCACTGTATCCTCCATTTTTACATTTAAAGAAATTCAAAATACGTGATTAAATTTTTTTTTTTTTAATGGATGGGTTGGTTCTCGCTTAACCACTTGGGTGCTAGTGGTCTTGAACTGTGATACAGTGTAGACAGTATTTGTAACCTTGCACAGCCTCTGGGGGTAACTGTCAAACTGTCAGATTTAACTTAGACTAATAGAATATATTGCTGTACAGTGTGTGTATATGTTTATATATGAGGGCGGAAGGAGAGAGGTTTTGATTAGACTAATGCTTTGCTGCTAATCAAACTTATAGTATTTTTAGAGCACTTTGAAGAGTTTATAGAATCTATGAAAAAGATGCAATATTCCTCATCCTAAATCCCTCCTTATTACAATTACCTAAATTGTTTATGAATTGTTTAGGATTTTGAAATGAAAATAAGTTAAATCCCTTTTTTACTCATTGAGGCAGCTCAGTGGAAGTGAAATCAGAATGCCAAACTGTGTATCATCCTTTATGCCGGGAGAATTATGATGAAAATCTGCTAGATTCTCACTGGGCTTAAACTCCTTCTCTTCAATCAGCTTCTTAAAACTCTGGTGTAATGTCAAGAAATACCCTTATTGCGAAATCTGTCTACACTTCTAGCTACCTAAAGAGCAATTTATTCTACATAATTAGTAATCTGAAAGTTGAAATTATACTTTTTATTTACTTTTCATGGAGTTCTGTCATCTTTATTTACACTGAATTTTTTTAGTATGATTGAATCGATTTTAGTTCAATGTATTTACAGTGGTTGAAAGACCATAACCTTCTTTCTGTATAGTATGAAAATCTACACTATTTTTAAATGAGCATATTTAATACTTAAATTATATCCAAATTCCCTTTAATCATGCACTAATGCTTTTGAAGATTGTCAATGGATCTTTCTTTAAGCCAAATTAACAATTACAGATACACTGTAATGTAAGATAATAGATGCAAATACAGTAATGAAAATTTCAGTTTCAGCTTTCAAACTAATTCTATCCATATGTGAAATTCATAAAATCAAAATGCTATGATATTGATTTACCCAGGCAAAATTTTATTTCTGTTCCAAGTTAATTTGAACCTGCACTTATAATTCTTTTTATCTTTCAGTGTATGAAAGGGGCACATTTCTTCTTCATGCAGGAAGCACAGACCTGGAGGGGCACAAATTCTAATTGTGGGGTGAGAGTTTGAAATCAAGTTATTTCCCAAATGGTAGTATATAGTAAACAGAATTTAGGAAAGAATAGTATTCAAAAGGTGTACCGTGGTAAGGGAAGATAAATGGTTTACTTGAAGATGTTTTAAAGTGTATATAGTTGGCCTTATTGACCAGAAAGTGAGCAAAATGTTTCCATCTAACTCTTTTTTTTTTTTTTTTTTTTTAAGACAGAGTCTCACTCTGTTGCCCAGGCTTGAGTGCAATGGCGAGATCTTAACTTACTGCAACCTCCGCCACCCAGGTTCAAGCAATTCTCCTGCCTCAGCCTCCCGAGTAACTGGGATTACAGGCATGTGCTGCCATGCCCAGCTAATTTTTGTGTTTTTAGTAGAGATGGGGTTACACCATGTTGGCCAGGCTGGTCTCAAACTCCTGACCTCAGGTGATCTGCCTGCCTCGGCCTCCCAAAGTGCTGGGATTAGAGGCGTGAGCCACTGTGCCCAGCCATTGCATGTAACTCTTTTAGGTGATAGGAATGGGCATTTATTATGCTAGAAGTCAGTGAAAGTTAAGTAAGCAGAAGCTGTCCTTTTTAACAACAGCTTCAGGCCTATCAACTCTATGTGGATAGATGTATTGTTTTGCTAAAAGTATGAATATGCTCTATTTGAATTCTCCCTAAACTACCACAATCACTGAGTCTATATTTTCCCATGTCTCTAAGAGAAAGTCAGGCTCTGGCAAAAGCACCATTTTGTACATAGAGTCACATCCCAACAGAGAAGTTAACTTTTCAGAAGCCTTTCTAACACAAATATGGAGCACCTCCCCTCATGACCAAGAATGATCATTTTGTTTTGATTCTCCAAACTGTCTATTAGTGCAAAGGAGTTGTTACATGAACTTCATAGACCTCTTAATCTTTTCTTGATTGCATTTATATATTTTTTCCCTTTCTCTTGTATAATTTTTAATGATTTGTTGTGCAATGAAATTCCTATGAATGCACCTAATTTCCGTAACTGAATATTTGCATGGAATAGAATATGAATCAGTCTTTTCAGATTACTTTTGAAACACAAATGCTCCCGTTAATTATGTTTCGACCCACCAGCTCTTTCTGAATTATGTGTACTTGAAACCTTAATTTGCTTTTTAAAAGCAAAATGTTTCATTCTCAGGGAAGTGACTGCAGCAGGAATATTTGCTTGCTTGTTAACTTTATCTTCCTCCAGGCATGTAGTCTTCAAATGGAGTCTTCAAGGGAATAGTGACGTGGACACTTGGACCCACTGCTTGTGGATGAATTTCAGAAACCTAGAGAAATGCTGCTTGTTTATTGTGGACACTTGTATGGCATTAGGCAGTGTTTACAGAATGTTTAGGCATTCTAAAGCAGAACACAATTAAGAAACACTGTTAGGAAATTTACTCAAATGATATAATTGATTAAGAGTTAGGTCTTCCTATAAGTATCATCTATGACTCATTAAATACTATGAATTTTGATGTCCAAAAACAAATACAGGTCTGATTATGTACAATTCCAGAAATATCATTAATTAATCACCACTCATTTTTAAGATGTGTGAAGACTGTAATATTGGCTAGTGAATTTTATCAGTATTAATATGCATAGAACCCACATTCCTCTTTTTGATTTGATGTATTATAGCATGTATGTATTGCTATTTTTCTCTTTTTTTGAAGTGGTGAGGAATCATGCACAGTCAATATGCTGGGTTCCTTTAGAAATGACTTTAGCTCCTGTCTGAAGGCAGGAAAAACTTCTTTTTAAGGAACTTTCATCATTGCCTTTTACTTTTTCTATGATGGTTTTCATGAGCACTGAAATCACTTGGAGAGGCAATGCAAAGAAATCTATCTGAAACAGCTTCTTGGCACCCTGGAGTTACAGCTATGAAGGGCTCCAACGTAAGGGAAGCTTAATGCTTCCGAATATTGACATTGACTCCTTGGGTGAAATTTTGTCCAAATATAAAATTCTTCATGTTCAACAACTAAATGTAATAAATGAATTTCATATATACTTACATGATATCTTTGAGATTAAATTAATTATCCTTTTGTAGGAACTGACAGCTTTGGGTAGATTATTTTTTCAGTTGAAATGTGTTGCTAACAATATGCTTACACTTGAACGCTGTTTTTCATATTGATAGGAAGACACAAATTTCTCAGGGAAACAGCTTTGTGATAAAGGAATTCTTATGTGTGTCATTACAGTAAATTGCATATTGTAAATATGACTGTTGTGGTTGATTATAGTCCTGCTGTGATGTTGTTTTGAGATTTGCAAGAGGGACAGGAAAGATTTTATGAGTTTCATGGGGTGTCTGATGGATATTGCCAATTTACATATTTTCTGAGTTCATGGGCAATAGTTGTTTTTAAAAATGAAGATCACGTACCCTAAAATCACAGCTGCATACTTGCTATGTGAGGTATACTAGATGCTTTATTGCATGTATGTAACAATTGTCTAATAATATAAAAAATTTAAGATACAGTTCATTGCTTTATCCTAAAAGTAAATGAACTGTAGTCTTAATTCAAAACTGAATGTTATTCCTCAAAACATGAGAAACTGCCTTTTTCTCTCCTTTCCTTTTGTACTGTGAAGATGTGCACTGGCCCCAGCTACTGTATTTAGCGATAACAGAAGTACGTGACTGTTTAAATGCTGTCATTTGGAAATAGCTTACCTTTCTTTCTCCTAAACAAAGATAGAATTTTGTCTTTATGTATGGAGGATTATGGCTGACTGTCATTTTGACAATCAACAAATCCAGATGGATACTTGGAATTGATATGGTGAGTTCACAAATGAAAAATTAGCCGAAGTTTTTGCAAACATGTGAAAAACTGGTCCCATAAAACATGCAGAGAGAAGTTTGTGCCAGAAATAACAAACCAAGAGGAACAACTGCTTTAAGGCCTTGGCACCTTTAAGGCAGACTGTGAAGGTCACTTACAAAATGATATTCTTAACCCATGATTTAGCTCTGCATTTCAAGTGCCATTTGAGTCAAGATTCTGAAATAGAATATAAAGCTTGTAAATGGCTATTAAATTTTAGCTAAAACTGTTGCCCTCCATATTCTGTGTGTTTGCCTCATACTGCAGTGAATTTTGGAGGAAATGGAGCTGGTTTAGGGATACTTCATGTCATGACAAAACACATGAAGTATTTACATGAACCTAACCTTACTTTGAGGGAGGTTAATAAGTATAAGTACTCAGAAGGGAAACCTTGACTTGCTAAAGATTAAGGATAGATCTTTCATGGAGGTGGAACATCTTCAAATAGAAATTATGTTTTGAGAAGTTGGAGAGCAAGAAGGCAAGAAATTCCCTAGTGCCTGGGTCGCCCAGCAGGCTGCCCACTAGGGGGTGAGCAATGGCAAAGGGTAGCTCGGGAGCCTTCCGTGATTCCTGCTGCTGGGTTTCCCAGAAACAGCTGACCAGATGCTTCCCCAGCATGCAGCTATTGTTGAACTTTTAGCCAGGCACCGTCACCAACAAGTTGACCACCCAGAGCGGTAGCAAAAGGCCCCAAAGTCTCTTCATAACCTGCTGGCTGGTGGAATCCGTAGGACAGGATCCCTAGGAGGCATTCCAAAGACATTAGACTCCTCAAAGAAGCAGTTTTATCTGCCATTAAGTGAGTGTGATTCTGCCCCAGGGGTTATGTTCCCCATCTTTCATCCATGGGCTCAGGCCCATTTTGTCTGACAATGCACATTTTACAAGAAGTATATGTGAGATGTAAATGGATAAGTGCAGGCAGATTTGAATATACTTGTACCAGTTAAATTAGAAAAGAAACATTGCAAGCAATTTTAGCTGTTTGCAAGCAAACCAGTTGATAATCAGGCTGTAGAAAGATTCTATTATTTCACTCTTCCACACTGAAAAACAAAAATTACTTGAAAAATTTTTGGGTGCATTTTGCTTACTGACATTTAGTGGGTCAAAACAAAAACTATAGTGCTTCCTGTATTCCATCGTTCACACTGGTGACTTTGTGAGGATAAAAAAGAACAGAGCTGTCCTCTGAAAGGAAGAGAAACCCCTAATCTCATGTTGCCCAGAGCTTTTATTTTTTGGACAGCCCAGGATCCAAGACAAAGGCCTGTGCCCACAGAAGCAAAAATACCTGCAATGTGCTTTTTTTTCCCTATTAGCCTCTAACATAGTATCTTTTTGTTGTTGTTCTAGCACCCCTCCCATGCGGGTCTCTCCCCTGACACCTCTTCCCCTCCCACTATTCCTACCCAAGGAACAAACAAGGTTTCCTGCACAGAGCTGTGTTATTAGAGGGAATGAATGTTCCATAGTTATTTAATGGTGTGCCTTGTGGAAGGCAGAGGGAAGTACTTCTCTGTACGTGATTTCTATCTTTCTAAAACCTCCGCAACACTTCCTTCATGAGCACACCTACTCTAGAATGACCTCAAAGTCAGAGATCCTCAAGAGAAGAAGAAAGAAATGATTCTATAAAAGATTTATATAAGATATGCAAGCAGCTTTTATTTTTGCTATGATTAAATATGCCCTGTAAAATGCTAAAATAATTTAAAAAGTTATTTTCAATTTTATTGGAAAATGATTTCTCTTTTATTGAGAATTTACAGTAAATGATCATCTCTTTTCTCTCACCAGCTTCCCCAATTTCTTGTTTTATGCTCTTAAGTCTTTTGATTAAAAAAAAATTTCCAGAAAGCAATCATATATGTGTGAAAGCTCAAATGCATACCTCAGCTTTCATTGGTGGGTCCCTGTAGCAATTATCTATTGCTACACATGTTGTATAACAAAGCACCTAAAAACTTAGTGGTTTAAGGTAGCAACCATTTATTTTTTTCTTATGAGTTCATGGGTCAGTTGGAAGTTCTGCCTATCTGAGCAGAGCTCCACTGATCTCTGCTAGACTTTCTCCTGTGTCTATGGTTAGTTGGCAGGTTGGCTGAAGTCTAGCTGATTTAGGATTGACCTAGAGGGGACAAATCAGTTCTCTTCCCTGGTCTCACACGTGTTTTCAGCAACTTAGCCCAGATGTGTTTTTGTGGCAGTAGCAAGAGTTGAAAAGAGAATGCAGAAATGCACTCCTATTTTGACAAGCCACTTCTTGTGTTGTTTTCTTCATTCTCAATGGTCAAAGCAGGTCACACGGTCAAATCTATCATTAGTGTGGGGAGCTGTATGAGGCTTTCACTGCTGTGCAACCAGTTGCTATAAGTTTAACAGTTTAAAATAACACACATTTATTAGCTCACAATTTCTGTGTGTTGGAAGTTTGAGCAGGGCTTACATGGTCCTCTGCTCAGTGTCTCACAACTATAATCAGTGTCGGCTAGGTCTGGGGTCTCACCTGAGCTTGGGGATCATTTTCCAAGATCATGTGATTATTGACAGGGTTTATTTCCTTGTGTTTGTAGGACTGAGGTCCTGAGCAGCTAGATACCATAGATGCCACCTGTAGTCCCCTGCCATGTGGCCCTCTCCGGAGACAGTTCCCATCAAGGCAGCTGGCTGCTTCAAGGTCCACAGGAGAGTCTCTTTCTCTCTCTCTAGTCTGCTAAGATAGAATCTTATAACCAAATCACAGGAATGATATCCTGTTGCCATATTCTAGTGGGTAAAAGCGAGTTACAGGTGTACTCTACACTCAAAGGAAGGGGATTATACAAGAGCAAGGTCATTGGGGTCACCTTGGATTGTGTCTGCCGCAGAGTGCAATACCAAAGAATGCAAAAAAAGTAGACCTGAAAAATTGGGGCCATGAAGTACCAAATGCCACAATATCAAATTACCACATGATAAAAAGGCTGGAGAAACGCCTAGAGCCCTATATTCGATGGGAGGTCTCTGGATGGTGTCACACAGGGTCCTGAGCAGATGCCTCCCCGCTGCCTTCCTTTGCCCCTGAGCTCAGGTGCATATGGCCACCTGTACCCTGGCTGCCTAGGTGTGTGGCCCCCAGAACCTTGGCGCTCGCACACATTCGTCCCCCTCATGTGGGATCATGGCTCTTCTGCCCAGAGACTGCATCCGATTCCTTCCTCCCTCCCAAACAGCTCTGATGGAAGACTGCTCGATGGTCTGGAGAAGAAAGAATTGTGTGGTAGTCTTATGAAAATGACCTCAGAGTGCAGGACATAAATTCCAGAATGTTTCCAGTCCCCATCCCAGGATTCTGTTAGATGTATCCAGCAGGCTATTTGAAAATCATTTCTAATCCACCAAGCAAACAGACAAACCTCAGTCAGTGGAATGAGAAGCAGGAATGGAAATTATTCTTTCTCTAGAAGCCAGAGGAGCTTTCAGTAGCATCATAGTAAACATCCTTCACCTCCTTAAAACTCGTTGTGTTGCAATCTGCTATTCTTATTTTAGTCATTTATCAAATGGGGACATATTGATTGTTCTCAGTAATTATGTTCATATAGTAGAGAACAGGAATTAAATAAATGAATTATAGAGTATAGTTTGATATAAATACAAACTACAATCTTAAAAGAAAACCCTTATAAGCCATGAATAAAGGAAAATGTCTCCCAAGTCTCCCAAATTTAAAGATTCTGTCTCTCTTCTCAAGATTGAGCATATAATTTTATATTCATTTTACTTTTTATATGATGCTGCTTCTATAATGCAGGTTTAATTTGCCATCACACTAGAAAGACTAAAATATCATAAATTTATTTTGTACATACACTTGTTTTTTTAATCTCTTGAGCCATGCTGTTTGTCACAGACATTTTAACCATCTTTGGGATGTGCCAAAAAGTTGTTTATATAACTCAGGAAAATACTTGTAATTTTCATAAGTATATAGGTACTTATATTGTACATTGTTCAAGGATCAAGAAACAAATCACTTAAAGGCTAGAATTTCCTAAATTTATTTGCACATAATATAATAAGCAAGCATCATTAAGAATTTAGGCCCTGAGCACACATAGACTTGGATCTGAATGCCAGCTCCATGATATTCTACTTGTATAACTTCTGACCAAGGACTTAACTTTTCTAATGCTTAGCTTTCACATCTATATCATGAAGAAAATAGTAGATTCCACTTTAAAAAGTTGTTAAGCATAGGCTTGACACAAGAATTAAACACTATAATAGTGGCAAGGAATTCAAGTGCAATGTCAGCCTAGAGCAGACTTACCCAGTACTTGGTGTACTGGCCTCCTGGTACAGCTCCTTTTTCAACAGCCTGCATCTGTTTGTCTTTGTTTTTGTTTTTTCTTTTTTTTGAGACCGGGTCTTGCTCTGTCGCCCAGGCTGGAGTGCAGTGGCACAATCTCGGTTCACTGCAGCCTCTGCCTCCTGGGTTCAAGCAACTCTCTTGCCTCAGCCTCCCAAGTAGATGGGATTACAGGTGCGTGCCACCACACTTGGCTAATTTTTATATTTTTAGTAGAGACGGGGTTTCACCATGTTGGCCATGCTGGTCTCAAACTCCTGACCCCAAGTGATCCGCCCGCCTCGGCCTCCCAAAGTGCTGGGATTACAGGTGTGAGCCACAGAGCCTTGCCTGTCTTTGATGGGAACTGTCCTCAGGTTGGTGGAACCAGCATTTCCTGCTGGCAATAGTAACGGCCTGCAGAGGCTGCCCCTATCCCATGAGAAAGAGGTGCATGGGAACCAATCCTCCAGCACCCTCACTCCTGATTAGGACAGCTCTGAGTTGTACTCTTCGCTCTCACAGTTTCCCTGCAGAACCGAGCCAAAGGCACCCTTTGTTGGACTGAACCTAATGAGGCATCCCTGGCTGGGCTTCCTTCCTGTCCTGATCTGACTTCACTTATCGGTTTTCCTGGCAATACTTCCTGACAAATCCATCCAAGGGTGCACTTCTGAGGAACCGCATCTGAAGCATCTTCAGAACATGAACAACCTAATCAGTATTAGCCCAAAATATCTGTGTCAAAGAGTGTGGATTGGCAACCTCTTCATGATACACATGTGAAAGGAAATAATTCATTGATTGGTGCTACTGGGGTGCATCCTGCAATAGCATCACCATTAAGCAGAGATGAAAGTAGGCATAGTGGTCAATAGCAGTGACCACACCCCTGCCTCCTCTTCCTATCCCAGTCAGCAGTTAGGTGTGGCTCTCAGTGGGATGGCAGAGCTCTGCGGCATAATTAAAGGATAGAGTCACAGTCCACAACATCTCCCCAGCCTCCTCACATGGTTTGGGGGCTCTTCCTTCCTGTCCTTAGGGAGTGGGGCTGCCTCTCTCTGTGATTTCATTGTTATACTATAGATCAAGGTGGGGTCAGAATTCCAAAAAAAGATGTCACAGGAACTGGGGAGACCCCTAAAACAGGTATGGTCTTGCCTGGCCTCCATTCACCACAAAGTCATCTCAGATTTGGGGAACCTCCATGTTGTCTGTGATAGAAGAAAAGGCTGGCTGACACTCATTTGGTCTCTAAGACAGATGGAATGCTTTTCTCTTAGGTCCTTCACCAATTCTCCCGAGAGTGTTTTTTTTCTTCCAAATAACCGCAACCAAAGTAATGAGTGTCTTGGCACCTGCTAATTTATTTCTAAAATGCTTTTGAATTATGATTATTAACTCCACTGTGAACTTTTTAGATGATTTTATCACCTGTCTTTCCAGGAAAATAATTCTCATGACAAACATTTAACTTTTAGTATGAAATATATAAGAAATGACTTAATTCTACGCAAATGCTTACCATCTTTGATCAGTCACACATTAGGAACTATTTTCATTGGAAATATTTTTCATGACAGCGAAGGTTGTCATATCCCACGTTTGTTGATCTCAACTGCCTGGTTGGTTCTTGTCAGTAGGGCCATTAACATTTGACAATAGGTGCTCCAGTTTGGGAAGATTATTCCAAAGTCACGGTTATTATTCCAAATCTGCTTGCCCCTAAAGTGCATGCGTGAGGAGGAAGAGCTTTCTCACTTGGCCGTGTTCTTTGTTCCGGATATGAGTAAGTGGGAGAATTGCCGCTAAAATTCTTTGGCCTCTTCTACTTCCTATGCTTGTCCTTCCTGCCCCCGCTTCCTACACAACATACACACACACACACACACACACACACACACACACACACACACACAGAGAAACACACGCACGCATACACACCCCACCCCACACTTCAAGGAGGACATAATCTTCCTTGCATTGGTAACCATTTCCTACTGGTTACCATTGTCATTGGATAACTGAGGTAACCATTTCCTACTGGTTGCCATTGTCATTGGATAATTGAGGTAGCATGAAGATTCATGTTGGCCACATTTCCAAATCACTACTCAAGTCTTTCTTTCTTTTCCCCCTTTTTCTTCATTCTAGAATTTGGGGTGCATTTCTTCATATATTATCTCTGTCTAACTCTGTTTCTAATAGGAAAAATATCTCTCTCTGTCTACATAACACAATGACTTCAAGAGTCAATACTGTTTATATTGTTTAATATTACAGCTTGTCTTCTTTTCTACATTTTTAATATTTTAATGTGTATTTCATACTTTAAGAGATATGAAATGTCATGGAAACTTTGTTTCTCAGTTTTCTCCTGTAGATTTCATAACCCAGTCTCAGGAGTATTTATAGAACAATCATTTTAATTTTATTTCCCTCAGAAACAATACAGATGAATTGCTAACTTTAAAATAAAATTCTGCTTTCATCTTTAACTAGTATTTAAAAAGCTTTATGGAGCTATATAGAGTTTTAAAAACAAACACACAAATAAGAGTTTGACAAATAACTTAATATTTAAATCAGAAGTTCTGTTCACTTAGAGGTTAATTGGATCAATTTAAAGGAGTGCTAGATTTACAGGGGACCATGTGTTCATGAGGATAATTTCTAAAATTCTCACCAGAAAATCAGTCTTCTTACCTTCCCCTGGAGAGGGAGAGATGTGTTGAATGGTTACTATGTGGTACGCACTGTGCAAGGCACCTTATTTATTCATTATAACAGCCACTCTGAAGGGTTATAACTAACACTATTGTAGATATTTTTAAAACTGAGGTTCAGAGGCATTAAGAAGACAACAGCTAGTTGTAAAAAACAAAAAAAGGCAGAATGCAAGGAAAAGAACCTAGATTTTACATTGCTCCAATACCCATGCTTTTTTTCCCCATTTACACTAAGCAAAACCCTGTTTATATCGTAGAGATAAGATTATTAAAATTATGGGATTTAAACATTCTATATGGGCCTTATTGCCTTGCCTCTTACTCTTAGTGGCCATTTTGTGCGTGTCATTGATGCGTACGATTATAAATAGTTGTAAGGAAAAAATGCTCTATTAATTCTTTTCAAAAGCAGAAATGTAGCCTACATAGGATTTTTTTTTTTTTTTTTTTTTTGGAGACAGAGTTTCACTCTTGTTGCCCAGGCTGGAGTGCATGCAATCTCGGCTCACTGCAATCTCCACCTCCCTGGTTCAAGTGATTCTCCTGCCTCAGCCTCCCGAGTAGCTGGGATTACAGGCACCCATCACCACACCTGGCTAATTTTTATATTTTTAGTAGAGATGGGGTTTCACCATGTTGGCCAGGCTGGTCTCAAACTCCTAACATCAGGTGATCCACCCGCCTCGGCCTCCCAAAGTGCTGGGATTACAGGCTTGAGCCACCGCACCTGGTGCCTACATAGCATTTAAATAATTATTTTACTACTAGAGCCTGAGCCTCCCCAGACTACTCACAACCCAGGCTTTTTTATGTTTTCATTTGGACCCAACTTTCCACAAAGTGCTTTGGTAACTCTGCTCATGTCAACTCTTGATATATAATGAGAGCTCAAGTAATATTACTAATTAAGTGGCTCAAGAATCAGTCAGGCATTTTGACTCTTAAACTCAATGGACTGAAAGAAAAAAAGTCAATGGACTGAAGCATTTCCTTTCAGAGACAAAGTGAGAGATATACTGGCCGTTTGACCTAAGGTGAATGACTTAAACCACTCTGAACCTCAGTTTTCTAAGATAGTAGTGCTTTCTATTGTATTATCATATGATTAAATGTAGTATCATATGATTAAATGTAAATTAAAGGTGGTGACTAACATGAGAAATGATAAGTTCAATGTGCTGACCAAAGAAACAAATAAATAGAAACAATGAGTTTTATTAAGCTGTAATTTCCCAAAGATGAGGGAATGCACTTGCTGACTTTTTTTGTCTCATTTTCCTCATTTAAAAAATGACCCAGCCAGCATTGCCTCCTCTGTTGCGGATGTCCAGCTCTGAAGATGTCTGTTTCAGTGCGACAGTGTCAGAGGACTGCTGATACTCTAGCATCCTGTTCAATTCTTAGTTGCGAGAGATAGAATGCCAACTGGTTCAATAAGTAAAAGGGAATTTATTGGCTTTTATAATTGAAATGATAATTGTCCACAAAAGGACGAGCTTGAGGCATTGCTAAATGCAAGAAGATATCAACAGGTCTCTCTCTCTCTCTCTTTCTACTGTCCCCTGCCTCTTTCTGCTTTCATTTTTGGCCTTTGCTCTCCTCCATCATGGCCTTACTCTCAAGTAGGTTCCCTTCTTCCCACGATAGTTCCCAGGAACACTGAGATGAAACCCTTTCCAGGCCATCAGAAGATTCCCTTATCAGTTTGACGGAAGTTCCAGAATCAAGTCTTAATAGGCCAAAGTGAGTAACAGACTCAGTGCTTTAGCTGGGAGAAGATGGTATAATGGGATATGCCAATTGCCTGTGTCATGGGCCAAACCTGAGCCAATCACTGGCCAAGGGAATGCAGTGTCCATCCCTGGAGCCCAGATCGGAGGAGCCCTGGAACACCATGGTTTGAGAGTGGGAAGGAACAACACTGTGAGGATGCTGTTGGGGGAAATGATGAGTCTAAGGATAATGAGGAACTAGGTTTTTGGTAGATGAAAAGCAGATGTTTATGAACTTGGCTTAGTCTTACAAGAAAGCATTTGTATCTGATCATTGGCTGGGACTCCTGACCAATTGCTCCTGCCTTCCTCTTCCATCACCTCAGTTAGCTTAAAAGTACTGAGATAAACCATTGCTTAAGCAAAACATATCAGCAGAGAAGCATAATCAAGGCAGGCTAGGAAGTCTGGGAAAAAATGAATAATATCTGCATAGCTCTTGTGTTTCATTTGTCACAGAGCCCACTGAGTAAGGGTGGACAGAATAGTAACACTAAACGAGCTGCAAGAATATGCAAATGCCCTGTGGTCAGTTTCCAGCTTTGCTGCTGTAACACCTGTTAACTCCCTGTTTTTCAGTTTTACAAAACTCAGCTCAAAAGGGATGTTGTTTCTGTGCAGGGATGCCATTATTTCTCTTCACCACCCTCCTCCTTCTGGGTGAAAGCATGCTCCAGCTTTTCTCTAAACTCCTCTCCTCAGTCTGCACCATCGATTACTAACCTACAGGCTCAGTCCTTCAAACTTTGGGCCCATCTTAATTAGGGCAGCCAGCAGTATATTGCTGGCCAACTCAGAGCCACACAAAACTTCTCCCACCTCTTGCAACTGTTAAGATCTTGCATTACTCCTGCTGGGCTAAGTCAGGTATGTCACACAGATCCCTGAACATCCACATAGGTCCCTGTGTTAGCCTGTCCTCTAACCTTCTTTCAGGGGTTACCTGCCTGATTGTAACCCAAATCCTGGTCTGGCCTTTGACTCCAACCCATTTGGTTGAATCCAAAACAAACTTACCTTCTAGAATCTAAAACCTAGCCTGCTGTAACTCCTTGCAAATGGCTCACCCAGATCAAGCCCAAGTTTTCAACATGAAATTTGGGCAGCAACCCTCACTCTTTCAGTTCACAAAGGTCCCACTTTTCCTGTTCACTCACCTCAATTCTGTACCCATGTGTTTCTGAGGTCCCAGTGTAAAATGGCACCAAGCCTGCTTACATGATCTATGGCACTGGGTGATGTTGGTGAGTTGGGGTGGGAATTCTCCTGTGTAAACACAGCAAAACCGGAGTATCCTGATGGGGAGCCTCTAGTGAACTAATGGTGTTCATTCACTCATTTATTCATACAATGAATATCAATCACATAATTTAGTGCTTCTGAAACTTGAGTATGTATACAAATTCCTGTGGATCTTATTAAAATGCATATTCTGATTCAGTAGGGCTGGGATTGGGCCTGAGATTCTGCATTTTAACACGCTCCCAGATGATGTGCATGCTGATGTTTTATGAACCAGAATTTGGGTAGCAAGGACTATAGAAACTCAGGAAGTATTTGTTGAACGTTAAATGAATGAAAATCTGAATAAAAGCTTTGAATAATCGTTTCAGTTTAGATAGAAAAGAGAAGTATAATGTTGATGGAGTTACTGGTAAATGACAGTTAATGGGTCAAATGCTTTAGCCTTTGCCAATGAGTCTTCCCTGGTGTTGTCCCCTCATTACCCATCCCAATGGACTTTGACCCATTTCCCCTGCCTCTTGCTAAGGGAATAAGAGAGCCAACTTCAGACTAGCATTCCAATTGCCTGTTAAAGCCTGTTCTTTTTGAACCACACCCATAGTTTTTCAATGTTCTCAACAGAAGCATGGCTTTGTAGTCACATACACACACAATGCCCAATTACTGGCAATTTTGGTATAACAAGGAATGTACATCCCCAACCCTACTGGATATCAAGACCTTTTATGGCATTTCATGTCTGTGTAGATTCTCAACAATGCCAAAGAAACTCAAAACGTGAAAAGAGGAAGTACTAGAATACCACACTAGAGACAAAACCTCTTCCCCCTATTTTTTTTTTTTTCTGCTGAATGTTTCTGGCTTGATTTCTTTGCCAACACAGATTTCTTACTGGACAAAGCAAACACTCTGTTGTACTCTCAGAAAGTTCCATTTTTAGCTCACAGCATAATGTGTGGTGTGGTTTGTTCTCTAAAGAAGGAACACAGCAGGTAAAAGGTAAATTATTTCACAAAGGTCAGCTGTGAGCCCGTTCTCTTTTGATAATAGGAATCTTGCCTTGTGGAGAGCTCATTAGAGGTCCCCAAGAGGCCCAAAGAAGAGGCTGGGATCAGGAGATGGGGGATAAAAATGCCTGCTGAAAATGTTAGGGCTGTCATTCCTACCCCAGAACTCTGGCTCTCCATTTAATGAACAATTTTCCCTTAACAAAAACTCACTGGAAATGATGGAATGCTCATGCATTAGTTATCTCCCCGCCTCTCTGCCAAATGCCTCTCTTTGCTGCTTTCTTGTCTAGACCATAGACTCCATAGTCCCAGACAGGAATTGTAGAGACTTCTTGTTCCTCAGATATGTCGAGTTGGAGCTATATCTTTGAAAGTCAAATTTTATGTTAAGAGAACATCACCTTAAACAACTTTGGCTTTGCTCCTAAGTCCAACCCCATAATATATTAAATTTCATTTGTTCTCTCTGGAGTGGGCTCTCTTTCCAACTTAGATAGCAAGTGAGAAAAGTATAGTTCTTGTTCAGCTGGCACACCATTTCCATTTAAACTGCTGTCAACTTGAGCTTAGCTGAGGTTATGAATAGAAAATGTGCACGTCCCATGACCACAATGGAACAGGCTTTAGGAAACAACCCACGACACACAACAACTTCCTGAATAGGCAGCAGCTGACCACAGTTTCAACGTCCTAACTGTGATAACCATTATAACTTTAATAGGCATCCTGGGGCAGAAACTACTCTCTGTCAACAGTTAAAGGTCCCTCCACAAAGAGTCACCAAATTGTGAACTTTTATTGCAGAAAGGGCTCAGAGAGAAGAATTCTAAGGCTTCACTCTGCAGGGTCAAAAACTTGTCAAATGTCACACCACTTCGGACTAGTGAAAGAATCACAGATTGGGGGGAGCCCTCAGGCTGAATTTGGAAGGATAAATTGAAAAAGTCATACTTGAATTAAAAAATGGCTTGAGTTGGACTTGTTCCATGAATGCAATTTAGCTTTTTACTGTGGCTGGTGACAATGTGGTATTTTCAGCTTCTGAGTTGATTGACAGTGGCAAAATACTGGAAGATTTTATTTAATAAGAGTGCCATTGTTATCTCTACATTAGGACAACTTCTTTCTCTGGTACAATCACTTTTTTTTTAAAGTTAAAACCCATTTTCTCTTCTGTATTCCCCTTCCCCTGGGAAGGAAAAGAATACATGCACAAAGAAGAAAAAATGTAAAACACAACCCTGCCATTTAGGACTTTTTCCAGGCTTATATGTTGCTATTATTCTTTAAGGATACTATATGCTTCCTAATGTGATTTTTTTTTCACTAATCAATATAATGTGGGCATCTTTATATGTCAAGGAGAACATCATCTATACCAGGTTTCAGCAAATGATGGTCCAAGGGCCAAATCCTGACCAATGCCTGTTTTTGTAAATAAAGTTCAAATGGAACACAGCCATGTCTATTCATTTATGTATGATATCTGGCTGCTTTTGAGCTAGAATGGCAGAGATGAATAGCTGCAACGGAGATAACCTTACTCATGAAGGCTAAAATATTTACTATTGGCCCTTTGCAGAAAATGTTTCTAACCCTTGATCTACATTATTATGTTTCAATAGTTGAGCAACATTTCATTGCATCATCATATAATTATTTGTTTAATCAGTCCTTGTTGAGAGACATTTGGGTTATTTCCTGTCTTAAATAACATTTAGGTTGTTTCCCATTGCATGGAACACTAGGCTCTAACATCATTATCATTGCTTATATCTTTACATCCCGTTAAGAAATAGTCTGAAGATTAAAAATTACTAGATTAAAGGATTTTTCAGTCTTCCAAAGGGATTTTGGTAGCCATTCCCATATTTTTTCCACTTCTACATAGAGGAGCTCTTTTTTTTTTTTTTTTTTTTTTTTTTTTTTTTTTTTTTCTTTTATTTTTTATTTTATTTTATTTTATTTTTTTTATTATACTCTAAGTTTTAGGGTACATGTGCACATTGTGCAGGTTAGTTACATATGTATACATGTGCCATGCTGGTGCGCTGCACCACTAATGTGTCATCTAGCATTAGGTATATCTCCCAATACTATCCCTCCCCCCTCCCCCAACCCCACCACAGTCCCCAGAGTGTGATATTCCCCTTCCTGTGTCCATGTGATCTCATTGTTCAATTCCCACCTATGAGTGAGAATATGCGGTGTTTGGTTTTTTGTTCTTGCGATAGTTTACTGAGAATGATGGTTTCCAATTTCATCCATGTCCCTACAAAGGATATGAACTCATCATTTTTTATGGCTGCATAGTATTCCATGGTGTATATGTGCCACATTTTCTTAATCCAGTCTATCATTGTTGGACATTTGGGTTGGTTCCAAGTCTTTGCTATTGTGAATAGTGCCGCAATAAACATACGTGTGCATGTGTCTTTATAGCAGCATGATTTATACTCATTTGGGTATATACCCAGTAATGGGATGGCTGGGTCAAATGGTATTTCTAGTTCTAGATCCCTGAGGAATCGCCACACTGACTTCCACAATGGTTGAACTAGTTTACAGTCCCACCAACAGTGTAAAAGTGTTCCTATTTCTCCGCATCCTCTCCAGCACCTGTTGTTTCCTGACTTTTTAATGATTGCCATTCTAACTGGTGTGAGATGATATCTCATAGTGGTTTTGATTTGCATTTCTCTGATGGCCAGTGATGATGATTATTATTGTGATAACAGCTGATACAGAGGGGTTGCCCTTTCCATAGTTTCTCTTGCCTATCATCTACAAAACTATACTCACAGAGCCCGAGACTTCAAGACCACACAGACCATCTAATGGAACTTGACAGTGGGGCACACTCCATTATCGAGCTCCAAATTTGCAGCCCTAGCAATTGCTGAAAACAAGGACTGAGAGATGAACTATCTTCCAATGGTTTTGTCCTTTGGCTCAGCGTACACCACATCCTTATAAAAACACCTTCATTCAAAAGTCAGCCTGTGGAGCCAGCTTGGAGATAACCAGTGTGGTTTGACTGGGGGGCTTGTGTTATATCTTTTATGAGTTTGTCATGACACCAAGAGTAAATAATCAAATCCAGCCTTTAATAGCCCAGGGTTTGGTAGCTGCCTCTTCTCGGGTGATGGAGGCTGCCATGGATGGAATGTGGCAAGTTAAGTTATTTCTGTTTCAGGTTTCTCTTTAGCCAGGGCCTGAAGCAGTCTGCTATGCTTCTGCTATATAGCACTAGGTCTAAGCCCTAAGTTCCTCAGGACCCCCTTCATAACCTGATATATGCTGGGCATTTTGTCTAAAGTAGCCTCCATCTCTTTTCACAATGCAGAGAGAAAAGCTAAAATGTAAAACAGAAAAGTGTGGGGGACATTTATCTGGTATCTTCACTTGTTAACCACTTCTTATGGCCCTAAAACATATGTGTTTACGTATATTTACTCGAAGGCAAATATAATCTTTAATATTATTAATATTAATTATATTAGGTGTATATGTGTTATATACACCTAATATTAATAATCTTTATATATACCTAATATTAATAATATATGTATGTATACACTTAATATTAATAATATCAAAGATTCTGCTTGAAAAAACCTAGTTGATTTTGTATATAAGCTCGGCTTTCTTTTCTCTGTGTGGGATAACCTGGCACTGCACTTAATCCTAGTGGGACAAGTTCTGTTGGCTTTTTTCTCTTCCACGCCAGTGGAAAAGGTGACTTCCCAGCCAGTCAGAGACTAAGTAAGAGAATTTATATAATGAAATGCTATACAGCAATATAAATGACTGAGCTACTGATGCATGCCCAGGCAAATCTCAAAAGCATTGTGCTAAGTGAAAGAAGCCAGACACAAGAGTCCATTTACATGAAATTCTAGAAAAGGCAAAACTATGGTGAAAGAAAATAGATTAGTGGTTATTAGGGGCCTTGGATGGGATGGGATTGAGATAATCTTTTGGAACGATGACCATCTTCTATGTTTTGATTGTGGTGTGGTAACATAAATGTATACGGCTGTCAAAATTTACTGAAGTATAAACTCTTCAAATAGGTGCATTCTGTAATACATAAATGATACCTTAATAAATTTGAAGTGATGAAAAAGAAGTAAAGGAAGGAATTTGGGTTGATTTATGAATGTGTGGCTTGAACATTTATATGGGTGGTGGTTCCATTGGACATTAGACAATAACAAACAAGAGCGCAAATATAAGAGGTGGTGAGGAGGATGATGGGCACAATTTTGGGCCTGTCAAGTTGAGAGACACCCAGGTGAAGAGTCCAAGTTTTGGACTGGATACGAAGATTTTGGAATTGCTAGTGCATTGGTGAGAGTAGACTCTAACAATGTGCATGAAAGTGGAAAGAAAGAGAAGACTCCAGAAATAAGGGCCTATCCTGAAGAACACCCATGCGGAATCCACTAGAGTCTAAATTTTAGATGATTGCTACTCCTAGTTAGGTCCACGGATCAGCAGAAATGGCATCACCTGTGAGCTTGTTAGAAACGCGGAACTTTGGGCTGTACTCCAGACCTATGGAATCAGAATCAAAATCTGCATTTTAAGACCCCCTCCCAGATAATTATTATGCATGTTAAAGTTTGAGAAGTGCTACTTTAGGTGCACCTAAGTCCACCTTTACTTATACCAATTTCTCTCTAAAATCCAGTTGACAGAATAAAGGAAGCATAGGCTCCTGAAGCCAAGGATTGCATCATGGGGCCGGAATTGTTTTTTATTTTTAGTAAGAAAAACCACTGCATGCAAACAGAACTAAAGAAATGTTAATGTAAATGCTGTCTGTTTATTCAACAGGCTGCTGTAACTTCTGGGGAGCCATCAAGGTTTATTTAGACTAGAGAGAACCTTCTTTTTCTTTAAAAAAAAAAAAAAACAAACCCATATACACAGAGAGACGTCTTATTTCATTAGGATCTACTTGAGGAATCATTTCTTTTCTTGCTTTTATAAAAAAGTCCTTTGCCTAAAGAACATACATGCTTCTTCTTGAATTCTTGCAGACAAACTGTTTGTTAGAACTTTGATGAGTTGGGAATGTATTACAGCAGCTGTCACTGGGTTAACCATGTGATTGCTCCTACAGATGTAGTTGCTTGTCTGAGTGCATTTCCCGGGAGAGGGGAGTAGGCAAGCCGGAAGGTAGGAAAGCTGTCCAGGCTACTTCTTGTCTGAGCTCCACTGCTTTCCGGCCTTGAGATAGGAGCTTGCCCAGGGTACTTGGCCTATTTGGTTAAGTTGTCAGTGTTTGTTGGTGAATTTTCATTAAAATGAAGAGAGGCTGTTGAAGAAATCATGGCATACCGGTAAGTGCTTGGGCTTTGGAAATATACAGGCCTGCATTTAGTCCCAGCTCTGCTACTATTTGCTTTGTTTTCCCATCTTCCTACCCCTAACTTTGTTTTTCATCACTAAAATGGTTATTATAAGGAAAAAATACAGTAATGGACTGAAAAACTTTATGCAAGCTGAAAGTGACCTACTGGTGTCACTTGCAGGCATTATTATAACTACTGTTGTGAAGCACTATGCTGGTTATACACGAGGTGGTCTCATGGGAAAGAAGAATAGGCTGCAGTTTATGTTTACTTTTCCTAGAACCCCTATTTATTCCCCACCCATATTCAGGGAAACTGTGAGTGCATCCTTGTCAGAGGCTCCATTTGCACAGTAATCTTTGTGAGTGGCACCTCAAGGGATATGCAGTGCATCCCTGCATGGGCTGCTGCTCTTCACACACACACACATTCCCTCCTGACTATGATGTCATGTTCTGGATTTGGGTTCCAGGGCCCAGTTGCTTTTCCTTCCCTTTGTTCTACATATATTATTCTTAGAAAAGTCACAGCTGTCAATCTAGGATTTCTTACTGGGCAGGGAAGTCATTATGTTATATACAGAGAAGTAATATAAAAAATACCTGAGAATTCTCAAGCTTGGCCCAGTTTCCAAGGGGAATGTTTTCCTTTTCAACACTCATTCTAAGGGCGGGTTGACCCTAGGCAAAAATAATGTGTGCAACTTCCTGAGACTGCCAACTTGATGGGATGTGACATATACTTGGGTGGATCTTTGTACTTATAGCTTCTTAGTCTCATTGTTGTTTTCTCTACTATGTGACTTATTTTGGCCGATGGATATTAACAGGACATGCTGCAAGCAGTGGTTTGGCATGTACTTGTGTGATGGGACTTGCACCTTATAAGTTTGCTGTTTCCATGAAAAAAAAAGTACTCAGACAAGTCTGGTATTCTAAGGGGAATGAGGGACACGTGAAGCAAATCTGGCTTAGTTTGCAGCTTGGAGGCAAGCCCAGCCCAGCCCAACCTAAATGAATCAGTTTAGGTTGAACTGTAACTAACTGAGAAAGAATAATTGTAGTTGTTTTAAGCCATTGAATTTTGGAATGGTGTTAAACACACCCCATTTTCAACATTTCCTTCACCTCATTGGTCCTGTGGTCAATTGATCCTGTCAATTTCCACCATCCCTTACATCCCTTGTAGCCTTATTTCTATCCAACAAAGATTCTATAGTTCATCATTATAATTACTTCCTTGCATTCATGCTAAAGTTTATAATCTGGGAAACTCCTACCTTAATTACAACAAACTTTCACCCTATACCACACTTCTACCAATGTAGCTGAGCCTGGCCAGAACCTGCTAGCTGGTCTTATGAATGTCAAATGGGCTCTTGGTGCAGCCTAGCAGTACCACTATGTTGCTCTAGGCCCTTTACTCTCATAACCTCCTGTTATTCATTATTTGATTTTTATTATCACTTAATTTCATTCTTTTCAAACTTGTAATACCTTCTCCCCCACCCCCAATCTTTGCTGATGACCTTGCTTACTCTTTCACTAAGCAACCAGAAACAACCAGAAGAGAATGTTCACCAGTTCTCGCTAGCATATCTTCCTAAATTCTTGCATCAGTGCCCATCACTCTACCTATCCTCCTGCTCCCAGGGTCAAACCAGCCTTCCTCTTAAAACCAACCCCTTCCTTATCTACTAGATACATCTCTTCTCATTAATTCAAATATGCTGCTCCAGGGAACTGTCTTCTCTCTGTCCTCCATCATTAGTTTTCCCTCTCTTCCCATACATATAAACATGCTATGATGTCTTCCCTCTTTAAAAAAATTATTAAAAATGTATTTTAATTCCACTCACTGTCCAGCCTCCATATCATTTTCCTTTTATGGCAAAACTTCTTCAGAAAGTTTTCTGTAGTCACAGTATCTATGCTCTCTCCTCCCATTATTTCTTAAACCCACTCCACTTGGGTTCTCATCTCTATTACATCAACAAAACTGTTCTTGTCAAAGTCACCAGTGATCTCCATGCTGCTAAATCTGGTGACTGTTTCATGTGAATCACTCTTTCATGCTTGAAACATTTCTTTCATTTGGATTCTGGGATTCTATGATCTTCTGATTTGCTTCCTACCTGCTTGTTCACTCTTTTTCCACCTCATTTTCCAACTCTTCCTTGTTCTTAGAACTTCTAAATATGGAGTTCCCGGGGACTGCAGTGATTTCTCTTTTCCATCTACACTCACATCCTCCTTTAAATACCATCCAAAGCCCATGTACTGATGACTCCCAAATTTGTAGCTAGCCTGGGCTCTCTTCTGTGCTCAAAGCTCCTCTATGCAACTGACTAGCTTCATGTCAAGGTTTACTTTGTATCTCTAATATTCCATGTCCTGTAGTTGTCCTGCTTTTCTGGCTCTCAAACCTTCTCCTCTCAGTCTTTCCCACCTCAGTAAATGTCAACTCCCTTCTTTCAGTTTCCCAAACTTTTAGCTTTTTGATTATCTTGTCCTTTTCTTTCCCTCATATCCCACATTCCTCATATCTTGAACAAATCCTGTTGCCTTTACCTTCAAAATATATCCAGGATCCAATGTCGGATCATCTTGTCCACCTCTACCACTCTCACCCAAGCCACTGTCAAGAAAGGTAGAGAGAAAGACACATTATCACAACATGTTCTTGACCAGACTCTCCCCTCTCATTCTTCAGTTGTTCATCTCTCCCCACTTGCTCCTTTCTGATGGTTCCTGTTGCCCACAGAATAATTATCAAACCCTCCACATCTGGCTTGTTTACCCCCTTTCTGAATGTTCTCTCCTCTCTAAACTATGCATCTTCTCTTGACCACATTGTGACATGATTGTCTCTCATCCTCTGCTCCTGCTGGTCCCTCTGCCTGATGTCTCCTACTTCTCTCTTTGATGCCACTCATCCTTCAATGCTCAATTCAAGTGACACATGATGTAGCTACTGCTGTCAGAAGTCCACCCATGTCCCCTTGACTCCTTTTTCTGTGCATGTCAACCTGACTTCCAACTGCCAGTCCCTGTGACTGTGCTTTGGAGCCCTCTATTGTCACAGAGTCCATTTTGCCTGTGCAAGGCTCACTGCAAGCACAGGAGAATTCACTTAATATCTGGCTCCCTGGCCTCAGCAATTCTCATCCGTAACCAGTAGGATTGCTTTTGGACAGAATAACTCTAAAGTGTCTGTTGTACACTGGCCCCCAGGCTCTGCAGCAAGATTGGTCCCCTTGGTAACATGCCCTTTATTAGTGTCCTTTCTTTTCCTTTCCTTCTGCCCACTTTCCCGCTGGTATTTCTTGGGAATTATTTCCAAAAGAAATTATTTGCCCTCAGATTCTTATCTCAGGGTCTGCTTTCCCTTTTCTCCGCTGTCTGAGAATGCCCCAAGAAAAATAATTGCTTCCCTGTATATTTTCTTATAACATTTGTACATATCTCTGGTATAGTATTTATAACAGTTTATTAAAATTGTTTATGTGTTGGACTGTGATGTAGTAGAGGCAAGACTCACGTCATTCTAATTCGTGTCCTTGCCTGGCATGTACCTGTCACATAGCAGGCACCCAATACTGATCAAACACAAGTGTTTTAGATTGACTTCTCCTTCTCTGACCAGCCCCTTGCTCTATTCTGGCATGGCTGGGATGCATCAGCAGTTTTCTCTAAATCCCTGTTTTTACCAGCATCTTCACTAAGAACTTGTAATGCTATTCTAAGATCCCTGGATTTCAACCAGAATAGCAAGAAGCAGCTATTGAAGAATAACAGAGAGGTCTAAAGGTTAACCAAATGTGTAATTATAAAAAGCTAAGCTTAATAGCACTTGGGGAGTTCTGCATGTTTTTAGGATGATTACTAAGCAAGAAGGTTAGGCTAATGAGGTTTGGGCCCATGACCCAGGGAGGCAGAAAACTTGCCAAGAAGAGCGAATGTAAGCTCCTAGCCCTTCTGGGTCTCCTGGGTTCTACTCAGAATATAGAGTTGGAAAGAGCATCACTCCAACGCTTCCAGCAATGGTAAAGACAGTGAATACAAATTCTCAACTTTTCTTAAACCTGTCAGATGACTAAAGTTATAGGGCAACAAATTAGCCTAAAATCTGGAGATAGGCAGGCCCCTGCAGGGAGCTTAGCACTAGACTCCAGCAAGAAGACTTCAGCTGGAATTGTTGACAAATTGGTGGAGGCCAAATATGGGCTGCTGGGACAGTATGAAACTCCTGGGGCTGCAGCCATAGTGAGATTTTATATTCTCTTACAGACTTTTCTTTTCGAAACACACCAGGCACTCACAGGAAACACAGAGAAGAGTCCTGAGAAAACTTCCAGCCTAGTGCTAGTTAGGGAAGATAAAAAGCAGTGACTACAGGACAGGCACAAAACCCTTAAACACTGCTCTCTGTCTTTGCTATGGAGCAAAACCCTTAGCCTGGAGGAGGAAGAACAGAAATCATTGCCATGGGGCACTGGTGAAAACCCACTGTATCTGCGGGAAGGGAATAGAAGAAAACAAAGCAAAACACATGTGCTCCTGGGAGGAGACAAGAATATAGTAAGACTGTGTTCAAAAAGGATGAGGATGTATTAAAAGGGCACAGGAGCCAAAGTAAACAAACACCCATGGGCAAGAGCTGAAACAATCTGAAAAGCAAAATAATTAACATGAGTAGATAATAAAATGCCAGATCCATGACTCCATAGTGATACAATAATATCTAAATGAACAAAAGTAGGAGAAGGGGAGAAGGGGCGGCTCTTCCTTACAGAGCAATTCCAATGAAAACATGCAGAAAAAATGAAGGAAATAGAAAATCACAAGTAGAATGCCTTATTAACAATGGTGCAGGTAAGGAAAGAGGCACCAATGGATGCAAAAATTAATGGAAGAAGTTTGAGGAGAAATAGGATATTTACATAGTACCAAAGTATCCGCCACAAGACATTTATCAATTATAAAATACATTAGTCAAAAGCCTGGTGAAATCCAAATAAAGCCTGTAATTTAAAGTATTGCATAAATGTTAATTTGTAGTTTTGATAATTTACTATGGTTACTTAAGATGTTACAATAGGGAAGCTAGATGCATGATATACAGAAACTCCTATTTTTACATTTTTTTGTAAGTCTAAAATTACTTCATATTAGTAATTTGGAAAAACATACTAAAATTATGTCTATATTTTGTTTACTACAATCAAATTTTTATGCATTGGAAAAATACTTGGAAGAAAATATACAAAAATATTACCAGTGTTTATGTTTGGTTGATAGGATTAGAAAAACAAGATAACATGCCTAAAATTCTTCCAATTAATTATTTCTCTTAATTCTCAAAAACATTTTTTATATAGCATAGTTATGCACATTTTACAGATGAGAAAACAGGCTCAGAGAGGTCAAATGTCTTACTCAAGGCTACAAAAAAAAAACAAAAGGAAGATCCCCCAAATGAATCCAGATTCACTAAGACTAAGGGTTATGGATGATACTACCTTTCTTTTCTTTTTCATATTTCTTTTTACTTCTTGTGTTTCTGTTTCTTTGGGGATTAATTAATTAATGGAGTTACATTTTTAGAGGCAAAAATAACAAAGTATAATTAAAAAGAAATGATATCTAGTATCTGAAAATAGTAAAATACTAAAATACACCATGTAAGGGAGAAAAAAATTGAGTCTCAGTCCTAGAGTGCCATATATGGATGGCAGGCAACTGCTTAGTTGCATTTCTTAAAACTCTTGGGAATACTACTGGGTTTGTAGACCAAGAACCTGCTGTGTTTCTCTTGTATCCTAGGTTTTAATGGTCTCTGATGCATTAGATCCAACAATATATTAGGAATATACTAAACACAAATTATTAATTTTTTTGAGAAAGAATGACAGGCTCATAAAAAAATCTGATGATAGACCTATAAAGAATCTAAAGAAAACTATTGCAGTTCTATTCAGAGAAACACATATATAAAATGATGTAACAATTCAATTTTCTGTGAAGTCTGAGCCCCCAAAGCCCTAAAACAATATAATGTAATAGATGTTCAATACTGCAAGCTCTCAGTAGAGATTTCAGGCCGTACATGCAAGACAGGCTGTGAAACTGGTTCCTTTCGCATATTAGATTGTTCATCCACAACAGTGACACCTGATAGAAATATGTGAGCCATGTAGGTAATTTGTGGTTCTTTTGTTATTGTTAGTGTTTTTAAACATAATTAGTTATAATAATATATTTTATTTGATTCAATATATCAAATTATGATTATTTTAACATGTAGCCAATATAAAAATTAAGAAGATATTTTACTTTTGGGTTTTATATTTTTTTCACACCAAGTCTTTGAAATCTGGTCTGTAAATTTACAACACATCTCAATTTGGATTAATCATGTTTTCAATACTCAAAAGCCACATGTGGTTAGCATTGGTCATTGCAGATACATAGTCCATGAAAAGGTAAAAGTTGATGAGGCCTGGAGAGGAGATTTTTTTTTTTTTGACAAAATAGACTTCTTCTCTGCATTCTCCATAGGAATCAGGAGGAGAGTGCATCCTCTCACCTCAAGCCAAGTGATGGGGTTTCAAAGTGTCTCCTCAAAGGCCTTGGTATACACCACCTGTAATTTGTACAACAGAAGCCTTGGCATGTAATTTCCGTCTGGTAAAGACCAGAGGTGAAGAGAATGGCTGGTGCCACTCTCCTGGAGAAGGCACAAAGACACAAAACTTCCAAGAGCAAGGCTAAGTGAACTTGTGGAAAGCGGGCTGTAGAAGGGAGTGGGCTGGGGCTGAGTTCGAAAAGCTCCTCCTCTTAAGCATCCACAGTCTAAAAGGCTGGAAGTGCCCTTTCAGATGCTGATGTGGCAGGAAGCAAGTAGAGGAGGAGAGGTACTGCCTACCTCAAATGATGGGGAGTCCCTAAGAACCCACAGAAATGGCCTGAGCTAAAGAATGAAAGCTCTACGGGGGCAAGGGTTGATGTCTCTTTTGTTTGCTTTTGTATTCGAGTACCTGAAACAGTACTTAGTAGGTGATAGATAACTTTTGCTGTATCATATTCATATGACTTATGATGATTCATATGAGAATGAACTATCTGGTCCTACAGCCAGATCACAACAGGACCACGTAAGACTGCTCTTTCCCTAATCCCTGTCTCCTTGGCTAGCTTATCTCGGGAGGAGAGAAAGAAACAGATCAAAGTTCCCTACTCCCTGACCCAAGCTTTTGAAAGTCCTAAAGAAGGATGAAGATAGGAGGTCTCTTTGAATTAGTTTGCTCATCTGTAAAACAGACATAACATTCTCCACCTGGTAGAGTTGTAAGATCAAACAAGATGAACTGAGTGGTTATCACTCCCACAGTACCTGGCACATGGTATGCACAATACATATGAATGTTCTTTCTTTCTGCTTCTTTGCCTTCATTTTATAGACTGCAAAGCTGCCAGGGAAACCCAGCAGACACGGACTCAAGGCCATATATTTAAGTGTAAATCAGGCCCACATCACAGTTGGAATGTCCTGAATGGGCCCCGTTTCCTCTTGGAAGGGCCTGTGACCTCTATATCTGCCCACTAACTCTCCTCTTCTGCTGAAATACTAAAATACACCAGGCTTAGACTTACTTGCCTCATCTGCAGCCTTTGGTTTCAGATTTTTAATCAGAGGCAGCAAAATTACTGCAGTTATCAAGCTTTTCTCTCTCCCTCTTGAAAAGTCTTAGACAGGCCAAAATGGAGAAAAGCCATTTTCCTAGAACTCTATTGGATGTGACTTAACCACTGCATGCTGCATTGCCCAAGCCAAACAAGGGTCTTTAGGTCATAAACACACAGGCATCTCTGTACCCTCTTTAAGAACAGGCATGATTTATGGTGTTTTGTGAGCTTTAAATGAGGTCAGTTAATGTTTGCAATGTTCTTAGCAAACTGCCTAACATATAACAAAAGCTCAAAAATGCAAGCTTCACTATTTAACAGAATTTTCCAGTCTCGCACCACAGATAGAGAATACACAGTCTGGCTTGAAAATTTATTACTTCCCAAGTCGTTTCTTCCAGGATGAGGACAGAGGGTGGTATGTTTGCTGAGAGAACATTCACATAAGAAGGTGCCACCTGCTGTATCAGGTTCATGTCTACATTTAGCTAAAGATAGTTTATTTTGCATATTCATCACTGAAGCTACTATGTACCCATAATAATAGGAAGCAGTATAACTGGGGAGTCTGGTCAGAAATGGGCAGCCCTGTCTTTTGGCTGTCATTGCTCCTGCCGATGCCATATGATCTCACACGTTTGTGGCTGGCATGATGACCCATCTACCCCTTCATTTCACTGCATAAGCAATAATGGAGGCCCACACTTGTGTTCCAAGCATACAGTTCTTTGCACTCACATGCCCAACTGTTCAGGCATTGTTTCTGCAGCTCAGCCACTGTGCCAGAGAAGCTGGCATTAACCACATGTTCTGCTGGTACCAGATGATGAAAGGGAGCAAGGGCGTTACTGGCAGAGGACATAGCAGGGGCAAAGACATGGCAGTGTTAAAAATATGGCTCTGCTGGGGAACCTGCCACAGCATTTTAGGGCCCTAGAGCATTGTAGATTCTCAAAGGTAGGGAGTAGAAAAAGAAAAGCGGGGGACACGTGGCAAGTAATTGGAAAAGTGGGTTGAGATGAGACAGTAAAGGTTCTTGAATGTCTGCCAAGTGACTGGAACTTTACCTTATAGGTGATGTGTTGGCCACATAAGTTGGTAAGCTTGACAGGGCTGAACTGTGTTAGAGAAGGGGAGAGCTGAATTGGGGAATGTGCTACCTGGAAGATGAGCTACTCTGGGGGCACTAGCATATAACCTGACTGTGCTTGTTTTTATTCCTACTAATTTGCCATCTCAGGGACAAAGGCCACAGACAGTTTGTGACTGTGGTGTGCTCACACTCACACGCACACACATACGTACATAATGTGAATCAAGGCTCTGTCCTTGGAAATGCCCCTGGGTTGGGTGACGGGTGTGGCAACTGCCTAAGCAGCTCCTAGACAATTTGAGGACTCAACTACTTAGCACTTATTAGGTGTCAGGCATGAGCTAAGTATTTCAGGTGTTGTGTTTTAGTCCTCTAGAAAAGCTCCCAGGTGAGAAAAGTTGATTGATTTCTAATCAAATAATTACAGTACAATGCAATCAGGGCTATAATCTTGAATATGTAACACATATTGGAGGGAGGATCTAGCTATGGGAGGAGAGGGCATGAGAAAATCACTGGAGATCAGGAGACACTGTAAAGTCTTCTCAGGGACATCTCCCTTTGGAAGTTTTGTGTTATTCCCCATGGAGTTTATTTTACTAACCACATGCCTCCCCCCACCCACCCCCCAAAAATACTGTGAGGAATCTCAGCATAAACTGCCAACTGTTCTCATGCAAACAGCTTCAAGTTCTACTTAAATGAAATAGTGTTACTTATCCATGTAAAAGGCATAGAATTTTACAGGAAAGTCGATAAATTATTTTGTGAGTTCCTAGAACCCTCCAGGCTGGAGGATATGGGTTTTGATCTATATGTGTGATTTCACAACAGGGTTTACACATTCAAAAGCCTACAGGGGCAGGCCAGGACTATGCAAGGTAAAGTGAGCAGGTGGAGACTGAGGTGAATGAAGGCCCCATGTCCTGAGAGGAGTGTGGAGACCTCTTGTCCTCTGCTACTGAGATCCAATAGAATTGCTAAGCCTTTCTCTCTGGCAAATATCGGCAATTTATTTTAAAAGTATTAAGACCCTGAGTGGGCTAAATAAATCATGTCCACAGGCTTAATCTGGCCTTTGGTACCCTTGTATGACCTCTGATTTCTAGAAACCTCAGGAATTTCACATCAGTTGCATGAGTCACTAAGGAATCATAAATGAGCCCCAAACCAATGAATTATAAGAAAGAGCTCATCTCACATTTGAGGCGTACCCTACCTCCAAGAAGAAAACTCTTCTGTTAACTCTGCAGTGACAACCTGGCAAAGAATTTTCCCCTCTCGCTCATATTCTTGTTTTTTTGTTTCTCACAGGGGTCATCAATCAGTTAGGAGGTGGCCAGGTCTTCCAAGGAAATCGGGATGTCAGGAGTCACTGGAACTCCAGGTGTTGGTTGTATCTTTAATAGTGGCAGATGGCTTTCTTCTCCTCTGCAGTTCTTGATCTTTTTGGTGATTGCCAGTTAGCTTCACAGCTTTTAGTCCTGGAGACAAGAATAAATCAAAGTGAAAGATTTCTGTTGGAGTCCAGCCCAGAAATCTGGAAATCATAGAAGCCGTTATTGTGGAAACCATCTAGCCCAACTCCTCCACTTTACAGATTAGGAAATGAGGCCTGTGAGGTTAAGTCATTGTCTCACTGGCAGGCAAGGTCTTGGGAGGTCGTGGGATTTTCTGAGGCTGGGATGTGCTGAGTGATTCAGTTGGAAAGTTTGGTCCCCATATTACTACTTATATTGAAATGGAACAACTTTCAGTCTTTCAGGTCAAATCTCTGAGCACTTGTGGCAGCTGAAGGAAATTATTATATTAAGACAGCCAAGGATAAAGGATTCCCTGGAGAAACTCTGAGTGGCCTGAGCACTGGGAGAATGGAGTGGAGCCATGGAAGCTTGTGCTGTTTGCAGTGGGGAGGAACCTGGCCTCTCCTGATCTGGGGTGGGAACCTGGGATTCAATCTGTGAGGCAGGAAGCCTACTAACAGCACTCTCGCTTTGCTGAGAGTACCTGTTTCCATTTTTTTCCTTTTTTTTTACACAGTAAACCCTGCTGTTCTCACCCTTCAAAGTGTCTGCTAGCCTAATCTTTCATGGTCATGTGACAAGAACCTGGTTTTAGCTGAACTAAGGAGAAAGTCCTACAACAATATTATTGGAGGAGATTTGATGCATGTTAGGTTTATAACTGTTGTTGTAGACTTGGCTTACATAGGCCAAAGTTATAAGCCTACAATGTTGAAGAGATAACATCCTTTCATCACTGGAGGGACTTAAGAGGGGATCTCAAACAAGTTTGTTCATTCACCCTAGTAGAGTCTTTCCCATCTTCAACATCAGCAACTTTCTAGGCATCCAGGTTCCTATCTTCAGGAGGATAGGAGCATCTTATGTGGCTGCCATTTGCTCTGGGCCATTGACAAGGGTCAATTGACCCATGGAGTAATTCAGACACCACTGAGCAAATTGGGGGAGGGATCAAATGATGTTACTCTTGCTGGACAATGTACAGGCTCATCACTGCTGCTGAATCCTGTTTATTGATGACCTGAGAAGGATAACTGGTACATGGTAGAGGTAATAGTATGGTACATCCTCCCCTGGCAAGTGGAGGATCTCTAGATACTGACTCAGCTCCTGATAACTGCTAGTATTGCCCACCGACCTCCTCTACCAGGCCAACTCTGAGGAGCTTTGTGACACTAACTCTGCTGCTGGTCACAAGGTCCCTACCAGCCTCTCCACTTCCCACCTCCTCACTGTGTCCCCTTGCCCACTCCAAGATACACACATCTCTCCCTGAGCTATTCTTTCTAATCCTCTCAGAACGGGATGGGGATAGCCAGCTCTTCATCCTCAAATCTATTATTAACCATAAAATGCTTTTCTTTTGCTAATCTGAATATGCAGGTTCTTGCAAAGAAATTCCCTTCTTTAAAAGCAACTGGTTTTTTTTGTTTTGTTTTGTTCTTTTAACCAAGGACCTCAGAAGTGTGCTTGGAATTTCATGTCGTGCAACTACTCTTTCTTTTTCAATGCATTTTTGCTGTAACAACCTTACCCTGAGGGCAGCATGTAGAGCAGAAAGTCTTTGTTGCTGGGTGAATGGCAGGGACAGGATAGCAGTGAATGAAAATTGCAGAAGAATAATACAAAGATTCGTTTAAAACTTTTTTTTAAAAAAATCATGATACACAGAGAGTTTACATCACCTCCTACCCACTCTTCGTGTTTGCAAACTGTCCAGATAATTAAAGAGAAACTGGGGCCCTGGTGCCTAAATGAGCCAGCCTCTTGCTCAACTTTCCGCTTCATACGTTGCTTTGTTTTGATTTAAATATAAATGATTTCACCCAAGAGGGGAAATGTGTAGATGTTTTCTATAGGAATACAATTATTGGAGAATAGTACTGGTTCTTCACCCTTGCGTTTTCAGAGGTTGCATTAAGGTGACTAATTTAGGCATTCCCTTCTCAAGAACAGAATTAGAGGAGGGCCCTCATGTCTAAGAGAAGCAGTCAGAAAAGATCATATTCAGACACGAGTAGGGGCCTGAAGTACAATAGTGTGTTTTCAAGGATGGTTCTAAAAATTCAGTATCAAATACGTCCTTGAAGGAAATCTTTATGTCATTAATTTAGACATGATACAGAGTTTGAGTAATTGTCAGCCTCCCTACTGGGAAAAAAATCCCACTGTGACCTTGTTATTATCATTAATATTATTTTTACACTTCTGTTTCCATTGCTCCAGTTGTAGATATTTGAAGTACTTAATAGTCCATTTCTGATTTGAGGCTTGTGGTGGTGAAAGGTGGGTGCCTGTTGCCTATTATGCATTTTAGCAACTCCTAAGGAAATTGCAAAGTTCTAGGACTGCGGATTCCCCCATTTTGCTAGTTTTAAAGTGGACTAGAGCTTCACAACCAGAGTCAGCCCCTGACTTCCCCAGTCAGCTTCTAGCTTCTCCAGGCTCACTGATTTGCTGGATGAGCCTCATCTCCTGCCTGGGTTATGTCTCACCACAACTTCAGTCCACCTTCTGTTTTCCCAGGGCCTGGAGTTAGTCATGCGGCCTGAGGTAGTGGGGTCTTCTTATCTGCTGAGCTTATCTTCACCCTGCTGCAGTGCCTCAGCCTGTGTGCATGTCTAGGATCCTAATTCTCCGTCTCATTTTTGGCCTGATCATTTGAGAAGGTTGAATTTTGCTCCCTTTGTTACAGCTACTGGCTAGAGTCCCGATCACAAGGGATCCAATGCCAAAGCACTCTAGGACCTTGAATGTCTGCTTTCAAGATAACTGCCAGATATTCCTGGGTAGTATCTTTTGATTTCAACATTTCCCTCCTCTTTTATCAACATAGGCATATGGCCAGAGGCCTAAGGGGTAGGCTTTGAAATCAGACATTTTGGGAAGGCATCCTGGTCCTGCCTCTTGACCGCTGTGTGACCTTGGGAAGTGTGTTCAATTTTCCCTGGTCTTCCTTTTCTCTTTCAGAGGATAACAATAGTTGTCACATAGTGGCCATGGTTTGCCGCCTACCCAGTATCCATTCCTTTGTTGTTTTTTCCAACTGAATTCTAGTTTTGTGCAGGCCTATATCCTTCCTCCACAGAGCCATGCACCTCAGGCAAAGTAAACCTCACACCCTTTGCTTTAAGAATGGACACATGTCCCAATTATATCCACTGAGAGGGAAGAGGAAGTCTTCTGCTGGGCAGTTCCTTGACCCTGAAGAGAGGGCTGAGGAGTCCCTTTTCCATCTAGATACTGGGTGTGAAAACCTGAAGCTGCAGTAGTCATTTTGCTATACTTTGAGGATACAGCCAACATTGAGCATGAGACATCATGGGGACAGATTGAAACTGAGGTATTTGATAACATGGTTAAAGGACCAAGTCAACCCAATCCTGAAGTGTGACCTACTAGACTTCCTTTTTTAAGAGGATAAATTTTGCCGGGTACAGTGGCTCATGCCTGTAATCCCAGCACTTTGCAGGGGCTGAGGCGGGCAGATCACTTGAGGCCAGGAGTTCAAGACCAGCCTGGCCAGCATGGTGAAACCCCGTCTCTACTGAAAATACAAAAATTAGCCAGGCGTCGTGGTGCGTGCCTGTAATCCCAGCTACTCAGTAGGGTGAGGTGAGAGAATCACTTGAACCCGGGAGGCAGAGGTTGCAGTGAGCCAAGATCACACCATTGTACTCTGGCCTGGGCAATAGAGCAAGACTCTGTGTCAAACAATAACAACAAAAAAATTCTGGTTAAGTAAGTTTAGGTAGAGGGTTATGTTTTTTGTAGCTCAAAAAATCTTGACTTACTAGTAAAATTATTGAGAATGCCAAATAAGAATAAATCATTTAAAGTACTAAGTGCATATTCATCACACATTACTTATTTTTATTATTATTATTTTTTTTGAGTCGCAGTTTTGAGCTTGTTAACCAGTCTGGAGTGCAATGGTGCGACCTCAGCTTACCACAACCTCCGTCTCCCAGGTTCAAGTGATTCTCCTGCCTCAGTCTCCTGAGTCACACATTACTTATTAATGTAAATATTATTTTTATTACAGTTCACCTGACCCCCGTGGGCCCACCTTTAGGGCTAAGCCTATCTTCTTGGACCCCTGACCCACTTAGTTCTGGTATGTGTGTTCTCCATAAATCGCTTGCTGCTAAAATTCCAGTGCATTCCATTCTCAATCCTTTCTGAGCTTATGATTGACAGAAAAGGGAAAAATGTATGCGCATGTCCACAGGAATCATTAGAGGTTGTCCTCAGAGACTTGCATATAGAACGAAGGGAACTAAAACATGTAATTCATTCCTTGATTGTGCAGGCACTGGGTAGAATTTATTTTTGTCTCTTGTGTGTGCACATCCTTACTGCCATTATTCCCTTTAGGATTTGTCCACATGCTCCTTCGTTTCAATTTGTTTATGGTTCCTCGGACTCTGGCTGGATTGCCATTTACTGCCTGGTTTCCTTCTTTGCTTTATTTCATGGTCGGTTCTCAGAATGGACATGTTCTGTGTTATCCTGGTTCATGGAGCCACCCACAAAGCCCTTAGCTTTTCACCCATCAATCCTCCGGACTCATTTCTACTTGAGTTTCCTTTGTATCCTCCCTTCCGTGCACATTACCATATAGAAACACACAGTGCCGGGGTATGATCTGTGAAGTATACCAAACTGGGACATCCTCAAAATATTCTAAACAGATATTTTGTCATAGAGAACTAAAACACATATCTCCTTACAATTAACAAGCATAAATTAATTCCTCTGACTAAAAATAAGAAATGCGTTGAACATTGCTAAAGTGCAGTATAAACGACACCTTGCATTTTCAAATTAACGTATGACTAATGCTCTCTGACACTTAGCTTATTCATAGCTGGGTTTTGAAGACTCTGAGTCCACTTACCATTCCAGGTTATCACTGCCATTTTTATTTGTCTGTGTGTTAGAGAGCCAAGAGATTAGGAAGACCTCAGGCTACCAGAATGCTGAGATGTTCATGTTATCTTTTTTGTTTGTTTCATTTTTCAAAATGAATACAAAATTTTATAGAGAACCGAGAAGAAAGGAATTGAGAATTGGTGTAGGCCAAAACAGAAAATGAAGAATTTCATGTGTCAGCTGTCAGAGCAGGAATAGTACTTTAAGCTCTGTTAGAATTCTCTAATTAGGGAGCAGTTATCCCAGCCTTAAGAATATTGTAATTGGGTGATATCAACTGGGAAATAGGTTAAATACGTAGTTATCATGACTGGATTTAAACTTCTTATTTTTTAAGCTAATTCAATGTTTAATTTTAGAGGCATGAATCTTCAGTGTGCTCACAAGGGTAAAATACACTTCCTTAATTCCTTATGGGCCTAATAATAATTTCTTACATCCTTTATGGTTATATCACCAACATCACCTTGAAGTTTATTAACACGTCTTATTGCTAAATATAGTCACTGCCTGCTGTCTGTCATGGGATGTGGTGGATGACCTAAAAAAGTTGTAAATCCACAGATAATCCTCAAAATACTCTTGGCCAGCAGTTACACCATCAGTGTTTTTGCCTAGATATAAATAAGCTGCACATCACACGATTAGATGATTAGAGTGTTTCTACTCTCTGTTTCTGGGCTCTTTCTCTGATAGAAGTAACGATAAGCATTAAAAAAGGTTGTGGGGACACTTATCAAGAGCTGACAGGGTTTTACATTTATAACTCATTCACGTTTTACAATCAGTAGCACTTATACTCTACTGCTTATGAGAATCATCTGGGAGAGTTTTCAACAAATTCCACTGACCAGGTTACATCACAGAAGACCTCAGTGTTTTATGAATTTCCCAGGGGAGTCCAACGTGCAGCCAGGACATTGCTCACAGTGGCCCCTTCTGTACATTGGACTCTGAAGCCTAGTAACTTTAATTGACTTACTCAAGGTAATAGCCAGGAGTAAGTCTTAGAGGCAACATTTGAATGCAAATCTGCTAGCGTCCAAGCTTAATGCTCTTTTACCTATACTTTCTCAGCCTCTCATATTTGAATAAATAACCCTTGGGAAATTGGAGTGCATCACATAAGAACCAATATATTTAAAGTGTTTGCCACACTATTTATGTTAACATTCTATTCTATTCTGTATTTCATTTCTTATGTTGCTGCTTTTTTAGAAACTATACCATGGTGAAAAGGCAGTTATGCCTACTTCATTGGTTGAGACTTAGTGGCTGCAGGATGCATGTTCCTGGATTAATGGATTTTTCCTATGAGCCTCCAGGACCCCAAATGGATATTTAGCTGTGCTGAGGCTTTCTTGCCTCCTCTTGCAAGTTCTTCCTGTGGATACACTCCCAGAAACAGATGCTGAGTTGGTAGCCACAATGCTCAGTGCTGAAGAGGAGGCAGCTTTGCCACCTCTAACTGAGGTTTGGAAGTAGTCAGATGGCGGACCTCCCCCACCTGCCTTCTCCTTTCCTGGTCTGCTGGGCTGTGGGCATTAGCATTTAGATAAATAAAGGGATTAGGTTCCTGGGTCTGTGCAGACAATTTCCTCTTGCCATTTTTCAACCTCAGGAGATTGCCTGGTGTGACAGAAAACATTCTAAGCGAGACTGAATTTTAAGGAGGAAATGAAGCAGTTGGCTTATGTGAGAGCAACAGGGTAGAATATTAACTTTATTTGTCTTCCTTGTTATGGTTATTGAATCTTGAGGGAAGGCTATGCCGATTAGGCTTCTTTTCCTACTAAGATTCACCAGGAGCACTGTTTATTACTGAAGGTAAACGTGGAGAGTGAGGAGGAAAGGAAGCACGTGGGAAGCCAAGAAGGACTAAGCACCTTAAAAGATGTGGCATTGCTAACCACTAGCAGTGGGGAGGTCACAGACTGCAGAGGGAAGATGCTTTCCTGCTTTCCTGCTTTCCAATAGCAGTTTTGTAGGTAGTCTCAAAGGGACTTCTTCCCCCAGCCCTGCAGTTAGCATTTCAGGTTGACAGGTGGGGCCGACTGAGTCTGGCTTGTGGGTCTGCTTTGTCACCAAGGCCTTTCAAGTCCACAGAGCTCCATTTATTTGTTTCTTTTAACAATCAATTTTGAGGCTGCAGTGGTGGATGCGCTTGGCTGGGAATGAGGGAAGCCGGAATAAGTGTCCTAGCAGAACCAGTGGGTGGAGATTTTTTGCTCTTTTGATTTAAAGTGCAGAGGATGTCTCGCAGGGGAAACAGGAATTCCAAAAAACAACTGCGCCTCCAGGGAGGTAGCTTTTGACAAATCTTAGTCTTTGCCCCATTCTGGCACTGCTTAGTAGAGGTTACTATGCCTTGAGAGTAGGAAATTGCGCAGGTTGCCTCCTTCCAAGGAGGAAAATACGAACGTTTCTTTGAGAGAAAAATAACCTCGAATGCAACCATCACAGTATTGTGGTTGAGTGGGCAGCCTCAGGAAACAGACATATGTGTGGTTACAATCCAGGTGTGTCACCCCAGAGATTAATTTAGCCCCTCCAACCCTATTATCTGTACATAAGGGGTGTAAGAATAAGAGCAGTGGGTCTCAAGCTTTATTTGCATCAAAATCACCAGGTGGACTTGTTAAATATAGATTGCTGGGCTTTACTCCCAGAGTTTCTGATTCAGTAGGCCTGAGATGGAGTTGAAGAATCTGTATCTCTAACCAGCTCCCCAGTGGTGCTGATGCTGCTTGTCTGGGAACCACATTCATTAATTCCGTGGATATTTATAAACCATGTGCCTGGCACTTATCTGGACACTGAAGCTGCAGTAGTGAACAAAAATATATTCTTGCCCTCATGAAGTTTATATCTAGTTATAAACCAGATAAAGAATAGACAGTAAATATTTAGTTAAATAAGTATGTAGCATAAAATAAACAGGATAGGGGCTATGTCAAGTTATGGTAGACATATTCTTCTACGTCCAATGGTCAGAGTAGAATTCACCAATATGTTGACATTTGAGCAGAAACATGAAACAGGCGAGTGAATAGACATTACAGATATTTGGGGAAGAGCATTTTAGGCAGGCAAAATAGCAAGTCCAAAGGCCCTGAGGCAGGAGTGTGCTACATGTGTTTGAAGAATAGTGAAGTGGCCACTATGGCTTGATAAGGAGTGATCATGGTAGAGTGTAGGAGGAGGTAGGGTCAGAAGTGTAATTGGGGGAATGCCTCTGGGACATTGACATGGGCCATTGAAATAGGATGGCAGTGGAGAATTTTATTAGAGGGGGAACCTAGCCTGACTTCCATTATAAAAGATTTACTCTGGTTGCTGTGTTGAGAGTAGACTGTGGTAAAGTAAGGATGGAAGTATGGAAATTAGGTAAGAGGCCATTGCAATAACCTGGGTGATACAGAATGGTACCCTGGATCAAGGTTGGGAGAAGTGGTTGAAAATATAAATAAATTATGTGGGTATAACTAACAGAATTTACTGATGGATTTAATGTGGGATAAGGGAGACAAAAAGAGGAGTCAAGAATCACTCCAAGGTTGACTTCATTGTCTGGAAAAATGAGGTTGCTATTGACATATATAAGGAAGACAGGGAGAATCAAGTTGCACAGGAAAGGGTTAACACAGCAGGTCATGCACTTTTTCCCTTTGATGATTGTCATCAATATCCTTTCACTATAATAAACCATCGCCTGAATATAAGAGCTTTTCTGATTCCGGTGAGTGCTTCTAGTCAGTCATCAAGCCAGAGTGTGGACTGGGGGGTCCCCTGACACACAACGTACAAGGGCAGCCTGTGAATTTGATTTTGGACATGTTAAGTTTGAGATAGCTATTAGAGAGACATCAAAATGGAGATGTCTGCTAAGTAGCAGGAGATATAAGTCTGACATTCAGAGGAAGGATTTGGGCTGGAAATATAAGTGGGAGAGATGGTTGTAGTGTAAAATCTGTTATTCTCTATAGTCCTCAGAGTTCTCCTTCTTCATATATTAGGTTTGGATGAGAACCTAGCAGGTAGTACTCAGAGTTCTCCTTCTTCATATATTAGGTTTGGGTGAGAACCTAGCAGGTAGTACTTCTTCCAGAGGTATTAATATTTAGTATGTTGAAGTCTCTTTCTACCACAGTATAATCATTTTTAGCTTTTTACTTAGAAACATGTTTCCATTAGAATAAAGTGAAAAGCATGATCCTACTTAGCTGCTGGTAAGTAAGTGCATAGATGTGGGACAGAAATAGCCAGAGAATAACTGAATTTATTACAAGATTTGCTGCTCTCCAACCCTCTGTTTTACAGCCATTCAGTGTTTCAGATATCTTCTAACATCATCCTAGGTTTTTGCTTGAGAGATGACAGAAAATGGTAGGAGGACTAATCCAACTGCTTTGCACTAATAATAATGAAAGGAAAATATTTAGGTAGAATACCTCTGGCTGGGCCCCTCCTCTGTTGTGTTTAAAGCATTTGTGAGCAAAATATCCTTCTCACTAAGGACTAAGAAACCCATTGTGTGAGTGAACAGGTTCTTGGTCACTGCCCATAGACATCCAATAGAGACATCATTATAAAATGGGCTCACTGAGAACAATTGAGTGTGTAGACAAGTAAGCTACTAAGATCACAAATTATAGACACTTAGCACTGAGTTTTAAGCCTGGGTCTACTGCTATTCCCTTTAGGATGACTAGCTCTTGTGGTTTCTCCAGGACTGAGAGGTTTTTGTTTGTTTGGTTATTTGTTTTTATTTTTTTATTATTATTATTATTATTATTATTATTATTATTATTATTATTATTATTATTTTTGAGATGGAGTCTTGCTCTGTCGCCCAGGTTGGAGTGCAGTGGCACGATCTCCACTCACTGCAAGCTCCGCCTCCCAGGTTCACGCCATTCTCCTGCCTCAGCCTCCCAAGTAGCTGAAACTACAGGCGCCCGCCACCAAGCCTGGCTAATTTTTTGTATTTTTAGTAGAGATGGAGTTTCGCCATGTTAGCCAAGATGGTCTCGATCTCCTGACCTCGTGATCCACCCGCCTCGGCCTCCCAAAGTGCTGGGATTACAGGCATGAGCCAGCGTGCCCGGCCCAGCTTACTTGTTTTTCCGTGCTAACCTAGGAGAGTCCCAGACAAACTGGGATGAGTTAGTTACCCTAAAGGACTCGGAGAAACATATTAAACTTTTGCCCTTCATCTGTCAAATGCAAATAATGATTCATATTTCACAAGGTGGTTATGAGGATTTGAGGAAATCATGTATTCCAAGGAAGTTACACAGAGGGAGTACACACAAATATTTGTTCTCTCTCATTCCTGAAACCTAGACCTTACATGGTGTGGTAAGAATGTATTTTGCTATTGTCTAGGGCCCTAGACAACAGAAATTTTAGAGTTAAATGTAATCAAAGGTTGGCTGGAATGTTAACTAACCATCCCTAATTACACATTACATTTCGTGCTGCACCTAGCTGCCTATAAAAACCCTTTTGCATTCTTCATTGCATTTGATCTCATTAAAGGTCCTGCATTTTGCAGATGAGAGATGAGAAACTCTGACATGCCATGGTTGTAAGAGTAGCAGCCAGGGCTTCAACATCAGATATTCTGGTTTCAAGTCCAAGATATGGTATTTATGCGTATCTAAGGGGTGAAAATGGTAATCTGTTAAGTGACACTTTACCTGAATGTAGTAACCATACACATACCCCTCGCTTCCCATGAATATATTATTTTTCTTTTCTTTTCTTTTGAGATGGAGTCTTACTCTGTCACCCAGGCTGGAGTGCAGTGGTGTGATCTCAGCTCACTGCAACCTCCGCCTCCCAGGTTCAAGTGATCCACTCACCTCATCCTCCTGAGTAACTGAGACTACAGGCTTGCACCACCACACCCAGCTAATTTTTGTATTTTTAGTAGAGGCAGGGTTTCACTGTGTTGGCCAGGATGGTCTTGAACTCCTGGCCTCAGGTGATCTGCTTGCCTTGGCCTCCCAAAGTGCTGGAATTCCAGGAGTGAGTCACAGCACCTAGCCATATTATTTTTCAATTGAAAGCTTTGGTTACCTCCAACCTCCAAAATATCTCCTCAAGTACTGTGAAGAATGGAAGAACACTGGCATATGTTGGTGAATTCTATGTTTTCTGAGACCAGACCTATCTTATCTCCCAATGCTAAGCTTGAAAAGGCCATTTTCTATATAAGGCCTATGTAACTCTAATAGACTCTATTATTGTTAAAAAAAAAAAAAAAAAAACCAAACCCAAGCCTTTTTTTATGTGGTACTTCAGAAAGTTAAAAATGACTTTGTAAATTAATTGTTGAAAATAGTGATCCTATACAGAACAGTGTATTGGCAAACTTTTTAATAAGGAGACAGATAGTAAACATTTTAGGCTTTATGAGCCATAGGATCTCTACTGCAATTATTTAACTCTGCTATTACAGTGTAAAAGCAGCAATAGATCATACTTTAATGGGTACACCTATGTTCCAATAAAGCTTTATTTATAAAAACATGGTGGCTGCCATGGGCCTTAGTTAGAATCCTTTAAAACACACTGTCAATATATTTCATAAGCATAAGACGTATTCTTGCACTTAAAAATAGTGGCTAAGACTAATAAATATTAATATACACCATCCTGGTATAGTTATGACTTGGAGTGGTTTACTTATTTTCTGTGTTAATTTCTGAGCCCTCTGCCATTTTCTGTAGTGGTAGCCTTCTGGAGAGTCTAAGACATTGCATTAATTTCCACCATAACTAACTCTTCCCTACTTTCCTAATATACCCACCACCATACCTTCTTCTTAGACAATCTGTATTGCCTGAAGTTCTAGAAGGGAAGGACTATAATTCATGGGACAGCAGTGAAACAGGCTAGGGGAGAATATTTAATCAAGATGGGAGTTAGTATTTTCTTTGCATGGGCATTGGAAAAAAGATGAGAGTCAGTTATTTTTAAGGAGTTGATTTTGAAAGTCAGATTGACCCAAAGGCTGAGTGAGGCTGCCGCCTAGGTAGGTATCTGAGTGAGCATAGAAGTTTTTCTCCAGAAAAAGAAGAATGAAGCATATGACCAATGCCAACCTGGACCTAGAGGCCACAGGGGCTCAGGAAGAGAGAAATGGAGAGACTAACTACTCAGGAATAGTCCAATTCCCAAAGTTCTACTTTTTGCAACTGGATTCCATGAGATTCTTATGAAATCCTAAAACCAATTTTTAAATGAGTTTCTTTAAATGAGTTTCACTTCCTTCTATCATTACAGTCCTTGTCTAAGATTGTGTCAAACTCTTCTCTTTTTTTCTTATTTATTCTCTGCTTTAAAAGCCTTCTATGATGTACTGCCTGCTGGAACTTCTGATATAGGAACAGCACTGACAACTTTGAAGAAGGTTAGAATAACAGAAAATCCCTTTTATGAAATGTAGCTTGGCCATTATATCAGTAAAGTGCGGAGTTATGGAAAGATCATTGACTTTAGAGTAAGATGCATCTGGCTTTGAATCCTGGCTGTACCACATACTAGCATTGTGATTATGAGCCAATGATTTAACTTTTTGGAGCCTACATTTCCTTATCTGTAAAATGGACACATTAATATCAATATCATCATATTGGAATTAAAATGAAATAAAATAATATAGCTAGAGGTATTGGTACAGCACTGGCAATGAGTTGGGGCTGAATGCAAAGTAAATTTATAAGCAGTGAACATCATTTTTGTTATAGTATCAAATTGAGAGGGGTCAGGAGGCTCTCTTCAAGGAATTATAGCAGATACTAGGCTGGAATGGAGGATAGAGTAAACTTTCTCTTAAGTTTGGGAGAGGGATGGGAAGTGACTTTGGTTGGTTGTTGTCAAGGATTATCCATCTGGTAAAGTCTGAAGCGCTGAGGTAAATGAGAAGATCTGGGCAAAGTCAGGTGCCTCAGATTCACAGTCTCCTGGAGGAAGAGCTTTGAGTGTATGAAGGAAAGCAGTTGGTTGAAGTGTCAAGATAAATATTGCAATTGAGAAACCTTCTTCTTATGGCTGTCTGTATGCTTGCTCTCCAGCCTTCCTGGTGCACATGAAATATGAACTCTCTGCTACTTCATTCTCCTCTCTTCTCAGAATTTCCTTTTATGTGCACTTGATTATGTTCTTATTTTCACTTGAACTTCATTCCCATATTTCTATTAAGTAATGATGATCTCTTAAGGCCTGGTTCAAATGACCCCTTCAATCTTTCCAATTGTAGGCTCTTTTTCACCTTTAATTTTCTGTAGTCCTTTATCCGTGTTTCTGTCTATACCATTTAGTATTATATGCCCTGCATTATAATTTATAGCACAACAGATATTATAAATTTATTAGACTTCCCAGCCCATTACCCCATTCTGTTAAAGAAACTTAGATTTTGCCTATCTGCATTTTATAATTCCTACTAGGATCCTCTTAATGACAGACTACTTCATTAGGCCTTCATAATATAGAATTTGGATACTTGGAAGAAGCAGGTTTGGGTCATATTTCTGATTGTCTATGTAACACCAGTTCCTTCTTTCTTCTTTGCTAACAGAATCCATTTTGGGAATTGGGTAGGTATCAGCGCCCTTAGTTAAGGAGGTATTTCTCCAGTCTTAGGATATAATATGGTTTGTCTCTGTATTTCCACCCAAATCTCACATTGAGTTATAATTTCCAGTATTGGAGGTGGGGCCTTGTGGGAGGTGATTGGATCATGGTGGTGGAATTCCCCCTTGCTGTTTTCGTGATAGAGTTCTCACAATAGCTGGTTGTTTGAAAGTGTGTAGCATGTCCCCCTTCTCTCTGTCTCTCTCCTGACACCGTGTAAAGATGTGTTTGCTTCCCCTTCACCCTCCACCATAATTGTAAGTTTCCTGAAGCCTCCCCAGAAGCAGAAGCCTGTACAGTCCACAGAACCATAAACAAATTCAACCATTTTTCTTATAAATTACCTAGTCTCAGGTATGTCTTTATAGCAGTGTGAGAAGGAACTAATATAGGGGAAAAATCAGAGTTAGCTTTATCTAGTCATGGTGCTCTCAATTCCTTTACTAATGACTAGAGAACATAAGACTCAGTTTTGGCCAGTGAGAAGATGCGGAAGTCTGCTGAGGGGTCCTAGAGAAAGTTTTACTTTCCAATAAGAGATATAGATAGACACATATAGACATAGATATGGATATATAGATCTTCCTTCTAATTTTGCTTCCATACATATTGGGTGAGGGTATTATGCTTGCAGCTACAGATATCTTGCAGCCATGGTAGGAGATTTTGCCAACACACCAAGGAGAACATAGCAGAGCAGAACAAGTAGAAAATCCACAATTGAGGTGCTAACTCAATCCTATCTCTTTTCTTTTGTATAGTGAAATAATGTATTAGGGTAGACTAAGTGTCTATAAAAAATTTATACCCCCTAAATCCAGTAACTTAAGGTAATTGCTTACTTCTTGTTCATGTAATGGTCAGTGGTATTCAAGTCAGTGAGGATATTTCCTTTCCGCATGGTCATTTAGGGATTCAGGGTTTTTTCATCTGTAGCTCTGCCTTCTCTTTTGCATCAAGTCATGGGAAAGAGAAATAGCATGGGAAAATCCACATAGGAGGTTTTTATGGGCTAGGCCAGGAAGTGACATACGACTTCCACTCATATTCTATTGAAGAGAACATAAAAATTTACAGACAACTTCATCTAACTTCAAGAGAGGCTGGGAGACATAGTGTATCTCTGAACCAAATATGGGGAAAAGTTTTTGTTAGAAATCTAGTGAGCTCTCTTACAAATATACTCATCCTTACTGTTTAAGCCACTTTTAGTCATATTTTCTGTTATAGTTCAAAGCATCCAAACAGATACAAGCTAAACCACAGAGACAGAAAAAGAGAGAGAGGTAAAGAGAACATGAGTGCTAGATCTGGGGAAGAAGTTCTTTTCTTGGAGAAATAAACTTTATAAATCAGGGGTGGGACAGGGGTATGAGAGTAATGTTTAAAAAAAGAAGCGCTGGATTAGCAGTGACATGTGAGGTTAAGTGGATTGTAAAGAAGGGAGATTTAATAAGTGTTTCTATATATTTTGTCTTTGGATCCTGTTTTCTGCATTTAAGACACTCCAGTTTTAGTGTTTAAGTCAAGAAACACCTTGACTTACTTAAAAATTCATCTAAGTTGCATCACTCTGTTTTTTTTTTTTTTTAAATCTTGGAATTACCCTGAGAATGAACCACATGAGTATCTTATTTCATAAGGGTTACCTAGTATGTACATCTAATCCATCCCACTAGACTACATAGTTTTTTGAGGATAGTGAGGTCAATGTGACAGAATTTGGAGAAGACAGAGGCAGAGATAACAGCTATATTAACAGAGAAGTGATAAAAACCTCAATTAAGATCTTTGAAAATAATCTTCACTGCCTGAACTGGCCTTGGGCATGTGGATAGAAGGAATGAACCAGGATTCCAAAAGTAGGGTACGGATAAGCAATGTCACTCTAGCGTGCCCTGTGTTGGGATCCTGGCTAATAATTAAGCCCAAATACTCTCATGGGGAGCAAGGAGATTTGAAGAAGTCTCCTTACCTTCTGAAGTTATCTTGTCCACTCTCCTATTCAAAAATATTGAACTTATAATTACAAAAAATTTCTCAAGAGCACCATCTGTCTTTCACTTTGGGGACTTTTCATGGGACATTCTCTCTATTCCCCATTTTCCCTCATGCTCCTCTACTCCAAGCATATTCATTTTGTTCAGTTAACCCTGAATTATCCTTTAGGTGTATGATTAGAATGTCACTTCCTCTAGAAAGTCAACTCAGCTCTCCCTAAACTGGGTTAAGCTCCTCTATTGCATGCCATCATAGCACTTTTATCTTCCTTAGCATATTTCCAGTCACATGGCTTGGCATGCCCTTGTTGAATTATCTGCCTCTCTAACTGTGCCAAAAGTTCCCTGAGCTCAGGGATGTGTCCTCTCTTTGCTGGTAGCCCCTAGCACAGAGCTGACAACAGGTGAATGCTCTATAAAGACTTGTTAATTGAATGAATGAGTGAATGAATAGGAGATTGATATGAGCCTGAGATAGTGGCAGAGTAGCATTGAGTCAGAGGGCTGCCTTGTCAAAGTATGGGAGAGAGAGGAGCATGAGTACAGCCTGGTGCTGGAGGTGGGTTGGGTATCTTGCGGTTGCAGGACATCAGCAGCATAACCTGAGCAGCTAAAATCTGCCTGCTGGTCCAGTGCCCATGCTGAGCTTTAGCAGGATTTGCTATGGAGTGGAAAATAGAAAGATCTAAATAACTGAAAGTGAGACAAAGTGAAGTTTAAGCAGTTGCCATTAGGGTCTGCCTTTTATACACACAGCAACCATGATAAGCTAATTAGGAATTAACTAGACCTTGATTTGAACTAATATCTGACTTGATTTTATCCCATTCACTATTGTAGACAAGAGATAAAATTAAACAGTTCCATGTCAATATGACATAATGAGCAGAAGACTGGAGAACTTGACTGGAGACCATCTACTCTTCTACTAAATACACATCCACCTTCTCCCCAGGGGAAATCACAACTCATTTCAGCCTAAGGAAAGAAAGCTGGGATTGATCCCCACATTGGAGTAACCAGGAAACCTGGGTGGGAAAATGATCTGACAGATGACACTGTCAATATTTAGAGTTAAGCTCTTATTAATCAAGAGGCCCTCCTGAAAAGCGACTGAGTGTATTGTGTGTAACCTGGAGAGTAAATCCTTTTTATCTCTGTATCTATCATCGAGGGCAGGGCCTCCTGGTGCTTGACACAGTTTCTGGCAGAGAAGGTCCTCAGTATGAGTTTAGTGAAAGAATGAATGAGTGGGTGAATGAATAGAGTCCTACATGTTAAGTAGGGGTGGGGGATGAGGAGGAGGACATGAACATTTCTTGCATACCTAAGTACCAGATGATATCGTATAAAATCATGCATCTTCTTATTACAATAACTCTGTGAAATTGGAGAGATGTTCTGTTTTCCCCATGAGCAGTTTCATCTTTTACCAGCTATGTGACCTCAGGCAAGTTAACGGACTCTCCTTGCACCTTCATCTTTCTCATCAGTAGAATGGGAATAAAAATACATATTTTACAGGGGTGTGATGAGAATGAAATTAAAGAAGGTATACAAAGTACTGAAGAAATAGTGGGCACCCAATTAATGTTCAGTTTCCTTTCCTCAGTAAGCATTTCTGTGGTCACCAAATGGTAGATTTAAAGACAGTGACTTATACGGGTACTTTGGCACGTTCTAAATTGATGATATAGTCACACAATTTTTTGTTTAGTCTTTGTGAGTAAGTGATCATCCAAAGAATTCCCTGAATCAAAGATATGGGATGTTCCATACATGAGATTTCACTGCTCTGGAGCACCAGGTATGTGAAGTCCAGCCAAGGTAGCTATCAGGCTGTAATTCAACCAGAAAAAAAGGTGAGAAGGGAAATTTCTAGGGGAAGGTGGCACCTGTCACTAGGGCCACTCTCTTTTTGGGTGGTGATGCTGGATGGCCCAGCTCTCTGTAGCGAGAGGCTTTCCCTGAGGAAGAGTCCCACACTTCCACAATGAAGGTAGAAATATAGGCATCTGACAGCAAAGGAGTCCCAGCTGGATGTCTTTTTGTGTCAGTGTGTTTGTCTCCAGGATTGTTGGAAATTTCACTGCCTTGCAATGTAGACATCTGGTTGAGGAACACAGGATTGCTTTTTCCTTATGTGAATCTTCTTTATTGCCTGACATGTTTTTCTGCAGTGTCTTGAAATTTCAAAATTGAGAATGACAAAACATGCAAAAATGAATCACAGGTAAGAGTGATGGTTGAGAAATGACAAAATGGGCTGCAGGTGGAATGCAGTTTGAACTGGAATATGAATGGCAAAACGCTTTCTCTTCCTTTTTCTCTCTTCACCCTACTCCCAACTCTTGTCTAGGAAGAAAGGCAAAAGACAATGTGAGGAATAACATGTACTATACTCAACAAGCCATGTGAGAGATGGAATTATAAAACTGCACAATTAGGACAAGAGAAAAGGAATAAAAGGTGAGGCCAGGGATGAGGGCTAAAATGAACACAATTTTATTGCTCAAGACTGGGTTGCATTATCATTTCCTTCAGTCTGCAATAGAGAGCCGAGGGACAGGGTAAAATAGGTAAAATAGGGAGATACATGTTGTGGAAAATGACACACTTTTGATTTTCAGTTGTGGTACAAGTCATGCCAAAGCTGCAATTCTAAAGAAGGAGAAATTAGTCACATATTGCACTGGCATTATTTGTGTATCAGTTAGTGATTGCTATGTAACAGAGGCCCAGGCTAAGGTGGCAGCAGCCACCTGAGGGAACTCTTCTCATGTCAATGGCAGAAGTACAGGAAGCCAAAAGGAAACATATGATGCTTTTAAGGTCCAGGCTTGAAATTGGCACATTGTTACTCTTCCCCACAATTTATTCCCAGCCATTCTTATGGCCAAGACCAATGTAAAGGTGGAGGGAATATACATTTTGCTCAGGTGGGAAGAACTGCCCAATTAGATGGAAAAGGGTGTGGATACCAGAATGGGCAAAGAAAGGTCTCCATTAATTACACCACAATTAGCACGGTCTCTAAACTTCTCATCTTGTGCTTTTAGAGGGGTTTTGTTAGGAAAACTGAACAGGGCTACTATAACCCGCACTGGGGGAAGAACTCAAATTTCAGCCTTTTTGGCTGACCTGGGATAAGAGCAACTTATTTCAAGAAAGGATGAGGTGTAAACCCCTTCTACCCTGAAGGGTCACAGGATGGACAAATTGAATTGCCGATTTTTGTTACTTAGTTTAAATTGATTCACTAAGGAGCCACTATTCTCACTATGGGAGAATGGCTTATTGCAGAGTTTGAGAGGCATCTGTAAGAGGGCTGATAAATGCATTGCAGGCCTCCCACAACAGAGCTGTTCCAGAAAAGCTGGTGAAAAAGGACATTTCCAATTAGTGGACTTTATTTCCCATTTTATGAATACAGGCATGTACAGTAAGGGGGAAATCTTCAACTTTTTGATTAAATTCATTGAAAATTTATTTGAAAAAGTACCTATATTATTACTTTCTTTGTGTTTGTTTGGAGATTAGAATGTGAATTCTTGTTGGCAACTTCCTCTCTAATGCTTTGCTGTCTCTAGGGTATTATTTTTGCTGTCTCTTCTTTTTCTTTTTGTTTTTTTTTTTTTGCTGTAAGATCGTCGACTTTGGTCTTCCAGTTAAAAGATGACTTTGAATTTAATTTGACTTTACTATTTTACTTTCCATTTCTATTTACTGACCTTTATTGTTTTAGTAATTGGTTCACCTTTTTGTTTACTTTAAAAAGTAGATAAAATCAACCACAGAAGACAAATCTATAGCTCAGTGAATTATTATAAGGCAAACACCCATGAAACCACTGCCCAGGTCAACAAAGAATGTTGCCAGCACCCCAGGAAGCTTCTATGTGCCTTTTTCCAATCATAGGCCCTCTCTCTTTCCAAAAGTAAACACTGACAACTTTTGAATAAAACTTTCTTGCATTTCTTAATGGTTTTATATCCCAAATGTTCATTCCTTAACATAATAGTTTGAGTTTTCTCATTACATTAAAAAAATTTTGAAGTCTCTTTTTAAATCTGGAGATTCACCTTTCATCTTTTTTTTTTTCTGTTACAATTTTTTAAGTCTCTTTTTAAATCTGGAGATTCACCTTTCATCTTTTTTTTTCTCTTACAATTTAACTGCTGAAACACCTGTGTCATTTGACCTGTAGAATTTTGCAGTCTGGATGTTATGGATTGCATAACCATGGTATAGTTCAACTACATCCTTCTGTATTTCCTATAAATGTACAGTGGAATGAAATTTTATCAGACTTAACTTCACCCTTTGACTAGACTCTAGATGATATATATATATTATCATTAGGTGCATAATGTCTCATTTATTCTCTCTCTTTTTAGCAGGAATTGATGCCTAGGTCCATTAATTACTTAGGTGTTGTAAAATGGTGATATTCTATCATTTTATTTGCACTTACTAGTCGGAATTGTTTTATAAAGAGATACTTCTCCTTCATCAACTAATTAGTTACCCAGTGGTACAGTTCACCTAGGAAAGGTGAAATGGATCCTTAATTTGTTCCCTTTAATTGCCAGTTTTCAAAAACAATGAATTTGTTTTCTGTCATCCTTTGAATAGGACCAATTTTTGATATTATTATTATTATTAATTCATGAATTTAAAATATTTGATGAGTTTGCAATTCTTATCTTTACTGAAGCTCAAACTGTCCCAAATTTGGCCAGCAGGAGACTCATTATGTTGGCTCATGACTCCATTTCCACATCCACCTATTGGGTTTTGGTATCTTCCTACCTGGTAGAAGGTTACAGTTCATCTTGTAATTTCCTGGTCAAGAGTGGAAAAGGAAGCCTGAGCATCAGGGATGTCCCTAGCTATTTGACTTGTGATTCCTTTATTTGCCTTTCCAATGGTTGGACCTGGCTGTATTTGAGGGAAACCTTGGAGTGTAGTTTTGTCGTAAGCATTGTTCTTGGTTTTTAGTGTTGGTGTCTAGTTGCTCTGTTCATTTTTATGTGGAAATTTGGGAAGAAGCAAAAACTATGTTGTCTTTATTATGGTTACCTTTAATTTGATTTTACTATTTGAAATAGGGAAATATTAAAGAATATAAAAACGTGATTGTCATGTTAACTCACATAACTGAATGGGAAAGGAAACATGTAGGGGAAAAGCTCACTTCTTTTTCAAGTATGTACTTTTTTGTTTTCTCGAGGATCCAATCTTATAGTAAGATATTTGGAATTTTCTGGATTATACACTTAATGATTCTTAAATTTCATTATCAATTTCTCCTTTTACTTGTGTCAAAGGTGAGCTGAAGAGTAATACTTTATAACAAGTGTCACCATTAATCTTTTATCTTACTTTTAATATTTCTTTAATTTGAAGATTTTAGTGCTGTTAAATGACTTAATTTAATATTTGAATAATTTTTCAAAGTGAATGTTATTTTCTGCAGTCTCAGAGGAATGCCTCACAAATATCCTTTGGGCTTACTCTGGCTTCCTCTTGCTCACATTTGATGCCTAATAAACAGCCTATCATCATAGATGTCACCAGGATTGATGTACACACCTTGGGAGAGGAAGTGCTGGGCCTGGCAGATGTTAGTTTGGAGTTCTTTGTGGCCATCTTGCCTACTAATGGAAGGAGGCTGTCTAAAGAATAATGGCACACAGAGAGGACCAGAGCTGGTAAGATGAAGAGAGATACAAAGCCTGAATCCATCTGGACCTAAATCTAGATGAATCCCTGTTTTCCCCACCTAATGAATAAAAAATGAAGACTTAAGATATGTGCAACTTGAATTTTCAGGGGCAAGCTTATGAAGTTGGTTTTTCCATCTGAGAGACTTCAGTAAGACTGCTTTGGGAGAAGGGGAGAGAAAGGATAGAATGAAAACTAAAAATGAAGATAAAGAGTGAAAAAGCAAAGATAAAGAGTGATATGGACCTCACAACTTGCTCTAACTTTGGCAAGCACAGGGGACCAGTGGGTCTCTGAGGGGAGTTTTAGACCCCCTGGAGACCTAAGCCTCAGTGTGGACTATTTCTAAGGGATTGGGGGAGCACAGCCCACCAAAGCCCTCACCTTGGGACAAAGGAAATACTGGCAGGCAGCAACTGCTGAAGGGGGCATCATCAAGGTCTGGGACCGGACTTGAAGAGAAATTCACCTCTCATCCCCCACTTCCCATCCTTAGTGCACTGTTGCAGATGCAGCAGTGGCTCTTCCCATTGGAGCATGGTAAGCATGTACTGAAAGAGGCTGCTTCTCATAATTCTCTAGTGGCTCCACCCTCATCAAAAGTGAGTGTGAGCTGATAAAGTACCCTATTCATGTTTCTCTGGCACTGCTGTCCCACTGAGGGCAAGTGCAGCTGAGTAAGAGCCTATCTGTTTAATTCAGCCTATCTGTTTAATTTACTCTTACTTGCTATCTACTAGAATGTACCCTGAATTATACCATCAAACAAAAATACTTTGCTAAATCAAGCAATATCTGAAACCTACTGCATGAACCTATCTGCAACCAAGGAAACCCATATAGGGCTTTGGCCCTCTGAAAGAATCTAGAAACAAAGCCAACCAATTGTATATAAAACATGCCCCATAGTCATACACTCAAGGGAAAAAAGAATAAAAATACAAAGCCCCATCCAAATGACAGCAAATTCAAACAGAACAAGAAGTGTTGGCTCCCTCAGACGAGAAGGAATCAGAACAGGAACTCCAGCCATACAAAAAGCGAGAGTGTTTCATCACCTCCAGAGGATTGCATTAGCTCCCTGCCAATGGATCCTATCCACATTGAAATGTCTGAAATGATAGATATGGAATCCCAAATATGGATGGCAAGGAAACTCAATGAGATCCAAGAGAAAGTTGAAATCCAATCTAGCAAAGCCAGAAAAACAATCCAAGATTTGAAACATGACATAGCTATATTAAGAAAGGACCAAAAAGAACTTCTGGAATTGAAAAATTTACTGGAAGAATTTCAAAATACAGTTGGAAGCCTTAATAACAGACTAGACCAAGCAGAAGAAAGAATTTCAGAACTCAAAGACTGGTCATTCAAATCAATCCAGACAAAAATAAAGAATTAAAGAATTAAAAACAACAAAGAAAGCCTCTTAGAAATATGAGATTATGTAAAGCAACCAAACCTACAACTCATTGCCATTCCTGAGAGAGAAGAGAATGTAACAACTTGGAAAACATATTTGAAGATATAATTCAGGAAAATTTCCCCAATCTTACTAGAGAGGTTGACATGCAGATACAAGACATCCAGAGAACTCCTCTGAGATACATACAAGATGATCATCCCCAAGGTCCATAGTAATCAGACTTTCCAAGGTCAATTCAAAAGAAAAAAAGCTTAAAGGCAGCTAGAGAAAAGGGCTATATTACATATCAAGGGAATCCCATCAGAAAAACAACAGACTTCTCAACAGAAACCCAAGCCAGAAGAGACTGGAGACTTATTTTCAGCATTCTTAGGGAAAAGAAATTCCAGCCAAGGATTTCATATCCTGCCCTAATACACTCCATAAATGAAAGCGAAATAAAGTCTTTCCCAGCCAAGTAATTGCTAAGGGAATTTATCACCACCAGACCAGCCCTACATGAGACGCTTAAGGGAATTCTAAACATGGAAATGAAAGAATGATACTTGCTACCACAAAAGCACGTGTAAGTACATATCTCACAGACCCTGTAAAACAGCTACATAATCAAGACTACAAAGCAACTAGATAACAACACCATGTCAAAAAGAACACCTCACATATTAATATTAACCTAAATATTAACCTAATTATTTAACCTAATTAACCTAATTAATTAACCTAATAACCTAAATATTAATCTAAATATTAACATAAATTGTCTAAATGCTCCACTTAAAAGATATAGAGTAGCAAACTGGATTAAAACAAAGACTAAACTTTCTGCTGTCTTCAAGAGACCCATTTCACATGTAATGAAACCCCTAGGCTCAAAGTGAAGGGAAGGAGAAAGATCTGTTATGTAAATAGAAAACAAAAAAATCATAGGTGAATATTATTGTGTCAGATGAAACAGACTTTAAATCAATAACAGTAAAAAAAAAAAAGGGACAAAAGAGAGCATTACATAATGATAAAGGGTTCTATTCAACAAGATTAACTATCCTAAATATATATACACCCAACATTGGAGCACCCAGATTTATAAAACAATTACTACTAGACTTAAGAGAAGACTTATGCAGCCACACAATAATAATGGGAGACTTCATACTCCACCGACAGCATTAGACAGAGCATCAAGGGAGAAAACTACAAAGAAATTCTGGACTTAAATTCAACATTTCACCAATGGGACCTAATAGATATCTACACAATTCTCCACCCAACAACCACAGAATATACATTCTTCTCATCTGCACACAGATCATACTCTAAGATTGACCACGTGCTCAGTCATAAAAAAAGTCTCAACAAATTCCAAAAAACTGAAATCACAGCAAGCATTTTCTTGGACCACAGTGGAATAAAAATAAAAATCAATACCAAGAGGAACCCTCAAAACCACACAAATTCATGGAAACTAAACAATTTGTTCCTGAATGACTTTTGGGTAGACAATGAAATTAATGCAAAAATGAAAACATTCTTTGAAATAAATGAAAATAGAGACACAAGGTACCAAAACCTCTGAGACGCAGCAAAAGCAGAATTAAGAGGAAAGTTGATAGTGCTAAATGCCTACATCAAGATGATAGATTTCAAATTAAGAACTTAACATTGTACCTAAAGGAACTAGAAAATCAAGAACGAAATAAACCAACAGCTAGCAAAAGAAAAGAAATAACTAAAATGAGAGCAGAACTAAATGAAATAGAGACCAAAAAAAATCATTCAAAGAATCAACAAGAGAAAAAGTTTGTTCTTTGAAAGGATAAACAAGATTAATAGACCATTAGCTAGATTAACAAAGAAAAAGAGAGAAATGGTGCAAAGAAGGACAATAAAAAATGACAAAGGTAACATTACAACCGATCACACAGAAACACAAAAGTGCCTCAGAGACTATTCTGAATTCCTCCATGCACACAAACTAGAAAATCTGTAGGAAATAGATACATTCCTGGAAACACACAACCTCCAAAGATTGTACCATAAAGGAGCAGAAACCCTGAACAGACCAATAATGAGTTAAGAAATTTAATCAGTAATAAAAAGTCTACTAACCAAAAAAATCCCTGGATCAGATGGATTCAGAGCCAAATACTACCAGACATACAAAGAAAAGCTGGTACCAATCTGACTTAAACTATTCCAAAAGATTATGGAAGAGGGACTCCTCCTTAACTCATTCTAGAAAACCAGGATCATTCTGATACCCAAATCTGGCAAAGACACAGCAGAAAAATAAAACTACAGGCCAATATCCCGGATGAAGATAGATACAAAAATCTTCAATAAAATACTAGCAAACCAAATCCAGCAGCACATCAAAAATCATGTTGAGATGAAACCATGATCAAGTGGGCTTTATCTCTGGAATGCAAGACTAGTTCAATATATGCAAATCAAAAAATGTGATTCACCACATAATCAGTGTTAAAAATAAAAACCATATGATCATCTCAATAGACACAGAAAAAGCATTTGATAAAGTCCAGCATTGTTTCATGACAGAAGTCTTCAACAAACTATGCATTTAAGGAAATATACCTCAAAATAAGAGCCATCCATGACAAACTGACAACCAATATCATGCTGAATGGGCAACAATTGGAGGCATTCTCTCTCACAACTGGAATAAGACAAGGATGTCCACTCTCACCACTTGTATTCAACATAGTACTGGAAGTCCTAGCCAGAGTAATCAGGCAAGATAAAGAAATAAAAGGCATTCAAACAGGGAAATAGGAAGTTAAATTATTTCTCTTCACTGATGCTGTGATTCTATATCTAGGAAACCCTAAAGATTCCATCAAAAGATTTGATGACTTTAGTAAAGTTTCAGGATACAAAGTCAACATACAAAACTCAGTAGCATTTCTATACACCAATAACATTCAAGCTGAGAACCAAATCAGGAACATAATTCCATTTACAATAGACAAACACACACACACACAACTAGAAATACATGTAACCAAGAAGTTGACAGATATCTACAAGGAGAACTACAAAACACTGTTGAAAGAAGTCATAGCTGACACAAACAAATGGAAAAGCATTCCATGCTTATGGGTTAGAATAATCAATATTGTTAAAATGTTCATGCTGCCCAAAGTGATCTACAAATTCAATGCAATTTCTATGAAATAACCAACATCATTCTTCACAGAAATAGAAAAACCTATTCTAAAATTCATATGGAACCTAAAAAGAGCCTGAATAGCCAAAGCAATGCTTAGCAAAAAATGACAAAGCCAGAGGCATCACATTAGCCAATTTCAAACTATCCTACAAGGTTACAGTAACCAAAACAGCATGATACTGGTAAAAATAGATATCTAGACCAACAAAACAGAATAGAGAACCCAGAAGTAAAGCTGCATACCTACAACCAACTGATCTTTGACAAAGTAATCAAATAGTGAGGAAAAGACACCCTATTCAATAAACAGTGCAGAGAAAACTAGCTAACCATATGTAGAAGAATGAAACTTGACCCCTACCCCACACCATATACAAAAATCAACTTAAGATGGATTAAATACTTAAATGTGACACCTCAAACTATAAAAAAAATCCCAGAAAAAAACCTAGGAAAATCCCTTCTGGACACTGGCCTAAGCAAAAAGTTTATGACCACGTCCTCAAAAGCAAATGCAATGAAACAAAAAATTGACAATTCAGACCTAATTAAAATGGAGAGGTTCTGCACAGCAAAAGAAACTATCAACAGAGTAAACAGACAACCTATAGAATGGGAGAAAATATTTGCAAACTATGCATCTGACAATAGACTAATATTCAGAATCTATGGGGAACAAATTAACAAGAAAAAACCAAACAGCCCCACTAAAAAGTGGGCAAATGAATAGACACTTCTCAAAAAAAGACAAACCATTGCCCAAGAAAATGAAAAAATGCTCAACATCTCTAATCATCAGAGAGATGCACATCAAACCACAATAAGATGCCATCTCACACCAGTCAGAATGGCCATAATTTAAAAAGTCAAAAAAGGACAGATGTTGGCAAGGTTGCAGAGAAAAGGGAATGCTTAAACATCATTGGTGAGATGGTAAATGAGTTTGGAGATTTCTCAGACAAATGAAGATAGAATTGCCATTCAACTCAGCAATTCCATTACTTGGTGTATATACCCAAAGGAAAATACATCATTCTACTAAAAAATGCAATAAACAGCTGCACTCCATGTTTATTGCAACAATATTCACAACAGAAAAGATATGAAATCAACTTAGGTGCACATCAAAGGTGGATTGGCTAAAGAAAATATGGTACATATATACTATGGAATTCTTTGCAGCCATAAAAAAGAACAAAATCATGTCATGGATGCAGTTAGAGGCCTAATTATCCCAAGAGAGTTAAAGCAGAGACAAAAGCAAATACTTCATATTCTCATTTATCAGTGGGTACTAAACATTGGGTATACATGGATATAAATATGAAAACAATAGACACTGGGGAATCCAAAAGTGATGGGAGGAAAGGGTTGAAATACTGCCTATTGGGTACTATGTTCACTATTTGGGTGACAGGTTCAACTGAGGCTCAAACCTTAGCATCAGGCAATATATTCATGTAACAAATCTGCTCATATAGCCTCTGACTATAAAAACAAACTCCAAAAGACTGGTGAGGAAATAGAAAAAGTCATTAGAGTGGGGGTTAGAATGAGGAATTTCCATCTCAAAGCACTAGGAACAGAGCAGAAAGTATTCTGGCATAGAACCCATATAACCCTGTTGTGGTAGACTGTGTTATTGGTCCCAGTTATTTACCCCTCTCTTTATCCATGTGACTTTACAGTGCCCACCCAATGTTGGCAAGGAGTACTTCTCTGCCTCTTGACATTGGTTTTGGCCATGTAACTAACTTTGGTCAAGAGAATAAGGTAGAAATGATGATATCCAGACCAGGACTAGGTCTCAAGAATATTTGCTTTTGCTTTTTATCGGGGGAACCAGCCCCCAATATTTCAATGTAGGTGTTTTTTCTATTTTCCCTAAGTGTCGGCCGGTCTGAGAAATAAAGAGGAAGAGTACAAAGAGAAGAATTTTATAGCTGGGCCGCTGGGGTTGACATCACATATCAGCAGGTTCCATGATGCCCACCTGAGCTGCAAAACCAGCAAGTTTTTATTAGGGATTTTAGAAGGGGAGGGGATGTACGAACAGGGAGTAGGTCACAAGGATCACATGCTTCAAAGGGCAATAAAAGATCACAAGGCAGAGGGCAGAGCAAATCACAAGGCAAGGGTGAAATTAGAATTACTGATGAGGGTCCATGTCCCACTGGGCATGCATTGTCTTGATAAACATCTTAACAGGAAACAGGGTTCGAGAGCAGACAACCAGTCAGACTAGAATTCACCAGGCTGGAATTTCACAATCCTAGTAAGCCTGAGGGCACTGCAGGAAACCAGGGCATATTTCGTCCCTTATCTCAACCGCATAAGACAGATACTCCCAGAGTGGCCAATTATAGACCTACCCCTGGGAAAGCATTCCTTCCCCAGGGTTATCAATTATTAATATTCCTTGCTGGGAAAAGAATTCAGCAATATTTCTCCTGCTCACACATCTGTCTATAGGCTCCCTGCAAGAAGAAAAATATGGCTCTATTCTGCTCAACCCCGCAGACAGTCAGACCTTATGATTATCTTTCCTTGTTCCCTGAAAATCACGTTATTCTGTTCTTTTTCAGTGTGCACTGATTTCATATTGTTCAAACACACGTTTTTACAATTTGTACAGTTAACACAATCATCACAGGATCCTGAGGTGGCATACATCCTCAGCTTACGAAGATGATGGGATTAAGAGATTAAAGTAAAGACAGGCATAAGAAATTATAAGAGTATTGATTGGGGAAGTGATAAATGTCCATGAAATCTTCACAATTTATGTTCAGAGACTGCAGTAAAGACAGGCATAAAAAAATTGTAAAAGTATTAATTTTGGGAACTGATAAATGTCCATTAAATCTTCACAATTTATGTTCTTCTGCCGTGGCTTCAGCCAGTCCCTCCGTTCAGGGTCCCTGACTTCCTGCAACAGCTTTTCTGTCTCTGCTATCACCATAAGAACATGCCAAGCTACTAGTCTTAAGGAGAAGGATGAGAAACATGTGGAGCAGTGATGAGTGTTGAGCCTCGCCTGGATCAGCCAGCCCACAGAGAGCTGCAGAATGAGTGAGAGAGCCAGCCAGTTCACAGATTCATAAGAACACATTATTGTTGTTCTAAGCCTATAATTTTGGGGTCAGTTTGTTTCACAGCATTAGTATGAACATAGTTAATGGATATACTGCCAGCATATCACCTAGAGATAATATGAAATGTAATTATGCTAGATACTTGCACACCTTCTAGAGATAGGGTAGGGGGCTTGAGAATCCTGTGCAGAATGGAGATAGAGGGAAAACCTAATTTCTGCCCAAGGTGGAACTCAACAGAGCTAGTGAGGAATTTCACTGTGATTAGCAGAAATTGAGAACTTAGATAAAATCTTGTTGGTGTAAAGAGGGTGAGTCTATGATTTATGAAACTACTGATTAGATATTAGTCATTCAATTCTGTCTATTGAGGAAACTCAGGATGTCAGATTTGCTTTGTTTGTTTGCTGTTACCCCTTACCTAGATAATCGTAGAATCTGCTCCTTGTTGGTCACCAGCCTTCTTTCCCTATAGTGGATACCCTGGCTTCATCCATCTATTTGCTTTCTGCTGTTAATGTCAGTCTATGTCAACAAAGACCTGCCATTTTTAGCAACTTCTAAATGATAGGCCATGTAGGAATGCAACATTTTATTATTCCATAAATGGAAAAGCCAAGTACTTTTTCAGAATGATTAAACTCAGCAACTAATCCATTATTGAGGTAATTACTTTTAAATTTGCTGAAATGTTAGAGCATAGCTGGCTGTGACATTGGAAAAAAATTGACTGCTTGTGGGCATTAGAGGCAGAGGGATTAAACAAAGTATGACAATGGCAAAATGTTCTGCTCAGTGTAACAGGCCTGAAGGTATTTGATGTTCTTCTCAGAAGTTAGTAGGGTAATCTATCTTTTAATGTACTAAATTCACGTCACTTCCACAGCTATACTCTTTGGCACTTCCCTCAGCTGCTAAGAATAATCACACAGTGGGTTTCCCCTTTATATTGACTGTCAATCACAAGGTATGACCTTGAAAGGGTCACTTCCCCTCTCTGAGTTCAGTTTTCTTACCAGTAAAAAGAGGTTGTATCTGAAATTATCTCTGAGGTCACATTCTGTTCTAAAACTGTATGATGCTTGAAAGGTCAGGTTAGGAAGGTGCAACTTAAAAAAAAACATGGATAAGGACGAAGGAACCAATCAGAGGCTGTGTGAAGTTGAATGGTGGTCAAGAGCATCTCCAGTTAGCATTATCATGGACAAAGAAGTGTCTGAAATGGTTAGGCCAGATTTCCGAAACTCTGGTTGCCTGCAGTTTAAGATATAATGGAGGCCCACACCGCTGAAAGGGAGATGTTGGGGGCTGAGGGGAAAGACAGAGTAGGAGTATGGAACTTCAAAGAAGTGAGTTAATGGGGGGAAATCTCTCTGACCTATGAACTTTTGCACTGTTCCTTTTGATTATCTTTTTTCAAGTTCTGTCTTGACTGCTTCTGCACATGATATAGAAGGTATAGCACCTGCTGACTGGGCGTGGTGGCTCACACCTGTAATCCTAGCACTTTGGGAGGCCAAGGCAGGTGGATCACCTGAGGTCAAGAGTTCGAGACCAGCCTGGTTAATATGGTGAAACCCTGTCTCTACTAAAAATACAGAAATTATTCAGGTGTGGTAGCAGGTGCCTATAATCCTAGCTACTTGGGAGGCTGAGGCAGGAGAATTGCTTGAACCCAGGAGGTGGAGGTTGCAGTGAGCCAAGTTTGCACCATTGCACTCCAGCCTGGGCAACAGAGCAAAAACTCCATCTCAAAAAAAAAAAAAAAAAAAAAAAGTATAGTGCTTGCCTATATTCAGAGAGACCTGAATGCAAATGTCTTTTGTCCTATTAACTGTGTCAGCTTAAGATAACCACTTAACCTGTGAGCTATGATTTTTATGTCTATAATATTGGAAAAATAATACCTGCATCAAAGGGTTGTGAGTTTTAGTTGAAACAATACACATGGCAAAGAAATCTCAACTCCAGCCTAGACTGGACCCACCATGGGTTTCAGCATCTGACAAATTTATGAGTTGGCCCAGGAGAAGTGTATTTTCAGGGGCTGTAAGGAAGTTTCCAGACAAAAATTCACCTTATGATGAGAAGGAGACATGCTTGATGAGCTTGATTATTTGTAATAGTCAGGGATCAATCATAAAAACTGTGAATTCCAAGGGATTGGGCCCCACATAATCTTGGAAACTTAATAAGCAGTCTATGCAAGGATGGTCCCTTTGTGTCTGCAAAATGGCAGTTGGTAAGGGAAGAGGAAATGAAATAGCAGAGACCAAGGGCAAACTAAAACCTGCAAAGATGAGCTGGAATCCATGTTTGTCCCTCCCTTTATATAATCGCAAAGACAAGGGCAACCTGCAGAAGACGCTGATGCCCTTCTCAACGGAGCTGAAAATGTATCTGCTCTAGGATTAGGGGAAGCCGAAGGAAAGATCTGGAAGGAGCTGAAAGAGCCGTAAGCCCACTGCCGCTCCTTGCCAGCGAGGTGGACCCACAGGTCAGTGACAATGTGCATCAGCTGCATCAGCACCTGGCCCCACACTCACCTTCAGAGCTTAACAAAATTGCCATGGATACACTTCCACCTTCCAAATCTCTTGTAAATCTCAGTAGAGCACCCTAACCTTAAGCCACATAAGGGAATTATGGGAAATGTCATTCCAGCTTAGATAAGTTGACAGTGAGAGACCATCACCTCCATTAATAAAGCCTTAGGAGGCTCTAAGCATAGCAAGGGGTCTAGTATTTGACCCCAGGTCCAGCCTAACTAAGGCCTTGGGAAAGAGTGAACACTGAAAGAGTGGATTTGTTCCATTTTGTCACACATTGACATGCAAGCATCACTGCTAGCCAAGATTAAGGGGGAGGGTATTTCTTCTTTGCTCACTTTATTCCAGGCTGAACACAGTGAGTGTGCTTGAAAGGGAATATGTAAATGTTTATACCTAAAATAGTAGGTATTTTTGGTGAAGAAAAAAAGAATATGACTTGGAAATGAATTCCAGAAGTGGGATCAAGTGGTCATCTTTTCAAGAATCAAAAAGTCCCTCTCAAAGGGAACAGGCACTCCCTGTAATTCAGGAGGCAGAAATTGCCAAAAAGAGAGGGACAACACAGTGGCAGCCCCAACTGGAGGATAGGCCCAGCTAAAGGAACAAATCAAAAGAATTCTGGTGATTGACAATGTGTAACTTTATAACACAATTTTAGAAAACTTGGATGAAATAGATAGTGGTCTAAAGAAAATACAAATGAGCAAAGCTGACTTAGGAGGAAATGAAAAATCTGAGTAGACCAATTATCAAAGACACAGCTGGAAATGATTAAAGATCTTTCCAATCAATAAATGTCTATTTCATACTTTTCTATGGGAAAATTCTTTGAGTCTTGTAAATGACAGATTATTCTAACTATATTTAAATTGTTGCAGAGCACAGAAAAATAAGGAAATGCCCCACCTAGATCTCCTATACTGGTCCAGAGTACCTGTCTCTGGGCTGCTGTGAATCTTGGCAGCTAATGGCTTACACTTCCCCCCTTTTCAGAGAACTGCTTATGGCCTCTGGGAGCTACTTCACCCAGAAATACTTGAGAGTTTGTACCCTATCTCCTGGGACAGCCCACATCAAATGACTAACTGTAGTGAGGGTACATAAACCCATCTTCCTTGCCTTGAAATGGGACCGTTCTGTGATATCATTTATGTGTTAGTGTTACCTGTGGGACTGGGTAGTCTAGAGTGCAACGTGAACTGGAGCTTGACATACTTCTTCCCCTCGTCCTATTATAACTGGCAAAAGGGTCTGGTTGCTTGCCATTTGTAAAAAGAAGCCAACATAGCAAGAGTGAGGTGTGATAAAAAGAGAGCGAGTTTTATTACCCATGTTAGCAAGGGGAGGAGTGGGTGTATTCTTTCCAAAAATTTTCACTGTTCCATTTGTGGAGGGAATGCGGAGGTTTTTAAAGAGAGGGTTTGGAATGCAGGAGAGGCAGCCGGGCTAGGCTATGTCAGGTGGCATGACCCACTCTGATGGCTCATCTTGAATTATTGTTTCATCTGGTGTCATCAAGGTTGGAGGTGTTGGTCTGTATCAGGACTTAGCCCCTGAAACTTCTAAGGAAATATTTTTGTATTATATGACCAGATAAGTGAGTATGGTGTGTGCTTAGCAAGCATCTAGGTAAATAAATGAGAATAGAATGGGAAAAGAAAGGGAGTGGAGGTTCACAGCTCATTCTGAGGCTGTATTTCAAGATGAAAGGTAAAATACATGCACTTTGTCTCAAGGTTTTATCTTAAGACTGGGAAGTAGGGGGAGGAGAAAAGGGGAAAGAAAAAAGAAATTTAAACATGGTTTGAGGCTAAGCTGCTAAGCTGTTTGGTTACATCATCCTGCTTCCATTCCTGTCTTACAGGTTTCTCTGGGGAGAAATCCCTCAATAAGTCAGTTGCACAGAATCCCTGTTTCAGACCTTGCTTCTATGACTTAAATAAGAATCAATCTTTTCTTGAAATTAAGAATCACTGATTTAATAGTAAAAAAGGAAAAAATATATCTTTAATAGGCTAGCAGAAAAAGAAAAGAAGAGACCAGTCTCATTTATAAATATTGACTCAAAAAATCCTAATAAAATAATTCAAATGGGATTAGTGCCACATCATGATTATTTGGGTTTTATTTCATGAATGAGTAAAAGGAAAAGAAATCTCAGGACCCTAAAACCTCTTAAGCCAAAGGGAAAAGTCAAGCTGGAAACAGCATCAGGCAAACTTGCCTCCCATTTTATTCCTAAATAACATAGCTATAAAGATTTTTTTTAAAAAGCTGCATACCTCCTTCACAATTTGTCCACAAGGAAATTACTTGGGGGGGGGGCCCTCAAGATCGTTACCCTGAGACAGTTCTGCTGAATTTTACCCTGGTAATGTAAACTGATAGCTTATCTTCACAGGTGTGGGGAAGTCATCTCTCTGCTCATCTGAGACAAATGCATATCTGATTGCTTCTTCTGCTCTAGTGTTTATGTAAAAACGCAAATTCACCTAGCCAGACTAAAGCATAAGTGACTATTCCTGTATTCTCCTGTCACATGTAAATTGTGTATTCAGTGAAAGGCTAATCAAAGACCCCAAAGAATGCATGTTAGTCTCTTATCTACCCATGACATGGAAGCCCCCCACCCAGTTCTGCTTTGAGTTGTCCCACCTTTCCGGACCAAACCAATGTACTTCCTACACATAGTGTCTGACTTCTCATGTATTCCTAAAACGTATAAAAGCAAGTTGTACCCTGACCACCTTGGGCACATGTCATCAGAACCTACTGAGGCTATGTCACGGGCATGTCCTTAACCTTGGCAAAATAAACTTTCTAAATTGATTGAGACCTGTCTCAGACACTTTGGGTTCACAAGTGCCAGGATAACTTGATGTTTCCAAATTGAATGCCATCATTCTCCTATTAATAGTTCAAAGAAAAAAGCACAATGATATCATAATAGCATATATATTTTTCAAAAACAAAACAAAAATGAAAGCCTTTCTTTTCATCTTTTATATCTGCTACAAGTCTGTTATGAGTTGAACAACTTCCTCATGAGGGCTATTGTCAATCAATCATGCGGTATTTTCTATAACATGGTATCATTTGGAAATGTAAATATGTGTACTTTAAGGGAGTGAAAGCTTTGAAAGACAGACCCAGGAAGGAAAATTTATTGCCTACAACATGGGCCCTCCAGGCTGGGCTACTGTTACTTTTACAAGTTCCGATGTTGTACTTTTGTGCCAAGTAGCATGAAATCTGAGGACAGATTAGCAGATTGACAAAATGGCCTGGGGGCTGCTTGGAGAGAAAAATTCTTGCATATACAAATGAATATAACAGTAAGGAAGTTACAAGTTTTACTAAGCCTCCAAGATCTGGAAGCAGTGACATAGAAGAAACTAAGGACATAAAAGCTGTGTGTTAACACAGGCTTTAGGAGTCTAGAGTAGCCCCAGCTACTAGGGAGACTCATGCAAGAAGGACGGCTACCCCAAGTTGTGGTTTTACATGGCAAATTTTCTAGGACTAATGATATTTAATAGACATAATTTATTAGAGATAAAAATTTTTGGTAACTATTTTAATACAAGTAAAACAAGTTCATTTTAGAAAACACAGATTTAAAAAAATTAAAAATTAATGTCACATATAATTCTTGCATACATCCTAGAAAATATCACTGTTATTGTTTTGCTATATTTCCTTCTCGGTTCTCTAACTTATTGTCTAGCTGTCTATTTACTGAGCTGTTTGTCCACCCAGGTGTCTGGTGAATGATCTTACACTATATTTTATATGCATGTCCTATAAGTGGTATGCCAATATAGTATTTATTGTATATTTATATATTTCTTTTAGAAAAATTGAGGCAGGAAAATAGGGTCTGGAGGCAGGGAACATAAGGTTTATTCACACTTCAGCTATAACAGGAAATATCCTCTCCATAGGGTATACACCATAAATGACTTTTGTAACTTTAATTCATCCTCTCCATTTAAATAGGGCATACCTAAAGGAACCAGTGGAATCCTCTAGGGGATATTTAAACTCCCAGAAATTCCATAATGGGGCCTTTGAGCTCCTATGCTTGGGCCCACTCCCACACTGTGGAGTGTACTTTCATTTTCAGTAAATCCCTTCATCCTTTCCTTGCTTTGTTTGTGCGTTTTGTCTAATACTTTGTTCAAGACACCAAGAACCTGGACACCCTCCACCTTTAACATATTTTGGTGAGCCAGCCGGGAGGAAGAGACAAGCCCAAAATTTGGGCTTTCTTCTTCTTTCTCCTTTTCTTTTCTGCTCCATATAGGGGAACCTCTTTCTCTCTCTTTTCCTTTCCAACCTGGGACCCGTGGTGGGCAGTGGCTAAACATGGAAGCAACTGCAGTTTTCTGGCTGTGGCCAGTGAAACTAAGGGGTTTTCATGTGGAGAAGCCTGACCACCATGGCCCAGTTCACTTAAGGAACCTGGGTCTTTTTCGTTTGTTTGTTTGTTTTTCTTTCTTTCTCAGTCTTTCAGTAGCTGTTTATAATTGCCCTGCCCCGAAGAGGGAAGGACTTCTTTTTATGTTTTCCATGCATGGTCCCTGATCCAAGCAAACTCACACGTGTTTCAGGGGACTTAAACTTTCTTTTCTTATGCAAAATTCTTCCCTCATTGTACTCAACTGGCTAAGGAACAAAAAGGCCCACCCAGCATCCAATTCTCATTACAGTTCATGGCTATGCTTATAAAGCTCACAGTATGTTCTGGAGGGGAAAATCTGCATGTGGTGTCCACCTAAGGTCAGAGACATCTGGCACTCTAAGACTGGACCCCACAGGAGGACGCTCCGTGGGTCCTGCGAACCCAACCACTCCAAAGAGGACACTCTTGGCACAGGTTCTGAGGTCTAGTATTAAGCCCTCCTTAGAATTTTCTCTCACAGTTGCAATGCTGCTTGGCCCTAGCATTGTTTGGAATCTGGAGTTTACTGTCTAATGGGAAAGTGGAATGGTATTCCATATATCCGGGCTTTTGTACTGTGGTTCTAAGCAGGGGGCCTGGTTAACGTGTGATGCCCTCCTTTGGTATGGTTTGGTCCCAGTGCTCTTTTGAGTCTGGGGAGGTTTGGCCTTTAAAAATGAAACTGCCATGGAGACTGCTTTACCCAAAATTTTGGTTCGCAGCCTTCATTGGATTATCTATTGGGGCAAAGTAAAACTGGGAAGCTTCTATTGCTGTCTCATGGCTAAGGTTTCAAGCTATTAGATCTTTGTTTATGTGTGTGTATACATGTCTAGATATGTTTATTTGTATATACACTTACTGTTACATGTTGTGTCTACCAAGTTGGCTTATAAGTAAAAGAGCACTCATAAATTAGTAAATGAGTCTAAGCAATTTTCAAGTTCACGTGACTTAAAGTATCACTTTACTAAACAAGCTAGCTTTAAAATTATTGATGGAAGAAAAATAGAAATGCCTTTAGAATTGTCAGCATATGTTTTGTCTGAATTTTATGTTTGTCTTTGCTAGATATTTTAAAATGTCAGTGTTAATTCAAGCTGGGAGCTGCTTGGGGTGAGCCTGCCTCCCATTCTATTCAAAGTCTCACTGAGATACATGCATATCTGATTGCTTCCTTTGGAAAGGTTAATCAGAAACTCAAAAGAAAACAACCGTTTGTTTCCTACCTGTGATCTGATAGCCCCCAAGCCTCCTTGCCTCAAATTGTCCTGCCTTTCTGGACCAAACCAATGTTCATTTTAAGTATGTTGATGTATCGTATCTCCCTTGTTAAAAGTAAAAAATTAAGGACAGTGATAGGATAGTTGTTTTAGGTAAACTTTTTGTGTAAATTAAAACTGTAAAGTTATTTTTGATGCTCATTTAATATCTGAATCATTTCCAATTAAGAAAGGATTGCAATATGAAGAAATATGTTTCTAAAATTGTAGAATTTTTCTTATGTATAAATGCCCATATCTAATAGTTCAGGATTTCTTGCTTTTTAGGGATTCACTAAAGCTTTATGTTACTAAGGATAAAATTCTAGTTAACACGTAGTTCTGTATACAAAATGTGCCAGAAAGGGTTTTGTTATGAGTGGAAAAAGAATAATTTTGTCTAATTCAGAAGTCATCTAAAAGTTGGCTCAAATTACATATTTGAAAAGTTATTTATGAAACAATGTAGTAAGGAACCATCAAGTAGGGGAGAAAGATGTGGAAAAATTTAGATAATAAAATATTCTTTAAAACCCGATAAATAACTGGAAACATTTGACTAATATTTCCACAGTAAAGCTCTTAGTCTTGATTAAAGTAAGAAGTATTGTGAAAATGCATCAGAAGTTTGACAATTTTTTTAAATATAGTTAAGCATGAATCTGGATTTAGTGTGGAGTCAAATTTTACATACACGCTTGCATTGCTTCACACTATGTTTACCGTTTTGCATGGATAGTGCTGGAGTACTTATTGGTTATGTGCCTAAAGTGAATTTCTTACTTGCACAGGAGGTATGATAATATTACTGAACTTATGGATATTGTGTATTAGTAATAAAATATTCATTATCTAGGTTTTCCGGGGCCCTAGGTAACACTGTAGCCTCCAGGGTAAATTGAGTAGGAAAATTTAGGGTTGGTTTTCCGCTTATTTATTTTGCTTCTAGTTTTCATTCACTTGCTATTTATTCTCCTCTGGCTTTGCTTGTGTATGCATATGTATAAAACCATAATTATTTTTTATAGTTCCTAGTGGAAGGTTTTTATTCAGTTCTGTGTTCCTATGCATTTCTAGCAAGTCATTATCCATTCCATTTATATGGAATTCCTAAGCTACCTTTGTTGGGCCTGCAGGGATTAATGGAGCACACCAGCATTTTATCTTTAACTAACTTTTTGGATTTTAGGCTTCCTGATACTTTAAGTGTATTGAGTATACTCTCATAAATAGAATTTGAGTCATATTTCTCTCTCTCTGCCTAATTTCTCAAAATTTGTTAAGTATTTGTGAGTATTCTTAATTCATGGCAGTGTGTTTGTTTACATATAGTCAAGCAGGGTTGCCAGGGCTGCTTAGGGAGAGAGAACCCAGAAACCTGGCATGCTGGCAAAAGGGTAAGAATTTCTTACCGATCAGTCTCTGGCCTCTTTCTCTCTGTGCAAACTGGTTAAATATAAAGTAAAAGCCAGTGTTTATCTGCTGTGTAAAGTTTTAATTAATTGGTTTATTAATAATAAGAGCTTAAATCAAATATTTTGTTAGAAAAGTAGAAAGTGTAATGCTTTTTACTTCATGTGACTTTAGCAATCTTTCGGAAATAAAGATGGTTTTAAAGATTATTGGTAAAATACAATTGTCTTCAAAATGTTAACATGTGGTCTAAATTATGTTCAGATATGAGGTTTGCTAAATGCTTTAAGGTGATAAACTGCTGCTTTGGCTTTTGAAAATTGTTTAACTTGCCTGCTTTCCAGCTAGGTAAGGCCTGGACATGCAGAGTTGTCCACACCCTAGCTATACTGTAAACAGTCAAACCCTATCAGAATATAACTTACCAGGTTTTACATTAAAGTTAAAATTGTTGAGTCACCACTGTAACATGCAATTAAGACTACTAGAAACAGTTTTACATGTTAGGTGTGTAAAAAGAGTAGAATGTTTTTGTTTCCATTTTTATAAAGGTTATAAAAGGTTTTTCTTCTTTAAAATTTCTGAATCATCATTTTGGCAAAATAAATAATTTATGGTAATCTGGAATTCCAAAATCAAACTTCAGTTACAAAATTGTCTTTCCTAATGCCTGGTTTCTGGATGGATCATAGGACCCCTGAAAACATCCAGAAGAGAGGTAAACAGGATTATTTGATGTGTTTAGGTACATGGGATTGCCAAAATGATGTTCAATCTTATTTAGATTACATTTTTGTGGATAATACTAATATATATTCCAAAATTGTATGGGATTTCTAAAATTCTAATGTCTAAGTATATGCCACCAATCACAATTATAGTTATTGTTAAGTTATTGTAGGCCACAGAAATAACCAAATTTCCTTGTATAAAGCTACTAACTCAAGTAAAACCAAACAGTTAATTAAATATCCAGAAAATACTTTAGTGTTAAACCAGCGAATAGTGAAATTGTTTAAAATAGTTTATAACCAATGCTTGATCCCATATTCCTGGGAAAACAATTAAAGCTTCACATTTGGTCACCTGGTTGGCCATTTAATATTTAAACATTTTATAAAGGGATTTCATTCAATTATTATTTCCAATGCATGTTTTCTGGTTGTATAAAAGCTTTCCCATGCAAGGGGGCTGATGTTATAGCAGTAGATTATTATGCTACATTGTATTTCACCAGTTAAAGAAAGTTTTTTATGGCTTGAATCTTCTGGAAACATCAGAAAAAGACTGTCCTTGCCATCCACACTACAACAAAACTTTGGGACCTTGAACTTTGGGTTCATTGTCTCACAACTGAGAAGGGTCCCTCCATGCTCTTGGAGCTGTGCACCCATTGGGGCTCTTAAGATAAAACTAAACAGGAAAATTTCTCCCAAGAAGAGGATGGCATCCTTGATGTGAACAGCTTTTCCCAAGTTCACAGATTAAGACTTCTACTATCATGAAACTCTTGTCTTTGAATATTTTTTCTTGCTTATGCCTCTGTGAACAATAGAAGTGGAAAAGGGGTCTGTTATGTGCACTTATGTGGTATACTTTTATTTGTGAAGAAGTTTGGAGCCAGCCTTAGACATGGATAACCTTATACTTTGATAGATAAATGATGAAGGCCTAATGTAGGTAAGAAACTTTAATGGTACATGCATTGCATCATAATCAGTCAAAAACAATACATTGGTTCACTCCTCTTAATCAGCATTATGGGTTAAAGAGAGCATTGCCAGCAGGCCTTCATTCTTCTAAAAGGGCGTCATTTGTTAGGTCCTTTTTCCGTGGTTTAAAGTATAAGAAACAATGATTAGAAATGTATCCCTTATGACAGGTTCTATAGCAAATTCTACTGTAAAGGATACAGTTACACAGTAGACTCTAAATTCTCTTGTGAAAATTATAACAGAATTGGCTAAATAGAGAAGTATCTGTGCAGCTGCTGGCACTTGTGGCCTATGGAGAAAGACATCAGATGAAGATTATAGAAATTCAGTGATAGGGGATTGATGAAGAAATTGCTTAGTCAAGTGAGTAAACTCTTTATCTGGCTCATTCTTTGATCTATTTGATTTTAGGAGGTTTGGTTTATGGGGACCTTGGGTAAGGAACATACTCCAAACTCTTGATATTATCCTCCCAATAGTCATAATAATAGTCTCCCTTGTATGCTGTATTCTCTCAAAGGTTTTAAATGCTTGCATGCAGCCATCTCTAGAATGTCACATGGTCTCTCTTCAACTGGAATAACAGGAGCTGAAAGAAATGTGCAGCCATGAGAACACCATAACCTATAAATGATTTGCTGAGACGAGAAACCCAAAATGATGATAACTGAGAGTGGTGCTAAGGCCCTAAGTTTTGGTTACACTCTCACCCAAGTGAGAGCCTGACCAAAAATGGAGAACTTTCTAAAACAAAATTATGGGAGGCCATTGTTTTGAACTGAGCTCATGCACTAGGACATGAGAAACCAAACCAAAATGGAGTTGCTCATGCTAAGACTTTAAGGAAACACGTAGATTCCAGAACAGACCAGGTTTTGTTTTTTCTCCTGCAAATCTCTATAACAGCATAGGTATCCACCCCCTGAAGTTCCCATTAAATTTTTTAATCAAATTCATTTCCTCGGCCAGGCATGGTGGCTCACACCTATAATCCCAGCACTTTGGGAGGCGGGTGGATCCTGAGGTCAGGAGTTCAAGACCAGCCTAGGCAAGATGGTGAAACCCCCATCTCTACTAAAAATACAAAAAAATTAGCTGGGTGTGGTGGTGGGCTCCTGTAATCCCAGCTACTCAGGAGGCTGAGGCAGAGAATTTCTTGAACCCAGGAGGCAGAGTTTGCAGTGAGCCAAGATTGCACCACTGCACTCCAGCCTGGGTGACAGAGTGAGACTCTGTATCAAAAAAAAAAGAAAAGTCATTTCCTCCTGCCTAGAGACTATCAAGCTTCAGATGGTCATGCAACAAAGGTTCCATCCAATTCCAGGTGAAGCCATCACCCCTGGCCATCAAGAAGCTACCCTGCCTCCACTAGCCATAACAGGGCAAGAGTTCCGTGATCCCCAATAGGTAGGGACTATGCCCCAAGCCAGCATGAAGTAGTTACAAGAGAAAACCATCAGTCCCTCTGCCTCCCATAAAGATTTATGGGGATCACATCTCTCAGGGGGGAGATGAGGCAGGAAAATAGGGTCTGGAGGCAGGGGAATATAAGGCCGATTCACACTTCAGCTGTAACAGGAAATGTCCTCTCCATAGGGCATATGCCATAAATGACTTTGTAACTTTACTTCATCTTCTCCATTTACATAGGGCATACCCGAAGTAACCAATGGAATCCTCTAGGGGTATTTAAACTCCCCAAAATTCTGTAACAGGGCCTTTGAGCTCCTATGCTTAGACCCACTCCCACACTGTGGAGTGTACTTTCATTTTAAGTAAATCACTTCATCCCTTTCTTGCTTTGTTTGTGCATTTTGTCCAATTCTTTGTTCAAGATGCCAAGATCCTGTATACCCTTCACTTTTAACAAAATGATATTATACACGCTTGTAAATTGCTTTTAAAAATTAACTTATAATATCATTTCTTTATGCCTATGCCTGTTCGGAACATTCAATGGCTACCTGGTGTTTCTTTGTATGGATGGAGCATAACTTAGTTACTGTGTCTCTTCTTGTTGGACATTTAGATATTTACTAGTTTTTGTTGTCATAAACAATGTTAATGTAAAAACCTTGTGGCAAAATATTTGCATATATTGTTAATTGGTTCTTTAAGGCTAACTCTGAGAAGTAGAAATGCTGGATCAAACGTAACACACTTTAAAAATAGTGTTGTTCTATGTATTGACAAATTGCTTTCTGGGAAGGTTATGTCAACTTATATTCCCAAGAGCAGAGAAATTGGCTCTGTTTTTAAATAATTTGAGGGAAAGAATTTCCATAATCATTCACTGCAGGCAGAATTTAAGGTCTATCTCCTATAAACCTAATCTATTAATTTAGCTATTAATATTCTGCAAGTAAACTAGCATTTCAGCTAGGATACAGTCATTGAGACTTTGATCTGCTAAGGACATTGCAGAGTCATTGCATTCAGAACTTGACAGTAAATCACAGTAGTGGGAATTAAACTCAAATTTGAGTGACTTTGGCTAAATGCTTAATCTCCATTATTTTTAGTCACCTCATAAATGGATGTAATAAAATAATCTGTACTATAGAGTTGGGCGAAAATCAAATAAGATAATTCATATAAAGTGTACAGCACATGGCTTGGCACAAGAGAAAGTGCATGAAAGCGTTATTATATTGGCTAAGGAAAAATTATTGAAAAAATTGAGCTAATCTAGACCTAGAACAATTCTAAGTACCTACATAGATTAGGCATTCAAAAATATTGGCTGAACTAAATTGAATTTTTGGGGGACATATCAAGTCAATAAATCTTTCTGATGCCTTACTGAATGCACGACCTAATTCCACAGAAAAGTTGTAAGGAATAGGAAGATGATGAAGTGTGGTCTTGTCTTCAAATAGCACACAATCTAGTAAGGGAGATAGGGCAAACACCAAGATAATTAGAAGCACTAAAAAAGATTAAAGGAGGGAGAAATCCCTTCCATCTCTGAAGATCAGGGGAGATTTCATGAAACTCTAAGTGGCTTTTAAACAAATGTGTGGGGAGAGCATTCCAGGAGGAGAATGTACCCAGTGGGTTGAGAAATCATGGGCTGTGTGCAGAGTTACCTAGTTGCCTAGAGTAAGAGAATCACTAGCGAAAGATAGGTCAGGTCAGGTATAGGTGGTGGAATGGTAGAGGTTGTGAGTGCCTCCAGGATGGAGGGGGAAAGAGAAGCTAGTTGGGAGGCTGTGGGAGTGGTTCAGTTGTGACATGATAAAGGCCTGAATGGGGAGGTGTGAATGCTGAGATAGAGTTCACAGGATTAGGGCACCATTAGGGGAGCATTCCAAAACCGTGGGGCCTCATCTTGCTCTGGCTGCCATCTCAACAACTAGCTGCCTCAGCCAATTTGCATAATTTTCTTGGGGTCAGCATCTTCTTTCCCCTTTCTCCCTTCCTCTCTTCCTTCCTTCTTTTTCTTTTCTTTTTTCTCTCAGCTGAGTCAGATGTCAAAGTAAGGGCAATAAATGTGATTCAAAGTACCCTTCGAAAATGGTGTGAATCTTATGCTTCTTAATTAAAATAATACTGAGGCTGATGTAATGAGAGGACAAGAGTGGGGCAACTTCTCTGTTGCCTTTTGTTATTGTTGGTTTTAATTAGATATTTTTTAAAAAACTTTTCATTTTGGAATAATTTTAGGTTCACAGAATAGTTGCAAAGATAGGACGAAGAATGGCCACATACCCCACACCCAGTTTCACTATGGTTAACATCTTAATTTACCATGATATATTTGTCAAAACTAAGATATCAGCATTACATATTACTATTAACTGAACTGCTAACTTTCTTTGGATTTTACTAGTTTTTCCATTAACTCCCTTTTTTTATTTTGTTCCAGGGTCCAATTCAGGGTACCATACTGCATTTAGTTGTCATGTGTCTCCCCAGTCTCCACTGGTCTGTGACAGTTTCTGAGGCTTCCCTTGTTTTTCTTTACCTTTACAGCCTTGAGGAGTGTTGGCCAGGTATCCTGTAGAATGACCCCAGTCAGGATTAGTCTGATGTTTTTCTCATGATTAGACTGGGGTTGTGGGTTTTTGGAAAGACCACAGAGGTAAAGTTCCTTTCTAGCCAAATCCTATTGGTAGGTACATGATATCCATTACAATTCAGAAAGTTAAGTTTAAACTTACCTACTGGGTGACTCAATGTATTATGTCCCTGTTCAATGTCACGAATTCGTTGTTTTTTTCCTCTTCATTTTTTTTGGGGGGGAGAATTGTGGATTTGTAGGAAAAATGCAGTGAGTTTCTGGGGTACTGGGACTAAAGATGTAAGAGTTTAAGGTTTATGAGTATTAGATGTGGTGGTAGACACTGTTGGCCCCTCCCCCAGATTTCATTCTCCCACTGGTGCACCCATCTGTGGCTGTTGCAAGTGCTGCATCTGATAGATTTACCTGTGACTTTCTCTGGGAAATTGCCCTTGGCTGAGTGAACCACCTCATTCAGAGATGCTTGAGAAGTTAATACCCACTATTCCAAGCCCTGAGTCTTAGCCAATGACGGACTTTTTGGGGGTATAAAAGCCTAGGTCCCTTGCCTTAGAGATGCAATATGTGGTCTTGTCTAGAGCCCACCCCTGCTTGGGTATGGGGGTGGTCAGGCCAGTGCTTGACATTACCTGAGATGCTTGTTCAAGTCTGTCCCTTTCCTTAATTTGGTTCTTTGACTCTGTTAGCATTTTTCTCTTAAGAATACTTCCCTCAATTAATCATTTGCAGCTGAACAAATCTCTCAGACTTTGCTTGGAGAAACTGGCCTAATGTAGACACATATTCTTAAAAATGTGTTAGCCTTTGAGAGTGCTCTGTCTAGCCCAACACTCAACAGCCCGAGAAGAATTTAATTAAATTTTATATAATGCTTAATCATTAAAGGTTACTCAAATCCTGGTTGTTTTCCTATAGTTGGAATTATAATGCTGAAAACATTACTCAAGGATTCTGAAAAGAATTAATATTAGTAGGATGCTTATTATGATTTAGATAGGCTATGAAACAATCACTCTTTGTCTATCAAACTGTTAACTGCTGTGACACTGTGGGGAGAACAAAACTGGTTCTCTAAATAGTTGCCTTTTTGTATAATCATGAGTGGCATGATTACTAAGTGTGGTGCTATGGTTACACCAGCTGCCCTGGGTGTATCAGAGGTCAAATTATTCTTATGGCCACATATAGGGAGCCTATGGTTCAAAAAGTTACAGATCCTGGAAACCAAGCAGCTTCATGTCCCCAAAGTCTATGTCTTTGCAGCCTTGGGCTTAGCTAGGAAATTGGTAACCTAACATCCCTTAGTAAAATAGTTTGAAGCCAGGTGGAATTAGATAATAGACCCAAGTTAGGTTGCTTCAAGTCAGGATTCTAAACATATGTTTTAAATACATACCAATAAAGAGTCAGAATATGAGGAAAGGGGTGAAATCAGAGATGACTAAGATTTCAAGTCTAGGTCATTACGATTTTTTTCTTTATGAAAGACTAGCTGGAGTTTAAAACGTTTGGTGATTTTTAAATCCTAAAGAACAGTATAGTTTCAGGGAAAAAAGCTGGAAATATTTATTGTATTAGTTAGGATTCTCTAGAGGACAGAACTAATAGGATAGATAAATATATAAAAGGGAGTTAAGGAGTATTGACTCACACGATCACAAGGTGAGGTCCCACAATGGGCTATCTGCAAGCCGAGGAACAAGGAAGCCAGTCTGAGTTCCAAAGCTGAAGAACTTGGAGGTCTGATGTTTGAGAGCAGGAAGCATCCAGCATGGGAGAAAGATGTAGACTGGGTGGCTAAGCCAGTCTAGTCTTTTCATGTTCTTCTGCCTGTTTTTATTCTGGCTGCTGATTAGATTGTGCCCACTCAGATTGAGGATAGGTGTGTTTCTCCCGCTCCACTGATCCAGATGTTAATCCTTTTTGACAACACCCTCACAGACACACCCAGGAACAATACTTTGCATCCTTCAATCCAATCAAGTTGACAATATTAACCATCACAGTTATTTACTAGGCAACAAATTCATTCTTTCAAAGACTAACCAGATAAAGGTAGAAAGGTTTATTCTGTCTCATTGCATTGTTGGAGAATGCAGCGAAAATTAAGAAAGGCAAAGAAATGATTACTTCAAGAAAGAGGATGGAGGTGCCATGTGGAGAATTGAAATTTGATAGGGTGTCGGGTTTGGGAAGGAACACACATAGGTAGATACTAGTTACAGGTGATACTATAGTTCTTGGATTATTAGGTGGTGAGTTCATAGATGTTATATTATGTAAAAAATAATACCTAAATTTAATATATAAGCCATGAATTGAGTTTAAACTAATTCTTCTCAACTAAAAGAGAGAGAGGGAGAGAGAGAGAGAAAGAGAGAGAGAGAGAGAGAGAGACAGAGACAGAGAGGCAGAATATGAATGCAGCAATTGTGTCTCAAAGGTATTGAAGTTTAGATATATTTATTAATTTACTTGGTGTTGTTTTACTTAAGAAAGACAGCACAGCTGTATAGAGAGCGGTAACAAAATAAAAAGGGTGGTTAAAAATATGTATTTCAAGGTATTCATTAATTTATATGGTCTTTTATATTTCCACATATAGTCACTTTGAAAACTAGTGATACACAAAAAGTTGAGACATGACTGTTTCAAACTTTTCAACTCTGCTGCTTCCTGGTTGTTTCTTGAACACCTTTCCTAAACTCTATCTGATTTAGTTGCTTCATGTGAAAATGGAGACTATAATCCCTACCTTACAGGGTGGTGGTAAAAAATTAGGTAACACATGCACAGTTCCTGGGACACAGCATGGGCTGAGCAAATAGGAGTTGTTTTTAGCATGTTATTGCAACAGAATGTCCAGCCTAACATTCCTGATGCCCCAGAATTGGAAAATTAACCAAAGACTGAAGATTAAAAGGTATGAAGTAAAATGGGATGGGACACTAGCCTCATAATCCAAATGAAGCTGAAAAGAATTGGAGGCCTGATAGTCCTTCTAGGGCTTATTAAGTGTGGGCAGCCAGACTGGTTTTGCTAATCTCCTGCATTCCCCAGGATCCCTTCCCTGGTCAAGGACATTCAATCCATCACTGATTCAACAAATATCCATTGACCTATTCTGTGACAGGTACTGTATTAGGTGCCTAGGATCCAGCAGTGAATAAATAAGACACAGACATAATAAAAAGACTAGGATAAGGGCAAAAGAACTTTTAGACATTAGGCAGATCTTTAGCTTAGTAGGATGGGCCGTGGTTTTTCTCTGTGAGACAGGGGAGGGATACTTCCCTCTCTCCTGAGTGGAGAAAAGGTGGGGGGCATCAAGAGAGCAGTCCATAAAGATAGGGGTGCCAGCAAAAGGGGAAGTAGATTAGATGTCTGATTTAGCTGAATACACTCAGCTGTCCTAGATATAAGCTTATAGTAACTGAAAGTAACCATATAATTATATAATCTTCCTGGAGTATTGTTACAGGACAGTAAAGTGATTGGAAAAAAAAAACATACAAAATACAATATTGCATGATTTAGTAAACCGATTATATCACTGTCAACATCATCATTGTTGTCATTGTTATTATTGTCATAATCTTCCTCTTTACCCAGCCCATTAATTTGTGGGGGGTGGGCACCTCTTGCCGAAAGGAAGGTAATATGAGGTTTAGGGAAGCTGAAGAAAAACTCTTGTTTGGGAAATACGAGTTTTGCAGTTGCGCATGAAGATGGCTTCTGGCTCAGCCTGCCTTCTAGTATCTAGCTCCCTGAGGAGAGTTCTCAGGTCACTGCAGCAATACACAGGGGGAACCAGGGTTCATATTTCAGGCCTGTTTGAAAACATATCTGCAAGGATTTAGCCAGGGGATTAATGCCTTCCACAGAGCTGGTGTGACTTCTCTTCTCTGGCAAGAACACAGATGGGTAAACAAGTATAAATTCCATTTTTTCATGAAGAGGGGATTAGGAATCTGCACGAAATAGCTTTCTTCTCAAAACAACTTATGTTTGGTTCTTGTCCTTGTTTCTCGAAGGGAATCTTGGGCCATTGGGAAATGAAGCTGCTGGAACACAATGGTCAGAATTTGGCTAGCATTCAGAAGCTGCCTCTTCAGTGGCCTGGCTGAGTCCAGGTGGGCTCTCTTATTGGGTTCCTCAGAGACGGTATCCTCTAAAGACTCAGAGATGGGTGCAAGACGTAAACACTTTAGCATGAGGTATCATGGAATCCTTTTAGAATTATGGAAGCTGCCTTCTTGCTGAGGAAAATTGGGTTCAAATACTACATCTGGCTTTTCTGGATTCTTACCTGCCATCTTAAGCAAGAAAGAAAATCTTGCCATGGCTCAAGCTTTGCCATGCTCATTTGGAGAGTTTTGATTGGTGTCTGGGATTATACATAAAGCTAAAGACAATTTGGATGGCCTCCCAAAATAACAACAAATGAGGGAAAGAAGTCAGAGAATCCCAAAATAAATTTCTCTGTTATTTGCTCGTATAAAAGGAGCATGGGTTCTGTAGTCAACATCGTTTCTCTTAGGCACTTGTCTTTGTGACTTTGCAAGTAAACGTCCCAACTTATATCCATCCCTATTGAATTCATCTTCTATTTTTACCCTTGCTCATTCCTCAAGTTTCAATTGGAATGTGTTTATTAAGTGGTAGAATTGGTGTACACAAATATACACACAAACAAACACACAATTTTATATACTCTCACCCCAACCAGTGTTTAAAAAAAAAAAAAAGCGTAAAACAATTTTCTGGAATCTTACTGCTCAAATCAACCCCGCAGAAGGATGATACCATCAATTTTGTACAGAAGCCATATAGTGAGTGAAGACCAGCTGCCTGAGCAATTAAAAATAAGTAAAATATCAAAATTTAAAGCCACTATACCCGCATTTCTTAAACTTTTTGGTCTCAGAACACCTTTACACTTTTAAAAATTATTGAGTACCCTCAAGGGCTCATATTGATGTGTGATATAGTTCTCTATAGCTTTAATATTAGGAAAAAAAGCAAAAAAATTAAAATATTTATTATCAGTATATTTAAAATAATAAACTCATATCTTAATATAAATATTTTTATTAAAAACACTTTTATTTTCAAAAACCAAGAAAATATACTGAGAAGAGTAGCATTGTTTTACATTTTGTAAACCTCTTTAACCTCTAGCTTACTGGAAGACAGCTGGAATCAAACATCTGCTTTTGCATTTAATCTGTTGGAATATATTGGTTTGGTTGAAATATATGAAACAATCAGGCACACAGATACTTAAATTGGCAAAGACAGGGACCTTGTGGAATCCCTAAAACCATTTTAGTAACCCTCAGGGATTCTTAGACTTTACTTTGAGAACTGCTGCTCGGTCTAACACCCAGGACTGTGAAAGATTCTGACTAGAATGCAGAGGACTCACCTCTTCAAAACAAAGATGTGCCCACTGGGCCCCTTTGCGCAGCAGGCTGCACTCAGAAGGGAATTCTAAGGAAGTACAGAAAGCAGTCTCAGGGCCAGGCATGGTGACTCACATCTGTAATCCCAGCGCTTAAAAGACTGAGGTATGAGGATTGCTTAAGGTCAGGAGTTCAAGACTAGCCTGAGCAATATAGCAAGACTGTCTCTATAAATATAAAAAATTAAAAAATATTAGCTGGGTATGGTGGTGCATACTTGTAGTTCCAGCTACTCCAGAGGCTTAGTTGGGAGGATCATTTCAGCTCAGGCACCCTGAGCAACATCCTGGGTGAGAGAATACATGAAGTGCTTAAAAACAGTGCTGGGAGGCACACAATAAATGGCTGAAATTTGCATTTTTAAATTCAATGATAATAAGGCTAATACTTATGAAATGAAACAATAATAACTATCCTTTATTAATAATATGCAGGGTATGGTCTGTGGACTTCACATGTATTATTAACAAATGTAGTCTTTGCAAAAACTCTGTAAAATAGAGCATTAGTTTCCTAGGGCTGTTCTTAACAATGTACCGCAAATAGAGTGGCTTAAAACAATAGAAATTTCTCACAGTTTTGGAGGCCACAAGTCCAAAATCAAAGTGTTGGCAGGGGCATGCTTTCTCTGAGGGCTCTAGAGGAGAATCTGTTCCACGCCTCTCTCTTAGCTTGGTGTTGCTGACAGTCTGTGGTATTCCTTGGCTTGTAGATCGATGACTCCAACCTCTCCCTCCATTGACAAATGGTGTTCTCCCTGTGTTTCTCTTCTTCTTTAAAGCACACCAATCATATTGAATGATGTCATCTACTCTAATAATATCTGCAATGAGCATGTTTCTAAATAGGGTCACATTCTTAGGTTCTGGGAAGGATCTGAATTTTGAGGGGACACTATCCAATTCAATAGAGGTAGATATTATTTTATCTTCATTTTATAGATGAGTAAGCCATGCACAGAGAGGTTAAGCAATCTGCCCAAGATTACACAGCTAGTAAGTGACAGAGCTGGGGTTCAAGCCAAGGCAACCAGACTTCTGAATCCATGTTCTTAGTCAGTGTGCCATACGTAAGGCACATTAAATTAAATACGTAAACTATGATATGTGATATGTTATAGGATTTCACCTATTTTTAAGGGCAAATATTTTCTTCAAATGAAATATGATAGAAGTCCATGTTGTAAATCTGAAAAATATAGAGTTCTCTAGTTGAATTTGTTGCAGAAGGGCTCTAAAAATATGCAGAATGCTGAGGAGCATGCCTTAAAAACCACTTTATTAGTTTCTTCTTGTTGCTGTAACAAATTACAACAAGCATAGTCACTTAAAACAACACAAATTTATTATCTTGCAGTTCTGGAGGTCAGAAGTCCAAAACAGGTTCCACTGGTGTTGGCAGGCTCTAGAGGGAATCTGTTCCTGTGACTTTTTTGAGGTCTACAGGCCATCTGTATCCCTTGGCCTGTGGCCTCTTCCTCCATCTTCAAAGCCAGCAGTATAGCCTCTTCAGATCTCTCTTTGACTCTGAATCTTCATCCTCCCTCTTCCGTTTCTTAAAGACACTTGTGATTACATTGGGCTCACTTGGAGAAAAGGAATATCTCATCTCAGTTTAATCACATCTGTGGAATCCCCTTTACCAAGGAAGGTAACATGTTCACAGGTTTCAGGGATTAGGACAGGTGCCGTTTTTCTGCCTACCACAACCATTGGCCAGATAAGAAGAGGAGAGGGCAATCAGGAAGTGTGGAGTGTTGGCAGGAACTCACTGAGCAGAGGAGAGTCTGAGGTAGATCTTACAGATGGGGAAGTTTTCCATGATGTGGAGAGGATTCCAGGAAGGCTAAGCAGCATGAGAAAAGCATAGCAGTTAAAGTGAGCCTGGCATGAGCACGTTGGGTGGCAGGGAGATGGGTCTAAACTGAAGAAAAGAGGTGTGAGTTGGAAAATTATGGAAACTGTGCAAAAGTTGGGTTCAATTCTTCTTCAACCATGAAATGTGGAGGGTAGTGCCTTCTTTTTAACAAGCAACATTTCAGTATAATTTGTGAATGGTCTGTGCTGGAAATTAGGAATGGATTAGCTAAGCTGAGATTCTATCACAGAGCTTTTTTTTTTTTCTGACTGGCATCTTTCTATCTGTCTTTTCTGATTCCGTTAACCCTTTTTTACTTTTGTTCTTTCAAATTGAGTTTTAGCTTTGTAGCAGACACCGTCAGTACCCCTAATGCACCCTTTCCTCCACCCTGCATCTGTTTGCCTTCAAAATGCCAGCAATTTTTTTTTCTAACATCTTTCTCTCGCCCCAAAGATTGCTTTGCGTACCTGCCAGGTGGTCAAAAATTTTGAAGGATTCACCACTCCTCCACTTCACAGCAGCTCTCTCCCAATGACTGAGGGGAGTTGACATATAAATTATATTTCTGTTTTACCCCTTCACTGGGATAACTGAAGCATGTGTCCTACACTGGCTCCCTGAGTTACTCAGCAACTCCTGCTCCAGTTGCCCCCAGTGGTAACTTGACTGATATTGAACCCTCTGCTGGCTCCTTCCCTTCCTTGTCTCATTTCCCTACTCCCCTACAGGTGTTCGTTGCAATCGACTCCCAGGTGAACTAGTTGCCCTGTGGATCCATATCACAGGGGGCATGAATTATGTCTTTGGGGAGACATGCAAAACAGGCTTTCATCAACCCCCAATTCAACCCCTCTAAAGGGTTAAAAGAAGTCAAGGGGGAAAGTGTTCACTAGGAAAATGTAAGAGAAGAGTTATGTGCAAACAGGAAGGGGTAAAAAATGTGAAAGAAGGGACTATTGCATGTAAAATGGTTCTAATTAGAAATATCCTGGAAAATAAATCTTGGTCCATTGTCAGGGGCAGCGTATAGCATAGAAAATATGGTCTGTAGAATCACTGGGAAGAAAGGTCCAGCCAAGAAGGCTGGGCCCCTGTAGTAGACATGTTTGCAGTTCTTAACCAACTCCAATAACCTTGCAGTCTGAGTGTTAGCAAGAGGGTCAGTTGAGACCTGACTTGCCCGTGATTCAGATAGTCCAACCCTATTATGGAAGGACATGGTTTCAGCAAGTCCAGTTTCCTATGAAACTAATCACCTAGGGAATGCCTTGAGGGAGATCCAACATGAGTGCCCGCCTCTCAGACACTGGGAACGCCTTTTTTTTTTTTTTTTTCTCACAGGGATTTTGGGAAGTATTGCCCTGGCAAATACACTATTGACAATTTCCTCAACCCCTGGAAGAATCCTCTGAACTAAGGCTTATTCCATAAGCCTCTCCTTTTATTGGTTAAAGATCAAGTGATTTATTATCAAACAATGTATTGCTGTTTGAACAGAAACTCAAAATTGCCTTTTGAATTTGTTGACGTCGGTTTTAGATAAATATTCAGGGTCTGGAAAAGAATGTTGACTTCTTTGTTATACTTTGGTTATAATTCTTATTTCTGTTATCCTTTGCTTTTAATAAGACTGGATTAAATTGAATGTTTAAATGAATTAGAGGAAATTTGGGACCCTTTGACAAACTCCTTTTACATATGCTGAACTTTAAGAGGTGAAGTAAGAGACAAGATTGGAAAGATTCTGAGAAAAGTGTTGGTTGGTGCTGGGAAGTAGGAATGAATACTACTGATGAGCAGGCTGAGTCCTCTCTAGAGGGCTTTGCTCTTCACTCTGATGAATGTAAGCTAGTAGTGATCAACTGAATATTTTTGAACATGGGACTGATGCAGTCACTATGATGAATAAAGGCCCTCTAAATATTTTATTTTTCTTCCATGACTTCTTTGTCATTCAGACAGATCATACAGGATAGATTAGATTGAACCATATGAGATTAGGTTTGACCATTTTTGCAGGCTAACCAGTCAAATATTGGCAATTTCATGTGATTTCACCTAATGTCTTCTAAGCGAAGTAACTAGAACTGGCTTAAAACTTCTAGTTGTGAAATGGACTCTAGAATATTTTCTTCTTCCTGTCCATTGGCAGCTGCAGAGGCCTGCCAGTTGGAAGATTGGCAACACCCAGGGTGGGAGCCCCCCGGGAGGGACTACAAATATTATCACATCCTTGCCTCCTGCCTGGTGGAGTCAGTTTTCAGGCCAACATTAGAGGACCCCTGCTGAGCTAGTGCCTCTTCCAAAGCCAGCTTCTCAGTGGGAGGAAGTGTCAGCATGTGGAGCTATCTTTTTGTAACTTCCATGAAAGAGGAAGGGCAGCTGGCATCTTCAAAAGACTGTTGCTATTCTGTGGAGTCACCTAGAGACGTCACAAGCTTTTCCCTGGTAGTCACACAACCAGATGGCCTATGGTGAGCCCCTGTGAGAAGGGAAATAGACTGATCTGTCAAATACTTTATGGAAGTGTGAGAAAAGGAGGAGAGAGGAGGATGGATGGAAAGAGGGAAAGGGGAGAAGAGAAAGCATGAGGAGGGGGCTCGATATTGACAGAGAATTGAAATTGAAGCTTAGAAACAGAAAACTACTTTTCTACACGTGTGCCTCCATGCAAATCTTCCATGGGGAAATTGAGGGTTGCAAAATGTCCAAATCCCAAACAAGAAATATAATCTGCTAAAAATTTTCCTTTTTTTTTTGTTCTGTGGATTTGTTATTTTAAAAAATCCTAAAAATGTCTAAAATGTGTCATCTGGATTGAAAAAAATAAAATAGTATTTAATCAATGGTTGAGCAATAATTTAGAAAGACCATTGCACTTCTGAACTAGTTTTCTCTCTCTAGCTAGCCGTATAGCTTTGTGCCCCTCTCCCATTTTCTCCCTTTCTGGCCTCAGTTACTTAAATCAGCTACATGACCCAGTCATGTAGGCTAATTGTTGAAGGCAGTAGGGTCTGAGAAAAAGCTGGATAGGCAGAACTTTGACCTCTCACCCCATGTCACTTGGATCATGTCAGTGCCAGAAACTTCGTCTCATTTAAAAAAAATTGTCTATCTTTCCACTTAATAAAGCTAGAGTCCTTTCGATGAAGCCCTTCCCTGTCCTGTCTGCAGTTCACCTAAGAAACCTCCAGACTTCTCCATGTTTCCAAGAACCTCTATCAGATTGCTTACTTAAGATTCCATGAGCCATTATCATACCTCCTTCAGCCAAGACTTGTCATCATTGATGGTAAAAAATAGAAAATAAGTGTGTCTGCTAATAAAAGACATTTTCTTTTTTTTCTCCCTGATAGCATCTTGGTAGATATGGCCTGATTCAATATTTGAATGGAATGGTTGGCCTGAAAATAAGACTTCAGACAAAAATAAATGAGATTGATGGAAATACATCATCAGTGCACAAAATCCAAGGCATCTGGTAGAATTCTATTACCCATTTTTTCCACTTGGGGAGAAAGATTAGTTTCTGCTGCTTTCTGTAAGTGCAGCAGAGGGAAGGTTGTGGTTTTGGTTGAGAAAGCATTCTTATTATCCACCACTATTTTTAGAAGTTTTAGACGTCTATCTTATTGACTTGAGTTTATAATTTAGACTTGTAACCATTAGAAAAAATAGGCCTTCCCCCTTGAAATTTCTCATGCATGCTTTTAGTCCAGAGGAGAATTTTTTTGAAAGTTTACCAACCTTTCCTTATCATCAGGGTTATAGAGCTACTCAAAGAGAAAAGAGTGCTATTTTATCCATAATGTCCTGGGACACTCCCTAGATTCCCACTCCCTACCCGAAATTCATGGTATCCCTGAGGATCTGTGGGTCACTGAGGATCCACAGTATATGAATTCAAGAGTTGGAGAAGTTCTGAGTAGTACATACTGAACATTCATTCATCCAACTTATATTACTTGCTGTCTATTTTCTGTTTAGAGGTCGTATTTGGAGTATATAGGGTGGGGGTCGGAGGTGCTCATGTGAGACATTACAGAGATGGACTCTTTGGAAAAATTGAGGGTAGCTTTAGTAGATGCTGCTGGCCCCATAGAGTGTTACACTCCCCTTCTCACTGCTCTAGGTATTACCCGATAAGAGCTTGCTGTGGTCTGAAGTTTGTGTCCCCTCAAAATTTATAGGTTGAGATGTAATTACCAAGTGCAGTAGTATTAAGAAGTGGTACCTTTGGGAGGTGATTAGGTCATGAGGGCCCCACCCTCATGAATGGGAGTAGTATCCTCATAAAAGAAGCCTGAGGGAGCTTGTTTGCCCTTTACTCCATGTGCAGATGCAGCAAGAAGGTGTCGTCTATGAGGAATGGGCCCTTAAGAAACCTAGAACCTGATGGCACGTTTATCTTCGACTTCCCGGTCGTCAGAACTGTGAGCAATGAATTTCTTTTGTTAAAAAATTTACCCAGTCTATGGTATTTTGTTATAGCAGCCTGAATGGACTAAGACAGGGCTGAAAGCTGAACCCTTCTACAGAGACTTGTCCTCTACCATGAGACCTATATTTCTAGGAAATGCTGAAAGGTATGCTCTCCTCCCGAGGAGTAGCCACAGCTGATAACTGACTGAAATAAGGCACAAAAGCCCAATCCCATTTCCTCAAGATGAGACAGCTCATGGTGCTGCTCATTCTGCAGAGTTTCTTGTGCTCAGGCTGAGACTGAATTTCTCATTCAGCTTCTTCACCTGCCCTATCCTGCTTCTCTTACTCTCTTATGGTTGGTTTTCTTCTGGGGGCACTAAATCACCTGCATAAGAATCCCCATCTTAGGTTCTTGTAGAGAACCTGATTTAAGATAGTAATATTTGTTTTGTCAATTAATGTTGGCTTTGTTCTATATGCAGTGTATATTCTTTGTTGAAAATAAGAAAATCTGATAAATAACAAAATAAATAGCTCTGGACTCTAGAAGTGACCTTTGTTGACCTTGGCAAATATCCTTTTATACAGAAATATTTATGTAGTAACCATTACATTGATGGCCCTGGGTAGACTATATCTCCCATATTTATGCCCTTGTTTAGTCCTTTCCCATTTTGTCTCTTGCTTTGGTCATGTGATTTATTTTTATCAATGGGATCCCAGCAAACATTATGCAAGCAGAGGCATGGCAAGAGCTTGCATATCAGGGTTTGTATTGACTTTACTTTCTTATTTTCTGTATATTTGATGCTCTGGCATTTGGGTACTTGATCCTGGAGGGAACATCCATTCCAGGGCTAGCTAATTCGTAGAAATAGCAAATGACTCCCCTGTGAGAGTACCTTTGATATACAAACCAAGTAGCCCAGAGCCCACACCCCTAATCATCTTCTTTATCTCTCACACACCAATCCAATATTCCTTCTATCCTAAATCACCCCAGGGCCAGGTATCAGACAACTAGCAAGCACCCCTATAGCCCAGAGCTCTCTGAAATGATTAAAACTCTCTAGTCTTAAGCTTACTCAGCATGCCTACCCTGCCCCTTCCATTCCTTCTCGTGAAAACCCCATCAAAGGGTCTCAGTCATTCTCGTCCTTCTCCCACTTCTGCTTCCTAACTGACCTTAGTGCTTCCCTCTTTAGACCAGCACATCAGGCCATGCCTCCTGTTTCTAGAGGTCTGTGCTTATGAACTTCCTCCTTTGTGGCAGCTATTTCCTTGTCTGCCTTACCATATCTGATTAAAACAAATCCTGGGTACATATTTAGAGCAGAGTTTGTTTTCTTAGAACTCTCCCTCTTTAAAGCCAGTCCCCATGCATAACGAATTTACAGTAACTGTCCTGAATGATGAGTGAGACCCTGGAGAATGAGAAGCCCCATAGGAGGCTCTACACCAGGTGAGCTCCTAGCTGAATGCAGATGCATGTGGAATCTCAGCTGTACTACAGGGGGCAGAGCTGCACGTTAGAGCACAGTAAACCCACAGAATTGTGAGAAATAATGTCATTGTTGTTTTAAGTCACTGAGGTTTGGACTTCTTGTTATGCAGCAGAAGATTATTGAAACAATGTAGCAGGAAAGGAACCTTATGGTGCCAGGTCTGCCTTTCATTCCGCAGGTATGCAGCATATCTCCCTCCGCACTACCCTACCATCCCAGGGAAGGAAAGCTTCTCATTTCATTGATAAAATTCTATGGCATTCATAGGCCCATGTTTCCCACTGGGCCAGGTTGCTGTATTTAAAAGGTGGCTCCCAGGTAGTTTACCTTCATTGGCTCTCCTCATTCCATGCAGTGAGATCAATAAGGCAGGGCCCAACTCTCCTCTCTCTGTATGCATGGCTAAACAGAATTTTTGGTTTTGGCTGTGGTGATGCGGCAGAGGTCCCACTTAGGCTCCCAGTTCACCTTTAACTGTCTTTATGGACATTTCAGGCAGTGACCCAACTAATAAACTGGTACTCTGTTTACTATTTGGATTTGTTCCTTGGATTGCTTGGGACCCAAGGTGCAAGCCACCTTGGGAATGCTAACAAATAGGAAAACTTAGCAGGGCAAAAGCCAGGCATTCCTGAGTTTTCTGACCCCAAATACTGAATACCATCAAAACCTCTCCACATTTTTACCTCTTACACTTTACATCTACCAAAACAAACTCACAATTTCTGTAACCTTCTTTTTCATAACAAATATGCTGCAACTATATCTTTATGTCTATAAAAAACTTCAGTGTAATTTTCAATGGCAAATCGCATTCTATTGTATAGATAGTGATTCATTTAACTGACATGATTTTTAAAATTTAAGTTCTGTTTTTTTTTCACTATTATAAAAAATACTGTGCTGAATATTCTTAAAGCCGAATGCTTATGCACATTCTTAAATATTTTCCTAGGATACATTCATAGAAGTAGAATTTTGAATCAAAAGGGTATGTGAATTTTTAAAGCATTTAGTAAATATTGCCAAGCCTACCCCCACCACCAGCCACCACCACAAAAGACTGGATCACTTTGTACTCTTAGAAGTGGACGAGTATGACCATCTTCTATCATCCTCACCATCACTGATATTTTTATTTTTACCATTTTTATAAGAAAGATGTGGCCAGGTGTGGTGGCTCACGCCTGTAATCCTAGCACTTTGGGAGGCCGAGACGGGCGGATCACAAGGTCAGGAGATCGAGACCATCTTGGCTAACACGGTGAAACCCCGTTTCTACTAAAAATACAAAAAATTAGCCGGGTATGTTGGCGGGCGCCTGTAGTCCCAGCTACTCTGGAGGCTGAGGCAGGAGAATGGCGTGAACCCGGGAGGCGGAGTTTGCAGTGAGCTGAGATCGCGCCACTGCACTCCAACCTGGGGGACACAGCGAGACTCCGTCTCAAAAAAAAAAATAAAAAGAAAGATGCTATCTCAATGTTTTAATTTCTATTTATTTGATTACAATGAGGCTAAATAGTTTTTATATGTATATTTGTCATTTTGCTTCTTAATCTGTGACGTGACTATTCATAAAATATTTTAAAATATTTTAATTTCCATGTAGTATCATTTATCTAGAAAACTACATCCAATTGGCTATCAGTTTTGTGAATTATGGGAGAATTATGGACAACTCTTATTTGACCTGGTTGGAAGCAGAAAATTAATGTCCAAGTACATTTGTTGAACACAGATTTGACTGGATGGTGGAAATCCAATGTGAATAAGCCACAGTTCCTATACTCTAGTCCTCTGCAGGCTAGGAAGGAAAATGCTTAATGATATTTTTTAATTTAAAAACTATTATTTTATTTTGATAAGAACACTTAACATGAAATCTACCCTCTTAACCAAATTTTAAGTGTATAATACATTATTGTTGACTATAGATACAATGTTGTACAGAATATCTCCAGAGTTTACTTATTTTGCTTGACTGAAACTTTACTCTGATTTATTAGTAACTCTCCATTTCCTCCTCTCCCTAGAATGTTGTTCTTTAAATTCCATTTTGATTCAAGACATGACTAGGGTTTAATACATAATTTTCCAGTTGCTTGGAGAAGTACTAGACCTAGAAAAATACCAGAAAAAAGTATTGATTTGGTCCCAGAATTGCCACAAGGATATTGTGAACACCTAAGACATTTTTTCACAACTTTCTGCACCCGGCATGCATGATTCAGTTCTTTGGATCTAGGCCTTTGGTTCCAAGTATGGAAAGACCTCTGCAGTGGGATTTGTAGTATATGCAGTAAATCCTAAAACTTTTTTTTTTTTCTTAGCTCTTCCTACAGCAGGAGCTAAGAAGCCATACTGAGCACAATTTCTGAGTTGCTTTCACCTTTCCTTCTTCCATGTAATCTCTTCCTTCTTAGTCTTTTAGACAGCTCTATTTTCAGCTTTGCATCCGCAGAGTGAACCAGAGAAGATCTCTGGAGGCCAGCAGTCATGTTCGATTTTGTGTGAGCAAGGACTAATTGTATATTTGAACATTGCTCTCATGGGGCATTTGCTTCTTATTTTAATAATAAAGCTTGCAGTGATTATAACTACTCCACAAAGGCAAATTTCATTCATATTGCCCCTCAAATAAACATCATGGTACTAACAGTAGTTTAGTATGCTTTAGATAAAGATTTTGAAAAAAAAAATTCTGCCTTCTCTGTCATTCCTTTGTGTCTGCAAGAAATAAGAATGCAACAAAGAAACCAAAGCATACTGAATTAGTTTTCTGATGGTATCAATAAGGGACCTTTTGTGGGTAGGTGTGCTTGGCATTTCTGACAACTCCTTGAATACCTCCAATAGCTCTAATTTGAAGCTTATGATTTCCTATGGCTCTCCTGTCCATAGATTTATTTAAAGCTCTTTGTTTTTAGCTCACACCAAATTTCTGGTAATGAATTAGTTATGTTCCCACTTTCATATTGCAATATAATTTAGTATTTTCTTAAATTATTCACTAATAACTTTGTTTCTCCTTTTTAAAGAACTGTTATTTTTCATGAACAGGAAGTATCTCTTACTTTAATTTCTTATTTCTCTTCTGAAAAGCAGTCCACTCCTTGCCAAATAAATGTGAGTTCTGAGGATTGGTAGGCATCTTTCTTGGAAGCTCTTCTCAGCCAAGTAGAAAGTCTCTCATGGGACTCAGTTTTATAGTTAGTTCTCTTCTCTACATTTAGTATGAGGCTCTCAAAAGCAAACTTTGGAACTTATGTTTTGCAGCTCTGCTTGAGCAAAGAGTATGGTTTTGGCTGGTCTTACCAGAGGATGCAGTTCAAACACAATAATTTTTGAAGACTTTTCAGGCTGTCAAGCTTCTTCCCATCTTTTGACTTCTAAAGAGCTACATCTGGGCTCTGAAAGTAGTTCAGAACAGTGCCTGAAAAAGAACAGCTTTAATAGTCAAAAGGGAAAAATATGTAAGGAACAAGTTAAAGAATGGGCAAAATCTTCATGTTTTTGCTCTTTAACCCATATAAACTAATGAGAATGCATTGTCAACATGTCATGTTTATCCTTTTAGTGTTGGCCTTCTTAGTGTTGGCCCTCTTGTTGAAGATTGCTTCATGAAAATAGTGGAGAGGACTTAGAGGAGATTGCCTCTACCTGCTGGCTCTGGAAGAGGACACTGCCCTCCTCTGAAGACATTGTACACCACGATTGAATTCTCTTCCAACTCCACATTTCAAAATGTGCCTAGTAGACCTTTCAGGTTTTCTGAATGCTATTCTTGGAAGAATCATAATGGATGCTAAAAATAAACAAATTGTCTCTAAAAGAATCAAGTAAAGAGCTTGTAACAAAAGCAAAAGCCGTCACCATTACCAATTTTGAGTCATTACTATGCATTAAGTCCTGTGTTTATTAAGACTATTACATCCATTGACTCATGTAATCAACTCACGCAAATGCTAGAAGATTGGCGAGTTTTATTATTCTAGTTTTATAGAAGGGGAAACTGAAGCTTAGCAAGATTAATAAATTTTGGCCAAAGATCTACACGGATAAGTAGTAGAGCCAGAATTTAAACTCAGGTTAGACTAACTTCCAACTGCATACTGCATACTGATGTTTTCACCATGCTAAGAGCTAAGGATCATAGAATTTTACAATTGGAGGGAAACGCCTCTACCTCTCCCATTTTACAAGTGGGAGACCTGAGACCTGGTCTGGTTCTGGTGAGTGTCCTCTTCTGGATGCAGGCTTTTAACTTCTAGTTTTATCCTCACATTGCACTAGCATGAGAGAGTGCGCTAGTACTCTGGCCTCTTCTTATAAAGGCACTAATCTCATTCATGAAGGTTCCAGTTATGACCTAAATGTCTCCCAAAGATTCCACCTGCTAATGCTATCACATTGATGATTACATTTCAACATATAAATGTTGGAGGCACACAAACATTCAGTTCATAACAGAGATCTACTCACAGCATAGCGATTTGCTTCTTTCAAGCCAGCAGCCAAGAAAATCTCACTTCAGTCTGCTGTAGGTAACATGGCATGATCATGGGAGTGATATTTCATCACCTTTGCCATGGTCTGTTGACTAGAAGCTAGCCAGTATTCATTCAAAGAGGTTTTCTTCAAGGGCATAACTCATTTAGGGTCATGTTAGAATTCTGCTTTCCCAAGACAGAGGAAAAGTTCAGAGAGGATGAATGTAGCAGACGATATCAAACTGAAAGTGACAGAATGTTCATATAGGTGTGCATTCAGGAATTACCTGGTGTCATGGGTCTTAGCTGTGGCTGAACATTAGCATCACCGAAGGAACTTTAAACAAATAACCCCATGCCTGGAGAGTCTGATTTAATTAGTCTAGGTTAAGACCTGGGCATCACATTTAAAAAAAAATCTCCCCACATAACTCAAATACATCCAGGGTTGAGAAACCTGATCTAGTCCAACTACCTTGTTTTTTAGATGAGGAAGTTGAAGCTTCATTGTTTTTTAGATGAGGAAGTTGGAAGAGACGAGGGAGTATTCTAAGAAAATAAACTCTGTTCTAAAAACCAGGTAGGTTATGTCTTCTTGAAATACATGCATCCAGCTACTTGCAGGAGTAGGGTAAGACCCAGTTGTTTTAGCTAAGGTCAGGTCTTCCTAGCATTGGACAAACATATGAAACCTTGTAGAGGTTGTCCAATTTGCCATGTGATTATGGCCAAAAAATCTCTAAATTTTAGGTTTGACCAAAGTTATGTTAAATTCTCTCCTTTGATGTATAGTCAACTTCTTATTACCAATATGATTTTCCCAGATTGAGTTTTCCAGATTTAGGGGAAAAGTATTTTCCGTTGTGGCTTAAACCTCACATTATTTGATCCTTATAGAGGATGCTATTTATTTTCTGACATGGATGAAATGGGAACATGAACTGTATCATTTAGAAGGGTGGTCGAACTCTTTTGGTAAAACATAATTAATCTGAAAGGATAAACTAAACCACCTGTTGGGCTGATGGGTCCTGATCTAGTGATGAGTAGACAAGGCCATTTTTGGGGGTTTGGCCATGCATTAGAAAAATGAGTTCTTTACTTTCCCATGCCATTCACTCAGTCTCTACTACTATAGAATCCCAGTTGGTAGAGAAAGAAATATATTCCAATCAAAGCCAAAATTTGCTATATTTAGCCCTGTGTATTAGTCAAGGTTCTCTAGAGGAACAGAACTAATATATGTGGGAGTTTATTACATAGTATTAACTCACACAATCACAAAGTCCCACAGTAGGCCATCTGCCAGCCGAGGAGAAAGGAAGCCAGTCCAAGTCCCAAAGCTGAAAAACTTGGAGTCCGATGTTTGAGGGCAGGAAGCATCCACCATGGGAGAAAGATGTAGGCTGGGAGGCTAAGCCAGTCTAGCCTTTTCATGTTTTTCTGCCTGCTTTACATTCTTGTGGCATTGGCAGCTGATTAGATGGTGCCCATCCAGATTAAGGGTGGGTCTGCCTTTCCCAGCCTACTGACTCAAATGTTAATCTCCTTTGGCAACACCCTCACAGATATACCCAGGGTCAATACTTTGCATTCTTCAATCCAATCAAGTTGATGCTCAGTATTAACCATTGCACTCTACTTCCCTGTTGGCTTAGGCAAGCCATATTTCCATTTTGAAGAGATAGTAGGGACACCAAAGCCCTAAACATGAGATTCCCTTGGCTCCCAAACTTGTCAGGAACAATCTTGAATAGCTGCTCTTTTACTTGACCAACAAAGTATTTCTGTATGTTTTATCAAAAATAATGGGAGTCCCCAAGAATCTGGCACTAGCTTCTAATTATTCCAGCCCAGTGATGTGGAAGGATCTAGACTGGGCACTTTGGCATTTCCTCACCAGACTAGCCTAATACTGAAAGTCACAACCTAGAACAGATGATCCCACAAGATTTTCCAGATACTGACAATGAGGACAAGTTATCTGTGAAAAATTCTCATTGAAAAGTTCAAGGATGTGATCATGCATTTGAGATGCACATAACCATATTGAGTTTAATTTAGAATGAAGAAGAGTATGTTAACTCATTTTGATTAAAAACTCCTCTAGAAGAGCTGAAAAATGTCTGCAATATCTGTAGAGAACTAAATATACAGTTAAATACCACATAATCACAATAATCACCATGGAAAGTCTGCATAAATTCCTGGGAGCCTAAGGGCCATAGTAATTAATGCTCCTGCAATTTATGCAGGGCTTTTTTTTTTTTAAATGGTAACTTGTTCTCCTCTTCATTAACAGAAATAGTTACCTGTTACCGAGAAATGTAGTGACTGAGAAATACAGCCCTAACTCCACAGAGAAACACAGCAGCCTCTTCCTGAGTCTGAGGAGGAACCAGTTTTTAAAATCAGCTCTCTGGCCTGATGTAGGGTACTAAACATTGAAGGCTGAGAGATGTTTCTCAGAAGATTGAGCAATCGTATTAACTCTATAATCTTTCTTCTTGTCTTTCTTGTAATCAGCACTGCCCTTGGTGTCTTACCTTATGAATTTCAGAATGCAAAATACTTGAGTGGGGCCAGGTATGGTGGCTCATGCCTGTAATCCTAGCACTTTGGGAGGCTGAGGCGGGTGGATTACCTGAGGTCAGGAGTTCGAGACCAGCCTGGCCAACATGGTAAAACTCCATCTCTACTAAAAATACAAAAATTAGCTGGGGGTGGTGGCAGGCATCTGTAATCCCATCTTGCAGACAGATGGCTTTTTTGTTATTTAAAACACACACACACACACACACACACACACACACACACACACACACACACATTCATTCTTTATTCTCATTGAAAGAGTATGGGGTGGGGAAGAGGATGGATTACTCTAAATCTTTTCAAATATTTATTAAATGAATTTCTGATTAGCACACACATTATACATAGTAAGTATAATGGAGCATCTGCAAATGTAGCTAAGTTTGACATTCTTTTCCTGTGATATTTCTGTATAGGTGGGGCAGTTGGATAGTCATGGAGACAAGCACTAGACTGTGTGCCCCTGGTCCTGGATACAGTTTGTATCAAGAGAAAAGATGAATGACTATTTGGCAGGAGGCTTAAAATAAATTACAGTATCTATCCCCCCTCAATTCACTTTTCATATATATCTTCTTTTATGGAAGAACTGAACTTATATCCCTGTGATAGTACTTAGAAGCATAAGATACAGGATTCCATGAGAAAATTGAGTCTGGAGGAGTGATGCAATTTGATCAATGTCATACAATGGCCAAATATAGGTTAGAACCTTGCTGTTCAAGGTATAGATGCAGATCATACGTTGAACAGACTGATAGAAATGCAAAATGTTAGACCCCATGCCAGACATACCACATCAGAAATTTACATTTTAACAAGTCTCGCTTGTGCAGATTCATATTCACCTAAAGTGTGAGACATACGCTAATTTTGAAGCTATAATTGTTTCTACTAGATCATTGTATTATGTGTGATGTTTTGGGCTGCAAGTAATAGCATCAAACAGGAATAGCATACGAAAATAGGACTATTATTGTTTCCTGTAACATGAAGTCAGGAAAAGGTGTTCTCATGATTGATTTTATCAATGACTAAAATTCATTTTCACTCTTCCATTTCATTATTTTCAATGTTTTGGCTTTATTGCCTCATTGATACAAAATGGCTGCTATAATGCATACAGCTGAGTCTGAAGACAAGAATAATTGGATGAAGGGAGAGGGTAGAAGAGGGATCCAAAAGACTTTTCACTTATCATGTTATAGCCTGTTGCAAAATCTTTCTCAGAAAATATCCCAGGGCATTCATTCCCTTGGGTCTTCTTGGCCAAGTTTTGGCCACATGGTCATACTCTAGCTGGAAGAGAGATTCAGAAAACCCCACCAGGTTTTACAGTGGGAGTTGGCCACTGCCAGTGAGGAAGACAGTGAGGGATGCCTGGGTAAGTAACGTACAGTGTCTGCCTCATCATGCTGCCTTAAAGATATCCTGGATGTAAATAATTATAGAACATGAGAGATCTTCTATGTTATTATTCCTTTTTGTTCCTCCCCCACCTTTTTTTTGCATGGGAAAACTGGAATCCTGAGAATTAAAGGGCTTCCCCTTAGTTAGATGTTTAGTTAGGTCAGAGGATTAGATAGAAGCCAGCACTCATTACTCCTGGTCTGCTACTGTGGCAGACACTGTAGTTACAAAGCAGTTAAGTGTAGACACTTTAGTTACAAAAGTTTTGTAACTAAGCATTATTAACAGCCCCCATTCTTTATCTTCCTCTACTGAAGTGGTTGAAAAGCTAAAATATTGCTTGATTTGTTGTAGCCATGTGAAAAGCTTTGGCTTAATATTATATAGGCAGATGTCACTGAGGGGAACTTCCCCTTTTTCATACAAAGACAAGACTTCACAAGGAGAAGGCTTTTGGTGCTTCCCCCTTTTTCTGACCTGGAATGTCAATGTGATGACTGAAGGAGCAGTAGCTATATTGCAACCACATACTTGAAAGCCAGGCGCTAAAGTTGGTGGTCTTGAAAAGATAGAGGAAAACAGAACCTTTTATGAAATTGTAAGACCCTTGTAATGATTTTGTTCTGTCAATCTTTAGACTTATATGAGGGAAGAAAACCTTAATTATTTAAGTCATATTAATTAGATTTATAACTACATGCTGCATAATGTGATCTAAGCTGGTACAGCTGTGTCTCAAACATGTCCCCTCAGGAAAACTATTTTTCCCAGAATACTTTGTGGAGGGGACTATTGTATCAGAACAATTTTAATGCAACAGTCATCTTCAGAAAAATTACTATGATCACTTTTTTTTTCATTTATGTAACCTGGAGATGCAGGAGACAGAATGGAAGTATGAAGCAGGGAACTATTTCCGAAGAGTTTTGATGTTCTTGGAGCAGGTACACAATTTTGTTTTTCTGTGGAATTTTCTCGGTCTGACATTCTTATCTTGTTGACTAATCACTTACTCTATGCTGAAACAATGGAATTCCTCCATCTTCAAATAGATCATAAAGTGATGCTGTGAGTAATCCAAGCCTGAGGGGTCCTTTCCACACGTTTTTCTCATTGGCCATTGTCTAGTCTTTTGATATTCTCTTCATTTTCTCTCATGCTAGTCTCTGCAGTTCTGCAGAGAGTGGACACGATTATTATTTTCTTTCAAATCTGTGTAAGGAACAAACTAAAACCTTACTTTCTAATGATAGTAGGTCAGGTTTCTGGGAAATGGAGTCCCTTTGTTTTGTCTAGCAATGGAAATAGGATCTGGGGGACAACTGAACTACTCTTCATAGTAGAGGGAGAAAAATTTGGAGCTTGAAGGGAATACGTGAAGAAGGCAGTAAGGAGGTAGGACAGGGAGGCAAGGGAAGAGAGAAGCCAATAAGATAATAAGATACTTCATGAGATTATCCCTTTGTAGCAAATTGCATTTTCCAAAAATAATCACAAACAGGTGTCCTGTCCCACATTCTCTTTCAAAACTTTGCTATTCCCCCATCAGGAGGAGATAGCCTGTCTCTTCTCCTTAAAACTGACTGTGACACTGTGACTTCCTTGACAAGTAACAATGTGGTGGAGCTGACTCCTAGGCTAGGTTAGAACAGGCAATATGGCTTCTGCCCAGCTCTCCCTCAGGATGCTTGTGTGGGGACTCTGAGCTGCCATGTATGAAGTTTGGCCATCCTGAAGCACAGATGCTTAGAAAAGATCCTGTGGATAAACCATAAAGAGAATGACATATGCCCTGAGGAGATCCAGCTGTCTGGTCCCCAACTATTTGAGTCTTCCCAGCCCAGGCACCAGACACATAAGTGAGGAAGCCTTTGTGACTCCAGCCCCAGCCTCTGTAACTGCTTGAGAGAGACTGAGTGGGAACCACCCAGCTGAGCCCAGCCTCAGTCAACCTGCTGACCAGGAGGTGTTATAATAGTCATAACAATAATAGAAATAAATGATTGCAATGGTTTTACAGCACTAAATTTTGGGGGTGATTTATTTCAGGTAGACCTTTTTTATTTTTAACATAGCAATGGATAACTGGAACATGTTCCTTGTGATTCTCAAATTTTCAGTAAAGTCTCATATACTCAAGAAATGCTTGCGATAAGTGCGTATATATGTAAGGCAGAGACAGGAGTACATATTTTGCCTTGAAGTTGATGACTGTCATTAGGATAGTGCAAAGATGGCATACTCACATATAGGAACAGAAGGAAGAGGGGGCCAAGAAGAAATTTGATGCAGCTGGGTGTGGTGGCTCACACCTGTAATGCCAGCACTTTGGGAGGCTGAGGCATGCGGATCACCTGAGGTCGGGAGTTTGAGACCAGCCTGACCAACATGGAGAAACTCCATCTCTACTAAAAAAAAAAAATACAAAATTAGCTGGGTGTGGTGGTGCATGCCTGTAATCCCTGCTACTCGAGGCTGAGCTAGGAGAATTGCTTGAACCTGGGAAGTGGAGGTTGCAGTGAGCTAAGATCATGCCATTGCACTCCAGCCTGGGCAACAAGAATGAAATTCTGTCTCAAAATAAATAAATAAATAAATAAAAAAGAAAGAAAGAAAGAAAAAAATTTGGTGCAAAAATTGTGTGGAAAGTATTATCCTCTTACAGGCCTTTGGGGGTTCAGCCAAAGGGCAAAGTCTGCCTAATCAGCATCTGCATTATATTCCATGGCATTGTCTATGAATTTCAAGTGAGGAGTGGCATGAGATCTACTTTATGTTTCTCAGTTCATCTGCATGATTAAAAGCTGCTTCTCCAGAGGTTCTTTTGGTTCGTTACAATACTAAATGAGAGCAAGATCATTTGAAATTCTGGGTCAAGAGGGTAGCCTCTTGAAATGTATTGATCTGGGATGAATAAATCAGCTAGTTGAATTTTAATCTCCAAAATGAGGCTTAAAGGAAGGGCTTCTTATGTGATAAGCAGGCACTTTCCATATATAGCTATAACTTAATACTTACTATGTTCCAGGTATTATGTTAAGATATTTAGGTAATTATTTAATAATCAGTGCAACTATAATAAAAGGTTTTAGGTGTTATAATCTGTAAGCTATACTCTATAATAACACAAATATAACATATATATAATGTATAATCTATATTAAATATGACTATATATTCTTATATATCTATGCTTTAAATAAACACACAGAAATATGTGAAATTAACTTATTTTTAATTTTAATTTTTCTATTACTTGGATTATTATCCTGTGAAAAGTTTAAATTAAAATCACACTTAAACATATTTAGAGATATGTGCTTAAAGTGCCTTGCTGATAAAATGTAAATAATACTCAAAATATGTCCTAAATAAAAGTGTGCTCCTCATTGAAAAAGAACTGTCTCTCAGAAATAGCACTAGTTGGGATTGTATCTTCCAGAGAAGAAACTATAGGTGTTTGATAATCTGGTTCTTTAAGTATGTTTTTTAGAGACATAATCTTCCAGTCAGGTTAAGACAGTGTAATAAAATGGAGGTATGAGAGTCTTTTCAGACAAGTAGATTTGAGCTTTTTCCTGTTTCTAGTTACTAGGTATGAATATATGAGTAAAATACTCAACCAATCTCCATCTTATTTAGCCATATCTCATTTAGCCATATGTATCAGCCATGTCTCTTTAAAAGTAATGGCAAAAACTGCAATTACTTTTGCACCAGCCTCATAAAATGGGGAGCTGAACATCTTGAAGGATTTCCACACAGATTTAAAATGATACAATATGGGAGCGTTGCCATATAGGGGGTACTTCCATCAATGTCTTTTTTCTTCTGACATATATGTAAATATTGGCCAGTGACTGCAGCCCCCATCAAATTCTACATAAAACTCACATTTACTGAAGGTAGTTGTACTTGCAGGTATTTTGCGGGGGCTGGATCTTACCTTGCCAAGGCCAGAATCACTATGACTCATTTTCTGGCTTTTGAAATGGGAAACTTCAGCTGAGGGATCTTTGGCTACTATAATGTTTCTTCAGCAGGGACTCTGTGAGGCAGGTCATATAGGATGAGTTAGTTTATGAATTGTAGCCTGAGGTGGATTGTATTCATGGTGCCAGGACTTCTCTCTATGAGGAACTGGGGCCATCAGTGCAATCCATGTTCTTTGGCGTGTGGTTTTGCAGTTCTGCCCACTGAGAAGGCGAGTGTATTTCTCTGCTCCTCCATTCTGAATTCAGCCATGTGACTTGCTTTAGGAGATTGGGATATTAGCAGAACTGATTCAAGCAGAGGCTTTAAAAAGCCTGCCTGCAATAGGGTTTGCACTTTTGAATCCCTGCTGTAGCTATACAGCAGATATACCCAGGCCAGTCTGTTGGTTTTAGGAGGGGGATTAGAAACACATGGAGCAGAGCTACTCCTGCCAATGTCAGCTTATGTCAGTCAACTCCCAGCCTATGCAAAGACTCAAGAAATAATGCATAACTCTTCCCTTAAGCCATTGAATTTTTGGATGGTTTCTCACATGGCAATATCTAACCAATACAGTCCCTCTTCATTTTATAAATTTATTCCAGTTTGGATGACATACAGTTACACTAGATATGAGGGACTCCCTTTCAAGGATTTTCTCCTTGACCTTTCTGCTAGTATCTTCTGGTTCCTTCGCATAGTATCTTCAGCTATGACTTAAAACTAAGCATGATATTTGGTCACTTGCTTTGCTAAATCATTCATGCTTGCTCTCCACTAACTCTCAAGGCCATGAAAGAGAACAAAATTTATGGAGGTGCAAATTGTATCTAATGAATTTTTCAGATGAAATTTCCCAGGAGGGTAATTGGAAATATTAATAGAAGGGACATTTTTACTTGAAAACCACCAGTATTTGCATATCTGGGAGCTTTTGCCTAACTGTAGTGAAGCCAGTCAGCAGAGAACAGTTCTTAAGGACTCTTATGAAGTACACTGACTTTGTCATCAGTTTCTCCAATATATCATTCATTGTCTTAATGTTCGTGGTTTGAGGAAAGCAAGCAGAATACAAGCAGATATGGTCATTCTTTTTCTGCATAGCCTTTTCTTTCTCCCGAGGAATTGTCTCCCTTAACTCTTTGATATAAATAAAATATTTCTGGGAGGCAGAAAGGAACATTTGGAAGGCAATCACAGATAAACTCTAGATGTGAATTGATAGTGCATTTTACTTGGTAGAGAATAGCCAGGTCAATTTCCTCCCAATATTTTGAGCTGATGTGAGTTGCATTCTGTTTTGACAGGCAGATTTTTTTTCAGGGTTTGTTCCTAGTCACTGGAGACATACTCAGTTTCAGGGAACTGTTAAAGTTACAAGCAAATTGGACAACTTGCTTTCTCGTATTCTGATCATTAGTGTACCTTCAAATGAGGGTGAAGTATGTATTATTAATCCACTACCACTATTTATGACACACCCACACATTGCTGAGTGCTGCCTGAATATCATTAATTTATGTAAAAGGTGGGTTGTTGAAGGCATAAGTAGAAATTTTTTTAATGAAATTGTAGGACCAGAAAGTCATGAAAATATTTTGGTTATTTCCTAAAGTATGGTAGAACTACCACTGGAGACTACAGGAAATGATCTTCAGTGGCATATGATATGATTTTAGTTAGTACCTGGATAAGACATTAAATAACATTACCTCCTAAATGGTGTTCCCTGGTTATGTTAAGCAGGAAGTTTCAGATTGATATTAGTTTTTTTTTTTTTTTTGTACCACTTCTGGAATGCTTGTTAATCTCTATTTTCACCAAAATGAGAGAGAACATCATCTAGCTAGGATCTAATGTAATTGTTTAATTTATATTTCTATGAATGTGTTTTATTTGTGGCAGGTAATAATGGCAATCCGTTGTAGCTGCCAACTTTGAAAAAGCAAAAGTCATGAAGATGGCACACATGAAGGTAGTGACTAAAAATTGTGAAATGACTAATCTAGTCTCACATAGATGAAGAGTTTTCTGGCAGTAAGGGGAACACATTTTTCATGACAATAAAGCCAATGGAGGAAACTTAAAGTGATATTAATATTTATAATAAGCAGTCATTCATACTAATGGTAAAAAAAGAAGGTCATCTGTTTCTGAAATTTTGCATAATTTATACGTGTCTTTATACAAGGGAATCAGCATAACATACTGGGAATAGTATGAACTTTTATACTCGAACTAACCTGGGTTTGAATCACAGCTCTTTTAATGTGTGACAGGAGCAAGTGGATTAACCTCTCCAGGCTTTAATTTTATCATTCAAAGTGTAATGAGAATGATATCAAACTCACTGTCATGGAGATTAAATAAGGTAACATAAATAAATCCCTAATATGGGCCCCTGTTGAAAGCCTGAGCTAGCCTCTAGTAGCTTGCAACTCTCTGGCTTTGGAGTGTAGCTTCATGTGGTTGGGGCATTTTGATATTCTTAGAGTCTTTTTCTTTCTTTCTTTCTTTCTTTCTTTCTTTCTTTCTTTCTTTCTTTCTTTCTTTCTTTCTTTCTTTTCTTTTTTTAAAATTATACTTTAAGTTCTGGGATATACATGCAGAACATGAAGATTTTTTATATAGGTATACACGTGCCATGGTGGTTTGCGGCACCCATCAACCTGTCATCTACATTAGGTATTTCTCCTAATGCTATCTCCCCCAGCCCCCTGTTACCCCCCAACAGGCCCCAGTGTTTGATATTCCCCTGCCTGTGTCCATGTGTTCTCATTATTCATATAAGTGAGAACATGCGGTGTTTGGTTTTCTGTTCTTGTGTTAGTTTGCTGAGAATGATGGTTTCCAGCTTCATTCATGTCCCTGCAAAGGACATGAACTCATCCCTATGGCTGCATAGTATTCCATAGTGTATATGTGCCACATTTTCTTTATCCAGTCTATCACTGATGGGCATTTGGGTTGGTTCCAAGTCTTTGCTATTGTAAATAGTGCCGCAATAAACATACGTGTGCATGTGTCTTTATAGCAGAATGATTTATAATCCTTTGGGTATATAGCCAGTAATGGGATTGCTGGGTCAAATGGTATTTCTGGTTGTAGATCCTTGAAAAAAAACCACAATGTCTTCCACAATGGTTGAACTAATTTACACTCCCACTAACAGTGTAAAAGCATTCCTATTTCTCCACATCCTCTTCTGCCTCTGTTGTTTCCTGACTTTTTAATGATTGCCATTCTCACTGGTATGAGATGGTATCTCACTGTGGTTTTGATTTGCATTTCTCTAATCATCAGTGATGATATGCTTTTTCTCATATGTTTGTTGGCCACATAAATGTCTTTTTTTGAGAAGTGTCTGTTCATATCCTTCGCATCCATTGTCTGAGGAGGCCCCAGGGTCCAGTGTTTTGAAGCTTCTCTGCTCTACATTGTATTTGATCTCCAATTTCTTTAACTTTCTCAGATTGATTAACTCCAGATTGATTAACTTTCTTGGAATGATTAACTCCGGATTGATTAACATAATAACAGCATTCTTCCCCTAAAAAAAAAAAACAGGTTCCCCCTCTTTCAGTGGTTAGCAAGTCTAAAGCTCTTCAATTTTGAAGGACTACCGCTGCTAGGGAATTAAGTTGATCTTGCAAGGTGACCAGGGAGTCGGTGACCTGTTCCATGTCACCCTTTAGTTCTTGAGATAGTTTGTAGTAGAACTGAGTAGAGGTTGTGATACCGCCAATGCCAGTACTTAGCCCACCTAGCACTCCTGCTCTGATAACAAAAGGAAGAATGAGTACTGTTTTGTTGTGGGGCTTAGGTATGACATAATTGTATAAATATTGTTCAGTGTAAATGGTCATAGGGGGCACTAAGAATGAGAGGAAGCACATAGGTTCTGAAAAGCCATTCAGACAACGATAGGCTAAGCTACCAAAGACAAAAAATATTCCTAAGGGTAGGCAGACTATTCGTGTGGGAGGAGTTACCCACCTGATGCATTGGGATTTGGTCGTGTCTATAGTATTACTAAATTTTACACAGGTGAGGTTTGAGGTATGGGTTATTTCCAGATTGGAAACAAGAGGTCCTACTAAAATGGAAGTGGTGTTTATTTCTGTGCTGAAGTTGTTCCATTGTTCAGGTACAGGGATTGAAATGTATGACCTGGAGTGCAGGGGGAGGCACATCCAACAGTTAGTAGAGTTTTGGGCCGAGACCACATGGAGCCCAGTGAGGGTGCTATTAAATAGGCTTACCAGGCGAGTATGGGTACAGAGGGTTTCATGTAGTTTTGAGAGATCTGTTCCTTTGTAGGGGCTAGGGGTATTATGTACCCGGGTCAGCTGGGAGATTACTTCCTTTACATGTTTTTCTCTTGCCTGATCTTGAACTCCACCACCATCAGACATACCTGCCCTTGAACTCCACCCCTATCAGACATGGATGAAGTCAGTCCAACAAACAGTGGCTCCAAGTCCTCCAGGACAACTAGGATTAATCATTTTCTCTGTCCAATAATGAGTATTTGCATGCATGCAAAAAGTGGCAGAGTTATAGCAGTTGCGGAGCATGTGGGTGTGGGCGGTGAAGGTGGGGTTTCCCTTAGATAAACTCCTATACGATGGGGCATTAATATTTCTGGGAAGCTGCATTCTCCATAGAAGCTCTTGGTAAGGGGAGTTACTAGTCGTACAGTGGCATGGAGGGGGTGCAGTGAGAGTGAAAGGGGTTAAGAAAATAGTAAAGAGAAAAATATGATAAGGGAGGGCCATGGGGATTTATGATTTTAGTTAATTTCCTCATAGTTGTCTGACAGCCACAAGTCTCCTTTAGCAGTGAGTATGCTGTTCACATCATGAGATGTCCACACAGTAAGATCTCTTCCTTGTATTATTTTAACTGCTTCAGATACTAAGACTGCTACTGCTACCACTACCCGTAAACAATGAGGCCAACCCTTTGCCACTCCATCAATTTCCTTACTCAGGTGTGCCATGGGTTGCAATCTCATCCCTCGGACCTGTGTAAGGACTCCTAGAGCTATTTCTGTTTTTTCTGTGCCATATAAAGAAAAGTCTTGCCCCGTTGGCAAACTTAACAATGGGGCATGAGTTAGGGCCTTCTTTAGGGCCTGGAAAGCTGCTTCTGCTTCAGGTGTCCATCTTACTAAATGGGTATTGGCTTTCTGAGTTTCCTTAATTAGTGTATATAATGGTCTGGCTATTTTGCCATACCTGGGGATCCATATTCGGCAGAAACCTGTTATGCCAAGGAACCCTCTTAGTTGCTTTAGGGTTTTGGGATAAGGATAAGCCAGTATAGGCTGGATACATTCCTCACTGAGGGCCCTGGTGCCTTTGGATAATTTTAGCCCTAAGTATTTAACCTGCTGTGAGCAGAGCTGAGCCTTTGGTTTGAAAACCTTGTAGCCACAGGTAGCAAGGAAATTTAAGAGCATTTGGGTGGCTTGATGGCATAAGGTTTCTGAACGGACAGCTAAAAGTGATTTCATTCACGTACCAAAGGACAAGAGTGTCTAAGTATGAGAACCAGCTCAAGTCTTGGGCTAATGCCTGGCCAAATAGATGGAGGCTATCCCTGAACCCTTGGGGTAAAACAGTCCAGGTGAGTTGAGATGTTGGGTTCGAAGGATCTTCAAAGGCAAACAAGAATTGAGAGTCAGGATGTACAGGGATGCCGAAAAAGGCATTCTTAAGGTCCAGGACTGTAAACCACTCTGCTTCCTCTGGTATTTGGGAAAGCAGAGTATAAGGGTTAGGTACAGCTGGGTATAGAGGGACAATGGCCTCACTGATAATCTTGAGATCTTGCACTAAGCTCCACTGTCCGTTGTGTTTCTGTACTCCTAAAATTGGAGTATTGCAGGGGCTACTGCATGCTTTTACTAGGCCTTGGGCTTTTAGGTCCTTAATCTTTTGGAGTCCTTGTTGGGCCTCAGGTCTAAGGGGGTACTGCTTTTGGTAGGGAAAGGAGGTGGAATCCTTAATTTTTTTTTTTTTTTTTTTTTTTTTGAGACGGAGTCTCCCTCTGTCGCCCAGGCTGGAGTGCAGTGCAAGCTCCGCCTCCCGGGTTCCTGCCATTCTCCTGCCTCAGCCTCCCGAGTAGCTGGGACTACAGGTGCCCACCACCATGCCTGGCTAATTTTTTGTATTTTTTAGTAGAGACGGGGTTTCACCACGTTAGCCAGGATGGTCTGGATCTCCTGACCTCGTGATCCCCCCACCTCAGCCTCCCAAAATGCTGGGATTACAGGCATGAGCCACCACACCCAGCCCCTCTTGTTTAACTTGAACAGGACAGGCATTCTTTGCTCATCCATATTGTCCTGTTGCCCAGACTTCAGGATTAATTCCTTCCTCAAGCAGGGGACAACAAGCAGGTGTTCTCCTATGTTCAGGTGTATAATGGCCCCTGCTTTTGCTAGAATGTCTCTCCCTAACAAGGGAGTGGGGCTTTCAGGCATAATTAGAAAAGCATGTGAAAAGAGTAAAGTTCTCCAGTCACAACTTAGTGGCTGGGAGAACTATCTAGTGACTGGCTGTCCTAGGACCCCTCAGATAGTGACAGATCTGGAGGCTAGTTGTCTGGGACAGGAGAATAAGACTGAGAAGGCTGCGCCAGTGTCCAGGAGACAGTTAACCTCCTGGTCCTCAATGGTCAAGCATACCTAGGGTTCTGTGAGAGTGATGGCATGGGCTGGCGTTTGCCCTGGGCACCCTCAGTCCTGCTGCTGGATCATCTGGTTAGTGGCTTCTGACTCAGAGGACCTTCATTCCCTGGGGCAGTGGGCCTTCCAGTGATTCCCTTGACATAAGGGATATGGATGAGGGGGTGGCTTATTTCTACTAGGACAATCTTTTTTAAAGCATCCTTGTAGACCGCACTGGAAGCAAGCCCTATTAGGCATTTGATTTGCCCAGCTTTTCTCTTTCCCAGAGCCTCCAAAGTCCGCTTGCCTGAGGGCCATGACTTTTTTAAATCCTTTTTTTTTTTTTTTAAATCCTATTTGTCCCGTTCTACCTGCTCCTCCTGATCTCTATTATAAAAAACCCAGGTTGCCAAGTTCAATAGGGTTTCTAAGTTTTGCTCCAGGCCTAAGGTGGACTTTGGAAGTTTTTTTCTAATGTCTGCAGCTGACTGAGTGATAAACTTATCCTTTAAGACTAGTTGGCCTTCAATAGAGTCAGGTGACAGAGAGGCATGCTTTCTCAATGCCTCCTTTAGTCTCTCCAGAAAGGCGGTAGGATTTTCTTTCTTTCCCTGTGTTATAGTGGACATCATTGAGTAATTCATAGGCTTCTTCCTAGTTTTCCTTTGTCCTTCTAGCATGCAAGTTAGCAAATGTCTATGGCACCAATCTCCATGTTCCGATTCTGTGTCCCAATGAGGGTCTACACTGGGAACTGCCTGCTGGCCTGTGGGGAATCATTCTCTTTCCTCTGTTGTTATCCTATCATTGACCTGACTGAGATAGTAGAGATTGCCAAACTCTTGGGCTGCAGTTATGGCAGCACTTTTGTCATTTGGGGTTAGTGTCTGATTTAGCAGTAACATTATATCTCTCCATGTCAGATGAAAGGATTGTCCTAACCCTTGTAAAACATCAATATAGCCATCAGGGTTATCTGAGAATTTACCTAGGTCTATTTTAGTTTGCTTTAAGTCTGAGAGAGAAAAAGGTACATGCACTCTGGCTGGGCTGAATTCTCCTCCTCCCACTGCTGGAGGGGGCATAATCGGGGAATATTGGCACTCTTTGGTTCATTGTTTACCGCTTTGTCTATCTCCTTTTGGACTGTTTGGGTTGAAGTGGGTCCTTATTAGTTGGGGAAGGAGTCAGGGAGATGCCGGGGTAGGGAGGTAGATCTGAGGGCTTCCTGTAGGACACAAATCACACTGTTTACATAATTGCGAGTTGTCTTTTAATGAAAAGAAAGTTTGTAAATATGGCACTTCACTCCATTTGCCTCCTTTTCTACAAAACAGGTCTAGCTGTAAGATGGTGTTATAATTTATACTTCCCTCAGGAGGCCAGGTTTCTCCCCCTTGAAGAGGATATCGTGGCCAGGCGGTACTGCAGAAGAATATAAGTCATTTTTTTCTTACTGTCTGAGGGTCAAATTGGTCCCAATTCTCCAGAATACATCTTAGGGGCATTTTTGCCTTGGGAGGAACATTTCCAATTGCTTTGGAGATCCCTTCATGGTTGCGGATTCAGGTCCCTTCGTGGTCACCAAATTGTTACCTGGGGGTCCTTGCTCCCAGAGCTCCCAAGATAGTGGCGGGCTGCTTCCAAAATGGTGGTGGGCTGCTTCCAACATGGTGGCAAGCCTTGTGTTCTCTGACCTGGGGTTCTTGGTCTCACGGATTCCAAGGAATGGAATCTTGGACCATGCAGTGAGTGTTATAGCTCTATTAGAAGCCATGGGTCATGGAAGAGAACCGTGGAACCCAGTGACTAGTGTTCAGCTCGATTAGGATGAACCCAGGCACTTAGCTGTGCAGGAACAATGGCAAGCCTTTAGCCCAATTGGGAGAGGCAATGGGCGCCTGTGCTGGATCAGGAGCACAGCGGACACCCTGCCAGATCTGGAGGGATGGAAGTCAGCGGCGGGTCTGTGACTGCGGCAAACAGCAGTGGTGGAGAGCAAGCGAAAGCTCAGCTTGAACCATAACAAACACGGACCAGAAGAGTGCAGTTGCAAGATTTAATGGAGTGAAAACAGAGCTCCCATACAAAGGGAGGGGGCTCAAAGAGGAATTAAGGTTTTTTAAAACAATTGCTCATGCAGAATAGTCATGCTCCTGATATTTACATGTCCTGTGTAAGAAATGCATTTGTACTAGGCTTAGTCCTATCCATTACTGCTTATTGATACATAAAACACTTGTCAAAGGAGGCTAGCACAATTTCTTGTATTACTTATTGCTCTGTCATTCCTCTGCTCAATTAGTAGTGTCCACGTGATACCCATCTATATTTTGGTACAATTGTCTACTAGCTCAGGTGGTGTCCCATTGCTGCCTAAATTTAAAACAAAAAAGCTAAAATTTTGTAAAATTTCTGACTTTTAATACAGGGAATTGTGTCAGTACTATATTCTGGGATATGCTACGCCTGTGGCTGTCAAACTTCAGCTCCATCAGTATCACCTACAAGACTTGTTAAACATAGACTGCTGGGCCCCCACTCTGAATTTCTAATTTAGTAAATTTAAAATGTGAACTAAGAATTTGCATTTTTTAACCTCTTCCCAGGTGATGCTGATGCTGTTGGTCTAAAGATCACACTCTGAGAGCTATTATTCTGCACTAAAATTTTATATGGTCCAACTTAAGAGAATATTAAAAAATATTGAGCCTCTTGAACCATACTTGATACTACAAAGATTAGCACTTCACCTTGAAAGAAAAAGTAGAGTCTTGCCTAGGTGAGCCTGAATGGTATTTCTGCCTGTGGATTTCCATATTCTAGAAAATCTGTTTGTCTGCAGTCTACCCTGACTCTGAATTATGATGATCACAGTGGTTTTGACAGTGATGACACTGGCATATGGAACAGGCAGAACTTATAAGGGCCACGCTCACACATCAAAGTACAAATTTATTTTCATTTCCCATCAACTTTAAAAAATTTATTCAGGGGAAATAATTTTCTCTTTCAAATGAAAACTCAGGCGGGCCTTTGACTTTTGTGTTCACTTTTATTAATAGACAGGTAAAAACACAGTTTGCTTGCTTTTAGTGATTAAAATGTTCAGTCAAAGGTACCATTCAATTCCCTGAACTGAACTTATAAAAGCTCTTCTCTCCATCCCCACCCTGGCTTTGGTCTGCTTCAGGGAGCAAGTCTGTGAATGAGAAAGTGTGGTTTGGTAACGTAATCTATGTTTCTCAGCCAGGTGCTTCTCCTTTTTCCTCACCAGCTGCTGCTTGGGATTCTAGTGGAGAGGGGTGAAATAGGAAGGAAGGAGGTGGGAGGAGATTCAGAGGACAGGATGGTTCTTACTTGAACTGGCACCTTTATCAGCTAGCTTTGTGCTCTTGGGTCAAGCACTTTTATTTTATTTTATTTTATTTTATTTATTTTATTTTAACAGGGTCTTTTTACATTACTTAAGCTGGAGTGCAGTGGCACAATCATGGCTCACTGCAGCCTTGAACTCTTGGGCTCAAATGATCCTTCTGTATCAACCTCTCAAGTAGCTGGGACTACAGGCATACAACACTATGTTTGGCTAATCTCTTAGTTTTTGTTTGTTTGTATGTTTGTTTTTGTTTTTTGTAGAGATAGGGTTGCCCAGGCTGGTCTCAAACCACTAACCTCTAGTGAGATGTTTGAAACTAACTCTTTTTTTGTGTGACACTTTCATTAGCTCATTGGAGTTTTTTTTTTTTTTTTTTTTTTTTTTTTTTTTTTTAATTTTCTGCTGGGTTCTACTTTTTAATAGTTACCTGGACTGGGATGGATACATCTCTATTACAGATAATTTTATGGGATTGCTTCCTCAGTGCTTCTCAGGAATGGGTCAATTTGCCTCCATATTCTTGCTACTGGGGACCCTGTCCCCTGAGGAGACCCTATTGGAAAAAGTCTTACTACTCTATGCTTTGTCTCTCTTCTACTACCTGATCCTATTCTTGATCACAGGAAGAATTCATGCATCCGTTGCCCCACTGAACTCTGAGAGCCCTAAGAATCCCAAGCACACAGCCTTCTCTTCACACCACTAAGGCAGCTAACTGTGTTCTCACTGGCTAAATTTCTCTTGGTGGAGAGGGGAAGGAATATCTAATTCTGCAGCTGGAAAATATTGCATTAGTACTATATACCCTTCCCCCTAGGTGGTGGTAGACTTACAGCAGAGAAACAATTTTCTGTAAAGAAATCTCTTTGCAAGTCTTTTTCTTCCATATTCTAACTCCTTGATTTGGCCAAGAGGTCCAAAAATTATAGAACCATTTCTCAGAATTCTTTTATAAATTCTTCAAGTGCTAATTTGGCAACTTGCTTTGTAGTTTCACATTTATTGAAACATAGGTGCCTAGTTGAAATTTCAATTTTATACCCTGTTTCTTGAGTTCAATCTACCCACCAAAAATTCATTTTCTCACACGTAGCTATATTATCTCATTCAGAATCAACACAGCTAAATCAAACACAATTCAACTGAATCTAATTATTGTTTATTCTAGGCATCTGTGCTAACACTGGTGCTACAAATACAGAAATGAGTAAGTCCTCACATCAAGGTGGTTCACAGGTCTAATAGGGGAAACAGTCATGTGAAAAAACAGGATCAACAAAGAAGAGTTTGCACAGAAAAAAAAAAGTAGTTTAACCCTCTCTATGATAAGAAATGTAGGAAGTATGACCCCCAAGTTGAGATTTGAATGTGAAAATTTACCAGGCAATGGGGGTGGGGGATGAAAATGTGAGATGATGGGAAAGTTACTCAGTATCCCCAAACCTCAGTCTAGAGATTTGTAAAATATTAGTACTTATCTGAGAAGACTTTGCGAGGATTACCTAATTTGTACAGCATGCTTGGCACTATATCCTGTGTTCAAATTGGGGTTCTCTGAGAAGCAGGCACCAAGATAAAATTAAATATGCAAGGATCTTATTTGATGAAATCACTTAAGAGACTACAGGGAAGAAAGTGGGTGAAACTGGATGAATCTTGAGACTGTGATGGGAATCTGACTCTCAGTGAAGGAGAGAGGGAAGGGGGATTGGATGGCCAAGTCCTAGACTTCCATGCAGCTAAGGAAGGTTCAGCAGGGCATCAAGGAGTCCTTCAGTCAAAATTGACAGACGATTTCTGTGTCTCTAACAGTTCTTCATTAGTATTAGCTGAAATAATGGGGGCAGTCGGAGGAAGCACGAGCTCCCTACTGTGGGCTTAAGAGTGCAACAGCTGGAGCCCTGCAGATGGAAGTCCCTGTAGTTGGAGGTCTGTGAGGTGCATTTTCATAACCAGCATATCTAACCCATAAACAATACTTACTACATTTTTTATATTTCAGAAAGTAGAAAACATATGAACAAATGTGCACTGGCAGTTAAAAAAAAAAAGGAAAAAAATGGAGGTTTATTTTCAGAGCAAAGCAAATAGTTTGGTATCGTTTTAATGTAAAGTGGGAATTTGGGAATAATGAATAATTGAGAGATAGCAGGAACCATATCCTTTGCATTAGCTAGTGTAGGTCAACTGCTGTAACAGACCCTAAATCTAGAATAGCTTAACTACAACAGGAGCTTATTTCCCATGCATGTGATCAACAGGGCAGATGCCTCTCTGTGGTGATTCACAGACCAGGTCCTTTCTATCTCATGGCCCTACCATCTGTCAAACCTCATCATCTGCATCCAGCTGATGAAGGAAAAAGAAAGCAAGGAGGAGCCTGTGAAACACAGAAGCACCCATCACATTTGCTCGCTTGCCACAGATCAGACTTTGTCAACTGGCTTATCTAGATGCCAGGTGATCTAAGAAATCAGTTTCCTTCTGAACTTCTATAAATACCCCTGATAGCAATAACTTAAGCATACCCTTAGAATGGCCCTATATGGCAGACACTTCTGAAGGTGTGTGTTCTGAGCCAGGGAATCCTGGTATAGTCAATCAGGAGATTTGTTCCTTTTCTATGAAGACCATCTGAGACCCCTCCCCCTAGCCCATTTCATAGAACGTGGGTGATACAGGGGATTGAGGCCCTGAGTTTTGGGTTAAATGAAGGTTGCGAGGTCGAAGTAATTAATGGGAGAGTATCAAATGAAAATGCTCTATCAACAGCATGTTGTTTTTCAGTGGTTGCAGTTTTCCTGTCACACCCACCACCACTGGACTCTCCTGTATATAAGCCCCTAATAGAACCCCATGTCTTGTTTCCTGGCTCTGGTTCTCTTCTTTGACCTCTTGATCCTGGGGTTTTCCCTATTGAGATTAATAGGGTTTGACACAATAGCATCTATCTTCAAGCTAAAACTCTATGCTAATGAAGACAAAACTTCTGGTGGTCAGTTAGCCTCCCTTTTGTGTCATGAATCTCTTTTGCTGCTAAGTTGCTTAAATGAATTATAGATGCTGGGAGCCACCAAAAATTCTAAGCTGTAGAATGCCTGATGATATTCACATTTTAAAGGTCATGACTGTAACACTGTGTCAGTGGGTTAAAAAGAATCATAAAGGCTGGGCCTGGGGCCTCTTGCCTATAATCCCAACACTTTGAGAGGCTGATGCAGGTGGATTGCTTGAGCCCAGGAGTTTGAGACCCCTGTCTCTACAAAAAAAAAAGAAAAAAAAACCCATGAAAATGGAGGCAAAGGAACCAATTTTGAGACTTTTGCAGTAATTCAGGTGAGAGATAAGAATGACCTAGATAAGTGAGAATTAAGAGGAGTTTGACAAGTTCTAGAGAAATTTAGGAGGCAGGCCTTGAAGACTGGTTAAATATGAAGGGAATGGGAAGAGATGGTGTAAGGAACATGGCTGTGCTGCAGCGAAGCAGGCATAGAGCAGCAGGCATAGGCCAAGGTAAACAGCATAGATAACGCAGCAGGATTGGGGTGCAAGCGCACAGTCCCATGTCTTAGATAATCATAGCCATGTACACACAACATAGAGAAGCTCCCCACCTGGCTCTCAGCCACCAGTTTTTGTGTAGTGTACAAATGTAACACTGACCCTGTGAAGGCTCTGCTGAATAAAGCCATGTCTCATTTACCTGCTGTCTCTTGTGTGTTCTTCCACCTCCCTGACCCCCATCCACCCATTCCCCTCAGCTCTCAGCTGGGGCTAGAACCTAACCCTGAGCATGACAAATGGGTAGCTGACATTCTGGCCTGGGTAAGTGGATAAATGTGTTAACAATCAAATTAGAAGGAAATGGAGTAGGATCCCATTCAGCTACTATGGTGCTTCTGAAAGTTTTCTTTCAAAATTCCTTTAACAACAAAACAAGGTAAATGCATATTTTGTGAGGCTCTAATATGTAATTTGCCCCCCAAATAAAACAACTTCTTCAAGGTATGTTTTATTTTGAAAATTTATGCAAATTTTACTTTCTATTTGTATGTATAGGTAACGTATATGCTTGTTGTGAAATAATGTGTTTGTTTTTTTAAATTTTATTATTATTATACTTTAAGTTTTAGGGTACATGTGCACAATGTGCAGGTTTGTTAGATATATGTACATGTGCCATGTTGGTGTGCTGCACCCATTAACTCATCATTTAGCATTAGCTGTATCTCCTAATGCTATCCCTCCCCCGTTCCCCCTACCCCACAACAGTCCCCGCGGAGTGTGATGTTCCCCTTCCTGTGTCCATGTGTTCTCATTGTTCAGTTCCCACCTATGAGTGAGAACATGCAGTGTTTGGTTTTTTGTCCTTGCAATAGGTTGCTGAGAATGATGGTTTCCAGATTCATCCATGTCCCTACAAAGGACATGAACTCATCACTTTTTATGGCTGCATAGTATTCCATGATGTATATGTACCACATTTTCTTAATCCAGTCTATCATTTGGGTTGGTTCCAAGTCTTTGCTATTGTGAATAGTGCCACAATAAGCATACATGTGCATGTGTCTTTATAGCAGCATGATTTATAATCCTTTGGGTATATACCCAGTAATGGGATGGCTGGGTCAAATGGTATTTCTAGTTCTAGATCCCTGAGGAATCGCCACACTGACTTTCACAATGGTTGAACTAGTTTACAGTCCCACCAACAGTGTAAAAGTGTTCCTATTTCTCCACATCCTCTCCAGCACCTGTTGTTTCCTGACTTTTTAATGATTGCCATTCTAACTGGTGTGAGATGGTATCTCATAGTGGTTTTGATTTGCATTTCTCTGATGGCTAGTGATGATGAGCATTTTTTCATGTGTTTTTAGGCTGCATAAATGTCTTCTTTTGAGAAGTGTGTGTTCATATCCTTTGCCCACTTTTTGATGGGGTTGTTTGTTTTTTTCTTGTACATTTGTTTGAGTTCATTGTAGATTCTGGATATTAACCCTTTGTCAGATGAGTAGGTTGCAAAAATTTTCTCCCATTCTGTAGGTTGCCTGTTGAATCTGATGGTAGTTTCTTTTGCTGTGCAGAAGCTCTTTAGTTTAATTAGATCCCATTTGTCAATTTTGGCTTTTGTTGCCATTGCTTTTGGTGTTTTAGACATGAAGTCCTTGCCCATGCCTATGTCCTGAATGGTATTGCCTAGGTTTTCTTCTAGCGTTTTTATGGTTTTAGGTCTAACATGTAAGTCTTTAATCCATCTTGAATTAATTTTTGTATAAGTTGTAAGGAAGGGATCCAGTTTCAGCTTTCTACATATGGCTAGCCAGTTTTCCCAGCACCATTTATTAAATAGGGAATCCTTTCCCCATTTCTTGTTTTTGTCAGGTTTGTCAAAGATCAGATGGTTGTAGATATGTGATATTATTTCTGAGGGCTCTGTTCTGTTCCATTGGTCTGTATCTCTGTTTTGGTACCAGTGCCATGCTGTTTTGGTTACTATAGCCTTGTAGTATAGTTTGAAGTCAGGTAGAGTGATGCCTCCAGCTTTGTTCTTTTGACTTAGGATTGACTTGGTGATGCAGGCTCTTTTTTGGTTCCATATGAACTTTAAAGTAGTTTTTTCCATTTCTGTGAAGAATGTCATTGGTAGCTTGATGGGGATGGCATTGAATCTATAAATTACCTTGGGCAGTATGGCCATTTTCACAATATTGATTCTTCCTACCCATGAGCATGGAATGTTCTTCCATTTGTTTGTATCCTCTTTTATTTCCTTGAGCAGTGGTTTGTAGTTCTCCTTGAAGAGGTCCTTCACATCCCTTGTAAGTTGGATTCCTACGTATTTTATTCTCTTTGAAGCAATTGTGAATGGGAGTTCACTCATGATTTGGCTCTCTGTTTGTCTATTATTGGTGTATAAGAATGCTTGTGATTTTTGTACATTGATTTTGTATTCTGAGACTTTGCTGAAGTTGCTTATCAGCTTAAGGAGATTTTGGGCTGAGACGCTGGGGTTTTCTAAATATACAATCATGTCATCTGCAAACAGGGACAATTTGACTTCCTCTTTTCCTAATCGAATACCCTTTATTTCCTTCTCCTGCCTAATAGCCCTCACCAGAACTTCCAACACTATGTTGAATAGGAGTGGTGAGAGAGGGCATCCCTGTCTTGTGCCAGTTTTCAAAGGGAATGCTTCCAGTTTTTGCCCATTCAGTATGATTTTGGCTTATCATACTGGCTTATCATATCATTTGTCATAGATAGCTCTTATTATTTTGAGATACATCCCATCGATACCTAATTTATTGAGAATTTTTAGCATGAAGCGTTGTTGAATTTTGTCAAAGGCCTTTTCTGCATCTTTTGAGATAATCATGTGGTTTTTGTCTTTGGTTCTGTTTATATGCTGGATTACATTTATTGATTTGCGTATGTTGAACCAGCCTTGCATCCCAGGGATGAAGCCCACTTGATCATGGTGGATGAGCTTTTTGATGTGCTGCTGGATTCGGTTTGCCAGTATTTTATTGAGGATTTTTGCATCAATGTTCATCAAGGATATTGGTCTAAAATTCTCTTTTTTGGTTGTGTCTCTGCCAGGCTTTGGTATCAGGATGATGCTGGCCTCATAAAATGAGTTAGGGAGGATTCCCTCTTTTTCTATTGATTGGAATAGTTTCAGAAGGAATGGTACCAGTTCCTCCTTGTACCTCTGGTAGAATTTGGCTGTGAATCCATCTGGTCCTGGACTTTTTTTGGTTAGTAAGCTATTGATTATTGCCACAATTTCAGAGCCTGTTATTGGTCTCTTCAGAGAGTCAACTTCTTCCTGGTTTAGTCTTGGGAGGGTATATGTGTCGAGGAATTTATCCATTTCTTCTAGATTTTCTAGTTTATTTGCATAGAGGTGTTTGTAGTATTCTCTGAAGGTAGTTTGCATTTCTGTGGGATCGGTGGTGATATCCCCTTTATCATTTTTTATTGCATCTATTTGATTCTTCTCTCTTTTCTTCTTTATTAATCTTGCTTAGCGGTCTATCAGTTTTGTTAATCTTTTTAGAAAACCAGCTCCTGGATTCATTAGTTTTTTGAAGGGTTTTTTGTGTCTCTATTTCCTTCAGTTCTGCTCTGATTTTAGTTATTTCTTGCCTTCTGCTAGCTTTTGAATGTGTTTGCTCTTGCTTTTCTAGTTCTTTTAATTGTGATGTTAGGGTGTCAATTTTGGATCTTTCCTGCTTTCTCTTGTGGGTTTTTAGTGCTATAAATTTCCCTCTACACACTGCTTTGAATGTGTCCCAGAGATTCTGATACGTTGTGTCTTTGTTCTCATTGGTTTCAAAGAACATCTTTATTTCTGCCTTCATTTCTTTATGTACCCAGTAGTCATTCAGGAGCAGGTTGTTCAGTTTCCACGTAGTTGAGCGGTTTTGAGTGAGTTTCTTAATCCTGAGTTCTAGTTTGATTGCAGTGTGGTCTGAGAGACAGTTTGTTATAATTTCTGTTCTTTTACATTTGCTGAGGAGTGCTTTACTTCCAACTATGTTGTCAATTTTGGAATAGGTTTGATGTGGTGCTGAAAAAAATGTATATTCTGTTGATTTGGGGTGGAGAGTTCTGTAGATGTCTATTAGGTCCGCTTGGTGCAGAGCTGAGTTTAATTCCTGGGTATCCTTGTTAACTTTCTGTCTCGTTGATCTGTCTAATGTTGACAGTGGGGTGTTAAAGTCTCCCATGATTATTGTGTGGGAGTCTAAGTCTCCTTGTAGGTCATTAAGGCCTTGCTTTATGAATCTGGGTGCTCCTGTATTGGGGGCATATATATTTAGGATAGTTAGCTCTTCTTGTTGAATTAATCCCTTTACCATTATGTAATGGCCTTCTTTGTCTCTTTTGATCTTTGTTGGTTTAAAGTCTGTTTTATCAGAGACTAGGATTGCAACCCCTGCCTTTTTTTGTTTTCCATTTGCTTGGTAGATCTTCCTCCATCCCTTTATTTTGAGCCTATGTGTGTCTCTGCACATGAGATGGGTTTCCTGAATACAGCACACTGATGGGTCTTGACTCTTTATCCAATTTGCCAGTCTGTGTCTTTTAATTGGAGCATTTAGTCCATTTACATTTAAAGTTAATATTGTTATGTGTGAATTTGATCCTGTCATTATGATGTTAGCTGGTTATTTTGCTCCTTAGTTGATGCAGTTTCTTCCAAAGGAATGCAGCTCCTCACCAGCAATGGAACAAAGCTGGATGGAGAATGACCTTGACGAGTTGAGAGAAGAAGGCTTCAGATGATCAAACTACTCAAAGCTACAGGAGGAAATTCAAACCAATGGCAAAGAAGTTAAAAACTTTAAAAAAAAATTAGGCGAATGGATAACTATAATAACCAATGCGGAGAAGTCCTTAAAGGAGCCGATGGAGCTGAAAGCCAAGGCTCGAGAACTACGCGAAGAATGCAGAAGCCTCAGGAGCCGATGCGATCAACTGGAAGAAAGGGTATCAGCGATGGAAGATGAAATGAATGAAATGAAGGGAAAAGGGAAGTTTAGAGAAAAAAGAATAAAAAGAAACGAACAAAGCCTCCAAGAAATATGGAACTATGTGATAAGACCAAATCTACGTCTGATTGGTGTACCTGAAAGTGACGGGGAGAATGGAACCAAGTTGGAAAACACTCAGCAGGATATTATCCAGGAGAACTTCCCCAATCTAGCAAGGCAGGTCAACATTCAGATTCAGGAAATACAGAGAATGCCACAAAGATACTCCTCAAGAAGAGCAAGTCCAAGACACATAATTGTCAGATTCACCAAAGTTGAAATGAAGGAAAAAATGTTAAGGGCAGCCAGAGAGAAAGGTCGGGTTACCCACAAAGGGAAGCCCATCAGACTAACAGCGGATCTCTCGGCAGAAACTCTACAAGCCAAAAGAGAGTGGGGGCCAATATTCAACATTCTTAAAGAAAAGAATTTTCAACCCAGAATTTCATAGCCAGCCAAACTAAGCTTCATAAGTGAAGGAGAAATAAAATACTTTACAGACAAGCAAATGCTGAGAGATTTTGTCACCATCAGGCCTGCCCTAAAAGAGCTCCTGGAAGAAGCACTAAACATGGAAAGGAACAACTGGTACCAGCCACTGCAGAAACATGCCAAAATGTAAAATAATGTTTTAAATTACTTTGAAAAGAAAAAAGTTAATTATACAAGTGATTTACCAATCTATCCTCCCAGCTTGAACACCTTTGGAAGATGATAGATATGGTTACAGTCTCCCTTGACTGCCATCTGTAATCCCAGTCTTCACTTGACTTCCCACAAGTAATTACTACTATTTACTTGTGGTTTTTCCTTACAGATTTGCATTCATTTATTTGTGCTGGGAAAAGATACTGTTATGGACTTAACATTTGTTGTCTCCCAGCTCCCCATCCCCAAATTCTTGTCTTGAAATCCTAACTTTCAAAATGATAGTATTAGAAGGTAGGGCCTTTGGGAGATAATTTAAGTCATGAGAGTGGAACCCTGATTAATGACATTAGTGCCCTTTTAAAAGAGACCTAGAGAGCACTGCAGCCCCATTTCTCCCACGTGAGAATTCAAGGAACTAGGGTCTACAACCTGGAAGAGGGAAGTCACCAGAGCCTGATTATGTTGGCAACTTGACCTCAGACTCCCAGCCCCTAGAACTGTGAGAAATAAATTTTTACTGTTTATGTCAGTCTGTGGTATTCTGTTATAACAGCCAGAACTAAAACAGATATAGTGTTTTGTGTTTCAAAAATAAATATTATATTATACATAATTTTGTATCTTGCCTTCACCCAAAAATGACTTTTTTGAGATCTATACATACTAATACAGATAGATGAGTTCATTCCTTTAAATTACTTCTTAGGAGTCAAACTGATATTTTGGGAAGATGAATTACATTTATCTTGTCGCTTTGAATGTTCCAGGCATGCTGCTGCCTACCTTGGTCTCACATTAGCTCAATTAGAAACTGGTATGTGGAGTTTAGATCTTCTATTCCTGAGCTGGTGGGAATCTGCTTATTCATGTTTTGCTAATCACTCATATTTATTAGTACTTGTACCACTTTTCTAGGTATGGTATGTGTATTACAACTCTATGAAGTAGCTACTATAATTTCACACTGTAATTGCAGAAGAGAAAATAGAGTGTGTAGAGTTCAGTTGTCTATGGTCATTTAGGCGTTATATGGCAAAGATAGGGTCCTTACCTATGCAGTCTGATTCTAGGGTCTGTGTTCTTAATCACTTTACAAAACTACCTGGGGAAACATGTGTGATGTATTTAAGAATCCCAGTTAATTTCTCTGTGTTCCACAAGGCAATGAGATATCCAATGAGACATAGGCTTTTAATGCTGAATTTGAGCCAGATAGCTGCAGCCAAGTAGTATTTTCAATGACCCATGTTATGAGAGGCTCTTGTCCTTTCTGAGGTTATGCCTTGGCTTATTTACACATGACATGCCTGCTAACTTATCAGGTGAACTGAAGCAGAAGAGATGGTTAATGTGTTTGCCCAGTGGATGATGTGAAACGTGCAATAAGTTGCCAAAATCCACAGCTAAGCAGCTCAGTCTGCACAATTGATCCAAAGAATTGGGGGAGCAATGAGAAGTCAATTTTTATGAAGGGATGATGCTGAGAAGCCCTTCAGTGCCTGCTGCTTTCCCTTCTCAAGTGGCCCTCAGAGGACAGTGCCAGGCTGTGGACAGGTTTTCAGCTGCTGCTGCTCCCCAGGGACAAGGGTGAAATGACACTGGTGAAAAGGTGTGGCGATGTGAATGTCCTTTGTCCTGCCATTTGCTTTTTCTCCAATGTGATTGTGAGCTTTGACACCTGTCTGGGAGAAGGAGGCAATCTTTTAATTAGGTTCCTTCACTGACTTACACAGTGCTTGAGTATCAAAATGTTGGGTTGAGTCAGCTGTGACTTTGTTTTTCCTTTTCTTGTACTCTTTAAATACAAAGTCATTTTAAATTCTGTTGCTGCATTCTTTTTTTTCATTTGGTGGTATATTTTGGGTGTCCAAACAAGTGTAGCAGGGTGAAAAATAGCATTGTTTAAAGAGCTGGCAGCAAAGTTTTTCTTAGGGAAAGAACAATATCAATTTAGGCTAGTGCCCTGATAAGACACTTAAGATGTAGAAGATGAACATGAAGCCTAGGGGAAATGACTAAGAAGGCAATTGTATGATGAAGGAAAAGGCCCTTACATAATATTTTTCCTAAGATATAAACAGGAATTTGCGAAAGGACAGAAGTGAAGGAGAGGGGAAATCTGGCAATTTGATGGGAGGATAAGATGAACATAGTGGCTAACAGAAGCACAAAGGCATCTAAGGACTGAGGAATCTAATGTCCAATTTTAACTCCCCCTTGTCCTCCCTATCTCTCTCACAATGTAAACAGCCAGCATTGGCCCTTAAGTTCTGTGCAATATACAAACCATCATAGGATAGATTTCGAGTAAAATTAAGGAAAGGGGACTAAGTTCCCAGTCTGGGCACACCTGGAACAAAAAGATGTGAGTAGACCAGTCACAGGAGGGAAAGTGAAATTGAGACCAAGGTTAAAAAACAGCAGACATTTATTTCAGAGAAGATGCTCCACTTTCCACAAGATCTGTGACCCAAGTCTTGAGTCCATTTCCTTTAAACCTTGAAGAGTTGCCTCAGCAGACACTTGAGTGACAGAAAGGAAAAGTAGACTAAACTAAAACCTGCAGGGATTTTTCACTGGCATATACAGAAAACCTTATAATTAAATAGCCTGCTAGGTTTTAGGTCAAAGCAGATATTCCACCATCTCCCATCCTCTCCTTATTTTCATGATAACGTATAATTTGGTGATTCTTAAATCAGTTTCTTCGATTAAAGAACAAGATGCTGAGAAGGACAGAACTCAGGCTCTGGGTCAGAAACATGTGGGTTGGAAAAATCCCTCTACTGTTTGTAAACCATGCATTCTTAGGTTATTTTGACTCTATGATATTTATTTTTTTGCAGAAATAATTTGTAATTATTTTTTATTTGGCTTGTTTCTTGTCTGTTTACTTGGTAGAGAACAGGCTGCAAAACCCATGAAAGAGTGACAGTGGCTGTTGTGTCGTTATTGCATCCCTAATGCCTGCCCCATCAAGGATACTTCAATATGAATATATTGAGTGGATACATAAACTTTTTTTTTGATCTTCTGTTTATGAATCTGAAAAGAATGAGGGTGGGAATAATACCACCCCTACTATAGGTCGCTGTGAGAATAAAACAACGCAGGTGATGACACTTAGTACAGAATCTAGATTCACAGTAAATGTCAACTTTCTTTGCCTTCCAAAGCCATAGGTTTGTTCCCTTTCTGGAACAGTGAGGCCACTCTTCTCTATGACCATACTCTATGATCTTTGCTACCCTGCCACAATATGTTCTTGGTTTTATAAAGATCTTAGAGAAAAAGAACATAGGAAGTTCAATATAGCTCTGCCAGGAGTACTAGAAAAACATCAACCACCTGCCCTTCAAGTAGGGAAGATCCATGACATTAACTACAATGACCGAAGTTTATTACTGGCCTGTACTCCTGTCCATCTACCAAGCTTAGAAAAAAGGTGCTGGTTTGGCCTTTGACTCCTGAGGGCTCTTCTCTGCATGTTTTTTTTTTTGTTTTTTTTTTTGCCATGAGAAGATCTGTGAATGAATGGTATTATTTTGTTAATTGATAGTTACCAAAGGAGAGAGCAGTTACCAAACCCATATCAGAAAATTAAAGATAAGGGATGAAAGAAAGGATCATGTTCTTGGAAAGACCAAGAATGAGGCTACCTGGAGGAGAAATTAGAGCAAACAATTCAGACCCATCAAGAAGAAAAAAAAAAATAGGAAAAGGAGCAGACATCACAAAATACAAAAGTGCCTAAGAGGAGAGGGGGCTCCCTGTTTGGGTAAGGATGGCCTTTGAAATGCAGGTCCCTATTTCAGATTTACAAATAAGCAGGTGTCACCACCTCAGGGAGATAATAGGAGAAGCAGGCTGGATCTGTTCGTGGAGTTTAAGACTAAAGACCAAGAGACCCAAGAAATCTGGCTGCTGGAGAGGGTGAAGGGAAAGGTTTGTCTAGGGTTCCATGTGAGAGAGTCAAATGATTGCAGGGAGTCTGTCAATCAGGAATTCACTTCAACAAATTTTGAGGTTGCCTATCCTGACCTTTTTAGGTTGTGCTTATTAAAAATATTTTAGGATAGGCACTATAAGTTATAGCAATTGTAGGCATATTATTCATGTCTGACCACGAACCCAGGCAACTTGGATTCTAGATTTGGCTCTGTCTTTACTTATTCTGTGACTGGGAAAAATCACAAACCCTCTGTGAATTTTCATTTTCTCATATCTAAAGTAAAATATTACTGAAGAAACACTTTTCACATCTCTCACAGTCTTAAGATTTTCATTTCAGCCCCTCCAATTGTAGGGTTCCTCCCCTTCTTTGGGGTTCCCAGGTTCTTGCTGTGTTTTGAGGGGTGTCTGCAGGAAGTTATCAGAAGCCGACTGTTGTATGTGATATCACATGTCACTCCTGATCACAAATCTTTGTGGAAGTGACGCATACTGACAAAGTTAAGTCCTCAGTGGGTGTTCATGGGGAGGCACAGTTGGCAAAGGCCCCTCGACCTGGGTGATAAAATATTCACCACTATGTGGAAGCTTGGTAGTTGGGGATGACAGATCGGTTCCTAGGTAGTTCCTGGGCATTTGGACAATGCAGTGAACTTGATGAGTTCCACTTGCCAGGCTCTTCCTATATAGCTGACCTATCCTGCTATGAAAACTTGCTTAGGACCTTCCTCCTCCTTGCCCAATAAAGCTTGATAACTTATTTAACTCAGGCCCAGGACCATTATAACTCAACAACTTGTTCTGTTCTCAGCGGTTAGTACAGGCTTAATTCTCAAACCTTTCTTTGAGATGTGGGGAAACATGAGCCTTCTATTCTGCAAAGAAAAGGAAGAAGGCAAAACAGTTTTTGTATTAACTAGCAACAATCTAGATGCTAGATTGGATCATCTCTAAGGTCTCTTTCAGCTGTGACATACTATAAATTTGAAGCCAAGAGCAACAGAAGGTTGCTTTTCTTTCTGGCAACACTATGGTGAGAAAACCTTAGCCTTTTTAGGACTTGGAAGTATTAAAACTTTTAGACTCCAAGGTACAAAAAGGAATGAATGGTAGCATGTAACCCAAATCTTTGGGATCATGGTTTGGTGGATTTTTTGTACCAAACTGCTATGTGCCACTATTTAGAATGATGGTCTTGGAAAAGCCAGTCTGTAAATGTATTTCTTATGAATTTGATGGTTATCTAACTTAATTAGCATGCTGATTCCTTACTTTTAGAGTTCCCAGGAATTATTGGAAGGGGTTTATGTGGGCAAGTGAGTTAGGAAAAAATGACAGAGAAACCATAATCAATTACTTCACGGTATGAGAGTCATAAGCAAACATCTGAGACCTTCCCTCTATGTAGACTGACATTTTCCTTTATAGCTCAGTCTGTTTAATCTAGTTTCACAATGCTGCCTGAATCATGACAAGTATTGCCATTCTGAATTTGTTCAGCCAACTGAAATAATCTAGAAACATCTGTGGGCCATTCCTTGATGCAGAGAGAACATAGGATACAGTCTTTGACTCAGTGCTTTATGCCTGTTTTGAAGAGAGCTTAGTTTTTCATTCACTCATTCATTTAAAAAATGTCATGCATTCCTTAATCCAACCATTTATCCATCTGTCTGATACTGGGCATTAATTATGTATTAGGCACTCTGATAGGCAACAAAAGGGTCTTATATATTTCTATCCGGAAATAAAAGGCAGGAAGCAAGAGAGGGACACATTTTTCATTTCAGTGTCAGGTGGTAGTGAGGCATCAAAGATGTATGCATTTGCAGCAGAGTTTATTGAAGGGAAGTGGCTGCTGTGAGCAATCATCTGAAACTAGGCTGCCCTTTCTACCACTGTGGGACATGAGTCTTAATGCTGTTCCTGGGAAGAGGCAGGGAGCCTCTAGGGAGCAAGGAGGACTCCCCAGTTTCTCTTTGTATTCTAGGCTCATAGAAAGCACCATTTAGGACTCCTCATGGGGCACAATCTCCCCAGGCTCCCCTCTGCTACTATCTTCTCACTGCATGTTCTTAAGGAAATTAGATGAGGCTCTAACGTAATACGAAGTTGATTAACAATATAAGCACACACTCTCTCTAAGGGAGACACTCAGATGAAACTACCTAAATGTGCCTGCCTAAAATCAAAGCAATTAACCTAGAAAGTTACACAGCCAGGACTTCAATCTCTGAGCTACTTTCATCCACAGAAGGAGTTTATGAGGTTTATGTTTTTATCTGGAATATTGTCCATTCTTATTTCTTTTCCCCAAAAGCCAGAGAGTTCTTTACTGGCCTAGAGGGAGTGGTCTTCACAGCTATATTCATGGCCTTCTTGAATGGATATTTTGTGAGAAGTCTTAGAAAAACTTCAAGGAACAAGCAAACTCAAACTTTCATGTTCAGCAAAAGCTCATCTGCCTCATCTGAAAAATGGGAATAATAGAACCTCATTGGACTGTTGCACAGAGAGGATAAGACAATATGAAGCTGATACGAAAAGGCTTGGCTCATAGGTGGTTCTCAATACCTATTACTGCCCCCCTTCTATTTGTTTGAGGAAAATGCCAATCCCCTTTGGATTATGGGAAGGGCCTGTAATGGGTGCCTTAACTCAGCCTGGGAGGAATACTTATTAGGCATTCACCTGAGGAGTGGAGGGAGGAAGAAAGGTGAATAAGAAGGAATTAGACTTTGCTGGATGATGCTGGGCTTGCTGAGGCAAATGGCTACCTTTAAAAAAACATTACTTGGCACTCGTCCTTTCCTAGGAATGCAGATAACACTACTGGTTTACTTACCCCTTCCTGGCTAGCAGAAGAATGTTCCAGGCTCCTGAGATGTCTGGGTTGTTGAAACTGAAGAAGTAGGGGCCAGGTTTGAACAGAAAGGCCTTCTTCCTGGAGAACTGTCTACTGTAAGAAGGAGCCCTGGTGTTCCTTCACATTTTGCAGATCCAGGACTCTTTGTTGTTCCTGGATTTCATATCTTTGTTTTCCTAAAATTGACATCCATAGGAGGACAGCCTGTATTTCTTCACTAGCACCATAGGAGAAGAACATGGCTTATTGAGAGACCCAAACTTACTTCTTCCAACACAGCACAACCTAACATGATACTTAAGAATGTCTTCTATGTATTATAACTGACTAGGTTCAAATCCTAGTCCTTCATGTAATCCTTTTAAACCTTAGTTTCTTTGCTTCATCATGGAAATAGTAAGACCTAACTTGTAGTGTTGTTGAAGGATAATAGAGCACATAAAGCAATTAACCTAACACTTGACTCTTAATAAGGGCTTCATACATAATGGCTATCATATTTGTGGTTTGTCTCTTCCTTTCATGCTTTCTCCTATGCACAAAACCTTGTGGATTAAACAACTCCATGGACTTTGTGAAGGAAAATGTTTGCAGAACCTCTATAACAGATGATCATTGGAATGGAGCCTGCAGTTTCCCTAGGCTAGTCTTCTAGCTAAGGATCTCCTTTACCAATTCAGATGAGGCTCAGGAAAGTCTGAAACCACCCAAAGCTAAGGAGTAAGGGATTCACTATTTTAGGACATAGGGCAGATGCTGCCTGTTCTCTCTTTATATCCCTTGGGTCTTTCTACTTTAATAATCTTCAGTTGAATTCTAACTGTCAACATCTACATCTCTCCCTCCAAGGGCTTTCACAGAAGCTGGAGAAGGTCTCTTGGCAAGATAGGCTAGGAGTGCTGGGAATTAACACCTCGGGAAAGCTGTGTATAAAAACCTCAGCTCCCTTGGTGCTCAGGTGGGATTAACCTGAAATGTGTGTTTTACAGTTTCCCAGAGGTTTCTCATGGGATGGAGCTCCAGTCTGTCTACAGTGGTAGCTGTAATGATAATGCATCATGTATTTGCTGCCTTTCTTCCTCTGTTATGCCACTCCCCTCCCTTACTGATATTTCCTGTACCTCCCAAATAAACTGCTTACACTTGAATTCTTGTTTCAGGGTATGTTTCTGGGAGAACCTAACCTGAGAAGATAGGATTAAATTCAGAGGAGAACAAAACACTAGCATGTGGTGCTCTTGAGGGCTGAGAGTGTCTCCATTGCCATTGTATCCCCAGCACCTAGGGCATCATTTGGCTCAGGTTAGTCACTCAATACATACTTCATTCAGGGAATGAGAAACAGAGGTAATAATTTAGCCTCTGAGGGAGCAAAGTAGAAAACTCTGCATTATTGAACAAATAAGCTGCATTAATTTATATAGGAATTAACTATTTAGAATTTTAGAAGGCAATTTTATATATGTCTTCTGCAGATATTAACAACTTTATTTTACAGATGAAGAAACTTAATTTGATCATTACATTAACTTGCCCAATGCTGTGCTGTGGATCGTAGTGCTGGAAATCACACCATGGTCCTTGCAGCAAAGTCATGCTTTTCCTGTCACCATCAGCGTGTTAGCTTGCCAGCGGCATGATGCCTTTGCCACCATGGGATAGAAGGACATATTCAGTTGTCAGGTTTCAGCCAGACACCTCACTGAGCATAATCCAGGTTGCCTTTCTTCTCTTCTTTTAAAATCTTCTGACTTAGAGGTCCCTAACCTGGGGCCCAGATGGACTCTGAGGACTTAGTATTTATATGTGCTTTGTTTTTTTGTTTGTTTAAACAAAGGGATCCTTAGTTTCCATCATTCTCAAAGAATTCTGGGATCAAAATAAAAAGCCATTGTCCAAGCTGCTGCTGCTAATAGTGCCTTAGTTTCTTAAGATAAAGTGCTTTCACTATTATCATTTCCCCTACCTGCTTCACCATCATTTATTGGACTTTGGGACAGTCTAAGCTTTCTTCCTGAAGTCAGTGATTTTCAGAAAGTCAGTAGGTTTCTTTGTTTTTTTGTTTTGTTTTGTTTCATTTAGAAAAAAAGTTGGAAAAATCACTCAGGATCCTTAATATGCATATTAATACTTTTTTTCCTTATGCTTGAATGTCAGTCAAGCCTCAGTTTTAATTCAAGACTCTCCAGTATTGGGCAGCAATCAACTTTCCTATCATATCCTCCATTGGTTCTCTCTAGCTTCCCAGCTGCCCAGTGACACTGGACCAGTCTCATTTCCTGAACTTTTTCTTCTCTCTACATCATAAATCCCATTTGAAATGCTGTCCCTTAGACCTCTTGCCAGTTGAATTCCTGCAAGTATGTCAAGGCATAACTCAAATGCCATTTCTTCAGGCAAGCCTTCTGTCCTAATATAGAATGATATTTATAATGATAGCTAACATTTATTGAGGGCTTGCTATGGACCGGATGTGATGCTAAGAAGTTTTTGGCAAATATTTAAACCAAAACCTTTCAGGCTTTTGAAAGATTAAGGAATGTTAGCTTCTATAACAACAAAACAAAACAAACAAAACATAATCTCAGTGGCTTAACGGAATTGAAACTTATTTCTCATGTATGTAAAGTCTCGATAAGTGTTTCTGATAAGCAGGCACTGTGGGGATTTAAAGACTTTGGATCTTTCCATCCTGTGGCTCTGCCATCTTTAACAAGTGGCTTCCAAGCTTCCTGGCTTGGAGAGAAAGGATAAATGCTCACATATGAGAAGACTTTATGGGCCAGTCCTAGAAATGGCACATATCACTTCCACTCACATTCCATTGTCTACAATTTGTCTTATAGCTGGGAAATGTAAACTAGTTTATATCCAGGAGAAAGACACAATTAATTTGGTGAAAATTTAGAAGTTTTTGGCCACAAAAGTACCTACTAGTGTTATTGTCTGAATGTGTCCCTCACAATTCATATGTTGAATCTAACTCCCAATGTGAGAGTATTCAAAGGTGAGACTTTAGGAGGTGATTAGTTCATAAGGATAGAACCCTCATTAATGGGATTAGTAACCTCATAAGAGAGGCCTCAGAGAGGTCCCTTACTCTTTCCTCTATGTCAGGATGCAACAATAAGACAGGAACCAGACCCTCATCAGACAACAAATCTGTCAGCACCCTGATCTTGGACGTTCCAGTCTCCAGAACTGTGAGAAACAAATTTCTACTGTTTATAAGCCACCTGACCTATGGTATTTTGTTATGGTAACCTGAACGAACTAAGACTGAAATTAAGAGAGCAGTGACAATGTTAAATTTGACCTGAGCCCTAGGATCCTGGAAAACAGCAATTATTAAGAAGTCCTCCTAACATTTTGTATTTCAGAAAGTGGCTTACTGAAAAAAAAAAAAAAAAGCCAACCTTTTTCATAGGACTTAGGTAAGACTCATGGATGCCCCATGTTTATCTGAGATTAAGGCCGGACATAGGTCCTCCAAATTCCCACTCTTTACCTCATAAATGGTTAGCTGAATAGTTTTGTCCCCACTGATCAATCAGAACAAAATGCTTAAGTGAACTGAGTTTCTCTCCTTCCTCAAGGATCTTGAACTTCAGCCCACCCTCAACCTGAGCCAGCATCTAACCCTCCCTAAACAGCCCCTCCTGAGAGTAGGCTGGCCTCAGTGTAAACATGCTCTTGTCTACTGTCTCATCACCCATTCAACCTGTTGCCACTTCCCTTCACTGGTTCTTTCTAACATTGTTCACTCTTCCCTATTAAAGGAAAGCCCTTTTCTGCTTAACTTCGAAATACTTGCAGATCTCATGGTCAGTGCCTTCTCCCTACAGCTATAACCCCATTGCTTGCTCTTGTAATAATTCTTTAGAATAAAGTCTTTCCTTATGTATGCCTTGATTTTTTTTTGACAGCAGAGACTTGAACTTGAGTTCACTCTCACATTGGCTCCTATACTCGCTGCCTGCCATGGAAGTGGCCCCTACCCTTCCATGGCGTAGAGTAGTTGTGCTGGGAATTGGCTAGTCAGTTGGGCACTACAGTTTCCAGACCCTTGCTTTAGGCATGGGAGCAAGTGACTCATTCTAGTAATTGAAATGGATTGATATAGCATTTTAGGCAAAAGTGGTTGTGTATCTGGCATACCTTCCCCTAGTTATGGTACCTTTCTCAGGAGAACTTGGAAGATGTCAGCATCATCAATTGGAAAGCGCTTGATGCCTAAGTCATTGCTTAGGGAAGAGGCATCAAAAGAGCCACCTGACTAAAAACATCTGCATTGGTCTTCTGAACTTGGTGGCACGTAACAGAGTACTCTAATACAGCTTGCGACGCTAACAGCACATTGAAAACAACCAAATCCTATTATGGGGAACTAGAAATCATCGATTTCTCATACAGATGGATAACTGAGAGAAAGGTATTGTATTTTGTTTGTCCCTTGCAGTACTTACCACTTCCTACTTTGCCTTGCAATTAGCTGTATTCATCTCTCTCTGCCTCCTCAATGTATGGTTTTAAAGACAAATATGGCCTTATTAAACCTGCAGGATTTAAATGTTTTTGGCATATGTCAGGATCTGAATGTTTGAAGAATGAATGAATCAACTGTAATTTTACTTTTACAACAACCTTTTCAGATAAGCAGAGCAGATATTTATTTTTATTATGGTAGTAAAAAAACACAAAACATTTAGAAAATAAACTTTAAAAAGCAATTTAAATCCAATCACTTCTTTGTTACTATATTTATGTATTTTATTTTTCATATTTAAAAAAATTTGCAATCATACACATGCATTTTTGTATCCTTTTCAATTTAATTTTATAGCATGGTTATTTTTGCATGCTGCTACTTTGCTTACATAATCATTGTTTTTAATCCCTATTTATACAAGTGAATATAGTATAATTTATTTGTCTTCTCTCAATACGCACTATGCAAATATAGCCTCAGTAAACTTCCTTTTGCATAGACATTTTCCATGTATTTATTTATATCATTTCCTTACAATAAATTTTTAAATGTAATACATATGACTATGTCAAAGGGTGTGAACATTTTTTATTATTGTTGATACATATTACCAAATTGCTGTGCAGATTCATACCTATTTACAAAGAATTATCGTACTATTGCTAGCATGATTGAAAATGGAACATTTTAATTTAGATTTATTATATAAAATATTGTTTTAAAATCATATCTTTATTTAGGAGAGGGAATGCTTTTGTGTTTATGTTTTTTGTTTATTTAGGAGAGGGAATTTCCTTTTTTTTTTTTTTTTAAGAGACAGAGTCTGGCTCCATCACTTAGGCTGGAGTGCAGTGGTACAATCATAGCTCACTGAAGCCTCCAACTCCTGGACATAAAGAATCCTTCCTCCTCAGTCTCTTGAGTAGCTAGGACTACAGGTGCACACCATCACACCTGGATAATTTCTTTTTACATTTTTTTTTGAAGGGATAGAGTCTCTCTATGTTTCCCAGGTTGGTCTTGAACTCCTGGCCTCAAATAAACCTCTATCCTTTCATCTTGGCCCCCTAAGGTGCTGGGATTACAGGCATAAGCCACAGCACCAGGCCCTTTTGTAAATTTTATATTCCAATTTCTTTTTTTAATTATATTTTATTATTATTATACTTTAAGGTTTAGGGTATATGTGCACAATGTGCAGGTTTGTTACATATGTATACATGTGCCATGTTGGTGTGCTGCACCCATTAACTCGTCATTTAGCATTAGGTATATCTCCGAATGCTATCCCTCCCCTCTCCCCCCACCTCACAACAGTCCCCGGTGTGTGATGTTCCCCTTCCTGTGTCCATATGTTCTCACTGTTCAATTCCCACCTATAAGTGAGAACATGCAGTGTTTGGTTTTTTGTCCTTGCGATAGTTTGCTGAGAATGATGGTTTCCAGCTTCATCCATGTCCCTACAAAGGACATGAACTCATCCTTTTTTATGGCTGCATAGTATTCCATGGTGTATATGTGCCACATTTTCTTAATCCAGTCTGTTGTTGTTGGACATTTGGATTGGTTCCAAGTCTTTGCTATTGTGAATAGTGCCACAATAAACATACATGTGCATGTGTCTTTATAGCAGCATGATTTATAATCCTTTGGGTATATACCCAGTAATGGGATGGCTGGGTCGAATGGTATTTCTTGTTCTAGATCCCTGAGGAATCGCCACACTGCCCTCCACAATGGTTGAACTAGTTTACACTCCCACCAACCATGTAAAAGTGTTCCTATTTCTCCACATCCTCTCCAGCACCTGTTGTTTCCTGACTTTTTAATGATCGCCATTCTAACTGGTGTGAGAGATGGTATCTCATTGTGGTTTTGATTAGCATTTCTCTGATGGCCAGTGATGATGAGCACTTTTTCGTATGTTTTTTGACTGCATAAATGTCTTCTTTTGAGAAGTGTCTGTTCATATCCTTTGTCCACTTTTTGATGGGGTTGTTTGTTTTTTTCTTGTAAATTTGTTTGAGTTCATTGTAGATTCTGGATATTAGCCCTTTGTTAGATGAGTAGGTTGCAAAAATTTTCTCCCATTCTGTAGGTTGCCTATTCACTCTGATGGTAGTTTCCTTTGCTGTGCAGAAGCTCTTTAGTTTAATTAGATCCCATTTGTCAATTTTGGCTTTTGTTGCCATTGCTTTTGGTGTTTTAGATGTGAAGTCCTTGCCCATGCCTATGTCCTGAATGGTATTGCCTAGGTTTTCTTTTAGGGTTTTAATTTTTTACTCGTAAGACATTTATTGTGTCAAACAGTGTGCTGGAGGGTGTGGTGAAAAATGAGATCTTTGCCCTTAGCAAATGTTTGTCCTGGTGAGAAGAGACAAAAAATCAACAAGTAAACACAAATAAAATAATGTGTGTCATTATAAGATACATGGAGGAAATTCATAGGATTGATGAGTGCTTAACTTAAGGTGGTTGGAGAGTCCTCTCTGAATTGGAGAAGTTTTAGCTGGGATGTGAAAATTGTGAAAGAGCCAGTCATGTCAAGAACTTACCATTCAAATATTTGGAAGATGAGGATTCTAGGCAAAGGAATAAGAGGAAGCATAAAGGCACTGAAGTGTAAATAGTTTTGGTATGTTCATGGAAAAAAGAAGGTTATAGTGGGAACACAGTCAGAGATGGAGAGCAGTACGAGGTAAAGTTGGAGGTTTGGGTTGGGACTAGAACATCAAAAATTTTATAGGCCGTGGCAAGAAATTTGGGTTTTCTTCTAGGTGTAGAAGGAAACCATTAAGGGTTTTAAGCAGAACAGTGATATGATATGACTTAAAGGTCATTTTGAATGCTGTGTAGAGAATCAATTTGAGGTCAAAGAAGCAAATCTGTTGAGAGGTCATTGCAATATTCTAAGGAAGAGATAATGGTGACATGGACCAGGGTGCCAGCAGAATAGATAGGGAGAAAAATATATTGTCTTCTGTTGGGTCATACCTAAAGCAGAGACTGAGACAAAAATTCAGTATAGATAGTTTACTTGGGAGGTAATCCTAGAAAGTGAAAGTGAGAAAACAAGGAGAGTGAGATAGGAAAGAAAGACAAGTTCAGGTAAGGATGCAGCAAGGTCACCACTACAGGCACTAGAACTTGATTCTCATAGGACTTCCAAGAATAGGATGCCTTCCAGAATTGTCCAACTAAACACCTGCAGTCTGGGTCATTTGATGACTGTGACCTGGGATGAAAACGTGGAAAGAGACAGCTTGGTCTTGAGGTGGGATGCCATTAGGGTGCACAGAGGTGGCCTGAGGGTATGTGGTATAGGGTATCAAAAAAGATCTGCTATCTATAAATTGATGCAAATGATAGTTTTCAGTGCAAAAACTATTCCTTTTGACAGGAATGGAAACTGGTGGGAAAATCTGAGAGACTTCTTTGATTCCATAGTTATTTGGTTATAGCACTGAGACTGGGATGCAGATCTTTTGCTAAAAATGGTAGGAAACCAATCGTTTGGACTGGACCCCTGATTAGGTAATGCAACTGATGTTTGTCATGGATTCTCCTTCCTAAGGGTTGATTTGTTTTTCTCCTAAAAATAAATGAAGAGAAAGGAAGCCCAGGTTTGAACATTACAACTTAAGCTCTCCAGATCATCAGACCTCATAATTAGAACATCACATTTCCTTTAGCAAGTTTTTCTTAGATAATTTAATCTATGGCTTTGTTCCTTGCCATTTCCTAGAGAACAAAAATACTTGTCCAGAAAAATAACTCTAGGACCTGGGAGAACCTGCAGGAAATCAACCAGCAAATGTTAGCCTTTTTTCCTCCTATGTCACCCTCTTGAAATTTTAGTCTTTCTTTTCACATTTATAGTCCAGAGACTTTGAAAATTACTTCGTGGTCCCAATTTAACAAAAAACTTTCTTGAACGAAAACAAATTAGAACTGAGTTGTCCAGAATTTCCTGGGTTTAAAAATTTGTTTTTCTTTCTCCATTGGCCAAATTAATTTTAATAAGCACAATAATATGATACCGATACTACTATGATGTAATATGATGTAGTAGAATGTTAATATCAACAATGTATTGAGTACCACAATGAGCTAGATATTTTGCCAGGTGCTTGATATTTTTATCTCAAATTCTCAAACTAAGAAATACATATTATCTTCTCCATTTTATGGATATAGAAGCGGTCTCTGAAAGATTACATGAAATACCAAAATCAGCAGCTACTAAACCTAAAATACAACCTTATCTGACTCCAAAGTATATTTTGCTAACTTCTCCAACTGTGTTCTCAGCCACACAGGATTAACTTGTATGTTGAATAAGAACTCAGGGTGTAATTGAGAAAACCAGATTTTAAACCTTAGTGATGGTAGTTTTTTTCTTCCTCTGTTTTACCCCCCAAAAAAACCCTGCAGATAGGCTCATACTCTTTTTTTGGTCCATATCAGTTAATTAAACTTTAAACTACTATTGTTTTATGTTTTTGTCTTTTTGCGTCAAATAATTTTTATTCATGTAGTTTCCGGCAGAATGTCCCAGGTGACATCTGATTAGCAAATGGCCACAGGAAATGTTGTCAGTGCAACAGAGAAGCAACAAGCTACAGAAGCAAACCAGAACCAAATTGGTAATTGAGTGTTAGGACCTCATTCTACCGATTCTTGATATAAATACAGTAATTTCAAAACTCAACAACCCACATTTATGGTAGTAAAGAAACATCGGAATAGTCATTGCTTCTGGAAGTGAGTGTGGGCAGGGATAGACTGAGAAGGTACATGAAGAAACTTTCTGGGCAATAACAATGTTCTGTATTTTGGTAGGGGTTTGGTTTGCACAGGTGCATGGATATCTCAAATATTATGGGTTGTGCATTTCATTCTATATAAATCTCAAAAAAGCATCATAAACCAATATTGAACTATAGTTACTAATATGTACACTGAATTATTTAGGGGTGAGGTATATGGATATCTGCAATTTACTTTGAAATGTATCAGAAATATGAATCAATTGGTGAATAGAAGGATAGATAGCTAGATAGCTGAGTGACAAAGCAAAAAGAGCAAAATGTTTATAGAATATACACATTTGGTATGAAGGTGTTTAGTGTATAATTCTTCCAACTTTTCTGTATGTTTAAAGTTTTTCATTAAAAATAATGTGGGAGAAAAAATAATCTCAAACCTAGGAGTCTCTAGTTCCACTGAGGACAACCAATAGAAGGTACATTTATGTGTAGTTGTTTGTTCTCTCTTATTGTTCTGGATATTTTTATTTATAGAAAGGAGATGAATTGTTCATTCCCATGAACGAGTTTGAAAAAGTGGTCCATTAGGCAAGGGCCTTTACTTTATCTTTGTGGTAGGCAGAATAGTCCTTCAAAAATGTCCACATCCTAATCCCTGGAACTTGTGAATATATTACCTTACACACCAAAAAGGACTTGGCAGATGTGATTAAATTAAGAATCTTGATTATGGGGGGATTATTCCAGATTATCCAGGTAGGCCGATGTAATCACAAGGGTCTTGTGAATGAAAGAGGAAAGCTAGAGAGTCAGAACTAGAGAAGGAGATCTGATGCTGGGGAGGAGAGTTTGGTGTGATGTGATGATTGACTTGGAACGTGAGGAAAGCAGGCCAAGAGCAAAGAAATGCAGACTGCCTCTAGCTGCTGGAAAATGAAATGAAACATTCTTCCCTAGTGCCTCTAGAAGAAATGCAGTCCTTCCAACAGCTTAAGTTTAGCCCGGTGAAACTTGTGTCAGTCTTCTGATCTATAGATCTAGAAGTAAATAGATGTGTTGTTGTAAGTCACTTAGTTTGTGGTAATTTTGTTACACCAGCAACTGGAAACTACTGTAAGCACAGAAGGGAGGTTGTTCACATCAGCATATTATTCCAAAGCATTATGAAGGAAAATTGAGGCTGAGTGGCAGGCAAACCATTTGACATTGATGTTTGTTTTAGGTAGACTCTATGGAAGGGCTAACTCACAATAAACATTTCTGTGATTTATTTTAAGCATATACTTAAGAATAAGGAAAACAGAAGTCTCAGCCAAGGCTCACAGGCAGCCAGTTCCCATGGGATGAAGCCAAACATCTAGGCCTCATGAGAAGTCTCTGAATCACAGAAGGTCCAGGTCTCAAGGAGTATGGAACTGGAAGGTCATTCAGCAACTGGGGAACATCTAGGGACCTCACCAGCATAGGTCTGTGTAGCATTTATGGGACTTCACTTTTTTAGATTTTTTGCTTCATTCTGAATCAGTCTTTTTTCCTTCAATGCCTGTGGCCAGCACTACTGAGTTCATCTTCCTCTGGCTGGCACAGCCATGCCTGGGTGGGCACAATTTGGATCAAGCAGCACACACTGGATTTCCTTCCCTACTCCCCCCGAGCCAGATTCCCTGTGTAAGGAATACCTACTCAACCTTATATATGGCCCTGCCTTATATACACTTAGTTCCTCACCTTTCTATATCTTTTCTATTCCAATAGCTCCTTGCTTCTTTATAATTTCTGCTCCTAATACTCCTGTTTACTTATAACCTCAGCTCACATGTACCCCACCTGAAGTCTCTGCAGGCTTTTCTGTGTGACTGCTTTTAATTTCAGCTTTTACTGCCAACTGCTTGATATTCTCATTGGTCCACAATTTAATTCCTGGAAATGAGATTCTGATTGGTCAAACTGGTCTCTATTCTGGAAAAGCTTTTCATGTTAAGTAATCTTATAAACTGAATGCTTGGCTACTTTGGAATCTGGATTCCATCCCTAGTCTGATTTTTAAAAAAGAAAAGAAAAATCTTTTTGCATAGTGGATAAGGCCACTTAAAACCCAAGGTGGTTGCCTAAACTTGCCCCCCTTTTAAGGAGCTTTGAGAAGGTAGGATCATAACTGACATTTCTGGCACAAGTTTCAATTATAATGGAAGTTATTCGTATTCATATTTTGCCCCTCTTCAGAGAGAATTTGAAGAAGCAAGATAGATATTACATTCAATGATATTGTTAAGAAGAAAATATAAACAGGAGAAAAAAATCAAGGAACTAGATATTGAAGAGCACCAGCATTTTGATCAGTGTGATCAACATGCTTAACTGTGCTTCAGATTTTTTCCCCAGCTTCCTGATATTCAAGGAAGAATATTATATTTTAAATACTGCATTTAAATATTAAAATTTACAATTCTTATTACAGAAAAGAAAGTGATTGTATTTATTGATTGGGTGGCAGAGGCCTTAAGCTTCTTTAAAATGGGTTTCCTTAAGCAGCAGGTAGGACTTGGGGAAAGAGCCGTGTCAAGAGATCTGGCAAGAGCAGACACTTTAATATTTGTACATCATCTGTCTTTTTAAAGAACTTCTTCACAAGAAGAAAGCTCCCACATGGGATAGTTAGAGGTTTAGGAAATCAAACTGCCATTTTACTAAGTGGTCAGGTTTCTCCTATGAGTGGTGGCTCATAATGAACTCAACATTGTCCTTACCTCACCTCCACCCAAAAACCTGGATACTTGATGAGGATGACTTTGCCCCATGTGACTTTGTTTTTCTTACCTCTAAGAAGAGACAAAATTACTGGCCTTCCAAAACTCAGAGTTATGATGAGGCTAAAATCCAATGAGTAATGCACAAGGCTAAAAGCTAAAAGTTAGTATTTTCTAATGTCAGTTGTTGATATGACATGAGGTGTCCATAGTGGGAAAGGCTCTGATATACGTGTCAAGAAAAGGTAAGGGACTCCACTTCTAGGGTAGATTTGCTCTGTCTCCTTGGACAAGACATGAAGTCTCCCTGGTCCTTGGTTTCATAATCTCTAAGATAAGGGATTACATTAGAATCAATGTTTTTCACAACGTATTTTGCTCCTTAAAACAAAGAAGTATGTGGTAAAATAAAATTAAGAAAATGCATGATCTATGCCTCTTTTAGCAATTTACCAGGCACATTAACATATTATATGCTTGGGGAGTTCTGCAATAAATAAGAACTGTTTGTTTTAGCATAATTAAGATTCCAAAATCTATTTAAATGCATGTTTTTCCACCAGTTTTTTTTTTCAAAGACTAAAAATATCTCATGGAAAACACTTTGGTGAATGCTAGATTACATGATTTTTATATTTGCAAACATAAAATTCTACATTTTTTTTCACTGTCTACTGCTGGTTGGATGATCTTTAGGGTGAAGGTACATAGGTAGAAAATACTGGCCCTGACAAAGTGAAACTACTATATGTAGGAGAAAAAAATTAGAAAGGGAGAAAGTGAGGTGTCTAATTTATAGTCTTAGCACTTCTGAGATGTGTTGAGTCGAAATGTGTGTTGTACTGATTTGGATTGAATGCCTACAGAGAGTTTTCACCTATCCAATTGCCAGAAGAGAGTTAACATTGCGGGCTCAATTTTGGAAAAGTCACCGAACTCATCAGACAACAACAATTAGCTGACCTCTAAGTATGGACCAAACCTCTTAAGAAAGGTGCTATAACCATTAGTTCGTCCACTCAGAACCTGCGTCCTCCTCCTCTGGAATGAACTGCGAGCGTCTACTCTTGATGCTGGCTGTGTATCCCCCCTTCTGGTAACTAAACAGGTTTTATGCTCAAGTGTTTAAAACCCAGTTCCATCTCTCAATAAAAGAACAGTAAATAAATCACAACTTATTGATAAACAGTTGAGGTTTCAGGAATAGAAACGAGATGTGGAATAGAGTTCAGAATTGAAAGCGCTTTCCAATTACCTATTGAAAATCTATCCTACAGGTTCTGGTGTGAATTTTTGGTTGAGCTCTTACAGGAATAGGTGCAGACACTTTACATCCATCACTGCAGCTATGCAGCTTTGATATCATAATAGGTATTTTCTTATATCTTATTTAATTAATCCATTGGTCCAAGAATGATGACTGCTATTGCTACGTGGAACAAATGTAAAAGCAATACATTGTCTACTGGAAAAGGTTTAATAGGAGGCTTTAGTGAAACCTTTTTGTTGTCAGTGTTCTAATAACATTGAACATCAACTCTCTGTATTTACTCTCTTCATCTTGATCATAAAGGCAATATTTCTCAAACAAGTGCTCAGAATAAAGTCATTCTAATTGTATCTTTATTCCTGTTGACACCTTTTAAAGCTATTTTGAACTTTTTAAATTTTAAAACCTAAAAAAAAGTAGACAGAATAAGATGCTGCATCTCTATCTACCTATGCTGCACGTTCAACAATTATCAAGTACGGCCAATCTTATTTTTTCTATACCTTTTTACTTTTCCCACTCCCCACCACTGGATTATTTTGAAGCAATTCCCTGTCATCATATAATTTTATTCATAAATACTTTAGTATATGCCAGTAAAATACAAGACTTTTAAAAAAAGAATTACAACACCATTGAACATTTAAAAACTTACCAATGAGTTCTTAATATCATCAAATTACTAGTCAATATTCATTTTTTTCTGATTTTCTCATAGTTTTTAAAAATTATTATTTATTTATTTATTTTTACAAAAAGCAAGGTCCATCCATTGCATTGGGCTGGTGTGTCTTTTTGTCTTTCAAGATTCTTTTAATCTTTAGGGCCCCCTCTCTTTATTTCTCTCTCTTTATTTGTTAAAAACACTTGGTCATTGTTTTCTGTAGAATTTCCTATAATTTTATAGATTTTGCTAATTGCCTGTCTGATACTGTTGATCACATTCCATGTTCTTCTAACTCTACTTTCCAAAACTAGTACTTACATCTAGAGGCCTGCTCTGATTCTGACTAAATATATTTTAAAAATTTTATTGGAAAAAATTTATAGGAAGTACTTTTTATCATATAATTTCAGGAGGCACATAATTTCTGGTTGTTTTTCTTGTGATGCTAAGATCAATTCATAGGATTAAGTGTTACTAGCCTGATCTATTCGTTATGAAAATTGTTCATGAATTTTATAATTTATAGTTTTATCAGTCATTGATGATCATCTAAAACCATTATATTTGTAGAAGTTATAAAATAGGGATAATCTAATGCATCATTCCTTCTATATTAATTAGTTGGAATTCTTTTATGAAGAATAATTTTCTCTTATCAGCTGTTTGGTTATCCTGTGGTATAGGCCACATAGGAAAGACAGAATAAATTTCTAGATAGTTCTTAGTCCTGGGTTCTTGTAAAACTTACATGCTTGGGTGGGATCTGTGGTCTTACCTTTCCTACTCCTGTTGATAGAGATGTCAAGAGGCACAATCTCTTTTGTTTTTTGCCCCAGTTTATAGTATACTATAATCCTACTTCAGATTCCTGATAATTCTATTATTTTTTACCTTCCCTTATAAGCACTTGTATTAAAAAAATAGCACCTGAATAATGAATGTATAATGAGTACAATTCCTAGCCTAGAAATACAAGTGTATGGGAAATCCAATTCAAGTTCATTTCTATTTCAAATTTCTAGTCCATTGACACGAAAGTTTATATTTTGGTCAATTTGGCTTTTCTCCCCTATTTGCTCTGGATTTGTTTAAGTTCCCAGACTTACCTAGTGCTAAGAACTGAGATTGTGTTTGGGAGGGAGATATTATATTTCAACCCTGACACCGTCTTTTCTCATTAGTGTTAATTGAGATGTCCATCATCCTACCTTGTTCTTGGTCACCATTCTGGGCAGATTAGTCTTACTTGTCCTTCCTTCCCACCTGCATGGTTCCATCAACCAGGAGACCACTTACTACTCTTTTGTCATGATTGGTACGTGGGACTCATTCTGGATCCATGCTGAAGCACAGTAAACTGATGGGCTCTAGCATTATGTTGCCTAGTCAGAGTCTGTGGTGCTTTCTTTTCTACATCATTTCTGCCTTCCTCTATGGTTTCCCCAAGAAACTGGCCCAAGGTCCTTCTGTGCTGGATCCCACAAAATGATTTTCTTTTTTTACTGCTCTCGATTATAAATTTTATGGTGTCCTTGAGGGCATCTTTCATGCACAAAATACTTTGGATTTAAAAGTTAATGTTCACAGTTGTTTGATGTTTGCCAAAGGCTCCAAGGCAATCCAATGGGGAAAGGAAATAACACTTGGATAAATGGGTCTCTATGTGGGAAAATAATTGACCTCAACCTCTATCTTACACCAAACATAAAACAAATTAGAAATGGTCACATACCTAAACATAAAAGCATTGAAAAGCTTTTAGATGAAAACATTAGAATATCTTCATGATTTAGCGTAGACAAAGGTTTCTTAGGCTACATAATGTGATAACCATAAAATTAAAGTTAATAAGACTTCCTTGAGACTAAAATGTGCTCTTTAAGTAACACTGTTAAGAAAATGAGTAGGTAAGCCCCAGTTTGGGAGAAAATATTTGCAAAACATTTCCAGAATATATAAGAATGGTATCCAGGATATCTAAGAATGGTATCCAGGATATCTAAGAATGGTATCCAGGATATATAAGAAACTCCTACAACTTAACAACAAAAAGACCAATAATCCAATAAAAAATGGGCAAAAGTATTTGAACAGACACTACAAAGGAAAATTACTCAATATCATTAGTCATCAAGGAAATGCAAATCAAAAACATAACGTGATTCTACTACACACCCACCAGCATGGCTAAAATTCAGAAGATGGATAAAAATGTTGATGAGGAAATGGAGCAAAACAGTACTCTTATACACTTTTGGTGAGAATGTAAAATGGCACAGCCACTTTGAGTAAAGATCTGGAAGTTTATTATAGAACCAAAGATGTATGTTCCCTATGACCCACCAATTTCATGCCTACATATTTTTCTAAGAATAATAAAAACATATATCACAAAAGACTTGTATGACAATATTCATGTCAGCTTTATTCTTAATTACTCAAACTGGAAATAGTCTAAAAATTTATTAATAAAATGCAGAAACAAACTATGGTATAGTCATACAGGAATACTACTACTCAACAATAGATAGAAACAAACTACTGATACATGCAACAACATGGATAAATTTCAAAAACATTTTGCTGAGTGAGAGAAGTCTTATACAAATGAGTACATACTGCATGATTAAATTTACATAAAGCTCTAGAAAAGTCAAAACTGTGGTAGAAAAATTCATAACAATGATGGCCTCTCAAGGTGTGGGTAGGGATCACTTGGAAAGGTACCTGAAAAAACCTTCTGTGTGATGGAAATATTAAGAACCTTGACAAGATTTGGAGTTGCACAGGTGTGCTTTTGTCCAAACACACTAAATAGTACATTTACAATTTGTGCATTTCATTGTATATAAATTTTATCTCAAAAGAAAATACTGAACTGTAGTTAATGATATATATGCTGAGTATTTTGGGTAATGTACTGATGTCTGAAATTTACTTTGAAATACATCAAAATAAGATGGACTGCTGATTAATAGAATATGAAAATAGGAACAAATATTTGATAAAGCAAGCCTGGTAATTCTTAATTGTACGCCCACCTATATGGTGGGCATATAGGTACTGACTGTAACAATTTTCAACTTTCTATAAGTTAAATTTTCTCTATAATAAAATGAGAAGTGAAAACTAGTGCTAAATTTACTAAAGTTACAGATTTAAGTACGTAGCTGTTCCTTAACATTTCTCTTTCTTTCTTTCTTTCTTTCTTTCTTTCTTTCTTTCTTTCTTTCTTTCTTTCTTTCTTTCTTTCTGTCTTTCTTTCTCTTTCTTTCTTTTTCTTTCTTTCTTTTTTGTGTGTGAGATGGAATCTTGCTCTGTCGCCCAGGCTGGAGTGCAGTGGCACGATCTTGGCTCACTGCAACCACCGACTCCCAGGTTCAAGCGATTCTCCTGCCTCAGCCTCCCGAGTAGCTGGAACTACAAGCGCATGCAACCATGCCTGACTAATTTTTTTTTTTTTTTTTTTTTTTGTATTTTTAGTACAGACAGGGTTTCACCGTGTTAGCCAGGATGGTCTCAATCTCCTGACCTCGTGATCCACCGGCCTTGGCCTCCCAAAGTGTTGGGGTTACAGGCATGAGTCACTGCTCCTGGCCATTCCTTAACATTTTAAGTTTTAAATTCTTATTTTTCTTGATAAATCTATTAGATTCCAATAATCCATTTTAAGGGATCCTGGATTGCTATTTTAATCAGGATAAGCTCAGTTATGCTGCAGTAACAAATTTCAGGCTCTTAATTGTAATAAAGGTGCATTTCTTGCTCTTGTCACAGCCTGATACAGGTCAGGTAGTTTTCTTGGGCATCTGTCCTCCAAAAGTTACTCAAGGATCTAGGCTGCTTTCTTTTTTTTCAACTTTGCCATCTCAGAGTACTTCACTTTCATTTAGTCTTGCTCTTAACCATCTTATACCAAAGTGACACATTTCTACAGGCAAGAACTCGTTTATAAGATCTCAACCTATCAGTAGGGCTGGGAAATACAATTTTCCTGAATGTGCAAGAAGAAGAAACTGTAGTAAATACACTGTTTCATTGTAATCATTAGTTGGCCCTATTTACACACATTCTGTTAAACTCATTTAAATAATATTTTAAATGGTGTCTATAAATTTAATATATTCTATTTCTTTTTAAGTACCTCAATTAAGTACCTAAGTTATTCTTATCAGCCGAATAACTGATATGCATGGTGAATCTCAAGTTCTATTTAGTGTTCTAATATTGTTCACAATATCTTAGTAAGATTTCAATTTAAAATTATAAGTCTACTAGTATATAAACAAAATCTTAATAGTATTTTCTCCTAAGACTGAATAAAAGGTTGCTATAGGGAATAAAGAGGAGGATAAAAATTGTGAATAAAAATGTTAATTATTTGCTAACATATTTTTCTTTGTGTTTTTAAAAGGCATACTTTAGTAAAAAAAAATAGAAAATATAAACCAATTACTCAATTGTGCATTAATTTCTGAATTAGAATTATAAGTATAACCTATTATTTTAATAGACCAAATATTTCTGATCATTATAAGTTCTCAGACACACCACACATGCACAGATTTAGAACATAACGTTCATATTATAGCTTGGATTTGCTTAAGTATTTCTATATCTAATTATAAATCTTCTCTGTGTTGAAAAATGCTACCAACTAATGAAATAATTATGCTAAGCCAAAATATTTAGGGTAACACTTTCAAATAATTTCTGAGGTTACATTCTCAAGTGGCTGAGGTTTTTAATGACCTGAGAGGGTGCTGTCTGGAATGCCAATGGGATTCTTGCCTGCCAGACTGAGACGAGTTTTACATTTGTTCCTTCTGGCTGTCCATCTCACTTCACAGACTGCATCTTCTGGATTCACTTTCCATGTTACCTATTTGTTATGCCTCCTCATGAAAATTGCCTCACCATTTAATTGGATTCAACTAATCTCTTTATGCCTTCTCCTCTAAATTCTATCTATATTCTTTCTACATGTTAGTGGCACAAATCACAGATGTTTAAATGCTACTCAGTTTGGTTGCTCATGTGCCCTCAGAATCAGACAGCATAACTAGGTGGTTATAAGCATGAATTCTGGATCCAGACTGCCAGGTTCCAATTCCAGCTTGCCCATTTACTTGCTGTGTGACCTTTACCAAGTAATTGGACTTCTCAATACCCATATCTGTAAAGCAGGGATAATAGTAGTGCCTACCTCACAGGGTTGTTGAGAGGGTTGAGTGAGTTAAGTACTTAGTCATACTTTGTATGACTGTGAGGTCAAAGGTCTAAGGTCATGTCAGTGACACTCCAAAAGGGTAGTGTGCTGAACCACACTTTTTGGGAACTGTCAATGTTTACACTGTCATTGCAACCCTCCCTTCATTTTCTCTCCTCAGGGAATGCTTTTCTTGTTTGGTGGGATTACAGGTGTGAGCCAGTGTCCAGCCTCAGTCTATAGTCTGAATTAAGACACAAAGTAATCTTTGTCTCAGCAGGGAACTCTGCTGCTAAGATAGAGTAAACCTGAACTAGCAGACTGAATGGAGAGAGGGCCAAAGAAAAAGAGAAATACCAGATTTAATGATTATAGTTAAAAAAAATACTATCTGATCATTCTTGTTAACTACTAGGGCTTCTCAAACTTGTGGCTATATCAGAACCACCTGTAGGACTTGTAAAAAGCATAGATTACTAAGGTACCCCTCTCTCTCCACTCTTAGTTTGATTTAGTTGGTTTAAATTATAATTTTTGGACCCCACAATTTGCATTTCTAGTGAGTTCCTGGGTGATGTTGATGGTGCTAGGCCAGGGACCACACTTTGCGAACCACTGCTGTAAATGATGGCTAAGGCCTCAAGTGTCTCCTATGCATGAAACGTTTGCATAGTAACACAAAACTGAGCCACATGATCAAATAAAGAAGATCTAAGGTTGTTTTGTAGATGTCACAGAGTTAATAACAAAGTATTTTGCAGGGAAAGGATGGAGGATTTGCAGATATTCCTCATGTGATCCCAAGAGGGATTCCAGTGAATAAAATGTTACATTTCTTTTTGTACTTTGATTTGAATATGTGTTTATTTTAGTTTCACCCACTTTTATTATCCCCAGGATAAAAGTCCCTTAGTCAAAAAATATACATATTAGCATGGGTAAAAGGGCTTCCCACTGTGCCTACATCACACTTAGGCATCCAATAGATATAATTTCCTATTCCTTCTCTACTGTCACCAGTAGAGGGCCGTGACTGCAAGTTGTCCAGGTTCTCGGCATTTTGAACAAAGAATTGGACAAAATGTTCAGCAAAGCAAAGAAAGAATGAAGCAATCAAAGAACAAAAGCAGGGATTTATTGAAAATGAAAGTACACCCAACAGTGTGGGAGCGGAGCGGGCCGAGCAGTGGCTCAGGGGCCCAGACATAGAATCTTCTTGGGTCCAAATACACCCTAGAAGTTTCCCATTGGCCACTTCATGCTCACCTCATGTAAATGAAGTGGTAGCCTGAAATCAGTCTGATTGGTTGCATAAAGCAGCCAACCAGAGGCTGAAGTGAAGTTAGGAAGGTCACACTCCTTTGCAAACATCTGATTGGTTGTAAAAAGTGAAGACTCCACCCACAGTCTGTCTGATTGGTTGTGCAGCCAATTTCCCATCTGCCATGCAGAAAAAGTGGAGGGCTTGCAAAGGGAGTAGCCTCTGGCCTTTTGTGACTTAGGCGTGGAAAGTTAGGGTTTTCCTTGCAATTTAGTTCTAGGAAGTTGGCGTGAAGCAGCCTTAGGTTCCCTGCCTCCAGATCCTAGTCTCCTGCCTCACTATCTCACTGCCTACTCAAGCCAGGCCCAACTGTTTGATTTTCTTGGTACAGTTTCTTGTTGCTGTTTGAAAGCAAATGTGGTTGAGAGGATGAGGTACAAAATCGCTCTATGATATGTTGCTGCTGTCGGAAGTTTCTAGGCTGTCATCATATGAGATGATGTGTGCAGAAGCACATTAGAGAAGGAAATGCACCAATAAAATGTCATCATTTTATTATCTGAAGCAGCTGTTAGGGAATACACTATCCTTTTTGAACATTATTTTCAACACAGGCAGCCACTTGGAAAAATGTATTCGTTGATCTGGACAAAGATCTGTGGAGAGACCATGAAGGGCCCGAGGCCAATACTTCACTCACCCCTACAGAGGGGGAACTCCAAGCACCTGTTGCTCTAGAAATGGATATGATGTTTCAGTTTTTGAAAGTGACAGAGCAGATTATGTGACTCATGTGAAATTTCCTTTTTAGGAAGCCTTAGTAAATACCTATTGAAAGAGAAAGTGAATAATTTGAAAGATGCAGTTGATTTGCTTAGGAATATTTCACAATTATTATAACATAAATAGAGGTTGTTTATTTTAAAAATATATAATTTAATGTGTTTTTTGTTTATCATAAAGCATTCTACCTATAAAATTCAGAAAAAAACTTTAAAATATATGATAATATTAGAAATTTTTATAATTTCAAAGAGAATCATTATTAACATTTGCCCCAATATACATCCCTTTTCTCCTTTTAATACAAAATGTACATATACAATTAATCCTTGAACAATTGCTGGGGTTAGAGATACTAACTCCCCTTGTAGTAAAAAATCTGCATATTTTTTCTAGTTCCCCAAAACTTAAACACTAACAGCATCCTGCTGACTGGAAGCCTTACCGATAACATAAACAGCTGATTAACATATATTTTGTGTGCTATATGCATTACATAATGTATTGTTACAACAAAGTAAGTTATATAAAAGAAAATGTTATTAAGAAAATCATAAGGAGGAGAAAAACATGTCTACCATTCATTATGTTGCAGTGCATCCTAAGGTCTTCATCCTTATCCTTACTTTGAATAGGAGCAGGAAGAGGTAGGGGTTGGTCTTGCTGTTTCCAGGGTAGCAGAGGTGGAAGAAAATCCATAGATAAGAGGCTTGAGGTAGGAGGCAGGGCTTGACTCCGGAGGTGGTGGCTTGTCTCTGGGACAGACTGAAGACTAGTTGAAGCAGGGAAGAGGTGAAAGCACCTCTTCATAAGAGCACCTCACCACCAGCACCATGTCAGTTTACCATTACCATGGCTGCACCTGAAAATTACCACCCCTTTCCATGGCAATGACCCAGAAATACCAACCTTTTTCTAAAAAAAAAAAAAAAAAAATTGAATAACCTATCTCTTAATTTGCATATTGAACATATTATGTTAAAAAAAGAAAAAAGGAAAATGGGAAAAGGCCCCTTACGTACCAGCCTTTATGAACCTTTACTGACTCACATTACTTCCAGGCACTGGGAAGCCACACCTAAGGGATCTGCTCCTAGATGTTCTCCCAAGAAGTCCTATCCCTCCCTAGAGTCTCCTCATTCCCTCAATTCTGAGGGGATCCTGCCAGTTATCTAAAAAAGGATTCCACCCCAAGGTCCTCTCTGTTATCCAAGTAGCCCCAGCCTATATCTACCACTGCCCAAGAAAGTAAGCCCAACCAATACCACCAAGAGTGGGGCCACATATTAGTTCGTAAAGTCAAATCTATGTCCATTGCAGGAGGTAGATGATGGAAATAAAGAAACACTTAGAATACAAGTGCCATTTGCTATGTGTGATTTGGCTTTAGATAGGGAAAAATTTGACCAGTTTTCAGAGAACCCAGAAAAATTTATAGAAGAGTTTGTTAAGTTGACTATGTTCTTTAACTTGCCATGACTTACAAGTATTGTCATCTGCTTGCTATGCTGTGGAAAAAAAGTGGAGAAAAAATTATATGGTTAAGCCAGTCAATTATGACAAGGTTAGAGAAATAACTGAGGGAAAAAACAAAAATCCCGCTCTAGTTTAGGGCTGCTTAGTTGCAGGAAATATACTAATGCAGACCAAGACTCCCCAGAAGGGCAAGCTCTCCTGAGTGATTATATATATATGAGAGTTACCTGAGTGGTATATATTTTATTACTCAGTCTGCCCCTGAAATTAGAAGGAGACTACAAAAAGCAGCAATGGGACTTCAAATCTCTATGAGCCAACGTTTAAACTTGGCTTTTAAAGTTGATAACAATGGGAACTTGGCAAAAGAGATAAAAATAAAACAAAATAAATAACCCTAAAGTGTAATTTTTAACAGTTTCTTTAAGCCTCCTACCCCTCAGGGTTACTCATCTTGAGAAAGTGTTGTGAGATCAGCATCTGGGATGCCCAGAGAAGAGCCCTGGGTCAGAATCAGTGTGCCTACTATAAGCAAAAAGGCCATTGGCAATGAGAATGTCCTATATCTCCCCAGTGAGAGAAGAAAAAGCTTTCCATCAATACCAGAGCTAGGCTTCCTCCAGTAGCCCCAACCAACCACCTGGCTTAAGCAAATTTGGACCCTTGACCCAATGGACAGCTTCCTGCAGTGACAGACAAGCAGCTGCCTGAACATTTTTCTTCAGTGTCTCCACAGCTGGGTGAGCTCTCCAGTAGCTCAGGGACTCCCTTTGAACAATGCAGTTCACTCCCTCCCTTCCATTTGTAGTGCTATGGGATCTCCTTCCCTGTGCCACCTCCTGTCTTCCATACTTATTAGGACAAACAAAATTTGTCCAGGTAGATGGGTCCCCCTTTTATAAATAGCTTGAATCAGTTGCCTTATATAGGCCATTTTATTTAATTTGTTTTTTAAGATATAAATACAGATAGTGTGATGTGTATTGTGTTTAGCATGCTATCAAACTGACTTACAAATAAAACAGCACTCATAAACTAAATAAGTCTAAACTTGTTAATTAAAAAAAAATTTCTATCCCCAGTTTGCACCCTCTTCTTGGTGACATGTTTGATATATTTTCACAGCCAGCCCACATTGGGCCCTCCTATTGATCTTGGAAGGGCAAAGAGCCAAATGTGACATTTTTTATAAATCATTGGCTAAACACAATTAGATGGGAATGTGCAGTAAATAAGAAATCACATCAGGTCACTTCCAAGATGGCCCAATAGGAACAGCTCCGGTCTGCAGCTCCCAGAGAGATCGACACAGAAGACAGATGATTTCTGCATTTCCAACTGAGATACCTGGTTAATCTCACTGGGGCTGGTTGGACAGTGGGTGCAGCCCATGGAGGGAGAGCTGAAGCAGGGCAGGGCATTGCCTCACCCGGGAAATGCAAGGAATTGGGGGATTTACCTTTCCTAGCCAAGGGAAGCCGTGACATACTGTACCTGGAAAAACAGTACACTCTCGCCCAAATACTGCACTTTCCCCACAGTCTTAGCAACCGGCAGACCAGGAGATTACCTCCCATGCCTGGCTTGGTGGGTCCCATGCCCACGGAGCCTTACTCACTGCTAGCGCAGCAGTCTGAGATCAACCTGCGAGGTTGCATCCTGGCTGGGGAAGGGGAGTCCACCATTGCTGAGGCTTGAGTAGGTAAACAAAGCTCAAACTGGGTGGAGCCCACCGCAGCTCAGCAAGGCCTACTGCCTCTATAGACTCCACCTCTAGGGCAGGGCATAGCTGAACAAAAGGCAGCAGACAACTTCTGCAGACTTAAATGTCCCCATCTGGCAGCTCTGAAGAGAGCAGTGGTTCTTTCTCCCATCATGACATTCGAGCTCTGAGAATGGACAGACTGCCTCCTCAAGTGGGTCCCTGACCCCCTTGTAGCCTGGCTGGGAGACATCTCCCAGTAGGGGACCACAGACACCTCATACAGGCAGGTGCACCTCTGGGACGAAACTTCCAGAGGAAGGATCAGGCAGCAATATTTGCTGTTCTGCAATATTTGCTGTTCTGCAGCCTCTGCTGGTGATATCCAGGCAAACAGAGTCTGGAGTGGACCTCCAGCACACTCCAACAGACCTGCAGCTGAGCGGCCTGACTGTTAGAAGGAAAACTAACAAACAGAAAGGAATAGCGTCAACATCAACAAAAAGGACATTCACACCAGAACCCCATCTGTAGGTCACCAACATCAAAGACCAAAGGTAGATAAAACCACAGAGATGGGGAGAAACCAGAGCAGAAAAGCTGAAAATTCCAAAAACCAGAGTTTCTCTTCTCCTCCAAAGGATCGCAGCTCCTCGCCAGCAATGGAATAAAACTGGACAGAGAATGAGTTTGACGAGTTGACAGAAGTAGGCTCCAGAAGGTCAGTAATAACAAACTTCTCCAAGCTAAAGGAGCATATTCTAACCCATTGCAAGGAAGCCAAAAATCTTGAAAAAAGGTTAGATGAATGGCTAACTAGAATAAACAGTGTAGAGGAGAACTTAAATGACCTGATGGAGCTGAAAACCACAGTACAAGAACTTTGTGATGTATGCACAAGCTTCAATAGCCAATTCAGTCAAGTGGAAGGAAGGATATCAGTGATTGAAGATCAAATTAATGAAATAAAGCAAGAAGACAAGATTAGAGAATAAAGAGTAAAAAGAAATGGACAAAGCCTCCAAGAAATATGGGACCATGTGAAAAGAACAAATCTATGTTGGATTGGTGTACCCGAAAGTGACAGGGATAATGGAACCAAGTTAGAAAACACTCTTTAGGATATTATACAGGAGAACTTTCCCAACCTAGCAAGGCAGACCAATATTCAAATTCAGGAAATACTGAGAACACTACAAAGATACTCCTCGAGAAGAGCAACCCCAAGACACATAATTCTCAGATTCACCAAGGTTGAAATGAAGGAAAAAATGTTAAGGGCAGCCAGAGAGAAAGGTTGGGTTACTCACAAAGGGAAGACCATCAGACTAATAGCAGATCTGTTGGCAGAAACCCTACAAGCCAGAAGAGAGTGGGGCCAAAATATACGTTCTTAAAGAAAAGAATTTTCAACCCAGAATTTCATATCCAGCCAAACTAAGATTTATAAGTGAAGGAGAAATAAAATCCTTTATAGACAAGTAAATGCTGAGAGGTTTTGTCACCACCAGACCTGCCTTACAAGAGCTCCTGAAGGAAGCACTAAACATGGAAAGGAACAACCGGTACCATCCACTGCAAAAACATGCCAAATTGTAACGACCATCAATGCTAGGAAGAATCTGCATCAATTAATGGGTAAAATAACCAGCTAAAGTCATAATGACAGGATCAAATTCACACATAACAATATTAACCTTAAATGTAAATAGGCTAAATGCCCCAATTAAAAGACACGGAATGGCAAATTGGATAAAGAGACAAGACCCATCAGTGTGCTGTATTCAGGAGACCCATCTCAAGTGCAGAGATACACAAAGGCTCAAAATAAAGGGATGGAGGAAGATCTACCAAGCAAATGGAAAGCAAAAGAAAGCAGGGGTTGCAATTCTAGTCTCTGATAAGACAGACTTTAAATCAACAAAGATCAAAAGAGACAAGGCTATTACATAATGGTAAAGTGATCAATTCAACAAGAAGAGCTAACGTGAATATATATGCATCTAATACAGGAGCACCCAGATTCATAAAGCAAGTTCTTAGAGACCCACAAAGAGACTTAGACTCCCACACAATAATAATGGGAGATTTTAACACCCCACTGTCAATATTAGATGGATCAACAAGACAGAATGTTAACAAGGATATCAAGGACTTGAACTCAGCTCTGCACCAAGTGGACCTAATAGACATCTACAGAACTCTACACCCCAAATCAACAGAATATACATCCTTCTCAGCACTACATCACACTTATTTTAAAATTGACCACATAATTGGAAGAAAAGCATTCCTCAGCAAATGTAAAAGAACAGAAATCAAAACAAACTGTCTCTCAGACCACAGTGTAATCAAATTAGAACTCAGGATTAAGAAACTCACTCAAAACCGCACAACTACATGGAAAGTGAACAACCTGCTCCTGAATGACTACTGGCTAAATAATGAAATAAAGGCAGAAATAAAGATGTTCTTTGAAACCAATGAGAACAAAGACACAGCATACCAGAATCTCTGGGACACATTTAAAGAAGTGTGTAGCGGTAAATTTATAGCACTAAATGCCCACAAGAGAAAGCAAGAAAGATCTAAAATCAACATCCTAACATCACAATTAAAAGAACTAGAGAAGCAAGAGCAAACAAATTAAAAAGCTAGTGTAAGACTAGAAATAACTAAGGTTGGAGCAGAACTGAAGGTGATAGAGACACAAAAAACTCTTCAAAAAATCAATGAATCCAGGAACTGCCTTTTTGAAAAGATCAATAAAGTAGACCGCTAGCAAGACTAATAAATTAGAAAAGAGAGAAGAATCAAATAGATGCAATAAAAAATGATAAAGGGGATATCATCACCAATCCCACAGAAATACAAACTACCATCAGAGAATACTATAAACACCTCTACACAAATAAACTAGAAAATCTAGAAGAAATGGATAAATTCCTGGACACATACACCCTCCCAAGACTAAACCAAGAAGAAGTTGAATCTCTGAATAGACCAATAACAGGTTCTGAAATTGAGGCAATAATTAATAGCCTACCCAATAGACCACTAACAGGTTCTGAAATTGAGGCAATAATTAATAGCCTACCAACCAAAAATAGTCCAGGACCAGATGGATTCACAGCTGAATTCTACCAGAGGCACAAAGAGGAGCTGGTACCTTTCTGAACCTATTCCAATCAATAGAAAAAGAGGGAATCCTCCCTAACTCATTTTATGAGGCTAGCATCATCCTGATACCAAAGCCTGGCAGAGACACACACACAAAAAAAGAGAATTTTAGACCAATATCCCCGATGAACATCGATGTGAAAATCCTCAATAAAATACAGGCAAACTGAATCCAGCAGCACATCAAAAAGCTTATTCACTACGATCAATTTGGCTTCATCCCTGGGATGCAAAGCTGGTTCAACATACCCAAGTCAATAAATGTAATCTATCACATAAACAGAACCAACAACAAAAACCATATGATTAGCTCAATAGATGCAGAAAAGGCCTTTGACAAAATTCAACAGCTCTTCATGCTAAAAACTCTCAATAAACTAGGTATTGATGGAACAGATCTCAAAATAATAAGAGCTATTTATGACAAACTCATGGCCAATGTCATACTGAAAGGGCAAAAACTGGAAGCATTCCCTTGGAAAACTGGCACAAGACAAGGATGCCCTCTCTCACCACTCCTATTCAACATAGTGTTGGAAGTTCTGGCCAGGGCAATCAGGGAAGAGAAAGAAATAAACAGTATTCAATTAGGAAAAGAGGAAGTCAAATTGTCCCTGTTTGCAGATGACATGATTGTATATTTAGAAAACCCCATATTCTTAGCCCAAAATCTCCTTCAGCTGATAAGCAACTTCAGCAAAGTCTCTGGATACAAAATCAATGTGCAAAAATCACAAGTATTCCTATACACCAAGAACAGACAGAGAGCCAAATCATGAGTGAACTCCCATTCACAATTGCTACAAAGAGAATGAAATACCAAGGAATCCAGCTTACAAGGGATGTGAAGGACCTCTTCAAGTAGAACTACAAACCACTGCTCAATGAAATAAAAGAAGACACAAACAAATGGAAGAACATTCCATGCTCATGGATAGGAAGAATCAATATCTTGAAAATGACCATACTACCCAAAGTAATTTATAGATTCAATGCCATTCCCATCAAGCTACCAATGACTTTCTTCACAGAAATGGAAAAAAATACTTTAAAGTTCATATGGAACCAAAAAAGAGCCTGCATAACCAAATCTTAAGCAAAAAGAACAAAGCTGGAGGCATCACGCTGCCTGACTTCAAACTATACTACAATGCTGCAGTAAACAAAACAGCATGGTACTGGTACCACAACAGAGATATAGACCAATGGAACAGAACACAGCCCTCAAAAATAATACCACACATCTACAACCATCTGATCATTGTAAACCTGACAGAAACAAGAAATGGGGAAACGATTCTCTATTTAATAAATGGTGCTGGGAAAACTGGCTAATCATATGTAGAAAGCTGAAACTGGACCCCTTCCTCATACCTTATACAAAAATTAACTCAAGATGGATTAAAGACTTAAATGTAAGACCTAAAACCATCAAAATCCTAGCAGAATACCTAGGCAATACCATTCAGGACATAGGCATGGGCAAAGACTTCATGACTAAAACACCAAAAGCAATTGCAACAAAAGCCAAAATTGACAAATGGGATCTAATTAAACTAAAGAGCTTCTGCACAGCAAAAGAAACTACCATCAGAATGAACAGGCAACCTGTGAAATAGGAGAAAATTTTTGCAATCTACCCATCTGACAAAGGGCTATTATCCAGAATCTACAAAGAAGTTAAACAAATATGCAAGAAAAGAACAAACAACCCCATCAAAAAGTGGGCAAAGGATATGAACAGACACTTCTCAAAAGAAGACATTTACACAGCCAATAGACACATGAAAAAATGCTCATCATCCCTGGTCATCAGAGAAATGTAAATCCAAAGCACAATGAGATACAATCTCATGCCAGTTAGGATGGTGATCATTAAAAAGTCAGGAAGCAACAGATGCTGGAGAGGATGTGGAGAAATAGGAATGCTTTTACACTGTTAGTGGGAGTGTAAATCAGTCCAACCATTGTGGAAGACAGTGTGGCGATTCCTCAAGGATCTAGAACTAGAAATACCATTTGACCCGGTGATCCCATTACTGTGTGTATACCCAAAGGACTATAAATCATGCTACTATAAAGTTACATGCACACATATGTTTATTACAGCACTATTCACAATAGCAAATACTTGGAACCAACCCAAATGTCCATCAATGATAGACTGGATTAAGAAAATGTGGCACATATACACCATGGCATACTATGCAGCCATAAAAAAGAATGAGTTCATGTTCTTTGCAGGGACATGGATGAAGCTGGAAACCATCTTTCTCAGCAAACTGTCACAAGGACAGAAAACCAAACACCACATGTTCTCACTCATAGGTGGGAATTGAACAATGAGAATACATAGACACAGGTAGGGGAACATCACACACTGGGGCCTGTCGTGGGGTGGGCTGTAGGGGAGTGGATTGCATTGGGAGAAATGCCTAGTGTAAATGATGAGTTGATGGGTGAAGCAAATCAACATGGCACATGTATACCTATGTAACAAACCTGCACATTGTGCACCTGTACCCTAGAACTTAAAGAATAATAATAATTAAAAAAATTGTGTCTTCTAAAATTTAACTTTAAGAGTTTTACCTTGGTAAATCATTGATGTTCATAGGCTTTGAATTTGTTAATATGGCTTTAAATACTGAGTTTTTTGCATAGTTGAGAATCTTGAAATTATAGAATAGTTCTCATCTATAGAATGGCAATGTCTGATGGGCAGTTCAAGATTTATTGCTTTCTAGGTTTCTATAAAATGTGCCAAAGAAGATGTATTTTATTGAGGAAAAATAATTTTTATCTAACTTGGAAGTTTCTTAAAGGGAGATTCATAATATGAGGAAACCAGTGAGTAGAAAACAGATGTGAAGAAAGTTATGGATAGATGTATTTTTTTAAAAAAAGAAGTGTATAAAGAGTAATATTGTATGAGAAAAATCTTATATAGTAAATTTTTGTCCTAGAGTAAAATGACTGGTTATTTAAGAAAGTGGTAGTATAGGACAAGTCAGAAAGTTCAAGCCATGTCTGTGTAAATTGTGATTAGGTTCATGAAGGGGAATTTATGGAAGGAATTTTGTGTATGATTAAGCTTGCTATGAATAAAGGAAAATTGTTTGTGGTAGGTTTTCTAGAAAATGGTCTACATATTGGAACAAGGTTTTCTTGAGCCATTGATTTCCTAAATTATGGGAAATTTTGCTTTTAATGCTATTACAAGTTTCTTTTAAAACTTACTGGATTTGTGTCTCAGAGATTCAACTGTTATTGTATCTTGCTGCTTTCAGTTCTTTCTCCCTTTAAGAAAGCCTAGGATGATGTCTATCTCCTTTAGCTTTTAAAATCAGCTCCTGTGACTTCTTCCTCTGGTTCAGATTGTTGTCGTAGCCTGATGCTCATGTTTTTGTCTTAGAGGTCTATAGGAGCAGTGTTTCCCCCCAGTGGAGTTTGATTTTATGCTCTTGGGTTTTTGTTTTTGTTAAATGTGTAACCTTAATTTTGGCTTTTTGACTCTTATATTGCCTAGGAGGGTTTTAAGAAATAAGAAATGTCAGCCTGCCTCCATTCCCATCTATCCTAGAATGTTTGATTAGCTATAAGTCTTTTGACTCTAAGTCCCTTGGCCAAAGGAAATTCCAAAGACATCTTTAAAAAAAAAACAAAAACAAAAACTAATTGAAGCCATGATGGGAAATGGGGTTGGACACATCTCACTATACCCTTTAAAATTTAGGCTAGGTATACAAGGTCCTTCAAGAATACAGATATAAAGTATTGCCTCCAACCAGAAGACTTAGTCTGACTAAAAACTTAAAAAGAAGGATCCCTCAATAATCAATTACAACCAAAATAAAATCTAAGAACCAGGTTTAATCTTTGACAGGTACCTATCAGGTATTGTTAAATATACCCACCACTATTAAACATCAGGCAATAGCTACTTGAGTCCATCTATTAAGGATTAAATCTGTTTCTTATGAGTCACAGGTACAAAGAGGTGACAGATTGACCTACGTTAGTAAACTTTTGGAAGACTTCTTCTACCTATTTAAAATAATCAGCACTCAGTCAGAAATGGTAATGTAATACTGTGGGTGGGAATAAGGGCTTTATTTTTTCCTTTTCTTCCTGATTGTAGTACTTCTTTTCTATTGCTTTGGCCAACCACCTCCCCCTGAGAAACACCTCTTTAGTTCTTGTTGGGTGTAGAGGCCGCTCTAAGACCCAACTGGACACCATTTTGCCACTGTTAATCCTGTTTCCACTTCTAATTTCCCTGATCCAGTGTGGGTGAGAACAAAACTCTATAGTAAATATTTCAAAAATTATAGCATCAGGAAATTATCTTCATGGTTGCCAGATTTGTAATCAACATCTCCAGGGCAGAGAGTTTCATCTTCTGGCCCATTCAGAAAATCTCACGGCCATCTCCCCAGACCTCCTAACTAATCATAGCGATCCGAAGATATCCAAACTCCTACTCGTTAGATGAAACTCTCCCCAGCTTAACGGATTCCACCAGAACCCTCCTGCCATTGTTACCCGGACCTGGGAAGTTGGTTACCTATAGCTCCAGTGCACTAATGATTCCATCTTTCACACCCACTGCTGTGTTGAGACAAAAGTGGAAGTTTCCCTGCAATGCTATGATCCAACTCTAGTCGCCAGGTTCCCAAGGCTGCAGCAAGGTAAATGGGATTCCACTCATAAGCAAGGAGGATATATATGATGCCTTTTCTCAGATCAGAACATACAGAGAAAAAAACAACAGCCTAATCGGGGAAGGTAGGAATACCACCCCCTTCTGGAAAACAAAGATGGTTCTACCACACCCACTGGAACAGGGAAGAAATATTTCTATAGACCTAACTTGGTAGCAAAGTGTAAACATCACACCCTGCAGGGCTTCTCTGTTTGTGCCTCAAATGGGCTTATTTTTGTTTTTGGCCCTGAGTGGGGAAAAGTCACACCCCTAAACCACACCCACCTTCCTGGGGAGTCATCTATTCTTTTAGGAGCAGCTTTCTTTTGTATATCAAAAACTTGGTACAGGGGTCGATGTACATTGGCCACCATTGCCCTTTCAGGGGTCACAGTCTATAATCGTGTAAGACCGAGGAATGCCAGAAGTAAGTGAGCAATAGGATTAATTCAGGTGGGAAATGGGGCAGCAATAGGACTAGTGGCACCCTGGAGTGGCTTTGCCTACCATGACTCAACTCTAAAGAACTGGACTTAAACCCCAGAATTCTTAGCCACTAGCACAGTTCAAGCACGAAAGGGAATTCAAGAATCTCTAGACTCTTTGGCAAATGTAGTTCTAGATAACAGACTAGCGTTAGATTATTTACTAGCTGAACAAGACAGAGTCTATGTAGTTATTAATAAAACCTGCTGCACATATATGAACAACTCTGGACTTGTTGAAGTTAACATTCAAGAGATCTTGTACCTGTTTACATAGACATAACAAGGGCACTGACCTCAGTTATATCTGGTCAATTATCAAAAGTGCCTTCCCAAGTCTTACTTGGTTTTTACCTCTCCTAGGACCATTGAGAGTTCTCTTGTTGTTACTAATTTCTAGCCCTTGCTTGTTTAACTTCTTAGTAAAGTTTGTGTCTTCTAGATTACAACAGTTTCTGCTGAAGAGAATGCTGGCACAAGGCTTCCAACCTATCCCATCTACTGACCTGGAGAATGAAAGCATCCTGTCTCTGGGCTGGCCCCTTATATTGGTATCCAGAGATTTATACTCCTTCAATGATAGGCAGGGCCTACACCTGTAAAATCATCAGGAAGCAATTACAGACGGTGGGCCTCTACCCTGCTACAGCCCTCTTAAGATTCAGAAGGAGTATCTATTCTCTGAGGATGAAGTTAGGAGGTGGGACTCAACTCCAGAGGCAGGGACTCAACTTTGGACCAGATAGAAAACTAGCTGAACAAAGGAAGAGGAGAAATCACCTCTTCACAAGACATGCCCACTAGTGCCATGGCAACACCCAGAAGTTATAGCCCCTTTCCATGGCAATGACTCGGAAGTACCACCCTTTTTCTGGAAGATTCAGAATAACCCACCCCTTAATTTGCATGTAATTAAAAGTGAGTCTACATATGACTGAAGAACTGCCCCTGAGCTACTACACTGGGCACACTGCCTATAGGGTAGCCTTGATCCACAAGCAGCAGTACCTCTGCTGCTGCTGTACATTGCTGCTTCAATAAAAGTTGCTACCACCAGCAGCTTGCCCTCGAATTCTTTCTTGGGTGAAGCCAGGAACACTCCTAGGCTAAGCCCCACATTTGAGGCTTACCTGCCTTGCATCAGACCTGTGTAGTCCAAAGTCATATTGTTAAAGGGTCAACTGGATTATTGAACAAAATAGGACTCTGTATTTGGTTTTCATTGCTGATGTAACAAATTATCATAAGCACAGTGGCTTAACATAAATTTATTTTCTTATGGTTGTTCCGCAGTTCAGAAGTCTGACATAGAGATCCCTGGGCTAAAATCAAGGCTTCAGCAGGGCTGCCTTTCTGGTGATTCTAGGGGGCAATCTTATTTCTTTGCTTTTCCAGCTTTCAGATGCTGTCTGCATTCATTGATCCGGGTTTCACTTTCCTAATCTTCAAAGCCAGTAAAGTAGCATCTCTCTGATCCTCTTCTGTGTTCACATCTCTTTTTGACCATAATCAGGAAAGGGTTCTTTTTAAAAAAACTCACATGATTAGATTGGGCCACTTGAATAAAAATATAATTTTTTCATCTTAGTGTCCTTACCCTTAATTTCATCTTCAAAGCCTCTACTGCCATATCATCTATATTTACAGGTTTTGGGGATGAGTTATGGATATCTTTTAGAGGAGGTAGGAGGGACATTATTTTGCCTACCACAGGAAAATAGTACACATCAAACTTTGTAACGTATTTTTCCCATGCTTAACAGTAAATCTTCAGAGTTTTCTGATATCATTAAATATTTTCCTAGAACAAGACTATTAAAGATGAATGAGATCCATTAATGGATATACTATACAACATTTGAACAATGCCTTTCTTTCCCTCCCTCCCTCCCTCCCTCCCTTCCTCCCTTCCTCCCTTCCTCCCTTCCTCCCTTCCTCCCTTCCTTCCTCCTCCCTTCCTTCCTTCCTTCCTTCCATCCATCCTTTCTTCTCTTTGTCTCTCTTTCTCTCTTTCTTTCACTTTAAGTCCTGGGATACAAGTGCAGAACTTGCAGGTTTGTTACACAGGTATACATATGCCATGGTAGTTTGCTGCACCTATCAACCTGTCTTCTATGTTTTAAGCTGCTCATGCATTCAGTATTTGTCCTAATGCTCTCCCTCTTCTTCTCTCCCACATCCCAACAGGCCCTGGTGTGTGATATTCCCCTCCCTGTGTCCATGTGTTCTCATTGTTCAACTGCCACTTATGAGTCAGAACATGCAATGTTTGGTTTCCTGTTCCTGTGATAGTTTGCTGAGAATGATGGCTTCCAGCTTCATCCATGTCCCTGCAAAGGACATGAACTCATTCTTTCTTATGGCTACATAGTATTCCATGGTGTATATGGGCCACATTTTTCTTATCCAGTTTATCATTGATGGGCATTTGGGTTGGTTCCAAGTCTTTGCTATTGTGAATAGTGCTGCAAAAAAACATGCGTGTGCATGTCTTTACAGCAGAATGATTTATAATTCTTTGGGTATATACCCAGTAATGGGATTGCTGGGTCAAATGGTATTTCTGATTCTAGATCCTTGAGGATCGCCACACTGTCTTCCACAATGGTTGGACTAATTTACACTCCCACCAACAGTGTAAAAGCGTTCCTATTTCTCCACTGCCTTGTCACCATCTGTTGTTTCCTGACTTTCTAATGACCACCATTCTAACTGGAATGAAATGGTATCTCATTGTAGTTTTGATTTGCATTTCTCTAATGACCAGTGACAATGAGCTTTTTTCCATGTGTTTGTTGGCTGCATAAATGTCTTCTTTGAAAAGTGTCTGTTTTTATCCTTCGCCCACTTTTGGATGGGTTTTTGTTTGTTTGTAACTTTAAGTTCCTTATAGATTCTGAATATGAGACCTTTGCCAGTTGGGTAGCTTGCAAAAATTTTCTCCCATTCTGTAGGTTGCTTGTTCACTGTGATGATAGTTTCTTTTGATGTGCAGAAGCTCTATAGTTTGATTAGATCTCATTTGTCAATTTTGGCTTTTCTTAAAATTACTTTTGGTGTTTTAGTCATGAAGTCTTTGCCCATGCCTATGTCCTGAATGGTATTGCCTACGTTTTCTTCTGGGGTTTTTATTGTTCTGGGTTTTACATTTAAATCTTTAATCTATCTTGAGTTAATTTTTGTATAAGGTGTAAGGAAGGGGTCCAGTTTCTGCTTTCTGCATTGGCTAGCCAGTTTATCCAACGCCATTTATTAAATAGGGAATCCTTTTCCCATTGCTTGTTTCTGTCAGATTTGTCAAAGATCAGATGGTTGTAGAGGTGTGGTGTTATTTCTGAGGCCTCTGTCCTGTTCCATTGGTCTATATATCTGTTTTGGTACCAGTACCATGCTGTTTTGGTTACTGTAGACTTGTAGTATAGTTTGAAGTCAGGTAGTGTGATGTCTCCAGCTTTGTTCTGTTGCTTAGGATGTCTTGGCTATACGGACTCTTTTTTGGTTCTATATGAAATTTAAAGTAGTTTTTCTAATTCTGTAAAGAAAGTTAATGGGAGCTTGATGGGAATAGCATTGAATCTATAAATTACTTTGGTTAGTATGGCCATTTTCACAATATTGATTCTTCCTATCCATGAGCATGGAATGTTTTTCCATTTGTTTGCATCCTCTCTTATTTCCTTGAGTAGTGGTTTGTAGTTCTCCTTGAAGAGTTCCTTCACATCCCCTGTAAGTTGTATTCCTAGGTATTTTATTCTCTTTGTAGCAATTGTGAATGGGAGTTCACTCATGATTTGGCTCTCTGCTTGTCTATTGTTGGTGTATAGGAATGCTTATGATTTTTGCACATTGATTTTGTATCCTGAGACTTTGCTGAAGTTCCTTATCAGCTTTAGGAGATTTTGGGCTAAGACAATGGGGTTTTCTAAATATACATTCATGTCATCTGCAAACAGAGACAATTTGATTTCCTCTCTTTCTATTCCAATAGTCTTTATTTTTTTCTCTTGCCTGGTTGCCCTGGCCAGAACTTCCAGTACTGTGTTGAATAGGAGTGGTGAGAGAGGGCATCCTTGTCTTGTGCCAGTTTTCCAAGGGAATGCTTCCAGTTTTTGCCCATTCTGTATGATATTGGCTATGGGTTTGTCATAAATAGCTCTTATTATTTTGAGATATGTTCCATCAATACTTAGTTTATAGACAGTTTTTAGCATGAAGTGATGTTTAATTTTATTGAAGGCCTTTTCTGCATCTGTTGAGCTAATCATATGGTTTTTGTTGTTGGTTCTGTTTATGTGATGTGTTACATTTGAAGCAGCCTTGCACCCCAGGGATGAATCCAACTTGATCGTGGTGGATAAGCTTTTTGATGTGCTGCTGGATTTGGTTTCTGAGTATTTTATTGAGGATATTCACATTAAAGTTCATCAGGGATATTGGTCTGAAATTTTCTTTTTTTATTGTATCTCTGCAAGGTTTTGGTATCAGGATGATGCTGGTCTCATAAAATGAGTTATGGAGGAGTCACTCTTTTTCTATTGTTTGGAGTAATTTTAGAAGGAATGGTACCCACTCCTCTTTGTACCTCTGGTAGAATTTGGCTGTGAATCTGTCTGGTCCTGCACTTTTTGTGGTTGGTCGGCTATTAATTATTGCATCCATTTCTGAAGTTGATATCGGTCTCTTCAGGGACTTGACTTCATCCTATTTTAATCTAGGAGGGTATATGTGTCCCGGAATTTATCCAGTTCTTCTAGATTTTCTAGTTTATTTGTGTAGAGGTGTCTGTAGTATTCTCTGATGATAGTTTGTATTTCTGTGGGATCAGTGGTGATATCCCCCTATTATTTTTTATAGTGTGTATTTGATTCATCTCTCTTTTCTTTTTTATTAGTCTAGCTAGTTTTTCATCTATTTTGTTAATCTTTTCAAAAACCAAGCTCCTGGATTCATTGATTTTTTGAAGGGTGTTTTGTGTCTATACCTCCTTCATTTCTGTTCTGCTCTTCATTATTTCTTGTTGTCTGCTAGCTTTTGAATTTGTTTGCTCTTGCTTCTCTAGTTTTTTTTAATTGTGATGTTAGGGCGTCAATTTTAGATTTTTCCTGCTTTCTGTTGTGGGCATGTAGTGCTATAAATTTCCCTCTACACACTGCTTTAAATGTGTGCCAGAGATTCTGGTACGTTGTGTCTTTTTTCTCATTAGTTTCAAAGAACTTCTTTATTTCTGCTTTAATTTCATTATTTACCCAGTAGTCATTCAGGAGCACATTGTTCAGTTTTCATGTGGTTTTGTGGTTTTGAGTGAGTTTCTTAATCCTGAGTTCTAATTTGATTGCATTGTGGTCTGAGAGACTGTTTGTTATGATTTCCGTTCTTTTGCGTTTGCTGAGGAGTGTTTTACTTCCAATTATGTGGTCAATTTTAGAATAAGTGTGATGTGGTGCTATGAAGAATGTATAGGCTGTTAATTTGGGGTGGAGAGTTCTGCAGATGTATATTACGTCCTTTTGGTCCAGAGCTGAATTCAAGTCCTAAATATCCTCATTAATTTTCTGTTTCGTTGATCTAATATTGACAGTGGGGTGTTAAAGTCTTCCACTATTATTGTGTGGGAGTCTAAGTTTCATTGTAGGTCACTAAGAACTTGTTTTATGAATCTGGGTGCTCCTGTGTTAGGTGCATATATATTTAGGATAATTGGTTCTTCTTGTTGCATTCATCCCTTTACCATTATGGGATGCCATTCTTTCTCCTTTTTGATCTTTGTTGGTTTAAAATCTGTTTTATCAGAGACTAGCACTGCAAACCCTGATTTTTTTTTGTTGCTTTTCATTTGCTTGGTAAATATTCCTCCATCCCTTTATTTTGAGCCTATGTGTGTCTTTGCATGTGAGACGGGTCTCCTGAATACAGCACACTGATGGGTCTTGACTCTTTATCCAATTTGGCAGTCTGTGTCCTTTAATTGAGGGATTTAGCCCATGTACCTTTAAGGTTAATACAGTTATGTGTGAATTTGATTCTGTCATCAGGATGCTAACTGGTTATTTTGCACATTATTTGATGCAGTTTCTTCGTAGTGTCATTGGTCTTTATATTTTGGTGTGTTTTTGTAGTGGCTGGTACTGGTTTTTTCTTTCTATATTTAGTGCGTCCTTCAGGAGCTCTTGTAAGGCAGGCCTGGTGGTGACAGAATCCCTCAGCATTTGATTATCTGTAAAGGATATTATTTCTCCTTCACTTATAAAGCTTAGTTTGGCTGGATATGAAATTCTGGGTTGAAATTTCCTTTCTTTAAGAATGTTGAATATTGGCCCCCACTCTCTTCTGGCTTGTAGGGTTTCTGCAGAGAGATCCACTGTTAGTCTGATGGACTTCCCTTTGTAGGTAACCTGCCCTTTCTCTCTGGCTGCCCTTAACAATTTTTCCTTCATTTCAACCTTGGTGAGTCTGAAAATTATGTGTCTTGGGATTCTTGTTCTTAAGGAGTATCTTAGTGGGTTCTCTTTATTTCATGAATTTGAATGTTGGCCTGGTTTGCTAGGTTGGGGAAGTTCTCCTGGATAATATCCTGAAATGTTTCTTCCAACTTGGTTCCATTCCCCCCATCACGTTCAGGCACACCAATCAATTGTAGGTTTAGTCTTTTCACATAGTCCCACATATCTTGGAGGCTTTGTCCATTCCTTTTCATTCTTTTTTTCTCTAAACTTGTCTTCATGCCTTATTTCATTAAGTTGATCTTCAATCTCTGATATCCTTTCTTCTGCTTGATTGATTCAGCTATTGATACTTGTGTATGGTTCATGAAATTCTTGTGTTGTGTTTTTCAGCTCCATCAGGTCATTTATGTTCCTTTCTAAACTGGTTATTCTAGTTAGCAGTTAGCAGTTCCTGTAAACTTTTTTTTTTTTTTTTTTTTTTTAAGATGGAGTCTTGCTCTGTTGCCAGGCTAGAGTGCAGTTGCATGATTTCGGCTCACTGCAATCTCTGCCTCCTGGGTTCAAGTGATTCTTCTGCCTTAGCTTCCCGAGTAGCTGGGACTGTAGGTGCACGCCACCACATTCAGCTAATTTTTGTATTTTCAGTAGAGACAGTGTTTCACCATGTTGCCCATGATGGTCTCAATCTCTTGACTTCGTGATCTGCCTGCCTTGGCCTCCCAAAGTGCTGGGATTATAGGTGTCAGCCACTGGAACTGGCCCCCTTTTTATCAAGGTTCTGAGCTTCCTTGCATTGGGTTAGAATATATTCCTATATTCCTTTAGCTCAGAGGAGTTTGTTATTACCCACCTTCTATCCAATTTTGTACCCTTGCTGGAGAGGAGTTGCAATCAATTGAAGGAGAAGAGGCATTCTGGGTTTTAGAATTTTTAGCTTTTTGTGCTGTTTTTTCCTCATCTTTGTGAATTTATCTACCTTTGATCTTTGAGGCTGATTGACCTTTGGATGGGGTTTTTGTGTGGGAGTCCTCTATGTTGACGTTGATATTGTTGCTTTCTGTTTGTTAGTTTTTCTTCTAACAGTCAGGCCTCTCTCCTGCACATCTGCTGCAGTTGGCTGGAGGTCCAGTCTAGACCCTGTTCGACTGGGTATCACAAGCAGAGGCTGCAGCACAGCAAGGATTGCGGCTTCCTCCTTCCTGATGCCAGCTGGAGCTCTCCTGTATGAGGTGTCTGTTGACCCCTGTTGGGAGGTCTCTTCCATTCAGGAGCCACAGGGGTCAGTGACCCACTTGAGGAGGCAGTCTGTCCCTTAGCAGAGCTGGTGGCTGTGCTGGTTGAATCGCTCTTGTCAGGATCTCTCAGAGCTGGAAGGCAGGAATGAGAATCCACTGAAGCTGTGTAAACATCCACCCCTTCCCCTGATGCTCTGTCCCAGGGAGATGGGGGTTTTGTCTGTATGCCCCTGTCTGGGGCTGTTACCTTTCCTTCAGAGATGGCCTGCCTAGAGAGGGGAAATCTAGAGAAGCAGTCTGGCCACAGCCGCCTTGCCATGCTCAGCCCAGACCTCCCAGTCTCCTTAGCACTGTTGGGGAAATGCCCCTATTAAAGCCTCAGTAATGGCAGACACCCCTCCCTCCACCAAGCTCAATCATCCCAGGTCAACTTCAGACTGCTGTGCTGGCAGTGAGAATTTCAAGCCAGTTGTTCTTAGCTTGCTGGGCTCCACGGGAGTGGGACCTGCTGAGCCAGATTACTTGGCTTCCTGGCTTCAGCCCCCTTTCCAAGGGAGTGAATGGTTCTGTCTCACTGCGGTTCCAGGTGCCACTGGGGTATGAAAAAAAATTCCTGTAGCTAGCTTGGTGGCTGCCCAAACAGGCTCCCAGTGTGGTGCTTAAAACCCAGGGCCCTTGTGGTGTAGGCACACAAGGGAATCTCCTGATCTGCAGATTGCAACAACTGTGGGAAAAGTGTAGTAAACCAGCCAGATAGCACAGTACCTCATGGCTTCTCTTGGCTGGGGGAGGGAGGTCTCCTGCTCCTTGCACTTCCTGGGTGAGGCAATGCCCCACCCTGCTTCTGTTCACCCTCCATGCATTGGACCCACTGCCTAACCAGTCTCAGTGAGATGAACTGAGTACCTCAGTTGGAAATGCAGAAGTCATTTGCCTTCTGCATTGGTCTCGTTGGGAGCTGCAGATTGGAGCTGTTTTAATTCTGCCCTCTTGGCCCCTCCCCTGCAATAATGCCATTCTTTGACCTACTCAAAACATTTCTAGTTTTTCACATTAAATAAACAACACAAGTACATTTTAAATAAAAGGACATATTGCTGATCATTGGGATAAATGTCTAAAAATAGAATTTCTGCAACAGAGGACATACAATTAATATTTAAAGCTATGACTATATTTTGCCAATCTCTCCCCAACCCAGGGAGGTTTTGCTAATTTGCACTCTCATTGTCACTGTGCAAGAGAAAAATTGTCTCTATACCTTTACCAGTGCTGTTATTGACATTTAAAAATCTTTGTCTATTTCGTAGAAAAAAATGTTTTATTTTTCTTGTATTTTCCTGGTTTGGTTAAATAGGCCAAAACAGTTTAAGACAAAATAATTTTCCATATTCGTGGTATATTTATTTCCCATGAAGTAGTTATTACTAATGTTTTTTTTTCTTGAGAGAGAATAATCTTAGGTAATTTGGGTATTAAATGATATCTTTGCTGCTAGAATGTTTTTCTTCAAGCACAGTGTCTGTTCTCTGTCATTATCTATCTATAAAAAACTAACAAACACACAAAGACAAATTTCCTCAAATTAAATTCAAATTTCCACAGAACCAGTGAAAATTCTGCTCCAGCTAAAGGTTGATATTGACTAAAGGATTCCTACTCAACATACTCAGCCTATACTCAGTAATAATAGGAACATATATTTTTATGGTTCTTTGTGTATTTTCAGAACAGCATCTTATCATATTTTATGCCTGCTGCTTTAATTATGGATATTGAATTTCTTCAAACCTCTTTCCTACATCCATTAAAAGATCAGTTTTTCTCTTTTATTATATTACCATGGTGAATTACATTACTTGATTTTCATTTGTTAAACCAACCTTGCATTCCTGGGGCAAACCCTACTTGGTCATAATGTGTAATAAGTTTTATACCTTGTTGGGTTCAATGTATACTACTATTTTGTTAAAAATTTTTTGTGTGCATGTTTATGAGGGATGCTTATCTTCATATTACTTTATTAGTGAAGTCTGTCAGGTTTTGGCGATGAGGTTATGCCAAACGCTTCTCTATTCCATTTGGGCCTGGAAGTTGGTTTTTGGTTTGCATGTGTATGAGAATGGTAGAGAGAAATGTTTTCAGTAAAAAGTTCAGTTTCTTCAGTGAATACAAAATCTTTATTTTTTGGGTTCTCTTGTTGTAATAATTTGTAATTTTCAAGAAATATGCCCATTTCATCAGAGCTGTCAAATTTATTTGTATAAAGTTATACATAGTATTCACTTCTTTCCCTTTTTCTCCTTTACTTTGCTTCTTCTTTTATTTTTTATCTCCTTCTAGTCACCTATTTTGTTTTGTCCAGAAAATGAAATAAATATTGCAGAAAAAAGTCATAAGCTGACAACAGCATCACAGAGTCATGCCTGGCCTCATACCAGAGTTGAATGACCAAGGTAGAAAATTTGAATACTTTGTGTCAAGAATAGTCAAAGTTCATTGGTTAAAACTCCTGTCGTGAGCAACACTTAAATTCTAATACTTGATTTTATGACTGTCTTTTTCTGATAAGAGCACATTCAAATATAAACCCACTCATTATAACTCATTTACTATATATTTTTTTAAATTTAGCTATAATTTACACATAATAATCCATTCTTTTTGGAGTATATTTCTATGAGTTTTCACAAAAATTTACAGCAACTGCCATAATCAAAATGAACAGTTCCACTGCCCACCTATCTCCCCAATTCCTTTAAATCTCTTTGTAATCAACTCCTGCCCTCACCCTGGACTTTGTCAACCACTGATCTATTTTCTATTCCTGCAATATTGACTTTTTAAGAATTTTATACAAATGGAACCATGCAATATGTTTTTTAAAAATTGGCTTTTATCAGTTGGAATAATGTATCTGGTATTCATTCATATTGCTCCATGTATAAGTAGTTTTTTTTTATTGCTAACTGGTATTCTTTTGTATGAATGAATCATAGTTAGCTTATGTATTCACAAGTTGGTGGACGTTTGAATTGTATTCAGTTTTCATAGATTATTAATAAAGTTGCTACAAAATTCTACATTTTTTATGTGAACATAACTTTTTATATCTTTTGAGTACTAAGAAATAGATTTGCTGGGTTACACAAGAGTATATGTAACTTTATAAGAAACTGTGAAACTATTTTCCAAAATAGTAGTACCATCTTGTATTCTTTTCAGTAATGTAAGCAAGTTCTGGTTAGTTTGCCTTCCTACCAGCACTGAATACTGTCAGGCTTTCTTTTTAAAGACTTAATTCATTCTTACTGCTTTTAAAATATTTTAAAAGCCTTGCATTCATGAGATAAATACCAGTTGATTTTTTTCATATTGCTGGATTTGATTTACAACATCTGTAAGTTTTTTCTGTTATTTTATAATTACCTTGTCAAGATTTGGTACCAAGATGATCAGAGTATTATAAAAAGGAGGTGAGAATTGTTTGTTTCTACTTTTAGGAGGGATTTGTATAGAATTGGTACTTTTTTCCAACATATGGTAGAATTTACAGAAGGAATTTTTTAGAATGGTTTTAACTATGAATTCAATTTCTTTAAAATATTTAGGAATATTCAGGTTATTCACTTCCAATTTTAAATTAATGGACATAAAGTATTTTGTAATATTGCATTATTATCATTTTACTGTCTGCAGGGTTAGTACTTTTTACTTTTTGTATGGTCAGTAGTGATGTATCCTCTTAAATTCTTTTATTTTTTCTTGGTAAGTATGTTTACAGGACTATTAAATTTTATTTATCCTTCCAAAGAAGCAGATTTTGCTTTCATTGATTTATTCTATTGATTTTCTGTTTTCAATTTTATGCATTTTACTCTTATCTGTATGATTTCTTTTTTCCGTTTACTCTGGGTTTAATTTGCTCTCCTTCTGCTAGTTTGCTAAGGTGGGAATTTAAATTATTGGTTTGATAATTAATTTAAAATTAAATTTTCATGTAAGCACTTTGTAAAGCTATACCCTACAAATTTAATATGTTGTATTTTTATTTTCTTTCAATTAAAAATATTCTGATTTTCCATGTGAATTCCAGTTTATACCATGTGTTATTTAGAATTATATAATTTCCAAACATTTGGGATTTTCCTGATATATTTGTGTGGTTGATTCCTACTTTAATTCTGTTAGGATTAGAAGGCATACTTTGTCTTATTTTAATTCTTTTATATTTGTTATAGTTTGTATTCTGGTCTAGAATTTTGTCTATCTTGGTTATTGCTTCATATACACTGGAAAAGAATGTATATTCTGCATTTTTTGGGTAGAATGTTACGTAAATACTAATTAAGTTGGTTGCTAATGTTGCCCAAGTCCTCTATTATCCTTACTGATTTTCTGTCTACAAGTTATATTGATTGCTGAGAGAAGAATGTTGAAATCTCCAACTATTATTATAGACTGATCTATTTCACCTTTTACTTCTGTCAGTTTCTGATTCAATATTTTGAAATTTTCCAAAGTGCTTACAGATTTAGTCTTTTAATTATTCTTGTTTAATTATTTTTAATCCCTCATTATATTGCTTGTTTTGAAGTCTATTTGGGGTCTGAAGTTTATTTTGTCTGACGTTTTTATACAGCTGGATTTTTATATTATTGGATTGTAGGGTTCTCTGTTTTTTAGACAGTTCCATTAACTGAAGCAAAGCAGCACAAAATGCACCATTAAAGAAGTGTACTTTGATTTACCTTTTGAACATGTACATGTAAACCCATCCCAATAAGCCCTATGTACAAAGCTAAAAGATATTTTTCAATAGAATGTTCTCAACACTTGCTTACAGATTTCTCCCTCTATTAAACAGTTACATTCACTGACAGAAAAACCAAACAGCACATAATTCATCTTTAAAAAGACACTCCAGTTTCCTTTTGATTAGTATGGGCATTCTATATCCTTTTTCATATTTTATTTTGAATCCATTTATATTTTCTTATTTAAAGTTGATTTCTTGTAGACAGTACATAGTTAGGTATTCATTATTTATCCAATTTGATAACTTCTGCTTTTTAATTGGTGTTCTTACATAACTTATATTTCATCAAATGATTGTGGTTGGATTTAGAACTATTTTATTATTTTTTCCTTTTACTATTGATTCTTGTTCTTCTGTCTCATTCTTACCTTTATTGAGATTATTTGAATAATTTTTAGTATTATATTTTATTTTTACATTTTTGGCTCCTCTATGTGTATTTTATTTTATTTGTTTAATTTTTATTATTATCATACTTTAAGTTTTAGGGTACATGTGCACAATGTGCAGGTTTGTTACATATGTATACATGTGCCATGTTGGTGTGCTGCACCCATTAAATCGTCATTTAGCATTAGGTAGATCTCCTAATGCTTTCCCTCCCTGCTCCCCCCACCCCACAACAGGCCCCAGTGTGTGATGTTCCCCTTCCTGTGTCCAAGTGTTCTCATTGTTCAATTCCCATCTATGAGTGAGAACATGCAGTGTTTGGTTTTTTGTCCTTGCAATAGTTTGCTGAGAATGATGGTTTCCAGCTTCATCCATGTCCCTACAAAGGACATGAACTCATCCTTTTTTATGGCTGCATAGTATTCCATGGTGTATATGTGCCACATTTTCTTAATCCAGTCTATCATTGATGGACATTTGGGTTGGTTCCAAGTCTTTGCTATTGTGAATAGTGCCACAATAAACATATATGTGCATGTGTCTTTATAGCAGCATGATTTATAATCCTTTGGGTACATACCCAGTAATGGGATGGCTGGGTAAAATGGAATTTCTAGTTCTAGATCCCTGAGGAACCGCCACACTGCCTTCCACAATGGTTGAACTAGTTTACAGTCCTACCAACAGTGTAAAAGTGTTCCTATTTCTCCACATCCTCTCCAGCACCTGTTGTTTCCTGACTTTTTAATGATTGCCATTCTAACTGGTGTGAGATGTTATCTCATTGTGGTTTTGATTTGCATTTCTCTGATGGCCAGTGATGATGAGCATTTTTTCATGTGTCTTTTGGCAGCATAAATGTCTTCTTTTGAGAAGTGTCTGTTCATATCTTTTGCCTACTTTTTGATGGGGTTGTTTGTTTTTTTCTTGTAAATTTGTTTGAGTTCATTGTAGATTCTGGATATTAGCCCTTTGTCAGATGACTGGTTGCAAACATTTTCTCCCATTCTGTAGGTTGCCTGTTCACTCTGATGGTAGTTTGTTTTGCTGTGCAGAAGCTCTTTAGTTTAATTAGATCCCATTTGTCAATTTTGGCTTTTGTTGCCATTGCTTTTGGTCCTTGCCCATGCCTATGTCCTGAATGGTATTGCCTAGGTTTTCTTCTAGGGTTTTTATGGTTTTAGGTCTAACATGTAAGTCTTTAATCCATCTTGAATTAATTTTTGTATAAGGTGTAAGGAAGGCATTCAGTTTCAGCTTTCTACCTACGGCTAGCCAGTTTTCCCAGCACCATTTATTAAATAGGGAATCCTTTCCCCATTTCTTGTTTTTGTCAGGTTTGTCAAAGATCAGATAGTTGTAGATATGCGGCATTATTTCTGAGGGCTCTTTTCTGTTCCATTGGTCTATATCTCTGTTTTAGTTCTATGTGTATTTTAAAGGGATACTGTGTATGTATCTAACACTTCAGGGTCTACTTACAGTTAGTATTGTACAACTTCAAGTAAAAGGTAGATACATTACAATCATATAGGTTCACTTACCCATCCAAACTTGATCTTTGTTATTATTATCATATGCATTGAAACCCCTATCAGATAATGTCATAATTTTTATTTTCAACAGTTATATATGTTTCATATGTTTTATATTTTTATGTTTACCCAGATATTTGTCATTTACATTGCTTTTCCTTTATTCCTGAAGACCGAAGTTTCCCTTGGATAGTACTTCTTTTCAGCCTAAAGAACTTTCTTTAGCATTTTAATTATAGTAGCTCTGGTGGTAACAAATTCCCTTGGTTTTTTTTTTTTTTCATCTGAGATTATCTTTTACTTCATTACTGAAAGCCGTTTTCACTGGATATAGGTTTCTAAATTGAAGGTTCTTTCTTTCAGCATTTCGAAGATATTCTGCTGTGATCTTGCCGCCATGTTTTCTAATAAGAAATCCATAGCCACGTAAATAATTGTTTTCCTGTATGTAATATATTATTTTCCTATAGCTGTCTTCAAAATATTTTTAATATTTATTTTATGCTTTACAACAGTTTGACTATGATTTGTCTGTGTGTTGTTTTGTTTGGTTTATCCCAGTTAGGATCACAGAGCTTCAAATCTCTAAATTTATATCTTTCACTAAATTTGGCAAGTTTTTGGTCACTGTCTCTTCAAATATTTTTTTTCCACAATGTTTTTCCTCCTAAGAGTCTAAATACATATATTAGATGTTTTAATACTGTCTCATTGGTCTTTGAGGCTCTGTTTTTTTTAACTTTCTGCTTTTAAAATTGGATAATTTTATTGATCTTAAAGTTCACTGACTCTTTTTTCTATTCATTCTTAAGTTCATCAGCAATTTAAAGACAAATTTCGGAGATTACATTTTCCAGTCTAAAATCTTCCCTTGTTTTTTTCTATTTATTTTGTGTGTTTTTGTTTATGTCATGGGGCATAGATATAATAGTAGCTTTAATAATTTTAACATCTGGCTTTTTTTTAGGGGCTGGCATCTGTTTATTGTCTTTTCTCTTTTAAATCAGTCACTTTTTGGTGCTTCATAATATATTGTGTAATTTTTCATTGTGTCCTGAACATTTTGAATGTTATGATATTTAGACTCTGGGTCGTTATATTCTGGGGAGTGTTGATGTTTTTCCTTTAGCAGACAATCAATCTGATGAGATTCAGACTGGAAATTCTGACTTGTCTTTTGTGGAAGCTGATTCAAATTCCAGTCCCAATATTTAAGCTTTTTAATGCTAGTTTGCATCTGATCTGTCCATGCACAGCTCAAGAATGAGCCTGAAGACATTGGCAGGTTTGTTCATACAATTAAGAGCCATACATCCCTTCTGACTTTCTTCACTATGGGACCCTCCACTCATTCTCTAGCCATCAAAGTCTCTTTTCCATTGTTTCTCTGGCCGAACCAAGTTTGTTTATTTGTTTGTTGTAATTAAATTATTAGCTGCCTGTGCTGCTGCTACCATCTCACAGCTCTGTGCTGGGAACTCACTCATAGAGTGAAGCTATATAAAAGAAAAAAGAAAACAGTGAAACATATTTCATCAGTCACTTCTCCAAATGTTGACAGCCACCCTTAATCCATCTAAATTTTCCTTATTTTTCAGCATGCTCAGGTATTTTTTATGTATTTTGTTAAGAAGTTTTAGTTGTAAGCAGCAGAAGAGATGGGCTGTAATGGGCTCCTGTGCCCATGCTGGAGCTGGAACTTCTCAAGATTCAGTTTTTATATCTCTTAGAAAGTGCCACTGCAAGTAAAAAATAAAATAAAATACACCTTAACATTTTTTCTTTACAGCTGGAAACTGAATTCCAGAGAAGCAAAGTAGATTGGAGAAGATGGCCTAGCCAGTTTGTGAAGTCATTTAATATAATGGAAAAACTATTCATATCAGAATGAGATAGAGCTGCGAAAAAACCATGGCTTCACCACTTATTAGAGTATAATTAGTTAACTTCTTCGAATGTTAGTTTCCCTTCCAAAAATGAATGAAATCAAAAAGGCATTTCTCCCTGCACTGCACCCCTATACTTGGAAATGAGAGAAGTGTTATTGGCAGCTGAGAGTAGATATGGAATTAATTTTATACAGTCCAAAGAAGTGATTTGCAACTCACCTCAGAGAGGCAAGAGTGCCTGCTTCCGGTGCAGCAAGGCTTAAAGATCATTACTAAGCTATCATGTTCTTATTTGACACTCAGGAATAACTTTTAGGTTATTTGTTGGCTTTAGAGAGAGCTTAGTCTACAGGGAAGGAGTATTCTGGTCATACTGATGTGAGTTCCTAGGCAGGCTGGCAGCTGAAGTTTTCACTGCATCTTCTCAAATTAGTACTCTGGTTTCCTAAGGTTGTTTTATAAGATTTGTCAGTTTGATTAAGCTTTGTAGGATTTGGACAATTGGGGGATACTGACAAAATCTGAACTTGTGAGTTTGTGAGCCAGGCAAAAGAACAGCCTTGGAATATAGTAAATTTTCTAGAAAATGTCATTTTTGAAAGCTCTTTTGCAACTGGACCTCTTGGTACAAAGTCAGTACAAAGTGTGGTATGAAATTGTTTTAAACGTTCCATGTACAATTTTTAAAAATTTAATAGTGTTTATTTTAAATGTAATTAAAAAACTAGCACATAAAACCCCAATGATTCATATATTTCAGAGTTTAGAATGAGGTTATGTTTAACAAAATAGATCATTTCAAAGAAAAAATATTAAACAAATAAAAGAACCAGTGGTATATGTATGTGACAAAAAATCATGAAAAATAGATATGTGACTGAAGCTTTGAGCACACTGAATTAGTCCACAGCTGACATTGAAATGCTAGTAAGATTGACGAACTAAGAAACAATATATTGAGAGAAAGAAGATGGATAAAAAAGTACTCTGATTCTATTGACATAAAGTCTAAAAACAGACAAACCTAACCTATTGCAATAAGAATCAGGGTTGTGATTACTTTTGGGGAGAATGCCTAAAAGGGGCCATATGTGGTCTTCTGATACTGAAGAAAAATGTTCTGTTTTTGATCTGGTTATTCACTTTGTGAAAATTCATTGATTTTTACACTTATGATTTGTTCATTTATATGTATATGTGCTATACTTCAGTAAAATTTACATTAACAATTTAATAAAATCAAGACAAGCTAGAAATAAAATTTTCCCCATTCCATCAGTCATTTTGATCAATTTAAGCATGCTCCATGTTTGGGTTTTATATATTTTTAAAAAGTGCTGGGCACGGTGGCTCACGCCTGTAATCCCAGCACTTTGGGAGGCCGAGGCGGGTAGATCACCTGAGGTCAAGAGATTGAGACTAGCCTGGCCACCCTGGTGAAGCCCCGTCTCTATTAAAAATACAAAAATTAGGCGGGCATGGTGGTGTGTGCCTGTAATCCCAGCTACCCAGGAGGCTAAGGCAGGAGAATCGCTGGAACTCGGGAGGCAGAGGGTGCAGTGAGTCGAGATCAGACCACTGCACTCCAGCCTGGGTGACAGAGCAAAACTCCATCTCAAAAAAAAAAAAAAAAAGTACCATTTACTTTGGTAGTGTGAATAAAGAAAGAAGTGAAACTAATTACTAAAACCTCATTTCTCATGCAAGCTTTTGGTTTGTGGATTGGATAAATTTACATGCCAGTACTTTTTCCTTAAAATAGTTGGGAATTACAGTAAATGTATTTATTGTCAATAGTGCTTTTCGAATCATGGCCCAATCTTTTATACCAGGGAAAAGGAAGAGTAGGATAGAGCCTCAGGGCATCATCTTAAAAGGAAGAATATAATGCTAGTTGCAGTATTCCTCAGTCATGGTTGAAATGTGTGAGTAACCTTGAAAGAGTTAAAATAAATCGATAATATGTTTCTCAAGTTAATCTAGAAATCTGGATTACAACAGTGATATCTGACAGCACTGGCAGTTGTAATTATAAAGAACTCATATAAATCAATAACAAAATGTGCATACCTCACTAGGACATGGAAAAATGATATCAGTAGTTAAAGGTATTTAGTAAATATTTAAAACAATGTGAGATAACACTAGTAATGAAAGAGTGGTATATTATAATAACTAGATATTATTCAGCTATAAAATTGGCAAAATTAAAAATCATCGATAATAACCTGGTTTAGTACAGATGTGTAAAATCGTGCTCTTTAATATCAAGGTTTTTAAGGAAATACAATAAATAGCATCTATCTTCCCCACACAAGTTCTGAACAAGTTGAATAATAAGAGTGAGAGATATGAAGGCTGAAATGTCACATTTGCTTCTGACAAAGTTTAAGTTGGAGAATATAGCATAGTATGGAAAACAAATGGTCTTCTTAATACTAAATCCCAGAACTAAGCAGATTTGTCCACCTGGACACATGCACCAGTTGACAAGGGCTTGCCTCTACATGTGAATTGCATCATGGAGGATCAAGAGAAAAATGTGTGTTTTTTCATGAAAAGGCTGACTTTCAGATGACAAAGAACAGACCAAATCTGAGCATGCACAGCCAAGTCTTCTCAAATTTATCAGTCAGATAAATTGCTCAATCTCCCCTGGGATGGAATATAACAAAAAAGAGAGAGGACAAAAGTGATCGCAAGCCAGTCCATTTGCTAGATGTTCAGAAAAATAACAGCAAAAAAAAAAAAAAATTCTCTAGTTTCTGTCCTCTGATGCAGTTAATTGTTGCACCTGTAACTCATCTTGGTTGCTAGTTTTAAAGACATGATAGTAGGTAGAGAAAGATGGGATTGTCGTCAGTGAATGTGCTATTTGGATTGGATGCATAGACTACAAAAATTGCTGTCACAGTCATGCCTGGGTGTATATTATTACTAGGAAGTGAAGAAAACTTGCTAGTAGATTCCTGTTTTACCCTGGGAAACAGATATAGCCTTCCACAGATGTTATTTTAGACATTTTTTTTGCTCTTTTAAGAATTTTAATTTAAAAAATATTTAATAATTTTCTACTTACTAAAAGCCTGGTCTTAATTTTATGAAAAAAAAAAACCAGCAGCATATAAATTTACTTTTTTTAAAAAGAGAAATATGGGAGGGTTTTTTTTTTTTTTTTTTTTTTTTTTTTTTTTTTTTACAGAAATGCTTACCTAGGTTGTCTTGGAACACTCAGCCTGAGAGCAACTAATATTTTCGAAAGTGGAAAGAGATAAACCCAGTATATGGCAGCCCTCCAGATGATTGTCCATACTGAATAAGGGTGCTAAAAAGGTAAGGTGAACAGAGCTTTTGAAAGTCTCTCAGAGATAAAGGTATGAAAACTAGAGTTTCAGGGCCTATCAGGAACAGAGGACACCAGTAACACCCCCCAAAATTACTTGTGATTCCAAACAGATCTATGCTAGAAATAAGCATAAGCCTGGCACAGACTAGTCCACACAGGACTGAAACCAATCAAATCTATCACTGATTAGATTAAGGCAATCTTTCCCCTAGCTGCCAAAACAAAAAAGCAATCTTCTTTGGAGGAAGATACTATTCATAGTGTCTCATTTTCTCTTCGCGTGTTTAATATATTCCAGAACTCAATAAAACGAGGTATATAGGGAGTGAAGAATTGCCCCCAAAATTGAGAAAATGTAAAGGAAACAGAAACTGAACTAGAAGGTGATTTACATGATAAAGTTAACAAGTGTGGACTTTAAAATAACTATAAGCAATATGTTTACAGAATGAAAATGATATTTATCAGTAGAAATTTGGAAACTATAAAAATAATCAAATGGAAATTCTAGAACTAAAAACATACAATAATGGGGATTACAAACTTGATTAATGGTTTTAATATAAGATTTACAGCTAACAAGAAAATTAGTTAACCGAGATAAGTCAGAAGAAAATATTTAAGTTAAAGAACAAAGAAACAAAAGGATGTAAAGTATTAAAAAGTATATATGAGACTTATGATATATACAGTTGGAATATCAAAAGGAATGAAGAGAGACTAGATCAGAAGCAATAACTAATGAGATAATGGTCAGAATTTTCACAAGACAAAGAAAAACATCAGGCCACAATAACAGTGGACCCAAAGCAAAACAAAGAGTAAACAAAAGCTAGGTACGTAATAGTAAAACTTCTGGAAATTGAAAACAAAGAGAAAATATTTAAAAGAGCTAGAGGAAAAGGACAGATTTATTTTTCAAAATAGAAAAAGTAAGACCAACTTTGATTTCTGCTGACTTCTCTACAGTAATAATAAGGCAATGAAATGATGTCTTCAAATTGATGAAAGACTATAGATACCTTAAATTTTGCACTAAATGAAAATTTTATTCAAATTTTAGGCATAATAAAGGAATGTTCAAACACAAAAACTAAGGGAATATGTTATCATCCACTTGACAGTGAAGAAAACACTGAAGGGTTTTTTTCAAGCAGAAGGAAAAGTATCCCAGATGGAAGCTCACAATTTTAGGAAAGAAAGATGACTGAAAAGATTACATTTGTGGGCCAATAAAAATAAATATTGACTATATATAATAGTAATATTACATCTTAAGTAGCTTAAACTATTTAAAGAATTAAAATTCATGACCATAGTAATAATGCATAAAATGAAGTAAATGGAGTTGAAGAGTTCTGAAGTTTTTGTTTTCCTGGGAAATTGAAAAGTACTAAATTTTATAAGATTGTAATAGGGACAAAATGTATTATTATCTGCAGTTACCATTAAAATTATAAAATGATTTTAGGTAAGTAAAATCTAATGGAAGAATGAAATAACTAATTTTTCTACATTTTAATCATTGGAATTAATTTTAGGGTAAGGAAGAGGTGGGGAGGTAACTTTCTGTGCTTATTTTTAAAATGACTTGTGAGCTACCAAAAGTTTTTGAAGTCAGACAGACTCAAGGCGACCTCTGTATCTGCCACTTCTTATTTGTGTAGTTGGGGCAGCTTACCAACATTCCTGAGTCTCAATTTCTTCTTTGTGCATTATAAAAAACAACATTAACTTGAGGAGTTGTTGCTAAGATTAGAAATAACATATACAAACCAACTAGCATGGTACCTGGCACACTGTAGGTTCCCAATCAGAGCTGTAACTACTGTTGACTATTGACCCCTGGAAAAACAGCTGAATTTATTAGATTTACTGCACCAAGAAAAAATACTGCCTTGACAGAGTCATGGGAAATTAGGGCAGGGTATTTATAGGGTTTCAAGGTCTGAAAGGGATAACTTTAAGGTGGGTCTTGCAGGGTCAGAACTGGTTGGGGCTGAGTAGAGTTTATGACATAATAGCTTTAGTTTGATGGTAATAGCGAGAAGACAGGTTGAAAGTAAGTCTTGATGAGGAAACTGTTTTGATGAGTTAGCTGAATGATTGGCAAACAGACTTAACCTCCAGGTTTTGTATTTCCTCGAACAAGCCAGTAAGTTATTAGTATTTAGTATAGAGTTGGGGAATTATGTCCATTCATTCCCAGTATTGCATACACAAAGACAGGAAATTATGATAGTTTTAGTTATCACTTCTCTTTTATTTTTTATTTTATTTTTAATTTTTTTATTATACTTTAAATTCTAGGGTACATGTGCACAACGTGCAGGTTTGTTACATTGTATACATGTGCCATGTTGGTGTGCTGCACCTATTAACTTGTCATTTACATTGGGTATATCTCCTAATGCTTTCCCTCCCCCCCCCCACCCCACAACAGGCCCCAGTGTGTGATGTTCACCTTCCTGTGTCCAAGTGTTCTCATTGTTCAATTCCCACCTGTGAGTGAGAACATGCGGTGTTTGGTTTTTTGTTCTTGCGATAGTTTGCTGAGAATGATGGTTTCCAGCTTCATCCATGTCCCTACAAAGGACATGAACTCATCCTTTTTTATGGCTGCCTGGTAATCCATGGTGTATATGTGCCACATTTTCTTAATCCAGTCTATCATTGATGGACATTTGGGTTGGTTCCAAGTCTTTGCTATTGTGAATAGTGCCGCAATAAACACACGTGTGCATATGCCTTTATAGCAGCATGATTTATAATCCTTTGGGTATATACCCAGTAATGGGATGGCTGGGTCAAATGGTATTTCTAGTTCTAGATCCTTGAGGAATCACCACACTGTCTTCCACAATGGCTGAACTAGTTTACAAAGATCAACAAAATTGATAGACCGCTAGCAAGACTAATAAAGAAGAAAAGAGAGAAGAATCAAATAGACACAATAAAAAATGATAAAGGGGTTATCACCACCGATCCCACAGAAATACAAACTACCATCAGAGAATACTATAAACACCTCTACACAAATAAACTAGAAAATCTAGAAGAAATGGCTAAGTTCCTGGACACATACACTCTCCCAAGACTAAACCAGGAAGAAGTTGAATCCCTGAATAGACTTACCACTTCTCTTATTGTTAGCTAGGTGTTACTTTTAATATATGAATTGAACATAGCTGTGGAAGAAGTCCCTGCAGAAAGTGATAGGAGAATATACTCTCTGATTACACTGGCTTTTCTAGTGATAATTTGCCTTTCATGGTTTTTCCTGCTCAGTGAACTCAACTGGAACTCACAACAATTCCTGACTCTCTGGGTACAAAAAGTAGTAATCTTGGCTGGGAGCCGTGGCTCACGCTTGTAATCCCAGTACTTTGGGGAGCCGAGGCGGGTGGACCACCTGAGGTCAGAAGGTTGAGACCAGACTGGCCAACATGATGAAACCTCGTCTCTACTGAAAAATACAAAAATTAGCCAGGTGTGTTGGAGGCTGAAGCAGGAGAATTGCTTGAACCCAGGAGACGGAGGTTGCAGTAAGCCGACACGGTGGCACTGCACTGCAGCCAGGGGGACAGAGTGAGACTCCATCTCAAAAAAAAAGGTAGTAATCTCTCAATTAGATGAAATTGAACTTAGCACCTCCACATATTTGAACCATTCTTTGCTCCTCTCCTGATGCCCTCACTGAAATTTGCCAAGGGATATTATTTTATCATTTGGCTGTCATTCCTTGGAATAAATGTTTTGATTTACTAAAACCTAGGAATTATTATTTTATGAGTTTCTTATCTTCCTCTGGGATTTAAAAACCATCTAGAGACCTAATCTTTCAGTAAATGTATTAATCATAAAGAATGTAAGGAGGGTTAAATCCTCATGGGCTTGTGAAAAGGGTTATTGATAAATTCTGCAAGATTTCAAGTCCAAACTCTGGAAAAGCATAAAAGTTTTTGTTTGTTCATTATTTGCATTGAATTTATTTGGAAGCAAGTTGCAAATAAGAGGGTTTGAATAACCATCTACCGACGGAATTCCTGAAAGAGTGTATTTTATCTGCAATATGCCCCAGCAAAGATGATATTAGAAACAATCTCTTAACATTTACCGATGACATGTTTTCAGGGTTGATGAGAGATCAATGTGAGTGTTTCATAGTTGTATCTACCTGGCACTGAAAGAAATGACCTGGGGGTAGGTAAATTGTGTTTGCTAGCAAGAAAATAGGTGCATAAAATAAATAGAAAGTCTTACTGTTCTCCCTACTGTCAATCTCCGGGAACATGGATGACAGTGGTTGAATTTGTTTCTGTTTTTCTAGTAGACTATAGCTAACTGTCAAGAACAGTACCCTCAGGGCAAATATGAATGATTAAACTGTTTAGCTTTTAATAATAATGTTGTGATTTGGCATATTCTGTCAATTTTAAAACTTGAAATAAATTTAACGAACTGATTGAATTTGGTGTTGTTTGGGACTAATTAAATCCAATGAACACCAACGGGCATTTTCAAACTCTTAAATTAGTGCCTACTTGATCATTAATAAAAAGCATGAGTTTGGAGTTACAAAGGTTGGGATTTAAATTCTAGCTCCAACAATTTGCTACCTGTTTTACTTTAGGCATGCTATTTAATCTTTCAGAATTTGAAATTTTGTAAAAAAATGAGTAATTCACAAGGTTGTTTAGGGAATTAAATGAAAGACTATATGTAAATGCATAGCATGTGATCTGGGATGAAGATTCTATGGTTTCTTTTTAGAAATAAGAGGGAATCATGGAGATGTACATTTCTTTGGTGAGAGAGACAGCATCTCCTCTATCAGAATTTCAGCATACACAACTAAATCAAGGTGCAGTTGCCCATTTCTACTTGCTACTAAATCAAGGTGCAGTTGCTCATTTCAGAGAGACTGATGGTATGGTCACAATTAGGTTAAAGAATAAAGAGTTAGGCCCCAGTTCAATTCTACTATGCACTACAAAATCTTGAATAAGACACTATTATACAGTCTCAGTTTGTTCATTGGTTAAGAATAAAGATAGTAGTGTGGGATTAAATGGCACCACATAATGGAAAAGGACAAACACTACAGTAAGTAGGCAGCACATGTTTGTTGAGTCTTCACTGCCATCACTTTCTTTCCTAGAAGAACTAGGATATTCTGAAATTTACATCTGTTTCTCTGAGTAACAGTTTTCTATATACTATTCAAGTACTTTTCTTTCTTAGCAGAAAGAACAAAGCTTTCCAAAATGATACCAAGGGATTATTGGTTTAAGATGGCGCTCTGAACACATATATCTATCCTTGCTCCTTCAAATGCATTAAAATAACAGAAAAGTACTTAAAAAAAATAATCTCACGCAGTGGAAGCTGTTGGTGACCCTTCCAGATCAATTTAACCAAAGCTATGTCTTTCCCCCAGTTGCTGTGAATGTGTTACAGTGGCACAACTACCCCAGGCCATTCCTGCTCCTCTGCTCCCCAGGGTGTCAGGTTTGAAGTCAGGCTTCAGCTGAGACCACAACCTATTTAGCTCCTTCTCCTGTCCTAATCCTGCCATCTTCACTTTCTTTCTCCAGAGACCACTTTCCTAATAAGTCACTTGCATTAAAATCTCCATCTCAGGCTTTTCTAGAAAGCATATTGATAAATAGAGTCAAAGCTATTCATGTGGAAAAAGATTCTGGGGCTCAAAATGGGCAGGAGCAGAGTGAGAAGTGGGGATAGAGTGGAGTTAATTCAAAATGCAAATTTGAAAACGCTGTGAGTTAGTGCCTCTCTGGACCTCAACACATATCCTCTATATGTAGCATACAGAGTTAGGTGGTCTACCATTTTGTGCCAGCCAAAAATCGTAGGACCCATTCCTGAACAAACTGAAATCCTTGTGGGGAAGATTGCCAATGGCCATGATTTCCCCCTTGTTACTTAGCCTAACAGCCAACTCCCTGCCCATGTGTATGTGCTGAGTAGAAGAAACCCACATCTCCTGCCTGGACTAATCAACTGAGTCCCTTACTTTTAAGTATAAACATACAAAGATCAGCAGGCATATGAAGGTCAAAGTAAACAAATATAAAAACTGATGCCAGAAGAGAAATAACTGGAACAGAAGAAACCTAACGCAGAGCAAAATAATAAAATCAGCAATTAGTGTGCACAGATGTGAGAAGATACTGAATTTATTAAACAAGAACTAAATGGCCTACATTTTTTTCAACTAAAAGTAATAAGAGAACAACAAAATTCAGAGAAATTCCAAGTGATTACAGAAATAAAACATTTAGTATGAGAATTAAAGATAAACTTTGGGTACTGTGCCATAACATAGAGAAAAAAGGCAAAGAAATATGGAAGAAGACATACATGCTATAGATCTGCACTGTCAAATATGGGAGCCATTAGCCACATATGGCCATTGAACAACAGAAATGTTGTTAGTCTGCAGTAAAATGTGCTGTAATTATTAAGTATACCCCAGATTTTGAAGGCAAGACAAATTAAGAATGTAAAATATCTCAATATTTTTATTGATTAAATATGGAAATAATATTTTGAATATATTAATATATTTTAAAAGCTACATGAAATTGATTAAAATTATTCTTACCCCTTTCTTTTTATATTTTTTGATGTGGCCACAAGAAAATTTAGTTACATATGGAGCTCACATTTATAGCTTATATTATATTTCTATTGGACATTGCTGCTATGGAGTGTCAGTCTCAGAGGTTCAATTTTTGATTAATAGAATTTCCTGAAAGAGGAATTGAAAAGGAGGGAATTATCCAAGCAAAAATAGGTATAACCTGCTTGGAGCTAAGGAAAATCATGACACTAAAATGAAAGCTCTCACTGAGATAGGGAGGTGATATGGTTTGTCGGTGTCCCCACAAAAATCTCATCTTGAGTTCCCACACTGTTGTGGGAGGGACCCAGTGGAAAGTAATTGAATCATGGGACAAGCCTTTCCCATGTTCTCATGATAGTGAATAAGTCTCCTAAGATCTGATGGTTTTATACAGAGGAATTCCCCTGCACAAGCTCTCTCTTTGCCTGCTGCAATCCATGTAAGATGTGACTTGCTCTTCCTTGCCTTCCGCCATGATTGTGAGGCTTCTCCAGCCACATGGAACTATAAGTCCAATTAAACCTCTTTCTTTTGTAAATTGCCCAGTCTTGTGTATGTCTTTATCAGCAGCATGAAAATGGACTAATACATGAGGTTACTAAAATTGTGTAGATCTTAAAACAAGAGGAAGCTTATACCTACAAAGCTATACTCAGAAAAAAGATCATACAAGTTTTAGATTTTTTTCTTAATAATTCCAGATGTCATAAGATAATGGAACTATGCATTTAGAAGTTACAGGAAGAATAATTCTGCATCTCAAATTCCCTTTCCAGCTGTTCTGGCAATTAAGTATGAGACATTTTTAAATGCCACAAAGTCTCAGAGAATTTACATCCCAGAACCATTTTTAAGGAAGTTACATAAAGATGTACTTCAATAAGCCTAGGGTGAAACACCCCAAATGTAGAATGACATGGGAAGCAAGAAACTATGGAATTAAGCCAGAAATCCAATGAACAAAGATCCCAAGATACAGCTATCCAACACTCCTCTAAATTAGAATAGGAAACATTATTTAGGTGATGGCCACGCTAAAAGCCCAGACTTTACCACTATGCAGTATATCCATGTAACAAAACTGCATTTTTACCCCTTACACTTATACAAATTTAGAAAAAGAAGGAAAAGAAAAAACACAAACTTGACTACCTTATCTTCAAAGATTGGAATGGATCCCAAATAAAAAATCCAATTGGCAAATATGAGGAAGGTGTTCCTGCTATTGCATGAAAGATGTGTCTTTTTTTCCAAAGAATGAAATTCAAAGACAGAGGCCCCAGGAGTCACACAGAAAAGTAACAGAAGGTCACAGTCAGACTGTGAAGAAAATGAAGCTGTGGCATGGTTTTCTGTCTATTGATGAGTAGGAGAAAGAGGAATACATTAAACCTTCACACTAAGATTATTCTCCCTCTGGTTGTATAAGGATTATTATAATATCAGAGTGAAGGAACAATAGCTTTAGCTTCTCAGTTCAACCATGACATAGTAATGCAAACACTGTTTATTAGTTTTAATTCTGAGACTCAACCTCTGGGCAGTGCTCAAAAGTCTTAATTATGGTTATAACACAGTTTCTGTTACCATATTTGACAGTGTTAAAGCTGATATATAAGGCGATAGAAGTTGGAAGGTAAAAGTTGGAAAGTTTAAGGGAAGATGAGGTCACTGTCAAAAACAAAATCAGGTCAAGTTGATAAATTGTAGAAGTTTATTGTGCATACAAAACAATTCAAGAACTGGGAGGCCTCAAACCAAGTGTAGAAAAAGCTTTGCTTACAGCAGTTACAGCACAGTTTATAAAGTATAAAGGATAAAGTATTTTAACCTTTTTCATGATTGTTTAACATTAACATTCTTTTTAGGGCAAGCAGAGCTGTTTAGGCTGATCTGTTTATAGCTGAATGGCTTAACTTGCCTGAATCCTGCTGACAAGAACTTAAAGCTTATATTTGGAGTTTCATTTATGATTAGAGCAAGCATTTTGGGGAAATCAGGATGACTTAAGTTTTTATTGCATGGTTGGTTATATGTTATATCTAAACTGTGGCCTCCATTTTATTTTACTTTAATAGTATAAATCACAACAGCTCATATAGAAGGGAATCAAGAAATAGTGTCTAGAGCAGATGTAGTAGGGTATAGATTAAAATATTTTATTTAACATTAGAAAGAGAGACAAACAAACAGATTTACAAACAAAGTAAACCCATGGAGTAGTTGGAATAAAACTATTAAAAATGGAAAGCAGAGAGCTGGAGAATAGTGTGAATACATCAAAATGCTATCTTTTTTTTGTTTTTGTTTTTGGCAGAGAGTCAATAAGGTCTAAAGCTGATATATCAGGAGTAAGAAGTAGAAAATGTATTCTTTAGCACTATGGTGGAAATTGCCCAAAAAAACTAGGAAAGCAAAGAAAGGTCTGGGAATGAGATTGCTCCTTTTTATTCTAAGCCATTCTGTTCAATTTCATTTTCAAATTATGTGCACTTATTGCACCATGTTTGCTTCTGAAATTCATTCTTATCAAACTATTATGAGGGGTAAGGTCAGGGCTTTGACCAGGTTGCCTAGCACTAACGTTGGGTCTGGGGGGTGGGGTGATGGCACTGCATAGGTGGGAAAGGGAGCTCTTCCCATGGCCTCCACATCATTCATTTCCACAGCAGGAACGCTAAGCTGCTCTCACGATTGCTTCCATCCTTTATCCCACAGTTCTCAGCCCGGAAATGAAGGACTTTGAGTTAATTGCATCAATCTGCACTTCTTGTTCATTGTTAAAAAAAAATTGATTTGAGAGCTAAAACCTCATAACCTCTAGATACTAGAAAAGCACAGAACTTCTGCTTAACCAGACACCTTGTGTGACCTCCAGGAGAGATGACTCCAGCACACCTTTCAACTTCTCCGAGCTCTGTTTTACAATGAAAGAAACTGAGCCCCAAAGAACAGCAGTCACTTGGGTGATAATATGTAGGGCTTCATGCAAAATAAATAAATAAATAAATAAATAAATAAAATAAAAAATATTGGGGATCTAGAACAAGGCCACCTGATTCCAGATGATTTATATTCAAACAGTTTGCATTTGATTCTAAATGTTTTTATGTTTCTTTCAGTGTTTTTAGAGTAAACAGCTTATTTTGAAGAAAATACTTTCTGGAAATCTATATGGGAAGCATGGTATTGGGCTGTGGGATCCAAAGTGCATCTGTTCTGGCTGCTTCTGGGCATTCTCACTGACTGGGTATCTTGAGAACCCAGCCTGAAGTCCATACGTCTGAATATAATTCAAAGCTTCTTTCTACTGCCATAAGACTGAGTTTCTATTTCTGATTTAAATTGCTCAGATGGGTCCCTGTTTCCTGTTCCTATGGCACAGATTTTAGATTCCCATTCGGTCTCACACCCTCTTCAGACAACAATGATTTACTGGCTGTGTCTACACCCTGCTGTTTTTCTTCTCTGTTAACTGATTCTACCAAGTAGTCCAACCCTCGTTTACCAGAAATAATTCCTAGGCTCCCAGTTCATTTGTATGACTGTGGTTTATTGCTTTGCTTGTTAAATAGAAAACCGAGTTGGGTTTCCAAGTGTTGTTCTCTTCATTAGACATCGTTGGTAAATCTACTTTTTCGCATTTGTTTGCTTCTTTATTCTTTTCTCCAACCGTTATACATTTTTCAGCGGCTGGACACCTAATGAGACCGAGTCAGAAGATGTCTCTAAGCAATCTGACTTCCCAGGCTGTGACAAGGCTGGCTTGGATTTTCAATTAAAAAGAAAGTTGAGAGAGAAGAAGAAAGCAAGCAAGTAATTAAGCAGCAACAGGGTCTTGGCAGAAGTCGTTAAATGAATTGTTTAATGAAGCAGTTTGGTGCAAGGAGAACTGGCTGTCTCTCACGCTTGCTTCCTGTAAAATCCCAAGTGGCTGCTTCCTGCCCTCTTTGTCATGCTCTGAGTAAAAGGGCCAGGTGGATCTATGGGACTTGGGGAAAATGGGGAATCGTAATAAATGTTTTGCAATGATTTGTCAGCCAGATGAAGGCTCTGCCAATAAAAGAGTTGCTAGAAAGGGCTTTGTTGTTTTAGTCCCAGTGCTTCTAAAGAGGGTTCATAAGTAGGAGTAGGTCTCTTTAAGACACAGACTAGAAAAGCAAGAGCAAACACATTCAAAACCTAGCAGAAGGCAAGAAATAACTAAAATCAGAGCAGAACTGAAGGAAGTAGTAGAGACAAAAAAAAAACCCTTCAAAAAATTAATGAATCCAGGAGCTGGTTTTTTGAAAGGATCAACAAAATTGATGGACCGCTAGCAAGACTAATAAAGAAAAAAAGAGAGAAGAATCAAACAGATGCAATAAAAAATGATAAAGGGGATATCACCACCGATCCCACAGAAATGCAAACTACCATCAGAGAATATTACAAGCACCTCTACGCAAATAAACTAGAGAATCTAGAAGAAATGGATAAATTCCTGGACACATACACTCTCCCAAGACTGAACCAGGAAGAAGTTGACTCTCTGAAGAGACCAATAACAGGATCTGAAATTGTGGCAATAATCAATAGCTTACCAACCAAAAAGAGTCCAGGACCAGATGGATTCACAGCCAAATTCTACCAGAGGTACAAGGAGGAACTGGTACCATTCCTTCTGAAACTATTCCAATCAATAGAAAAAGAGGGAATCCTCCCTAACGCATTTTATGAGGCCAGCATCATCCTGATACCAAAGCCTGGCAGAGACACAACCAAAAAAGAGAATTTTAGCCCAATATCCTTGATGAACATTGATGCAAAAATCCTCAATAAAATACTGGCAAACCGAATCCAGCAGCACATCAAAAAGCTTATCCACCATGATCAAGTGGGCTTCATCCCTGGGATGCAAGGCTGGTTCAATATATGCAAATCAATAAATGTAATCCAGCATATAAACAGAACCAAAGACAAAAACCACATGATTATCTTAATGGATGCAGAAAAGACCTTTGACAAAATTCAACAACTCTTCATGCTAAACACTCTCAATAAATTAGGTATTGATGGGATGTATCTCCAAATAATAAGAGCTATCTATGACAAATCCACAGCCAATATCATACTGAATGGGCAAAAACTGGAAGCATTCCCTTTGAAAACTGGCACAAGACAGGGATGCCCTCTCTCACCACTCCTATTCAACATAGTGTTGGAAGTTCTGGCCAGGGCAATTAGGCAGGAGAAGGAAATAAAGGGTATTCAATTAGGAAAAGAGGAAGTCAAATTGTCCCTGTTTGCAGATGACATGATTGTATATCTAGAAAACCCCACTGTCTCAGCCCAAAATCTCCTTAAGCTGATAAGCAACTTCAGCAAAGTCTCAGGACACAAAATCAATGTACAAAAATCACAAGCATTCCTATACACCAATAACAGACAAACAGAGAGCCAAATCATGAGTGAACTCCCATTCACAATTGCTTCAAAGAGAATAAAATACTTAGGAATCCAACTTAGAAGGGATGTGAAGGACCTCTTCAAGGAGAACTACAAACCACTCCTCAATGAAATAAAAGAGGATACAAAGAAATGGAAGAACATTCCATGCTCTTGGGTAGGAAGAGTCAATATTGTGAAAATGACCATACTGCCCAAGGTAATTTATAGATTCAATGCCATCCCCATCAAGCTACCAATGACTTTCTTCACACAATTGGAGAAACTACTTTAAAGTTCATATGGAACCAAAAAAGAGCCCGCATCACCAAGTCAATCCTAAGCCAAAAGAACAAAGCTGGAGGCATCACACTACCTGACTTCAAACTATACTACAAGGCTACAGTAACCAAAACAGCATGGTACTGGTACCAAAACAGAGATATAGATCAATGGAACAGAACAGAGCCCTCAGGAATAACACTGCATATCTACAGCTATCTGATCTTTGACAAACCTGAGAAAAACAAGCAATGGGGAAAGGATTCCCTATTTAATCAATGGTGCTGGGAAAACTGGATAGCCTTATGTAGAAAGCTGAAACTGGATCCCTTCCTTACACCTTATACAAAAATTAATTCAAGATGGATTAAAGACTTAAATGTTAGACCTAAAACCATAAAAACCCTAGAATAAAACCAAGGCATTACCATTCAGGACATAGGCATAGCCAAGGACTTCATGTCTAAAACACCAAAAGCAATGGCAACAAAAGCCAAAATTGACAAATGGGTTGTAATTAAACTAAAGAGCTTCTGCACAGCAAAAGAAAGTACCATCAGAGTGAAAAGGCAACCTACAAAATGGGAGAAAATTTTTGCAGCCTGACAAAGGGCATCTGACAAAGGGCTAATATCCAGAATCTACAATGAACTCAAACAAATTTACAACAAAAAGACAACCCCATCAAAAAGTGGGCAAAGGATATGAACAGACACTTCTCAAAAGAAGACATTTATGCAGCCAAAAGACACATGAAAAAATGCTCATCATCACTGGCCATCAGAGACATGCAAATCAAAGCCACAATGAGATACCATCTCCCACCAGTTAGAATGGCAATCATTAAAAAGTCAGGAAACAACAGGTGCTGGAGAGGATGTGGAGAAATAGGAACACTTTTATACTGTTGGTGGGACTGTAAACTAGTTCAACCATTGTGGAAGTCAGTGTGGCGATTCCTCAGGGATCTAGAACTAGAAATACCATTTGACCCAGCCATCCCATTACTGGGTATATACCCAAAGGACTATAAATCATGCTGCTATAAAGACACATGCACACGTATGTTTATTGTGGCACTATTCACAATAGCAAAGACTTGGAACCAACCCAAATGTCCAACAATGATAGACTGGATTAAGAAAATGTGGCACATATACACCATGGAATACTATGCAGCCATAAAAAATGATGAGTTCATGTCCTTTGTAGGGACATGGATGAAATTGGAAATCATCATTCTCATTAAACTATTGCAAGGACAAAAAAACCAAACACCACATGTTCTCACCCATAGATGGGAATTGAACAATGAGAACACATGGACACAGGAAGGGGAACATCACACTCCGGGGACTGTTGTCGGGTGGGGAGGAGGGGGGACGGGGGAGGGAGTACATTAGGAGATATACCTAATGCTAAATGATGAGTTAATGGGTGCAGCATACCAGCATGGCACATGTATACATATGTAACTAACCTGCTGTGCACATGTACCCTAAAACTTAAAGTATAATAATAATAAAATAAAGAAGAAAAAAGACACAGACTAATATGGCACCAGGGTTTCAAGGTACCATGCATCCTGGGGCTAGGTAGGTTGAATGACTGAGGAGGTACTCTAGAATTTCAGATTTTCGTGTTTAATCTCTTTCTAGTAACTAATCCAAAACACGTTATTATACGCTTCTGGCCATCTGCTGGCTAGAGTTAACATCTGAGCCACCAGTTTAATTTGCAATCTCTGGTTCAATCATGTAAATAGCAGGAGAAGAAAGGGAGAAAGGGATGGGAGTAAGACTAGGCACACGTTGCTGAACCTGAGCTTTCACACCATAAGGCATCAACGATTTAGTGTCTCAACCTTCCCATCAGTAGCACCTTATGTATGGCTATTCTTGCTCTTGAGTCAAGTATATATTTCACAGAAAAGGTTTCTTCTGTGCACATCTGGGCTTATTCATACTGATTAGATGCCCCTGGGATGGAAGTAAGTGGAGTGCTGATGTGTGTCTCCATTGGCAGGACTTCTCACTGATTATCCTGATTTGTGAATACTGCTTTGTAGGATGCGCATGTATCAGTCTGTGTGCAGATGCACCGCAAAATCTTTCAAAGGAAACAAAAGTGTGTTTAAATAATGCAGGAAATAATGGAAGGGACTAGAGGACAGTATGTGAGTGGCTAAGAGTGGCCTTAACTTTTCAAAAGGCAACCTTGGTGTACTAATACGAAGGGATGTTCTGAGCACATAGTAGATCCCTGATAAATGTTTATTGTCCTTGAGGGGCTACTACTAAGGTCAGCACCAGCATCGTGGTCAATGTTAAATATTTCCATATGGGAGAGGAAGCAGGAGATCATATCTAGAAAAAGGGAAACACATTAAACAGAAAGTGTTTGAGGAAGAAGACCAGTGTCTGCATAGGAGGGGAATCAGGCAGCCATGTCCTGGGGAAAAGGAATGTCGAGAGACAGTAGAGGTGAACTCTTATGGACTGTTCACCTCCAGGTAGTAAGATATCATGAAGATAGTTGTCAATTCTTTCCAGTTTCCACCTGCTAGTAAAGAGAAGGGTACTGGTAGCCTTCCGGTCTTGTCTCTAGTTGATTTTAATGCTGGACAGACGTATGCCTGTGTCCAGAGAACATTATAGCTGTATATGGTAGGGCTGCAGCAGGCAGAGACTGACATGCATAAAATGAGCCATATGCCCACACTAATAATAGTAGATATCATTTCTCCAGTGTTCCCTACAATGTAACAAGGAATTTATTGGTATTATTTCACTTAATTTAATATTTGCAATATATTTAAAGGAGGTATTATTTTCCTCACTTTGAAGATGAAATCTTCAGTCTGAGCTGAATCTCATAAAAACTAACTCACTAGTCCAAAGTCATACAACCTGTCAGTGGCAAAGCCAGGCTTTAAGCTCCATTTTATTTGGCAAAAGGCAATGGATAATGAATTTTTTTTCTTTTTTTTTTTGTTATGCTCTCCTCACTAAAGGTCTATAAGGGTGTAGCTAAGCTAGACAAGGCTAGGGATTTGTTATTGCTGTTATTGAAAAGAGAGAGCAGAGAGAGAAAGAAAAAGATCGACTGGGCTTTGTAATTCCAGGAGAGCTCCTCCAAGGTGGTGCGCTGCCTTACCAGTAGAGACAAGTGACAGGTGAGGAGAGAGGTTATTCAAAGAAAGGTAGACTTGATCTTATTTACATTAATCATTAAGGATGAAGTTGGTAACTGAGAGAACAAGAAAGAATTACAAGGAATAAAGATGTAAAAGGACTGAAACAAACGTGTCAGAGGGTCCCTCAGTTTTTTCCTTTGGTTTTTAACTGTGCCGCCTTTCTTTTTTTTTTTTTAATCTGGTTCTCCTGCTCCAGAAAATTGACTAGCTTGTAAACCACAAGGCTTGCAAGAACAGTTTTGAAAAAACACTATTCTCATGTTTTCTGGGAGCTTGAGCAAGCAGCACAAAAACAGGAAATAGCTCTCTTAAACTCAAGTAAGTTTTGGTCAAAGTAAAAAAACTGCTGCTTATGTTCATACTAAAAGGGACAGCTACTCAACTGTCCCCTCCCTATCTATAAAGCACTAACCCAGTTCCAATCAGGGTGTGTCTTGTTAGCATATGCAGCAGGTGCAGCCTGATGGGTGTCAGCTGAATTGAGCCTTAACCTCTATAGTCTATTAAATAATTTTCTTTTAACAAAAATTGTCAATATTTCTGCTTTTCTCTGAATTTCCAAGTTATAGGTCACTGGTCTCATCTGACCTTTCTTGCTCAGAAGAGAGATTCCTAATCCTCACTTCCCAGGTTCTACTTGTCCCCTTGAGTCTTGGCCTTTTTGCTTCTTCCAAACACTGTTCCCTCAGTTACCTTCATTTTACTTGCTTCACCACTCCCACCCTTCTCCCCAGCCTTCCCTCAGTCCTGCCACCTTCTCCATCACATTTTCCATAACCTTTCAACAATATTGACCCCTAACCCCTGGCTATCATTTCTCACTGTTCAGTCATAAACTGCTCCAACTTAGTTTCAGCCCTTGCCACACTGAGAAAACAACTCCTTCAAAGCTTGCCAATGGCCTTCTAAGGTTCCTTGCCAGAGGCCTCATAATCCCCAGAAAGTGTGGCTGATGCTGGTTACTGATCTGGTTCCCTTCCCATTCTACCTTTCAGACTCCCCGTTGATGAGTTCTTGCCTTCTTGCCTCTCCAGCTGGCATTCTGTCCTCAGCATTTTTCTTTCCCCTGTGGTCTTTCCCTTAGCCTGAACACTGAAACTTCTATGGTTGACCGGTGGTATTTCCATCCTGATCTCTTCTCTTAATGCTGTATTTCAAATCAGTGTGACTTTGTCTGACTGTGTCTAAAATGGAGCCTGACTTGTCTTCCTTTCAGATTAGTTTTTAAAACAATTTGATAGCCTTCCTGGTGCACCACATAGGGACTTCAGGGTCACTTTTAGTCCTTGTTTTTCTGAAGACCTGATCTTCATTAAAATTCTAACCCCTGTCTCTAGCTCAACTAAGCAACAGCAGTGGATGTTTTGTATGGCTCAATTGCTAAGTAAAAATGGCAGTTTAGGTATTCCTGAAGCTTTGTATTTATTAACTGTTGCCATATTCTCTCTGCCAGCTGCCAAATGGAGCCCCCTTCAATTACTTCCATGCTGCTACAATAGTTCTCTAACAGGGTTCTGGTTTCTAGGAGTAACATTTCCAACAGATTTTGCACACCACTGAAAGATACACCTACATCATACTCTACTACCTAGATAACTCACTTGTTAAAAATCTGAAGGATAAGTTCAGATTCCTTCGTGAAATTCTATGCATTCTCGCCTTAAACTCTTACCTACCTGCCCAGTTATCTTTGTGATTGTTACATTGCTTTCCAAACACACTTTAAGCGATTTTTCTTTTTTAAAATATGTTTTGTCACTCGATCCCCACCTCTCAAAACCCTAGTTATCCTGTAAGACCCCTTCAAAATGCCAGCTTCTTCATTAGGCTCTCACTTTTACCCTGGAATGGAGCTATTCTTCCTAACCTTTGAACTTTTAAGATTTTTAAAGATAGTGTTTTTAAAAATATCAGTGAAAGGTCAGTGTTTCCCCCCCAGCCCATAGCAAACTGATATATCTGTAAGTTACAATAAAGTACTCAAAAATAAAAGGCATATAAAACATTAATCCCCAATTTTTACTATTATATTCATCATTTAAGACCACTGATTATATGGAATGTTGCAGCAATGCCAAATGCTATCAAAGTTTCTATATAGTACTTCTCAAATTCTGTACCTTGCTCATCATAAGTAAGTAATACTTTCCTAGACTGGTCTTGGTCTGCAGACCACACTGTGAGTAGCAGTTCTTCAGGCTAAAGCACTCGACTAATCATACACTATTATACTGAATTATTTGTATATTTGCTTCATGTTTCCTACTGGCTAAAGCAAATAGAGCATCTAAGATGGCTGGAACTGGGTCGCAAACATATTTTATATTCCATCCAACCAAGGAAAATGTCTTATAACAAATGTTGTGGAGTAACTGATTAACTGAATAAATGAATAACTGATGTTTACACATATAATAGTTCCTATCATTTGATATAGATGAACAAACAACCTCATGTTCAGTCCCCATGAGGCATTTTATATTTAGACACTAACTGTGAACTATATAACAAATGTGTATTTTCTTCTGGCTTTTGCTTTTCTTCTTTGTCTGAGTTGGGTTTTTGAACTTTCTTTATTGCCACCATTACCAGCCACTGCTAATAATCATACTTTTGTTGAACAAGCAAATTCTAGTAAATGAAGCCTGCTTTTTATTAAGACCAGAATGTGGTAGATATTGATATCAAACAAGAGATGATCTTTGCTTGGCCTTGAACCTCTTATATTCAACTTAAAAAAATTCTGCTGCACAATCCTTAATACAGTTCTATTGTACATTTTTAGACTGATATTATCATGTATTCTAAGCAAAATTTAATTTTTTTTGATAAAGCATTTCTTGTAGTGTAAAGAAAGTGACTGAAAAATTGGGTGTCTGATGTTTTTCAGTGTCATTGCAGTTATTAATAAATTAGGGACAAATAGAATTTAGCAATTTAGCAACTTTTAGAAAGAAAGATAGTATTAAAGCTAGTTTAAATATATAAGACAGGGCAGGAAATATTGTTGATTCTTAACTCTCATCACAAGAAGATCTCAGAATGATAGGAATTGAACTCACACCAATATCCTCCAGGTATCCAAAGATCAAACATTCAAGGCTAACAGAGCATTTTGAGACTCTAGTTGGCCCCTGGAGTAGAGAAGAAAAGAAACCAGAAGTCCTTAAAAACACAATGATGGAAACCCTTTGACTCCAAGGGCAGCTAAGTATCTGCTAATGGAAAAAAAAATCTTCTCTCCACATTGGCTTATACTGGAATACGTCTGAGGAAAGAAGAAAAATTTCCTTGAACAATATTCCTACCTTATAGATTTTCTGCTAAAAAGCCTCTCAGACTCATTTGCCACTGGTAGGAATACTGCAAAGAAAATGACCTCAGAGTAAAAAGCTGGGATTTTTCCATTTTTTTTCCTTTTAAATAGACTTTATTTTTAAGAGCAGTTTTAGGTTCATAGCAAAATTGAACAGAAAGTACAGAGAGTTCCTACATACCTTCTGCTTCCACACCAGTACAGCCTCCCCCATTATCAGCATCCTGCACCACAGTGGTACATTTGTTAACAGCTGATGAACCTACATTGTCACACTCATTATCACCCAAATTCTAGAGTTTACATTAGGGTTCACTCTTGGTGTTTTGCATTCTGTGGATTTGGATAAATGTACGGTAGCATGTGGTCCACCATTATAGTGTCATACAGAATAGTTTCACTGTCCTAAAAATCATCTGTGCACCATTTATTTGTCCCTCCCTTCCTGCTAACCCCTAGCAACCACTGAACTTTTTACTGTTTCCATGGTTTTGCCTTTTCCAGAATGTCATATTGTTGGAATAATACAGTATGTAGACTTTTTGGATTGGCTTCTTTCACTTATTAGTATGCATTTAAGTGTTCTCCGTGTCTTTTCATGGCTTAATAGCTCTTTTCCTTTTAGGGCTAAATAATGCTCTATTGTCTGAGTGTTGTTTCCATGTTTTGGTAATTGTGAATAAGGCTGCACACATCTGTGTGCAGGTTTTGTATAAATATAAATTTTCATCTCATTTGGATAAGTACCCATGAGTGCGATTGCTGGATTGTATGGTAAGATTATGTTTAGTTTTGCAAGAAACCATCATATTGTCTTCCAAAGTATTTATACCATTTTGCTTTCCCGCCAATAATGAATGACAGTTCTTCTTGCTCCACATTGTCCCAAACATTTGTTCGTGTCAGTGTGCTGGATTTTGGCCATTCTCATAGATAAGTAGTGGTACCTCATTGCTGTTTCATTGTCATTTTCCCATTGACATATGATGTGGAGCATCTTTTTGTATAGAGTTTTCATATGAGAGACTGGAAAGAAGGGCTCATAATTGAGATTATAGCTCACATTGGCCCTCAGCCACTGGGGACCCCTCCTTCTGAGTCCTCACCTTGTGAGACTCAAGAGAAGTCCAAATTGATTTCAACTTTTCACTTTAAAGTCTCTATGTTATTATTTCTAAATTTGACTCCATCAGTAAAAATATTTTCAATATGCCTGAATAGGCTTGTGAACCCTAACAGTGCAGAATGGTAAGAAGGAGAACCTGTTTGCTTTGTTTTTTCCCCAAACTCCACCAAGTACACTGCAGCTCTGAGTTCCATGTGGCAATTGGTTGCTCTGAAAGGAGGATCAAATGGAAAGAAGGGAGGGCAAGAGGGACCCTCAACCTTAGAGAGTGTCCCAGAAAAAGCATTTACTGACAGCTATCAGCAGATAGCAAGGAGGAGTGAAGAAAAAATCTTGAATAAAAGACAAAAAATGTAATACAAGACTGTAAGATTTTATGGAATATAATACAATATTGTGAAGTGTGAAGTTTTTTTCAGTAGAAATATTTTAAACTAAAAATCCTTGATACAAAGAAAGTACTTAAAGAAAAAAACCTAAGAGTTTAAGGAAGCATGCTAAAATGAAAATAAGATAATGATGATATTTCAAGTATTATGTAGTAGAAAATGAAAAATAACAGATTATTAGTTTTTGTCGGAGTTATAGTAGAAAATACATGTCTTTTATATGCAGATGATATGGACTCAATCCTTCTGATTATGGGAACTTGGATTCTCTTCATTTTAGTTTCCTCATCTGAAAAATGAAAATAATAAAGGCAGTTTCCCACAGGAATGAGATATTCCATGTAAGTCAATACACCTAGCTTACAGCTGCCTGATATGTAGTAAGTATTGATATCAGGCTTACAGTCAGTATTGCTATTAAAATTGGCACTAGAGTTCTGTTCACATTACAGGCATCCACTCTTCAGTTCCTTTTCTAAACATTTAGAGGTAGGTGGAGATATATATGTATCTGTATTGCTTCAAAGGGATTACAGCCTAAAATGAATCCTGATATATGGATTCATACCAGATGGGGAGTGAACAACACTGGTTTAGATTATTATTCTGCATGGGTGAGGACAAAGTGGTATAAAATTTTGATAGACATATATCCCCAACATAGAGATCTGAAAATACGAGGAAAAAGGGTCTTCAGTTATCATCACGTTTGCATGAATATTAATTGCATTAGCAAAAGAGACTGAGTAAGTTTACTGTTTAGAATTAAGTAAAACGCTCAATTGAGATGGGAACATGTGTTTATTGACTATATCTTTCTTGATTAAGCTGGCAAATAAAAATAATTTCTAATACTTTGAGTTGGTCTATCAATAGATATTTTCTAGATAAATATTTGCTAATTGCTAAGCATTATGCATAATAATACTGTTGTTGCTAAAGTTCAACAGTTTAAATGATCAACACGGTTTTTTAAAATGCTATTCTCTTGATGTTTTGCATAGACTGATTTGAAAAATTCAACAAATACAATTATAAAAGTCTTCATAGGCAAATATAAAACTAAAAGTGCTCATGTTTCAGACTATATGTGGGTGTTTTGAGCTATCCTTATTCTGAAGGTTAAATGCATGCTCATTGGGCCATGAAACTCTTGTATAAAAATTAAATCTTGCACAAATTATTTCATAGAGTTTATTATTTTTAGAGGCAGATAATACTGCATTATGTAGAGAAAACTAAATTTGTCAAGTGCATGAATCAAGGACTTAAGGTGAGATTGCAAGTAAAGAATACATAGCAGAAAAAGACATTTTATTCCCAATCATTGTTGATTATTGAACTCCAGGACTGTGGACATGGTGCCTGCCTGCAAGTTAGAGTCAAGAGCAGTTAAATTGAAGGTAGCATCTGAATTCTATGGTTTCTCTCATGTTGCTAAACAATCCTTCTTCTCCTTGTTGGAAGACAGAGTGATGATCAGGCCCAAGGCTCCTCTTAAAATTCTCTGAGTGTCCCAAGATCTCTGGAGGGTTCATTCCCATTCGCTTTCTCTTAATTTCCACTCTGTACCCCAGAATCATTAGGTACCTTGAATACATAAATTACATATTTTTTTGACCTTGCAAAATTTGAGTTACAAATAACCTTCTGAAATTGAATAAATTTTATAATTTGGGAAATATTTATGTACTTCTAAGTCACATCTGAAATTGAATAATTTTATAATTTGGGAAATATTTACACGCTTCTAAGTCAAGTAGCAAACACTAGCTGTAATGAACATAATTTTTACTGTGATAAAAATGTAGGGAAGATCAATTTACAGAACACTGACAAGTTGCCCAGAACATCCTACATAGGAACAATTGCATGAAATGTGAATTATCTAGTCAGCTCTTGGGCAAAATTTGAACATTAGCAATGATACACATACTTTTTACTGCAGTAAAAGTTTTATGAGAGGATAAAATTACTGTACATTGACAGAAAGAGTTCTTTCTTTGGGAAATTAAATAGATTCTGACCAATATCCTCATCACATTTCTGGAAGTTATTTTTGACACCGGCCTGTGATAAGGGCATACCACAATAAATTATTTAGCAGATTCAGGATTAGACCATCATTCAACTCTCGTCGGAGCCTGCTCCACTCATCTTCACTCTTGATATCTCATTTCTAGTAGTGACAATGGCAATGGACATATCTTTTTTCTTGAAAAGATGCTAATTTAAAAGAACACATTCAAATTAATTGCAATCTTATGGTGACCTTGGGCTTCTAAAATATTGTCTCAAGAAAATAAAGTAAAAATTTGAAAATTTGTTGCATTTTCATTTCCTTTGTGTTTAAGAAAGATATAAGAGATTTTTCTGAATGAGTGGCATAACAATAAACCCGCTGTAAATAAGGATTACTATTTTGTCACTGTCTATATTATTTTGTAGCTCATGCCTCCTGCACTTTTTTTTTTCATGTATGAAGAATAAGTGTTATAGCTGCATGAACTAGATGTGGAAGTTTTTGAGATTAATTATCTTAGTCTTTTCCGACATACTTCCTAGACATTTATTATTAAGTACAGGATATAGACCCTTAAACATGGGAAATAGGGAAGAAGATTCTGCTATGTACTAAAATTATTTTTTTAAAAAACATTCTCAATCTTTGTCCTAATATTTGACAAAACTGTGTGCCTGGCATGGCATTCCATATTAGACCTCAGTGTTCATTTCTTCATTTTTCAGGGAAGAAAATGGGCCACTTAATACATCTATGCCTCATTTTCCTTGATGCTAACAGCAATGATCATCTTCGCTATCATAGGAAGGAAAATATACTGATTTAAAGAGATGATTGAGGAATAAATGATGATTTTGAAGCACATAGCACTTAACTAAGCATAGTATAAGAACAGCTAAATTAAAAAGTATTTTCAACACCATTGCACATTTCTCATTTTCTCCAATAAGTTGAATGTCAGTAGAAAAGAAATTCTAGGAGGATAGTGCCAAGTTGAAAATTAAAAAAAAATATTCAATACAAAACTCAAGAAGCCAATAATCTGTAGAAAAATCCACCTCAATAAACTATAACATTTTGAACTACTTGCTGGCAAATGACAGAGAATGAAAGAAGAAGCTTACTAAAATTCAAAAATGACAGCAAAGCAAATCCAGGTTTTGTCTCATAGCTATGTAATGAAGATGACTTTCTGCTTAAATTAACTGCTACAATTCAATGACGGTCTGTTGATACTCAGGGTTACTCAATGTTTTTCACATTTCCATTATGATAATTTTTAAATAAGCCAAAATTTGTACTGAACACTTTTTATTGTATTGAAATACTTAAGATGGATAGTGAGATATTATGCATGCATTTTAGTTACATTGTCAGTATTGTCAGTTTTCTAAAGAGGAATCCTACTCTAGGACGGGCAATGGCATTTTTATCAGAAAAATCCACACTTAGGAGTTTAGCTGTCTTTAATTCTGATTAATATCAGGGGCATTGTTAACTACATATAACTACTAGAAATGAGTTTCCATTGGTTAAATTCCTTCCTAATTAGCCTAATGTATGCTTTAATGTATGAGCTTCCATTGTGAAATTGATGGCCTCCCTCCCTCCCTCCTTCCCTCCCTTCCTTCCTTCCGAGATAGATTTGTGTTCAAATCTAACCACTCTCTTACTAACCAAATGACATTTGGAGCTGGTATTTGAACATTAGTTTCTATGCTAATGTATCATTTTCAGGGTTGCTATGCTGACTAGTTAAGATAATTTGAGTAAAGCACCTAACACCATGCCTTGCCCTCAGTAGGTTTTAAACAAATTTTAGCTCATTTCTGCCACCTCAACATTGCTACCTGTTGTGGTTCATTTTATATGTCCACTTGACTGGGCTAAGGAATGCCCAGATAACTGGTACAACATTATCTCTGCGTGTGGTTGTGAGAGGGTTTCTGGAAGAGATTAGCATTTGAACTGGAGAACTGAGTAAAGCAGATGGCCCTCCCCAATGTCAGTGGGTATCATCCAATACATTGAGGGTCAGAATAGAGGAAAAAGGTAGAAAAAAGGTGAATTTGCTCTCTCTGCTTAAGCTAAGATATCCATCTTCTCTTACCCTTGGACACTGGTGCTCTTGGTTTCTTGGACCCAGACCAAAACTTACACTCTTGGCCTCCTAATTCTCAGGCCTTTGGACTTTGATTGAATTATACCATCCAGGTTTTTTTGGTCATCTGGCTTGCAGATGGCAGATCGTGAGACATCTTGGCCTCCATAATCTCATGAGCCAATTTCTATAATAAATCTCCTTTAATACAAACCTATATGTGTCCTATTAGTCTACCTGCTTCCTGTTCATATTTATTGAAATATAATTGAGGTACAATAAACTGCACATATTTAAAGTGTACAACTTGATGAATTTTAACATATATATGCACTTGTGAAAACTAACTGCTTCTACAAGTCACAAGTTTTCAATCTAAAATCTTTCTATAGGTTATGATAAGCTAAATCTTTCTACCCTAACTTTCATTATAATCTGCTTAAATGACACCCAGAGTCTAGAGGATCAGATTTGAACTTTTGAGCTGGGCATTTACTTTGTTTCAACATTAAGTCCTTAACATTCCTCTCCAGTTTTATTTCCTTTAGACTCTTTGTTATAGAATTGGGTCTGTTCTTCTTCAGGCATGCCTTGTAGCAGGGTCATATTCTTCTCTTTAGAACAGTGCACTGCTCCATGCTCACCTCATCTATTAAAATGTTACTTTTCCTTCAAACATCAGATGAAATCTCACATTATTTATGAAGGAGTCTCATCAGTGTCAACTTTCTTTCCTTTGATTCTCTTGACTACTTTGTACCATTGCTGTTGTGTTTGCTACATGAATGAGAGGGTGCATGACAAGCTCCTAGCTCAGTAACTGGTACAGAGTAGGAATTCAATAAATGTTATTTTAATGTAATTGTTAGTGAATAGCTTGTCTACCTACATTTATTCATTCACTTGATAAACATTAACACTTTAACAGGGTATATACTACATAAAATTTGGTGGTAGGGGTACAGGTTTAAAAGAAATAGGCTCTCTCCACATTCTACAGGGGAAAACAGTGAGCAAGAGATAATCACACCTCAGTGTGATGCGTATGATAAAGATGACATGAGTCTCATAGGAGAACTCCTATGGATTCAGCTCCAGCTACTCATTGCCATGTGGGAACTCTGTGGATTAGCTCCAGCTACTCATTGCCATGTGGGAAGGTATTCCCAGTGCTGTCAGACCAGATTTTTCAAGCAAAACTTGAAAGCCATATTTTCAAACATACTTTCATTCTGCAATGTGGGCTTAAGTTTCTTAAACATGATTTTGGCTAAACCAAATGATTTTGAGGGGTCTAGTCAGCCTGCAGGGCATCAGTTCACGAATCCTGCATGCAATGGAATTCCACACTTACTTATGAGATGAAAGGGGCCTACTGTGCACAAGAAAGCACACCAGCACTGGGAGGGTGGGTATGCTGGGTGTGATATAGTCTGGGACATGGCTTTCTGGTCAGCTTGCCTTTTTCCTCTTCTGCTGTCTTGATCCTCTAGTGTCGAAGTATCTCAGAGTCCCATTATGAGTTTCCACAACACATGCCATGCCCCGCACATGACCCAAAATGAGGCCAGTTGTCAGATGTCATTTAGTACCAGGCTTGCATGGTATTTCTTATCTCCATAGTTGAGAAATAGTTCTAAAATATGTCTATTAAAGAGGAGAAACAAAAGACAGGTCAAGAATACACTTGATTTCAAAAAAGTAGTAGGGACCATATTATTTTATAAAAGTGAAAAAACATTCTTAAGTATTTAATATGTAGCCATGAGGTCCTAGTCACTTATTTACAGCTTCTGCCATGGCCCCTTATATTAATTTTCTGTTGAAGATAACAGAAACTATGTTAGCATTTTACAGAGGAAGTGATTTAACAGGAAATTTGATGTTTACAAAATCATTGTTGATCAGAAGACTAAGTCTTCAGGATTGATTCCCAGCAAACAATACAGAGGTGGACAGCCACAGGAGGCTGGCTGTATTTTGCTATACGCAAGAGGTGCATGGTGTGGCCACCATCATGTAGTCCTCATTGTAATCTGGGCCTCAGGAAGCTGTTGCCAGACTGCTGTAGTTATATACTGTCTTAGCTGAAATCCAGGGGGAAAATGGCTACTACCAGGTCGGAGTGAAGCTATGCCTATTAGATCTATACCAGTAAAATAAAATACCTTGCATTCCCTTGTCCCTCTCTACTAAAGACATTCATGAATTCAGATAAAATGGATGCATCTTATCAATGAAACTTTAACAATATTTGGAAAGCCCAACCTCAAGAGGTTCTGGAAAAGGTAGCTTTTAATTTATATTCTCTTTTTTTTTTAATTTCCATTTTTATTATAGACTCAGTGGGCACATATGCAGGTTTGTTACAAGGGTATATTGCATGATGTTGAGGTTTGGGTTTCTATTGATCCTGTCACTCAGATAGTGAACACAGTACCTGATAGGAAGTTTTTAAGCCCTTGCCCTCTCCCTCCATCCCTCCTTTTGGAGTCCCTAGCATCTATTATTACTGTCTTTATGTTAAGATTTAACTCCCACTTATAAGTGAGAACATGCAATATTTGGTTTTCAGTTTCTGTGTTAATTTGCTTAGGATAATGGCCTCCATTTGCATTCATGTTGCTGCAAAGGACATGATTTCATTCTTTTTTATGGCTGTGTAGTAGTCCATGGTGTACATGCACCACATTTTCTTTATCCAATCCACTGTTAATGGGCACCTAGGTTGACTCCATGTCTTTGCTGCTGTAAATCGTCCTGCGATGAACATACAAGTGTATGTGTCGTTTTGGTAGAATGATTTATTTTCCTTTGGGTACATACCCAGTAATGAGATGACTGGATCAGATGATAGTTCTATTTTCAGTTGTTTGAGAACTCTCCAAACTTCTTTCTACAGGGACTGAGCTAATTTGCATTCCCACCAACAGTATATAAGGATTCTCTTTCCTCTACAATGTCACCAACATCTGTTATTTTTTGACTTTCTAATAGTTGCCATTCCGACTGGTGTGAGATGGTATCTCACTGTGGTTTTATTTGCATTTCTCTGATATTAGTGATGTCAAACATTTTCTCATGTTTGTTAACAACTTGCGTGTCTTCTTTTGAGAAGTTTCCATTCATGTCCTTTGCCCACTTTTTAATGAGGTTATTTATTTTTTTGCTTATTGATTTATTTTAGTTACTTACAGATTCTGAGTATTAGACCTTTGTCAGATGTATAGTTTGAGAATATTTTCTCCCATTCTGTAGGTTGTCTGTTTATTTGGTTGACAGTTTCTTTTGCTGTGCAGGAGCTCTTTTGTTTAATTAGGTCCTACTTATTAATTTTCATTTTTTTTTGTGATTGCTTTTGAGCACTTGCTCATGAACTCTCTGCAAAGACCAATATCCAGAAAGGTATTTCCTGGGTGTTCTTCTAGATTTTTTTTTAATAGCTGGAGGTCTTACATGTAAGTCTTTAATCCATCTTGAGTTAATTTTTTTGTATATGGTAATAAGTGAGATCCAGTCTCATTCTTCTGCATATGGTTAGCCAGTTTTCCAGCATCACTTATTGAATAGTGAGTCCATTCCCTATTTCTTATTTTTGTTAACTTTGTTGAAGGTCAGTTGGTTGCAGGTATGTGTGCTGTTTTATTTCTGGTTTCTGTATTATGTTCCACTGGTCTATGTGTCTATTTTTGTAGCAATATCATGCTGTTTTGGTTACTGTAGCCTTGTAGTATACTTTGAATTCTCGTAATGTGATACCTCTGGCTTTATTCTTCTTGTTTGTGGTTGCTGTGGCTATTCAGGTTCTTTTTTGTTTCCATATTAATTTTAGAGTAGGTTTTTCTTATTCCATGAAAGGTGATGTTGCTAATAAGATAGAATAGTATTTAATTTGGAGATTGCTTTGGGTAGTATAGATATTTTAATGATGTTGGTTCTTCCCACCCATAAGCACAGAATATTTTTCCATTTGTTTGTGTCATCTGTGATTTCTTTAGGCAGTGTTTTGTAGTTCTCCTGGTAGAGATCTTTCACCTCATTGATTAGATGTATTCCTAGGTATTTTATTTTATTTTCTTTGGCTATTGTAGTGTGATTACATTCTTGATTTGGCTCTCAGCTTGAAAGTTATTGGTGTATAGAAATACTACTGATTTATATATGTTGATTTTGTATCCTGAAACTTTACTGAAGTCATTTATCAGGTTTAGGAGCCTTTTGGCAAAGTCTTTAGGGTCTTTTAGGTATAGAATCGTATCATTGCTGAAAAGAGATACATTGACTTACTTTTTTTTCTATTTGTATGCCTTTTCTTTCTCTTGTCTGACTGCTCTGCTAGGACTTCTGGTACTATGTGAATAGTACTAGATAGGAATGGTGGGAGTGGGCATCCTTGTCTTGCTGTAGTACTTAAAGGGAATGCTTTCAGCTTGTGCTCATTCAGTATGATGTTGGCTGTGGAGTTGTCATAGACAGATCTTACTATTTTGAGATATGTTTCTTCACTGACCAGTTTGTTGAGGGTTTTTGTCATGAAGGCGAGTTGAGTTTTATCAAAAGCTTTTTCTTCATCTATTCAGATAACAATATGGTTTTTGTTTAAATCTTGTTTATGTGGTGAATCACATTCATTGATTTGTGTATATTGAACCAAACTTTTACCCCAGGAATGAAGCCTACATGATCATGGTGAGTTAACTTTTTGATGTGCTGGTGGATTCAATGTGATAGTATTTTGTTCAAGTTTTTGTATCTGCATTAATCAGGGACATTGACCCATAGTTTTCTTTTTTTCATTGTATCTCTCCCTGATTTTGGTATCAGGATAATACTTGTTTTGTAGAATGAGTTAGGAAGGAATCCCTTCTCCTCAATGTTTTGAAATAGTCTTAGAAGGGTTGGTACCAACTCTTGTTTGTATGTCTGGTAGAATTCAGCTGTGAATTCATCTGGTCAGGGGCTTTTTTGGTTGGTAGTTTTTTAAATGACCGATTCAATGTTGAAACTCATTTTTGGTCAGTTCAGGGTTTCAATTTCTTCCTGATTCAATCTTGGAAGGTTATGTGTTTCCAGGAATTATCAATTTGTGTGAATAGAGGTGTTTGTAGTAGTCTGTGAGGATCTTTTGTACTTCTGTGGGATCAGTTATAATGTCACCTTTGTCATTTTTTATTGTGTTTATTTGGATATTATTTCTCTCTTTTTTCTTTGTTAATCCAGCTAACAATCTATCATTCTTGTTTAAACTTTAAGAAAACCAATGTTTTGTTTCATTAATCCTTAGTATGGTTTTTTTGGGGTATCAATTACTTGTTTTTTTTAATTTTATTATTATGATACTTTTAGGGTACATGTGCACAACGTGAAGGTTTGTTACATATGTATACATATGCCGTGTTAGTGTGCCGCATCCATTAACTTGTCATTTAGCATTAGGTATATCTCCTAATGCTATCCCTCCCCCCTACCCCCACTCCACAACAGTCCCTGGTGTGTGATGTTCCCCTTCCTGTGTCCATGTGTTCTCATTGTTCAATTCCACCTATGAGTGAGAACATGCAGTGTTTGGTTTTTTGTCCTTGCGATAGTTTGCTGAGAATGATGGTTTCCAGTTTCATCCATGTGCCTACAAAGGGCATGAACTCATCATTTTTTATGGCTGCATAGTATTCCATGGTGTATATGTGCCACATTTTCTTAATCCAGTCTATCATTGTTGGACATTTGGCTTGGTTCCAAGACTTTGCTATTGTGAATAGTGCCACAATAAACATACATGTGCATGTGTTTCTTTATAGCAGCATGATTTATAATCCTTTGGGTATATACCCAGTAATGGGATGGCTGGGTCAAATGGTATTTCTAGTTCTAGATCCCTGAGGAATCGCCACACTGACTTCCACAATGGTTGAACTAGTTTACAGTCCCACCAACAGTGTAAAAGTATTCCTATTTCTCCACATCCTCTCCAGCATCTGTTGTTTCCTGACTTTTTAATGATTGCCATTCTAACTGGTGTGAGATGGTATCTCATTGTGGTTTTGATTTGCATTTCTCTGATGGCCAGTGATGATGAGCATTTTTTCATGTGTCTTTTGGCAGCATAAATGTCTTCTTTTGAGAAGTGTCTGTTCATATCCTTTGCCCACTTTTTGATGGGGTTGTTTGTTTTCTTCTTGTAAATTTGTTTGAGTTCATCGTAGATTCTGGATATTAGCCCTTTGTCAGATGAGTAGATTGCAAAAATTTTCTCCCATTCTGTAGGTTGCCTGTTCACTCTGATGGTAGTTTCTTTTGCTATGCAGAGGCTCTTTAGTTTAATTAGATCCCATTTGTCAATTTTGGCTTTTGTTGCCATTGCTTTTGGTGTTTTAGACATGAAGTCCTTGCCCATGCCTATGTCCTGAATGGTATTGCCTAGGTTTTCTTCTAGGGTTTTTATGGTTTTAGGTCTAACATGTAAGTCTTTAATCCATCTTGAATTAATTTTTGTATAAGGTGTAAGGAAGGGATCCAGTTTCAGCTTTCTACATATGGCTATCCAGTTTTCCCAGCACCATTTATTAAATAGGGAATCCTTTCCCCATTGCTTGTTTTTGTCAGGTTTGTCAAAGATCAGATGGTTGTAGATATGTGGCATTATTTCTGAGGGCTCTGTTCTGTTCCATTGGTCTATATCTCTGTTTTGGTACCAGTACCATGCTGTTTTGGTTACCGTAGCCTTGTAGTGTAGTTTGAAGTCAGGTAGCGTGATGCCTCCCGCTTTGTTTTTCTGGCTTTGGATTGACTTGGCAATGCGGGCTCTGTTTTGGTTCCATATGAACTTTAAAGTAGTTTTTTCCAATTCTGTGAAGAAAGTCATTGGTAGCTTGATGGGGATTGCATTGAATCTATAAATTACCTTGGGCAGTATGAGACACAAAAAACCCTTGAAAAAATTAATGAATCCAGGAGCTGGTTTTTTGAAAAGATCAACAAAATTGATAGACTGCTAGCAAGACTAATAAAGAAGAAAAGAGAGAAGAATCAAATAGATGCAATAAAAAATGATAAAGGGGATATCACCACTGATCCCACAGAAATGCAAACTATCATCAGAGAATATTACAAGCACCTCTACGCAAATAAACTAGAAAATCTAGAAGAAATGGATAAATTCCTCGACACATACGTCCTCCGAAGACTAAACCAGGAAGAAGTTGAATCTCTGAATAGACCAATAACGGGCTCTGAAATTGAGGCAATTATCAATAGCTTACCAACCAAAAAAAGTCCAGGACCAGATGGATTCACACCCGAATTCTACCAGAGGTACAAGGAGGAGCTGGTGCCATTCCTTCTGAAACTATTCCAATCAATAGAAAAAGAGGGAATCCTCCCTAACTCATTTTATGAGGCCAGCATCATCCTGATACCAAAGCCTGGCAGAGACACAACCAAAAAAGAGAATTTTAAACCAATATCCTTGATGAACATTGATGCAAAAATCCTCAATAAAATACTGGCAAACCGAATCCAGCAGCACATTAAAAAGCTTATCCACCATGATCAAGGGGGTTTCATCCCTGGGATGCAAGGCTGGTTCCACATACGTAAATCAATAAAGGTAATCCAGCATATAAACAGAACCAAAGACAAAAACCACATGATTATCTCAATGGATGCAGAAAAGGCCTTTGACAAAATCCAACAAAGCTTCATGCTAAACACTCTCAATAAATTAGGTATTGATGGGACATATCTCAAAATAATAAGAGCTATCTATGAGAAACCCACAGCCAATATCATACTGAATGGGCAAAAACTGGAAGCATTCTCTTTGAAAACAGGCACAAGACAGGGATGCCCTCTCTCACCACTCCTATTCAGTATAGTGTTGGAATTTCTGGCCAGGGCAATCAGGCAGGAGAAGGAAATAAAGGGTATTCAATTAGGAAAAGAGGAAGTCAAATTGTCCCTGTTTGCAGATGACATGATTGTATATCTAGAAAACCCCATCGTCTCAGCCCAAAATCTCCTTAAGCTGATAAGCAACTTCAGCAAAGTCTCAGGATGCAAAATCAATGTACAAAAATCACAAGCATTCTTATACACTAATAACAGACAAACAGAGAGCCAAATCATGAGTGAACTCCCATTCACAATTGCTTCAAAGAGAATAAAATACATAGGAATCCAACTTAGAAGGGATGTGAAGGAACTCTTCAAGGAGAACGACAAACCTCTTCTCAATGAAATAAAAGAGGATACAAAGAAATGGAAGAACATTCCATGCTCATGGTAGGAAGAATCAATATCGTGAAAATGGCCATACTTCCCAAGGAAATTTATAGATTCAATTCCTTTTAGTTCTGCTGTGAAACAAATCCACACCCCTACAGTGAACTCATTTTTCAAAAGCGGTGCCAAGAACATATGCTGGGGAAAAGAAAGTCTATTCAATCAGTGGTGCTCAGAAAACTGGATATTCAAATGCAGAAGAATGAAACTAGACCCCTATCTATCACCATATACAAAAATCAAATCAAAATGATTAAAACTTAAATCTAAGACCTCAATCGAAGAAACTACTACAAGAAAACACTAAGGAGAATCTCCAGGACATAGATCTGGGTAAAAATTTCTTGAACAATACCTCACAAGCACAGGCAACCAAAGCAAAAATAGACAGATAGGATCACATCAAGTTAAAAAGCTTCTGTACGGCAAAGGATACAATCAACAGATTGAAGAGACAACCCACAGAATTAGAGAAAATATTTTTAAACTATCCATCTGACAAGGGATTAAAAAGCAGAATATAGTAAAAGCTCAAACAACTCTATTGGAAAAACGTCTAATAATCTGATCAAAAAATGCGCAAAAGATTTGAATAGATATATTTTTAAAAGACATACAAATGACAAATGGCATATGAAAAGGTGCTCAACATCATTGATCATCAGATAAATGCACATAAAAACTACAATGAGATATTATCTCACCCCAGTTAAAATGGCTTATATCCAAAAGACAGGTAATAATAAATGCTGGTGAGGATGTGAAGAAAAGGAGACCCTTGTGCACTGTTGGTGGGGATGTAAAGTAGTACAACCACTATGGAGAGAATTGGATGTTCCTCAATAAACTAAAAATTGAGCTACCATATAATTCAGCAATCCCACTTCTGAGTATATGCCCAAAAGAAAGGAAATTAGTATATCAAAGAGGTATCTGCACTCTATGTTTGTTGCAGCACTGTTTACAATAGCTAAGATTTGGAAGCAATCTAAGTGACCACCAAGAGATGAATGGGCAAAGAAAATGTGGTACATATACACAATGGAGTACTATTCAGCCATAAAAACAGTGAGATTCAGTCATTTGCAACAGCATGGATGGAACTGAAGATGATTATGTTCAGTGAAATAAGCTAGGCACAGTAAGGCACACATCACATGTTCTCACTTATTTGTAGGATCTAAAAATCAAAACAAACTCATAGACATAGAGAGTAAAAGGATGGTTACCAGAGGCTGGGAAGGGTAGTGGGGGGCTTGGGATTGGGGAGGTGAAATAATCCCATGGAAACAAACACATTTTCCATGATGTGTTTATTTCAAAATACATACCTGTATCAAAACATCTCATGAACCCCACAAATATATACACCTACTATGTACCCTCAAAAATTAAAAATAAAATTTATAAAAGGTACACAGGTGCAGTCGTGTGGAATGAATAAGTCTGTAGATCTAATGTATTGCATGAAAACTATAATTAATAATACCGTATACTGAGAATTTGCTAAGAGAATAGAGTTTTAATGGTCATACTATACATATACACAAGGTAACCATATGAGGTAATAGATATGTTGTTTCACTGCAGTAATCATTTCACTATGGATATAGATAACAAAACATGTTGTTTACCTTAAATATGTACAGTACAATACAATCCTAAAACTATTAAATTCTTGGAAGAAAACATAAGCATAAATCTCTATGTCCTTGCATGAGGCAAAGATTCGTTAGATATGATAACAGAAACACACAGGACGAAAAAAAAGTAGAGAAATTGGAATTCACAATTAAAAATGTTTGTACTTCAAAGAACATCATTACAAAAGTGAAAAGATAATTTACAAAATGGGGGAAATATTTGCAAGCAACAAGTTTGATAAGACAATTATATCCAGAATGTATGAAGAATTCTTAAAACTCAATAATAGAAAGACAAATAACCAAACTAAAAACTGAGCAAAACATTTAAATAGACATTCCTCTAAAGATCATGTCCAATAAGCACTTGAAGAGATGCTCAACATCATTAGCCATCAGGGAAATGCGTATCAAAGCCACATTGAAGTACCACGTCACATCCACTAGGATGGCTTAAATGAAAAAAACAATAACAAGCATTGATGAGGATGTAGGGAAATCAGAGACCTCATAAACTGCTGATGGGAATGTAAAATTATGCAACCCCTTTGGAAAACATCCTCACAGTTTTTCAAAAGGTTAAACTTGGAGTAGCCATTATTGAAACTCAATAATTTCGCTTGTAGGTATACATCCAAGAGAATAAAAGCATATGTCCATACAAAAACTTGTATACAAATGTTCACAACTGCATTATTTAAAATAGCCAAAAGTAGAAATAGTCCAAATGTCCATCAACTGAGGAATGGGTAACTAAAATGTGATATAATCATACAATGGAATATTATTTTGTCATAAAGAGTACTGATACATAAAACATAATGAATAAAGTTGAAAACATTGTACTAAGTGGAAGAAGTCCCAAAAAACTACATACTGTATAATTCCATTTGTATGAAATGCCCAGAGTAGGCAAATCTATGAGACAGAAAGTATATTACATTGCCAGAGGCTGAGTATATAAAGAATTGAAGGAAATGGGTATGGGGCTTCTTTCTGGGATGATGAAAATGTACTAAAATTGATTGTGCAACTTTGTGAATGTACTAAAACCGTTGGATTGTACCCTTTAAATGAATGAATTGTATGGTATATTGAATTACATCTTAATCAAGTTGTTTAAAAAAACAGACCTGGGTTGGATTTGTGTACTTCTTACTGTATAACCTTGGGTTTCGCCTTTCTGAGCCTCAGTTTTCTTATCAATAAAGTGAGGAGAATTAAAGAGTTATGAGGATTAAATTAGAGGTCTTATATAAAGCACACAATCAAGTCAGTACCTAGTATATAATATGTGTTTGATAAATGTTAGCCGTTGTCATTATTCATGTCAATAAATATTTATCAATATTAGCTTTTTAAATGATATAGTATTCATTAGAGGTATATTTCTCAACTTATTTAGCCAATAGGATAGTTTTTTTTCTCCTACAAATAAAAACTTGGTGAAAATCATCTAGAATACTGCATGGCAAACAGTAGTTACATAATGCATGCTATGTATAAATGAATAAATGCATATATTATTAATAAATTATGAACATTAATGTATAATGAATAAATATTTGTGGGCTCCTTTCAATAGTTGGTTATAATGAATTTCCAGAAGTAGAACACGTGATTATTTACAGGTTTATTTATATTAATTGGATGGCTGCCACGGAAAGATATTTCCAATTTCCATTCCCTCTAGCTGACTAGGAGTCTGTCTGCTTACCTGCATAGAAGGTAAATTTTCCTTATTCTAACAGAAACATACATGTTAATTGAAATAACCATGACACATTATTAAAGCTAATAATTTAAATACCTTCTCTTTGCCTTTCATTACATTATTTTACTATTGTCTAAAACAACCAGCAGGATTTACAATCCACTGCAGTTTGCTAGAGCTTTACAGGACTCAGGGGAAATTACTTATGCTTTCAGATGTCTACCTTCTCCAGAGCCACAAGGTCTCCACTGAGTGAAATTTGGACTCTGGTGGCTTTCAATAACACAAAACCAAACTTGTAAAAATGGCTAACAAGTGCTGGCATATGGAGGAGGTCTGTTCATGTAGTTGGAAGTAAAATCATTAGACAACTTTGTCTTTTTAGGTTATAGTGAGAACCTATTATTATCTAAGTTCATAAAAACCTGTATGCTTCTCCTGTTTTTACCAGCTGGGAATATGAATAGAGGTATTTCACTGAAGTTCTAAATGTTGGCGTTACTGTAATTATGGTGGTTATGTGAGAGTAAGGGTGCTAGTTAATCTGGGCTGCTGAGACTGTTTGATGAAATTATCTTGATTTATTATAAGGGTGAATCATGCGGCAGTTGGCAAGGGACAAATCTTATGAGAATTCCCGTAACAACAACAAATATAAAATGAGTGCCTCTGATATACAAAGTGTCATATAAATGCACAAATTATCTTCAAAGGTACTTTTGGTTTCTAGAGGAGGGTTCCCTCTTTTAGGGATTATGCAAAGACAGAGAGACCTTTGTAGGAACAATGAAAGAGAAGTTATATCAAATGGGAGAGGTAGATGACACCATTTCAAGTAAGAAATATAGAAAAATTAATTTTTTTTTCTGCTCTTGTCTGTGAGCTATAAGGGTAACTATAAGATTGTGGGCAAAGAAACAAAAAGGTGAGAGAAAAGAATCAGGAGGTAAGGAAGCCTGACAAGACCAGTTGTGCCTTCCTAAGAAGAGCGCTGTGCATAAAATCTGTCTCAAAATACTGACAGAGATGATTTTATATGACTAATAGAAAAACACCATAGAAGGCTACTGGCAAACCAGTAACAGGATAATTGTGCCCTTGAAGAACAGGCAGCATGGATGGGTAGACAGAATAAGCATGGGGAAACTAAAATAAGGGATGGAAAGAGGGCTTACCTACAGGGATATCCTTGGCCATATATTCGCTTTCCTTTTTTGTGGAAGATTATGTTTTTTTTTTTTTAACTGAGTGTGGCATTTAATAATGGAAGTACTTAGAGTACAGAAGAGAATGGTAGGAAAATCTAATTGCCTTTATGTATACTTTGACCGTTTTAAAATTGAATATTAGAGGATCATATCAGGGGCATTATGAGGTAGAAAGCATATGGTAAAGGTCTCAGATTCTTGAGGGCTTCCAGGATAAGGAAATTAGAAGAAGCAAACTCTCCTTGGGATCTTGGAGCATCTTTAGGAGCCTGTATTAGAAGGAAATACAGAAGAGTCTTCCATATGAAGGGACTGTTGTGTAGGCTGTTACTCCCATTTCTAGGATGCCACAGGTTATGGGATACACCATGGATTTAATAACTTCCTTTGAAGGGTGGGTGGGGAGGGATCCCTAAAAGAAATGTTTATATCATTCAATTTAACACCTTTCCAAATTTAGGAAACATTAAATAAGTTTTGAAGAAAAATAAATGTACATCTTAGAATTTAATTGTATTACCTAAGATACGTTTGGTTATGTGGTCATAGCAAACAACACCCCCAAAATAGGATTGGCTTAAGACAAATAAGCAAATGACAAAGGGGTTTCATTTACACACAGGTCACATTCGCTTTGCAAGTTAGTGGCACTTTGTTTTCCATTGCTTTACCCAGAGATTCAGGCTAATGGAGACTTCATTACCCAGAACTTCCTGGTCATGTCAGCACTGGCAATTAAACACAGAATGGGCACATGCTACTTCCATTCTTATTTCTTTGGCCAAGGTAAGTCAAATTGCCATGTTGCCTAACTTTAAGGGACAAAGAAGTTTCTTTTACGATTTGTGCTTTTTGTGTCCTCTCTAAAAAATCTTTGCCTTCCTCAGATTACAAAAATTTTCACCTATTTTCTTCTAGAAGTTTTATATTTTTTACTTTTATGTTCAAAATTGTGATCTATTTCAAGTTAATTTTTGTATATTATGTGAAATAAAGTTTGAAGTTTATTTTTTACAGTTGTTCCAGTTCATATTTATTGAAAAGGCACACCTTTATTGAATTATCTTGAAAATAAGTTGACTATATGCACACAGACACATGGGTTTATTTCCAGATTTTATCTGGAATTTTAAAATTCCATTCTTTTTCACCGATTTATATATGTATTATTATGCCAATACTATACACGGTTAATTGCTGAAACTTTAAGTTTTGAAATCAGCTAATGTAAGCCTTCAACTTTGTTCTTTACAAAATTGTTTTGCAGGAAATACTGAGCTTAATGACTTCTGGGATTATTTCCATTGCTAATGTCAAAACAATTAATTGCCATAAACAGAAAAAATTGAGTTGAACACACTATCTAAATTTGTTAAAATAATCTCTTTTAGAATTGGAATTGTTAAGAGAAAAATGTCGTGTTTTATAGGAAAGATACAAAACAAGGCTACACAAGGCTATGTATATATATGTGCGTGTGCATATATATACATATATATATCTCTGAACAAATTTACATGTTTTGATAACAAATTTAAATGATATAAATTTAACTAAAAGGAAAATACTTGGATTGCATAAAAGCAGATATTTATATGGTATTTATAAGAGACATATAAGGGTAAATGGTAATACTAATAGGTTAAAAATTAAAGTGTAAAAAATTATAGTAAAAATATAATTTAAAGCAAGGCTTGCAATTTTGTTAGAAAATGATGTATATAAGTTGAGGTTGTATTAAATGAAACTGATTAAAAGTATAGTCCACAGTGAGTATAATCATTTGCCTTGTGCATTGACATACATAGTGCTGAAATGAATAAAGCAAACAAAATAGGAGCGGAACCACTTGAAATTAAAAACTCCTTCCTAAACATTTTTTTGTCCCAAAGAGACCATTACAATATGTAGAAAATGTTAATAAGGAAAACTATATATCAAAACTATTGCACTCAATCAAATGTGTACCGAGAAGAAAATTCATGACTATAATCACATATATTACCTAATAAGAAAATATAGAGTAAATAATGTTGTCAATTTTCAAAGTAGATAGCTAATAAAATAAGCCTAAAGAATAAAAAGATAGAGACAAATAATAAGAGTAATAACAGTAATTATAAGCCAAGCCAGCAACCCACACTCATGCTCAGTATTTGGGTCACTGTGGACTTCTTGTTTTCATCACACATCTTTCTTCAAAGAGTCTACAGATGTGCAGTTTAGGTGCCATTGTTGACTTGTGTGAAACAAATTAGATCATTCCATGGGATCTAGCAACTCAAATTTGATAAATAATATCACCATTAACACAGTTATATTATAGGCAATTTTCCCTAAACAGGTATAATATGCAATATTGAATATATATATATAAATTTCATATTAAAATAGACTAAAGTAATAAAAATAATACTTAATTTGAAATTAAAAGACTGCATTTGAGTTTGTCAGCAAATAGCTGGTAAGCCTTTGTAGGTCATTTAGTCTAGGATTATGTTTCCTTATATTCCAAATAAAGATAAAATGTGAATATTTATCCATTAATTATGAGAATTTAAAAAATGTGTGTGTGAAGGCACTGGTTAAGCCATCAAGACCTATACAACTGTAAGGTATTAATAAACATGGCACTGTGTACCTACTTCAAATAAGGTACTCAAGTAGAGTCTTAGTCTTGCAATATTTGGGAATATTGATTTCCTTTTGAAAAGGAGACAGAATAATTTCATGTGCTGCATCCATGCTTTGGAGAGTAGTAGCTAGTGCATAAGTGATTTGCAGAGAGAAACTTGCTTGATGTATCTTTTGCATCCGTTTTTTGTCTTTTAAATGTCAACAGGCATTTGCTTCTTTTTATCTCTCTTTTACGTTGTTACTCAGCGATGTGATTGAATGATACCCTGAGGATGAGTGTTACATTTCAGTGGGCTGAAATTATCATATCCCTTTTGGGACATACACAAATATGTGTTCATTCAATCATTTTATTTCTTTGTCAATATACAGAATGCAATCACAGGATACATAGTAACAGATGTGAGCATAATTAATGAGATGCACACATTCTCTCAGCCCAATATTGACAAATTGGATGTTTAATGTAAATCATTCATTTGATTGCATACCCTAAAGTATTCTGTCACTCTTCTGAGAATTAATAGGTTGTAGTGTAACAGCAACATTTTCAGTGCCCTTCCCTTGTTCATGTCTCTCCCAGCTTCCTTCCCTCTCGTTCCTCAAAACACAAGAAACTTCTAGGTCATCTCTTGCTTAAACAAGTCTGTTTGGCTCATCCAAGGACATTTCTGTATCTCTCACCCCTAAGTGTGCTGTTATTTTGTGGTGGTCTTGGATAATAAAGTTTAGACAGTTAATATAGCTACAGTGGCTTAAGCTCTAAAGTCAAATTTATATTAGGCTAGGCAATGAAAAGCAGGACCATAAAGGGCCTAAGATAGATAAAGGACTCATTTTGAATTGGTATCCTTTCTACCTTGATCTTTTAGAAGACTGTTATGCTCTCCCAGATAAACAGCATAGATCATCAACCCTTCAGTGCTCAAGGGAATGCCCTTAGAATCCCAGCCATCCTTCTTTAAAATCAATTTGCTCCTATTTAAACACCATCCTCCTCACTTCTTTCTGGATCTCTGGTTCTCCCCTTGATTCTTGCCTCAGATGCATGGCTTCTGCAATTAGACCACATCTTTTGATGTCTAAGTCTTGGATTCATCTAATTGTTTGGCCATCCCTCTGGATTCCTGTTTCCAACTACCTCTAGCAGGAAACTTCTAAATTCCAACTACTTCCCCAGTATCTTAGACAGAACTTCCCTTAAAAATAACAAATGTAGAAAATATTTCTTGAGTATTTGATGCTTAGGTATCCTGGGAAGTTGAAACAGAATAAAAGAGAGAGAGAGAGAGAGATTTCAGAGAGTCCCAATACTGTGAGGAGAAATTCTGCAGCTGGCTCCAGAGAGTAAGACTGTTTACAAATTAACTGGTACTGATTTCTGCAGCACTTATCACAGAAAGCCAACCTATAGCAGTGTTAATTCTTGATTTGCATATATGAATCAAACATGGCCAGTGATTAGAGTAGTAAGTTAGGACCAAATAATGTATGCAAATCATGTAAGTTGGTCGTGGCAGGTAGGTGGGAGCCCTATAGTCCCAACATTGAGATCCACAGAATGTGGATCTATGAGCTAGTAAGGCGTTGACCTTTGTCATGTATGCTTCTATTGTTAAACAAAGCACATGTGTTTATAAAGGGAAACTTCCCCTTCATCCCCCAAACAATAGGGATTTGAAGGAAGCTCCAGGCACAAGCAAAATTTAAAAGAGGCAAAAAAAGGGCAAATGCATATTTGCCTGTGTGCCTGTATGTGTGTGTGGTGAGGGTTGAGGGGCAGGTGGCAGTGGTGATGGTGAAGAAATGTCACATATGAAAGGAAGGATAATTTCTGGACTGACATCTGAGATAAAACATATTCTGCCTATTTGATGATCCTCCAGCACTCCTGGTTAACACTTTAAACTTCTCCGTTCCCCTTTCCATAGCTCATATTTTATTATTAAATACCATGTTCTCAATCTTTTTCATCCCATGCCCCATTTTGACTAAAGCGAGCATGCTTTAACATTAGCTGACATTTAAAACTAAAATAAATAATGATTAAATGCCAATCAAAACCATTTTCGAAAAGATTCTCACTCTTATTTTTGCCCAATTCCATTTCATGTGAAATGTGGAACATTTTCCTATAGATAAAAGTGACTTAATACTGTAGTCATTCTAATCCCATAGGGGGCTCACATATGAATTTGGAGATAGGTAACTCTGTGTAGCTTGTAAGAGACCACCAAGTGATTCTGACCCATTTTCTATGTCATAAGGGTAAGTAGACCCATCCTAGAGTGAGTTTCATGGTCTGGAGGCTAGAGCCTACAAATCTATGAAGGTGAATTTCCCGTTTTTCACGTGATATTCAGCGCTAGAAAGGTATTCACCTTTGTCATGTATGCTTTATGAATAGACCTGCTAAGAGAGACATTTATTTATTCAACAGCTCCTGAAGTTTTGATCCATGCTAAATTCTGCAAGGAGAATCAGAGGTCCCTGGGAACCAGCCAAGCACTGCTCATATGAGACTTGGACATTGTCTGTGTCATGTTACTCCTTCTCCTGTCTGCATTGATACTGTGTTAGCTTTTAACTGGCCACTTCTGACCGACAAAAATCATCTGGAAGGGAGTCTCTAAGCCTGGGTGCAAGAGGTTAAGCTTTTACAGATCTTTGAAGGCTTTTGAATATCCAATTCATTCCCCTGGCAGATGGAAAGGAGAAATAAGAGTATTTCATATTTTCCAGACAAAACTGCAGACATTTAGTGATAGAAACTAAATTTTCCAACAAGATCGAGTTATTCCCAACTCTGAAAACTGAAAAATGTGTACCTCAAAAACTTTCCTTTTATCTTCTTAAGAATATAGTTCAATGTCAACCATTAACAGGATTGATTGTGACTTGGGGTAAATTCTGCGTATGTGATCATCATATAATAAAGGAACTATAGATTTCTGATTAGACACACTTGTTTGCCATCTGATTACCCAAATATGTAGTTGTGCTACATATTCCAGAGCACGTGAACTGAGGTAATTTCCCTTGAAGTAAAATACATCTTATTGCTTGTTATGTAATACAAATAGTCTTTTAAAAAATCCAGATCAATATTTGACAATGTGCAATTCAATAGATTCTTCTTGTTTTTTTTAATTATACTTTAAGTTCTGGGATACATGTGCAGAACAGGGAGGTTTGTTATATAGGTATACATGTGCCATGGTGGTTTGCTGCACCCGTCAACTCGTCATCTACGTTAGCTGTTTTTCCTAATGATCTCCCTCCCCTTACCCCCCCACCCTCCAGCAGGCCCAGCTGTGTGATGTTCCCCTCCATGTTTCCATGTGTTCTCATTGCTCAACTCCCACTTATGAGTGAGAATATGTAGTGGTTGGTTTTCTGTTCCTGTGTTAGTTTGCTGAGAATGGTTTCCAGTTTCATCCATGTCCCTGCAAAGGACATGAACTCATTCTTTTTATGGCTGCTTAGTATTCCATGATGTATGTATGCCACATTTTCTTTATCCAATCTATCATTGTAGGGCATTTGGGTTGATTCCAAGTCTTTGGTATTGTGAAGAGTGCTGCAATAAACATACATGTGCATGTGTCTTTATAGTAGAATGATTTATAATCCTTTGGGTATATACCCAGTGATGGGATAGCTGGGTCAAATGGTATTTCTGGTTCTACATCCTTAAAAAATCACCACACTGTCCTCCACAATGGTTGAACTAATTTACACTCCCACCAACTGTGTAAAAGCATTCCATTTCTCCACATCCTCTCCAGCCTCTGTTGTTTCCTGACTTTTTTTAATTTTTATTTTAATTTTTATTTTTTATTTAATTATTATTATTAAACTTTTAAGTTTTAGGGTACATCTGCACAATGTGCAGGTTAGTTAAATATGTATACATGCGCCATGCTGGTGTGCTGCACCCATTAACTCGTCATTTAGCATTAGGTGTATCTCCTAAAGCTATCCCTCCCCCCTCCCCCCACCTCACAACAGTCTCCAGAGTGTGATGTTCCCCTTCCTGTGTCCATGTATTCTCATTGTTCAATTCCCACCTATGACTGAGAATATGCGGTGTTTGGTTTTTTGTTCTTGCGATAGTTTACTGAGAATGATGAATTCCAATTTCATCCATGTCCCTACAAAGGACATGAACTCATCATTTTTTATGGCTGCATAGTATTCCATGGTGTATATGTGCCACATTTTCTTAATCCAGTCTATCATTGTTGGACATTTGGCTTGGTTCCAAGTCTTTGCTATTGTGAATAGTGCCACAATAAACATACATGTGCATGTGTCTTTATAGCAGCATGATTTATAGTCCTTTGGGTATATACCCAGTAATGGGATGGCTGGGTCAAATGGTATTGCCAGTTCTAGATCCCTGAGGAATCGCCACACTGCCTTCCACAATGGTTGAACTAGTTTACAGTCCCACCAACAGTGTAAAAGTGTTCTTATTTCTCCACATCCTCTCCAGCACCTGTTGTTTCCTGACTTTTTAATGATTGCCATTCTAACTGGTGTGAGATGGTATCTCATTGTGGTTTTGATTTGCATTTCTCTGATGGCCAGTGATGGTGAGCATTTTTTCATGTGTTTTTTGGCTGCATAAATGTCTTCTTTTGAGAAGTGTCTGTTCATATCCTTAGTGCACTTTTTGATGGGGTTGTTTGTTTTCTTCTTGTAAATTTGTTGGAGTTCATTGTAGATTCTGGATATTAGCCCTTTGTCAGATGACTGGTTGCAAACATTTTCTCCAATTCTGTAGGTTGCCTGTTCACTCTGATGGTAGTTTCTTTTGCTGTGCAGAGGCTCTTTAGTTTAATTAGATGCCATTTGTCAATTTTGGCTTTTGGTGTCATTGCTTTTGGTGTTTTAGACATGAAGTCCTTGCCCACGCCTATGTCCTGAATGGTAATGCCTAGGTTTTATTCTAGGGTTTTTATGGTTTTAGTTCTAACATTTAAGTCTTTAATCCATCTTGAATTAATTTTTGTATAAGGTGTAAGGAAGGGATCCAGTTTCAGCTTTCTACATATGGCTAGCCAGTTTTCCCAGCACCATTTATTAAATTGGGAATCCTTTCCCCATTGCTTGTTTTTCTCAGGTTTGTCAAAGATCAGATAGTTGTAGATATGCAGTGTTATTTCTGAGGGCTCTTTTCTGTTCCATTGATCTATATCTCTGTTTTGGTACCAGTACCATGCTGTTTTGGTTACTGTAGCCTTGTAGTATACTTTGAAGTCAGGTAGTGTGATGCCTCCAGCTTTATTCTTTTGGCTTAGGATTGACTTGGCGATGCGGGCTCTTTTTTGGTTCCATATGAACTTTAAAGTAGTTTTTTCCAATTCTGTGAAGAAAGTCATTGGTAGCTTGATGGGGATGGCATTGAATCTGTAAATTACCTTGGGCAGTATGGCCATTTTCACGATATTGATTCTTCCTACCCATGAGCATGGAATGTTCTTCCATTTCTTTATATCCTCTTATTTCATTGAGCAGTGGTTTGTAGTTCTTGAAGAGTTCCTTCACATCCCTTCTAAGTTGGATTCCTAGGTATTTTATTCTCTTTGAAGCAATTGTAAATGGGAGTTCACTCATGATTTGGCTCTCTGTTTGTCTGTTATTGGCGTATAAGAATGCTTGTGATTTTTGTACATTGATTTTGTATCCCAAGACTTTGCTGAAGTTGCTTATCAGCTTAAGGAGATTTTGGGCTGAGACGATGGGGTTTTCTAGATATACAATCATGTCATCTGCAAACAGGGACAATTTGACTTCCTCTTTTCCTAACTGAATACCCTTTATTTCCTTCTCCTGCCTAATTGTCCTGGCCAGAACTTCCAACACTATGTTGAATAGCAGTGGTGAGGGAGGGCATCCCTGTCTTGTGCCAGTTTTCAAAGGGAATGCTTCCAGCTTTTGCCAATTCAGTATGATATTGGCTGTGGGTTTGTCATAGATAGATAGCTCTTATCATTTGGAGATACGTCCCATCAATACCTAATTTATTGAGAGTGTTTAGCATGAAGGGTTGTTGAATTTTGTCAAAGGCCTTTTCTGCATCTATTGAGATAATCATGTGGTTTTTCTCTTTGGTTCTGTCTATATGCTGGATTACATTTATTGATTTGCATATATTGAACCAGCCTTGCATCCCAGGGATGAAGCCCACTTGATCATGGTGGATAAGCTTTTTGATGTGCTGCTGGATTCGGTTTGCCAGTATTTTATTGAGGATTTTTGCATCAATGTTCATCAAGGATATTGGTCTAAAATTCTCTTTTTTGGTTGTGTCTCTGCCCAGCTTTGGTATTCGGATGATGCTGGCCTCATAAAATGAGTTAGGGAGGATTCCCTCTTTTTCTATTGATTGGAATAGTTTCAGAATGAATGGTACCAGTTCCTCCTTGTACCTCTATTAGAATTCTGCTGTGAATCCATCTGGTCCTGGGCTCTTTTTGATTGGTAAGCTTTTGATTATTGCCACAATTTCAGAGCCTGTTATTGGTCTCTTCAGAGAGTCAACTTCTTCCTGGTTTAGTCTTGGGAGGATGTATGTTTTGAGGAATTTATCCATTTCTTCTAGATGTTCTAGTTTATTTGAGTAGAGTTATTTGTAGTATTCTCTGATGGTAGTTTGTGTTTCTGTGGGATCCGTGGTGATATCCCCTTTATCATTTTTTATTGCGTCTATTTGATTCTTCTCTCTTTTCTTCTTTATTAGTCTTGCTAGTGGTCTATCAATTTTGTTGATCCTTTCAAAAAACCAGCTCCTGGATTCATTAATTTTTTGAAGGGTTTTTTGTGTCTCTATTTCCTTCAGTTCTGCTCTGATTTTAGTTATTTCTTGCCTTCTGCTAGCTTTTGAATGTGTTTGCTCTTGCTTTTCTAGTTCTTTTAATTGTGATGTTAGGGTGTCAATTTTGGATCTTTCCTGCTTTCTCTTGTGGGCATTTAGTGCTATAAATTTCCCTCTACACACTGCTTTGAATGTGTCCCAGAGATTCTGGTATGTTGTGTCTTTGTTCTCGTTGGTTTCAAAGGACATCTTTATTTCTGCCTTCATTTCGTTATGTACCCAGTAGTCATTCAGGAGCAAGTTGTTCAGTTTCCATGTAGTTGAGCGGTTTTGAGTGAGTTTCTTAATCCTGAGTTCTAGTTTGATTGCACTGTGGTCTGAGAGACAGTTTGTTATAATTTCTGACCTTTTACATTTGCGGAGGAGAGCTTTACTTCCAACTATGTGGTCAATTTTGGAATAGGTGTGGTGTGGTGCTGAAAAAAATGTATATTCTGTTGATTTGGGGTGGAGAGTTCTGTAGATGTGTATTAGGTCCGTTTGGTGCAGAGCTGAGTTCAATTCCTGGGTATCCTTGTTAACTTTCTGTCTGGTTGATCTGTGTAATGTTGACAGTGGGGTGTTAAAGTCTCCCATGATTATTGTGTGGGAGTCTAAGTCTCTTTGTAGGTTACTCAGGACTTGCTTTATGAATCTGGGTGCTCCTGTATTGGGGGCATATATATTTAGGATAGTTAGCTCTTCTTGTTGAATTAATCCCTTTACCATTATGTAATGGCCTTTTTTGTCTCTTTTGATCTTTGTTGGTTTAAAGTCTGTTTTATCAGAGACTAGGATTGCAACCCCTGCCTTTTTTTGTTTTCCATTTGCTTGGTAGATCTTCCTCCATCCTTTTATTTTGACTCTACGTGTGTCTCTGCACGTGAGTTGGGTTTCCTGAATGCAGCACACTGATGGGTCTTGACTCTTTATCCAATTTGCCAGTCTGTGTCTTTTGATTGGAGCATTTAGTCCATTTACATTTAAAGTTAATATTGTTATGTGTGAATTTGATCCTGTCATTATGATGTTAGCTGGTTATTTTGCTCGTTAGTTTATGCAGTTTCTTCCTAGCCTCGATGGTCTTTACAATTTGACATGATTTTGCAGTGGCTGGTACTGGTTGTTCCTTTCCATGTTTAGTGCTTCCTTTAGGAGCTCTTTTAGGGCAGGCCTGGTGGTGACAAAATCTCTCAGCATTTGCTTGTCTTTAAAATATTTTATCTCTCCTTCACTTATGAAGCTTAGTTTGGCTGGATATGAAATTCTGGGTTGAAAATTCTTTTCTTTAAGAATGTTGAATATTGGCCCCCACTCTCTTCTGGCTTGTAGCGTTTCTGCTGAGAGATCCGCTATTAGTCTGATGGGCTTCCCTTTGTGGGTAACTTGTCCTTTGTCTCTGGCTGCCCTTACCATTTTTTCCTTCATTTCAACTTTGGTGAATCTGACAGTTATGTGTCTTGCAGTTGCTCTTCTCGAGGAGTATCTTTGTGGTGTTCTCTGTATTTCCTGAATCTGAACGTTGGCCTGCCTTGCTAGCTTGGGGAAGTTCTTCTGGATAATGTCCTGCTGAGTGTTTTCCAACTTGGTTCCATTCTCCCCATCACTTTCAGGTACACCAATCAGACGTAGATGTGATCTTTTCACATAGTCCCATATTTCTTGGAGGCTTTGTTTGTTTCTTTATATTCTTTTTTCTCCAAACTTTCCTTCTCGCTTCATTTCATCCATTTCGTCTCCCATCACTGATACCCTTTCTTCCAGTTGATCGCATCGGCTCCTGAGGCTTCTCAGGTACACTGCTCATGTAGTTTTCGAGCCTTGGCTTTCAGTTCCATCGGCTCCTTTAAGCACTTCTCTGTATTGGTTATTCTAGTTATACATTCGTCTAAATTTTTTTCAAAGTTTTCAACTTCTTTGCCTTTGGTTTGAATTTCCTCCTGTAGCTCTCAGTAGTTTGATCATCTGAAGCCTTCTTCTCTCAATTCATCAAAGTCATTCTCCGTCCAGCTTTGTTCCGTTGCTGGTGAGGAGCTGCATTCCTTTGGAGAAGGAGAGGCGCTCTGCTTTTTAGAGTTTCCAGTTTTTCTGCTCTGTTTTTTCCCCATCTTTGTGGTTTTATCTACATTTGGTCTTTGATGATGGTGACGTACAGATGGGTTTTTGGTGTGGATGTCCTTTCTGTTTGTTAGTTTTCCTTCTAACAGACAGGACCCTCAGCTGCAGGTCTGTTGGAGTTTGCTAGAGACCAGACCCTGTTTTCCTGGGTACCAGCAGCGGTGGCCACAGAACAGCAGATTTTCGTGAACCAGGAATGCTGCTGTCTGATCGTTCCTCTGGAAGTTTTGTCTCAGAGGAGTACCTGGCCATGTGAGGTATCAGTCTGCCCCTACTGGGGGGTGCCTCCCAGTTAGGCTGCTCGGGGGTCAGGGGTCAGGGACCCACTTGAGGAGGCAGTCTGCCCATTCTCAGATCTCCAGCTGTGTGCTGGGAGAACCACTGCTCTCTTCAAAGCTGTCAGACAGGGACATTTAAGTCTGCAGAGGTTACTGCTGTCTTTTTGTTTGTGCCCTGCCCCCAGAGGTGGAGCCTACAGAGGCAGGCAGGTCTCCTTGAGCTGTGGTGGGCTCCACCCAGTTCGAGCTTCCCAGCTGCTTTGTTTACCTAAGCAAGCCTTGACAATGGCGGGTGCCCCTCCCCCAGCCTCGCTGCCGCCTTGCAGTTTGATCTCAGACTGCTGTGCTACCAATCAGTGAGACTCCGTGGGCATAGGACCCTCTGAACCAGGTGTGGGATATAATCTCCTGGTGCACCGTTTTTTAAGCCCGTCGGAAAAGCGCGGTATTCGGGTGGTAGTGACCCGATTTTCCAGGTGCCTTCTGCCACCCCTTTCTTTGACTAGGAAAGGGAACTTCCTGACCCCTTGCACTTCCCGAGGGAGGCAGTGCCTCACCCTGCTTTGGCTTGCAAACGGTGCGCTGCACCCACTGTCCTGTACCCACTGTCTGGCACTCCCTAGTGAGAGGAACCCGGTACCTCAGATGGAAATGCAGAAATCACCCATCTTCTGTGTCGCTCACGCTGGGAGCTGTAGACCAGAGCTGTTCCTATTCAGCCATCTTGGCTCCAGTCATTTCCTGACTTTTTAATGATTGCCATTCTAACTGGTGTGAGATGGTATCTCACTGTGGTTTTGATTTGCATTTCTCTAATGACCAGTGATGATGAGCTTTTTTTCATGTTTGTTGGCTGCATAAGTGTCTTCTTTTGAGAAGTGTGTGTTCATATACTTTACCCACTTTTTGATCGGGTTGTTTTGTTTTTTTCTTGTAAATTTGTTTAAGCTTCTTGTAGATTCTGGATATTAGCCCTTTGTTAGATGGATAGATTGCAAAAATTTTCTCCCATTCTGTAGGTTGCCTGTTCACTCTCATGATAGTTTTTTTTTTTTTTTTTTTTTTTGCTGTGCAGAAGCTCTTTAATTTAATTAGATCCCATTTGTCAATTTTGGCTTTTCTCGAAATTGCTTTTGTTGTTTTATTCATGAAGCCTTTGCCCATGCCTATGTGCTGAATAATATTGCCTAGGTTTTCTTCTAGGGTTTTTATGGTTTTAAGTCTTAAGTTTAAGTCTTTAATCCATCTTGAGTTAATTTTTGTATAAGGTATAAGGAAGGGGTCTAGTTTCAGTTTTCTGCGTATGGCTAGCCAGTTTTCCCAACACCATTTATTAAATAGGGAATCCTTTCCCCAGTGCTTGTTTTTTAATTAGCTTTGTTAAAGATCAGATGGCTATAGATGTGTGGTGTTATTTCTGAGGACTCTGTTCTGTTCCATTGATCTATATAACTGTTTTGGTAACAATATCATGCTGTTTTGGTTACTGTAGTCTTGTAGTATAGTTTGAAGTCAGGTAGTGTGATTCCTCCAGCTTTGTTCTTTTTGCTTAGGATTGTCTTGGCCATACAGGCTCTTTTTTGGTTCCATATGAAATTTAAAGTAGTTTTTTTCCAATTCTGTGAAGAAAGTCAATGGGAGCTTAATGGGAATATCATTGAATCTATAAATTGCTTTGGTTAGTATGGCCATTTTCACAATATTGATTCTTCCTATCCATGAGCGTGAAATGTTTGTCCATTTGTTCATGTCCTCTCTTATTTCCTTGAGCAGTGGTTTCTAGTTCTCCTTGAAGAGGTCCTTCTCATCCCTTGTAAGTTGTATTCCTAGGTATTTTATTTTCTTTGTAGCAGTTGTGAATGGGAGTTCACTCATGATTTGGCTCTCTGTCTATTATTAGGATATAGGATTTCTTGTGGTTTTTGCACATTGATTCTGTATCCTGAGACTTTGCTGAAGCTGCATATCAGCTTAAGGAGTTTTTGTGCTGAGACAATGGGGTTTTCTAAATATACAATCATGTCATCTGCAAACAGAGACAATTTGACTTCCTCTCTTCCTGTTTGAATACTTTTATTTCTTTCTCTTGCTTGATTGCCCTGGCTTGAACTTCTAATACTATGTTGAATAGGAGTGGTGAGAGAGGGCATCCTTTTCTTGTGCTGGTTTTCCAGCTTTTGCCTATTCAGTATGATATTGGTTTGTCATAAATAGCTATTATTATTTTGAGATATGTTCCATCAATACTTAGTTTTTAGAGAGTTTTTAGCATGAAGCAATGTTGAATTTTATTGAAGGCTCTTTCTGCACCTATTGAGATAATCATGTGGTTTTTGTCAGTGGTTCTGTTTATGTGATAGATTACATTTTTTGATTTTCATATGTTGAACCAGGCTTGCACTCCAGGAAACTTGATCCTGCTGGATAAGCCAACCTGATGGTGGTGGATAAGCTTTTTGTTGTGCTCCTGGATTCGGTTTGCCAGTATTTTATTGAGGATTTTCACATCGATGTTCATCAGGGATATTGGCCTGAAATTTTCTTTTTTTATAGTGTCTCTGCCAGGATTTGGTATCACAATGGTGCTGGCCTCATAAAATGTGTTAGGGAGCAGTCCCTCTTTTTCTATTGTTTGGAGTTTCAGAAGGAATGGGACCAGCTCCTTTTTGTACCTCTGGTAGAATTTGGCTTTGAATCCATCTGGTCCTGAGATTTTTTTGCTTGGTAGGCTATTAATTACTGCCTCAATTTCAGAACTTGTTATCAGTCTATTCAGGGATTTGACTTCTTCCTGGTTTAGTCTTGGGAGGGTGTATGTGTCCAGCAATTTATCCATTTCTTTTAGATTTTCTAGTTTATTTGTGTAGAGGTGTTTATAGTATTCACTGATGGTAGTTTGCATTTCTGTGGGATCAGTGGTGATATCCTCTTTATCCTTTTTTATTGTGTCTATTTGATTCTTCTCTGTTTGCTTCTTTATAATTCTGGCTAGCAGTCTATCTATTTTGTTAATCTTTTCAAGAACCCAGCTCCTGGGTTCATTGATTTTTTTGAAGGGTGTTTTGTGTCTTTGTCTCTTTCAATTCTGCTGTCTTCTTAGTTGTTTCTTGTTCTGCTAGCTTTTGAATTTGTTTGCTCTTGCTTCTCTAGTTCTCTTAATTGTGATGTTAGAGTGTCGATTTTAGATCCTTCCAGCTTTCTCCTGTGGGCATTTAGTGCTATAAATTTCCCTCTAAACACTGCTTTAGCTGTGTCCCAGAGATTCTGGTGCGTTGTGTCTGTTCTCATTGGTTTCAAACAACATTTATTTCTTCCTTAATTTAGTTATTTATGCATTAGTCATTCAGGGGCAGGTTGTTCAGTTTCCGTGTAGTTGTGCAGTTTTGAGAGAGTTTCTTAATCCTGAGTTCTAATTTGATTACAGTGTGGTCTGAGAGACTGTTATGATTTCTGTTCTTTTACCTTTGCTGAGGAGTGTTTTACTTCCAATCATGTGGTCAACTTTAGAATAATTGCTCTGTGGTGCTGAGAAGAATGTATATTCTATTAATTTTGGGTGCAGAGTTCTGTAGATGTCTATTAGCTCCACTTGGTCCAGAGCTGAGTTCAAGTCCTGAATATCCTCGTTAATTTTCTGTCTTGTTGATCTGTCTAACATTGACAGTGGAGCGTTAAAGTCTCCCACTATTGTGTGGGAGTCTAAGTCTCTTTGTAGGTCTCTAAGAACTTGCTTTATGAATCTGGGTGCTCCTGTATTGAGTGCATATATATTTAGGATAGTTAGGTCTTCTTGTTGCATTGGTCCCTTTACCATTATGTAATGCCCTCTTTGTCATTTTGATCTTTGTTGGTTTAAAGTCTGTTTTATCAGAGACTAGGCTTGAAACCCCTGCTTTTTTTTTTTTTTTTTTTTTTTTTTTTTGCTTTTCCGTTTGCTTGGTAAACATTCCTTCATCTCTTTATTTTGAGCCTATGTGTGTCTTTGCATGTGAGATTGGTCTCCTGAATACAGTGCACTGATGGGTCTTGATTCTTTATCCAATCTGCCAGTGTTGTGTTTTTTAATTGGGGCATTTAGCCCATTTACACTTACAGTTAATATTGTTACATGTGACTTTGATCCTGTCATCATGATGGTAGCTGGTTATTTTGCACATTATTTGATGCAGTTTCTTCATAGTGTTGGCCTTTATATTTCAGTATGTTTTTGCAGTGGCTAGTACCAGTTTTTCCTTTCTGTATTTAGTGCTTCCTTTAGGAGCTCTTGTAAGGCAGGCCTGGTGGTGACAAAATCCCTCAGCATTTGCTTGTCTGTAGAGGATTTTATTTCTCCTTCACTTGTGAAGCTCAGTTTGGCTGGATATGACATTCTGGGTTGAAAATTCTTTTCTTTAAGAATGTTGAGTATTGGCCCCCACTCTCTTCTGGCTTGTAGGGTTTCTGCAGAGAGATCCACTGTTAGTCTGATGGACTTCTCTTTGTGGGTAACCTGACCTTTCTCTCTGGCTGCCCTTAACATTTTTTCCTTCATTTCAACCTTGATGAATCTGACAATTATTTGTCTTGGGGTTCCTCTTCTTGAGAAGTATCTTAGTGGTGTTCTCTGTATTTCCTGAATTTGAATGTTGGCCTGTCTTGCTAGGTTGGGATGTTGTCCTGGATAATATCCAGAAGTGTGTTTTGCAACTTGGTTCCATTCTCCCTGTCACTTCCAGGTACACCAATCAAACATAGATTTGGTCTTTTCACATAGTTCCATACTTCTTGGAGCCTTTGTTCTTTTCGTTTGGCGGTTTTTTCTCTAATCTTGTTGTCTTGCTTTATTTCATTGAGTTGATCTTCAATCTCTGACACACTTTCTTCCGCGTGATCAATTCAGCTATTGATACTTGTGTATGCTTCAAGAAATTCTCGTGCTGTGTTTTTCAGCTCCATCAGGTCATTTCTTTTCTTCGCTAAACTGGTTATTATAGTTAGCAATTTCTGTAACTTTTTATCAAGGTTCTTAATTTCCTTGCATTGGGTTAGAAAATGCTCCTTTAGCTCAGAGGAGTTTGTTATTACCCACCTTCTGAAGCCTACTTCTGTCAATTCGTCAAACTCATTCTCTGTTTAGTTTTGTCCCGTTGCTGACGAGGAGTTATGATCCTTTGGAAGAGAAGAGGCATTCTGGCTTTTGAAATTTTCAGCATTTTTCCACTGGTTTGTCTTCATCTTTATGGATTTATCTACCTTTGGTCTTTGATGTTGGTGACCTTCTGATGGGGTTTTCTTTTGAATGTCCTTTTTGTTGATGCTGATGCTATTCCTTTCTGTTTGTTAGTTTTCCTTCTAATAGTCAGCTTCCTCTTCTGCAGGTCTGCTGGAGTTCTCTGGAGGTCCACTCCAGACCCTATTTGCATGTGTATTGCCAGCAGAGGCTGCAGAACAGCAAAGATTGCTGCCTATTTCTTCCTCTGGGAGCTTCATCCCAGAGGGGCCCCTGCCAGATGCCAGCCAGAGCTCTCCTGTATGAGGTGTCTTTCGGCCCCTGCTGGGAGGTATCTCCCAGTCAGGATATATAGGGGTCAGGGACTCACTTGGGGAGGCAGTCTGACTCTTAGAGGAGCTCAAGTGCTGTGCTGGGAGATCCGCTGCTCTCTTCAGAGCTGGCAGGCAAGAACGTTTAAGTCTACTGAAGCTGTGCCCACAGCCGCCCCTTCCCCCAGGTGCACTGTCCCAGAGAGATGGGAGTTTTATCTATAAGCCCCTGACTGGGGCTGCTGCCTTTCTTTCAGAGATGCCCTACCCAGAGAGGACGAGTCTAGAGATGCAGGATGCAGTCTGGCTACAGCAGCTTTACTATGCTGCAGTGGGCTCCACCCAGTCTGAATGTCCCGGCAGCTTTGTTTACCCTGTGAGGGGAAAACCACTTATTCAAGCCTCAGTAATGGTGGATGCCCCTCCCCCCACCAAGCTCCAATGTCCCAGGTCGACTTCTGACTACTGTCCTGGCAACAAGAATTTCAAGCCAGTGGATCTTAGCTTGCTGGGCTCTGTGGGGTGAGACCCGCTGAGCAAGACCACTTGGCTCCCTGGCTTCAGCCTCCTTTCCAAGGGATCGAGCGGTTCTGTCTCACTGGGGTTCCAGGTGCCAGTGGGGTATGAAAAACAAACAAAAAATAAAAAAACAGAAAAAAACTCCTGCAGCTAGCTTAGTGTCTGCTGAAATGGCTGCCCAATTTTGTGCTTGAAACCTAGAGCCCTGGTGGTGCAGGCACCCAAGGGAATCTCCTGGTCTGTGGGTTGCGAAGACCATGGGAATAGTGTAGTACCTGGGTTGGAATGCACCGTTCCTCAAGGTGCAGTCCCTCACGGCTTCCCTTGGCTAAGTGAGGGAGTTCCCTGACCCCCTGTGCTTCCTGGGTGAGGCAACACCCCACCCTGCTTCTGCTCACCCTCCATGGGCTGTACCCACTGTCTAACCAGTCCCAATAAGATGAACCGGGTACCTCAGTTAGAAATGCAGAAATCACCCACGTTCTGTGTTGATCCCTTTGGGAACTGCAGACCGGAGCTGTTCCTATTTGACCATCTTGCCCAGAACCCAATAGATCCTTTAGATAAAAAAGCCCTCAAAACACATGTTTCATAACAAGTGCTACTGAATAAATACACAAAATGGGGCACATTTGTACAATTGAATATTACTCAATAATGAAGAGCTACAGATCACTGACACTTGCAACAACACAGATGAATCTCAAAAGCAATATGCTAAGTGAAAGAAGCCAGACATAAAAAATAACATAATGTATGATTTTGTTTGCAGGAAATTTTTATAAAGGCAAAACTTGGGGTGGTGTTGTTAAAATGTACACAAATTGTTTGATACCCCTCCTTTATTAATGTTCATTTTTTTTTTTTTTTTTGAGATGGACTCTCACTCTTGCTCAGGCTGGAGTGCAGTGGCATGATCTCAGCTCAATGAAACCTCTACCTCCCAAGTTCAAGCAATTCTCATGCCTCAGTCTCCCAAGTAGCTAGGATTACAAACGTGTGCCACCACGCCTGGCTACTTTTTTGTGTTTTTAGTAGAGGTAAGGTTTCCCCATATGACCAGGCTGGTCTTGAACTCCTGACCTCAAGTGCTCCACCTGCTTGGGCCTTCTAAAGTGCTGGGATTACAGGGTCAGCAATTGCACCTGGCCTGATATCCCCCTTTAAATAAACAGAACTAATTCCCTTTACCTTGAGTGTGAGTTGAACTTAATGACTTGGTTTTAACAACTCGAAAACAGTAGAAGTGGTAGTGTGCTACTCGGTGGACTAGGTCATAAAAAGCACTGCAGCTTCCTGCTTGATCACTCTCTTTGGTAACTCACTCTGGAGGACACCACAGTCCTTGTCACAAGAACATCCAGGCAGCCACGTGAAAAGGAACTGTTGCCCTCTGCCAACAGCCGTGAGGATAAGCTGTCTTGGAAGTGGATCCTGAAGTTCCAGTTAAGTCTTCATAGACTGCATCCCTCCCCAACAGCTTGACTGAACTCTCATGAGAGTCTCTGAGCCACAATTATCCAGCTAGGCTGCTCCCTGATTCCTGACCCCCAGAAACTGTGTGAGATAATGTTTCTTGTTTTAAATTGCCAAGAGATGGGGGGAGATTTGTTACACAGCAGTAGATAACTGACACATATCGTTAAAAAAAGAAAAACAGATCAGTAGTTGTCTAGGGCCAGGAGTGGGGGTGGAGAATAACTGCAAAGAGACAAAAGACAATTTTTGGGTTAGTGGAAATAATCTGAGTTTAGATTGTGTTGATGGTTGCAAGAATGTTGACATTTGCCAAAATTCATCAAACCATTTACCGCAAATGAGTACTTTTATTGTATGAAAATTATACTTTAGTAAAGGTGTTAAATATTATAAAAGAAAAACACATTTATATTCTGTGCGGTTTTTTTTTTTCTTTTTTTTTTGAGACAGGGTCTCACTCTAGTTGCCCAGGCTGGAGTGGAGTGGCACAATTTCAGCTCACTGCAGCTTCAACCTCCTGGGCTCAGGTGATTCTTCCACCTCATCCTCCCTAGTAGCTGGGATTATGGGTGTGCACCACCAGGCTAAGCTTCTTTTTGTATTTTTAGTAGAGATAGGGTATTGCTGTGTTGCCCAGGCTGGTCTTGAACTCCTGGACTCAAGCAATCCACCCACCTCAGCCTCTCAGAGTGCTGGGTTTACAGGCCTGAGCCACTGCACCCAGCTATGTTTATATTCTTGACATTAACTCAATTTAAATGCAAGTGAATGAAGTAGGAATGTGTTTCAGTCAATGACTGAGTGTCCTGAATTTGTGAATTAGGGGCTGAGGATGTTTAACATGGTCCAACTTGAGGCTTATGGTTAGCAAGGCCCTTCAGTTACTTAATTTTCTCTGGAGAAAGGTGACTTCTATTTCCCTTCTCCATTGTTCTCTGGATTCTCTCCTGTTGGTAGGCGCCTCTCTGGAAATTTACCTTTTTTCCTTCTTCACCACAAATCATATGAATAGTGAATAGATCTGTAAGGGTGGAAAAGAGTAATTATAATGTTAATTAGAACATAAAAATGCCGATTTATATATTGATGAGACCCTCATATCTACATCACTTGGCACTCAGGAGTGGGTGGGGTTGAAAGCAAAAGAGAGGGCAACAAGCAACAGTTGAGATTAGTGGCTGGAGAATCTGCAGCCAGCTACAGAACTCAGTTTATTTGTATGGGGAAGGTGCATCGGCAGAAGATATCTCCTGTCTGAAGATCAGGGTTCCAAGAGAAAAGAAGATTGTAAATGGCTGTAGAACATGGCTATCATGGCTTCCAGGATGTATTAGAGCCTCCCTATCCTGGATTAATCTCAAAGGGCTAGAAATCCAGAGTGCGTTGCTTTAGAGAAAGTTTTCAATATGAAGGTTTTGTGATGACTGAAACGAAACTTTAAGAACCCAAGGCCTAATTTCAAAAAGATTAAAACCAGAACCAGTCAAGCATCTTTAGAGCAAGACAGAGTGGTGGGTTCTCCCACAGTTGACCAAAATGGGTCAATAGTCTTTGCCTCAACCATTTCATCATTTCACATATATAAGTATAATTGTGAGTGTGATTGTGTGTGTACCTAACGCGGTGATTTGTGGTAGGCTAAAGTGACTCTGAAATAGGAGGGAGATATCTCAGGCCTTGGTCTAGGGGAGAAGAGTCTCCCCCTTCCATTCTCTTGAGGGGAAGTGGCAGAAAATGTAGCAGTGGCAGGGGTCTGTGGTATCTGGTCTGAAGACTGTTATGGTGGTTTGGTCACATATAAGTGAACACTCTGGAAATCAAGATTAATAGGAATTGCATTATGATGATTATATGACAGTAAAATGAATGATTAGTAAAACAAAACTATGACTGTACTGGTTTTAAAATGGTAAAATAATAATTTTAGCCTGCAAGAACCCAGTAGCATGAGGGTATTTAATGATTGTATCCACTTTTACAGTTACGAATAGATTTGGTATGGAAAAGGGTATTAGCTACATACATATCACTGAGTAAAAATTACTCCTCAAATAATACTAAGTAATTATTTTTTATGAAGTGGTAATGGGTCAGGAATCTGGGAGTAGTTTAGCTGGGTGTTTCTGGCTCACAGTTTTTTACAGGTTGTGGTCAAGATAACAGCCAGGGCTGCAGTCATCTGGAGGCTTGGCCGAGGCTTCAGTGTCCACTTTCATAATAGCTCACTTACATGGCTGTTGTCAGGCTTTAGTATTCCCCACGTGTGGACTTCTCCATAGATGGGGTAGTTTGAGCATCCTTATAACATGGCAACTGATTTTTCTCAGAGCAGGTGATATGAGAGAGAGAGAAAAGTGTGTGTGTGTGTGTGTGTGTGTGTGTGTGTGAGAGAGAGAGAGAGAGAGAGAGAGAGAGGGAGAGAAAGAAAGCAGCACCATATTCTGTGATCTAGTCTTAGAAGCCATACACCGCCACTCCAGCCACATTTTCTCCTTTAAAAGTAAGTCATTAAGTCCATTAAGTTCAACCCACAGTCAAGGGGAGAGGAATTAGTTCACATCTTTTCAAGGGAGGAATGTTGAATAATTTGTGAACACATGTTAAAACCACAATGGAGAAGCTAAAGGGAATATTATTTCAGCACAAAGTTATGGGTGCACCAAGAATAAACCTATGTTTTCTTGCCTGCAGGAGTGCTTGAACAAAAAGAGCCTTGTAAATGTATATGGAGGAGCTGAGTTAGAGACCAAGGTGTATAATCTTGAGCAAGTCACTGAGTGGTATAAGCCTCCGTTTTCCTTATTTGCAAAATGTGAATAAGGATCATAATAAAAAAATCAAAAGTTCTCCTCCAAGTCTAATAGTTTTATAACTATTTTATGCTATCTTCAAATAATTAATACTCCTGTCAGAGAGTTTTCTACCATACAAATAACTTTAAGATGATAAAGTTATTAAGTGTCATGAGAGAAATGTAAGTAAATGTTCTGTAAGAGAACCTAGAGGAGGAATAGATAGTTGCCCAGTTGCCTTGCAGAAGCTTCCTTCTTTCTCACTCCCTACCAAAAACCTGAAAGTAGATTGGTGTGCTATGCTCTACTCTAAGCCTGGTAAGGGTAGAAGCCATGTGGCCATGTATGTCCCCTTGATACCCTTGCCTTCATCAAAATGCCTGGCACATGGTACATATTTAATAACCAATATTGAATGAACAAATCAATCAATGCTTATTGAATGAAACACTCTGGGAAATGAATTCACGTTGAAGTGTTATTGAATAACAGGACAATAAAATGTGACAATTTTCCCAAGTGACCAAAGTGTTGAAGTTCCAAATAGTGAAATCTTAGACATCAGTGACCTAGTAAGAAAGGGTTTTCCTAGCCTAGGAACTCTTTTTGTGTCTCAGAAATCATATAATATGGGAAACTCCAACTGTGATTCAGGATTGGACATATAATTTCCTGCCCTTCTTGACTTTTGCCCAGTTTTTTCTCTGACCGCCTCTACCTCCTACCTCCTCTACCAATAGTGCTGTTTTAAGGCTCTGTTAAAACTCTCTGCTTCAAATTCTAGGCAGAGTTATGAGTTTCATGAGATTCTTACCCATACCCCCAACCCCAACAATCTTTTCTTCTCATGCAATATTCTTCCAGCTCTGGACAATACAGTTGAGCTGTGTGGCATCAAGAAAAGTAATTTATTGGACAGTCATTACTTTTGTACTTGTCATGTGAGAATTTCCAAAAGGCCAATAATTATAAAGCCTTGTGATTCCAAATCCAAAGCTGATTCATTTCTGCCTAAGTGTTTGCTGCCAATATGCTAAACATACAATTAAAAGAGGTAAAAACCAATTAAGATTTGCTTTGGAAAAGTGCCAGAATCCATTTACAAACAACAACAACAACAACAAAAACACGTTTAGGCTGACTTGTACGATACCTCACCTGTGCATTTTGCTTTTAATGCATATTTTTTGGCTTGTTTCTTTGATTTTTTAATTGCAAGAATATAAACTTTATCGCTTAGGAAATACCAGTATCTTATTATTGTAAGAACTCATTCATCTGCTGGAATAAGAATCAAGGCAGGGCTGGTTCTGCGGGCTGCAAGGGATAAGATAAACACTGTGAGACTGATTGTAGTTTTCCATGCATGTGCTGTTTGCTTTCATAAACTAACCTGAATATGTGTTATTTCCTTAATTTTTCTGCACATGCCATTCCTTCTCCTTGGAGTGCCCTTCCCATAACCATCTCTGTTTATTGGGCTCCTATTCATCCTTGATGAGCCAAATCAACTGTCATATTCTCCTTGAAGCCATAGCCATGAGCCATTATCATTCCAACCAGATGTCTACTCTCTCCTCCCTTATCTGCAGAAATTTTTTCTTATTTTTCTTAATAGACTTATAAAACCAGCTTTGGGGTATTATTTACAAACATGCCTTCTGTCTCTCACCAAGTATTAAGTTCTTTGAGAGTACTATTATGTCTTATCTACATAGCTCCTTTTGAGCCTATACAAATGATATTAACATTTATAGCCTTGTATTCAGCACAAATTTCTTTGTTTCTTCATAATACATACTGTCACATTGATACAATCTTCAGAAGACATGCTTGATATCTGAAACATGGAGCAGAGAAAGGATGATGTTTGTAGTTTATAATATTGTTACAAACTGATCAAGAAAAATATTGGGCTGATTTGAAAAGAGTAGCAATAGCACACACTTATGTAGTTCTTGCCATGTGCCAGGCTCTGTTCTAAGCACTTAGTGGGTATATTTTAACTATCACAATTTAAGAAGAAACTGAAACACAGAAACAATACATAACTTGTTGGAGATTGCAAGGCTGATAGGTTGCATAGATGTGCTCCTGATAGCCCAGGCAGCTCTGGAGTCCCTGCTCTTAACTTCTACACAAGGCTACCAGGACAAAGAGAGCCCTCTCTTCTGTGTCTCATTCTGGTGCTCTCCTCTTTGGAAACTCTCCATGCAAAGAAGGCTTAATTTAAAAATCAACATTCCTTTCCAAGTTCTCATTCTCATCCCCTTCTTGGAAGAAAATTTACTTAAAAGAGGAAATCTGTCACTAAGTTAGACAGATACCATTAATGTGTAGGGTTATTGAGTAGGTATATTTTTTTTGTGATGAGATAAAACAAATACAAAGAAGTTTCCATACTCTGGTACACAGATTCTGAAAGTCTGATTTCTGAACCAGTAGCATTCATAACACATGTGATCTTGTTAGAAATACAGATTATTGATTTTGTATGTGGTGAGAGATAGGAGTCCAGTGTTATCCTTCTGCATATGGCAACCCAATTTTCCCAGCACCAATTATTTTAAAAAGTGTTCTTTACCCAGTGTATGTTTTTGTCAATTTTCTCAAAAGTCAATTGGCTATAGATATGAGGCTTTATTCCTGGATTCTCGATGTATTTTTATGCTAGTACCATCCTGTTTTGGTTACTATAGGCTTGTAGTATAATTTGAAGTAAGGTAATGTCACACCTCCAGCTTTGTTCTTTTGCTTAGGATAGCTTTGGCTATGTGGGATCACTTAAATGTAAGACCTGAAACTATTAAAATATGAGAAGAAAACCTAGGAAGTCTTCCGGACATTGGTGTAGGCAAAGAATTCATGACTAAGACCTCAAAAACACAAGCAACAAAAACAGGAATAGACAAATGGGACTTAATTAAACTAAGAAGCTTCTGTAAAGCAAAAGAAATAATCAACAGAGGGAACAGACAAGTTGAAGAATGGGAGAAATATCTGCAAATTATGCCTTTGACAAAGACTGATATCCAGAATTTACACGGAACTCAAACAACTCAGTAACAACAAAAAACCCCACAAATAACCCCATTAAAAAGTGGGCAAAAAACATGATTAGACATTTTTCAAAAGAAAACATACAAATGACCAACAAGCATATTTTTAAAATGCTTGCCATGACTAATCATCAGAGAAATGCAAATTAAACCAGAATGAGATATTGCCTTACACCAGCCAGAAAGGCTATTATTAAAAAGTCAAAAAATAGTAGATGTTAGCAGGGATGAGAAGAAAAAGAAATGCTTATACAGTGTTGGTGGGAATATAAAATAGCAGTACCTCAATGGAAAACTGAATTGAAATTCACAGAGTAGTAAAAATAGAACTACCACTCTATCCAGCAGTCTTACTACTGGGTATATACCCAAAGGGACAGAAAATATTACATAAAAAAGACACCTGGACTTGGATGTCTATTGCAGTAATATTCACAATAGCAAAGATGTAAAATCAACCTAAGTGCCATCAATGAATGACTGAAGAAAAAAATGTAGTACACACACACACAAATATTATTCAGCCATAAGAAGAATGAAATAATGTCTTTTGCATCAATATGGATGGAACTGGAGGCCATTATCTTAAGTGAAACAACTCAGAAACAGAAAGTCAAATACTGCATGTTCTCACTTATAAGAGCTAAATAATGCATATATATGGACGTAGAGTGTGGAATAATAGACACTAGAGATTCAGGAGGGTGGGAGAGGTGTAAGGGATGAGAAATCTCTTAATAGGTAAAATGTACATCACTCTGGTGATAGTTACACTGAAAGCCCAGGCTTCACCACTGTGCAGTGTATCCATGTGTCAAAACTGCAGTTGTACTTTTAAAATTAATACAAAGAAAAAAGAAATATACATTCTTGGGTCTTACTCCAGACCTACTGAATTAGAAACTGTAGGGGCAGAGCCTGTCAATCTGTGCTCTAACAAGCCCTCCAGATGATTTTGGTGCAGTTAAACTCTGAAAACCACTGCTCCAGTACACTGCTTCTTAAATGTGGCTGCACACTGGAATCACCAGGATTTTAGAAAGTACATTTGTGTTCTTCCCCAAGATTTTCATATTTAATTGATAGGGTGTGATCTTGGCATCAAAATTTTTTAAAGTTCCCCAGGTGATTCCAATGTTGTACCCTGAGTGAGAACCACTGCTCTGTTCTAATATTTAGGGCTTCCGGCTTAGTTCAGTCACTCAGTATACACCTTGTTAGTGAGTGGGACAGCTCTGTCTTACTGGTGACTATAACCACAAAGACTAGAACAGTGCCTAGCATTTAGTAGAAGCTCAGTAAACATCTGTTGAATGCATGGATGTTACATAGTATTATCATGCTTCAAAAAGTCTATAAAATAATACATACTTTATCATAGCAATTTTACATTTTTCCAAGAATATGGAAAAACCTTGTCTCAAATGAACCTACTCTGCCTCGGATATGCCATTCTTTCCTTGAGTCTTTGTGAAACAGTTGCCTCTACCTATGAGTTCTTTTCCCCGTTCCAAACATTTTGTGGCTAACTAACTTCTCAGTGTTCTAGTCTCAATCTCTCAGCCTCCTCTGGAAAGCAGGCTATGACCAAGAAAAGCTGCTTAGGAGATGTTCATGACTCCGACCTCAAAAGCACAAGCAACAAAAACAAGAATAGACAAATGCAATTTAATTAAACTAAGAAGCTTCTGTAAAGCAAAAGAAATAATCAACAGAGTATATAGATAAGTTGAAGAATGGGAGAAATACCTGCAAATTATGCATTTGAAAAAAGACTGCTATCAAGAATATTTCTCATTGAACCCTTGCTTATTCCCACTGCCTTTTAAATCACATGTATAGAAGTTTCCCACTTACTTGGCTATTTGTCCTCATTGGCCCGTGTCCTCTTTAATGGCAAGTACTGCCTCTCCTCACTTGGAATATCCAGCCACAGAGTCAGTTCTTGGCATGTAGGAGATGCTCAATGCACATTGTTCAAAAGAGTGAATTATTTACTCCCACAGGATTGTCCTACATTAGACAGTCTCCTCGTCACCAGATCATGCCTCCTTTGAACAGGTAATCGAAAAATCTGCTCTGTATTGGTATCCAGGTGGATACTGGCATTGATGAAAGGTGCTACTTTTAGAAGCTGACCCTTCTTGGGAGCAGCATCCAAACCCCAGAAAATGGGTTGGCTGAAATTTTTTTTGGTTCTATCTGATTCTGCTTTTGTGCAGATGAGCTATTTGGAAGCTCCAGTCTCCATACCAAGTTGTTAAACCTGACCATCTGTTGGGGAGGATTTTATTTTAGATGAGAGCATCTGGGTCCCCATTTACATTTGCTGAGGTTAATAGACCTGACAACCTTTCTCTGTTCTCAGCAGGAAGCACATCCTGAAACCATCAGGAAGGAGGCAGCTGAAGTTTTCACTGGTTGTTCTCACATGAATTCTCCCCACCTGAAAGCTTTTTTATATTCCCTCTTAATACTCTTATTTCTTAAAGTCATAATTTTCTACTCCATTAATGGCACTCAACTGAGAAACTGTCTCAACCAATATGAGGTTGTGGTAGGTTACAAGGCAGCGGGATGAAAGTGAATCACACTACCCTCAGGTCCAATCTCAGGCACTGACACTTTGTAACAAGCTCGGTGACCTTGGAAAACACACAAAAAAATGACCTCTCTGAGCTTTAGTCTTATCTCAAAATAATTAAGAATAAAATTATCTATTCTGCCATTTTTGGTTAAAAGGATTAAACATTTACTAAGGTGCCTAACAAAGTACTCAATGATCAGTCATTGTTATTTTTACCTTTCCATTGATTAGCACATCAGAAATTCTACAAGACTTTCACATACATTTAATTTGATTGTTATAACAACTCTGTGGCAGGTTGTATTTCCTGGGAGGCAGACACTGAGATGCTTTAGTGGGAAGAATATTCCAAAGTATTCTTGGGATCAACACCTAAAAAAGAGAGGGGAGGAAGCAAGATGGGCAGAGGGAGAAGTCAAACTATGGTGTAACCCAATAACAGCCTTGGTCTACTCTGTGGGAGCTCTGCAGCTGGAAGGGCCTGATGAAAAATTGTCCAGAGTTGGGTCAAGCCCTAGGTTTTCATACCCCTGCACCTGACAGTCATTGAGTGAGGCCACTCTGTGTCTGACAGACAAGTGGTCTTGGGTAAAGACACTACAGGGAGACACTTGCCGAAGAGGCTGACAACTAAAGGTTGTCCACAGATAGCCCTCCCAGGCAGCTGGGGGATGAGTCCTTCACTGAAGGGAGACCTGGTTGTTGGAGCTTATCCCAGGCCTGGAGCGTCTTCTCTAAATCGACAAGAAGGGTACCTACTTATTGTAAATGACATAGGTAGAGAGGTGTATGCATGGCTGTGTGTAGGAGTCAGGGGGTGTTGTGTAGGAAGGAAGAAGGTAGAAAGAGAAGCGAATCAAGAGGAGAGAGGGGAAAGAAGAGAATGGAACCCAACACATTTTTTTTTTAATTGCAGGCCTTTTAGTAGTAAAGGCAACTTGTTTTCAAAGTGCAACTTGCAAGACCCTTTTGAGCTTGCTTCTCATTGATCTGCCTCGGCACTCCGGAGAGTTGAGGGAGCCAACTGAGAATCCTATTTCCCCTTGCTAAAAAATCACTGCTGATTCATAAATATAGGATAATCTCAGGAGGGAACTGGGAGGTGTCAAAGTAAGAATTGCACTGGAAAAAGTTAAACAGGAAGACTTTGTTCAAGACTATCACAATAGGGGTGAGAGAACCTGGAAGGGAGATATTGCAGGTATCAAACATGAGTTCACAATCATTTCTCACTGGAGGGTTTTCAGGAGCTGGGGTGGGAGAAATCATTGGACGCACGTGATTTCTAACTGGCTTCTACCCAGAGGAAAAGTAAACTTTCTGTGTCTTCATGACAAGAAGTACTTTTACAGCTTGGAACAAGGAGCCCACTGAAGTTAGGCTCCTACCCTTCCACAGAAACTGGAAGATTGGAGAGCTATCTCCTCTGATGTTTACATTTCAAAGAGACAGCTCCCAGGTCCTTGAGAAAGACATTTATTGGGTCTTAAAACTCGTGAGGTTTCTAAGGAGATTTATTTCAAAGGAGACAGAGGAAGAATTTACAATTACAAGTTTTGTAAAGTAAATGCTCTAAGGAAAAGGAGGTCAGGGGCCTATAGTCAGGAAGAAATCTGTCTAAAGTGTAGTCAAGCTGTGGGGAACATTAAGGCTACCTTGGTCAGAGGTTTTCCTTTGGTTAAATGCTTTCAGAGAAGCTCATGAGTCAAAGCTGAATGCCTAGTTTTGACAAGGGAGTCCAATTAAATATGCTCACAGCAAGCAGTGCTCTGGGAGATGGGTCCTTGTTGAACTGCCTTGAGATGGATAATCAGATGCTAGCTACCGAGAAATGTCCATGTGAGTCAAAGTCCAACCAGGAAAACAGAAAGCACCAAGTATTTTAAGCAAAATCTATTATGGTACCTTATTTTTAAAAACCTTAGAAAGTAATAAAAGTAATATAAACTCATTGTAGAAATTTCAGAAAATATAGACATAATCACTGTTGATGTATATGTTTTTAGTTATCTAACATGTATGAGTAATTAGAACTCTTCCACGTAGCATTAGTCCAGAGGTAATGCTAGGTCCTATTTATGGTAATAATTGAAGTTTCATAGATTTAGTCTCCTTGAATATTGGGGGACCATTAGCACCTCCTCTTCTCTACTTCTTCATAGTCTCAAATATTTTTGGGATCTTTGTTGGGAGGGGGATGCTGCAAGTGTCAAACATGAATTCACAAACAATTCTCACATATGTTGCCACTGCAGGCCTATAGCTGCTCCTCTTCCTGGAAAGAGGTTAGCTTGGGCTTGTGAGATGGTTGTACCTCATTGGACCAACAGTTAAATCTGCATCTCTTGCAGCTCAATTCTTGTAGGTGCAGCTTCAAGTACATTATAATGAAACAATTCTGCTTCTAAGCCTTTTTGCCAATCCTGTCCTGTTTGCCCTGAGATCTGTTCCTTGCCCTTCTGCTGCTGAGCCCCTAGGTGATGTTTCCCAGAAACTAGAGAATGGGAAGAAGGGAGAAGCCAGGGCAATCCTGTGCCTTACTCTCTGCTGCAGTCTTCACCCCCTACATGAGGCAAGCCCACCACGGCTCCAGTTTCCCTTGGATGTCACAACACTAGGGGCTGATGTTACCACTGCTCCCTTCTTTCCTAACAGTGGAAGCAGCTTCCTGATTATCCTAATCCCTAATGGCCTTACAGTCTCTTGTTTTCACCGGCTGTTCTATGACCTGTGCCACCAATTCAATGAATTAGATTCTCTGTTTAAAATCTGATTGGATTCTGACTGGCACAGACCTTCTCTGGATAGCCAAAATATAATCCAATATCACCTTTATTCTTCAGGCTAGGTCTTATTTTGTCTGGGAGCTCCCTCAGAGGAAATTTCTCTACTGTTTCAGCCTCTAAGAATAAAGGAGGTGACATGATGTTAGCTGAATTCATATTTCCTTCACAGCTAGGTTTGCAGCAGAGACTTGAAAAGCAAAAAGATGAGGTCATCTGTAATCCCTCAGAGGTTTCCTTCTCTTTGTCAGATAAAGAAGGGAAAATCAAAATTTGTTGAGTTACAGCAAGACTTTAAGAAGCATTGAACTGCTAGCATTCTATTGCTTAAAGGAAACTACAAAGAAACAAATCTTATTACTTATGATATAACAGCATTTGTTGTTTGATATGTCACAAATACCTAAGGCAACTGAGATAGGCTTAAGTGAGTAAATAGTTTGAATTTTGTGTTTATGGATATACTATTATTAGTTACTTTTTTTCTAAGCAATTCTTCATTGCAATCCTATACTTACCTTTCCCCCATAACATTATGAATATATTAAATGCTCTTTAATAAACAAATTGATTAGAACTTAATTACTGGAAGCTGCAAGTAATTATTAATGTGAAAGAGTTCTTACTATTTGTGGAGGACTAAGGAAAAAATGATATTCAAAGAAGTTTATTTAAAGTGGTTAGCATTTGGCTCTTAGTAAAGGGCTTGGATGGGCATAACCAATGATTACCTCTCTGACTCTCATTTTTCTAACATTTCCTAGAGCATTCTGGCCTGCTACTCAGGAACATTCCCTTTATATTCATTATTTTTCCATATGTCTTCATCCCTTTAATCATCAGAAAAATCCCCTTCTACCCCTTTAATATAAAAAGATTAATACAGATTAATTACAATGCAATAGCTTAAGTTGAGCCATAAATGCTGTATTTCAAATATAAATGTGTAAATATTTGTTAGCAATGCATTTTACGACTAATGGGTTTTATAATCATGGATAGCTGAGTCCTGGAATGGCTGACCACTCACTGTAAGAGTCAAGAGCCTTAAAATAAATTGCTATAACTATCTCTTGGGGCCTTACTGAGGTAACTGGAAACATGAAGAGACTGGTGAGCAGAATTGCTCTTCTTTATTAGTGAGTTTTTTTAAGGGCACATGTCATATTTTGCTATTTACTTTGTGTCTAGTTCCTTAGTATGGTTCTTACACTGTGTTCAGTTGAATTTTAAAAAAAGATAACAAATGATCATGGATAAAAATTTTTAAAAATCACAAAGAAAGGAAAAAATAATGTATTGCGAAGAATATTAAAGAAAAAGAATCTCATCATCTTGTTATGTAACAGCTTTTAATTTTGGCATATATATTATTTTTCCCTCCCCCACCCCCACAAGATATAACTGACAAGGTTTGAGCTACCACAAGACTCATATACTTGAGAAAATAATTTAAGTTTTCATGTTAAGGAATGCATATACAACATTGGAATTAAAAGACTAATGCATATGTGACAACTCTTTATGTCTTATAACACCACAATAGCAGATCCTCAACACCATGGCCAATTCACTGGGCCAATGGTTGAGGAAATAATACAGGGGCAGACTGAATTTTGGCCAATTTTTTCTCATAACCCAAACACAACTGGCCAAGTTCATGAAGACATTAAAATACAACTTCATACAAGTCACTTACCCTTTCTGATTTTTCATTTTATCTGATAAATGAGAATAATAATAACTAACTTACAGATGGATACATTTTAGTTCATCATGTACTAAAGCATCCATGAGACATGATCATGATCAGAGGATTAAATGAGATTCTATTCAAATCTGTTTGCACTCTGGTACCACGTAGTAGCTGTATGATACATGTTAACTCTCTTTTCTGCCATGAAACTCACCCCGTTGGTTAATCCTTCTCCTCAAAATAACCTCCAATGGTCATTGGACATTAATTACATGTTACCATTTTGTTTTGGTAATAAATGGGTCAAGGCTCTGACAATATAGATGTTATGTTATGCATAAATACACAGCTGACATCCTGACTTTGAAGGCTAGACCAACACCACCCTCCCAAGGTCACTACCACTCCAGTTAGGGAACACATGCAACAAGAATACCCATAGAAAACTTTCACTCTTTATTGATTCGGCTCTAAATCTCCATCTAAGTCTTATGTTGCTGATCCGAGCTTAACTATGGACAAAACTCAAAGGCCTCTACTTGGTACAAGGTCAGTGCTGGAAGCTGTGTCCCCTATATTCTGGGGTATTTGTTTTGTTTTGTTTTTTGGCCTAAGGCAAACAGAAGGCAGCTATGTGCATCTGCCACTGGTAGCTTTCCTCCTACTTCATTACCTTACAGCTTCATGGGAAAGGGGAGAAAGTGTAGAAACCAAATAGTTCCAAGGTAAGAGGATTGTGATCACATCTTATTCTATTTGGAATCACTTTCATCCAAAAAAAGAGCCACAACAACAAAGAGTGACCCATTTTTAAAAATGATGGCTCCATTTTGTGACCTTGAGACTACATTTTGTCCTTGTCTCATAAGAGAGTTCTGTCTTCCTGGGGACAAAGTATGTGCATATTAGAGGAGAGAGAGGAAGAGCAGAGGGTTTTAAATGCCTTATAGAGAATAAGGACTTTTTATTTGGAAAATGGAAGCACAAATAGGCAAGAGATGATTGAAATGAGCAAAGGTGAACCAACATTTTTAGTTTTGACACAGTCTATGCAGATTTTCTGGTTACCAGTGTCCTAGAGAATGAGTGGAAAAGTACATAAATAATTATGCCTGCAAAACTGGGAGCTTTTCTGGGGTCTGAGCTTTGGGCATGGGGATAAATAAAATTCTCTGTGCCTGGAAGCATGTGTACACATTGTGTATGGCAGGAGGGAAGGGGGCTGGTGGGAGGGGGCTCATTTGCAGGCCAAGCAGCGTGGGCAGAACCATTTGAGGAAACTCCCGTAACATTCACCAGCTGCAGAACTGTGTGTATTCATGAAGGGCCAAATTTACACACTCTTAAAATAAACATAATGGAATCAACCAGAGATAGTTTTCAAATGAAGTCCCTTCCCACATCAACAATCTATATATCCAAACCAATCTAAGAGCAAAAGAGAAGGAAAACTGTTTCAGCAGGTAATACTCGGATAAATCAGAAATGAAAACCATGGTAGCCAGCGCATTGACCAAGAAAGATTCATGCTAAGCAATCAGAAAATGCATTTATTTTGTTTCCCAGTCTCCCTTTAAAATGTATTTAGTGGGAATGGTCCTTTCCTTGCTTCTTGATGGAAACTTAGGAGAAGCTCCAGAAGCTTTCAAGTCACTCTTAAATAATGAAGTTTGATGGTCACATTAAATCACAATTGTCATCTCATTAGCAGTTGAAAATTATCTGTTACAAACCGTAATCAAAACCAAGAACCTGACTGAATGTTAGAGCATCTTCCCTCTCTCCTCCAGGAGGACTGGGGCGGAGGTGGAGCATATGTGCCTTTTCTCTTTCCAGCTTTACCTTCTCTTGTATCAGTGGCTACTGACTCTGACCCTGCCAGTGGACAGGGAGAAGAGGGGTCAGAAAGAGGGGGTAAATGTGGCAGAATGTGTTTACCCATCCACCAAAGTCCAAAGTCAGCCCTGAGCAACCTGTCCCCATATGATGATTTAAGTTGACTCTTACCAGAGCTTGGGTGGATTCTCAGGTGACCCCATTATGGGGCCCCACTGGTAGTCAAAGTTCTTGGGGCCTTTCCTGCCAGGAGGCTTCTTATCTTCTTGCAGCTTCTGCCCTGTTATGAGGTAGGGTGGCTGGTACCCCACTTTCTGTTGCTGGGGGACTCCTCTTGCCCTGGCGGTTCAATTTCTTGGGCAATTTGGTGGTGGTGGGGAAGTGGTAGGTCCATAGGTAAAGAATGATAGAGGAGAGGGAGAGCCTTCCTGAAGATGAAGGAATCAAGGTGGGTCTCTTTCTTCCTTCTTCCTGAGCCATGGGGAGAAAAGAGTCCAATATAAGAAGAAGGTGAAGAGAGGAGGGCAGGTTCCTATTTGATAGAGTGGGATAGACCCCTCCAAAGGAAGCTGAGAGCTCAGAAGAGAGCTAGGAGAAGAAACTGAAAATGAGTATAATATTGTAAATATCTCCTTGGAGAAAGAGGTGAGGGGAGAAAGAGATGAAAGGCACGGAAATAACTAGAGAGGATGAATGAAGCAGCCTGAATTCTTATCTCCCAAACATCTAGAATGGAATAATAGTCCACCCTTCCTCCTAGTGATTCTTCCTTGATAATCAGAATCACTTAGCTTACTTCCTGTTTTCTCTTGGTCACTACCTGGGTTTGGGATGTTGCTAGTGCTCTCTGTTCCCTAATCGCAAGGACACATATAAAGCTCTCCCAGGGTTGTGTTAAAGCCCCTTCACAGGCATAGGATTAGGAGATTCCATACCCCCTTCCCTACTGGGAGGCAGATGTGAGATTCAGACCAACTCTTCTTCCAAATAAATCCTCCTCATAAATACACCCTCCTTTTATATCCTCCTTGCAGATCAGTTATTTGGCTGTTCCTTATTCAAGGCAAGTGGCCATTCATTGATTGTCTTACCTAAAGCTGAGGCACATTAAGTGTTGCCTTAAGATTGTCCAGTTTCTGACTTTGCCTTGGCCGTGAAAAACCACCTTAGTATGAGTAGGTGGCAAGTGGGATTTAATCTTGTCAGTCTAACCTCCCTAAAATACACAGCAAAGCAAAACTTCCTCAGACTCAGTAAAGCCTTGTACTTTATAGCCAATTGAAATGACTCATGTTTCTTATCTTGGTGGCATGTGGCAAAGTAAATCAATAATCAATGTTCCCCCTTTTCCAAGATAGATGCTGCTACTAATAAGGTAGCCTCAGATATGCTTCTAGACACCAAGAGCATGATTTTATTGCTTTTTCTACTTTCTCCCACCCACATAGAAATCAGTTCAATACCCATTATAACAGGGGCGGCACTGAAGGCCCTAGAGATCACTCAGAATGTTCACCTCTCTGCCAACACCGAATTTACCTTTGGAAAAGCATTTCAGCAACTGCATGAGTGCTCAGGGAGTTCCTTGTTGATAAATTTTCTGAAAGAGCTTGCTTGTGGCCCTCTGGACATTTTCCAGTACTTATTAATGCCTTGCCAAGTTAAAGTGTCTAAATTTCCCATAACTAGATTAGTATCAGATTTTTCAAGCTACTATCTGTAATGTTGCTAAAAGAAAGGGAAACGCCAAAACAGAATAGGACATCGGTGTCATGTGATTGGCAGCTGATCCTCTGCTAATACCATCTTGGATGTGAATATTCATCACACACCTATATTTTATGATAGAACATGAAACCCCAACTCATAGCATCTATGTGGGTCCATTGGATCTAAGCTTAATATCTATTTTATATTATTTTAGCACTCCTCCATTTAACTTTTAATTTTCTCCTTTGAGAAATGTCTCATAAAACAGAGGAAACCTTTTCTTAAAATAAACCATCTTTGGATTCTTCCTCTTTCTGGTGATGTCAATGTGACTTAACACCTCTGAGCCTCACCTATAAAATGGGGATAATTTTGACTTCTCTCAGAATTGGTAGTATTAAATTACATAACAATATATTAAGTCCTTGGAAGGGAGCTCAATAAATATTTACTCAAGTTGTGATAGATAGAGTTATGGGTCATTTTCGAAAGCATCTGCTAGGCAGCCTGGGGCCAATGGATTGCTTATCACTGTCTGTAGTCTAAGCTTCTTGTCAAGATGTTCACGGAAGTGGCATGGCTTGTCAAGGTGGCACAGCAAAATTGGAATAGATGAGAACTTTAACCTGTTTCTCTTGCCCCATGCTCACTGCACTTGCTGTTCCTTCTATCACATCTTGCTATCATTTGTTAAAGATGATGGTTTTAAAATATCATTACTTCTCATTTTAATTAATATGGCATCCTATGGGAGATGTTCTAAATAATTTAATACATTTAAGACCTATTGTGAAATAAATTTTGCTTACAAATTGCTAAAAGATAAACACCGTATAATTTAAAAGTTATATAATTATTAATGCAAGCAGTACTCTCATACGCATTTATTCATTTCTGAGGCTAATCATTTAGGGGAGTTTTCAGAGAAATTAAGTTACTTCTCTCCTTAATAGGGCACAAAACCTTCAAATTTGGAAATAATGTCATTCTTTTTACTACAAAGACTGGTAATCTCAAATGACTATCAAGCAAATATATTTCTCAGAGGTGTCATACTGGATATCTGAACATTCTACCAACATAAAACAATTTTCTATCTTTCACCCATTGAGAAGACTTATGTGCAAAATTCAAAAGAGGAGGAAATAAAATACTTATAAGATGGTTGGTGCAATTTTAATTCTATTTTCAACATTTCTCAGACCAAGAAACATGTAACAGACATTATTGAAAAAAAAAAGATATAAAGTGAAAATAATACTGTTGAAATGAAATATTCTTTTAAGGATTTTTGTTTTGTTTGGATTTTTTTTCTGGGTTGTAAACATATTCTGTTTTAATAAAGAGTAATCTCTTACATTTGCATACCATTTGACTAATGTGGCCAGAAAGATTTTTCCATTGATGATCTCATTTTTAAAATGCCTATTTAGGTTAATTTCAGATAGGTAAGTTTAATTATAATCTCTTTAAAGAATGCAGGTGAGGATTTAGGGGATGAAATATTTCTGGAATCTATTGAAGAAGTGCATAGAAAATGCTGGTCACCTGGATAATAAAAGGGAGGTCACCTGTTCTTTAGAGACGAAGAGAAAATGTAGCAAGAAGGTTACTTTTGTGAGTTGGATCAGGGAGAAATTTGCATTTGATGTAATCAGTGATATGGGAGGCAAAACCATCTTTGGAGAAGGATGGGACGTGAAGAGAAAGGTGAGTGGCAGCATCTATGTTGAGTGAATGAACCACTTGGTTGTGACTACCTCAGTGTGAACAACATAGAAGGGGCCAGTGAGAAGGGCAGGTGTTGCAAAGCTTGGTAGATCGATTACATTTAAGTCTCCAAGGCTTGAGTTCTTCATCTGTACATTACGGAAAATGTCAGGGATGATATGAACATTGAGTTAGATTAACATAAGAAAAGCTCCCAGGGTAGTTAGTGCCTGGCATGCAGTGAGCATGTTAGTGCCTTTCTCTTCCTTGTATAATGCAGTAACATATCAAATAATAAAGCACAGATTGGGTAAAATAATTTGCAAATTACTTTCCAGTTCTCATATTTTATACTTTTATGAAGACTTGTATTACCCTCTTTGCAATTTATTACTTTGAAAATTACAAGACTTTAGGACAATTATAGATCACTGATAGAGCTTTCTTTCTTCTACCCATCCCCTTTTCTTTTACTTTACCTATTTTTCGAAATATAACATGAATAAGGAAATCTTTGCTGCATCTTTAAATGGTAAAATTTAACATAGCTGTGGGGATAGTACAGTCAATCTATTAATTGCACTTACATTTAAATTTTATACTTGTGAGTAAAATGTAGTTCAATACAGTTTGAGCCAGTTTATTTTTTTGGTTATGAGAGCCATTTTTCATTTCATGTTACGGAAGCTGGATACAATTGTTTGATTTAGAAAAAGAGGCAATAAAGCCAGTGACTTGCTATGAGAACCTTGGAGAAATTTCTTAACCTCCTTGATCTTCCATTTACTGATCTGCAAACTTAGGGGAAAAAAACAGGCAAGCATGAATCATGAGGTTTAAATAAGGACTGTGAAGACGTAGAGCAGTGTCTGCCACAATGATATGATACATAAATGGTAGTTATAACCATTACCTCTAAAGTATAACAAATTTGTTTTAATTGTGTTTTTAAATATTGTTTAATAAAATGAATCTGTCTGAAAAAATGTTACCCTCAGGAAAGCAGTGACTGTATATCAGTCAGAGTTCTTCAGAAAAACAGAACCATGAGGATACACACACACACACACACACACACACACACACACACACGTACACATACATATATAAAGAACTTTATTTGGAGGAATTTGTTCCAGCAGTTGTGAGGGCTGGCAATTCTAAAATCTGTAGGGTAGGCTAGTAGGCTGGAAACCCTCCAGCAGGAGTTGATGCTGCAGTCTTGAGGCAAAATTTTTTCTTCATTAGAGAAATCTCAGTTTTGCTTTTAAGGTCTTGGACCTGGATAATGCCTACCTATACAATTGAAAATGATCTCCTTTACTTAAAGTCAAATGATTATAGATGTTAACGACATCTACAAAACATCTTCACTGCCACACCAAAATTAGTGTTTTTGTTTGTTTTTAAGACAGGGTCTCACTCTGTCGTCTAGGCTAGAGTACAGTGGGGTGGTCTTGGCTCACTGCAACCTCCGCCCCCAGGCTCAAGCAATCCTCCCACCTCAGCCTCTAGAGTAGCTGGAACTAGAGGCACGTGCCACCACTCCTGGCTAATTTTTGTATTTTTAGTACAGACAGGGTTTCACCATGTTGGCCAGGCTGGTTTCAAACTCCTGGGCTCAAGCGATCTGCCTGCCTTGGCCTCCCAACGTGCTGGGATTATAGGCATGGGCCACCTCAGCTGGTCTAAATTCGTGTTTGATTGAATACTGGGTGCTATAGCTTAACCAAACTAACCCGTCACAGATGAGAGACTGACATGAAGTGGGCTTCTAGAGTCATGGTCTGCTTCTTAATTTGGGTGCTGGAATTTTAGAAATTCTTCCAGCAGTAAACTTATGATATGATACTTTTCTGCATAATCATTATACTTTTATGCAAAGCTTTTAAATGTGTTTGTTTTTAATCTACACCCTAAATCAGTGATAGTAAGGGATTTCTTCTCAGAGAGTTTTGGCTGGTGGATGCTCCAGATGTTGTATAAAACAATATTGTGTAATTGCATCCAGGCTTGGTGGGTGATACCGTTGTATCACCTGCTGATAGCTCCCAATAAACAAGCCCAAGGAGCAAGCATGTCAGCTATGTATTTACCATCTCATTGGTTATTACAGTTTTAAAATACATGAAAACTCTATGAAGTCCTAAAGTACCCAAGGACTCTATGGAGTTGTTATATATTTTTAGAATAATGATATTGCTAACATTCTCTCTGTAAATATAGTGATGAATAGTCTAACATTCACTTAGAAGAACCCTAATGTGGCTTTCTTCTCTAGATTAATGTATCTATAGGTCTTCAGTTTTTCTTATTCTTCTAATATTAGTTAGACATGGCAAATAAAGAATATATGACTCAAAGCCTACCTTTGCTGAGTGGTAATTTTCTCAACCTTCCTGGTTGAGAAAATGCATACTAGATTCTAAGTCTCCTAAAATAAATGGTAATATATACAATTGACAATTAGTACACTTGCCTGGTTGGACAATTGTGTACCATGAAAACACTATTTCAGCTGGGATTTAGGAGACTTGGAATCTACTATATATTCTGACAAAGATTATATGGTTTTCTGCCTCCTGGTTTCTGCATCCTTGTAAGCTCAGTCTTACATCAAACTTATTATGGCCTAGATTCTTTTACATTTTTTTTGCAGACAAAGGAAATATGAAAATGTGAGAGTGCAGTTCTCCATCCTTCACAATTGGCCCAATTTTGCCAAAGATCAAGTCAAAATGGAAGGAAATTTTCCAGCAATTTCCTCTTATCTGACTCTTTAAACCTGATAAAGGCTGCATTTCATTAGCCAGGTTATTTCTGGCAGTGTTTAAAAAGGGCTTTTGGCAGTGAGTGTATTGAAGAAGGTGGCATACAAGGGAAGGTGCAGAGGCCAGGCACAGTGGCTCACGCCTATAATCCCAGCACTTTGGGAGGCCGAGGTGGGAGAATCATTTGAAGTCAGGAGTTTGAGACCAGCCTGGCCAACATGATGAAACCCCATCTCTGCCAAAAAATACAAAAATTAGCCAGGAGTGGTGGCGCATGCCTGTAGTCTCATTTACTCCAGGAGGCTGAGCCAAGAGAATCACTTGAACCTGGGAGGTGGAAATCACAGTGAGCCGAGATCCTGCCACTGTGCTCCAGCCTGCAAGACTCCGTCTCAAAAAAAAGGAAGATACTGCATGGAGGATGGCAGGAGTCCCTGTTTTTCGGTCATGCCAGATTGTTAATTTGTTTCCACCCACTCTGTTGACTGTAGGCAGGAGAAGGGCCATTTTTATGCGAGATAATCCCTTTGCAAATGAGCAGGCCATATTTTTATGTGGCATTGGGTGGAAGGATGGGACTAGGGTGAGGAGAATGAGGCACTTGTCTTGAGTACAAACTTTTAGGGAGCTCCAAAAATCTCTGAGTTAAAATAAAAACCATTTAAAAAATTATTTAAAAAATAGTATTTCTCTTGATTTATGAGTTTTTTCCTCTCCCCTTAAATATTCCCAAGCCAAGTTGAGTGAAACTCAATCTGAGATATTTTTAAAGCCCCATTTAAAATTTCTATTTCCTAAACGAAGGTTGTTTGAGGTTTGCACTTTTTCTTGAATATAAGGTTTCTCTTCAATTATTTCACTTTAAATTTATCCAAACATAGATAAGGGGAAACAGCAGGCTAGGTTTTAAAGGCAACAGTGATAATTCAAGGGATAAAAAGAGTTAAATGAGTGGAAGAAAATACAAAGGGAACATTGGGGAGAAAACCTAAGTAGAGTTTTCTGATTGTAAAAGTGATAAATACTCAATTCTTCTAATGAAATTTGAAATTTATAAATTTTAGAAAATTGTGAAGAAAAAATACTACCTTCCAAACCATCTTTACTGCCAAAAAGAAAAATGTGTTAGTAAATATCTTTACATTCTCTTTGTATCTTTCTTCCTCATTTCCTCTTCCTTCTACTTCATACACATCTATTTTCAAACATCTATCTGACACATGCTAATTTTATGTACACAGTTGTATATACTACTGTTTACACTTAACATTTTGTAAGCATTTTCCTATGTCAAATCAAATTCATATTTTCAAGTTTAGAATTTTAATAAATATTTATATGGCTCTCTATTGCTATACTATATTTTAGCTAAGCAGCTCTTCTTACTATATATTTAAGCTTATTTTTAGTTTTTGGCTATTGTAAATATTGTTAAATGTAAACATCACCTAAGGAGAAATTCCTGTAAGTTAAGTCATAAAGTCAAATGCTATGGGCCTCTGTGTGGTTAAAGATGCAATTGTCAAGTTATTTTCCAGAAAGCCTTCTTATAGAATTATTGACAACATTATGTTTTTTCCCTATTATTGTCAATTCTTAGACAGTCCTTTTCAAACCTGAGATGTATTTTCATACATCTTTATATAACATTCACTTTTTTTTTTGTTTTTTAAATAGTTCTATTTTTGATGCAGCAATTTAGTCCATTTAGTCCAGTGTAAAGGATAAGGGTTGCAGGTGCACACCTCCATCCCCCATGTTTATAGTGCTTTTGGGGCCTAGTTTAATGTAAAAATGCAGAGGTCTATGTACAAGTTGCTAACCTGATCTGTGTGGTACAAAAATTCCATGTATAATTCTTGATTATGGATTGATTATCCTTTTTTTTCTAATAAATGATCCCTTTTGCCCCATTTAGTTAAGTTTACTTTGCATTAAATTAGCCTAATGAAATCATATTACTCATGTTTCCCTTTGGTTTGTTTTTGCTTGATATACCTGTGTCCATATTGTAGTTTTACTTTTTAGAGTCGCTTTATTTTCAGCTCTGCCTTTTGTGTATGTAGCATGTAGTCAAGAAATTTTTCTTTTAACAAAATATTTAGCCTATTTATGGTTTTTTTTTTTTTTTTTTTTGAGTTGGAGTCTCACTCTGTCGCCCAGGCTGGAGTGCAGTGGCAAGTTCTCGGCTCACTGCAAGCTTGGCCGGGTTCACGCCATTCTCCTGCCTCAGCCTCCCAAGTAGCTGGGACTACAGGCGCCCACCACTACGCCCGGCTAATTTTTTGTATTTTTAGTAGAGACGGGGTTTCACCGTGTTAGCCAGGATGGTCTCAATCTCCTGACCTCGTGATCCGCCCGTCTCGGCTTGCCAAAGTGCTGGGATTACAGGCGTGAGCCACTGTGCCCGGCCTAGCCTATTTATGTTTATGTTAACTAACATGTTTGTTTTCTTTCTGTCATATTTTTATATTTGTTTTTTATTTTGTCTGTTGCTACATGAATTTTACATTTCTCAAGTGATTTTTTAGTGTTTTTATTTCTACAAATGGTTTTATTTAAATTTTCAAAAGGTAGTGCTGAATCTATATGTATTTAATTATTGCTATCAATAATGAAAAAGCTTTAATTTTTCTTTTTCTAGCAAATATGAAATAAGTCAATCTCCTGTCACAATAAAAAACTGAACAAAATATCAAAAAGAATGCCTTTCAGGACAATGGGCACAATATAATAAAGGACAGGGATTCCTGAGAGGAGATGTGGGAAACAACATTAGCCCTCTGATTGACCCAGCTTTGTGCCTTGAGAGTTTCCAGGTAGTGGGGTAGGGATGGTGAGCCCAGGCAGAGCCCAGTGGACATTACTTGTTGCGCAGACAGAGCTGGGGATTTGGACAGTAAGAGCAGCTGGAGTTCACAGGGCAGAATACAGGAATCTGAAGATCTGCAGAGCGACCCCTCAAGTTTTCTATAGATTACTGATCACTGCATGCATATGAGAAAACTACTTGAGGCTGGTGAAATAATCACTTTAAAGGGTAGAAACCACAGTACTTAATGCTCACGCAGGGATAGAAACAGTGTCTATTTCTACTAACCAGGCTGGAAAAATCTCATATTTAATTGGAGTATTAGGTAAAATACTTTGAAGTGTCTTGTTTCCATGGTAAGGAAAAATTAGCTCTGGACTAATTCTAGTTGAAACCCTGAATATTAGCATTGCTAAATGTTCTGCTCACAGAAGTCCAGAAGCAGTGCCTGTTTCTACCAGCCAGACTGGCAAATCTCATAATTCACTGGAATATTGGGTAGAGTACTCAGAGTTTCTTGCCTCCATAGTGGGAAAAATTAGTCCTAGATATTATGTGATAATTGGTTACATGTAACTAATCTTCAAAGCAAGACTTGAAATGTTCAAACTGTTTCCAAGTAATTCATCTTTGCCCCAGAAGAAAACTAAAAAATACGTATGAGAGTACAAAAGTATCCAGTACTCAACAAGATCATATCCAATCAAAATACCTTGCCATTTAATAAAACATTATCAGATATCAAAGAAACAGGATAACATCAACTATAATGTGGGAAATAAAATCAGTTGATTTCACACTTAAGCAGATGTGACACAGATGTTAGAATTAGTAGACAATGGCATCAATCACTGTAACTAAATTACATAAAATTAATAAGTAGAGACACAGAAGATATTGCAAAGACCCACATTTAACTTCTAGCCATAAATATTACAAGGTTTGATATAAAAATAAACTGACTTGGATTAATGGTAGATTAGACATCCCAGAGAAAAATATTCATGAACTTGAAAACGTATCTATGGAAATAGTTAAAATAAAACATACTGAGAAATAAAATAATTTTTAAAAAGAATCCAATAGCAGTGAACTGTGTGACAACTGGAAGCAGCCTAACTGTGTATAATTGGATTTCCTGAAGGAGAGATAAAAGTGGGAAAAGAAAATAATATTTGAAGAACCAATGTCCAACATTTTTCAAATTTTATGAAAATAATAAACATATACTTCCAAAGATCTCAATAAACCACAAGCAGAAGAAACAGAAAAAAAGAGCGATACTAACAAGCAGCAAAATGCAATTGTTGAAAGTTATTGCTGAAGATAACATCTTAAAAATAATTAGAGAAGAAAAAGACATGTTGTGCAGAAGAACAAAGGTAAATATGGACAAAACAGACTTCTTGGTGAAAACAATGCATGTAGAAAAAGTGGAGCAGTATCTTTAAAGTACTGAAACTAAAACAATAACAAACAAAAATCCCGCAAAAAATGTCAACCTAACATTCTACACCCAATAAAAATATATTTCAAAAACAAAGGCAAAAGACTTTCTAAGACATGCAAACTCTTGAACTAATTCATGGTCAGCACATCTGCATTACAAGAAATAAAGAAGTCCTTCAGACAGAAGGCAAATTATATCATGTGAAAAAGAATATATATGAAATGGTAACTACATGGGTCAATACGTAAGATTTTAAAGATATCGTTTAACTAGCTTTACAACATAAATGACTTCAAATAAAAATTATCACAATGTAGTGTTAGGTTAAAAACAAGAAGTAAAATATATGACAACGATACCTGAAAAGTCAGAAATGGAGGAATAAAATTACACTAGGTAAAGTTCTCATTTTATGCATGGAATGGTATAATATCCCTTACATTTAAATTGGGATAAATTAAAGACATAGGGTCTAAACCCTAAAGCACCAGTAGAATAACAAAACCAAAATTAAACTGTAAAATTTATCTGTACCTTTTTGGCACTATAGAATTGCTATAGCTACCATTTTGTTTGATTTGTAAAAATTGATTCTGACATCTGGCCAATTACGGACCAATATCTTAGTTTCACGTCCTTTTGTTTTGTATATAATTCAATAGGCAGGGACTGAAGGGTGGATCTAGCCTGCTATCTAGATCCCCAAAATCTAAAACCACTTATGAAGCATTTGTTCTTTTCCCTTTCTTTCCTATTTGAAAATGTCATGTTATACACAGAATGATTGAAAACAGCTCCAAATTCTTTTCAAGTGCTGCCACAGAGATGTCACTGTAAAGGTCCCCTGATGCAGCTGTTAAAAAAAGTTGTATTTTTTTTTTCTATTCTTATAATTGGTAGGAACCTCACTGTGCCAACACAGAGCTGGTGGATGACTCTGTATTTTCTCTGAAATGGAAGTTATACTAAAGACACAGGCTTCCAATTTTGTTGTCAAATTTCTTTCTTTTTTCTTTTTTTTTTTTTTAAGTTGAGATGGTGTCTCACTCGGTCGTCCAGGCTGGAGTGCAGTGGCACGATCTTGGCTCACTGCAACTTCTGCCGCCCAGTTCAAGCGATTCTGCTGCCTCAGCCTCCCAAGTACCTGGGATTACAGGCGGCACCACCATGTCCAGCTAATTTTTGTATTTTTGGTAGAGACGGGGTTTTGCCATTTTGGCCAGGCTGTTCTTGAATTCTTGACCTCAGGTGATCCTCCCGCCTTGGCCTCCCAAAGTGCTGGGATTACAGGTGTGAGCCACCATGACCAGCCAAGTTTCATTTTTATGACCTGTAACAAATTGGGATAGACATTATAGACTTGTAAGGAGCTAAGTATAAGTTTCTGGCTTGCTTCCAACTGATATGCTACACACATTTGAAAAACAAAGCCATCATCATCCTCAGCACAGTCTCCTAATTCATTCTTAAACTTCCTTTCAAGGAAACAAGTTTATGCTGAATAATCATTTTATCTAAACCATTTGAAATCTCACTGTTACAAATGGCACTTAACAACCATTCCTGAGACTTCAAATTTCTCTAACTCATTTTTTTTTCTGCAAAAATTCACTGATCAGCTACTGTGTTCCAGGTGAAAATCTCATTACAGAAGACTCAATGATGAAATAAGCTATTATAATAACAAGGCCACTCCTGTCATGCAAATCACATTTGACTGCGGAACACAGGCAATAACATGTAAACAAATACAATAATTTCACAAATTTTAAATACTAAGAATAAAGGTAGAATGATGGAGTGAGGGAAGGCACCATTTCCCAGGATCCCTTGTGATGGCATGACTGGAAAGAAGGCACCATTAGATGATGCAGCAACATATGCCCCCTCCCAAGGAGATTAATTTTGGAAGGAGCCATTCAAGCATAGATGGGAGAAGAGAATTCCAGGCAGAGGAAACAGCAATGCAAAAGTTCTAAAGCAGATACAAGTTTGGTGTGTTCAAGGAACAGCAGAAAGCATTAGGCTGAAGCATCATGAGAGAGGAAGACCTAAGTCGTGGATAAAGTCCTGAGGGCAGAGTAGGGTCTTTTGTTCATGGTAGCGATTTGGGATTCAAGTATGATCAAAAACCTTTTGAGGACTTTAAGGTAGTCATAATCTGATTTATAATTTTGAAAGAACACTTTAGATGCTCTGTGGGAAAAGGATTAAAAGGTGGAGAAAGTCGAATTTAGAAGCAGTAGTTCAGAGGCTATTGCAGAACTCTGTGATGCTGGCTTATGCAGCACTGGAAAAGGGGAACAGCGGACAGATGAAAGGTATATTTTGGAGGTAGTGCTGATAGCATCTGGTATGTAGAGAATTGCTGTTACCTGAGAATAATAGTTACCATTTGTTTTCCAAATAATATTAAAGAGAACTTTTAAGAAAAACATTTGTTTGTTTTCCCTACCAATTTATATACTGTATTATTTTTCCATTTAAATCCAAACAGTATTCTTTTATAACCCTTCATTCTTTTCTTAATACTTTCATACACATTGTTCTTTTAATCCTTATACCATCCTTGGGAGACAAACAATGCAGATTTTCTTATTCCAGTTTTTATAAAGAAACTGAGCTTCAGACAGTGTAATGTGACTCATTTAAGGTTGCCTAGCAAGTCAAGCTATAAATTAGGATTCAAAGCCCAATTCATCAGGCTGTTTTCATACAGTATAGCACAGCTGAGCACATAAGAGAAGGATCTGATAAAAGGGTCACCATCTTACCCCTTTCATTTGCAGTTCTTTAGGAGTACCTCATCCCCCCTCATATCATCATGGAATAGTTCTTTGGTGGCAGAGTAAAGAGGGTTATTTTTCTCTTCTGCTTCTAATTGTCAGAGCTACTAACACTGTGAGACAGGGCATTTTCCTCATTACTTAGTGCCATCATGACGTGGTCAGGAACTCATTCTCTAATAACGACTGGGGAAGAAGTTACAGAAACAAGAAATCCACAGAAGAATGCACCATTAAGGTGCTTTGGAGCAGTGAGGACACTCAACAAGGAGAATCAAGAGTAATCAGTGCTTACCCAAAAGCCATAATGTGCGCAAAAGATGAGGGTTATGAGAAGGAAATTAAAACAGCAAGGGTGAAACTCATTTGAACAGTCAAAGTTACCTTGAAAGAAGTTAAAATTTGATGAGTGTAGCCTATCATTGAATACAGTTCACCTACTGTCAGATAATCTGGTGCATAAAGCCCCAAATTTCCTCCAAATTTGAATGAGTTTGTGAACATATCTTTATTTTACAGAGGATAAACCTGCATCTTTTTTTCCCCAGAAAGTGTACTAGTTTGAGTAGAATAGTTTATAAATCATATGGTATTATGTCAAATGTATTATTAATTTTATTATTATTATTTTTTGAGATGGAGTCTCTGTCACCCAGGCTGGAGTGCAGTGGTGCGATCTCAGCTCACTGCAAGCTCCACCTCCCAGGTTCATGCCATTCTCCTGCCTCAGCTTCCCAAGTAGCTGGGACTACAGGCGCCCGCCACCATGCCCAGCTAATTTTTTTCATATTTTTTAGTAGAGATGGGGAATTTTATTATTTTAAAATAATTCAACAAATAGTTACTTAGTACCTAAGCACAGCACCACAATGAACGTAATCTACTCTTGCTCTCTCCCTCCACTCCAAAATTGCTGGCCATCTGGCTGTTCCTGGAACATGCCAGACATACATTTTTCTCATGGCTTAGATTTAGCCTATTCTGTTTCCCCTGCCTGAACTTTCTTATTCCAGAATCTTATTTCATTTATTTTCTCACCTCCTTCAGGTTTTCCTCAAATGTCACCTTCCCACAGAGGCCTTCCCAGGATATCCCATGTAAAATTCCAAAGTCACCTTTGCCTCCACCACTACCATAACACACACACATTTCATATCCTCCTGTTTTCCCAAAAATGTAAACTTCCTAGGGGCAAGGATTTTTGTTTTGGTTGTACCTTCAGGACCTAGGACAGTGCCTGGTACATAGTAGCTAATATTAATAATATGTTTTGAGAAAATGAATGAATGAAATTAATCCCTGCACCCAAGAACTTGCAGTCTAGACTGGAAATTTCTATGTCATATGATGATTGTTACGGAAAGGTTAGCACGGGATGTTTTGAGCACACGGAGTTCGCAAGTCACAATAGGGATGGGGAAGACAGATGAAAGATGTTACTAAACTGATACCCAAATATTAACTAGGAATTAGGTTTAAAAAGAAGACATTGATTGAATTGTAAACATTTGACTTAGATTTGGTCATGGCCATAGAGTAAGGTATTACTGTCTATCTGTACGCAGAGCTAGAGCAATAGCTTTGACAAGCACACATCCAGAAAGTAAAAGTTAATAACTAAAAGGCACCTTTTGAGTTATCATGAGACATTATCACATTTAAACCCCTTGAACTGTGATATTTATATAGATGACACACTGATATAAACTCATAAACTCATTTTCGGGATATTAGTTTGTAAAATTGCCGTTTGCTTTTACTTGGCTTTGATTCACAAATTTATCACTCAAGGAAGTTTAATTTCTCTTCTACCCATTTATAATTTCTGTTACATACAACATAGGTGTGTGATGACAGCATGTATTCGAAGGTGAGATTCACATTATATTATCTACAGATTTATTTGTTTTAAATCATTTAGTCATAACCATTTATTATTAAACAGCTAATAGCAACACTGAAATAACAAATATAAAGGTGATACACATTTAGAGTAAGATTGTAAGTAAACTATGCTGTTATTGAATTCTCCACCTTAACTATTTTGCATGTTAACAGGGAAACCACTGGTTCATAGCTAAAAAGGACAAGAATGCTTCCTGGATTAAGGGTCTCCAGGGAGAAGTAAAAAAAATGATCTTCTCATTTCTGGCTCCTACCTCTCTGTAGGGACTACACTGGTCTTCATGGCAAAGGCAGAAAACAGAAAAGTCTTGGTTACATAAGTGCGTCTTCTAGCAAAGAGTGAAATGCTTTTTTTACCAGTGGTAAGGGAATAATATTCCAATTTCTGCCTAAAGAAACAAAGAGAGCATGCCCTTCTACAGAGAGCAGTCTAGCTGTGTGTTGCTCACTCAATGTTGCTCCTCCACTCAGCTGGTTTCCCTGGTAAATTGGATTGCCCCTAGCAACCTCAACTTCTCAAATTGTTATCTTTTGCAGAGTTGGCAGCTATAAATCTAAGCTCATATTGGAAAAGAACAGCGTTCAAATAGAAAACACAGCGAAAGTATAATCATACCTTTAGCATTTTATTACAAGTTTCAATAACTGCTTTTTTACACGACATTCAAATGATGATGATGATGATGATTTTTTAGAAAAGTGGTTCTCAACTCTGCTTGCACTTTAGAATTACCTGGGACACTTTAAAAAATAGCAATGCATAGATCCTCCCCCAGAAACTTGTACAAGTTGATGTGGGTGTGACCTTATTCCATTTTTATTTCTCTGACATGAGCAACCAACATTAATACGAGTGTGTGTGTGTGTGTGTGTGTGTGTGTGTGTGTGGCAGAGGGGTCAACGAAGACATAGGCCAGAGCACTTGGCTTTAAGATGCAGATATTACTACCTTCTACACACATAGCCTTAGGCATATCTCTTGGCATCCCTAATCCTTAGTTTGCTTATCTTAAAAGTAGAAGGCCGGGCGCGGTGGCTCACGCCTGTAATCCCAGCACTTTGGGAGGCCGAGGCGGGTGGATCATGAGGTCAGGAGATCGAGACCATCCTGGCTAACAAGGTGAAACCCCGTCTCTACTAAAAATACAAAAAATTAGCCGGGCGCGGTGGCGGGCGCCTGTAGTCCCAGCTACTCGGGAGGCTGAGGCAGGAGAATGGCGTGAACCCGGGAGGCGGAGCTTGCAGTGAGCCGAGATTGCGCCACTGCAGTCCGCAGTCCGGCCTGGGCGACAGAGCAAGACTCCGTCTCAAAAAAAAAAAAAAAAAAAAAAAAAAGTAGAAATAGCAATATCTGCCTGTTCTTTGAGTGTGTTTGCTTGTTGGAATCAAATAAAAAAATAACTTTTAAAATACTTTGAAAGTACCTTAGAAATTGTATACATTTAAGGTGTACAAATGCAGTTTTATTACATGGATGTATTGTGTAGTGGTGACAGCTGGGCTGTATAATGTACATTGTACCCATTAAGTAATTTGTCATTCCTCAACACCCCCCCACCCTTCAAAGTCTCCAATGTCTATTCTTCCACACTCTATGTCCATGTGTACACACTATTTCACTTCCACTTAAAATTATTTGTGTAAATATGTAGTATTTGGCTTTCAGTTTCTGAGTTGTTTCTCTTAAGATAATGGCCTCCAGTTCCATCTATGTTGCTTCAAAAGACGTGATTTCATTCTTTTTTATGGCTGAATAGTATTCCATTGTGTGTAAATGCCACATTTTCTTTAAGCATTCATCTGCTGATGGACACTTAGGTTGATTCAAAATCTTTATTATTGTGAATAGTGCTGTGATAAATATATATGAGCAGGTATCTGAAAGTACATTTTAAAACATGCTGCAGTAGCTATTTGTTACTTTTTGGCTGCCTGCCATCTATTTTACCTTGGAACAACCAAGAAACTGTACTCCACTTCCACACATGACCAAAACCAGAGAATTGGAGTCCCTTCCTAAAAGGTTTGAGAGTTTCAGTGGTTGCTTTTCCATTCAGTCCTAGTGGTGGAACTGTGATATGTCTGCTCTAAGATCCTAGTCAATGCCTTACTCCCCAGCCTGCAGAGATGCCCTGGTGCCTCTGAACTTGGTAACTTCATTCTCCATCTTCTTTTTGTCATTACATAATTGCAACTACTCTTCTCTATACTAAACTAAAATTATTCAGCCATGACCTTTAACAAATATCTCATTTCCTTGATATTTCCATGAAGACCCAGGTTCCCTGCAGACTCAGGTGGTCTGAGAAGAACTGGGAGAGGGTGCTAATCTGCTCACCCACAGTACCTGCTATCTGACTTGACTTGTTCTGATTTCTGTATTCTTCTTGGGCTCCTTTGAGAAAATGATCTCGTGCCCCTTTTCATAATATACATCCTTTTCTTAAGAATGCCTAGGAAGAGAGAGAATAATCTCTTAAAAGCAGAAATACTATGCAGCCATGGAAAAGGTCGAGTTCATGCCCTTTACGGGGACATGGATGAAGCTGGAAGCCATCATTCTCAGCAAACTAACACAAGAACAGAAAACCAAACACTGCACATTGTCACTCATAATTGGGAGTTGAGCAATGAGAACACACGGACACAGGGAGGGAACATCACACACCAGGGCCTGTCAGGGGGTGGGGGGCTAGCGGAGGGATAGTATTAGGAGAAACACCTAATGTAGATGATGGGTTGATGGGTGCAGCAAACCACCATGGCACATGTATACCTATGTAACAAACCTGCACGTTCTGCACATGTACGCCAGAACTTAAAGTATAATTTTAAAAAAAGGAGAAATCAGAAGGAATGAGGAACTTTCTCGGTATATGACATGTTCAGTTAAAGAAGGAAGGCTGCTGGTTCTAGCCTTGGATCCATCACTGGTTAGCCATGGACAGGAAATTTAACCTCTCTGTTAAATTATGTCTATATCTGTAAATGAAACTTAGAAGTTTATTGTGTTAAGCAATTGAGAGTGTTATAAAATAAGTACTTACAGATACCAGAAAATGTTAAATGTTGATAATGGTGGTAATGGTTATGATAAGTAAGAAGAAACTAGGCTGTGGATTTAATTTGAAATATATATGTATATTGTAAAAAAGAATTATATGTTTATATGTGACATATTTTATTACATAAAATATATATTTAATAAATATATAATGTATACAATATATTATATATATTTTGTGTGTTTTAATTACATATATGTTAGTGTATATTATACACTAATATTTTTGTATAGCTATTATTTTTAATTGATTTCAGTAGCTACTTCAATTGGCCTGAAAACAAAAACATTGCTGATTATTCAGTGCCCAAACCCTCTCAGAAGACAGTCGAGACACAGAGCTATGGATTGCTATGAACTTTTCTGTTTTGGGGATCTTTTCTTCCTCTAAGGAAAACAATTTATTTTGTGGCAAGGAAGATTTACAGTTAGTAAGCTGTGGTCACCTTACTTGAGAAAACTTTTTCTTTCCTACCAATGTTACACATGTACTGTGCTTATGCACACACATGCAAACACACACACACACAAATCGGGGTTAATCAATGCTAAGTCTATTGCAAGCATAGAAAGCAAAATGCTTCAGCATCATCTTTGAAAAAAATTGCTCATTGTTATCCTGCACAACACATCATAGTCAACTTGTTCTCACACAAAAGCTTTGCTTTAACTGCTGTGGAGTTCTGTTTAAAGAAAGTAAAAGGACATGTCCTTAATTTTCAGCTTCCATGAGTTTCAACAGTTTTTGTTAATTCTGATGCCCACCTGGAAATAACATATCTTGTATTTACCAGTGGGCAGAACATGTACTGCAAAAATCTATCTGAATTTGATAACAAGAATGTGTGATGGGGTTATTAGTGGTTAACTGCCTCCACTTCTCCTGGCACTTGGCCTGGGTCAAGCATTTATTGATTCTGGTTGCAGTTTGACAAGATGGTGTTGCAGTTACAGAACAGACATTGTTAGGAGTGTGGGATACTTGAGAACATGCTGAGAGGTTCTTTTGTCTGAACTTTAATTGGAAGAATAAGGTAATGTATTCAGGCATTTGGGACATGTGTAATTTCCTTAGGAGAAGGCTGGGAATCCTGGGGAGGAAAAAAGTGGAGGGATTGAATATGAGGGTTTTTGTGGGCCAAGCTTTCTCAACATTATGCAAATAGCAGAGAGTCAACAAAGGCACAGAACTGGAGGACTCAGGTTCTGACTGATCTCTCAGGCATGTCTACGAACTTACCTAGAAATAACTGCTTTTGTCTCTGTCAGTTGAGTTTGGCTTCTATTATCTTTGAGGCCTTGGACAAGTTACTTAACTACTTTAAAGCTTCAATTTCAAAAGTGAGAATAGTATCTACAAAGCAGGCATATTTTATGTGAAGGAAGGATTCCTAAATGCTTTATTCAATTAAAAATGCATATATGTCAAAATTAATCCTAGAAAGTAAGGCCAGGAATTGATTTGATTAGGTCTGGAGCCAGGCTGCAAGAGTTTAAATTCTACCTCTGCTACTCAGAGCTTGCACATCACATTTTCCTTCTCTGCAAAAGAGGGATAATAAGAGTGTTGCTTCATGGAATCTTCTTTTTTGTGAAAAATAAATAGCCTGAGATCTATGAGGTGCTTAATGTTCAAAAAGTATTAGATTTTATTGTAACAATTTTTATTTTCCTGCAAAAGTAGCACATCCTCACATGACCAAAACATAAATATCATTTAAAATTCTCTAGGCTTGTCTTTTAAATTAGGCAAGTCTTCATAATATTTTAAATTGGAATACATTTGCTATATTTGAAATTTTGTAAATAAAGTGAGAATGTGTTGATATTTTTACATTGAACTATTTCATATTTGCATACTTAAAATTTGTGTGATTCCAATTTGTATAAAATGTGAGTAGCCCTGTATCTCAGTGGGATGTCATGAGCATTAAATATGCTAATGCATGCCAGTCTTATTTAGCCCATGGCCTGACATTATTAATAATAATGATCTCTAGGCAGTAAGAACTAAGATTGGGCTCTTGAGACAGAAAAAAAAAATGCTGTTTCTTCCCCCATGGCATCTTGCAATAATTTACCAGTGCTTGGCTGTCTTTTTATCCTAGCACAGAGCTGGTTTATACAGAAGCATAAGGGAGGTACTTGATAATTTTTATCTACTTCTCTCCACATCAGGAAGAGTTTCAGAAAACTAGGGTAAACTCCATCAAACTCTCTTCCAATTCCATACTGAGAGATGCTGATATTTACCTAGGATATCCTCATCTTTTTCACTTGGGCAAAAGGCATGTGAAGTTTAGATCTTAGAGAAAAATATCTTAGTATATGAGAAGTTGGTAAAAAAAAAAAAAAAAAAGTCCTCAGGGCTCTTGCTTTCTTTATCACACTGCCCCTGACCAATAGATGTCACTTTTAATCATGCGGACTCTAACATCAAATTTATTCACTGAGGACAAAAGGCTGTTGAGGGTTTATGCCAGATCCCTGCCTGTCTCACCAGAATCAGAATCAAATTTCATTTATCTATCTATCTATTTATCTATCAATCAATTGATGTATTCTTCCTCTTTTTCTTTTTTCATGTATTCATCAAAAATATTGAGTCAATTACATGTTAGGTCCTGTGCTAAGTTGTGGAAAAAAAAATAAATGGGTCATAAGCTCTTAGCACACATATAGTCTATAGTAAGAAGGACTGACAATCAATCATTATAGAAAGTAAATCATGGTGAACTGGCAAGAGTGTAGACAGAATGCTGGAAGACTCCTCAGTGAATTGTCCTCAGGTCAGAGCCATCTGAGCAGGCTGCTGCAGAAATATTCTTTCCCTCCTTTCTATCCCTTAGGATGGCTTGGTTTTTTTTGAGCATGGAGAGAAGAACAAGGAGTCAGTCAATACAGAAATACTTTGAGGAACTTCATCTCAATGTTAGACATCTTGCTTCTGAAACTACACCCTGAACAGTGAGTTTCATTACATAGATAATCTTCCTTTCCGAAAGATAATTAGCTGTCTAGTGATTTCTGACCTGAGAGGCTTGGGACTCAATCATGAAATATAAACCTACATATTTTGTATCTGAGCACAGCTGTTTTTTATAAGTACTAAGACCCCTGTGAAATGCTGACTTCTTCTCAATCTGGAGATCAAACAACTTGTGTGATTTTCCGGCCATGCCAAGAGTTTTCTTCCTCCCCCCTCCTCTCTCGTCACATAGATCTAAAAAGGCATTTTTAGACCTAAGGGTAAACTAGAAGACAACCTGGCAAATAAATTTCTGGTGCCATGTTTCATTAATACCTTTCAGTGGCAGTGGAAAGGAGTGCCGTCAGAGTGTAATTTCACTTACAAAGTCAAGCAGAAAATGAATTTCTCTTTGTGCCAAGTCTGTATCAGTGAGCATGACTGTTTTGAGGCCAGCTTCTGAAATCAAGGGAGTCAGTTCAGGGGAGCATTAAATTACCACAAAAAGGAAAACAATTTGCATCATTGAAGTGTAATAGGAGTGGAGGAAGATTTTTACATGAAATACAGCCTTTTAAAAAGTTGTTTTATAAAAGACGACTTTAATGCTCTCGTAATGCTTTCCTAAAGCAATTATAATGCTACATTAGTCCTAACTTCCTGGACTACCATAGTGTTCAGTCAATTATAACTGAGGTTAAAAAATGTGTGACAATATTCCTGTTGGTGATGAGAAGGTGATTAATGTCTAAAAATGGAACACACTCCAGGTCCCACAAGATCTACTGGAAGGTCAGCCTAAACTCTCTTACTTGAACTTCCTTTACAGCATGAAGAATTCTTTCTGGGCTGCTACAGAAGCTCTTGGTCTTTGGGGTCATATTTTCCTGGGTTAAAAATATCACCTCTGCTATTTTGAGGCTGTGTGAGCCTGGACAGTTTGTCAAATATTTTAAGCCTCACCTTTCTTATCTGGAACATGGCAAAAATAGTACCTATCATATGATTCTGTTAACATAAACTAGGTGGCATATGTAAAATACTAACAAATGCTGACAAATGATGCAATTTACCTCTCGAGTCTTTTCCTACATAAGGGTAAGGGCTATACTTTATAAGCACACTTCAACAGGTAAGTGTTTTGGTCCCCAGAGAATGAGGCAAATGGCTTATGGAGCATCTTTATTCCCTCAAGGACAGAGTATGAAAATGTAGAATAAATGATCAATGTCATGAGAGGGGAATGTGAAAATAAGATCGATTGAGAATATAATGCATTAATGTACTTATTAAGATTCATTACTGTGACTTTTGCAAAATGGACTGATTTTGACCATGTATTTGGTACCATGAGTTTTAATGACCATCTTCAAAGTTGCTGGATTCTAAAACTCTTTTGAGTGTCACTGGATATCAAGGTCTTCCTTTTATCAGCCAGATGTATGGAATTCCGATTTCAACCAGCTTTTTTTGTGATTTTTCTTTCTCCAGTTGGTGTGACGACATAACGTTTGAATAATTCCAGTTATTTTGGCCTTGTTTTATCTGATTAGTTTGTTTTACTCTATGTCACATGTCATAAAATATAGACCAAATTACAGTGCCATCACTGTAATCTATTCTTCACACATGGAGTCATGGTGATCTTATAAAAGAATCAATTGAAGAATGATGTTTCCCTGTGTAAAATCTTCAAACGTATTTCTTTATACTAAGGATAAAATTCAAACCTCCTGTCATAGGCATGATAGGGCTTCCGCATACCCTGACCTCATCTCTCCCTGTTGTCTCCTTTAGTCACCACACTCTAGCCCCACTAGTCTTTCCCCTCCTGGATTATTTTGCCAGCCTTGTTCTGACCTCCAGTCCTTTGCCACCACCGTCTAGAATGGTCTTTCCTAGGACCTCACATGGCCGACTCCTTGTTATCATTCAGCTTCTAGTGCAAGGGTTAATGCCTCAGAAAGACCTTTAATCTAAAGTAGTCACCTCCTCCTTTTCATTCTATTTTATTTCCTTTTTAGAATGCATCACTATGTGAACTTATTTGGCTTATCAATTTATTTTCTTTAGACTGTGTGTCTCCAGCACCTCCACCACCAGCACCTCCCTGACCCCCACTAAAATCTAAGTTCCATTTAAAGTGAGGGGATTTACATCTCTACTATTTGGAACGGTGCATGCTACTTATTCAATGAATAAATAAATGTGTTTTTTCTTACTGTAAGCCTTCTTGCTTAGTGTTTTTGTCTTCAGAAAGACTAGCTTATAAACATCTGAACTAAAAATAGATTAGTGGAAGAACAAAAATCTGAATAGCTCTCCCATCTTATACCCCTTACCCTCCAAAATGGTAAAAGTTCCCTGGAGTGGGAATGAAAAGATGTGAATTCTAGTCGATGACCTGGTATGAACCATTTGAAGTGACACTTCAAGTAATTGCTTCACTTATCTAGGCCTGTGTTTCTTCATGTATTAATCAAGTAGATTTTTTTCTAAGATATCTTTCATTTCTACCATCTTATAATTCTAATGGAAGTGACAAATCTGGGAAGTCTGATGTTAAAGTAGATATTTTTATAAAATTTTGCACATGGTTGAGGTTAATGAACAGATGAACTACTATTGAAATCTTTGAAATTTGCTCTAGGTTTATGTCATAGGAGTTTCTTAAATAGAATTTTAAGGATATGGAACATACATCTCCATCCTTAGTGCCAGAATGGGAGATGGGAAGCTATAAATTTTACCCATCATCTTCTGTGTGGAGGAGACAACCAGACTTCACTGAAGACATTTGTAACACAGATAGCATTGTAACTTTAAGCCATGTTGCTTACATAAGGTGCAGACAAAAGTACTAGCTGATCAAAGCACTCTTCCTACTTTTCAACCGATGACTCTACTATTACATAGATAGGCCTTTAAAAGGTGTGAACAATTTTGATACGTTCTATAAGGCCTGAGTTCCGGCTTCACTTCCTTTGGTAAGTAGTTGTATGTCCTCAGGCACTTTGGGGCTTTAATGAGCCCATCTTTGAATTACTCCCAAGGACTCCCCTTCCCCTGCCAAATTCACAAAAATTGTGATTTTTTTATCTTCTAATTTTTTGAAGTAATATTTACTGTTAAGTAACAATTAATTTACACATATCCTTAAAATTATGTAAAACAGAAGATTGGTCAAAAATGAAAGTAAGTAGAATTTTTAGGAAAAAAATTCAACCTTAATGATATCTATTCAGCATATTGGCCTTCTCCAGGGTGGAAGAGAGGTTGAGATGAAGAAAGAGACTATAACAAGGTATTCCTTCCTTCCTTTCGTAAGAGGAAATTTAGTTTGGTGTAGCCAGAATGCAGTACAATTACTATGGACCAATTGTTCAGTGACCTATATGACATGAGTTGTTTATTAATCTATGGAGTAATCTGTTACATGAAATGAGGAAGACAGAGAACAGAAAACAATAATGTTCAGATTGGGACATGTACACTCCAGAGAAATGAAAATACCTCTAACTTTATTTTAAGTGGAACCAGCAAGGATCCACTGACCGTTTCAAGAGAAGCAAAGTGATTAGATACAAATTTTGACTCCATCTTAAAAAAATATTCAATAAGCTTTTCTTTCACAATTCTTTATTTTTAACGTAACAAACTAATACAACCAAATATTTTTGTCATCTATTTTGTTTGCTTTTGTCTTCTTTCTTATCTCCTATTTACATAAAGAATTCTTTATTCTCCAGCCTCTGTCCCCTTTATTTTGTTTCTTATTTTGAAGATTTTTTGTAGTGTTAATCTTCTGCTGATTATGAGTTTTTCATGTAATTGCTTAAATATAAACATTTCTAATAAAATCTATACTCTTTCCTCTCTCTCCAAAAAAGAAAATTTCCTATGCTTGCCTAAGCCTCTGCTAAATATCGCCTTTAATTTCCTGTCATTGTGAAAAATTATACCACTTCACTTTATTTTATTAAACCTTTTTTTTTTTTTTTTTTTTTTTTTTTTTTGAGATGGAGTCTCGCTGTGTCGTCCAGGCTGGAGTGCAGTGGCACGATCTCGGCTTACTGCAAGCTCCGCCTCCCGGGTTCAGCCATTCTCCTGCCTCAGCCTCCAGAGTAGCTGGGACTACAGGCGCCCACCACCACGCCCGGCTAATTTTTTTTAATGTTTTTAGTAGAGATGGGGTTTCACCGTGTTAGCCAGGATGGTCTGGATCTCCTGATCTTGTGATCCACCCGCCTCGGCCTCCCAAAGTGCTGGGATTACAGGCTTGAGCCACTGCGCCCGGCCTTATTAAACCATTTTTTCAGAAGCACTTAAATTTTTTTTGTTTGTTTTCATAGGTTTTTGGGGAACAGGTCGTATTTGGTTACATGAGTAATTTCTTTAGTGGTGATTTGTGAGATTTTGGTGCACCCATCACCCAAACAGCATACACAGAACTCAATTTGTAGCCTTTTATCTCTCACCCTTTCCCACCTTTTCTCCTTGAGTCCCCAAAGTCTACTGTGACACTCGTATGCCTTTGCATCCTCTTAGCTTAGCTCCCACTTATGAGTGAGAACATACGATGTATGGTTTTCCATTCCTGAGTTACTTCACTTACAATAATAGTCTCCAATCTCATCCAGGTTGCTACGAGTACCATTTCATTCCTTTTTATGGCTGAGTAGTATCCTATTGTATATACATATACCTCTTCATTTTGATTGTTCTTTAAAAACTTATACTTAATTTAAAAGGATGGTACACTTATTTCATTTGCAATAAAAATACACAAAGCAGAACATAGTGTGAAGTATTTATTGAATTTTAAGCTTCTCCTAATAGTGAGCTAGGTGATATAGTTCAACTCTTTGCTCAAGGCAACAATAATACTTAAGTGAAGGAAGAATCATCTTCAAAAAACAAGACACAATAAAATGTTGATATGGTTAGCATTTGAAGAGGTGAATCAGAGATGCTTCATCCTATTGTCATTAAAGAGATAAGTACATTTTAATTAAGCAACTAATTAAACAACAACTACTGTTGTTATTACTGTAAGTCTTGTAGTATTATTTGCCTTTTAAACTGTGTTCATGAGATACTTTGTTTAAAATTTTTAAAAACGTGAAAACTAAACAGATACTTGTCAATAGTAATAAGTGCCATGATGAAAATAGAAGATGGTAATCTTCAGGAGATGAACTGCTATATATGTGGGTTGAACTTTAGATGTGGTTGGCAGCTGGGGCTTATCAGAGAATGTGATTTTAAGCTAAGATCTCAATTTAAATAAGAAACCACCTATGCTGATAGGTTGATCTGTGCAGGAAACCACCATGGCACACGTCTTTCTATGTAACAAACCTGAACATCCTAAACATGTACTCCAAACATAAAAGTTGAAGGAAAAAAGACTTTGCAGCAACAAACAGACCACCCAAGTAATGGGCTTATCATGTTTGAAGAACAAAGGAAGGAAATGTATTAATTTTCTGTGGCTGCATAAGAAATTACCACAGAGTTATTGACTTAAAACAACACACATTTAGCATCTCATATTTTGTGTAGGTCAAGATTCTATCATGTGTACCTGGGATCTCTGCCTAGGGGAATGTCTGAGTCAAGAATGCTGAGCTGCATTTTCATCTGGAGTTCGGGCTCCTATTCCAAACTCACTAGTTGGCAGAATTTAATTCGTTGTGTTTTTTTCTTGCGGGATATTCAGAGAGTTGCTTCCAGCTCCTTAAGGACTGCCTTCAGGTCCTAGCACATGACTCTCTCATAACATGGCATCTTTCTTCTTCAAGGATAGCAAGAGTCTCTCTAGTCCACCAAGACAGTCTTATGTAATAGTAAGTAATCATGGAGTGACTATCCCATCATATTTGCTGTGTAACATAACCTAATCAAGAGGGTGTCTGCTATCACATCATATTTACAGGTTCTGCTCATACTCAAGGGGAAAAGATTAGTCAGGGAATGTATACCAGTGCACAGAAATCTTGGTGGGCATCTTAGAATTCTGACTGTCACAAGCAGTGAGACGGAACTGTAGTGAGCGAGGTACAATATAAAGTCAGAGAGATACCCGTTGGACAGGAATGTAAAGTCTTCTCAGCCTTGATAGGGAGTATGGATTTTATTGTAATTGCGGTGGGAAGCCAATGAAAGTTTTAACTATTCAGTAGTAAATAATTGATTTGCCAAAGGGATATATAGTACACAAATCCATGAACTGGGGTTTGCTTTATGCATCAGCTGTTAATTATTAATAACTTAAACACTGATTATAAACAAAGGGAAGTTCTAACAAAGTTAGAATGTCTTGTTTTGAAATTCAAACTAAAATTTAAAAAATATTTAATTTAAAGGTATTTTAATTTACAGAGAATAGTGATTTTCATTAAGGAGTCTTCCTTACTCATATAGAGGCTTAGCAACAAAGATATACAGAATTTGACATCTAGTATTTGATACATTTGCTAATTTTTTTCTCTGCCATCGGTTTTATATGGTATTTAGTTTTTGACTATGGCATGTATACATTACAGCTAGTAGATAAACTTTGAGGTCTTTCATGAGGAAAGACTTCTTTTGAAAGTCTACGTATACACATATATCTGCGACATAACTCCTGATATTGCCCTAACAGGTCTTATCAGAGTGTTTGTCTTTCCCTGGCATATGCTCTTTCCATTTGCTTGGTTAAGTACTGAATGGACTTTATGCATAGTTGACCATTTTAAATTCTTTTTTATGTGAAGCCCTTGAAAGAATTAAAGGGCATAAGTCATGTATATCAAACTTCTTCCTTAATAAAACTTTATCATTTAAAGTTGCTGTATGCTAGGCAGAATTTATTTGATTTAATAAGTTACAAAAATTATTTTTAAATAATCACAAAATTGGGCTCAACAGAGACCCTTGCATTTTTCCTAAACACATTTTCTGTTTAAATTCTGAGATTTATTAAGAACATTTGTTTATAAATTGTAAGAGGCTCTCTCTCTCTCTTTCTCTCTCTCTCTGTACCTTCTCTCCTTCCCATAAACCTGCTTCTCTTCCTCACTGAGGTTAAATGCCTCATTTTACTCTATAACTGCATATGGCAGTAAAATAATTTGAATTTGCTCTTCTTCTAAGAATATTTTAATATAAATGTAAAACACAACATTTTCCTTTTTGTTTCTCTGAATTTGCATTTTGAGCATGGTCAGTTAAAGGGAGAAGTTAGAGTCTGTCAATCCTAATATTTTCTGGCATATTTTATGAGTTGCTAATAAAACATGTAGAATGTACTAGTTGGAGTCTTAAACAATACAAGGTAAACAACAGTTACCTTGTATTGTTTCCCTGGCCATACTCTACAGGTAATTCAAATAACTCAAAAAAATGAGAAACCCAAAGAAAAGTAATCACATCAAGATTAAACGACTTCCCCTGGCATGTAAAATACATGGCATCACTTAGCTACCCTTAATGAAGCCAGAATGTATCTATGTCATTGTCAAAGACTAAACACCAGTTAAAACTTCTGGTAGTTGATGATTGGTTACCTTAGTTGCAGCAATTTTAGTAAAAGAATTAAGTATTTCTATATTTGGTGACCCAGGTAATCTTTAGGAAGTGCAACTGAATTTCAGTATTAACTGTCGTTTAATATTTGCACCTCTTGCAAATCCATTATGTTTATTCACTTGAAACTATTATTCTTTTGACATACCAAATCTGAATCTCATTTAAGACACGTAACTTCTTCCTTTGATATAAAATGAAATCACATTCTTTTATTGAGATTCTTGGTTAAAAACATGATAGACTTGATTTTAGTGGTAAGTGTCAAAGTATTACTTCTGATCTGAGTCTTGGTTGTCATTGGTTGGAAACTGCACTGGGTATATTCACCCATATAGTTACTCTATTTACAAGACAGTTTTTTCTTTTTTACATTCTGGGTTTATGCTTCATTAGATACATCCGAATTTGATGAACTTAGATCAATTTTTATAAATTTATTTATGTTCCACTTCTTAGCACTCAGTATATTTCAGATGTTTGACTTTTAATGTGCTATACTTAATCAAGTTCACTGGCTCTGTGTGACTCTTTCTAAGACTCATTGTGTGAATACATGTACAAACTCTTGAAGTTCTTATTTTTCCATAAGGCAAAAATTACTGCTTTGGCACCAAATATGCAGGATTCCTACAGATTAAATGAAAATATACATAGTTCTTCTGAAAAGACCTTGTTTAACAAACAAAGCACAGCTTCTACAGAAACATAAAGGCTTTTATATCTTTTTTAAACTTTAATTTTAAGGTTTTTTAATTTTTTTCTCACATTTTGATGTGGGCATTTAGTTTCATAAGTTTTCCTCTTAACACTGCCTTAGCTATGTCCCAGAGAATCTGGTATGTTGTATCTTTGTTCTTCTTAGTTTCAAAGAACTTCTTGATTTCTGCCTTAATTTCATTATTTACCCAAAAGTCATTCAGGAGCAGGTTATTCAAATTCCATGTAATTGTATGGTTTTTGAATGAATTTCTTAGTCTTGATTTCTAATTTGATTGTACTCTGGTCTGAGAGATTGTTAGGATTTCTATTCTTGTGTATATTCTGAGGAGTGTTTTACTTCTGATTATGTGATTTATTTTAAAGTATGTGCCATATAGCAATGAGAAGAATGTATATTCTATTGTTTTGGGGTGGAGAGTTCTATAGATATCTATCAGGTCCATTTGACCCACTGCTGAGATCAGGTCCTGAATACGTTTATTAATTTTCTGTCTCAATTATCTAATGCTGTCAGTGGAGTGTTAAAATTTCCCACTATTATTGCGTGGAGGTCTAAGTATCTTTGAAAGTCTCTAAGAACTTGATTTATAATCGGTTACTTCTGTGTTGGGTGCATATATATTTAGGATAGTTAGATCTTCTTGTTGAATTAAACCATTTACCGCTATGTAATAACCTTCTTTGTCCTTTTTGATCTTTGTAGGTTTAAAGTCTGTTTTATCTGAAACTAGGATTGCAAACTGCTTTTTTTCTCTTTTCCACTTACTTGGCAGATTTTTCTTCATTGTTTTATTTTGTGCCTATGTGTGTCACTGCATATGAGATAGGTCTCTTGAAGACAGCAGACCGATGGGTCTTGGTTCTTTATCTGGAACCATTATCTTGCCATTCTGTGTCTTTAAATTGGAGCATTTAGCCCATTTACATTCAAGGTTAGTATTGATAGGTGTGGATTTGTTCCTGTCATTATGATGCTAGCTGGTTATTTTGCAGACTTGTGGTTGTTTCATGGTGTCACTGGTCTGTCTTTATACTTCAGTGTGTTTTTGTAGTTGCTGGTAATAGTCTTTTCTTTCCATATTTAGTGCTTCCTTCAGGAGCTCTATTAAAGTGGGTCTGGTGGTAATGAATTCTCTCAGCATTTGCTTGTCAGAAAAGGATCTTATTTCTCCTTTGCTTATGAAGCTCTGTTTGGTTGGACATGAAATTCTTTGTTGGAATTTCTTTCTTTAAGCATGTTGAATGTAAGTCCCCAATCTCTTCTGGCTTATAGGGTTTCTGTTGACAGGTCCACTGTTAGTCTGATGGGCTTCTATTGGTAGGTGGTTTGACCTTTCTTTCTAGCTGCCTTGGCATTTTTTCTTCCATTGCAACCTTGGAGAATCTAATGATTATGTGTCTTGGGGATGATCTTCTCGTGGAGTATCGGAGTATCTTACTGGGGTCCTCTTTGTTTCTTGAATTTGAATGTTGGCTTGTCTAGCTAGGTTGGCAAAGTTTTCATGGATGATATACTGAGATATGTTTTGCAAGTTGGTTCCATTCACCCTTTTCTCTTTCAGGGACATCAATGAGTGTAGATTTGGTCTCATTACATAATCTTATATGTCTGGGAGGTTTTGTTCACTTCTTTTCATTCTTTTCTTTGCTATTCTTGTCTGACTGTCTTATTTCAGAAAGCCAGTTGTCCAGCTCTGAGATTCTTTCCTGTGCGTTGTCCACTCTATTAATATTTATAATTTAATTACAGAATTCCTATAGTGTGTTTTTCAGCTCTATCAGGTTGGTTACATTCTTTTCTATGCTGGTATTTTGTCTGTCAGCTCCTCCATTGTTTTATCATGATTTTTTTGCTTCTTTGGAATGGGTTTGAAGATACTTCTGTAGCCCAGTGATCTTTATTCCTAACCATATTATGAATTCTATTTCTGTCATTTCAGCCATCTCATTCTGGTTCAGAACCCTTGCTGAAGAGGTGCTGCACTCATCTGGATGAAAGAAGGCACTCTGAATTTTTGAGCTGTCAGGGTTCTTATACTGATTCTTTCTCATCTCTGTGGGCTTATCTACCTTTACTCTTTGAGGTTACTGACCTTTGGATTTTTTTAAATTCTATTTGATGACTTTGAGGGTTTGATTATACTATAAAGTGAATTCAGCTGACTGCTTTGTTTCTGGAAGATTTTAGGGGGCTAATGCTCAGCTCCTAACTCCTGGACTATGTGCTTTAACTCTGGGGGACTTATATTAGGTCCTGAATTTGTTCTCTGGCTCCTTGAGGTTAGAAATCCACTTCACTGAGGGGAGCAAGGTGCCCCAGACTGCTGGTCACTACACTCTGATGGGTGGTGTCAGCCAAACCATTTTAGAGTGCAGTGACAGCAGGATCCATCTTCTTTAGCATGTGCCAGCAGCCATGGTAGCAGCAGCTGTGGTGGAGTGCTAGTAGGTGGGAGTTACCTATCTCCCTGTGGGCATTCTCCACAGTGGCAGAGGCAATGCTGCTGGTGGGGACAGGGAGTCCCTGCTGGTGACTGTGTGGACAGTCACGCTAGAGGTGGTGTTGGCTTGGGGGTGGGGCACTGGTAGGCTTAGCTCTGGCTGCCTTTTCTGGGCTCCACAGGCAGGAGTGGTCACCGGGGGTAGGGGAATTGTCCACTGTTTTCTGCACAGTGTTAGTGCAAGGGCATGGTACTTGTGAGGGTGGGGCTACCAAGGCTGTCTGCAATGGTGGTCATCTGGGGGAAGGGGAACAGACTGCTCTCCCATGAGCTGGTGGAGCAAAGAAGGCAAACATCACCTGGGCAAATATGCACCAGTAAAGTGATGTGGGGAGTTGCCACGGGTCTGGGACAAGCTGCAGTATGGGGAGGGTGCATGCAGGCTGCTGCATGGACTTAGGGGCTGCCCTGATGAAGCTGTCTGTGGGTCAGGCATTGCATGCCAGTGCAGAAGGTATGGTGTGGGCCCCTGTGTACTCCAGACTGCCCTGCAAGCAGGTGTGGCCAGGCTGGGGACCTGGGACAAGACAGCAGATCAAGAGGTGCTCAGGTCAGGCCAGTCTTGTCTGACTGGCAAGACTTTCCTGCAGAGTTTAGTTCTCCTAGGGCTAAAGTATCCTACAGGAGAAAGTCAAGCCTAGGGGAATGGCCATCCCTGGCCATGTTTTGCTATAGACCCTTCTGCACCAAACCCTCTGGGCTGCTCATCAGCTGGCTTGCTGTCCCTACCACTTCTCTTAGATGTCCCTGCCAACTTGAGTGTCCTTGGTGGTCAAGGAATTCTTCTCTTGCCAGGGTTCCAGAGGCCCTTGGTGGAAGTGGGTTGCTCCATGCCAGTTCAACTCACCTGTTCCCCTGGAGCCCTTGGGGGCCAGAAATCAGTCCCAGTGCGTGGTAGCCCCATGCAGTTCCCAACCTTTTCCCTATTCAGCCCAGCTTCTGTGTCTTCCCTCCATTCACTCTTGGTGCCTTCCCTCTGAAGACCTGTTAGGAGCATGTCAGGCATCTCAGTTTCTCAGTGGGAGCTGTTTCACCTGGCTGCATTTATTTGGCCATCTTGCCATCCCACTTTGGCTTTTATATCTTGAACATAATTTTGCAGCAGGGTAAATCATCCTCTTTCTTTGAGGTCTTTATTCCTACCTCTTATGATAAAACTTCTCTACAGAGAAGCCACATAACCCTCACAGCACACTCTCAGATCATTCACATTGCAGAACTGGAACAATGGTAAGACTTATGATGGTTTTGATAGCCCTGTCCAATATTATCTTGAAAAAACAACTTCTAGTTTTTATTAATCATGATGGCTTTAATCCAAGTGTTTCTCTTTGTTCCATTTTTATATCCCATTAAAATACCATAAAAGGAATAAGCAAGAAAATAATAAGGATACAAGGATAAATAAAACTGGAGAGGAAAACAGTAGTAGGTGAAGCATGGCCTCAGTTGGAAGAGTGATGACTGACATAGCAGAGGAAGCTGAAACCTAAGAGCATACAGGATCAATAATAAGGAGAGGTTGATACCTCTTGCTCCATCCTGGAAAATGTCAGAAATTGAAGAAGCCTGGGCAACATAGGGAGACTACCATCTCTTAAAAAAAATTTAACTGGGTGTGGGTGTGGTGGTACCTGCCTATAGTTCCAGCTACTTGTTGGGGCTGGGAGGGAGTCATGCCATTGCAGTCCAGCCTCTAGTCTCAAAAAAAAAAAAAAAAAAAAAGGAAATTGAAGAACCAGTGAAATATGGATGAAGGCATGGGGCTGAATAGAAAGGTAATTATATATTAATTACTGAAATTAATATATAAGTTATTTACCAGTCTTACCTTTTGCAAGCAGCAATCTTTTCTCTGATCCCTGAAAAAAAGTGGAGGTTTATTGTTAGGAAAAATGGAAACAGAGTCTCAAGGCTCTAGGGCACACAACATAGGTGAGGTCAAAGGTAAAACAACGTAATCAAAACAGGGAAGTTTCATCAAATTATGAGACCCTCAGCAACCCTTTTTCTCATCCTCAAAAATGTCAGTACCGAGGTTTATTATTTCCCAGGCAGAGGAAAATAAAATTGTTCTCTAGACTAATAGTGATGCAGGAATTTTCTCAGTCACTTTGCCAGCTGGGACCTCTGGCTGGCGACAGCCCCCAACCCCACTGGGCCTAGCTCAGCCCCAGGCCTGCCACTGGAGGTTCCCTGCCTACTTGGCCTGCCCAGACCAAGTCTGGCTTGCACACTGGCTCAGCCCATGGTTGGGCACACCCCAGCCCACCTGTATTATAGCTTGTGTACCTGTGTTCAGCAGTTCCTGAGCTCTTGTCCTGCATCCAAGAAGAATGGGGATATGCTGAAAGTTGAAGGGTGAGGATGGACAGAGAAAAATTTTAATGAGTGACAGAACAGCTCTCAGTGGAGAGGAGATGAGGGGACATAGGGTCCCCCACCCCCACAGTCAGGTGTTTATTTTATTTTATTTTTTTCTCTCTGTGGCTGGGTCTGGGGCTTTTTATGGACTCAGAATGGGGAGTGGGTGCTGATTTGTTTGTCAGTATGCAAAAAAAGTTTAAAGCAAAGACACCACTCAAAGGTGGGCATGGCAGTATAGAAAACCAAATTAGGAAAGGGTAGGTATATGTAAAATAGGTGAAGAGTGGGGATCAGTCAGAGGAAAGTGTGCCAAACAGGAAGACAGGTTCTCAATCTGGTCTGAGGATTTAACTTGTAGCTTGGCTTTCAGGCTTGAAAATCTCTTTGGCTTGGAGGTTGGCCCCTCCCCTATCTGCCTAGGCAATTGACTGCCTCCAGTCACTATCGATTCCCTGATCTGAAAAGATACAGAACCATCATCCAAGGCTCCAGTTGCACAACGGTTTGGAGTTGATGGCCTGAAGGTGAGAAGGGACAAACCAGGTTATTAGACAACATGTATAAAAATGAAACAAGGGGGTAAAGACAGCTTAAAAGTCCTGAGGCTGCCAACATGCCCTGATAACTGGTGGCTATAGTTATTGCTGCTAAGATTTGGGTGCATGGGGCTTGGCTTTGGTCAGCTTCTTTGGTCTTGTTTTCCCAAACAAGGAAACCTCCAGGTTATGGGCACCCTACTTACTCCTATCACCTGGCAGGATTTGCAGGATAACTGCCCAGAACTAGAATATTGATCCAGATTTTTACACTACCCATACCTTTTGTTTCTTCTGAGCTGTAGCTGGAAATCAGTGGTTGGTTCACAGAAATAAGCACGGTTAGTTTAAAATGTAGGTAAAAACTTAAAAACAACTAACAAAACTAGATTTAATGACAAGTGTATGGTAAGTTTTGAAACATAATTTTTCTCTCTTCAGTCCTCATTTTTATTAAAAACAAATCATGATAGGACTGATTTCTTTGCAAAATAAACATCAGTCTTGTCCTTGGCCTGATTATTTGCATAAAGTACAGCAAGAATGATTATTTTCTCATAGGCTTTTTAAATTGGCTTTGATGGAACCCTGTTTTACAAGAAATCTCAGATAAGACTTTTTAAAGCCAAGCCTAGCCATGGGTTTATACCCTCAAATACCTATGAGTTGGGTACATTCCTCCCTTTTTGAGATCCCAAGAACATGAGGCTCCTGGGCCTGTTAGAAAGTGACATTCTTTACTCACCACAGGTTAGGAGTCCTGTATGGGGACTGTGTAGACAAAGTATGAGGCCAGTTTTCCCAAGGGGCTTTTATTGGCTCTGCAAGTCAAATTTGATTTCTTAAAGGGAAGCATACCCTTTCAGTCAAAGCCTTGGTAAAACAACCAGTTTCTCTAATTGTGTCCTGTTGCAAAAGAAAATGAATTTTTATTGCACTAACACAAATAACTATATTGCCATAAGTTAAGAATACTCAAAACAGTTTCCAAATTCTAGAGAAAGCAGGCAGGCAGAAACAAATATGCTCCAAATTTTGTTCACAGGAGTGTACCTTACTCAATTGTTAAAAGCTGTAGATAGCTCAAAAGAAAAGTTTCCTTGACTCTGAAAAACAAAATAAGGATCAGCAATGTTTTAAGCAAAAAGTTAAGAAGAATTACTTCAATTTTCTGTTAGTTCATTCCATTCCATTAACTCTTGTTCTGCTTGATATTCATGAACATTTCAGCTCCTATGAGTACTGTATATTTTCCTCTATTCCAATGTCACAATCTCCAAAGTTAGAAACTTGCATTTGAGAGCACCTGTAAAAGTCCTATAGCTGATTATAAACCATCTTTTAAAAGGATCAAAATAAGATGACAATTGTCTGTGGATGACAAAATGTCTTTGGGTAGCCACAGTAAAAAACACAATTGACAAAGAAATTTGGTTATTTCTGTTGGGAACAGGCCCCCCAAAATCTGGCCATAAACAAAATCTCTGCAGCACTGTGACATGTTCATGATGGCCATAACACCCACACTGGAAGGTTGTAGGTCTACCGGAATGAGGGCAAGGAACACCTGGCCCACCCAGGGCAGAAAACTGCTTAAAGTCCTTCTTAAACCACAAACAATAGCATGAGCTATCTGTGCCTTAAGGACATGCTCCTGCTGCAGATAACTAGCCCAACCCATCCCTTTATTTTGGCCCATCACTTCGTTTCCCATAAGGGATACTTTTAGTTAATCTAATATCTATAGAAACAATGCTAATGACTGGCTTGCTGTTAATAAATACGTGGGTAAATCTCTGTTCGGGGCTCTCAGTTCTAAAGGCTGTGAGACCCCTGATTTCCCACTTCACACCTCTATATTTCTGTGTGTGTGTCTTCAATTCCTCTAGTGCCACTGGGTTAGGGTCTCCCTGACCAAGGTGGTCTTGGCAATTTCTAATGTTTACAATAACTTAACATAATAACTTTAATTATGATTGATAACATATACTCATTCATTAGAATTTTAGAAATCCCATGAAATTTTGAAACATATATTAATATTTCACTAAAATATAACCTGAAGATTAAACATTATTTTTATTTGGCAGTCTCGCATAACTAAACATGTCAAAAAATCCTGTTTACCTCTTTTTTGGATGCTCTAGGGGCCCTCTGTAGCATCCCAATATTAGGGGTTAGAAAAGACAACCTTGAAACTGAAGTTTGATTTGGGAAAGCCTGTTAAATATGTTAGAGGTTTAAAACACTTGATAAAGTGAAATAAAAATCCATATTACCATAAGTCATTTATTTAGCCAAAATGACTCAGACTTAGGTTTCCAACAATCTGTCTCCTGTCTTCTCCTTTTTTTCAGTAGTTTATTCACAAGGTAAGCAAATGTTTTTCATTATTCTTTACTATTACGTGAAAATCTTGTTCAAAGGAGAGAAAGCCAAATTGCACCCTTGCATTAGTCTACTATTAATGTTGACCCCATTTTTTAATGAAACCTTATAGATAATTCTATCCTGTCTTAACCAGTTTGACCATGAGGTGAGATTCTTGTAAACCTTTTGTAACACTTTACAAATTTTTGTTAAAGAGTAGATCAGTGCCTTAAGAAAACCTTGTTTTGCTTTTATTTCAATGTTCAATTTATTTGGAAAAATATATAATGCCCTTATGAATTTAGTAAATATGTTCACACACAGAAGGTGAACCAGTACTTATGAGATTTTTCATTTGCCAAACTCCTAATTTGATTACTGGCCCGAGTGGAGACCTTCAAGAGCAGAGCTGGAAAAGCATGCAGTTTGTAGGGCCTAATAAGCAGATATAGCTAGGAAACAAAAATAGATTTTGAGAGGGTTTATCCACTTTTAATTCTTGGGGTTCCATGAGGAAAACAGAGGTTTGTTTCCATAGTGGGGTCAGTGGCACCTTCTGTTTATCCCAGGGAGTCCCAGGCCATCAGAAGTTATGTTAGTGCATTAAGAGTGGCAAGACACGATGGAGAAAAATAATTCAGTTGACTGAAACAAACAAACAAACACCTTTTTCCAGTGAAACAAGATTGAAGTAGAGAAAAACATAAAGGCCTTTTAAATATACCTATAGCTTGGATATCCACTTTTAATTAAGCTGACTTTTAACTGTAGCGCTTTTTAAGAAAATCCTTTTAAATCCCTTGCTACCTGACTTTAGCTGCACCAAGGAGCCGATATTTCTGGCTTTTGAACTTTGCCAAAAGTAACCTCACAGGTGAAACCAAGAAGCCTTAACCAAGGTTATGACTTAAAAATGATTGTACCAGGTATTTTCAAAGAGATGACAAGCAGTACTTAAAAAATCTAGAATCTTTAAGAGGTAGCTCAGAGAAAGGAAGATTTAAGAAAGGAAGCTAGAAGTTCACAGAGGGGGAGAGAATCAGCAAATGGTAAGTCATGCAGATATTAGCCAGAAAGTACTCATTCCCTAGGCCAGGATTAAACCCAGGCCACTATTGTAAAATGACAAAGACCCAAAGAAGTTACCGCCACGTTGTTAAAATGTCAAGCTCCCAAGGACATAAAACAAGATGGAGACCTCATTTATGTTTTTTCCCCTCAGAGACCTATAGCAAAGTTTGTAACTGAATAGTTTCCTGGGCTGGCTTGAGAAGTGGGCTTATTGGGTCCTAGGCCCATGTTCTATCCTGAGATATTCCTCATTAAGACAGAACCACATAGAAAGACACACAAAGCACATCAGATTGGCTACAGCTTAAAACTAGCCTCACACATCCTTTTTTCCATTAATCAAAACTTTATAGAGGATATAAACAGTATTTTTTACCATTCCTTTACCAGTTTGCAGAGGAAGAGAGAGGCCAGAAGTCTGACTGGCAATAACTTTTACACTTTTGCTGGAATGTCAGGCTTTGGGGTTCTTTTCCCAGTTTAACTTCAAGCCAAGCAGTTAAGGATTTAAGGTTTGAGGAAATTAAACTTTTCTCAGTTTGGGGGATGCATCTGAGGGGAGTGTCTTGTGGTACAGGGACAAAATTACCCATCTGTGAAGAGAAGACAGAGGAAGAAAAAGGAAAAAGAAGACTTTTTTTCCACCCCCAAAGGATAGTGATTCAGGACATTGGTGTAGCTAAAGAATTCATTACTAGGACCCTAAAAGCAAATGCAACAAAAACAAAAATAAATAAATGGGACCTGTTAGGCAAACAGATTTTTGCAAAAATATGGCAAAAACCACAATTACTTTTGCACCAACCTAATAATTCAACTAAAAAGTTTCTGCAAAGCAAAATAAATTATCAGCACAGTAAACAGACAACCCACAAAGTGGAAGAATGTATTTGCAAATCATGCATCCAAAAAAGGACTAGTACTCAGAATCTAAAAGGAACTCACAGAAATCAGAAAGAAAAATACAAATAATACCATCAAAAAGTGGGAAAAGGACATGAATAGACATTTCTCAAAAGAAGATACATAAACAGCCAACAAACATGTGAATAAATGTTCAATATTGCTAATCATCAGGCAAATGCAAATTTATACTTCAATGAGTTACCACCTTACTCCTGCAAGAATGGCCATAATTTAAAAGTCAAAAAACAATAGATGTTAGAGTGGATGTGGTGAAAAGGAACACTTTTATACTGTTGGTGGGAATGTAAATTGGTACAACCTCTATGGAAAACAGTATGGAGATTCCTTAAAGAACTAAAAGTAGATCTACCATTCAATCCAGAAATCCCGCTACTGAGTATCTACCCAAAGGAAGAAAAGTCATTACCTAACAAAGACACATGCCCATGCATGTTTATAGCAGCACAATTTGCAATTGCAAAGGTATGAAACCAACCTAAGTGCCCGTCGACCGATGAATGGATAAAGAAAATGTGATATATACACGCCATGGAATACTGCTCAGCCATAAGAAGGGACAAATAATGTCTTTTGCAGCAACTTGGATGAGTTGGAGGACATAATTCTATGTGAAATAACTCAGGAATGGAAAACCAAATACTGTATGTTCTGACTTATAAGTGAGAGCTAAGCTATGAAAATACAAAGACATACAGAGTGATGTAATGAACTTTGGGCACTTGGGCAGAGGGAGGTTGGGAGGGGGTGAGGGATAAATGATGATATACTGGCTACAGTGTACACTGCTTAGGTGATGGGTGCACTAAAATCTCAAAATTCACCGCTATATCATTTATCCATGTACCCAAAAACCACTTGTACCCCAAAAGCTATTGAAATTAAAAAAAAAAGCAGGACTGCCATTGTAAACCTGGCAGATATGCACTATGTGTGTAGGGTTGGGAATTTGGGTGGTGAACAAACAGCATCTGCTACATATAGTAAGTTATTAATTTGCTCAAATTTGCTACATGGATTATATATTTGAGCCTCACAGATTATTAAAGACCATAACTGCATTATATGACTTCTTTATTTTGTTTATTTAAAAAAATAGATCATCTTTGTATAGAAATTCTAATTGAGTTTATGGAAAAGATTGGCTTCAATTATTTCCTAAGATTATTTGCAAGGGGATTTTAAAAACCTGATAGTAAAATGTCTCTTTTCTTAACTGGATCCCATCTTTACTTCCAGATAAACAATATTTAAGATCAAAGATGGTTCTGATTCCAACAATGAATTTATCATAAAATGAAAACTACAGAAATACTTTCACTATATAGAGGCAGGCTCTCAGGGACAAACAAAACAGAAGAAAAAAGTAACATACCTCACTAATACTGGGATATAAAGTACACAAAGGAAAAATTAGTTAAAAATCTCTGCTGCCTCTGAGGCTGAGAGGCAAAAATTGTACTTGGAAAAGATATTGATTTATTATGGCCTTTACATACATAAAACACATCAAATTTTTAGCCGTGAGCAATACTAGTTTCATCATTTATGCCCGCATTTATTTTTCATCATTGATTACATCCTAGGTATAGAAGTGGCCTTTGCTCCTTGTTGGCTATCAGAAGAAAAAAAAACATCTCTTGGGAAATTTATGAATGGTAAGGAGTAAAGTACCTTTTTCTTATTTTCAGCCTTGTAGTGTGTGCCCTGAATATCTTAGACACAATAGTGGTAAAAAGAGGCCTCTTCTTCAAATTGAGATACATTTTAGGAGTAAGGAGCAGCCTGTATGTGTCTTCAGGTTAATTTTTCTTCCAAAACATTTTCCTCTTAGTTATTTTTCTGAATAATTTTTCAGTTCAACATCTGATTAAGTCATTGTTTTTCATTATAGCCAGGGACTTTTTCCATATTTCTCAACATGAAATTTAATATTTCATGTACTTGGTGGTTGGTTTGTTTTGCTCCTATATTTTGAGACAGGATTTTAAAACATTATTTTATAAAATACTTCAAAGTGTTACAAATGTTTGGAATCATTCATATCTTCACAACTGACGGGTTGTTACAAAACCTGTTCTATTTGCTAACTCAATATTCTGTTTTGCATTGGGAGAATTAATTTTAAAAATAAATGACTTCTCTCAGCACATTACAGGTACTTTTCCAAGTGTAGAATTGTACTTTTCATTTATTTCATCTAATTTCATGTTGCATGTAAGGAAGTCTAAAACAAACAAAAAAACACAACAAAACTACTGAAACAAGAAATCCTCTCCAATAAATTTGGGTCTTCTTTTCTAAAGAAATTATTTCTCAGTATTTGTTATGGATTAAATGTTTGTAATCTTCTCCCCAATTCCTATGCTGAAACCCAAATGCCCAGTAAAACTCTGTTTGGAGATAAGGCCTTTACAGAAGTAACTAAAGTTAAACGAAGTCATAGGATAACACTGTAATGCAGTAAGATTGGTATCCTTATGGGAAGAAACATTGGAGAGCTTGCTCACTCACTCCACAGGCACAGGAACAGAGGAAAGTCCACGTGAACCAACAGAGAGGAGACAGACGTCTGAAGTTCAAGCAGGGAGCCTTCCCCAGACACCAAGCCTGTTGGCATCTTGATCTTGAACTTTCAGTCTTCGGAACTGTGAGAAAATACATTTGTTTTTTAAGCCACCCAGTTTATGGTGTTTTGTTATGGCCATCTGAGCAGACTGAAACAGTGCTATTTTAATTAAATACTTTATTGAGGTAAAATTTGTGTGTAACAGAACACACAGATCCTAAATGTGTGGTTCCAAGAGTTCTGACATCACCCAAGCAACAAGTGTAATATCATGTAACCACCACTCAAAGCAAGACATAAAACCTTTTCAGCACTGCCACAAAAGATTTTCCTGAGCTTTCCATCAGAAAAAAAGTTCATGTACTTATGCAAGTAGAATCATGTAGTATATATCCTTTTGTGTCTCTTGTCTTTTATTAAATAATCTTCAGATATTTTTAATATTGTTTCGTGTGTGATTAGTTGTATTTCTTATCACTAAGTAGTATTAAACTCTACAAATATCAGTTCTGTTAATGGACATATAGGTTGCTTCCAGTTTTTGGCTTACGTAGATGTATAAACCTACTATGAACATTTTCATACAAATCTACTTTGATTTCCCTTGGCTAAACACACACAAATGAAATAACATCATAGGTTATGTACATGTTTAACTTTAAAAGAAGCTGCCATGCAGTTTGTTAGGGTGGTTTTGCCATTTTATGCTCCTACTTGGAATGTATGAGAGTTCTAGTTACTACACATCCATGTCAACATTTGGTATTGTCAATTTTTATATTTTATACATTCTAGTAAACTATACATCACTGTGGTTTTAGTTTGAATTTTCCTGATGGCAAATTGATGTTGAGCACCTTTTTATGTGTTTACTGTGTGTTCATTAAAAGGTCTTGTCCATTCTTATTGGTTTGTTTGCTTTTTTGTTGTTAATCTGTAAGCATTTCAAAATATAAATTTTATATAAAAGTTCCTTATCACATATATAATATTTATACATATATATTTGTATATGCTTGTGTGTGTATACATTTTTCTAGTCTGTGACTTCATTTTTTTACATTGATTTTGATGATCAGAAATTTTACAAAAGGATGAAATGTAACTCATCAACTTTCCTATTTATCAATGGTGGTTTTTATGTACTATCTAAGGGATCTTTGCCTACCCCATGGGTCGCAAGATACTCTTCAGTGTTTTCTTCTAGATGCTTTATGGTTCTTTCTATTTTTTACATTGAAGTCTATGATTCATTTTAAATTAATTGTTGTTTAAAGAGTTATGTAGGGATTAAGTTTTAATGTTTTTCAAGATGGATATCTACTTTTTCCAGCATCATTTGTTGAAAATGATTCTCTTTTCTATTGAATTGATATCATACCTCAGTTTTAAAAAAAAACACATACGTGCACATTAGCTGAGAGTTAATCTATTTCTGGGGTCTCTATTCTGTTACACTGATCTATTTGCCTATCATTATGCCCAAACCCATAGTTTCTTGATTAACTGAGATTTCTAGTAAGTCTTGAAATCAGGTAGTGCAAATCCTTCAACTTTGTTCTTTTTTTTTTCTAGTAGTGTAGATTTGTTTTGACAAATACTCTCACCTGTTATTTGTCTTAAATGTTTTTAATTTTACTTTCCTCTTTAATGCTAGTTTTTGCTGAAGGTAGAATTTTGGATTGACACTTCTGTTTTCTGTCGGATTTTAAAGGATGATATTCTATCTAGACCACATTGTTTCTGATTAGAATTAAGCCGTCACTCATACTGTTGCTCCCTATATGTAAGACATTTCTTTTCCTATTTTATGATACTTTTTTTTTTTTGCAGTTTGACTATTACATGATTTACCGTTCTTTTTATTTATCTTGCTTGAGGTTTATTTGAGGCTGTCTTTTTTTTTTATTCCTGGGCTTATTTCTTTGATTATATTTGATAAATCCTCAGTCAGTATCTCCTTAAATACTTATTTTACTTTGTCTCTTTTCTCTACCTCTGCTTCTCCAATTATTCCTACGTAGACTTTGGATATTGTCTTGCAGCTCTTGCTCTATTTTATTTTATTTTCAGTTTTTTTCTCTTAATGTTTCACTATGAATAAATTATTAAGTTGTATGCAGGTGTCTGTATATTTTCTCTGCAATATCCAATCTGCTGTTCATGCTATTAAATGAATTCTGCATTTATTTTATATTTTTATTACTAACATTTGCATTTGGTTCAAATAGTTCATAATTTCCACATATCTGCTGAAATTTTCCATCTAATCCATCTATTTAGGCATGCTGTTAGCTTTAGAAGCAGATCTTTTAATATATTCACCACAGTTATTTTTAAAAAATCATTTCTGATAATTCCAAAATCTGGCCCACCTCTGCAGCTATTTTTATTGAGAGTATCTTCACTTTACCATTTTTTTTTATTCTTTATGTGCTCATAATCTCCCATTTTATTCTGAACTTTGTGTGTGTAGAGAAGTAAATAATTTTTATTCCTCTAAAAAGGAGGGCTTCTGGTATTGGTGGCTTGGTTAACCTGAGCTCCATTTGAGGTAGGTTTGAGTTTTGTTGCAGCTTTAGTTGGAGGCAGTTAACCATTGTCTTAGAATGTTTCTGATAATTGAATATAGACTTCTTTTGTAGCAGGGCTTCAGATCTTAGAATCTTTGAGATTCTGGAAATCACTTTATGTTTTACAGCACTGCTGCCAGTTTTCTGAACCACTTATGATATGACTCTGAATTACAGCCTAACTCTTTGTCATCTACTCTCTGAGTTGCTGAGGAATGTTCTTTGTATTTTTTATTTCCACCACTGCCTTTTTGTTCCTAGAAAGACCTATCTTGCTCTGCTATCTCCAGCCTTGGAAGTTTGAATATAATGCATTTGGTGAAGATCTGAAGTGCCTTGGAGAGACTTATCTCAACTCTATTTCCTGCCCTGAGCCTTCAGAATACTGTCCCATTTATTAAGCGACAGCTGAGGGAAAATAGTTGGTATATGAATGTGGGCTTGATCTGTGGTTGGGGCTTCTCAGGATTCCAGTTTATCATATCATTCAACATGCCATTGTCAAAAGTTTGTTAACATTTTTTTCTAGTTTCTCTTTATCCTTGTATAGGGTAGACGCTTTCTTTTTTTCATTGACTTTCAAAGGATAAAAATAGTCATGGAGTGCTTCAGTTCTAAGAATGTGTTGCCATATTCTGGAAATTGGTTGATGCAGGTTTGTTTGGATCCTCAGGTCTCTGACACGTTTGTAAAAACTATAATTTTACGGCTTATTTAGGTTGTTTTTCTTAGGATGGAAGCAATGGTAACGTGGGACTCTCCTTATCCTTTTTAGAAGTGAAGGGACCTAGGATTTCAAAAATCCAGTTTGAAGACATTTTTTTAAAATTATACTTTAAGTTCTAGGGTACATGTGCACAACATGCAGGTTTGTTACATAGGTATACATGTGCCATGTTGGTTTGCTGCACCCATCAACTTGTCGTTTACATTAGGTATTTCTCCTAATGCTATTCTTCCCCCAGCTCCCCAACCCCCGACAGGCCCTGGTGTGTGATGTTCCCTGCCCCGTGTATATGTGTTCTCATTGTTCAGCTCCCACCTATGAGTGAGAACATGTGGTGTTTGCTTTTCTGTCCTTGTGATAGTTTGCTTAGAATGATGGTTTCCAGCTTCATCCATGTCCCTGCAAAGGACATGAACTCATCCTTTTTATGGCTGCATAGTATTCCGTGGTGTATATGTGCCACATTTTCTTAATCCAGTCTATCATTGATGGACATTTGGGTTGGCTCCAAGTCTTTGCTATTGTAAATAGTGCCACAATAAACATACATGTGCATGTATCTTTATAGTAGTATGATTTATAATCCTTTGGGTATATACCCAGTAATGGGATGGCTGGGTCAAATGGTATTTCTAGTTCTAGATCCTTGAGGAATTGCCACACTGTCTTCCACAATAGTTGAACTAATTTACACTCCCACCAACAGTGTAAAAGCATTCCTGTTTTCCACATCTTCTCCAGCATCTGTTGTTTTCTTGACTTTTTAATGATCGCCATTCTAACTGGTGTGAGATGGTAGAAGAGCAACTGCAAGACACATTATTGTCAGATTCACCAAGGTTGAAATGAAGGAAAAAATGTGAAGGGCAGCCAGAGAGAAAGGTTGGGTTATCCAACAAAGGAAAGCCCATCAGACTAACAGCAGATCTCTCAGCAGAAACCCTTCACGCCAGAATAGGGTGGGGGCCAATGTTCAACATTCTTAAAGAAAATAATTTTCATCCCAGAATCTCATATCCAGCCAAATTAAGCTTCGTAAGTGAAGGAGAAATAAAATCCCTTACAGACAAGCAAATGCTGAGAGATTTTGTTACCACCAGGCCTGCCTTACAAGAGCTCCTGAAAGAAGCACTAACCATGGAAAGGAACAACCGGTACCAGCCACTGCAAAAAAAATGCCAAATGGTAAAGACTATTGACACTATGAAGAAACTGCATCAATTAACAGCCCAAATAACCATCTAACATCATAAGGACAGGATCAAATTCAAACATAACAATATTAACCTTAAATGTAAATGGGCTAAATGCCCCAATTAAAAGACACAGACTGGCAAATTGGATAAAGAGCCAAGACTCACTGGTGTGCTGATTCAGGAGACCCATCTCACATGCACAGACGCATATAGCGTCAAAATAAAGGGATGGAGGAAAATCTACCAAGCAAATGGAAAGCAAAAAACAACAGAGGTTGCAATCCTAGTCTCTGATAAAACAGACTTTAAACCAACAAAGATTAAAGGAGACAAAGAAGGTCACTACATAATGGTAAAGGGATTAATTCAACAAGAAGAGCTAACTGTCCTAAATATATATGCACCCAATACAGGAGCACCCAGATTTATAAAGCAAGTCCTTAGAGACCTACAAAGAGACTTAGACTCCCACACAATAATAATGGGAGAATAATGGGAGACTTTAACACCCCACTGTGGATATTAGACAGATCAACGAGTCAGAAGGTTAATAAGGATATCCAGGACTTGAACTCAGCTCTGGACCAAGCGAACTTAATAGACATCTCCACAAGTCTACACCCCAGAGCAACAGAATATATATTCTTCTCAGCACTACATCACATTTATTCTAAAATTGACCACATAATTGGTAGTAAAACACTCCTCAACAAATGTAAAAGAACAGAAATCACAACAAACTGTCTCTCAGACCACAGTGCAATCAAATTAGAACTCAGGATTAAGAAACTCACTCAAAACTGCACAACTACATGGAAACTGAACAACTTGCTCCTGAATGACTACTGGGTAAATAACAAAATGAAGACAGAAATAAAGATATTCTTTGAAACCAGTGAGAACAAAGACACAGCATACCAGAATCTCTGGGACACATTTAAAGCAGTGTGTAGAGGGAAATTTATAACTAAATGCCCACAAGAGAAAGCAGGAAAGATCTAAAATTGACACTCTAACATCACAATTAAAAGAACTGAGAAGCAAGAGCAAACACATTCAAAAGCCAGCAGAAGGCAAGAAATAACTAAGATCAGAGCAGAAGTGAAGGAGATCGAAACACAAAAAACCCTTTAAAAAATAAATGAATCCAGGAGCTGGTTTTTTGAAAATATCAACAAAATAGACAGACCGCTAGCAAGACTAATAAAGAATAGAGAAGAACCAAATGGACGCAATAAAAAATGATAAAGGGGATATCACTATGGATCCCACAGAAATACAAACTACCATCTAGAGAATACTATAAACACCTCTATGCAAATAAACTAGAAAATCTAGAAGAAATGGATAAACTCCTCTACACATACACCCTTCTAAGACTAAACCAGGAAGAAGTTGAATCTCTGAATAGACTAATAACAGTCTCTGGAATTGAGGCAATAATTAATAGCGTACCAACCAAAAAAAGTCCAGGACGAGATGGAGTCACAGCCAAATTCTATCAGAGGTACAAAGAGGAGCTGGTACCATTCCTTCTGAAACTACTCCAATCAATAGAAAAAGAGGGAATCCTCCCTAACTCATTTGATGAAGTTAGCATCATCCTGATACCAAAGCCTGGTAGAGACACAACAAAAACAGAATTTTAGGCCAATATCCCTGATGAACATCGATGCGAAAATCCTCAATAAAATCCTGGCAAACCGAATCCAGCAGCACATCAAAAAGCTTATCCACCACAATCAAGTCGGCTTCATCCCTGGGATGCAAGGCTGGTTCAATATACGCAAATCAATAAATGTAATCCATCACGTAAACAGAACCGATGACAAAAAACACATGATTATCTCAATAGATGCAGAAAAGGCCTTCGATAAAATTCAACAGCCCTTCATGCTAAAAACTCTCAATAAACTAGGTATTGATGGAACATATCTCAAAATAATAAGAGCTATTTATGACAAACTCACAGGCAATATCATATTGAATGGGAAAAAATTAGAAGCATTCCCTTGGAAAACCGGCACAAGACAAGTATGCCCTCTCTCACCACTGCTATTCAACATAGTGTTGGAAGTTCTAACCAGGGCAATCAGGCAGGAGAAAGAAATAAATGGTATTCAATTAGAAAAAGAGGAAGTCAAATTGTCTCTGTTTGCAGATGACATGATTGTATATTTAGAAAATCCCATCATCTCAGTTTAACATCTCCTTAAGCTGATAAGCAACTTCAGCAAATTCTCAGGATACAAAATCAATGTGCAAAAACCACAAGCATTCCTATACACCAATAATAGACAGTGAGCCAAATCATGAGTGAACTCCCATTCATAATTACTGCAAAGAGAATAAAATACCTAGGAATCCAACTTACAAGGGATGTGAAGGACCTCTTCAAGGAGAACTACAAACCACTGCTCAATGAAATAAGAGAAGACACAAACAAATGGAAGAACATTCCATGCTCATGGATAGGAAGAATCAATATCATGAAAATGGCCATACTGCCCAAGGTAATTTATAGATCCAATGCTATCCCCATCAAGCTACCACTGACTTTCTTCACAGCATTGGAAAAAACTACTTTAAAGTTCATCCAGAACCAAAAAATAGCCCACATAGCCAAGACGATCCTAAGCAAAAAGAAGAAAGCTGGAGGCATCATGCTACCTGACTTCAAACTATACTACATGGCTACAGTAAACAAAACAGCATGGTTGTTGTACCAAAACAGATATACAGACCAACAGAACAGAACGCAGGCCTCAGAAATAACACCACACATCTACAAACATCTGATCTTTGACAAACCTGACAAAAACAAGAAATGGGGAAAGGATTCCCTATTTAATAAATGGTGCTGGGAAAACTGGCTTGCTGTATGCAGAAAGCTGAAACTGGATTCCTTCCTTACACCATATACAAAAATTAACTCAAGATGGATTAAAGACTTAAATGTAAGACCTAACACCGTAAAAACCCTAGAAGAAAACCCAGGCAATACCATTCAGGACATAGGCATGGGCAAAGACTTCATGACTAAAACACCAAAAGCAATGGCAACAAAAGCCATAATAGACAAATGGGATTTAATTAAACTAAAGAGCTTCTGCACAGCAAAAGAAACTCTCATCAGAGTGAACAGGCAAACTACAGAATGGGAGAAAATCTTTGCAATCTACCCATCTGACAAAGGGCTAATATTCAGAATCTATAAAGAACTTTAACAAATTTACATGAAAAAAATAAAAACCCGTCAAAAAGTGGGCAAAGGATATGAACAGACACTTCTCAAAAGAAGACATTTATACAGCCAACAGACATATAAAAAAATGCTCATCATCACTGATCATCAGAGAAATAAAGACTTTTTTGACTTTATTTCTGTCTCATTTTAAAGATTTACAGTGTAATTTGCTAACTAAAATTTTCTAGCTGCATAGTACTTTCTTTTACTTTGGCTAACATCCATTCACTGACTAATGTATTCCAATGACTGAAAAATTAATAGAAGATGATTCTACTTTCACCAATGAGTTATTTACTGGAGCACAGACACTGGCTTAGGCCAGTCTAGCATTCATTTAGAATTACTGTCACTGCATGTAATAGGCTTTTGGTCCTCAACTTTCTAAGATATTTTTACTGCAGCTCTTTCATTTTACTTGGATGAACTGTCATCATCTTATTGTTTTAACTATTTTGTTTATACTTCCATTTGACCGTGTTTTTCTCAGGCTTATGAAACTGTGCCCTAAGGAGTTAAAGAAACCAATGATTAACAGAAATTCGTGAGTTTGCAGGATGGCACATAAGAAAAGAAGCAGCTTGCTGAAACTCTGGAGCTCTCTCTGCCTGTAAGATACCAAAACTGGCTGAAATCAGCTGGTACCTATATGGCCAATTGGAGTCTGTTCAGAACAAACTTGCTGACATCACAGCCCCGTTTTTTACTGCATTTTTAATGTGAACTCCCCACAAATTATCACATGTGAACCACGAGGAGGCATAAAGAGATACTGCACAAGCCTGAGGACTTTCCAGGCCCCTTCTTTCTTTCCACTAATCACATGTTTATCCCCAAATTGGCTCCCTAACCCTTTTCTAATAAAAGTGGAGACAGACTAATCTGAGCTGGACTCCTGTCTCCTTATTGTTCAACCTACAAAGAATGGCTTTCTTTTTTCAGAAACCTGGTGTCATGGTATTGACTTCTAGCATACTGGGCAGTGAGCCCTATTGCTCAGTAATGCTTATGCTATTTTTAAAATTTTGAAATCTTTTTTTAATATTCATCTAAGAAAAATAATCTGCTTATATTTCTATTTGTTAAAGATAAATTATGCGTAACTTTACTTTAGAACTGATATCTTTCACATATGTTTCTTGTCATTGCTTCCCTCCCTCCAACTATCCTCCCCCTCAGAAATATGGGTTTTGTGAATTGCCTACATTTCATAATTGTGAATGTCTTACCTAACTTTGTAATCATTTTATTAATTCACTTATTAATTTATCCATCTTTTAACAAGTGCTAATTGAGCACCCACTATGTTCTCTGCATGTACTCTATGCTTGATATGTTAACAGTGAGCAAGAAACTCATTGACCTAGATTGGTTCCAGTATATTGTCCTATATTCTTTCATATTTATCTCTTTCTAACTCAATAACTTTGTGTGACATTTTCCATAGATACTACCAGTACTCTATCATTTTTAAGTAGTACCTTTTGCAGTGCTGACGTACATTAAAGATGAAAATACTTATTTGGCATATGGACTCTTAAGGGATTTATATATTTAATGTTGCCCTAATAGACATTCTATCAGGTAGCTCCAGCGTAGCACCTGTAGGATATTCTTTAAAAAAAAAAATTACAGCAACTTTACTCATAATAGCCAGACTCTGGAAACAACCCACATATCCTCCAATGGGTGCGTGGTTAAGCAAACTGACACATCCATACTGTGGAATACTACTCAGCACTTAAAAGGAACAAACAGGTTGGATACATACAATAAGTCAGATCAATGTTATTCTTTTAGGACTCATACTGAGTGAAAAAAGAAGGGAGATTTACAATGGAGGTTAAGTGTAAAATCTTGTTGGTTGAGTGTAATTTCTATCTAAATGAGACAGGGTATATACTTATTTCCATTTTAAATCTCCCTTCAAATATAGTAACAACCAACATTTTTATGAATTGTGGAACATTATTAGGACATTAAAGAGAAGGCACTGCAGGTTTTGTCCTAATACCTAGATATTAGGTGTCTTGGGGGATGTTCGTCTATCTTCCTGTGAGCCCATGGCATCTTGGTTCTCATTACTTACTATTACAAGGGGCCATAGTCTGAAAAATTCTCAAGATTATAAAATTTTCTTGAAAATTAAAACTTAAAGAGTTTATTACTGTGTTTGGCCCAAAAAACAAGCTTGCAATATATCAATTCTCTTCTTGATAAAAACAGGGTTGGGGGTCACTAAAGCCACATTTTAATATATTTAGGATATATTAACAAGAGTCTGAGCTGTTTATTAATCAGTGTGGTTTATTATAATTTTTAGGGGTTTCTATCATTTACCTTTATTAATATCTCATCCCTCCCTAGAGTTTTATCTACCCAATTAATAGCCAGCTGGTATAATAACTTTTAGTCATTTTCTAGTCATGCTGTGTATTTAGATTATAGTATGATTGACAGAGGCCCTTAGCATATTGGTTGTTTCAGATGCAGTCATCAGCATGGACGAAAGATAGTCCATACTGATTGTTTTGATCTCTAAAATAATAAATAATGTAACAAGTAATATAATAAGTAAGAAAGCTGATTGTTTTGTTCTCTAACATATTAAGTAAAACTTTTAGAAAGAGAATTTAACTGTTGTATACCAACACTAGAATACCCTTAGGTAGATTTCATCTAGGTATTTTTTGCACCAAATATGCCAAGTCTCTTCCAGCATTGGTTCTGAATATGTGACTTCAGGAGAAGCTCCTGAGACTGGCAGGAGGAATCATTTAGCATGACTCATGACATCCAACAGAGAAGCTGCCACCACGTGTCACTGACAGCCTTGCTTAGGTGTTCTTCCTAGTCCACACCTATAAGCTTCTCCCTTTCTATTACATCTCTGGGTAGCAGTAAGAGCAAGGTGGAGACAATTTTCTTTGTAGGAGTAAATACAACTACATATAAAAGTATAAAATGTCAAGTGAGGCCATCTGTAGATAACTTGAAATCTTTGAGCACAGACAACTAACACAAATTAGTGGTTTTAACTTCCAAGTCAGATAGTTTAGCCCATAGTTTCTTTTTTTTTTCTTTTTTGGTTGAAGGGGGAGTAGAGAAATATTTAATTATAATGCCCAAAGTGAAAGTTGAAAAAAAGGAAAATATATTTGCGTCCCAAAACTTACATGACAGAAAGCCTGTGTCTTAAAAAAAAGGAATGTACAGACCCATTTTCCCATGGCATTGTCTCTGAAATAACCCAAAGAATGAACTAGAGATACACATTTTACCAAGTTTATGTGTCTGATTTAATGGTTAATTATAGTCTTCAGTGTTTGGAATTAGCTAGAAAGAAATGGAATCACAGGCCATTCCTCAACTCATAGTCAAGCTGAAGAGAACAGAGGGCAGAACTCACCTTGAGAATATTTCTTGTGGAGGGATAGGCAGTGAAAGCCCAATTTCCTTTCTATACCTATCTACCCCTTGCCAGAATCCTCAATTCTTCATAGTAAGCCTGTCTACTTTGTCATCACCACTCCCACATACTCTTTCTTGGAGCCTAATGTGATGATTGGGGTTTTAGGTAACTTGATCGGCCTATCAGAAGCTTGTGTCATGCTTAGAGCAGTGATCTAATAACTTTTTGAGACTATAAACTGATAGTTCACATGTTCATCTCATTGTCTTGGATAACTTCCAGGACCCACTGATCACTGTAAGAGGATGATGAAATGTTCTCCAACATCAGTTTTCAAGCAGTTATTCAATTTAACACATATGTTGAGTGTCTACATCATGCCAATTAATGTGGTAAGAAAAAGGTATATAAATGTAGTCTAAACACCCCTGTGACCTCCTGCACATGGGACCCTTGATGAATCTCACTTTTCACTTCCGTTCAAAGTTCTAATAATTTCCAATACTTTCTTCTTATTTTTTCTGACTTTGCATTTTCTTCACTAACACACACTTATTTTTTTCAGACCTCTGACAACTAGTAGACAGACATTAGTCTTGTTGCAATTTCCCATAAGAAATGGTATCATACTCAGAATTTTCTAACTTTTAAAACTAATGAAAACTTAAAGAATAATAAGGAAGGATCACATTACACAATTTTGTTCTCTTTCATCTTTTTGGCTTGATCTCTCTCATTCTTCATCCCATGAAATGATTGTTCTTTCACTACACCTTCCTAACCATCTGTCCCTAAAAAATATAAAAATCCACCTCCTTAGGTGCTTCTTCTGCATGTGTTAGTTGCAGCAATTAAACTTACTTTCATAAAAGGAACTCTACAAATACCTTCAAAGGCAGACAAAGTGCTTGCTCAACAATTCCTAATGCAGTTAACATGTGTTAAATATAGACAAGATTTTATGGAATTTCAAATGTCCGAAATTAACTTAAAGAAGTAGTTACAAAATCTATGTAAACTGCATAGATTACAGGTAGACTACTTGAAAAAAAAAATTAAAGGTGGTAATATACCTAAGTCAACATCAGGTCCAAATAATATCTTGCGTTTCTCCAAATTTTTAATAACCCATAATCTCCATTTTATAGAAATTGGTCCAGATGAGAGAAGTTAATGGTAAATATGAAAACCTCTTCAAATTATTCTGCAAGGCTAATGTAACTCTGACATCACAATTGAAAAAGGAATACACAAAAAGATCATCATTATCTTTAACAGTTTAGGAGCATTGTATTTTTCTTGAGTTTATTTATGGAAAGTTTCATGGTTCTTGAAATTAGCCCATTTCATATAATTTTCCAAAATTGTTACCATAGTAATATTCCATTGTCTTATCTTCTTAAAGTTAAATTTTATAGGAGTATCACATATAATATGCACAAAACACTTTTAAACTAGATTTTCACAAAAATGAATATAAATAAAAGCAGTACTAAGTAAAAGTAATACAATCTTGTCAAATATCAGAAATGCCCTTTATTCTCCCTGAGGGAAACTATGCTAGAGTAACCACTATCCTGTGTTATACCATTATAGACTAATAGTGCCTGTTTTTGAACTTTATATACGTTGAGTCATATGGTAGGTACTTTTGTGTCTAGCTTTTCTCTTAAGAATGCATCCACACTATGGCATATAGTTATGTTATTCATTTTTATTAATGTGTAGTATTTCATTGTGTGGATACACCACACTGTATTTATTCATTCTGTTTTTGTTGGACATTGGAAGTGCTTCCAGTTTTGGATATATCTTAAATAGAAGAACATTAAAAAGGTAAAGGAGTTGAATATCTATTCCTAAGTAGGCATCCGGTTCAGATAATTTAGGGGGATGAGTTCCACCAGACTTTTAAGAACCCATATTTTCTATTTCATATAAATGGCTCCAGAAGTTCTTATACATGCCTTTTGGAATTGCTAAGTCACAGGGTATGAGCATATTGAAACATTCTTCTAAACTAGATGTACCAGTTTAAACTTTCATAAGCACAGTTATAATACATTCCACTAAACACTTGGTACTCTCACTCTTTTCATTACAGCCATTCTGGTGGTGGATAGTGGTACCTCCCTATGGTTTAATTATTTGTGATTAAGATGTCAAGCGCTTTGTATTTGCTGGCCATTTGGATGTCTTTTGTGATGTGTTTGTTTAAGTCTTTTTTCTTGTTAGGTTTAAAAATACATATATTCTAGGTGCAAATCTTTTTTTTTAATACTTTAAGTTTTAGGGTACATGCGCACAACATGCAGGTTAGTTACATATGTATACATGTGCCATGTTGGTGTGCTGCACCCATTAACTCGTCATTAACATTAGGTATATCTCCTAATGCTATCCCTCCTCCCTCCCCCCATCCCACAACAGGACCCAGTGTGTGATATTCCCCTTTCTGTGTCCATGTGTTCTCATTGTTCAATTCTCACCTGTGAGTGAGCACATGCGGTGTTTGGTTTTTTGTCCTTGTGATAGTTTGCTGAAAATGATGGTTTCCAGCTTCATCCATGTCCCTACAAAGGACATGAACTCATCATTTTTTATGGCTGCATAGTATTCCATGGTGTATATGTGCCACATTTTCTTAATCCAGTCTATCATTGATGGACATTTGGGTTGGTTCCAAGTCTTTGCTATTGTGAATACTGCTGCAATAAACATACGTGTGCATGTGTCTCTATAGCAGCATGATTTATAATCTTTTGGGTACATACCGAGTAATGGGATGGCTGGGTCAAATGGTATTTCTAGTTCAAGATCCCTGAGGAATTGCCACACTGACTTCCACAAGGGTTGAACTAGTTTACACTCCCACCAACAGTGTAAAAATATTCCTATTGCTCCACATCCTCTCCAGCACCTGTTGTTTCCTGACTTTTTAATGATCGCCATTCTAACTGGTGTGAGATGGTATCTCATTGTGGTTTGATTTGCATTTCTCTGATGGCCAGTGATGATAAGCATCTTTTCATGTGTCTTTTGGCTGCATAAATGTCTTCTTTTGAGAAGTGTCTGTTCATATCATTTGTCCACTTATTGATGGGGCTGTTTGTTTTTTTCCTGTAAATTTGTTTGAGTTCATTGTAGATTCTGGATATTAGCCCTTTGTCAAATGAGCAGATTGCAAAAATTTTGTCGGTGCAAATCTTTTATTACGTATACAGGACAAATATCTTTGCCCACTCTATGATTTACCTTTCACAGTCTTAAATGGTATCTCTTGAGAAAAGGAATTCCTTATTCATTTTTATTTGACCAATTTATTAATATTTTTTTCTTTACAGATTTTCTATTCTTGTGACTTACTTGAAATATCTTTGTGTAACACAAGATTTTAAAGAGATCCTCCTAAGTTTTCCTCTAGAAACTTTACATAAATTATTATACATAATCTATTTCTTGTTTTAATATATATAATCAATTTGTAATTGTATGTATGTATGTATGTGTTTATAGACAGCATGAGTTATGGTCGAGATTGAATTTCCTTATGTGATATTAAATTTTCCTAGCACCGTTTATTGAAAAGATGATTCTTTTCCACTTCCCCTGCAGTGGCAACTTTTTCATAAAGCAAGTGATTGTAAATGTATGTGTCTGTTGCTGAGCACTTGGTTCTATGACATCTATTTTGTTGTCCATACTACCTCCATTTCTATTCCTTTAAAATAAATGGTATATTTGACTGTAAGAATTCTTCAGCATTGGTCTTTTCAGTATTGTCTTGGCTTTTCTTGGCCCTTTGCATTGTTGTATAAACTTTAGAATCTTGTCACTTTACACACACACACTCCCTTGTGGGATTTTAATTGTAGCATGTTCATTCTGTAGATCAATCTATAGAGAATTTATTATTTTCTAATATTGAGTCTTACAGGAATGTGATGTATTTCTGTTCATTTAGGAATTTTTAAAGTTCTCAAAATTACATTGAATAGGTTTTAGTGTACAAGATGTTATATTTATTCTTACCTACTTGACTTTTTCATGCTATTGTATTATACATTTTAATATTTTCTGTTTGTTTGTTGCTGGATATAGAAATCTAAATGGATCTTGTGCAACCTAGGTAAATAATTTTATTATCTTTTAAATTTATATTTTATCTATAGTTGTTTTTTCATTTTCATCAATATATTTATTTTTTACTTATATCTTTTTATCAATTAGTCCTTATAGCAGTTGTGTATTTGTGAGGTTTCTCAAATAACCAACTTTTGGCTTTATTAAACTTCCTTATTATATTTTTCCCTTTTAATTGACTTCTACTTTCATATTTAGTATATATTTTCACTATTTCCCTTGAATTTTTCTGGTATTATTTCTAAATTTTTAAGATGTGTGCTTAGCTTTTTAATTTTCAGGATTTATTCTTTCCTAATTTAAATACTTTATCACTGTATATTTATTGAAGTTCCACTCTTCTTATATCCTACAAATTTTCATACATAGTATATTTGTTATCATAGATGTAAAAATATTGAAAAAAATTTTAAATTAGGATTTTTCCTCTGACCCATGACTTATTTACAAATGTGTTTTTAAAATTTCCAAATATGGATGGGTTTTTTATTTAGCATTTTGTTATTAACTTCTAAATTGTACAGATAAGATTTGTAGATAACTACTTTTTAAATATTATTAAGGATTTTTTATAATTTTTGCAATTCAGAAAGAATATCGATGATCTAAACAACACAATTATGTAACTTGACCTACTGAGTGTGTATATTGTTCTCCTACCTATGATTAGAGATGCATGATTAAAGAACGCTCATTTTCTCAAGTACACAATGATAAAACTGAACAAAATCAGGCATTTTGTACATGGTTTATGGCAGTAAGTGTTGGTATATCTTTTCTTGAGTTGATGATTTGGCAGGACATAGCAACATTTTACATGTGCATACTTTTCATATTAACAGTTGTGTTTCTAGGAATTTGTCCTACAGAAATACTCACTCATGAGCACACAAATGCATATGCTGTACAATAACATTTGTTATGTTGTTGTTTTTAAGAAATTTAAATGTTCTTCAGTAGAAAAATTAAAAAATATATAATACACTCATATTATGAATATTGTCCTGATGGAATGTAAACTTCACAAGATCAGGGACCTTGAATAGTTTCTTTAGCCTTCTATCCTCAGTTCTTAGCACAGAGCATGGCACATAACATGCAATCAAAAGTTACTTCTGAAGCATTTAATAAAATAATGCATTTGTTTTAACTACTGAAGTATTACCATAAAATGATTAAATGTGGGTCCTAGAATCATATTGTCTATGTTTTAATTTTACCTTTACTGCTTCTTAATTATGGATTTTCAGGGAGCAATTAACCTCTAAATGCCTCTGTTTTCTGATGTGTAATGTAACGATACCAATAATAGTTCTCACTACGTAGAGATAATCTAATAGCTAGGTGAGATAATGCATAGCGAACACTTAGAACAGTAAGTAGCATAAAATAATTGCTAAATAAATGTTAGATTGTATAATATAGTATCTATTAATATGAAGTAATCTTGAAGACATTGTTAACATACCAAGTTACAAATCAAGACACAAAATATAATTCCATTTATGTTTAAACAGCAATGAGTATGTGCAGAAGTACATATTTACATGAATGTATAGAAAAATGTATAAAGGACACTAATACATCAATAATGGCAACTTCTGGGGATGAAAGTGGAGTGGGGAAATGTAAGAGACATTATTATGTATCTGTGTGTGCGTATGTGTGTTTGTATAGATATCTAAATATAGACACAGGTATAGATATAGATATATTGCAATGAGACTGTGTTTGAATTTTATTTACATCCTCCAAAATTCTAACTTAAAAATAAAAGGTATGTTTTGGTGGCTACACGAAAGATAGACTCGAGGTGGCACAGGTCAATAGAATCTTTCAGTGACAGCGAAAGAGTTCAAAAGACAACTTTCCAGGGCTTGCAATTAGCAGTGGCACAAGGAATGGTGAACAAAGCGTGGACTGAGGACATAGTGCACATGTGGAATGCACAAATCTTAGTGATGAATTAGATTTGAGGAGCAAGGGAGGAAGAGGAACTGATTCTAAATCAAGGTTTCTGGTTTTGGTGACTGTATGGATGAAGATGCTATTCACTAAGATGGCAAACCCCAGAGCAGGGTAGGTTTGTAGAAAAATAAAAGAAAAAAAAATTCTGATTTGGTCCCGCTAAGTGTGAGAAATCTGTGCAGCATTGTCAGTAAGCAACTGTGTGTAACGTTCAGTACAGTGGCTAGAGATCATATTTTGGAGTGGTCTGGGTCTAGCTGGTATTTAAACAGCACAGACGGTTCCAGCAAGGATGATGAGATAGGTATGAATCCTATGGCCATAGCTCTTCTCCCTCCTTTTTTTTCATGTCTTTTTGCAAGGAGTTTGGGATTCCAAACAGAAAAGATAAATGCTCTACCAGAGGGTCTAATAATTTTTTTTTCCTTCTCTTCCTCGGAAGATCACCATTTAATACATATACTGGAATACAAAATTCCTTTTTTGATGGTAGTCTGCTTTCCCTTAAAGCTGAACTGTTCTTAGAGCAAATAATAAAATAAATTTTGGATGCTTTTCTGCTTCTACGCAAACTAATAGGAGTCCCATTGGCTAGGAAACATGTTTCACTTCTCCTTTTTCTCTGTGATTGCCTCATGAGAGCTCCTGATGCACCAGCCAGCCATCCGGAAATGAATGTGAGGTTCTAAAGCCTATGAGAATCCGAAGGCAGGGGCCCTTTTCTTGGCTGATCAAAGGTATATTGTCTTCACAAACCCGTAACTCCTGGACAAGTAGGTTTTTTAAAAATGTTATCAATTTATTGTTTTAGCTAGTTGACACAAATTGGTTGATTTCAAATTTTTCCTGTCATCAAATTATTTGCAGCAATAATTCACTATTCAGCAAATTTTATTAAACCTAGCACAAATTTAGGGAACTAGAAAAGACCTACTATCTTGGAATTAAATATTATGAGGCTATTGTAATTTTTATGTCCCTCAGAAGGGCCCTAAATATTTTTCTATATGTTACATAAGTGACTTAACAATACTTTACAACAAAATGGTGAATAGAATTTTGGAATACAGAGTGTGGAATTTGCAGTATTAATTTATACACTGAATTAGATTTTTATAAATATATCAAAACAAGAAAGTTTAATAAATAATCAGCTTATCAGTAACATCTGGTGATATTACTGAGATATAGGGCTTTTCCCTTAGTTACCAAGAGAAGTGTCTATTGGGTTTAATTTCTCAACATAATATTGACAACATTGACATATCCTGAGATTATGTTGAGACATGATCCAGGTATGAGGATTTATTATAATTAGTCAAGCAAAAAATAAGTTAATCTACTATTCTGTACAAGTGACTAGAAAACAGTAGGCTAAGGAGAAATGTGATTGAATGATGAAAATTAAAAAATGTGTCATGGAATCATGGCCATGGTACATCGGTGATTGTATCTTAACCCAAAGTAACAAATCCTATGTATGGATTTCCCGATGCTGCTACATTCAATAAGAATATCAGAATAAAGATCTGACTTCTTTAACAGATGGACAGTCTCTCTCATACACACACACACACACACACACACACACACACACACATCTACACAGTAAAGAAAACAATTATTTAAATACTTCAGTCCAGAGCTAACTGGACTAAACTGAAGAAGATATTTGATGAAAAAGGATGAAATTTTTTTTCCTGTATTATCCATATTCACTTTCAAGCAGTTGTCACTGAAAGTAGTAAGAAGCAAGCTAACAAATAAGTTAAAGGACTTTTGGAAATATTTTAATAATACACTGTACTTGTTTCCTATTGCTATTATGACAATGATTCATGTCCATTCCACACACAAAATAAAGTCAACCCGTTCTCAGGTCTCCAAAACTCTCAACCCACTAGAGAGTCAACTCAAGTTCAAAATCTCATATAAGTCTCACAAGTTTAAAAGTCCTAAATCTCATCATACAAATCCCTAAATTAAGTATAAATGAGACTCTGGATATATTCCATCCTGGCACAAAATTTCTCTCCACCTACGAATCTATGACACTCAAGACTCTAGTTATCTGCTCCAAAATAAGGTGATGGAACAGGCACAGGATAACAGTTGTATATATTCCCATCCCCAGAAGAAGAAAATGAAAGGAAAAAAGGAGGGCCCAGGCAATTTCAAAAATCAACTCGGCAAATTCCATCAGGTGTGAGAGCTGAAATAATCCTCTCTGGCCCGTGAATCTGCCCTCTAGGCCAGAGGGTCTGTCCTCCAGTCCTCTGTATGTGTGTTAGGTGACTAAAACCAGGGTGTTGGCTGGTTTGGTTCCTTCTGGAGGCTCTGAGGGGAGAAGCTATTTCTTTGCCCTTTTCAGCTTCTAGCAGCTGCCTGCAATCCTTTGCTCACGGCCCCTTGAATTTCTCCAAACTCTTGCCTCCACTGTCACCTCTCTTACTAATTCTGATCTCTTGCCTCCCTCTTTCAAGAATTCTTGTGATTACATTGGGCCCACCTAGATAATCCAGAATAATCTTCCCATTTCAAAATCTTTAACTTAATCACACCTGCAAAATTCATTCTGCCATGTAAGGTAACATATTCACAGATCCTGGGGATTAAGGTGTGTGTATCTTTGGGAGATATCTTCAGGAGGGCGCTTGAAGAACATAAACTTTTGCCCATATTATTTAAGTAATTTTATCAGTCCTCATTTTCACCACTTTTATTCACTTGTCTTTTAATTTAATAAGTTAGCATTTAATAATCATCTTTACTGGACCTAGGCATTATACCATGGGTTAATAGAGATGATAACTGGGTTTCCTTTCCTCAGTCTAGCAGGGGAGAGTGGCAATACAACACTGTAATTACAATAATGGAAGTACAACCAGAATTTTGGATAATTGAGAATTAATACCCCGGATCTGTTCACCACTAACAGAAATGATACAATCAAATTGTATTATACAATCACCTGGATTCCCAGCTGAAGATAGACTGACAACCCTTACTCATTTTCTCACCATTTTGGGCTATATAAGAGGGTTTAACCTGGAATTTTTCTTTAGCAGGAAGCATCTTATATATTTACCACAGCCATTTTATGCCTTAGACAATCCTGGTACCTAACAGTGTCCAATAAAGTTCTAGAAGCATTGGCAATGCTTACTAAATACTTCTCAAAGTGAATTAAATTTGTTTTTAGTTTCAAATAAAGACTGCTTGAAAAGCATCATTCCTGCTGTCATAGGTGGGATTTGAGAAGAGTGTTAATTAGATTCTTTTTGTTTACCTCCACTTTAGCTGGTGGTCAGAGAAAGGAAACTCCCATAAGATGTGAAATGAAGAAATGATATCAGAAGAGAAGATATCACTCACTACAATTGGAGAAGGGATCAAGAGAGGTTTTATTTACTCCTTGGTAGCCTCTCTAGAGCCTTGATAACTGTATTCTTCCTAAAAGCCTTAATAACCCAATCACTCTTTTTGGCATCGATGCTACTGATCATCAATGTTTTACTTGCTAACAATTCACTAGTAGCAAACCAAGCTCCAAAGTCTGCAGTCCAGTAGTAATGACAGTCATAAAGGAAATACTGGCCTTGAGGTGCTGTAGACGCTGTAAAAGCCAGAATTGTCTAGTCTCAACACTTTTTTAATGCTGCCATTAACAGTGCAGCCTTGGACACAAGCTCTGCTCCTGGCTCAGAAAATGACACTATCATAGCTACCAAAGCTTAGTCTTATAATAGACAGATTGTGCTAGTGGGGAATTCTCTCGTCTACAATCTCCTGTGTTTCCGTAGGGCAGGAATGAAATTTATCCTTTCACTGTGGAGCAAATTCATGGATCAAAGGGTTTGCTGAGTAAATGGAGAGAGTAAACATGGGCAGTGTTTATCTGCCTTCCGGGTGAAAGCCAACAAATTAATTTCAATCTCTTTAGCAGATGCATTGGCATTTCCAAAATGAGTGTGATAGCTACAAGTATCTTTTTTCCATCCGTTGAAGTATTTCAACGATTCTCTAAAATCCAGAGCCTATAAATCTCATCTCCCTTCCACAGTGTCCGGGTAGCAAGCCTTACTTAGAGTTTTATCCATTACAGTCTCTATTACCCTACCATTTACTGAACACCAACTATGTACCAAGCATTCTAATGAGCACTTTATTAAAAATATTTTATTCTTTTCATTTAATCCTCTTATATGACAACTTTCCAACCTCAACATCAGTTTAAAATACTCTTAGCCTTCTTGATTTGAACCCAAACTTTAGGAGCTACTACCTCCATAACTATAGACCTCCATGTCCTTGGGGCTTCTTTTATGCTTTCTAATATCCTGACATGTGTCAGGAATGAAACCTTCACAGAGTGACCAAAAACTATGACCTTCGATAATGGAAAGCATGGGCAAGACACTGGCCTGCTTATATTATGACTAAAGAACAGGATTGTGGGCTTTCTGGATGTGGAATGGCCAGATAGCTAGCCGTAACAAATTTCACCCCAATAGCAACCTCAGTGTTGGTGAACTCCCTCATACTCCTAGTCAGGAAAACAGTGCTCCTTGCAGTAGTTCTTTCCCTGTCTACATTACCTTGTACTTTCCATATTGCCAAGCCCCCTTTTGAGGCAGGGCCCTGAGGTTTCCATATACTTCAATGTGGCACCTCTCTTCTTTTGGTTTCATTCAATACCCCCTTTTTCACTTCTACACCATGCGACTTTTATTCAAAGAAAGAACATATGATATATCTAGCAATGTTTAATTTCTCCTAGATCTAAGCCCCTAACCATTATTCACAGGAAATATGTTTATTCTACTCCATGTGAAGAAGGGCTTGGAATGTAGAGCAAAAATATGGATTTAGTGGCTTCTAGAGAAAGAAAAATAACATTAAATTTTATATTAAAAGTTAGAACAGGTTTGCATGTACTTGGGAGGAAGTAGATCATAGTGGCTAGGCTATGTGCATTTTCAGGTCAGTCTGGCTGGTTTGAATCCATAGTCTGTCACTGTCTAGCTGAATAACCAAGGGTGAGAATTAGCAAACTTCTTCTGTTAAGGCTTGATAGCAAATATCTTGACTTTGTGGGCCATACAGTCTCTTTCACAATTACTGAACTTCACTTTTGCATCATGAAAGCAACCACAGACATGCTAACAAGTAAGTGTGGCTGTGTTCTCATAAAACTTTACTTAAAAAACACACAGTGGACTGAATTTGGCCCATGACCTATATAGTTTTCTAACCTCTGACCAGGCCAGGTTTCTTAACCTCTTGAATTTCATCTATAAAATAGAGATAATAAAACAATATAAATGCATGTAAATTACATAGAAATATACTTGGCACTCAAGAAATTCTGCTGTTGTTATTGTTAATATTAATAGTAATTGGATTTCCAGCTGTTCACTCAACATTTCCACTTGGTTATTTGACGACACTTCAACCTTAACAAATCCAAAACTGAACTCGATCTTCTCTGTCAAACATACCTCTCTCACAGACTTCCCCATTTCAGTTCATTGTAATTTCATCCTTTCAGTTGCTTGAACCAATACCTTGGGATCAATGTCAACTCTTCTTCCTCTCACACCCTATATCCAATCCATTAGGGCATTCTGTGGACTATACATGTAAACACATCCTCTCCCTCCTCCCAACCACAGGGCAAGGATCAGAAAGAATACCTATTGAGTACTATGCTTATTACCTGGGTGATGAAATAATCTGTACACCAAACCCCTGTGACACGCAGTTTACCTATATAAAAAACCTACACGTGTACCCTTGAAACTAAAAGTTAAAAAAGATTAAAAATACAGAATTATGAATATATATATAGTCTGTAGATGCTATGTGCCTTGAAAAAGTATACAGTATCCATAAAGGTATCTGGAGGTATGGGTTCCCAGAGAAGGAGTAGTCAGTGTAAATGCCTGACTTTTATTGTTTGTTTCCCCACTATATATAAACCCCATGAAGGAAGGAATATATTTTTCCTCCTGCCAGTTCCTAAGCTCTTATATTTGTGCCTAACACATAGTATGTACCCAGTATATATCCGTTGAACAAAGAAATGAATGAAATATCATATTCTGCAATAGTCACAATAGTTGATGGATGTTGGACTCTTTAAATTGTTCAAGGGGCAGGCAGTATAAGATTCAGATAAGTCTGATTCTAAAGGATTTTCCTTTATCCCCACCCCTTGCCATTTTTCTCTATATCATTGCACCCTGCAAAATACTTAATGGAATTTATTGAAAAAGATGTGGTAGTTGGATCTTCTCATGGTAGCTTAATGGAAACCCTCCTTCCATCTTTCCTTTCTGGCCAGCTCCAGTATCCCTCCTATGGTTCCTTAAAGTGTGTTAGTTTTTACTCTATTTGCAGCTGTTTTTGAAAGCTTTAGCCTGATGAAGCCCAAGTAGATGGGCAATATTTTCATGAGCTGTCTATAATCATTATGGAGTCTTAAGAATTAAACATAGGGAATAAAATCATAACAAAGCATGCAGGAAATTTTCCAAGAAAAACATGAGGAAAGTAATATAAATTTTCTGTGGCTAATTAAGTTCCTATGCCTTACCAGATGCAAGGTAGAAGATTTCTCCTGCTAACCAAAGAATAGTAAGACCCAGGCTGGATCTAGGGGGAGGTGAAGGAGACATTTGCCTCCAATGCAAAACTTCAGAAAAGGCCCCAAACTCCATAGTCAAGAGAAATGCTATTTCAATGCAGTATTCCAAAAGAATCAAATCAGCAAATTATGGAAAACTACCTATTTTCGTCAGTAAAGTTTAATTGGAAGAGACCTCTCCATTTCTGAGGGAGATGGTGTCAACTCCTGAAGGCAAGCAGCAGGAAGCTCTGTGGGCCAGCTGACCAGCCAGGATTTGTGGTCATCCTTGACAGCTGCAACAATCACCAGCATCCAAATAACCTTAGTGCAACAGAAAAGAAAGTGGCCCATAAAGCTAGTGACCCGCGTTCTAGTCTTGGCATTACCACCATCCCTGTACAAGACTTATAATTTCTTCATCCATGAAATTAAAGGTTTAGGCTTTATCATTTTCAAAAATTTTACTTTGAAAATTCTCTAAGTTGGCCAAACTTTCTCTGAGTATTTAGTCGTGTATTTTTCTTATTATTTTAATCCTTTGTGATCACACTTTCCTTTCATTTAACCAAATTTCTTTCACTTCTTAACTTAAACTTTGTGAAGGTTGAATTCTGATACTGGTAGAGTTAAAGCATAATCTGGATCAGGCTTTAAATCCCATAGTAAGTACTGACTTACTAGCACCTCCCTATAGTGCCTCCTGTTCCCTTTTTCTGCAGAGGATCATGGTGAATGCTACAGTGTTTCTACTTTTGTTGCTCTCATTTTGCAAGTACTTTTATATTCATCATTCAGAATAGTGATAACTTTATATGGGAGGCTCATTGAAGGCTGTCTTACTTATCTCTGAAGTTGAGACCAAAGTGAATGGGTGCCTATCAGAAAAATTTAAAGGAATTCAAAGGAAAAACATGGAAAGAACTCATTCAAGTAGGTGAGACACTGCTTTCCTGAAGTGATCCATGCTTGACTTTGTTGAGTGGAATGAAGACAGGGAGTGACAGCAAAGAACCAGGAAATACATGGTTCAACACTCTTGACTTGATGCCGCTAATACCAAACTTCATCCAGTCTCTATCATAATTCAGATGTCTTTTCTACAAATTAATGTTAAGTCACCACTATTTTCACCATGTATTAAGAAATGTATTTAACTAGTATGTAAACAAAAAATAGGCTAAATTCCTCTTATTCAAGGATACCAATTTTTCTACACCAACAAGTCTATTTCTTACTCAAATGGCTAACGAATTTGACATTTATTAGACACTAATCTGAGCTATTCCTTTGTCTGTCTTCCACATGTTCCATTCTCCCATGCAACACAAAAAGGCGATCACAACTCACATTAGCTTTTGAGCCAACCTGCAGCAATCACAAGTTTACACATGTTTTCTTGTCAATAAAGAAGTTTTCCATTCATTGACCCATTTGGGCTCCCTTTGTCCACTCAAGAAACAATGTTCTAATCTGAGACTAATTGCAAGGAAGCACATACCTCATGCTAAACCCAGTGGCTAAAAAGCCAATAGTCACTCAATCTAACACTATTTATCATTTGAGATGGCCTAGGAAACATTTCTTCAATTCCACTCAAAATGATAACTGCTTTGTCATTAGTCTTCAGGCAATGTTCTGTCCCAAGCTAACCTCTTCCAGAAGGATTTAAAGCCTGACATCTTTTCTTTCCACGTTCACCCTCTCATCTTTTGCCTGCACCTTAGTCTCCATCTTTATACAATTCTTCCAGGCAGTTGATCTTCTCAGAGAAGCCAGAATCACAAAGTATCCAAGAAATTGTTCTGAAGAACTTGAATGGATCCACTTGACACAATATGCCACATGTTCTCTGAAACTCTTTTGCTCTTGTTATTGTGTCACCTTTTATTTGACTAAAATTTGCCATCAAATTATTTTAAGGACTATTTTCTCTCCAAAATAATGCTTTTCAAAGCAGAAATGTTGAGGAGGTGGAGCAAGATGGCAGGATAGAAAGCTCCGCCAATTTTCACCCCACCATCCCGCAACAAGGACACCAAGCTAACAACTATTTACACAGAAAAAACATCTTCATGAGAACCAAACATCAAGTGAAGAGATAGTCTTGAATAGCCGACGCTACTCCTTCACCTGGCAGCAGCAGAGTAGTGCAGAGACCATCTCTGGGCATTGGGGGAGGGGGAACACAACAATTCAGTGCTGTCCTGTTACAGCAGAAGTGAAAACTGGACCAAACTCAGCTGACACCCACCCATGGAGGGAGCATTTAAACCAGCTCTATCCAGAGGGGAACTGCTGACCCCAGTGGTCTGAACTTGAGTGCCTGCAAATCTCGCCACTGAGGGCTACAGCACTCTCTGTCTCCATGTAAACTTGAAAGGCTGTCTGGGCCATAAAGACTGAGATTCTTAGGTGAGTACTAGTGCTGAACTATGCCCAGAGACAGTGGACTGGGGCAGGGCAGGCACACAACATAGTGAAATACCAGCTGGGACAGCCAAGGGAGTGTGGCACCGCTCCTCCCCTAACTGCAGGTTACACAGCTCACATCTCCAAAAGGGACCCCCTCCTTCTGCTTGGAGAGTGGAGAGGGAAGAGTAAGGAGGACTTTGTCTTGCATCTTGAATACCAACTCAGCCACAGCAAGATAGGGCATTAGTCAGAGACATGAGGCCCCTGTTCCAGGCCCTACTCTCAGACATTTCTAGACATACCCTGGGCCAGAAGGGAACCCATTGCCTTGAAGGAAAAAACCCAGTTCTGCCAGCGTTCATTGTCTGCTAAATGAAAAGTCCCTGGCCCCAGAATAATTAGCAGTGATACCCAGGTACTGCATTGAGGGCCTTGGGTGAGCCTGTGAGACCTTGCTGGCTTCAAGTGAGACTCAGTACATCATTATCAGCTGAGGTGGCTGTGGGGCAAAACTCCTTCTGTTTGAGAAAAGAATAGGGAAAAGTAAAGGGGACTTTGTCTTAAACCTTAGGTATCCCCACAACCACAGGAGGGCAGAGCACCAAGGGGGCTGTTGGGGTCCCTGATTCCAAGCACTGACTCTTGGACAGCATTCCTGGATCTGTCCTGGGCTAGAGGAAAGCCCACTGCCCTGAAGGATGAATCCTAGGCCAGGTAGCATTAACTGCAAGCTGACTTAAGAGCCCTTGGGCCTTAAGGGAACATTGACTGGCAGTCTGGCAGTACTCTTTGCAGCCTGGATGGCAATGGCTATGGGATAAGGCTCCTCTGCCTTTCCAAAGAGTAGGTAAGAGGGGGAAGGACTATGTCTTATGGTTTGAATGCCCGCTCAGCTGCAATACAATAGAACAGCAGGTAGACATCTAAGGTTTCTGACTCCAAGACAGCACCTCTGGATCCACCTGGGGCCTGGGGGACCTCACCATCCTGAAGGGAAGGAAACAGACCTGGCTGGCTTTATCACCTGCTGACTGTAGAGCCCCAGGGCCTTCAGCAAACATAGGCAGTAGCCAGGGACTGGTTACTGCAGGCCTTGGATGAGACCTAGTACTCTGCTGGATTCAGGTCTGACCCAGCACAGTCATAGTGGTGGTAGCCACAGGGGTGGTTATGTTACTCCATCCCCAGCTTTAGGTGGCTCAGAACAGAGGCAGAGACTCTGTTTGTTTGGGAGATAGTAAAGGAAGAGAACAAGAGTCTGCCTGGTAATCCAGAGAATTCTGGATCTTGTCTAAGACCATCGAAGTGGTACCTCTATGAGTCTTCAAGTACCACAGCATTACTGGGCTTGGGGTGCTCCCTAAGGTAGGTACAGCTTCTATCACAATACTCAAGTCCTTCCAAATACCTGGAAAGCCTTCCTAAGAAGGAGGGCTATGAACAAGCCTAGACAGTGCAGACTACAATAAATAGCTAACTCCTTAATGACCAGACACAGAAGAACATCTACTAGCATCAACACCATCCAGGAAAACATGACCTCATCAAATGAACTAAGTAAGGCATAGAGGACCAATACTGGAGAAACAGAGATATGTGAACTTTCAGAAAGAGACTTCAAAATAGCTGTGCTGAGGAAACTCAAAGATATTCAAGATAACAAAGAGAAGGAATTCATAATTTTATCAGATAAATGTAACAAGGATATTGATATAATTAAAAGGAATCAAACAGATTATGGAGATGAAAAATGCAACTGAAATACTGCAGAATGCATCAGAGTCCTTTAATAGCAAAAATGATTAAGGAGAAGAAAGAATTAGTGAGCTCAAAGGCAGCCTATTTGAAAATACACCGTCAGAGGAGACAAAAAATAAAAAACAATAAAGTATACATACAGAATCTAGAAAATAGGCAAAGCAAAAGGGAAAAATCTAAGAGTTATTGACCTTAAAGAGAAGGTAGAGAAAGAGATAAGAGGACAAAGTTTATTCAAAGGTATTATGACAAAGAACTTCTTGAACCTGGAGAAAGATACTAATATTCAAGTACAAGAAGGTTGTAGAAAACCAAGCAGATTTAACCCAAAGAAGACCACTTCAAGGCATTTAATACTCAAACTCCCAAATATCAAGGATAAAGGATTCTAAAAGCAGAAAGAGAAAAGAAACAGATAACATAAAATGGAACTCTAAAACATCTGGTAGCAGAATTTTCATGAAAAACCTCACAGGCCAGCAGAGAGCGGCATGACATATTTAAAATGCTGAAAGAAAAGAAAAAGCTTTTTCCCTAGGATACTGTATCTGCAGAAAATATCCTTCAAACATGAAGAAGAAATAAAGACTTTTCCAAATAAACGAAAGCTAAGGGGTTTCATCAACTCCAGAACTTTCATACAAGAAATGCTAAAGGGAGTGTTTCAATCAGAAAGAAAAGGACATTAATGAGAAATAAGTAATCACCTGAAGGTACAAAACTCAATGGTAATAGTAAGTGTACAGAAAAGCACAGAATATTATAACATTGTAACTGTGGTGTGTAAATTATTTTTTATTTTTATTGATTGATTGATTGATTTTTTTATTATTATACTTTAAGTTTTAGGGTACATGTGCACATTGTGCAGGTTAGTTACATATGTATACATGTGCCATGCTGGTGTGCTGCACCCACAAACTCGTCATCTAGCATTAGGTATATCTCCCAATGCTATCCCTCCCCCCTCCCCCCACCCCACAACAGTCCCCAGAGTGTGATGTTCCCCTTCCTGTGTCCATGTGATCTCATTGTTCAATTCCCACCTATGAGTGAGAATATGTGGTGTTTGGTTTTTTGTTCTTGCAATAGTTTACTGAGAATGATGATTTCCAATTTCATCCATGTCCCTACAAAGGACATGAACTCATCATTTTTTATGGCTGCATAGTATTCCATGGTGTATATGTGCCACATTTTCTTAATCCAGTCTATCATTGTTGGACATTTGGGTTGGTTCCAAGTCTTTGTTTGCTATTGTGAATAGTGCCGCAATAAACATACGTATGCATGTGTCTTTATAGCAGCATGATTTATGGTCTTTTGGGTATATACCCAGTAATGAGATGGCTGGGTCAAATGGTATTTCTAGTTCTAGATCCCTGAGGAATCGCCACACGGACTTCCACAATGATTGAACTAGTTTACAGTCCCACCAACAGTGTAAAAGTGTTCCTATTTCTCCACATCCTCTCCAGCACCTGTTGTTTCCTGACTTTTTAATGATTGCCATTCTAACTGGTGTGAGATGATATCTCATTGTGGTTTTGATTTGCATTTCTCTGATGGCCAGTGATGGTGAGCATTTTTTCATGTGTTTTTTGGCTGCATAAATGTCTTCTTTTGAGAAGTGTCTGTTCATATCCTTCGCCCACCTTTTGATGGGTTTGTTTGTTTTTTTCTTGTAAATTTGTTTGAGTTCATTGTAGATTCTGGATATTAGCCCTTTGTCAGATGAGTAGGTTGCAAAAATTTTCTCCCATTCTGTAGGTTGCCTGTTGAATCTGATGGTAGTTTCTTTTGCTGTGCAGAAGCTCTTTAGTTTAATTAGATCCCATTTGTCAATTTTGGCTTTTGTTGCCATTGCTTTTGGTGTTTTAGACATGAAGTCCTTGCCCATGCCTATGTCCTGAATGGTAATGCCTAGGTTTTCTTCTAGGGTTTTTATGGTTTTAGGTCTAACATGTAAGTATTTAATCCATCTTGAATTGATTTTTGTATAAGGTGTAAGGAAGGGATCCAGTTTCAGCTTTCTACATATGGCTAGCCAGTTTTCCCAGCACCATTGATTAAATAGGGAATCCTTTCCCCATTGCTTGTTTTTCTCAGGTTTGTCAAAGACCAGATAGTTGTAGATATGCGGCATTATTTCTGAGGGCTCTGTTCTGTTCCATTGATCTATATCTCTGTTTTTGTACCAGTACCATGCTGTTTTGGTTACTGTAGCCTGGTAGTATAGTTTGAAGTCAAGTAGTGTGATGCCTCCAGCTTTGTTCTTTTGGCTTAGGATTGACTTGGTGATGCGGGCTCTTTTTTGGTTCCATGTGAACTTTAAAGTAGTTTTTTCCAATTGTGTGAAGAAAGGCATTGGTAGCTTGATGGGGATGGCATTGAATCTGTAAATTACCTTGGGCAGTATGGCCATTTTCACAATATTGATTCTTCCTACCCATGAGCATGGAATGTTCTTCCATTTGTTTGTATCCTCTTTTATTTCCTTGAGCAGTGGTTTGTAGTTCTCCTTGAAGAGGTCCTTCACATCCCTTGTAAGTTGGATTCCTAGGTATTTTATTCTCTTTGAAGCAATTGTGAATGGGAGTTCACTCATGATTTGGCTCTCTGTTTGTCTGTTGTTGGTGTATAGGAACGCTTGTGATTTTTGCACATTGATTTTGTATCCTGTGACTTTGCTGAAGTTGCTTATCAGCTTAAGGAGATTTTGGGCTGAGACAATGGGGTCTTCTAGATATAGAATCATGTTGTCTGCAAACAGGGACAATTTGACTTCCTCTTTTCCTAATTGAATACCCTTTATTTCCTTCTCCTGCCTAATTGCCCTGGCCAGAACTTCCAACACTATGTCGAATAGGAGTGGCGAGAGAGGGCATCCCTGTCTTGTGCCAGTTTTCAAAGGGAATGCTTCCAATTTTTGCCCATTCAGTATGATATTGGCTGTGGGTTTCTCATAGATAGCTCTTATTATTTTGAAATGTGTCCCATCAATACCTAATTTATTGAGAGTTTTTAACATGAAAGGTTGCTGAATTTTGTCAAAGGCCTTTTCTGCATCTATTGAGATAAGCATGTGGTTTTTGTCTTTGGCTCTGTTTAGATGCTGGATTATGTTTATTGATTTGCATATATTGAACCAGCCTTGCATCCCAGGGATGAAGCCCAGTTGATCATGGTGGATAAGCTTTTTGATGTGCTGCTGGATTCGGTTTGCCAGTATTTTATTGAGGATTTTTGCATCAATGTTCATCAAGGATATTGGTCTAAAATTCTCTTTTTTGGTTGTGTCTCTGCCTGGCTTTGGTATCAGAATGATGCTGGCCTCATAAAATGAGTTAGGGAGGATTCCCTCTTTTTCTATTGATTGGAATAGTTTCAGAAGGAATGGTACCAGTTCCTCCTTGTACCTCTATTAGAATTTGGCTGTGAATCCATCTGGTCCTGGACTCTTTTTGGTTGGTAAGCTATTGATTATTGCCACAATTTCAGAACCTGTTATTGGTCTATTCAGAGATTCAACTTCTTCCTGGTTTAGTCTTGGGAGGGTGTATGTGTCAAGGAATTTATCCATTTCTTCTAGATTTTCTAGTTTATTTGCGTAGAGGTATTTGTAGTATTCTCTGATGGTAGTTTGCATTTCTGTGGGATCCGTGGTGATATCCCCTTTATCATTTTTTATTGCGTGTATTTGATTCTTCTCTCTTTTTTTCTTTATTAGTCTTGCTAGCGGTCTATCAATTTTGTTGATCCTTTCAAAAAACCAGCTCCTGGATTCATTAATTTTTGAAGGGTTTTTTGTGTCTCTATTTCCTTCAGTTCTGCTCTGATTTTAGTTATTTCTTGCCTTCTGCTAGCTTTTGAATGTGTTTGCTCTTGCTTTTCAAGTTCTTTTAATTGTGATGTTAGGGTGTGTCAATTCTGGATCTTTCCTGCTTTCTCTTCTGGGCATTTAGTGCTATAAATTTCCCTCTACACACTGCTTTGAATGCATCCCAGAGATTCTGGTATGTTGTATCTTTGTTCTCATTGGTTTCAAAGAACATCTTTATTTCTGCCTTCATTTCGTTATGTACCCAGTAGTCATTCAGGAGCAGGTTGTTCAGTTTCCATGTAGTTGAGCAGTTTTGAGTGAGATTCTTAATCCTGAGTTCTAGTTTGATTGCACTGTGGTCTGAGAGACAGTTTATTATAATTTCTGTTCTTTTACATTTGCTGAGGAGAGCTTTACTTCCACGTATGTGGTCAATTTTGGAATAGGTGTGGTGTGGTGCTGAAAAAAATGTATATTCTGTTGATTTGGGGTGGAGAGTTCTGCAGATGTCTATTAGGTCCGCTTGGTGCAGAGCTGAGTTTAATTCCTGGGTATCCTTGTTGACTTTCTGTCTCATTGATCTGTCTAATATTGACAGTGGGGTGTTAAAGTCTCCCATGATTAATGTGTGGGTGTCTAAGTCTCTTTGTAGGTCACTCAGGAGTTGCTTTATGAATCTGGGTGCTCCTGTATTGGGTGCATATATATTTAGGATAGTTAGCTCTTCTTGTTGAATTGATCCCTTTACCATTATGTAATGGCCTTCTTTGTCTCTTTTGATCTTTGTTGGTTTAAAGTCTGTTTTATCAGAGACTAGGATTGCAACCCCTGCCTTTTTTTGTTTTCTATTTGCTTGGTAGATCTTCCTCCATCCTTTTATTTTGAGCCTATGTGTGTCTCTGCCCGTGAGATGGGTTTCCTGAATACAGCACACCAATGGGTCTTGACTCTTTATCCAATTTGCCAGTCTGTGTCTTTTAATTGGGGCATTTAGTCCATTTACATTTAAAGTTAATATTGTTATGTGTGAATTTGATCCTGTCATTATGATGTTAGCTGGTGATTTTGCTCGTTAGTTGATGCCGTTTCTTACTAGTGTCGATGGTCTTTACAAGTTGACATGATTTTGCAGTGGCTGGTACCGGTTGTTCCTTTCCATGTTTAGTGCTTCCTTTAGGAGCTCTTTTAGGGCAGGCCTGGTGGTGACAAAATCTCTCAGCATTTGTTTGTCTGTAAAGTATTTTATTTCTCCTTCACTTATGAAGCTTAGTTTGGCTGGATATGAAATTCTGGGTTGAAAATTCTTTTCTTTGAGAATGTTGAATATTGGCCCCCACTCTCTTCTGGCTTGTAGGGTTTCTGCTGAGAGATCCGCTGTTAGTCTGATGGGCTTTCCTTTGAGGGTAACCCGACCTTTCTCTCTGGCTGCCCTTAACATTTTTTCCTTCATTTCAACTTTGGTAAATCTGACAATTATGTGTCTTGGAGTTGCTCTTCTCGAGGAGTATCTTTGTGGCATTCTCTGTATTTCCTGAATCTGAACGTTGACCTGCCTTGTTAGATTGGGGAAATTCTCCTGGATCATATCCTGCAGAGTGTTTTCCAACTTGGTTCCATTGTCCCCATCACTTTCAGGTACACCAATCAGACGTAGATTTGGTCTTTTCACATAGTCCCATATTTCTTGGAGGCTTTGCTCATTTCTTTTTATTCTTTTTTCTCTAAACTTTCCTTCTCGCTTCATTTCATTCATTCCATCTTCCATTGCTGATACCCTTTCTTCCAGTTGTTCGCATCGGCTCCTGAGGCTTCTGCATTCTTCATGTCATTCTCGAGCCTTGGTTTTCAGCTCCATCGGCTCCTTTAAGCACTTCTCTGTATTGGTTATTCTAGTTATACATTCTTCTAAATTTTTTTCAAAGTTTTCAACTTCTTTGCCTTTGGTTTGAATGTCCTCCCGTAGCTCAGAGTAATTTGATCGTCTGAAGCCTCCTTCTCTCAGCTCGTCAAAGTCATTCTCCATCCAGCTTTGTTCCATTGCTGGTGAGGAGCTGCGTTCCTTTGGAGGAGGAGAGGCGCTCTGCTTTTTAGAGTTTCCAGTTTTTCTGTTCTGTTTTTTCCCCATCTTTGTGGTTTTATCTACTTTTGGTTTTTGATGATGGTGATGTACAGATGGGTTTTTGGTGTGGATGTCCTTTCTGTTTGATAGTTTTCCTTCTAACAGACAGGACCCTCAGCTGCAGGTCTGTTGGAGTACCCTGCAGTGTGAGGTGTCAGTGTGCCCCTGCTGGAGGGTGCCTCCCAGTTAGGCTGCTCGGGGGTCAGGGGTCAGGGACCCACTTGAGGAGGCAGTCTGCCCGTTCTCACATCTCCAGCTGCGTACTGGGAGAACCACTGCTCTTTTCAAAGCTGTCAGACAGGGACATTTAAGTCTGCAGAGGTTACTGCTGTCTTTTTGTTTTTCTGTGCCCTGCCCCCAGAGGTGGAGCCTACAGAGGCAGGCAGGCCTCCTTGAGCTGTGGTGGGCTCCACCCAGTTCGAGCTTCCCAGCTGCTTTGTTTACCTAATCAAGCCTGGGCAATGGCGGGCGCCCCTCCCCCAGCCTGGCTGCCGCCTTGCAGTTTGATCTGAGACTGCTGTGCTAGCAATCAGCGAGACTCCGTGGGGTAGGACCCTCCGAGCCATGTGCGGGATATAATCTCATGGTGCGCTGTTTTTTAAGCCCATCGTAAAAGCTCAGTATTAGGGTGGGAGTGACCCAATTTTCCAGGTGCCCTCCTTCACCCCTTTCTTTGATTAGGAAAGGGAACTCCCTGACCCCTTGTGCTTCCCGAGTGAGGCAATGCCTCGCCCTGCTTCGGCTCGCTCACGGTGCGCGCACCCACTGACCTGCGCCCACTGTCTGGCACTCCCTAGTGAGATGAACCTGGTACCTCAGATGGAAATGCAGAAATCACCCATCTTCTGCGTCGCTCAGGCTGGGAGCTGTAGACCAGAGCTGTTCCTATTCGGCCATCTTGGCTCCTCCCCCTGTGGTGTGTAAATTATTATGCTAAGTAGAAAGACTAAATGATGAATCAATCAAAAATAATAACTACAACATTTCAAGACCACCTGAATATTGAAAAAGTCAGTAAACAAGAAGTTTAAAAGCTAGAGGACAAAGTTAAGCCATGTAGGTTTTATGAATTTGCTTTTTGCTTGTTAATGTGTTTATGCAAACAGTGTTAAGTTGTTGAAAGGTTAAAATAATGGGATATAAAATAGTATTTGCAAGTCTCGTGGTAACCTTAAACCAAAAAAACTTACTAGGGAGACACAAAAAATAAAAAAACAAGAAACTAAATCATGTCATTAAAGACAATCACTTTCGTTAGAGGAAGACTGGTAGGAAAGAAGGAAGAGAAGTCCACAAAACAACCAAAAACCAAATACCAAAATGGCAGGAGTATGTCCTTACTCATCACTAATAACATGACATGTAAATGGACTAATCTGTTTAATTAAAAGACATAGACTGGCTGAATGGATGAAAAAAACAAGACTCATTGATCTGTTGCCAAGAAACACACAAAACCTATAAAGACACACATAGGCTGAAAATAAAGATATCAAAAAAGATATTCCATGCCAATGGAAGTCAAAATAGAGCAGAAGTTGCTCTATTTATATCAGAAAAAATAGATTTCAAGACCAAATCTATAAGAAAAAACAGAGAAAGTAATCTATAATGATAAAGGGGTCAATTCAGCAAGATAATATAATAATTTTAAATATATATAAGCCCAACGGTGGAGCACCCAGATATATAAAGCAAACCTTATCAGAGGTAAAGAGAGAGATAGGCCCTGATACAATAATAGCTGGAAACTTCAACACTCCACTTTCAGCATTGGAGTGATCTTCCAGATAGAAAATCAACAAAGAAGCATCAGACTTAATCTGCACTATAGACTAAATATATCTAATAAATATTTATAGAAGATTTTATTCAATGGCTGCAGAATACACATTCTTCTCCTCAGCACATGAATTATTCTCTAGGATAAATTATATTTTAGTTTACAAAACAAGTCTTAAAACATTCAAAACAATTGAAATAATATCAGTCATCTTCTCTAACCATAATGGAATAGAACAGAAATTAAAAACGAGGAATTTTGTAAACTATACAAATACATGGAAATTAAACAATATTCCCCCAAATTAATCATGGATCAATAAAGAAATTGGGAAAGAACTTGAAAATTTCTTTGAAACAAATGATGATGGAAATACAACATACCAAAACCTATGGGATACAGGAAAAGCAGTACTAAAAGGGAAATTTATAGCTATAAATGCCTACATCAAAAAATATTAAAAAAATTCAAATAAACAATCTAATGATGCATCTTTAAGAACTAGAAAAGCAAGAGCAAACTAAATGCAAAATTAGAAGAAAAGAGATAATAAATATCAGAGCAGAAATAAATAAATTTGAAATTAAAAAATATGAATAAAAGGATTCAATGAAACCAAAGTTGATTTTTTTAAAAAGCAAGCGGCCAGTCGCGGTGGCTCTCACCTGTAATCCCAGCACTTTGGGAGGCCAAGGCGGGCGAATCACCAGGTCAGGAGATCGAGACCATCCTGGCTAACATGGTGAAACCCTGTCTCTACTAAAAATACAAAAAATTAGCCAGGCATGGTGGCGGGCGCCTGTAGTCCCACCTATTTGGGAGGCTGAGGCAGGAGAATGGCGTGAACTGGGGAGGCAGAGCTTGCAGTGAGCCGAGATAGCGCCACTGCACTCCAGCCTGGGCAAGAGAGTGAGACTCTGTCTCAAAAAAAAAAAAAAAAAAAAAGTAAGAAAAATTGGCAAACCATTAGTCAGACCAAGAGAAAAAGATGGCTGGGCTTGGTGGCTCACACCTGTAATCCCAGCACTTTGGGAGACCAAGGTTGGTGGATCACGAGGTCAAGAGTTCAAGATCAGCCTGACCAACATGGTGAACACTCTCTCTACTAAAAATACAAAAATTAGCCAGGCATGGTAATGCGTGCCTGTAATCCCAGCTACTCAGGAGGCTGAGGCAGGAGAATCGCTTGAACCCGGGAGGCAGAGGTTGCAGTGAGCCAAAATTGTGCTACTGCACTCCAGCCTGGGCAACAGAGCAAGACTCCATCCTCCCCCACAAAAAAGAAGAAGAAGATCCAAATAAAATCAGAAATTAAAAACGAGATATTACAACTGATACCATAGAAATTCAAAGGATCATTAGTGGCTATAATAAGCAATGATATGCCAATAAATTTGAAAATATGGAAGAAATGAACAAATTCCTAGATACATGCAACCTACCAAGATTGAACCAGGAAGAAATCCAAAACCTGAATAGACCAATAACAAGTTATGAGTTCAAAGTCATAATAAAAAGTCTCCCTTTAAGGAAAAGCCTGGGACCTGATGGCTGAATTGTACCAAACATTTAAAGAAGAAATAATACCAATTCTACTCAAACTCTTGTGAAGAAAAGAGGAGAGGGGAATACTTCCAAACTCATTCTATGAGGCCAGTATTACGCTGATACCAAAACCAGACAAAAACACATCAAAAGAAAGAAAGAAAAACAAAAAACTATAGGCCACTATCTCTGATAAATATTGATGTAAAAATCCTCAACAAAATACTAGCAATCCAAATTCAACAACACATTAGAAAGATCATCCATCATAACCAAGTGGGATTTATGTCTAGAATGCAAGGATGATTCAACACATGCAAATTAATCATTGTGATATATTATATCAACAGAATTATTCAACATAGTACTAGAAGTTCTAGCTAGAGCAATCAGACAGGAGCAAGATATAAAAAGCATTCAAATTGGAAAGGAAGAAGTCAAATTATCCTTGTTTGCAGATGATATGATCTTACATTTGGAAAAACCGCAAGACTCCACAAGAAAACTATTATATCTGATAAACAAATTCAGTAAAGTTGCAGGATACAAAATCAACATACAAAAATCAGCAGCATTTCTATATGTCAACAGTGAACAATGTGAAAAAGAAATAAAATTAAATACCTACATTTACAATCACCAGAAATAAAATTAAATACCTAGAAATAACTTAACCAAATAAGTAAAAGATCTCTATATTGTTAAAATGTCCATGCTACCCAAAGCAATCTATACATTCAATGCAATCTCTATCGAAATACCAATGACATTCTTCACAGAAATACAAAAAAAATTTTCTTTTTTCTTGTTTTTTTTTTTTTTTTTTTTTTTTTTAGACAGAGTATCCCTGTGTCACCCAGGCTGGAATGCAGTGGCACAATCTTGGCTCACTGCAATCTCCGCCTCCTGGGTTCAAGTGATTCTCCTGCTTCAGCCTCCTGAGTAGCTGGGTTTATAGGTATCTGCCACCATGCCCAGCTAATTTTTGTATTTTCAATAGAGATGGGGTTTCACCATGTTGGCCAGGCTGGTCTCGAACTCCTGACTCCAGGTCATCTGCCCGCCTTGGCCTCCCAAAGTGCTGGGATTACAGGTTTAAGCCACTGTGCCCGGCCCAATCCTAACATTTTTATGGAGCCATAAAAGACCCAGAATAGCCAAAGCTATCCTAAGCAAAACAAAACAAAACGAAAACCAAAAAAGCTGGTGAAATAAAAAAGCTGGTGAAATCACATTACCTATCTTCAAATTATACTCCAGAGCTATAGTAACCAAAACAGTGTGGTACTGGCATAAAAACAGACACATAGACCAACAGAAAAGAATAGAGATCCTAGAAATAAATCCGCACACCTACTTTGAACTCATTTTTGTCAAAGGTTCCAAGAATATACACTGGAGAAAAGATAGTGTCTTCAATAAATTGTGCTGGGAAAACTGGATATCCATATTCAGAAGAATGAAACTAAACCCCTATCTCTTGCCATATACAAAAATCAAATCAAAATTGATTAAAGTCATAAATTTAACATCTCAATCTATGAAACTATTACAAGAAAGCACTGGGGAAAATCTCCAGGACATTGATCTGGGCAAAGACTTCTTAAGCAAGCAATACCCCAGAAACACAGGCAACCAAAGCAAAAATGAATAAATGGGATCACATCAAGCTAAAAAGCTTCTGCACAACAAAGGATATACAGTCAACAAAATAAGGAGACAACCCACAGAAAATATTTGCAAACTACTCATCTAACAAGTGATTAATAACGAAAATACGTAAGGAGCTCAAATAAATGAAACCTAATAATCTGATAAAAATGGGCAAAATATTTGAATAGATATTTCTCAAAAGAAGACATACAAATGACAAACAACATATGAAAAGATGATCAACATCATTGATCATCAGAGAAATGCAGACCAAAGCTACAATGAGATATCATCTCACCCCAATTAAAGTGGCTTATATCCAAAAGACAAATGCCGGAGAGGGTGTGAAGAAAGGGGAACCCTTATACACTGTTGGTGGGAATGTAAATTAGTACAGCCACTATGGAGAATACTTTGGAGGTTCCTCAAAAGACTAAAAATTTAGCTACCGTAGAACCCAGTAATCTCAGTGCTAGGTGTATACCCAAAAGAAAGGAAATCAGTATATTAGAGAGATATCTTGTACTCCTATGTTGTTGCAGCACTGTTTACAATAGCTATGATTTGGAAGGAACCTATGTGCCCACCAACAGATGAATGGATAAAAAAAATGTGGCACATATATACAGTGGAGTACTATTCAGCCATAAAAAAAGAATGAGATCCAGTCATTTGAAAAAACATGCATGAAACTGGAGATGATTGTATTATGTGAAATAAACCCAGCACAGAAAGACAAATATCACATGTTCTTACTCACTTGTGGGATCTACAAATGTTAAAATTAAACAATTAAACTCAGGCATAAAGAGGAAAAGATGGTTGCCAAAGGCTGGGAAGGGTAGTAGGGAGCTTGGGGTGGGAAAGGTGGGGATGATTAATGGGTACAAAAGTAAATAGTTGGGAAGAATGAATAAGACGCACTATTTGGTAGCACAATAGAGTGACTATAGTCAATAATAACTTAATTGTACATTTTGAAATAAAGATTATATTTGAAATGTTTGCAACTCAAAGGATAAATGTTTGAGGAGATAGTTACCCCATTCTCCATTATGTGCTTGTTTCATATTCAATGCCTATATCAAAACATTTCATGTACCCCTTAAATATATACACTTATGATGTACCCACAAAAAATTAAATAAAAACAAAGGATTAATGAATCTAAATAAAAACAAAGCAGGAGTGCCTTGTTGTCTATAAAGATGGGTTTTCTTAAGTAAAAACATTTTAAAATCTCTTTGTGTTTGTAAAACAATATTATGACTAGAATAATTTGTTTTAAAAATAAATATTATCTATAATATCACTAGCTGAACATAGTAATAATTTCATTTTTAATCATTCTTTTCCAACCTGGGTCTCCACGTCTATATATATATTTTAAAAGTTGCAATATTTGTGTACAAGCAAGCTTTCTTACCTTCAGTCGTGGGACTTTCCCATTATACAGTCTTTACTGGCACCACTTTTTAATATTAGTGGGTAGAAGTACAGATTTCTTACATGCATATATTGTGTAGTGGTGAGTTCTGGGCTTTTAATGTACCCATCACCCAAATAGTGAAGAGTGTACTCAACAGGTAATTTTTTAACCTTCACTATCCTCCCACCTTCTGAAGTATCTGATGTCTATTCTACCCTGTATGTATATGTGTACCTATTGTCTATCTCCCACTTAAGTGAGATCGTGAGGTATTTGACTTTCTTTTTCTGAGATTTTTCAGTTAGGATAATTGCCTCCAGTTCCAACCATATTGCTGCAAAATACATGATTTTATTCTTTCTTATGGCCGAGTAGTATTCCATAGTATATATACACCATATTTTCTTTATCCAATCCTCCATTGATGGACACTTAGGTTGATTCCATATTTTTGCTATTGAGAATGGTGCTGCAATAAACATACTAGTGCAGTTATCTTTTTGATAGAATGATTTTCCCCCTTTGGATATATATACAGTAGTGGAATTGCTGGATAGAATGGTGGTTCCATTTTTAGTTCTTTGAGAAATCTTCACACCGTTTTTCATAAAGGTTGTAATAATTTACATTCTCACCAACAGCATATAAACGTTCCCTTTTCTCTGCATTATCAACATCTGTCATTTTTTGACTTTTTAATAATAGCCATTCTGACAGGTATAAAATGGTATCTGTCTGTACTCTTAATTTGCATTTCTGATTAGTGACATTGAGCATCTTTTCATATGTTTGTTGGCTGCTTGTATGGTTTCTTGAAAAATGTCTGTTCATATACTTTGCCCACTTTTTAACGGAGTTGTTTGTTGTTTTCTTCTTGAGCTGTTTGACTTCCTTGTAGATTCTGGATATTAGCCTTTTGTCGGGTGCATAATGAAAATATTTTTTTCCCATCCTGTAGATCATCTGTTTATTTTGTTGATCATGTCTTTTGCTGTGGCATCATTTTAAATGGCAGCTTAAGAATGCTCTAGATGACTACGTAGTCATTTGTGGTAGTAGTGTTCTGTGTTGTCCTAACATTGGTAAAATATCTTTGGGTGGTGTGTACTCAACTTCCATTTTCACTTACTGTCTTTTTACATGTGCCTGCTACAGAGACAATTTTTTGGATGCTTTGAAGCTTGGATTATTGTGTGACTTTTTTTCCTTGTGTTCTCTACATTTCTGCCCCATGGAATACAAAGATGGAGCGGAAGTATCCGTCTTGCAACAACAGGACTACAATTATGAGGATGCTGCGAGCATGCTAAGGATGGCAAAGCAGGATGACAGACAGAGCTTGAATTATTGAGATGTTGTACTGGCCTTGTACTACCTAACTCCAGTTTTATATTGTAAAGACAAATAATCTCTTCTGTTTTAAAGCATTGTGATTATATTTTCTGTTATTTGCAACTGTACTTATTCCTTAATGATTCAGTTTTAATAAGCCATAAGATTCATTTTGATATACCTCCAGAAATCATACCATTAAATTATTCAGTTGTAACACAGGAATGCCACTAACCATGACCCTGGGGATGCCATGGTAGCAGGTCCCATGGGCTTCTCAGTATGCCTGTTGGCTCTCCTCCTACGATTTAGACAACAGACTCTGGGATTGGAAACGCTTGTGCAATTCTTCGTCTCTGATGGCACTCAATCAGTGAAGCATTCTCAATGCATTCTTCCTACTACTAAGACCATGCTTGTTAGAATCAAGGTAGAGGTAGCCAGGTAAGGGCAGTGGAGAGCAGCTGTTGGGAGCATCTGATGATTTTTTTCTTTTAATATCTGTTTATTAAATAAATGTTGAGTGCCTTCTAGGAGCTACAGACTGGGTTAGGCATTAGGATGTGAGAGAGCTGATTGAGGAAATTTCTTAGTTGAAAATGAGTTGAAACACTGGAGAATGTAAGATGTATAAAGCCACAATCACCAAGACACCTGGAGAGAAGAAGCAAAAATGAAAAGGTACCTAATATGCGCCTGCTAAGGAAAGAGAGAAGGGTGATCGTGGGTCTGAAGTCCAAGGCAGGTTAACAGAGCAAATGATGATGAGGGGTACAATTGGATACTTTGTTTCTGTTTTTACTTTTAATATAAATCAAAGGTTTATGTATGTACCACATACAGGAAGGTAAACCCATAATAATTGTATAGCTCTATGAATTTTCACAAACTGAGTCCATTTGTGTAATCAGAACCCAGATGAAGAAAGATAATATGACCAGCACCCTACAAATCCTGCCCTGTTTCTTTCTCCTTATAATCCTTCCAGTGGTAACAACTATCTTGCTTTTTAACACCATAGATTAATTTTGCTTACTAGTTATTTTAAATTAATGGGAACATCCAGTATGTACTCTTCTGTGTCTAGCTCCTTTTGCTCAACTTTGTATTAGTATGATTCACCCATGTTTTTGCTTAAAATTATCATTTTATGATAATTCTCATTTCTGTGTAGTTTTCCATTGTGGTGGTGTTCCATAATTTCTCTTTCTTTACTAATTATACTTTTGATGGATTATTGGGCAGTTTCCAGTTAAGGGTCATTACAAAAGTATGCAAAAAATTGTGCACATATCTTTGGTGCACTTATGTGAACATTTCTGTTGGATAAATATACTTAGGAATGGATTTTCTGGGCCATAAAATAGTTGTATGCTTACTATTTGTAGAAACTGCCAAACATTTTCCTCAAGGTTACTCTGTAAGTTTATATTTTCTACAGCAGTGAATAAGCTATACACTTAGGCTCATTGTAAGGTGTATGTGTGTGTGTGTCTGTGTGTGTGTTTATGCTAAAATACTTCATTGAAATATAATTTAAATGTAATGAAATTGCAAGACTCTCAACCTTAATTCATTTTGACAAATGGATACATGTAACTGTCACTCAGATAATGATATATAATATTTCTTTCCATGGCTACCAAAAGTTCCTTCATACCCCATTTCAGTCATTCACCCTCTCCTGAGGCATTTTTATAATTTCTTATAGCATCAATTAGTTTTGCCTGTTCTCAAACCTCTTACAAATGGAAACATAGTATATTCTTGGATCTAGCTTCTTTGGCTCAACACAGTATGATCCCTCGAGTTGTTGGTATGTTTGTAATTTGTTTTTTTCTTATTGCTGGAGATTATTGAAGGATACTTTTTAAGGGAGGAAGGCCAGGCCCACCAAATCTAAACCTGGTCTATCTTTCAGATATCTGGGAATCTTCACCATTTTTAACCCCAGTTTTTGGAGAATCATAATCTGTTGGCATCAATGTATGGCCTGACTTTGCCTGATTTTTAAAATTGTTCCTCTCTAGAGCAATCTATTTTGGTGGAAGTAGCTTGACATGACCTGCTAATATCAGAATGTTTATTCTATTCTCTGACTCTTGGCTTCCTATTTTCACATTTTTTAACATACATTTCAGTTTCTTTCCACTGGATTTATAAATCAAAGCATACCATTTAAGTAAGTATGTGTATTGAAAATTGCTAGTGCTCCATAAGGCTATGGAAATTTGACCCAAGTATAGGTTAAGTCTGTAGAATTACAGCTACCCTCAGTCTCCCAACCAATGTGTGCAACCCAGTAGGCCATAAATCAGCACACCATTCAAACCAATGTTATTTATTTTTTGGTTTAACATTTGTTAGAGAGAAGCTAAGCATCTATTCATAAAGTGTATACTCCATTCTACATATTCAAAATAAGACATGTATTAAATGTATTAATATAATACAATGCTGTAATTTATTTGGAATTACCTTTATGTGACCACATTTTGGCAGTCACAACAGATTACAGGCGGTCATTTTCACTAACGATAGACAGAAGCAACTGGCATGCATAAAGAAATAAAATATCTTCCAAATACTTTTATGTAGATTACACGCTTGCTGCTTTTCTGTAATTACTGTTCTCTTTTTTTTTGCAATGTATATGAAATGGCTCAACATTTAGCTCTTAGGATCAACCTTCAGTCTTGCTGGAATGGCATTCCTATTCATGCTTTAGTCTCTGCTCAACTTACCCAACTTGCGAATTTCAATTCAGGGTTGGTGGGTTTTGTTTTGTTTCTGTTTGTTTTCTTTTTCTGTTGTTGTTGCTTTGTGTTGTTCTTTTCCTTTTCTTCCCCCTTTGTTCTTTTCTCCTTCCTTATCTTCCTTTAGTCCCTCTCTGATAGGCATCACATGGTTCTGAGGGAGGAAACTACACTTACACTTTTTGTCCATTATGGATAGAGGTCCTTGTGGAAACCTGTGTTACCTGGAATCATTTTTCTAATTTATTTCTGTGATAGTTGAGAACCCCATAGTCTGGCCCCTCTAGTAGCTGCCATCCAAATTCTTAGTCTAGTCTAAAAGATTCACCAAAATATATATATCAGGTATGGTGAACTATGAAGATAAGATTTGGGGTTTCCTAGTAAAATATTAATTAACAGAAAATATTATTCACATGTTTAATTTTAAATATGAATATTTGATTTATTGAAGTCAATACAATAATCTATTTTTTCTTATTTTAAGTTATACTTACAAATCTCTTCTTGTACTTATAAAATTAACAAAAATGTCCCTCAGTTTTAAAGAAACTTCAACTAATATGCTGTCCAATTTAAAGCTTTAAGTTTTATTTTATTTTATTTTATTTTATTTTTGAGAGGGAGTTTTGCTCTTGCCACCTAGGCTGGAGTCCAATGGCGTGATCTTGGCTCACTGCCACCTCCTTCTCCCAGGTTCTGGGGATTCTCCTGCCTCAACCTCCTGAGTAGCTGGGATTATAGGCGCCCGCTACCACGCCGGGCTAATTTTTGTATTTTTAGGAGAGACAGGGTTTCATCATGTTGGCCAGGCTGGTTTGAAACTCCTGACCTCAGGTGATCCACCCACCTCGGCCTCCCAAAGTGCTGGGATTACAGGCGTGAGCCACCATGCCTGGCCTATTTTTTTGAGACCGAGTCTCGCTCTACCACCCAGGCTGGAGTGCAGTGGCGCGATCTCGGCTCACTGCAACTTCCGCCTCCCAGGTTCTCGTGCCGCAGCCTCCAGAGTAGCTGGGATTACAGGGGCCCGCCACCACGCCCAGGTAATTTTTGTATTTTTTTTTTTTTTATTTGAGTTGGAGTCTCGCACTGTTGCCCAGGCTGGAGTGCAGTGGCACAGTCTCTGCTCACTGCAAGCTCCGCCTCCTGGGTTCACGCTATTCTCCTGCTTCAGCCTCCTGAGTAGCTGGGACTACAGGTGCCTGCCATCATGCCCGGCTAATTTTTTGTATTTTTAGTGGAGATGAGGTTTCACCATGTTGGCCAGGCTGGTGTCAAACTCCTGACCTCAAGTGTTCCTCCCGCCTCAGCCTCCCAAAGTGCTGGGATTACAGGCATGAGCCGCCGAGTCTGGCCCAGCTTGAAGTATTAAACTTATATATTTTAAGCTCACCTTATACATTTATTACATTAAAACATAAAATTTTCTTTTTAAGAATTTCAAGTAACAAGCAAAAAAAATCTTTTAGAGCACCTAAATTACTCTTTCAAATCTATAAACTTATGAAACTTATTTAAATTTTAAATTTGTATTAAGCAGTTCCACAATGAATATATATGTATAAATATATAAAGATTTCAACCTCAAATCACATGTCCAAATCAATTACTCAGTTACACATTTCACATTGGAATCATAAAGCTGATATGTTACTCTCAAAGGCAAAATTCTTTTAGACGTTACAAATTCTTAAAATATCAAGCATGTACTTAGTACAAAATGTTAGTACCATAATTTTCTTAAACATATCTACATTTATTTCCAAATGTTCTCAAGGATAAGAGAGTCTTATTTGCTGAGACAATTATATTACCTGGATGATTTTGAGGTTATCTTCTCAACTAGTGAAAGTTACATATGAAATAGAGATATGACCTTGTTTAAAATTTATTTTCATGCTTTTTATGGTCACTGTGACAGGGACTCTAAAACTTAAACAGGGCAGACTGCCCACCATCCTGAGCATGAGTTCTATTAGTATCTTATTCTTCTGTCTATTCAAGGAAGTTTACAACTCACTCTGTCTTACCATTTGGTTAGATTCAACTGTGTGACTCCATTCTGAATTTTTTTTATCATTCCTCTAGCTATTAGTGCTACACAGCTTATGAAATTGTTTGATTCCATGTATCTCTAGAGCCAGACGTGTTATTTTAATTACATGAACAAAAGATTGAGGTGTATACTTTGTAAAAAGACAGAGAAAAGTACTTAAGAAAGTAAAAGACCAGAATTTATTTAGCTAGTGTACTCAGAGGGGGTTTTTATTGTGTTAAGCTCAGAACCATTGTTACCCACAGAAAACACTTTCTCATTTTTTTTTTTCATTCATACATACATTTAATCAATACTTATTAATATCCATCATTGTCCGGCTTCTGGAACTAAGAAAGGAAGAAATAGTTAAAATAAACTGATCATTTAAACATTTATTATAGACCAGAAATTTTATCTGCATCTATTAATGCCATGAAGTAGGAGCCACCAGTTTTGTTTTACAAATGAAGAAAATAAGGCCCACAGGGGATAAGAAAATTTTCCATTTTCTATATTAACAAAGCTATCTAGTGACCAAAACCAGATAGGAACTTAGTGATAGCTGGATCTAAAATGTATATCCTCTGCCTCCAGAGAGGAGCTCATCATTTAGGGAATGGAAGTTGTCAGTAAAGGTGCAAAAGGACAAGAACAGAAATAGCAGAGACCTGAAAAGTAGAAAGCCTAATGCTTATGACCTTGCTACTGGAACTCAGCTTGAGGTGTGTGTGTGTGTGTGTGTGTGTGTGTGTGTGTGTGTGTGAATGTAAATGTTGCAGATGAAAGAACTAGCCATGTCAGTAAAACCTTCCTGGAATCTCTGTTTCTAGGAAACAAATACAAGAACGTTTACCCCCAAAGATAAAGTGGCAATCAATCAATACAAAGTGAGTATGAGAGAGGCTGCCACATAGCCCTCAGATAAACTAAGATTTTAAGTTTGCGCTTATCATATCCATTGTCTTCACAAAAACATTAAATTATCTTCTATGACTGCTTCATAGGAGAGGGTTATTTTATTATTGTTTTATTTATTTATTTATTTATTTATTTGAGACGGAGTCCCGTGCTGTCGCCCAGGCTGGAGTGCAGTGGCACGATCTCGGCTCACTGCAAGCTCCGCCTCCTGGGTTCACGCCATTCTCCTGCCTCAGCCTCCCGAGTAGCTGGGACTACAGGCGTCTGCCACCACGCCCGGCTAATTTTTTGTATTTTAGTAGAAACGTGGTTTCACCGTGTTAGCCAGGATGGTCTCGATCTCCTGACCTCATGATCCACACGTCTTGGCCTCCCAAAGTGCTGGGATTATAGGCGTGAGCCACTGCACCTGGCCTTTATTATTATTTTTTTAAACAGTCTGGCTCTGTTACCCAAGCTGGACTGCAGTGGCATGATTATAGCTCAATGCAGCCTCAAACTCCTGGACTCAAGCAATCCTTTCACCTCAGCCTCCTGTGTAGCTGGGACCACAGGTGTGTGACATCGTGCTCAGCTGATTAAAGAAGATTTTTTTTTAGAGGTGTGACTATGTTGATCAGGCTGATCTCAAACACCTTAGCCTTCCAAAGTGTTGAGATTACAGGCATGAGCCAATGTGCATCATCAGGAGAGGGTTATTTTATTGAGAAATTGTAGTTGCACCATGACTGCACTAACCTTTTGGCTTTCTTTGTTATCTGTGTTTGGGAGCACTTTAACACTGACTACTATCTTTGCAAATTTTCTAACCATGCAATGGCAGCTCCCTGAATTACAGGCATCACACCTAGGAAGAAGTGACTTTTTCCTCACTGCACTTCTTGATAGAGTAAACCACCCGAAATGATGACAGACACCCTAATTTTAAACCCATTCTAAAGTGAGCTCCTCTCATGCTTCATATTCATATTAACAACTTCTTGCTTATCTAGACCTCTATTTTTATGCACCCATAGTCTGTATATGTTCTTTCTTTTGACTATTTCACTGTTTGTTGCCCTTTCCGAGTAAGGAAAGAAAAGAAAAAGTTCAGTTAGTTAAGGCTGTCTTGGCTAAGAGCCTCTGTTGTAAGAATGTCTTTTGGGTTTTGATTTGCCTGACCGATGTGGTCCCTAATTTGTTTTCAACAAGGCCAGCCAAACTCACTCCAGCTCCTGTCACAGCCACTCCACTTTTTCTGTCATCTTTTCTATTATGTGACAACCTTGAAACTGTACGTTTTACATAGACTCTGCTATTCACACGCTGGCTTTCAAATAACAGTCTAATTGATTTAGAATGGCTCTGTAGAAACATGGTGCATCATGGACATTCTAAAAGTAGAATTCTTAAGTGCAGAATCTGTTTCTATCATGTCCCAGCTGCGTGATCTTGTGCAAAGCACTGAAACTATTTGTGCCTCAGTTTCACACTCTAAAGTAGGAAAAGTTTTGTCTCTACTTCATAAATTTACTGGGAGGGTTAAATTACTAAATACATCTAAAGCCTTTGGAAGCATGTCAGTTGCATACCTAGTGCTAGATAAATGTTTGGTATCAGTCTTATTTTATTAGAGAAAGGGCTGACATAGTTTGAGTATAGGATATAACCTTTAGAGGGAGAGTTCTGCACTGGGTTTTCCATTGCCTCAGCTCTCTAGGCCCTGAACCCATGATTAAATGAATCAGCTGTAGATTTAGTTATAACTGATTAGAATAAATAATGTGCAGGATTTATTTCCATTTGGCCTGGATCCTCATATCCTTCCAACAGTGTCCCTCTTCCATGATCAGAGCTCTCTTTGACTAAAAAATTAAAACTGAACAACCACAATAGCAACCAAAAGTCAGCTGTATCAAAGGATAGAATAGGAGCTAAGCAAACAAGGTATCTTGGTTTGGTTCTGTGAGTTCCATGTTTTCAGACACAGGGAGTAATTGAGTTACATTTTCCCCATTGGCTTGCTGGAAAGGTGAGCCCATGATACCAACTTTTCTAGAGGCGGATTATTTTTGGAGTTCAGCTCTTAGGGCATTAACCAAGTTCTAAATAGCAAATTATCCTGAGTCAGCTGATTGTGAATGAATAAACAATAAAAGGCCTTATTCTCTGAGGACTGGGTCTGGTATTTCTGTCTCTTTCAGAGGTTTGACCAAGTGTGAGGTTTGGGAATGGGAACCCAGGCCTGCCATCTGGCCAGTCAGCTTTCTCCCTCATTCCTCTTTAGTGGGGTTTTCCATTGTGTTCCTTGTTGCATCTGCTTGGTGGTTGAATACCAATCCCAGCCAACATCTCCTCACTCTGTTACAAATGCCATACTCATTATCTGTTTAGTAGACAAAGGCTGCTGTTCTAGGGCTAGGAGTCCATGCTGTATAATCCTGGCTAGCACAGATGGTGTGTGGGCATGGATTCAGAATTTTGGAGTTAGAAAAGACCACATATATCTTCTCTACCAACATTATTCAACAGAACTTTCTGTGATGACAGAAATGGTTTATAATCTGTGCTATCAATATGGTAGCCACTAGCTACACATGGCATTGAAATTTGAGTAGTGTGACTGATAAAGTAAATTTTAATTTCATTCACATATAGCTAGGGGTTATTACATTAGTCAATTTGGAATTTTTTCACTTAGTTTATAAATAATAAAGGTAAGACCCCAAGAGAGGAAGAGTGAGTTGTTCAAAGTCATATAGTAGATACACTGCACAGTTGGGATTAGTGATTGGAAATACCCTCTTCCATACTAGTGCTTTCCCTTTCTTACAATCCCAAAGCCATGAACACAGTTCTAGAATCCCACTGGTATCGATAAAACACCAGAGTCTCTTATTTTTGTGAGATCTAATATCCAGGAAGCAGTTCCCCATCATCACCACCTTCCTGACATGCTTTTCTTTTGTGACTTTCAGGGGTGGGGAGTGCTGTTTCTGCTTACTGTATGGACAAGATTTCACCAAAGGCTGGAGTGGACAAAGCATTCAGTAACTTAATCCGCAGCCCAACAGTTTTTCTCCTCCTTCAGGGATAATGTGAGCTCATTTGTGTTAGGCTCTGCATCTGGATCCCTCTGGAAAACTCTAGATGGTGAAATGTAACCATTTTCTTGAAAACTTTCCACACAGTATCTTCTGGGATTTGTCAACAGTCTCAGCAAATCCCATGGTAAATAATATTCTGAATGTTTGGCACATTTCAAAGCAAATTTTTCTCGTCAGGGTTTTGCTGGCTTCTGGGTGGTTTCTTAGAAGAACATTAGTATTCATTGAAATATTCATTTTTAAAACACTAGAAATTGACACTCAAGTGGAGTGTGGCTAAGGGTTTGAGTCCTAGAAGATTTTAAGCTGCCAAGTGAAGAGGTAAAAAAAAAAAAAATCTCTTTCTGTAATTAGATACACACAACCACCATGAGGTTGAATATTTCACAGTTATCTAGCCCTTTAGGACACTATAACTGTATTCAGAGAACTTGATCTTGAAACATGCTCTCCTGCACTGTATTGACGAGTTGACCAGAACTAAAAGAGATACTAGAGTAATCACATTTACACCTCTTCCCTCTTGCTTCTTGTTCTTTTGATGATATAGTCCAGAGGGTCCCTATAAGACTTTCAAGCCTATCCCCACGCTTTTTGTTTCTCTCACATAATTTTTCCTGACTGGGAACATTTTATAGCCAAACCTATTTTTCCCTTGCCTACAGTAAGAACTTGATAATGCACTTTTAAATATTTAACTTCTATGATTATTTTGCATATGACTTTCATCTCTTTGCAGGGATTAAATATGCATGGGGAATAGTAAACAATTCCTGTGGAATTGCTTTCTGAACAAAGAGTTTCTTAACTCTATGGTAGACCCTGAGGGTATACCCTGAGTAAGCTCGAGCCAAAAAGTGCCCTATAAGGGCCGTGGTAACCAAGAATCTGTAAAGAAGGAGGCAAAGGAGGGACAGAGGGTTTAAAAGGAAACATAATTTTTCTTTTCAATTAAGAAGCTACAACATATTTCTGTCTCTCTTCGGTGTGAAGGGTAGAAGGCTCCCAGCAAAGGTGCATATTTATATGAGTGGAATCTATGTTCTTATTTGGAAGGTCAGGGCAGGAGTTTTCTTTCTACTTATAATAATCTCAAAATCTGATTCAGATGCAAAAACTTGGTCACCTGATGGAGAGGTAGATGGCTGATACCAGAGCCCTTTGGGGTTACTTCAGCAGACCAGTAATGACTCAGATTTCTCCACAGAGCAAAAGAAACTTAGTGGAATATTCAATTCTGAACTTCTTAACAGCATATTATGGAAACACTGTGCATATATGCAGTGAACTGGAAGGCTGTGGAGGTTCTGGATAATTTCAACATGGACAAGCAGTGAAGATAATACTGGTGCAATGAGCTCTCTTCTCTCTTTAACCGAGTTTGTGGTGTCAACACCATGGTCACTATGGTTTACACAGCAGATCCAAAAAAATCACCAAAGTAGGAATTCGCTTTGGTGAATAGGTATTAGCAGGCTTTAGAGTCAAGTCGGCCAGGCTTGAGTTTGGATGTACTCTGTGTAACCCTGGGAAAATTGCTTATCTTTCTAAGCCTTTGTTTTTCCATCTTTAAGTTGCAGCTAACAGTATTCAATTTGAAGGGGTTCTTATGAGAAATTATGTACAGTATATCAGTGCAGACCTTGACATGTCACCATCAAACATGAACAACTGTCACAAAGTTTCAATGTCTACATTTTTCCTAAAACTAATAATGAGCTTATATTAAAACTATGTAACTTTCACTGACATGTCTTAAAAATATGGACCACATTTTCTACTTACCCAGAACTTCCCAGCCTGTGGCTGCCAAAGGGGAAAATAGCAGTGACATTCAGTTCCCCTGGTTCTTGCTCCTTTTGCTCAAACCCTTCTGGGGAGGGCTCCCGTGTGCTCCTGAATAAGTCTGCATTGCCAGTCACTTTATTTGAAATCTGTGATTGCCACACTAGGCCCAAGAGCACTCATAATGATGTGGCTGACAACCTGACAAAGTTTAAGCTTTCTTTAATAAATGGATAAACATAATATCTCACCTTTTATCAAAGTTACTTAAATGGCTGAAAAATAATCAAGTAGTCAAATCCTTTTGAAAAATAGTTTTACACACTAACATACTTCTTTTTTCATCTGATACACCTCCCTGTGGGGAGGTGGACATTGCCTCTCTTTAAAATCACCTGCTGTCTGCACTTCTATTGTAGCGGGTAAAGACATGTTTGTTCTTTTATGTTACACACTGTTAGACGGAGGCTCACATGGTGTTGCTTGGTTCATAGAGCTTTTCAGAAAATTGCCATCTCAACACAAGACTCCATGTAAATCTGTGGTTCCTGGTGTTGCAGAGCAATGATGCATACTTGTGATACAATACACAGTCCTTGGAGGTGCCATCTCCATAGATGATGATGCAGAACTAATTTTAAAGGATGTGATGATAGAATGAAATGACATACATCAATAGGTTTTGTAAGATAGGAAGAACTATCAAAAACTAAAGTAACTATTTCTTTAGAGGGAAGTATGAATGAGCTGTAGATTATGTAGAATCTTGAGAGGAGCTGATAGTTTTCGAAACAACAGGCCAGCTTGCGCCCAAGGGATGTCAGCTGCTGAGCCTTTTAAAGCAATGGTGGTGAAAATGTCATTTACAAAAAATAGGCTGTGTCTGCCAGACTCGGCATTTTGATAGTTAATTCATTGTTTGGGGCAATTAAATGCTTGTAGTAAATATTCAGACATTCCAGTAACTGGCCAAGTGATGTGAGATTTAAAATTACCATTAGGTCAGGAGGCAGGAAGTCAAACTCAACAATCAGTATAGGTGCTATGGGTGCCATGAGGGCAGGTAGAGGATAAAGACACTTGAAATCAAGTGGAGTGAATCAGCTGTTAGTGTAGAAGCATGGTAGGTAAAGAGAATTCACTCCTTCCTCCATGAGCCGAAGGGCAATGGCACTCCAGAACAAATTCTTTGAGTGATCATCCAGTTGGGTTATGGTATTCAAGCCAGATCTCACCCCTCAAAATGTGGTCCATGAAGAAGCAGCATCAAAATCAAAATCACCTGAGCTCTTGTTAAAAATACATAGCCTCAGACCCCATGCCAATTCCAAGACTTCCTGAATCAGAATCCACATCTTAACCAGATCTCCAGGTATTCATATGTTCTCAAGTTTAAAAAACACTGACTTGGAATTATTTTGTTAGGAAGCAATATAAACTGGCTCTGTTTAAGCTTCAAGGGGGGATTTATCAGAAAAACTTTTGGGGTCTCAAAGAATTGAAGGAGGGGTTGACCATACAAGAGTAATGAAAAAAAAGGAATCTCAACAACATGGAAAACAGAAACTTCTTTCCAGAATGTAACCATAACAAAAAACAGCTCTACTTATCTTCCTTCCTCCCTTCTTCATTCCTTCCTTTCTTCCTTCTTCCTTTTTTCCTTCCTTCCTTCTTTTCCTCCTTTCCTTCCCTTCCCTTCCTTCCCTTACTCCTCTCCCTTGCCTTCCCTCCCCTCCCCTTCCCTTCCTTTCCTTTCCCTCTCCTTCCCTTCCTTCTCTCCCTCCCTCTTTCCTTCCTTCCCTCCCTCCCTCCTTCTTTCCTTCCTTCTTTCCTTCCTTCCTCACTTCCTTCCTTCCTTTCTTCCTCCCCCCCTCCTTCCTTCTTTCTTTCCTTCCTCCCTCCCTTCCTCACTTCCTTCCTTTCTTCCTCCCTTCCCTTCTTCCTTCCTTCTTTCCTCCCTTCCCTTCTTCCTTCCTTCTTTCCTTCCTTCCCTCCTTCCTTCCTTCCCTCCCTTCCTTCCTTCCTTCCTTCCATTCATTAAGCAAATATTCATTGAATGCCTACTATTTGCTCAACACAGTGATAGGCAATAGGGATCCAATGAACATAACTAAATAGCCTCTACTCTCATGGGATTTACAGCCCCATGAGGAATGTAGAATGAATAGAGAATGTAGAATTAATGAAGTAATCACACAAATATCAGCATAATTAAAACTATTTGAATTTCAAGGAGAGGCAAATTATTTTATTAAAATATGCATATTAGGACAACCTGTCCCTAGTTACCTTCCTAGTTATAAATGGAAGTTGCAATTGAGTGTTACAATTGGAAGGCTAATTAGAAGTTTACAAGGCAACAATGGGATAAAGAATATTTTACATGAATGAGAAGCATATGCCCTGAGGTTGGAACAGAATGGATTTGTGTAGTAATAGGTAGTGACTAGATCACAAAAGGCCTTAAAAGCCACATGTAAGAGAAACATTTCTGTTCACCAAACCCTACCTTCTCCTCCTGGGCCTACAGCCAGATTTGCAATTAGGTGCAGCCATCTGAGTAGGTTCTGGCTAATGAAATATGGGTGGAAATTAATAAGGATCACCTCCAGGCCTTAAACCTCCTACTAAAACCCCACTCTTTCTTATTTTATCTGCTAGTCATTAACAAAACTCTAAAGAGTGGTGGAGCCTCAAATTAGAAGGTACCTAATCCCTGAAATGACTGCACAAAACAGACCCATTTTCTGCCAACTTGTTTGGATTGGAAATGAAACAAGAAATAAATCTTTATTAGATTAAACCACTGATATGTTGGGGCTGTTTCAGCCTTAGCTTACCCTGACTAATATGGCCACTAAAGATTTTGCCCTTTAGCCTGAGAGTTGTGAGAAAGCTTTGGAGTATTTTCAGTGGAAGAGATCCTGGTCCCAGTTTTATCTTCCCTGCATGGATGAGTAATTTACCTATAGGTCAATCAACTATAACCACAAATCACATTACACAGCACAGAAAATTTCCAGTAGGAACTCAGCACTGCATAATTTGGAACCATTCCTGGTGATGAGAGATTTCTATGCCAAAAAATTACCCAAAGTGTTTTCTCCTATAACATCCAACCCATGGGTTAAATAGATTTAAAGGTGAGGGCTCAAGAGAAGGGAGAGATTGTGATTCACACATGAGCAAGGCACACCTTTCTGCTAGGACAGTGGCCTCTCAAAGTGTGGCCTAATAGCAATATGAAATCCTAATTGGAAAAATGCAAATCATCACCTGAATCACATAGATTTCTGGGGCAAGCCTCAGCAGTCTATATCTATGGGCTGAAAAGTCTTCCAGGTAATTCTAATGCATGCTAGAATTTGAGAACTCCATGTGCTAAGCTGATAATAATAATTAATTGAGAGGGGAAAACCATATGTAAGAAGTTGCTGTTTATGAGAGCATTTTCATACATACCACCATTTTAATAGCATAAAGTTTTCTAATGGCTTTCCTGGCATTTTCTGATTCCTTCTCTGTTCTTCCAGTGAGATTATACAATATTTTCCGGAAGATAAAACTGAGTTAAAAACAAGCAAAGGAAATTGACTTGAAGAATCCTTAAAGTCAATGAGCAGGTCTTTCCAGAATAAAACTGAGGGGGTCCTTTTAAATGGGAAGAAATGAAGGTCTTCACAGGTCATTCCACCATAAAAGACCTGAGCCTCAGGCCAGCCCAGGCCTTCTCCTGCTTCCCTGTCCCCATCCCCGACTCCTCCCTATAGCATCCTCCACTCATTTACAGCCAGAGAACAGAACTGAATTTGGATCAGAGGTCTGGACTGCAGTCTTAGATCCATATTTAGATAATATGTGTCATTGGGCAAGTTCATAGCTGTGGAGCTTTATCCACAAAGTGGAAGGGTTGTTCAATATATATGAAAACTGGGGGCACTATGGGCTACTGTGAGCACTCAGTGAATGGTAGGGCACTGAAGGGAAGTTAGGACCATTTGGAGCAGGGTCGTGCCTAAGAGCTTGCAGGGGCATCAGAATCCCAGGAGCTCCTAGCTGGTGTTTCCTCACTGACTATGGAGGCCAACAATGTCATGACTTTTTTTCTGGGCTGCTCATCACCACAGAGCCCAGCCGGAGCCGACCTTAAGAAGATGCAGCCCAGCATCCTGCCAGCTATGTTTGCTAGGCTGTGGAGCACTTTTTATGGCATCCAGCTTATGCTGTTGTTGTGGTTTTCATTATTGGTGTTTTTATGCCTCCCAAGGCTCTCTTGCAAAGGGTAATGAGTATCTTTTTTAAAAATTTCAAACCTCACATTTGTAGCAACACAGAGAAAGAGGACAGGAAAACGAACTCTGACAATTTTTTGGAGATGCTTGCAGCACAGTCTCACAGGAATGAGTTTGGGATTTTGTCTGCAGAGTGTTCAAATGTGCCTTCTCTCTCTCATTCTCAGCTGTTCCCACCATTTTCATTCTTGTGCTAAATTCTGTCCTCTTCTAAAGGGGCTTTGCCATTTACTCCCACCTGGCCACAAAAGACTGTTCTATTGCACAGCTCTCTATGTTTGTGTCAGATACAGAACTAAACCATCAGTCCAGTGCTGCAGAAAACCTAATGGAAGCTTATTGCTCAATTTTCTCCTAACTGGCACTCTTCCTTGATCCAAAGTTTGTTTTCTACTCTCATCTCTTTTCCATTACTTCCTAATATAGTAGTGAAAATAAAAACTAACCCTTATTAAGGGTTTCTGATGTTCTAGGCACTGTATTCAGTACTTCAAGTACATTTTCTCCTTTTAATCTTCACTATCATAGTAAAAGGAAGGTATCATTATCTCATTTTTTATTATACTTTAAGTTTTAGGGTACATGTGCACAATGTGCAGGTTTGTTACATATGTATACATGTGCCATGTTGGTGTGCTGCACCCATTAACTCGTCATTTCACATTAGGTATATCTCCTAATGCTATCCCTCCCCCCTCCCCCCACCCCACAACAGGCCCTGGTGTCTGATGTTCCCCTTCCTGTGTCCAAGTGTTCTCATTGTTTAATTCCCACCTATGAGTGAGAACATGCAGTGTTTGGTTTTTTGTCCTTGCGATAGTTTGCTGAGAATGATGGTTTCTAGCTTCATCCAAGTCCCGACAAAGGACATGAACTCATCATTTTTTATGGCTGCATAGTATTCCATGGTGTATATGTGCCACATTTTCTTAATCCAGTCTATCATTGTTGGACATTTCGGTGGGTTCCAAGTCTTTGCTATTCTGAATAGTGCCACAATAAACATACGTGTGCATGTGTCTTTATAGCAGCATGATTTATAATCCTTTGGGTATATACCCAGTAATGGGATGGCTGGGTCTAATGGTATTTCTAGTTCTAGATCCCTGAGGAATCGCCACACTGACTTCCACAATGGTTGAACTAGTTTACAGTCCCACCAACAGTGTAAAAGTGTTCCTATTTCTCCACATCCTCTCCGGCACCTGTTGTCTCCTGACTTTTTAATGATTGCCATTCTAACTGGTGTGAGATGGTATCTCATTGTGGTTTTGATTAGCATTTCTCTGATGGCCAGTGATGATGAGCACTTTTTCATGTGTTTTTTGGTTGCATAAATGTCTTCTTTTGAGAAGTGTCTGTTCATATCCTTTGCCCACTTGTTGATGGGGTTGTTTTTTTTCTTGTAAATTTGTTTGAGTTCATTGTAGATTCTGGATATTAGCCCTTTGTCAGATAAGTAGATTGCAAAAATTTTCTCCCATTCTGTAGGTTGCCTGTTCACTCTGATGGTAGTTTCTTTTGCTGTGTAGAAGCTCTTTAGTTTAATTAGATCCCATTTGTCAATTTTGGCTTTTGTTGCCATTGCTTTTGGTGTTTTAGACATGAAGTCCTTGCCCATGCCTATGTCCTGAATGGTATTGCCTAGGTTTTCTTCTAGGGTTTTTATGGTTTTAGGTCTAACATTTAAGTCTTTAATCCATCTTGAATTGATTTTTGCATAAGGTGTAAGGAAGGGATCCAGTTTCAGCTTTCTACCTATGGCTATCCAGTTTTCCCAGCACCATTTATTAAATAGGGTATCCTTTCCCCATATCTTGTTTTTGTCAGGTTTGTCAAAAATCAGATAGTTGTAGATATGTGGTATTATTTCTGAGGGCTCTGTTCTGTTCCATTGGTCTATATCTCTGTTTTGGTACCAGTACCATGCTATTTTGGTTACTGTAGCCTTCTGTTACAGTTTGAAGTCAGGTAGCATGATGCCTCCAGCTTTGTTCTTTTGGCTTAGGATTGACTTGGCAATGTGGGCTCTTTTTTGGTTCCATATGAACTTTAAAGTAGTTTTTTCCAATTGTGTGAAGAAAGTCATTGGTAGCTTGATGGGGATGGCATTGAATCGATAAATTACCTTGGGCAGTATGGCCATTTTCACGATATTGATTCTTCCTACCCATGAGCATGGAATGTTCTTTCATTTGTTTGTATCCTCTTTTATTTCATTGAGCAGTGGTTTGTAGTTCTCCTCGAAGAGGTCCTTCACATCCCTTGTAAGTTAGATTCCTAGGTATTTTATTCTCTTTGAAGCAATTGTGAATGGGAGTTCACTCATGATTTGGCTCTCTGTTTGTCTGTTATTGGTGTATAAGAATGCTTGTGATTTTTGTACATTGATTTTCTATCTTCAGACTTTGCTGAAGTTGCCTATCAGCTTAAGGAGATTTTGGGCTGAGATGATGGGGTTTTCTAGATATACAATCATGTCATCTGCAAACAGGGACAATTTGACTTCCTCTTTTCCTAATTGTATACCCTTTATTTCCTTCTCCTGCCTGATTACCCTGGCCATAACTTCCAACACTATGTTGAATAGGAGTGGTGAGAAAGGGCATCCCTGTCTTGTGCCAGTTTTCAAAGGGAATGCTTCCAGTTTTTGCCCATTCAGTATGATACTGGCTGTGGGTTTGTCATAGATAGCTCTTAATATTTTGAGATACGTCCCATCAATACTCAATTTATTGAGAGTTTTTAGCATGAAGGGCTGTTGAACTTTGTCAAAGGCCTTTTCTGCGTCTATTGAGATAATCATGTGGTTTTTGTCGTTGGTTCTGTAATTCAAAGAAGTGGAAGCCCAGTAAGTTGAGAATTGGCCCACAGTTGCATGGACAACATGCATCAGAACAGGAATCAGAATCCATGTTCCGTCTCTCTCCAAAGCCACTGTGCTACCTTGTCTGCTCCAGGACATCACCACCTGGGTTCTATGTAAATTCTGAAATGCACTCTCTGTTCTTTGCCACTGGTAGAGATGATCATGGTTAGCCATATGCAGTAATGTTCCTCTGGAAAATATGTTGGCTGTGAGTGCAAATATAATCAGTGACCAGGATGTAAACCCAGATGATATCTTTTGGACTCAGAAGGTACTGAATAATTTTATTTTATTCTTTTTATTTTTATAATAAAATTTTATTTAATAATGAAATAATAGAACTATTTATTTTATTTAAAATATACATTTTTATATATAATAGAAATGTTTTCTATTGTATGTTTGTTTACAATATTCCAGGCCTTATTCTAAACACTTAATATATAATAATTAATTCAATTTCACAACATCTTATGAGGTAGACATTATTACTATCTCTGTTACACAGAGAACTACATTGCAGAGAGGGTAACTGCTGGAAATGAAATTCTAATGCGGAGAGTCTGACTCTCAAGTTCCTGTGCTTAATCACTCAAAGTTCTCCATTCTCCACACATCACTCTCCTTTGCCTCTGCTGTCCCCTGTCACTTCGTTTCAAGGCAAAAGGAGCATCCACCCAACTCCCCAGTAGGCCAATTCCTGACTTTAATGATTGCTTTTCACCATCTTTTCCTTTGTTTTTCACAGCCTTCTACTCATACTGTCTGAAGGAGAATTGGTACCCATTTTTGATAAAGGATAACAGAATGTTTAGTACTTATTCTCTTTGTCTCCAGCTTTGGGGCCTTGTTGCCAGTTCTAGGACAACAGGAAAAGTTCCACTCAGTTTTCTGCAATGCTTACTAAACCTCTGTTATAGGCTGGGCCTTATATTAGGTGTTGGAGTTCAAATGTGTATCAACCAGGACCCCTGTCCTGAAGGAAAAGCTAGTTTTGTTGGAGAAATGCAAAATTGCTCTAACACAAGGTGAAATATGATTGATACCCTTGTAGAAGGCACAATTTCTATGGGAGTTTGGCAGAAGCATTCCAAGTACTAAGGAGAGAACATTTAATTTGGGTGACAAAGGATGAGGAGATAGTCCCTTACAGACCATTTTCTTCTCAGAATTACAGGATGCTTGTGTTCAAAGGGATCATTTAATCTGCACTACCTGGATTGTCAGATGAGAAGATAAAATCAGAGAGAGAAGTTTGTCTTTCAATGTCAAACAATGTTTGAGTGGAGACTTACTAGGGTCCTGACTCATAGGTCGGGGTTCCTTTTCTTATACCATGTGGTCCCCAGAGGTTGCCACACCTCCAAATTCCAAGCCCATCTCTTAACCACATACCAACCATCCTGACCTTGATCAGCTTTTTGAATCAGATGGGATCAGGGAAATGAGTCCTGTGTATACTTGAATTTTGTTTAAATATATGTACACCCTGTCCTTGATGACTTGCCAGAATTGGTCAATCACAGCTCAGTAATTCGCTCTGCCAGCTCTTTAAAAGTCCAAAAATAAATAATGTTCAGTCCCAACCTCCATATGTTTACTACACATTTCTTTCTTTCCCCACATTTTCTACCAACATACCCAACAAACTTTGTACTGTGGACGGACTGTTTCCCCTCTCTGATATTTTAATTTATGCATAAGTATTGATGAAAAATAGCAAAGATTTCAAGACAGTTATTTAATGTTATTATTTAAACCTTGCAGCATATTATATGTTTGAGGAACACTTGCTTATTAACCTCCTCATGCTTACTAACTTCTTCACCAGTCCTCCTAGAAGAGTGCCAGTTTATTTATTTCCAGGCCTTAACTAATAGACATTGATAATAATGACCTGGTAGGATTGGAAGGGACTTTAAAAAGATCATAGAAGTATGTGATCTGCTCCCAGAGAAGCCTGCATGGAGAGTACCGTGGAGTCTTTCTCCCAGCTTCCTAAGGTCATTTGCCTCTCACTCTCTCTTCTCCTAAATTCTCTAGCAGCGACTGGTGCCAGTCATTGCCTTTGATCCCTTCTCGCCAGGTAGATATATGAAGAATGAGCTTCTCTCATTTTAATTGTGGTTTCTCAAATCTGTCCATTAGAAGTGAGCATCTCCAAATGGTCATGTTACATGCCAGATGGAAAATCATCCTGATCTCAGTTTAACAGAGCTCTTGAGAATTGGATTTGATAAGTTCACCTTGTGGGGTTTTAAATACAGATTATCACAGAAAAGAAATGGAAAGGAGAAAGAACCTTTCATTTATTGCATAGCAGCTAAGGGCCACTCATTTTCTAGAAATTTTATATACTTGATTTTTTGTAGTCAACATGATAGCCATGCTTTATAGATATTTTTATCCCTGTTTTTAAAAACAAAGTATCTGAGGCTAGGAGAAATTTGGTAACTCATCCAAAGTCAAACAGCTCTGAAGTGTTAAACTACAATTTAAAGCAGAATTGGGTTGACTCCAACTCCAGAGCACTTTGTTGTAAAACAGTCCTAGGTGCTTTTGGATTGGGGGTTGTAGAGAATACCTTTCATTTTTGTCTTTCCAGCATCCAAATCCCTTTAATATTGAAATAGCATGTGAAGACCCAACTGCTTTCAGTACACATATTGTTGCTGGTGCTACTTACTTCCTCTGCTTAGATAAAGATATGATAAAATGTCTCAGAAATAGTCGATCAGAGCAACAGATCCCCCAAGCTAAAGAGATTAATTCAGAGATGAAGAAATAGTCCCCTCTGGGCCAATGAGAACCTGTGGTAGACAGAATCATGGCCACAAAGATGCCCACCTCATCCTAATTCCCCAAACCTATATGTTTTCTTTCATGGCAAAAGGGAATTTGCAGGTATGATTAGGTCCTGATACAGGGAGATTATCTTGGATTATCTGAGTGGGACCAATATAATCATGAGGGTCTTTATAAGAGGGAGGCAAGAGAATTAGAGTCAGAGTGTATTACTCAGAGCTTTCCAGAGAAACAAAGCCAATGTAAAGTGTGCACATACACACACACACACACACACACACACACACACACACACAAAGAGAATTGTTATAAGGAATTGGCTTACATGGTTATAAAGGCTAAGGAGTCCTAAGATCTGCAGTTAGTTATTCGGAGACCCAGGAAAGCCAATGGTGTTGTTTCAGTCCAAGTCTGAAAGCCTGAGAACCAAGACAGTCTGTTGTGTAAGTTTCAGACCAGAAGCCACAGGCTAGAGACTCAAGAAGAGCTAATGTTTTTGAAGGAAAACAAAACAAAACAAAATGAAACAAAGCAAAACAAAACACCAATGTTCCAGCTCAAAGTGGTTAGGCAGGAAAAGTTTCCTCAAACTTGAGGGAGGGTCAGCATTTTTTTCTATTCAGCTTTCAACTGATCGAGTGAGGTTCACCCACATTAGGTAAGGTAATCTGATTTATTCAGTCTACTGATTGAAATGTTAATAGGCTAATCCTAGTCAAGTTGACATGTATTATAAATTAACCATCACACAGACAATTAGTTGTAATGACAGAAATAGAGGTGTGTCAGGGAGACAGAGAGAGAGAAGAGAGAGAAAAGCGAGATTTGAAGGTGCCATATTGTTGGCTTTGAGCATGGAAAAATAAGCCATGAGTGAAGAAATGCAGGCAGCCTTTAGAAGCTGAAAAAATCAAGGAAATACATTTTCCCCTAGAGCCTTTAAAAGAAATGTAGCTCTGCTGACCCATTTTGAATTTTTCTGACTTCCAGAGTTATAATAAACTTAGTCTATTTTAAGCCATTAAGTTTGTGGTAATTTGTTACAGCAGCATTGGGAAACCAATACAAGGCCTTATTTAAAACTCTTTCTAGAATCATAAAGAACCCCAGAGGACAGAAGTACTCTTATTCCATAAGGGTCCCCAAGCCAGTAGAATGCAAGCTGGGAGCTCCTGATGGTAATTCTTGCCACCACATTAGGAAAACCCATCTGTGAATAAAATCAACCACGAGAAAAACAGGACACTTAGATAAGTAAACACAGATTTCTTTTCATTGTGTTAAGGACATTTAAAATGAGATCTATCCTCTTAACACATTCTTAAGTGTACAATACATTATTGTTGCCTAAAGGTACAATGTCACATAGCAGATCTCTAGTGCTCATTTATCTTGCTTGACTGAAATTTTATGTCAGTTGATTAGTAATGCCCCATTTCCGCTTCTGCTCAGCCCCCAGCAATCACCATTCTACTCTTTGATTCTGCAAACTTGACTAGTTTAGATACCTCATATAGGTAGAATCATGCAGTATGTGTCTTTCCATGAGTGACTTATTTCGGTTAGCATAATGTCCTGAAGTTTCATCCATGTTGTCACATGTTGCAAAATGTCCTTTTTTTGAAAGGCTGAATAGTATCCCATGGTATGAATACACTCATTTGGTGCAAAAGTAACTGCGGATTTTGCCATTAAAAGTGATGGCAAAAGCTGCAAATTGCTTTTGTACCAACCTAATACCATATTTTCTTTATCCATCCCACTGTCAATGAACATTTAGGTTATTTCCACATCTTGCTATTGTGAATAGTGCTGTAATGAACATACAAGTGCTAATGTCTCTTTGAGATCATGATTTCAATTATTTTGATAGACATATATGTGATTGATGGATCATATAGTAGTTTTATTTTTAATTTTTTGAGGAATCTCCATACTGTTTTCCACAGCAGCTGCATCATTTTACATTCTCACCAACACTGTGCAAGGATTCAAGTTTCTTCACATCCTTGCCAATGCTTGTGGTCTTATTTTTTGATAATTGCCATCATGTCAGGTATGAGGTAATATCTCATTGTGGATTTGGTTTGCATTTCCCTGATGATTAGTGATGTTGAACATTTTTTTTTCATACATCTGTTGGCCATTTGTATGTCTTTTTTGGCATACAAATAGAAATGTCTGTTCAAGTCCTTAGTCCATTTTTAAAATGGGTCATTAGTATTTTTACTAGTGAGCTGTAGAAGTTCCTTATCTATTATGGAGATTAGCCCTTAATCAAATACATGGCTTTAAAATATTTTCTCCCACTTCTTAAGTTGCCTTTTCACTTTGTTGATTGTTTTCTTTGCTGTGTCAAGAAGATGTACAGATTTCTGGCAACATTGTCTGAACATCTGGAACTAATCATGCCTGAAGACTGATGCCATAGACTTTTCAATCCCTTTAGCCAAATTAAACCAGTTTTAGATGGATTTCTACCATTGTCAAGCTGAAGAATCTTGAGTAAAACAAGAGTGTAGACTTTGGCACCTATTTACTGTGTCAACATAGCAAAGCTGGAAACATCCAGAAGTCTCTTCCTATAAAGTTCCATGTTAGGGATGGCCACAAAGATATTTGCATGCAATCTGGAAGATAGAAGCAAATCAGTAGTCATCACGCTCTCGAGATCAATGCAAGGTACTGGATGTTGTTGCAGGTCATGCATGCTGTTACTGATCTGCTATCTCATCTTGTCGGTTGGCATATGGCAGCAGAGCCAGGCCTGCAGCTCCTCCAGATCCTGATGGATCTCCTTCAGCATCTCAGAAGCCTAGATTAGGTACATGTACCAGCTGTGCAGCTCTACCTACATGGTAGGTAAGCCTTTCCATAAAGTGAAGAAAGCCCCGTATGAATTTTTTCAATGAATCAGACTCTGTATAAATCAGTTGGCTAAAAGGAGAGCACATCTGCTCACTCTGCTGTTTATGCAACATGCTACAGAATGAATTTAAAAGCAAAACTTTTTATTAAAATGACAAAATTGAGACAAGGACATAAGCTGTTATTTTTCTTGGCTGGAATCCTTGGGAACCCTGGATACTCCCACATAAATATACCATTGTCAGATGTTCTTAGGTAGATGCTTATTTAAACTTCTTTAGAGATGCCTTTTGTGTGGAATATGGTTTTTAAAAACATTTTAAAACCTCTCCTACGCTTTTTCAGTAACCTTCTCAAATGGGCCTGGGAAATGTCATTTTTGCCAAACAGTGGGAGGAAATGACTTACTTCGCCTTTTAAAATATGAAATTAGGTTTTATTGATGAAACATGAACTAAACAAAACTCAGGATTGCTGTTTCTGGTCTTATTTCATTCGTGGGCTCAAAAAGTATTTATCGAGGACCCATGATGTTTCAGTCCCTATGCCAAGTGATGGGGCAGCGACTTAAGTAAAATATTTTCTCTACTCTCCATACACACATAGAGTAAGGTGCTGGAGACAGATGAGAAAACCAGCAAGCATGGAACAGTATATAATGATCATTTTAATGGTTCCATTAAGAGAGAGCTATAAGAACACAGGGCTAAGTATCCTGATAAATGAGGTGGCGGTAATGAACTCTGCCAGAGGGAATTGTTGCAGAAGTTGACCATTGAAGGAAAAGGGAAAAGAGCCCTCAGTCATGTCAAAGAGATGGAACTGCATGTTCATATCTATGTAGATGGAATATAACTCACTAAGGTCAAGGATTTTGTTTTGGTCAATAAATATTTGTTGAAAGAATGTCAAATGTTCCTCAAGATTAATGAGAAGAATATGTTAGAGTAGGAGATATAACTGTGGGGATATCCTAGGGCCATGTATCATGGACCCTGTGTGATGAGCTAAGGCCTTAGCATTTCATATTGAATGTGCTCTCACAAAGAGATCCACTGGTAGAAGCCTGAGGGAGAGACTGGAAGGGAGTGAGCTTGAAGAAAGGGAAAATAATTAGAAGACAGAGTCATCAGTTTAGGATAAAAAAGCCTCTTCACTGACAAGTGAAAGTAGAGGGTAAGAGACTGTGAAGGCAACAAAAAACAGCAGTTATGAAAATGGATGATCAATTGGATGTGTAGTGGGGAGGGCCAAGTTGGGAGAGTCTAGAGCCATGATGTCCAGCATAGTAGCCATTAGTCATGTGTAGCTAATGAGCACTTTAGACATGGCTAATTCAATATGAGACATGCTGTTAAGTGTGACATACACACCTAATTTTGAAGACAAAGTATTAAAATGGAATGTACAATATCTCATTAATGATTTCGTATCTTGATCACCTTGAAATGATACTATTTTGAATATATTAGATTAAATAAAATATATCATCAAAATTAATTCCACCCGTTGCTTTGTACTGTTTTACTGTGGCTACCAGAAAATTTTAAATTACCTGTGTTGCTCACATTTGTGGTTCATGTTATATTTTTAATGAATGGCAGTGACCTAAAATTATTACCTAAATAACTTTTTTTTTTATCTTGAGTAACTTTGTGATTGTGTTGTCATTCAACAAAGTAGAAATGACAGAAGGAGGAATGTTCTGGAAGGATGAATAAGTGTCTAGTGGACTTCCATGTGGAGCTATCTACTGTGTTGGTATGTTAAATATATTGGTTGGGGGCTCAGGATGGAGATTGGCTGGAGACAGTAGATTTGAAATGGATGTGGGTGTGTTGATCCAAGCACCAATATTCAGTATTTACCACGGACCAGGTATCATACTCAGTACTTTACATACATTGTAAAGTGTGAATTTAATTTATGTAAAGAATTTTCTTAATAATCCTGAGTCCTGTAATATTATTACTATCATCATCCCTGTTTTTCAAATGAGGAAACTGAGGTTAGTGTAAACAAATTTCCAGAGCTATTAGGCACATGCTCATGACGCTTAAGCTTTAGGGCCCTGCTCTTGCATGGAGGCATTACAAGGATTAGCGTGTTTCTCTCTGAGGATGAAAGTAGAAAGCAGTACCTCTAGCCATGTGCCCTGATGGTCACTTTTGTGCTCTGGAAGTGATCCTGGGACTGCCAATTTTAACTGTACATTCTCTCAGCCACACTGACATCTTATGTCTGATACAAGCATCAAGCATCAGGGCTGTATCTTCACTCAGAAGAGAAGGATCTGAGGGAGATGCTACTCCACTAAGGACCTGTGTCTCAGGCTTCACGGCCACCTCACCCCCCCAGGATCATCCCTGCAGAAATGGGGAGCTGGAGGGCAGGGACCAGTGAGGATCTGGCTGAGGTGGGCCAGCTGCTGAGTGGTCATCAGGGGCCACACCAAGAAACATCAAATGTCTGGAGATACACAGGGCTGCTCCTGGGCAAGAAGCACTCCCTTCATAAAAAACCATAAGAACTTATAGATATGTCATCACCCAGAGTGTGTCGAGAAACTGAAGGAAAGCCTTCTAAATTATCAGAAATGAAAAAGAGAATTTCATGCATCCATGCCAGAGGAAACCCTGAAATAGCTTTTTAGTTTCTCTAGAGATAAATTACAAGACTTTTGTTATATGAGGAGACAATCAAAGGATATATACTGTATAGTCAACAACATAAGGAAAAAATGTATTAGAGAGATAAAATGTATTATAGACGTAAATTAGGTAAAATGAAAATAATATGCTTTTCTGGATTGGGCTATATTTATTTTTGACAACCTTAAAAATGATTGATCTCCTGAGTTTTCTCAATTAATTCTAAATAAATATTTGCTTTTATACTTACTTTGTTTTGTAATTTTGTTTTACATCACCTTCATTCAGGAACAATTTACATAACATAAAATGGATGTATTTTAAGTGTACTGTTGAATGAGTTTCACAAACTTTACAAATGTTAGCACCTTGCAAGTCAAGATTTGGAACATTTCCATTACCCCAGAAAGTTTCCTTGTGTCCTTTGAAGTAAGTCACTTTCCATCCCCAGCCCTGGGAAACTACTTTTCTGCTTACATTATAGAATAGTTTTACCTGTTTTAGAGCTTCATATACATGAAATACTACACCATGTACTCTTATATTTGGCTTATTTAGTGCAGCATAATGTTTTCTATATTTAGGCATGTTTTGTGTATATTGGTAATTCCTTTTTTTCATTTCTGGGTCATATTTCATTGTGTGAATATATCAATATTTTTAACCCATTTATTTTTTAATGGACATTTGAGTTATCAGTTTGGATCTATTATGAATAAAGCAGCTATGAAACTCTTGTGCAGTATTTTTATAGACAAATGTTTTCATTTTGGAGGGGAATTGCTTTGTCATTGGGTAGAGGAAATTGTTACCTTCATAAGAAACTGATTAGCTGATCTTCAAAATGTTCGTTTCTTTTTCTGCTCCTATCAGTAATGTCTGAAATGAAAAATGGACTTTATGTCTTTTAATTATTTCTCAAAGATGGCCACTCAAATTACATAAGCATCAAACTCCACAAAACTTGGGCTCTTCTGTTAAGGTGGTAGAGTCAGATGCAAGACTCCAGACCCCTATGCTATGGAGAGAAAAAAAAAAGGAAGGGGTTCAGAGGCCCCTAAATACCAGCAGTCTTCTGGGTGAATCTCTCAGAAGCACTTGGAGATGGTTAACTTTATGTATCAATTTGGCTAGGCCATGGTACCCAGATATTTGCTCAAATATTGTTCTAGATATATCTGTGAAGGTATTTTTATATGAGAGTTCTACTTAAATCAGTAGATGTAATGGTTTGGATATTTGTCTCCTCCGAATCTCATGTTGGAATGTGGTCCCCAGTGTTGGAGGTGGGGACTAGTGGGAGGTGTTTAGGTCATGAGGGTGGATCCTCATGAATGGCTTGCTGCCTGCCTCATGGGTATGAGTGAGTGCTCACTCGATTAGTTCATACAAGAGCTGATTGTTTAAAAGATGCTGGCACCTCCTCCCCTCTCTTTTACTCCCTTTCTGTGAGTGACACACCTGCTCCCACTTCACCTTTCACCATGATTGGAAACTTTTGGAGGCCTCACCAGAAGTAGATGCTGGCACTGTGCTTCTTGTACAGCCTGCAAAATCTTGAGCCAAATAAACCTCTTTTCTTTATAAGCCTCATATATCCCTTCATAGCAATGCAAAATAGACTAATACAGAAGACTTGAGTAAAGTACATTACCTTCCATAATGTGAGTGAGTCTCAACTAATTGGTTAAAGGCCTTAATAGAAAAAAGACCAATCTCCCTTGAGTGAATTCTGCTAGCAGACCACCTTCAGACTTGAATTGCAGCATAAACTGTTCCCTGGGTCTCCAGCTTGCTGTCCTACCCTGAAGCTTTTGAAATTTTGGATTTGTCAGCTTTCACAACAATCAGATGAGCAACTTCTTAAAATTTTTCTCTCTACACACACACACACACACACACACACACACACACACACACACAATCTTGTTTCTCTGGAGAACCCTCACCTCTCATCTGGGATCCTAAAGGGCTACCAGCATTCAGAACAGACTTCTTTCCAATTTCCTTTCTCTCCTAAGTTACTACCCAACCCAGTAAAAATAAAGTTCTTCTGTTAATGTTTTAAACACTCTTAGAAAGCAAAACTTATTATACCTAAAAACAACTTTTCTTCCCTACAGAGGAAGCTCTTTTGTTTGATAACATGGAGAAGGTTTCCTCTCCTTGCCTTGGGCACATTCAAGTGCTTTTTATTTATTTATTTATTTTTTATTATACTTTAAGTTTTAGGGTACATGTGCACAAGGTGCAGGTTTGTTACATATGTATACATGTGCCATGTTGGTGTGCTGCACCTGTTAACTCGTCATTTACATTAGGTATATCTCCTAATGCTATCCGTCCCCCAGGCCCCCACCCCACAACAGGCCCCGGTGTGTGATGTTCCCCTTCCTGTGTCTAAGTGTTCTCATTGTTCAATTCCCACCTATGAGTGAGAACATGTGGTGTTTGGTTTTTTGTCCTTGCGATAGTTTGCTGAGAATGATGGTTTCCAGCTTCATCCATGTCCCTACAAGGGACATGAACTCATCCTTTTTTATGGCTGCATAGTATTCCATGGTGTATTTGTGCCATGTTTTCTTAATCCAGTCTATCATTGATGGACATTTGGGTTGGTTCCAAGTCTTTGCTATTGTGAATAGTGCCGCAATAAACATACGTGTGCATGTGTTTTTATAGAAGCATGATTTATAATCATTTGGGTATATACCCAGTAATGGGATGGCTGGGTAAAATGGAATTTCTAGTTCTAGATCCCTGAGGAATCGCCACACTGACTTCCACAATGGTTGAACTAGTTTACAGTCCCACCAACAGTGTAAAAGCATTCCTATTTCTCCACATCCTCTCCAGCACCTGTTGTTTCCTGACTTTTTAATGATTGCCATTCTAACTGGTGTGAGATGGTATCTCATTGTGGTTTTGATTTGCATTTCTCTGATGGCCAGTGATGATGAGCATTTTTTCACGTGTCTTTTGGCTGCATAAATGTCTTCTTTTGAGAAGTGTCTGTTCATATCCTTTGCCCACTTGTTGATAGGATTGTTTGTTTTTTTCTTGTAAATTTGTTTGAGTTATTTGTATCCAGCAGCACATCAAAAAGCTTATCCACCATGATCAAGTGGGCTTCATCCCTGGGATGCAAGGCTGGTTCAACATATGCAAATCAATAAACATAATCCAGCATATAAACAGAACCAATGACAAAAACACATGATTATCTCAGTAGATGCAGAAAAGGCCTTTGACAAAATTCAATAGCCCTTCATGATAAAAACTCTTAATAAATTACGTATTGATGGGATGTATCTCAAAATAATAGCTATTTATGACAAACCCACAGCCAATATCATACTGAATGGGCAAAAACTGGAAGCATTCCCTTGGAAAACTGGCACAAGACAGGGATGTCCTTTCTCACCACTCCTATTCAACATAGTGTTGGAAGTTCTGGCCAGGGCAATCAGGCAGGAGAAAGAAATAATGGGTATTCAATTAGGAAAAGAGGAAGTCAAATTGTCCCTGTTTCCAGATGACATGATTGTATATCTAGAAAACCCCATTGTCTCAGCCCAAAATCTCCTTAATCTGATAAGCAACTTCAGCAAAGTCTCAGGATACAAAATCAATGTGCAAAAATCACAAGCCTTCTTATACACCAATAACAGACAAACAGAAAGCAAAATCATGAGTGAACTCCCATTCACAATTGCTTCAAAGAGAATAAAATACCTAGGAATCCAACTTACAAGGGATGTGAAGGACCTCTTCAAGGAGAACTACAAATCACTGTTCAATGAAATAAAAGAGGACACAAACAAATTGAAGAACATTCCATGCCCATGAATAGGAAGGATCAATATCGTGAAAATGGCCATACTGCCCAAGGTAATTTATCGATTCAATGCCATCCCCATCAAGCTACCAATGACTTTCTTCACACAATTGGAAAAAAACTACTTCAAAGTTCACATGGAACCAAAACAGCCTGCATTGCCAAGTCAATCCTAAGCCAAAAGAACAAAGCTGGAGGCATCACTCTACCTGACTTCAAACTATACTACAAGGCTACAGTAACCAAAACAGCATGGTACTGGTACCAAAACAGAGATATAGACCAATGGAACAGAACAGTGCCCTCAGAAATAATGCCGCATATCTACAACCATCCGATCTTTGACAAACCTCACGAAAACAAGAAATGGGGAAACGAATCCGTATTTAATAAATGGTGCTGGGAAAACTGGATAGCCATATGTAGAAAGCTGAAACTGGATCCCTTCCTTACACATTATACAAAAAATAATTCAAGATGGATTAAAGATGTAAATGTTAGACCTAAAACCATAAAAACCCTAGAAGAAAACCTAGGCAATACCATTCAGGACATAGGCATGGGCAAGGACTTCATGTCTAAAACACCAAAAGCAATGGCAACAAAAGCCAAAATTGACAAATGGGATCTAATTAAACTAAAGAGCTTCTACACAGCAAAAGAAACTACCATCAGAGTGAACAGGCAACCTACAGAATGGGAGAAAATTTTTGCAATCTACTCATCTGACAAAGGGCTAATATCCAGAATCTACAAAGAATTTATGTGCTTTTCTAAACAGAACAGACTCTCCCTTTTTACTTCCTGCTCCGGTCCCTTCTTTTTTTTTTTTTTTTTTTTTTTTTTTTGAGACGGAGTCTCGCTCTGTCGCCCAGGCTGGAGTGCAGTGGCGCGATCTCGGCTCACTGCAAGCTCCGCCTCCCGGGTTCACGCCATTCTCCTGCCTCAGCCTCCCGAGTAGCTGGGACTACAGGCGCCCGCCACTACGCCCGGCTAATTTTTTGTATTTTTAGTAGAGACGGGGTTTCACCGTGTTAGCCAGGATGGTCTCGATCTCCTGACCTCGTGATCCGCCCGCCTCGGCCTCCCAAAGTGCTGGGATTACAGGCGTGAGCCACCGCGCCCGGCCCCGGTCCCTTCTTTATTGCTTTTAAGCTGGCCATTGTTTTCTTCTCACTACAGCGAGGAGGCCATACAGTGTGCTCAATATAGACTGCTGTTAAAGAAAGGAAAGTAGGAATTACTATTTTCACTATGTAGCAAGAGCCACCATATACATTAGGTCCAGACACAAAATTGCCACTTACTACCCTGACCCTGCCTAACATTGGAGCTAGGGATACAGGAGAACACAGTGCCCCAGTGCAAATAGATAAAAAGCTAAAGTGAGTTCTGCCTTTAAGAGCTACTGAAGGCTTTCCTGAGAAGGTGATTCTGGGCAGGGAAAAGCCTTCTTTTTCTTTGCAGTTGGGCACTAGGCATCCCAGCGTTCACCACCTGCCCAACTCCTAGCCTTATCCATTCACAGAACTGGACTTTTGCTGCTTTTGCCTTGACACTGAGCTAGATGATCTTGCAGCTGTGATCTGTGAAATCAGTGGAGCTGTTAGGCTACAGTTTGTTTGCAATACTAATGAAAACCTTTTCCTGAGGCTTCTCTTATTTATTGTTAGCGTCATTATCATCATCATCATCCTCATCATCATCGATGATATGATTTGGCTCTGTGTCCCCACCCAAATCTCATCTTGAATTATAATCCCCACATGTCAAGGGAGGGAGGAGATTGGATTGTGGGGGTGATTTCTCCCATGCTGTTCTTGACATAGTGAGAGAGTTCTCAGGAGATCTGATGGTTTATAGGTGTTTGAAAGTCCTCCTTCACTCTTCTCTTTCCTGCTGACTTGTGAAGAAGGTGTCTGCTTCTCCTTCTACTATGATTCAGAACTATGAGTCAATTAATCCTTCTTCCTTTATAAATGACCCAGTCTTGGGTATTTCTTTACAGCAATGTGAAAACAGACTAATACAATCAAGCTTCCTAACAATAACATTTATGCTAGTATTTTTTGTCTATATAGATCTGCATTCAGTTTTATTTGTCTAAAGGTAAGAGTCAAGCTAATCATGCTTTGTGGCATACAGAAGAAAAGCTTGGCATTCTTTTGGCTTCTCCTCCAGGGCAACAATAAATATAGCCCAATCCAGAAAAGCATATTATTATCATCATTTTATCTAATTTGCCTCTCTAATACATTTTACCTCTCTAATACATTTTTTCCTTATGTTGTTGACTATACAGTATATATTCTTTGATTCTTTTGGCTTCTCCTCCAGGGCAGTAGCAAAGGGGAATTCCTGTGAGAAGCTACATGAATTTTCAATCCTACTGTGAAGAAGTGGAAGAAAAATGCTAAGGAATTGCTCACACCTGGACTGATTTGTATCTTTCAGCATTAAAACTTTCTCATGTTTTAAATTCCCAAGGATAATGTAGATAATGTAGAGGCTGTAGTGGTAGGTTAAATTCCGCACAGAACTTCCCCAACGTTGAACAATTCTTTTGTTAAGAAGGGACAAGTTCCCTGGGGGAATGGAGGTGAAGGAAGAAGCATTCTCTTACCACAGTAAACAAAATGTCAGGCAGTCTTGTTTCAGTCATTCCCATTCCCTAAGCCTCTATAAGCACTCCTTTCTGAAGGTGAGGTGCAATCTATCTCACCAGAAGAATGTTAGGAGCCAGTTCCATTTCTGCTTCAATTTTGTTATCAATTTCTTTCTTTCTTTCTTTCTTTTTTTTTAGGTTATGCTATGTTGGTTGCTATCCTGAGAACTCTGTATGTTCTCAGGATACAAGCTTAAAAACTCCTTTGAATTCTGGCTTTGCCCCTACAGTGTCTACACAACCTTGTCAGTTCTTCTTTCTGAGCCATATTTATCTCATCTGTAAATTATGGAAAATAATAACCATCTCAAAGAGTTTCTTTGAGAGTAAATAATTAAATCCGTGGCCCACTGATCCCTGGCAGAGATGGCTTTGTAGACCATTCACAGTGTATGCTCCTCTTCCAGAATGACTAATGGGAAATGATGATCCATCTGGGACCTCCGTTTCCCAGCTCTCTTGCACCTAGGGGGGTCATGTGGCTGGCTCTGGCTAATGATATGTCAGTGGAAGTGATGTGTGACACCTTTGATCCTAGCTGGCTGAATTATCTGTGTGCCTTCCTCACTCTTTCTTCTGTCCAGTTTTTGACTAGAGGATACCCAAGGAATCTTGGAGCTATAAGATGGAAATGAAAGTGTCTCTCAGTCAACTCTCACATAAATTATCCAAAAGAACCTCACCTCACAGTGGATTTTCAGGATCAAGAAAGAAAGGGGAACAAATTTTTATTGTGTTAAAACACTGAGATTTTAAGGTTATTTATTATAAAGTTAGTATTGTCTGATGAACAGGTGTAGTTATTTTTATTTCTACAGGTGAGTCACTAATGTATTATTAACCTCATCACTAACATCATTTCACATTTCTCTTCACACAAAACCACCACCACAGAGATAATTGGCATTAACAACATCATTTAGTGTTGAGGTTTTTCAGTAAGTAGACAGAAAATTGTCTAAGACAATTATAAACTTTAAGGGGGTAAAAATTATGTCTCTTTTTCACATTTTGTTAGTGCTTAATATAGTGTAGATGCTTAATAAATATTTATTGATCAAGTGATACATTACTGCTACATAACAAACATACCTATAATCTCAGTGACTTAATACCTTAGAACTTTATTTTTTACTTATATATCAGTTCACTGTGGTTCTTTGGTGGATTACTTTCCATATGGACATTCAGGGTAGCAATATCCTTCCATATTCTGGCTCTAGCCTTTCACAGAGTCTTAGAGTCCTCTGCTGTATCATTTTCATACAGCTAGCTAAAGGGGAAAGATCACGCAGGATCATGAGAAAAGATTTTATATTGGCTTGGCCTGGAAATCGTGCATTTCACTTCTTCCAAGTTCCATTGACCACAACTCAGTCATATGGTCACATCTAGCTGCAAAGCAAGTTGGAAAATGTAGTCTAACTACATTAGAAGAATGTATTAGTAGGAAGAAGAATGTATTAGTATACCAGTGTTGCTATAATAAATTACCACAAATTTAGCAGCTAGCACAATGCTATTATCTTTGGGTTCTGCAGCTCAGAAGTCTTACAACCAAAGTGTTGGCTGGGCTGAATTACTTCTGGAGGCTCTAGCTGACAATCCATTTTCTTTCCTTACCCAGCTTCAAGAGGCTGCCTACATTTATTGGCTCATGACTCATTACTTCATCTTTAAAGCCAGCAGTGTAGCACCTTCAATCTCTTCTCTTTCTGTGACCTCTGTCATCACATCTGTTCTTACTTTGAGCCTCCTGCTTTCCAAAGACCCTTGTGATTACATTCAGCCCACCAGATAATCTCTGATAATCTTCCCATCTCAAGATCATTAACTTAATCACCTCTGCAAATATCCTTTGACCATGTAAGGTCACCTATTCATAGGGCCTAGGAATTAGAATGTGATCCTCTTGGACATCTTTGGGAGGCCTTATTCTATCAACCACAAGGAAGAAACAGGTTGTGGTAAATTTATAGCAATGTCCATGTAATGGACTTTCCAATGTCCATTACATGGAAAGTAATCCACCAAAGGAATTAATTAATTATGAGAAGATAACAAGCATTGCTCTGAGCAGACAGGGAGGTCATCTTTGACATTCTTCAACCAATTACAGTGCTCTAGCAAAGTGCTTAGGATTTAAAGAAGGATGCCAGGTAAGGTGGCTCAGGTCTATAATCCTAGCACTTTGAGAGGCAAAGGCAGGCGGATTGCCTGAGCTAAGGAGTTTAAGACCACGTGGGCAACATGGTGAAACCCTGTCTCTACTAAAAATACAAAAATTAGCTGGGCGTGGTGGTGTGCACCTGTGGTCCCAGCTACTCGGGAGGCTGAGGCAGGAGAATTGCTTGAATCTGGGAGGCAGAGGTTGAAGTGAGCTGAGGTCATGCCACTGCACTCCAGCCTAGGTGACAGAGTGGGACTCTGTCTCTAGGAAAATAAATTTAAAAAAGGATTTAAAGAAGGACGGAAGGACTACAGTTTGGGAAATTCAAATAAGAATAGAATGGGGACTTCAACTTGGAAGAAATAGTGAAAGTCTCCAGGTTTTGGAACAAAAGACTAATGTGAACATTTTTAACAAGAATGGGGCAGTAGCCAGTTGCTATGACTTTCATCTGGCTGTCTTGTCTAAAATAAATACAGGTGTTTCTGCCTCAAAATTTATTCCAAGGCACAACCCATGTTTTCTACATAGTGGCTCCAGGTCTTGGGCCAGAAAAACCAAGAGTTCTATAGCAGAACATTCCCAGAAGGGCAAAATATGTTTAATTCTGTGCTATTTTTACAAATCATAATTTTAAAATATCTTTACTTGCAAATTAAGTAGCTTTCCTAACACCAATGAAAATATCCTTATTAACTTTTGGCAGGGAGCTGCTGTTCTTAATTTGAGAAAAACAGAGCTAGAAGAAAAGTTTGAAAATATTGAAAAGGAAAAATAGACTTTACAGAAAAAATACCAACTTTATGACTACATCAAACTTGCATACATATAAGACTAAATTTACAACAATCATTGGAATAAGAACTCTATCTCTCAACATCATAATATTAGAAATATTACATGGAACTAATTTTATAAAAATAATACCTCTTTTTGAAGCTTTACAAATATTTGGTTAAATTCTAATTCAGTGGTTCTTTTTCATTCTGGTAAGAATACCTTGATGGAGTACTTTTGCTCAAGGTTCTTAGTCACTGACACAGAATCCACTATAGCTATTGATCAGAAAGAGCTATGAAATGATATTAAGTATTTCACAGGGATTCAGGCTTAGATGCTACTCAGTGAAGAACAATGCAGTGAAATAAAACAAACCATATCATGAAGCTGTCTCCTAGAAATATCACTGCTGCTACCATCTACCACTCAGCAATATAATACGAAGGCCTGGATCTTACAGTGTTCCCTATGGTCCAGAGTAACCAGACACCTGTTTTCCAAAAAGTGGAACTTCTCGTGTGGAGCACTGCTTCAATTTTCTCTCTCTCCCTCTAAGAAATGTGGGATTGTCTGTGTGGTAAAACTTAGTTTACCTGTGGACTTCTAGCTTCTCAAGAGTTTTAAAAGGTAACTTGTAGTTTTACAGACTTAGTAGTTCAGGAGGGCAAGCTAGAATCTGTGCTAAGTCAGGTGATCTACACTAGATGCTGTAAGGGCAGTCGCCTCTCCATATTTGTGGGCTCTGCATCTGCCCATTTAACCAACTGCACGTTAAAAATATTTAAATAAATAAATAAAAATACAACAATAAAAAGCAACAAAAATAAAAACAACAGAATATTACTGCAATCTCAATAGCATTTACATTTTATTAACTATTATAAATACTCAAAAGATGATTTAAAGTATACAAATGTGCATAGATTATATGCAAGTACTATATCATTTTACATAAGGGATTTGAGCATCTGCCAATCTTGTTATCGGAGGGAGTCCTGGAATCAATTCCTTGTGGATACCAAGGGATAACTGTATTAGGCTTTCCTCTTTGGAATCCCCCTCCCCTAGAAAATAAAGCATTCATTGTTCTTGTAGGGACGTCTATCTGATATTGTGTGCTTTTAGCATGATGGAGGGTTAGTAATAAAAATTACACACTTGGGCTCACTTACCTGGGCACACGGACCTCTGCCAGACCTACAATAATTCTGTGCCATCTCTGAAACCTGGGGACTTGCTACTGCTCCATGTTGGAAGATTTACCTTCATTTTAGTGCAGCATAATGTTTATCTCAGTATTGAGTTTCAGAAATCAGGAAAAGGGAAATTTTGATTCCCAATATTGTGGAATGTATGTGTCATAGGGTAAGTGAGGATAGCAGCCATGGCAATCCAAATTTTTGGAGTCGAGGTGTGTTTTATTTTCCTCAAATCCCTTGTTGCCAATGAGAGCATGAATAAAGAATGGAACCAGTCAAGGGAATGGAGGAAAAAAGAAATCCTATTAATACACGTTCGTAGAATGTGAGTCAGAGTAAACATACCCATACATTTACAAAGCACTTCTTTATACTCTCTTGAAAGTCTTGAGAGGTAGGCAGCTGCAAAGGAGGCATGATTATCTCCATCTTAGACACCAAAACAGGCTAGATTGAATTGTCCAAGTTCATAGAACTAGAAAAACAAACGTAAGTAGAAACTAAATTGAAACCCAAATCTATGTCTTCTGACTATAAGTCTACTATTCTTTGGACCATCCAAATTTGCATTATATTGGAGAGAAGGGAAAGCACTTGAAAGGTCCATTTAGAATTCTTCTGTGTGATCACACCACCTCAGGCAGTTTTCATTGATTATGTCATATTTTCTCAAAACAATCCCCTGAAATAGGTATCATTGTAGATGGGAACACAGGTTCAGGTACATTCCAGAATCAGCTTCAGGATCAGTTGTCTTTCAAATGTTTTGATCTTCACTAAGAAATTAGCTCCCAGATTGTTAACAAAAATAATCTGTGGGGTGGAAAAGGAAAAGCAGATGTTCCCAGAAAATAATTAGAATAAAGAAAAGGAGGAAGTATTTCTGACAAATTGTCCAAAGATTGGTAGCTGCCTGTGCTGTGCCTATCAGACTCAGGACTCATTCCCTTGAAGCAATCTCACAGATAACTGCTCTCTCTGCTGACATTTCCTGCCCCACTGATTTCTGAAAACTGGCATTATCTTCACAAAGTGTGTGGGGACAGAGTTAGTAACAATGAGGCTTTCCCTATCTGTACTAGTTCATGCTACTCATGACTGAAGCCCAATTCCCTCCTCAGTGTCCCTGCTGCTAATCAAGTGTGTCACTAAATTCCTTGATTACAGAAGTGGAGGGGTAAGTTGGGACTTATCATTTAGCAATAATACAAATAAAATATGTGTGATTAATCTTATGCCTGTATATCCCCCAGTATTTCTGTTTCAAGAGTTATTTAAAAAGTTAAAAACAGAGCTGACATTTGACCCAACAATTCCCCTCTTACATATGTACCCAAGAGAATGGAAAACAAACGCCTGCACAAAAACCTGCATGTGTTCATAAGAACATTATTCATAAGAGCCAAAAAGTAGAAAAGCACCAAGTGTCTATGAATTGATGAGTTAATGAAGAAATTGTGGTATAGCCATACAATGGAATATTATTCATTCATAAAAAGAAATGAAACACTGATACATGCTAAAAATAAATGAACCTTAAAAATATTATGCAAAGTGGAAGAAGCTAGATACAAAAGACCACATGTCGTGTGATTCTATTTATAGAAAATGTCCAAAATAGGCAAACCCATAGAGACAAAAAGTAGTTTAATAGTTACCAGAGGCCAGTGAAAGGGAAGAATGAGGAATAACTGCAAACAGATACAGGGTTTATTTGGGAGATAATTTTTAAAAATTTGGAATTAGTGGTGACGGGTACACTCCTCTAATATATTAAAAACTACTGACTTCTATACTTTAAAAGGATTAACTTTATGGTAAGCAAATGGTTCTCAATAAAGCTAAAAATAAATGCTGCATGCAAAAAAAAAGAGAAAAAAGGAAATATTTCAATTACCTAATCATATGGAATTCATCAAGAATATGACTATAACCCTTTAGTAGCATTTAAAATATTTTCATTCTTACATTGGATATATGGAATTCTTTCCAGAGAAACCCACATTTTAAAATCTCAGAGTAGTGAGGTAAAAATAAACTCTTGAAAGAATATGCATTGAAAAAAGAAATCTATATATTTCTTTCAATGTATTTTGATTTAATTTCAATGGCTACTTTCAAAATTTGTCTAGTTTAAGTATTTATTCAAAACATCGTTATAAAGCAGCTACTACATGCAGGACGTGGAGTTTTTTTACCTATGAAATTTTTGCCTATGGAATGTTAAATACTAATGAATAAGCAGTGAGTTAATGTTAGACGATGTGCTAACTGATATAGAACTTTAGAAGAGCAAAGACAAATATAGGCTGTCATATTGAGAAGACCTTCTGGATAATATGGAACTTGGAAAAATTGGAGGCAGACAGGGAACCTTACCAGGCCCCAGAAAGTGCATGAAAAAAGGATGGAAGATAAAAATGACCACAGCCTTGGGAGTGTAATGATATCCCCAGGAGGTAGAGCTACAAGTGTACTGGAAGATCCCTATACTTCATAAATGTAATTGCTAGCTACTGGTACTTGAAAAATAAACAACTTTAACCTTTGTCCATCTTCATTTAATAAATAAAGGGCCCCGGCAGAAGTAAGTTATTGTGTTTCTTCATTACAATTACTTATTGAATACTTACAATGTGCCAGGATCTGGGTCAGCCGAGGCATCCAAAGAAGCAAAAAGCTCGGGCTAGGGACAAATGGGGGAAGGCCCACAGGTGTCACCCATTTTCTGAAGCTCAGAATAAGTGTACTTATCTCCTGCCTTCTTGAGAATAAATTGTGGCTGTCTGCACGGGGGGAGGGAAGAGAAGTGCAATATAAATTGGGGTCAGATTGTTAAGGGCATGTAAAGCTGACATGATAAATTTGAACTTTATTTCATAAACAACAGAAAGAAGATTGGACTTACGAAAAGACAGTCTCCACCACCTGTGTTGTTAAGGGAGGGGCCCTCCATAATTATCTAGCTCTTGTCTCTTATTTTCATTGAGGGAATCATTAACAGAGAAAGTGATCATTTGTCTGGGGTCACACCGCTTTTTGCTTGTACCACATGCTCCACATTACTTCCCAAATGTCCACATGGATTGGAGCTAGAATTACTATAAGGGACAAGGTGTCCTGGACATGACTGCACCTTGGTTCTTCATCATCATGCCTGTTTATTTGCTTTCTTTGTTCCATCAGATTAAATGAGGAATACAAACAGCAATATATTAACAAGCAAGTGAGTTTCCCAAGGGCCATTTGTTTATTAAATGGAGATACACAGAGGTTAGAATTGTTTATTTTTCAAGTACCAGTAGCTAGCAATTACATTTATGAAGGATAGGGGCCTTCCAGTACTCTTATAACTCTACTTTCCGGGGAAGTCATCACCACACAGTGCCACCTCAAACTTGTATCTTCCATTTGCTTCAGAGAACTATTTGGTTGGCAGTGAGCTGGGCCTGGACTTTAAGGAATTCAGCTGGGTATAGCATGCTTGATGATGTTTGTAATTAGTATCAAGAAGCTGCTTCATATGAAATAAGTGAGGCTACTCCTCAGCAGACAGGTGCTATATTTTTGGTAATAAAGGCAATTTGCAGGGCTACAATTACTTTTTTAGTCTGAAGTAAGACTTTTGTAGCCTGCATAATGTTGACTCTTCTTTTCCCCCTTGAGAGGTGGTCCCATAGATCACCTCATTCAGTATATTCTTCAATGAGAATAAACTAAAAATGAAACTTCCTAAAATCCGAATCTGAGGTATTCAGACAGAAATTAGAAACAGTAATGAGATGCAGGCATCTAGTTAACACTTTTTAAGGCAATTTTAAAAATTTCTCCATGGGAAAGTCAATGATTCTTTAAAGCAGGGACACGAATTCTGATGTGTAAACTAAGACCTAAGTAGGTGTTAGCTTCAGTGTGTCAAGTGTAGAAAGGCCATGAATGAAGTCCAAATGGAAAGGTTCATGTAGTGATCTTTCAGAATACCTCCTATTTGGGGCCAGAAGACACAGGAGTGGTGATGAAAAGCTTGACATGAGTGGGGCAAATATGGAGTAGAGGGAAGGAAAGCAGAAAGTGACTTGCTGTTGGCTCTGCAGCTATATGGAATCTAGATATCACTTGGGACCTTTCCTTCACTGGAGAGTTGTAAAAACATGGCTCTCCTTGACATGTCCATGAATTACTATTTGCAATTCCTTATGGCATCTTCCACTCTGATCCTGTGTTTGTGACATGTTCAATGTAGGCATTGCTCAAATCTAGCTTGTTACTCAACCCTGCCCTCTTCCCAACCTCATGGTTTCTTAGAGAAAATAAGCTTATATTTGAGTTCTGTGGGATCACAGAGGAAGAGAGCTCATTTCATTCTACCCAACTCACAACTCTCTGCTGAGTGCTTGACCCATCCAGTCCCAATTCATCCTACCTACCATCTCACCAATTTGAAGCTTCTCTTCCCAAGAGACAAGAGAGTCTATATTTATGGTGGCAGAATGTGCCTGGCTGTAAGTGATAGGATGGCATACCAGGTAGAAAACCAAATGGACTGCCTTTTAAATAAAAACTTCATTTTATTTAATGTATAACTCTTGCACTGTCTTTCCTCTTGCTTATTGTCAGAAAAATTACTCTTGGGTGACAGTTAGTGCCCTCACTCAGTCCTTTCTCTGCAGTGATTGACCCTCAAAGTAAAGTATTAAACAGCTACCCATATACCACTCTATAGTGTTTAAATGTTTTTAAGTTGCATGAAAATCATTTTTGAAATGAAGGATGATATGGATGAATAAAAGAATGAATAAATGATATAAAGCTAAAAATAAGTACTTCATTCCTCCTCCTTTAGCTTCCACATGAATTTGTAATTTAATATCCAAAATATTTTTAGAGTGAGGTCAATGTAACATATATTTTTATTCCTACTGTCTTTTTTTTCTTTTCCACCTCGTAAAGCACCCTGACATGCATGATAAACATCAAGAAGCTCAATAAAGAAAAGTTACTCCCAACAGGAATCTTAGCTGGTACTTTTTGTTTGTTTGTTGTTTGTTGTTGAATTCTTTTCTGTCATGTTTGTTATTGAATTTTTTTCTGTCAATAGCATTTGAGAAATTTGCCCTTTTCAAAACTGACATTTTACCCACAATTCTGCAAACAAAAAGTTTTTGATGATATCTTAAACCCTTGAAGTACTTTATACAATTCAAATTTTAAATAAGTTTCTATTTTTAAAAACATCAGAAAGTGACTGCTGTGTATTTTTGTATAGAGACTGTTCCCCATCTGTGCAGTCTGTGTCAGAGAATAAGATCTTACAAGGTGCCAGGGGTCCTCCTCACACAAGCTTTGGCTGCCTTTTCAGGGTTGCTCTTGAGATAGGCCTTAGACACAATATGACTGATGTCTCTGCCATGAGGGCTACTGGAGTTTGGATTTATATGACCAACATCTCCTTTATTCCTTTACAATAGAATGGGTCTCAATAAGCTTTTCCTCAACAAATATTTATTCAGAGCCTATTTTGAACCAGGCCCTAATTCAGCAACTGGGGATATAAGAATGAATAAGAGCAAGGTTTTTTAGGATCAGTAGGTGTTCGTGAGGAGAAAAGCAGAGGAACAACATCTCCAAGTGGCAGGAACAGTGGTTTCATCCTTTACATGCATTGCTTCCACTTGGTCCATAACTCAACTCTTCTCTCTTGCAAAGATTCTCTCAATCACTCATTCTGGAGGGAAGATCTGTTCCGGTTTTTCTTTTCATTCAAAGATGCTTGCCTTATAAGTCTGGTCTCTTTAGAACACCTTAGTCCACTGTTAAATAATTTTCAACCATTAGGCACATGTTTGAAAGTACTTGTGGCAGGGTGCTGTGTGAGACCCTTTTAAATCTTCTTCCAATCACATGACTTTGACTTAAAGGGACTGATCATCTTTCCTTTGGTACCACAGATACCCTGGGGAAGAAATGCTTATAAACTCTCAAATAATTTTAAATACTTCTAAACTTTTGCTTACATACTAAGTGTGTAAGGTACCTGAAGACATCTTCATTGCTTCTGGATCAAGCTTTATCTGCAGTTTAACATTACTTCTAGATTGCTCAGATTACTATTTAAGCCAATTTGAGTTGCATTTTTCATTGCTTGCCACATTAAAACAATGCCTAACTTGTGCTTGTGTCTCCTACACATTGAGTATGTGCCAACAAAGATAAATATAACATAGTTCTTGACTTTAATATTAAACAGCTATTTGATGGAGACAGAAAAGCACAGGATGATACTCACTATACAGTGTGGTATGTGCTTGTATACAATTAATGAACCACATTTAGAATAACCTAGTTTACATATTCAATTGACCAGAATAATTTCTTCTGAGATCATTTGTATAAAATGAAGATTGGCTGTATCTTGACCTGAAGCTGAGCTATAGCTCTTGGCGAAGTTGATTACAAATGCTAAATTTCATCATGATAGTTGTTCCTGGGCCTAACCACTTATTTTCCTGAGTGTATGGCCTCCAACTGAATTATAACGTTTCCAATCTTTGGACACTAGGCGGTTCTCCTGGAAGAGTGCTGTGGAATTCCAGAAACCTCTGAAATAAAAGAAGCAATCTGTCCTTGAGAAAGCATTATTTCGACAGAGTTTTCAAAATTGCTGTGCTTTTTTTTTTCTTTAGAAGGGAAATAGACCAATCTTTGTCCTCCTCCAATTTTTAAAGTGATAAAAGTCACCTATAAGGAGAACTGTCAACTTGAACATTACAGATAAAAATAGGAAACTTCCTCCAAGTTATGAGTTTCCATTCTTCCCTTCATCTCCAGCTCCAAAGAAACTGAGAAGTCTTGAAGCATCCTATAAACCAAATGCGACATTCCATTGAAAACGAGATAGGATTTCATGAAAAGAATCTGTCTCTGAAAAATCAGGAAAGATGTATTTCTCTAGAATATATTCTAAGGTGGCTTTGTACTTGGCAGCAAAAGGGGAGAAGGAAGAAAGGGTTGAAAGGGAGAGGAAAGAATGACAATTGAAAATAGAAAAGGATAACTATAAGCATAAATAAAGGAAGTAATAGGCTAAAGTATGCAATTTCAGGAATAATTTTGCAAATTGTAGAAACATGTTATTATTGTGACACCTGCAATTCCTTGATCTTATTTTTTAATGTAGTAAAACTTTAGAAAGGATTAAAAAGACTAAATAATGCAGAGTGTTAGGCATCTCATTGGAAAGGCCTGCTTTTTAAGAATAAGAGAGCGAAATATTATGTGGCAGAGAGAAGCTTTTATGAAAGGTTCCATTTGTGTTGATTGAGGCTTTTCAAATCTGTCCCTAACAAAAGGATTTGTATTTGGATTATCCAGATTAATTTGCTGAGCCGAGGACTAGTTTCTTCTTTTCCTTTCTGTTTTTTTTTTGTTTGTTTCTTTGTGTGTTTTTTTCAATTAAACCTAATGCTTAAACCCAAAGCCTAGATATCCAAGTAAAATTTGCTGACTGCTGATTTAAGGAGAAGGCTTCAATGGCTGGGACTCAAAATTGGACTCTACTAAGAATGGTGGGATGAGTGAGAGGTTTGTTATTAATTCTAGTGAGGATGGGACTGTTTCTGGAATTGTTTCACAATGGTTTCAAGGAATATAACTTTTAAAGAAATGATTCTTAGTGTCTCTAGAGACCCACATGCAATAATAATAAGAAATAAATTGGAATAGAGCTTCAGTGGGAAACTGAAAACCAGATTTACCTGTATGGAATGAGTACAGTATGAAAATGATGGAAATGATGTCAATGTTTTAAATTATTTCTTTTTTGGGTAAATAAAGATGTCATTTATAAGACAAGGCATTTCTTTTTTTTATTATTGCTATACTTTAAGTTTTAGGGTACATGTGCACAATGTGCAGGTTAGTTACATATGTATACATGTGCCATGCTGGTGCGCTGCACCCGCTAACTCATCATCTAGCATTAGGTATATCTCCCAATGCTATCCCTCCCCACTCCCCCCACCCCACAACAGTACCCAGAGTGTGATGTTCCCCTTCCTGTGTCCATGTGTTCTCATTGTTCAATTCCCACATATGAGTGAGAATATGTGGTGTTTGGTTTTTTGTTCTTGCGATAGTTTACTGAGAATGATGATTTCCAATTTCATCCATGTCCCTACAAAGGACATGAACTCATCCTTTTTTATGGCTGCATAGTATTCCATGGTGTATATGTGCCCCATTTTCTTAATCCAGTCTATCATTGTTGGACATTTGGGTTGGTTCCAAGTCTTTGCTATTGTGAATAGTGCCGCAATAAACATACGTGTGCATGTGTCTTTATAGCAGCATGATTTATAGTCCTTTGGGTATATACCCAGTAATGGGATGGCTGGGTCAAATGGTATTTCTAGTTCAAGATCCCTGAGGAATAGCCACACTGACTTCCACAATGGTTGAACTAGTTTACAGTCCCACCAACAGTGTAAAAGTGTTCCTATTTCTCCACATCCTCTCCAGCACCTGTTGTTTCCTGACTTTTTAATGATTGCCATTCTAACTGGTGTGAGATGGTATCTCATTGTGGTTTTGATTTGCATTTCTCTGATGGCCAGTGATGGTGAGCATTTTTTCATGTGTTTTTTGGCTGCATAAATGTCTTCTTTTGAGAAGTGTCTGTTCATGTCCTTTGCCCACTTTTTGATGGGGTTGTTTGTTTTTTTCTTGTAAATTTGTTTGAGCTCAATGTAGATTCTGGATATTAGCCCTTTGTCAGATGAGTAGGTTGAGAAAATTTTCTCCCATTTTGTAGGTTGCCTGTTCACTCTGATGGTAGTTTCTTTTGCTGTGCAGAAGCTCTTTAGTTTAATTAGATCCCATTTGTCAATTTTGGCTTTTGTGCCATTGCTTTTGGTGTTTTAGACATGAAGTCCTTGCCCATGCCTATGTCCTGAATGGTAATGCCTAGGTTTTCTTCTAGGGTTTTTATGGTTTTAGGTCTAACATTTAAGTCTTTAATCCATCTTGAATTGATTTTTGTATAAGGTGTAAGGAAGGGATCCAGTTTCAGCTTTCTACATATGGCTATCCAGTTTTCCCAGCACCATTTATTAAATAGGGAATCCTTTCCCCATTGCTTGTTTTTCTCAGGTTTGTCAAAGATCAGATAGTTGTAGGTATGCGGCGTTATTTCTGAGGGCTCTGTTCTGTTCCATTGATCTATATCTCTGTTTTGGTACCAGTACCATGCTGTTTTGGTTACTGTAGCCTTGTAGTATAGTTTGAAGTCAGGTAGTGTGATGCCTCCAGCTTTGTTCTTTTGGCTTAGGATTGACTTGGTGATGCGGGCTCTTTTTTGGTTCCATAAGAACTTTAAAGTAGTTTTTTCCAATTATGTGAAGAAAGTCATACTCCAAGACACATAATTGTCAGATTCACCAAAGTTGAAATGAAGGAAAAAATGGTAAGGGCAGCCAGAGACAAAGGTCGGGTTACCCTCAAAGGGAAGCCCATCAGACTAACAGCAGATCTTTCGGCAGAAACTCTACAAGCCAGAAGAGAGTGGGGGCCAATATTCAACATTCTCAAAGAAAAGAATTTTCAACCCAGAATTTCATATCCAGCCAAACTAAGCTTCATAAGTGAAGGAGAAATAAAATATTTTACAGACAAGCAAATGCTGAGAGATTTTGTCACCCCTAGGTCTGCCCTAAAAGAGCTCCTGAAGGAAGCGCTAAACATGGAAAGGAACAACCAGTACCAGCCACTGCAAAATCATGCCAAAATGTAAAGAACATTGAGACTAGGAAGAAACTGCATCAACTAACGAGCAAAATAACCAGCTAACATCATAATGACAGGATCAAATTCACACATAACAATATTAACTTTAAATGTAAATGGACTAAATGCTCCAATTAAAAGACACAGACTGGCAAATTGGATAAAGAGTCAAGACCCATCAGTGTGCTGTATTCAGGAAACCCATTGCACATGCAGAGACACACATAGGCTCAAAATAAAAGGATGGAGGAAGATCTACCAAGCAAATGGAAAACAAAAAAAGGCAGGGGATGCAATCCTAGTCTCTGATAAAACAGACTTTAAACCAACAAAGATCAAAAGAGACAAAGAAGGCCATTACATAATGGTAAAGGGATCAATTCAACAAGAAGAGCTAACTATCCTACATATATATGCACCCAATACAGGAGCACCCAGATTCATAAAGCAACTCCTGAGTGACCTACAAAGAGACTTAGACTCCCACACATTAATAATGGGAGACTTTAACACCCCACTGTCAACATTAGACAGAACAACGTGACAGAAAGTCAACAAGGATACCCAGGAATTGAACTCAGCTCTGCACGAAGCAGACCTAATAGACATCTACAGAACTCTCCATCCCAAATCAACAGAATATACATTTTTTTCAGCCCCACAGCACACCTATTCCAAAATTGACCACATAGTTGGAAGTAAAGCTCTCCTCAGCAAATGTAAAAGAACAGAAATTATAACAAACTATCTCTCAGACCACAGTGCAATCAAACTAGAACTCAGGATTAAGAATCTCACTCAAAACCGCTCAACTACATGGAAACTGAACAACCTGCTCCTGAATGACTACTGGGTACATAACGAAATGAAGGCAGAAATAAAGATGTTCTTTGAAACCAATGAGAACAAAGACACAACATACCAGAATATCTGGGACACATTCAAAGCAGTGTGTAGAGGGAAATTTATAGCACTAAATTCCCACAAGAGAAAGCAGGAAAGATCCAAAATTGACACCCTAACATCACAATTAAAAGAACTAGAAAAGCAAGAGCAAACACATTCAAAAGCTAGCAGAAGGCAAGAAATAACTAAAATCAGAGCAGAACTGAAGGAAATAGAGATGCAAAAAACCCTTCAAAAAATTAATGAATCCAGGAGCTGGTTTTTTGAAAGGATCAACAAAATTGATAAACCGCTAGCAAGACTAATAAAGAAAAAAAGAGAGAAGAATCAAATAGACGCAATAAAAAATGATAAAGGGGATATCACCACCGATCCCACAGAAATACAAACTACCCTCAGAGAATACTACAAACACCTCTACGCAAATAAACTAGAAAATCTAGAAGAAATGGATAAATTCCTTGACACATACACCCTCCCAGGACTAAACCAGGAAGAAGTTGAATCTCTGAATAGACCAATAACAGGTTCTGAAATTGTGGCAATAATCAATAGCTTACCAACCAAAAAGAGTCCAGGACCAGATGGATTCACAGCCGAATTCTACCAGAGGTACAAGGAGGAACTGGTACCATTCCTTCTGAAACTATTCCAATCAATAGAAAAAGACAAGGTATTTCTGAAATATGAGAAAACTTGATTCTTTCTGCTCACCAGGTCAGCACCAATTGTTGTCCCCTGCAGAACATGCTGGGTGGGGGAATTTTATCCCTAGACATATGGTTGAAATTCATTAGGGGTATGATTAACTAAAGGAAGAATTGTCCCAGCTGGACACAATCTATGTTCTCACCATTCAGCTAGAGGAAAAGCAGGAAAGGCCATTTCACCTAAGTCACCTACTCATCGATATATGGCCCACCTGGAAATCCCAAGGACTGGGATTAAGGCAGTGCCTCTGATTTCTCAGAACCAATAGATCTCTTTAATTACACACCTGATACTATATAAAGATGCCTCTGGAACCTGAAACTTTACTACAGTCTGATCCAAAGTTATTTACCCAAATTCACCTCCCTGTACACTCACCTTCCACTCTACTGACCCTATGGAGACTGATCATATTTCTAAGGCTTAATTTTGCCTCTTGTATCTGATTTTTCAGGTCTCATTTTTTATTTCAACTTTAAAAAATGAAATCTTACCCTGTTGCCCAGGCTGGAGTGCAGTGACACAATTCTGGCTCACTGTATCCTCTGCCTCCCTGGTTCAAGCAATTTTCATGCCTCAGCCTCCTGAGTAGCTGGGATTACAGGTGCCCACCACCATGCCTGGCTAATTTTTGTATTTTTAGTAGAGACGGGGTTTCACTGTGTTGGCTAGGCTGTTCTCGAATTCCTGACCTCAAGTGATCCTCCCACCTGGTCCTCCCAAAGTGCTGGGATTACAGACATGAGCCACCGTGCACAGCCTCCCATCGCTTTCTGACATAAAAATGGACCAGTGTCATGGTTCACAATCTTCTTGCACATTGAAGTCACTTGAGGAACCTAAATTAACTTGAGTCCCACCCTTCAAAATGCTGAGTTAATTGGTCCAAGGTGTGGCATGGGCACTGGGACTTTTAAAGTTCCCCAAGGTGATTCTAATGCGTGGTCAAGATTGAGACCCACTGGACTAAATTCTAAAGGCCACAGAATTCACACCATTTTTGCCCTAGCCTTTTCTCCCTTACTCTTACTCCCTCTTCTCCATCTCCATTTCCTGCTAAATTTCCTTGGGTAATGACCTACATGAGAAACTGCTGTGGAGGCTTTGACTCCATTTGGAGTGAACTGAACATCTGTATTTTGGGCCTCCACCTGATGGCTGGTACAGTTTTGTGGACCTTCTGCTCAGGGTGCCTGATGCAAGGCATTGACTGCTTGGGCAAGGTTTTCTACTCGATATTTGACTTGTTGGCCATCCCACAGATCGGGCCCAAACTGATTTTCTTGATTTATTTTTTCATGTTGAAATAGTTCTGTAACTGGAAAACATAACTGAAGCATAGCAACCAAAGAAGGAACTGCCCTGCACTACTAGTTTTTCTCTGCTCACAGGTTTGCTCTCTGAGGAAAAGTTGGCAGGTTGGAGGGAATCATTCTGTGCTTCCCACTGTGTGTCTGGCCTCAGAGAGAAGCTCCTTCCTGACCGGTGGTTTGTTGTGAGGGTGCTACCTCTGCTTACTGATAATCAGGAATAAAGGAAATCCACTTCTATATTAAGTGGAATTCAAAGAAGAATTTCAATGTCCTTACCTAAAGGGGTTTGAGAGATTACTCCAAAGGAGTAGAGAGCTGAGGAGGGGAATAGGGTGTTTGGCACCAGGTCCTATACCCAGTTTTAGGTAACGCCCATGAAACAAGTAATACTCTGGAAGGCGTCCTTCCTAGAAGGAGCTTTCACCAGGACATTCTGTTGCTTGTTTCCCATCCTACTTCTGAAACTTTTTCCCCTTTAGTTCTTTTTTACTCAGGTCCCCACTGTTCACTTTTTTTAATTTGGGGAACCACCAGATTTACCAAGAATATGATCAACTCTTAGTCTCTTATTTTCCCCTTTTTATGCCCTATAAATTTGATACTCGTGGGCATCAGTTGGCAACGTTTTTATCCTTTGCTTTGTTGATATTGCTCTGATCTCAGTGTCCAAAAGCTTGGACATTGTGTGGGGGATGAGCTTGGTTCCCATTCACTCAGAAAGGGGAAGAATGAGAGAGGGGTTCTATTCCAAGCAGTAAATTGTTCCCTTTAGGGATATTTAAATTCAAACACATCACAATACCATAAGGTTTAATTTCTTTCCTAAGTCTCAAGTCTGAAAGTCTTGAGAAACAACTATTCCTCATGTTAATTTAATTTTGGTTTTCTTTCATAAACTAATAGCATGGCCTTACAATGACTACAAAAGCATTCACCCCTTTCCCCGAGTTAATTCAAAAAGCATTTGTATTACCATGACAGAGACTCTCTAAGCCCAAATCACAAATTCCTAATCCCTGGAAGAGACTAATCAATACAACACAATGTTAGTTATCTCAAGTTTCTAACTAAAGGAAAGCATTGTATCCTTCAGAATTTTTGGTGAGGGTGAGCTATTGAGGTAAATTAATCAGACATAAAGATAATATTTTTCATTTGGTTTAAAAATGAAGTCTCTATTTCAAAATAGTAACTAAGGAACAGTGCATGTGTTTGTGTGTGTGTGCATGAATGCACATGTGTGTATGTTAAAAAATGATACCTAGAAGCTATTTACCTCAGTCATAAAACACTTCTAAATTATCAGTGAATGTTCTGTATCTCTCCTGTTCACAATGGAGTTGGAATGCTGTCTCCAAACACAATTTATTTTATCCTGAAGGTTAGGAACTTCTTTTAGCTTACTAACGTGATTTTCGTCCATTAATCCAGGCTCTTAAACCTATATTTCAATTTCTAGTTCTAATATTTTGACATAGAACCACACCTTAACAGTAGGAATGAATTTGACTTCATGTCTTCCTAACAGCATGAATACCATTTTTCTATTTCTATAGTGAGGATTTTTTTTTTTTATTTGAAAGGTATCATTATTTTCCTTTAGTGATCATATTTTATGCCACATTTCAACTCTATGCCTCAGATATTTGTCGCTTCAACATTGCTTTGTCAAGTCTTTTTTATACCATGACTCTCTTTTTATTCTGCAAATAATGAACAAGAGCATCAAGGGAAAACTGACACTTTTCATGAGTTTATTTCTGAGATGGGAATTCATTTACATTGTATCTACTGTATTTTAGTGTCACACTGGGTACACTGCATTTCATAGATCGGAAATTCAAACATTGATAATGTTGTTCAAAAGGTAACTGGGACAAAATTGCTATCTTTTATTATGAGAAATCCTTTGATTTAATTTGCATACTTTCAGTACGATGCATAAAAGACAATTTATTTGAAAGGCTCACAGGCATTTCTTGCAGGACAACATGTGCCTATTTATCTACATGTTTCTTTCCTTCTTGAAATAAGGGGCAAGAAACATGTAGAGTATTCTTAAATGCGAAAGCACAGGTATTTGCTCACCCTGTTCTCACACCTGGCTGACCAAATTTCTTCTCTTTTCAGACTCAATTATTACCTTCTTCAAGGAGTCACCAACAATTCTCCTTGTGCACACTGAGTTTCCCCTTCCTTCATATAGTTCTGGGGTTTTGTCTTCTCAAAAATACTGCAGTTTCCTTAATTTTAGGGACCATATTTTATAATTCTTATACTTTTATTGTATTAAGTGTACAGTAAATTCATTTCACTTTCGCATTCATTCAAATAATATTTCATTAAACACAAGTTTGTTGAAAGTCCTTTAAATGTGAGGCATCATACTAAGTACTGTGAAGGCTACAGTGAACAATACACCCCTGCTTCTTATTTAGTGTAATGACTGAAGATTCATGAAGAAGTGTTCCTCAGGAAGCAGCAGGAACCAACAACTGAGGATATACTATCTCCGTCTCTAGCTTTCTAAGAACCCTCAGAGGTCCTTTTTGAGCTCAAGCTTCCCCTCATCTACTTTTGGGTTTATATCTGGGCTCACAGGCCAAGAAGCTTCCAGGAAGTTTCCAGGAATACACTGTCAATAACACTGACATGTCCCTGAGGTGATCGCATAAGATCACGGTGGCATAAGAGATCCTAGAGATGTTGAGATAGTGATAGTGACTATGGAACTGGACTTTCATTTCTGTTTTCTTTATATTGTGGGCCACAGTGATCAGGAATCACATAGGCCAAACGCCCCTTTTTGCTGCAGTTATGGCTCTCACTCCTCTTCCCTATCCCTAGCTCCAAATGTCAGCTTCTGGACAGTACAGAAGCTGGCAACCCCTCTGCTTTGGAGAGAAGCAACTGTAAAGGTGTTTCTGGGCGGCTGGAAAGCAATATTAGGGTTTATTTTCCTTGAAAATTATAACATCAATTACCATTCATTATTTTTAATGTGGTGCTTATTTCTTTTGATCATACCCTGTTCAACACATTGTTAAGAGACGGGTTCTTGCCCAAGAGTTATAGGGATGACTAAACATACAACACCTTATACATACTGGGCAGATGACATTGATAGCCATTTATTAGTCACATATACTCACATCCCCAGGGAGAAGAATACCACACACCATATAAGGTTACACAGGGGCTGTATTCAGGAACAGCACAAACAACTAATGGCTATGGTTGGCACGCTTTATAGTACCAAGAAGGTGAGTTCTCCTTACTATGTACTTTCTATATATTATCTCATTTAACCTTCTTAATAACTCTACTAGAGAGTTATTTTTATCTCTTATTTTACAGTTGAAGAAACTAAAGTTCATAGAATTTAAACCACCCCATGTAATTTTCTAATAAATGGAAAATCCAAGATTCAAACCTGGATCTCTATCTCTCTATAGTTGTGACATGTATAGTGACACAGATTGTAAAGCATTCCTTGTGAATCATACCAGGCCATGCTTCCAACTCACAATGCATGTTGACACTAGAATGTAGATGAGAAAGTGAGGTGTAGATTTGTGATGCTCCTGATGCCTACTCTTCTCAATGAACTGCAGCTCAACTGATGGAAAACCCTTGGGTACAGTGAGTACCTTGGTTCTTATGCAAAGTGCTAATATCTCACAAAACCTTAACAGCTTCTATTTCCCATGGATTATGTTTCCCTTAAGATTTTTGAAGTTATCATGCCAATCTCAGGGAGACATTTTAGATTAAAATGGGACATGTGACTTGGAATGGTTCAATTAAAGTCATCTATGGCTATTTTCAGAAGCGAGCTAAATATTAACTGATACTAATGCCTACCATTATTCATCTTTTATGTCAGAATCAGACTGAATACACAAGGGCATTTGCTATTGATGAATGGTTTTCCCAAAGAATTTTACAAAAGAAGAGCATAGGTTGTTTCTATACATATCACACAGATGGTGTATTTTCTCTTAAAATAAAGTGGTTGTCCCCTCCAGGCTCCGAATGCAGTGGCACTGATCAATTTCTCCACTGTTGATGGAGAGGAGCATTCACTTACAGCAGCAGACAGAAAATTTTAGATCACTCTTTTTCTCATCCCTTTATTTTAGGTATATCTTATGGGTTTTAGCAGTTAGCTATTGCTGCCATAATACTGCATAAGAAACAACCTAAATGTCTCAGTGGCTTAAAAGAGGGAACAGTTATTTCTCTTGATTGTTGTTCTGCAAGTCAGCAAGGATGACTCTGCTTCAAGCTGCTAGGTGGTCCACTTCAGGGGACTCAAGGAGTCAGTTTCATGAGTCTGCCAGCCTTGTTAGATCAGTGGCTACCTGGTATATGTTCTTCTAATAATGAATAGCAGAAGTGTAGGAGGGTATGTGGAAACATTTGACACCCTGGCTCTGAAAGGACACACTGCTACTTTTGACCAGTGGGAGGTACTGCAAATCCCTTGGCACTGGGTAAGAAGTGATAGGGCTATGATCTAATCTGCCACAGGGCACCCAACGTACTGGTACAGGGACATTTGTTTTCCTGCTTTTGGCTCTTTAAATTTTGCCTCCTGATTCCTCTTTCTATATATCTAAATCTATATTGATATCTATGTCTATATATAAAATCACAGCAAATAGCTATATGAAGAGCCACGTTAGAGTATATTTAATTTAGGCAAAGCTAAACCCTCAAAAAAGATTAAAATTACACCAAGATTACTTCACCCCCAAAGCTGATATTTTTCTTATGTTTTATATTTTTCTTTCAGGATGAATAAAAAAGTTGTGTTTTGGAGATATCTCCACTGTTTAGGAAGAACCAGAAACTAAATTTATTGCATACAGAAAAGTCTGTATGTTATAGCTAAATCACCCAATTTTCCATAGAGAAGAGAAATGTACGCATTCATGAATTGGATTAAAGCATGTGCCCAGAATGTGATGCATTTTAATTTATTGTCTTAAGTAAGATCTTTTTATCTTAAAATGGTTAGTAGATTCTTGTTACTGGCAGTGTACTGTAATATAGGTGAGAATCGAACGTGAATGTAGTTATTAATATTAAATTGTCAAGTCTATTACTTATGATGAACAAGAGTTTTTATCACATCATGGTAGATGGTTAAAACATACAAATAATTACCTTTAACAAATCTAATGTTCCTTAATTTGTAAAATGCTCAGCTACTTTTCTGCATGAGCAGAAGAGTAGGTAAATTCAGGACAGGAAGTAGGTAAATTCAGGACTGCCAGTACAGACTTGGAAATAGATTATATGATGCTGATACATCACACTCATCAGCACTGAGTGTCAGAAGACTGAGGTTATGGTCCCCATTCTACCTTACTAACTTTGAAAGGCTGGTAAGACACTAAAAGTTTGGGGGCATGGAAGATTATAATGGTACATAGTGTAAGTTCTCAAGCTTAATTAACCCAAGTGTTAATTATCATGATGATGAAAAACATGTAGACGTGTATTATCCTGGCATGGGGCAGCGTTGCACAGCTGTGGTTTGGTGATGTGACCTATAGAGTCAGAATGCTTGAACTGCAATCCCCTGCTCTACCACTTGAAGAAGGTGTGACCACAGATGAGTTTATTACCCTCTCTGAATTTCATTTCTTTCATCTGTAAAATATGAATTGTAATGTATCTACTTCAGAGTGTTGCTGTGAAGAGTAATCAAAGAAGGCATGAAAAATGCTTAGCATGATACCTGGCACATAGTAAATCCTTAATAACTGTTGTTAGCTAAAAGTTATCATTTTCATTATTTTAAAGTGTGCTGAATTTATGCAACACTAAAGGGTCCCAGAGGGCATTTTATTACATTGAGTCTTAAAAACAATGTACTTCATTTCATTTTGAAAACCAGGCATTAATCCTTTATGCCATTTTTTGTTGGTCTTTTAGACTCCATGGGATGGTATCCGAGTGGCTTGGAAAATAATATTTAGTTGTGTTCACCCACCTTTAAAAGACATCTCTTTTGGTGAATTCCAGGTACAGCATGCCACACCCTAATCTCCTGAATAAAAAGCTCAGACATTACCTAGGTTTTTCAAGAAACAGGTCCACACATGTGTGGAGATGTAGAAGGTGCTAGAAGGGCAGAGGTTCCAGCTGATTACAACTCTCAGGTCAAAAATTACACAAGAAATGTAATAAATGACATTAACAGGAGCTCAGTCATTTTCTTGCAAGGTGATAAGTGGTTATAGTTTTTGATATAAAGCCTTCATTAAAGGATGTCTTCAAATAAAATTAACTCCATTCTTTTCTGACAACCAATATAAAAGATTTGAGACCATTTATTCTGTGATACAGTTTAAATCAAACCTATTTTTGGCTAGATCAGGTTCAACTTGACAGTGAAACTATGTTGCTGGCTAGAATAATTAAGCTGGTTTTACAAAGCCTCTGACTCCATGTATTTTAATCATGAGCTTCATAATCATTAAATTTAAGGGCCAGAGCACAATAACTACAAAAATGATGATAATGATAGACAGACAGATAGGGAGATAGATAGATAGATAGCATCTAACATATGCCTGATTGCATCTCCCAAGCATCTCTCAAATTCACCTACTTTCTGTCTCCACTGCCACAACTCTGGTCTATGCCTCTAGCTTTTGTTCACCTGGAATTAGTGCAATAAATACCCGGGCTACTTATATCTAATTTTCCCCCCACTCTTGACAATTCATTCTGAATGCTGCTGCCAGTTAGCTTTCAGAAATACAAAGTTGATCACACACTCCCATCTCAGCTTGAAGCTCTTCAAAGGATTGCAGTGGGGTGGAGTGGCGGGTTAGAAGGATGTTGTTTCCAGGAATTCAAGATAAGAGAGGTAGGAACCTAGTGGGTTATGAGTATGTAGACGAGAGATTATTCCAGAAAACTGGACAAGGTTGATCTGGAAGGGCCATATCAGCATGAAGGGGTCTGGCCTGAACATTATTGAGAGGGGCATAGGGAGTTATTAAATGTATCTCAACAATGTGCATAATATGTCGCTTTTATATGAAATTTTAGAAACGTATGTGCAGGGAGAGAGAAGAGGTCTAAAAGAAAGCACAGAATAGGAAAGAATACTTATTTCTTAGTGGCTTTGGAATAATTTATAATTTCTCCTAGTGTCTTTTAATATTGCTCTCATTTTCTACATGATTTTATACCCTCCAATTTTTAAACGTTGAAGTTATTTTTGTTCTGTAAGCAAACTAAAACAAAAGCAAAAGTCCTGAGCTCTTTTTTTTTTTTTTTTTTACCACTCCACAAGGCAAATTAAAATACTGAGTTAATTGGGCCCCTCTGCTCTTGTCTCTTATTGTAGCTAAATCTCTGGCCCAATGAACTGTTTTCTAATAGGCTTCCCACTGTCTCTGGTTTCCAAATTTCTTGCCTGAAGAAGTCTTTTTGAGTCTCTTACTGGCGGAACCATAGCCCCTGCTAGCTGAGCCGAGCCAGCTGTGAGTATCATTGACCGAATGGTAAGCCGATTGTAATTACAGTGTTTTTGTTACTCTTTGAGAGGAAAGGGACAAGAGCCATCATTTACAATCCTGGTCAGAGTTTTCAGATCTCCCAACCTCAGAAGTGATCATTGGAGTTGTAAACAGAGCCAATCTACTGTGAAAATTGCTGGAAGGGAATTAATAAAGCCTTCTCATTTTTTTCCCTGTTTTTAAGGAAAACTATTTTAATGGGTATTTGGGATTTTTATCTCTGAGGAAAATTCCTAATGAAGCTGGGCCAGGGGGTAGAATAAGAATTCAAATATAATTAAATGCAGATAATTATATAATTCTCCCAATTAAGATATTTCATGATATATGGCTATTTCCCCTTTAAAATAGTTATCTGGAAATAGAGGCAGCATGATCTAATCATGTATTCATTTTTTCTCATTTGTTCTCATGTATCTACACATAAGTTCTCATTTCTCAGAGGTACGACACATGCTTCTCAGCACAGGGCATTTCCAAAAGACAGAGGTAGATCTGTTTCAAAGGCAAAGTTGCCCCTGAAAACTAAGGGCAACACAGAAAGATACACATATAGCACTCAAAATGGGATGGTATTAATTGATCATTTGCACTTCCTACAATTTTCCCATATTGCCTACTAAGAAAACCTTCCAAAAGTCCTTGGAGAAAAAGGGTTAATACAGTGTAGTAGTTTGCTGGAATGTCATAACTAAATAATAGCACAGACTGCGTGGATTAAATACCAGAAATTGATTTTCTCAGCTCTTTTGAAGCTAGAAGTTCAAGATCAAAGTGCTGGCATGTTTGCTTTCTTCTGAGGCCTCTCTCCTTGGCTTGCAGATGGCTGACTTCTCACTGAGCCTTTGAACACTTACATCCTTGGTGGCTCTCTGTGTGTCCTATTCACCTTTCTTAAGATATCAGTCAGATTGGATTAGGGCCCACTCTAATAGCTTCACTTTTGACTTATCTCTTTAAAGGCACTGTTTCAAAATACAGTCACATTCTGAGGCACTAGGGCTTAGGGCTTCAACATATTACTTTTTGTCATAATTCAGCCCGTCATATATAGCATCAGTTGGAAAGCACAAATTGACAAAATGAAACAATAAAGCAACTAAGATATTATTCGCTCTCTTATAACAATAGCAACAGTGATAAGATAATCTTCCAAATCTGAGTAAACAGATAAATATGGGCCTTTTTCACTCCAAAGAAAACCAAGAAGCTGCTCAAGCCAGATCATTACTCTTCTTCTTGCAATTGCCTGATGCCTCTCCAAAGGTGTTCATGCCTCATAAATGAAAAGTGGACGGAACATGAGCTTTGGTGTCAACTGAATTTTCTGTAAGCCCCAGCTCTCTTACCAGGGAACACCTTGGGCAAGTAACTTAGCATCTCTGGGTCTCAGTTCCCTCATTTGAAAAATAATGCTCTCATCCACTCTACCTCCCTCCTTCCAAGGTGAATGGGGATCAAATTAGCAAAAGCTACTGGGGGGCTGTGAGATTGGGAGACTTGTGTCTGATCTTGAATCTTGGTGATCAAGGCATAGTTTCATAGCAAAGGATAAATGGATATCCAATATTTCTGGAACATGAAACCAAGTTTGAGGAAACAAATTATAAGAAATCAGAACTTGAGCAATATAGAATATTAAATGAGTCTGGGAACCATCTATAAATTTGAGAGAAATGTAAAAGACAACAAATAAATGTCATTTTCTTCTTTATTTCATTACATAAAGGATTTGAGAGATGGTAAATAAATACTTATAATAAAATGGGAACATACAAATAACAAATTTAAAATAATCAGAATAACTAATGACTTAAATGAAATAGCCAAAAGTAGAGGAAATTGGGCTACAGCTAGATGGGCTGTGAGGTTGTATATCTGAAGCATAGATTTGTTTTTCTCATGATATTCCTAGGATGTAAGGCAAAACAGGGAACATTATTATGGGCTCACATGACACTCACTCTTCCCGAAGGAACAGAGTTCACTTTTTTTTTTTTTTTTTTTTTTAATGGCAGCAAAGTTTTGCCAAGTGCAATGTTCCAGAAAAAATTTCTAGTGCAGGATGCTTTATGGGTCAGTGTTGGTATCCTGACTAATCACTAAATCTTCAGAAGAAGGGAGATTAACAGAAAAGACAGAGGCATGAACCCAACCTCCAGAGATCTTAGTTTAGTAGATCTGGGTAACGCATTCATACTTATATTTTTCAAAGACTTTCTCAATCTGTCTGATCATTAGCCAGGTTTGGAAAGTATTGATGTAGGGTATATTCAGGTGACTTAGGTTGGGTTCTCCCGAAAAGTGGGCAATGAGATGAAATTTGAATGCAAAGAGTTTATTTAGGAAGTGTTTCCCAAAGGTTTATTTGGGAAACACAAAAAGGGAAGTAGAAAAGTGAGACAAGGGAAAAAAGACAGCAAGAATTCATCCCTCACAAAGCCCATTATTTTGATGTATGAGTTGAGCTTCATTCTGCTGGGGAAACTCTGCAACATGGGGTAGAATGTATGCTTCCAAGAGTGAGGGGTCTGGGTGTTTATACACCAAGTTCTTAGTAGTCATCGGTTGAGGATTGCACCTGAAAGGTGCAACTCGCCAGCATTCCAAACCTGCTATGTAAGTGGCAAAATGTGCCATGGTGGCCACAGAAAACCCTCAGGCAAGTGGAGGCAGGAGGTGCCAGTTGGAATTTGGCTGGTGTACATGCAGATGGTAGGACTGAAGGCACATGTGGCTGCCAGTGACACCACCCTCCTCAACATCCCCACCATCCCATGAGCAACCTTGAAATAAAAGTCATCATTCCCATGATTGAAAACTATATGTACATCTGCCCCATCCAGGAGCCTAGTTTACTTTAGGTGTATGTGGGATTTCAGAGCTGGGCCTAAAGGGATGGGTATAAAAAAGGGATAAACCATAGTGGTCCCCAAACACCAAGCTCTGCTGACTAGCTGAGTGAGCTAAGACTTGCTTTGTTCTTTAGAACCTCACTTCCCTCTTGTGCAAATTAAGAAAAATGTCTTTCCCTATCCTCCTCCACTTATCATGTCTTAAGATGAGACTTCATAAAACGAAAGGACTAGGCAATGTGACATTGGTGGAGCAAAGGGCTTTGCAGATAGCTAACTGGCTCTGCTCTTGCAGGATGCTTTCTAAGTTTTAGTTTCCTCATCTGTAAAATGAGAAAAATAATATCTACTTGATAATAAATGTTGTGAGAACTAGGAAAGATGGAAACAGAATCTTGCACTATGCCAAATAAATGATAACCATTGTTAGGGAAAGGTGGAATTATTTGATAAGACATTCTTTATCTGTGGCTTATGCACAGGATTCCTCAGTTCATGTGAATATAAAAAGTCTTGTTAATGGTGAAGTGCTGAAAATATCAGTTTAAGTCAGTCCTGTTTGTCCTCCTAAAGACTTACTCCAGGCAACACTTTTCCGAGATTTTCTTCTTCCTTTCTCGTATCTCATTCACCTCTTCTCACAGCAGTTGGCTCCTGTGGGAGCCCAGGAACTGGCAGGGCTGTCTGTGGGAATGAAAGACTTTGAGGGAAGACCAGCATCTTTCAGACATTTTCCTTCAGAAGAAATGCAGACAATCCCAAGGAAGCCGGCTTTCTGTGAATTAACCTCATCCTACTCCCCATGGGTCATTTTCTTTGGAAATCTATTCAACAGTCGATGTCATTAGCACAACAGATTGCTTGTTAATTCTTGGACCAACAGCCAGATTTCAGATTGCCTTTTGTTTTACAAACTCTTCTTTGTAAGAAAATAAAAAGAATAAAACAAAAAAAAAAATGAGGTTTTGGTTCCAACCCCAGAGAGACCCACAATGTATTCATTTCAGGCCTAGCTTTTGAGGTCAGATCCAGAGAACTCCTGCCATTTGGATGCCTGGACATCTACAGGGAAAGAAGAAAAAATACATCGATTCTTTTTTGTAAATGGTGAGCAAAATGAAGAACATTTTCCAGCCAAAGAAGAAATACAACTTATGAAATTGATCAACTCAGTTGCCACTAGTGAGTGAGAAGTGTAAATGTTTGCACTCAACTTGGAGACAGCCTTAAAAATATATCTAGTAATTTCCCCAGAAACCTGAAACTTAGGCCATCCCTAGGCCAAATTTGGCAGGTACACTTTGTTTTCAATGTTTCCAGCATCTGTTTTCCTGATGTTTTCAGAACCCAATTCCATGTTACCCCAATGTGCATGCAGACACACACACTCACACACATGGTTCTTAAGTGATCCTCACTAGCTTCTGGTTCTTTTCCTATTGAAGAGATTATAGCCATAAAACTAGTGGCTTTCCTTTTTACTGTCATCCACCAATGAAACCATGAGACTCTATGTTCACCTTGTGGCCTCTACAGCATAATTTCCCTGAGTTGGATGAAAAAGTCTTGGACCTTGAGGAGTGCCCCTGGCTGAGGGTATGTAGCCCACTAAGTCATTTGGCACATTTGGGACCATCCATATCATGAGTGTGGGCAAATGTGGGATGAGGAATGCAGATCTTCCTTTTTTTTTTTTTTTTTTTTTTTTTGCGAATTCTGATTCACCTATTTGGACTTTGGAATGAGTTGGACAGGACATTTACAAATGTGTCGTAATTGAGATTGCCTCTGGTTTGCTTTGTCTGGGTCAGACCCAATCAACTTGACAGATGAGTGATACCACTTTGGGAAGCCAAGCTGACAAGAGCTCTGGAAATGGAGAAGGGCATCATTTATGAACAGTCATTCTCCTCCTGCCAAGCAGGGATGCACTCGATCACTTGTGGTTTATGTTGTTACTCAAGGAAACAAATGCTAATCAACTCTCCCTCTCCAGCAACTTGCACCAGGATTATTTTCTCCATCTCTCCACTGGGAAGCCAGGTCATGCTCAACATGGAGCATGTTATCTGGGGTCTATTTTAAAAGGCAAACTGATCTCCTCATCCTATCTTGAAAGAACAAGAGGGTTTTTGGAATCATAAATTTTCTTTACTATGACTGTGACAATGTGGGAGCCTTACATGCCTTTTGAATCCTCAAGGAAACTTGCTGATGGTCAGTGACATTTTCATGGTGTATATTGTTATGCTATTTTTTTTTGTTGTTGATTGGGAAACAATTTATCAAGAGAGGAAATTAGTGTACTTTAAGGGATACTGGTTGGGGAACGTGAGGACATGGATGCTAATCTGTAGGCCTGCAAGGGTTTCAATTTCAACACCTGTAAAATAAGTAGGTAAGCTCATCCCTAAGACTCTCCCAGCCCTAACAATCTAGGAATTCACCTAGCTGTAGTAACAAAAACATTTAATTAAGCAGAATTTTCCACTTCCTGCCTCTGCCAGATAGATGAGAGAACTTACTATATGAATTGAAAGTATTAAGCCAATAAGAAAAACCTACCCACATCTGAGACTGCCTTATGTTTGTTGATGTCAGGACAAGAGTTATTGTGAAGAATCAGAGAAGGACGTAAAAAAGAACAATGCGTACCTGGCAGATTTTGTATATCATTGCATTACAATTTGCCAAAGTGTTCTTGAAAGCTAAATCTTCCATTACATAACTTTTCATTACTTTGTTAAAAATGTTCCAGTTGGGTTGGCATGTTTTCCGATTTTCCTTGCTTCAAAGATAAGCACATTGTCAAAAATTAGAGTAAAATTCCTAGGTATTTCTGAATTTAAAAGGTTGGGGTTAAGAAAGAGATGCCAAAAGAGAAGGCTGAGAAAAGCGTTATTTAAAATATTTAGAAGGTAAGATAGAGGTAAGATAGTATGTGCCTTGGATAATGAGTTGACAGTTAATTTCAAAAACCTTACAGTCCCAAAATAGGTAGCTCTCCATCTGCAAGGGTTTGGAAAATTAAGGGCCAAGCTGGGATCAAAACTGAAGCATGCATGTTGGGCCTTTTTCTGTGCAGACTTGAGTCTTAGTTCTTTTCACTCATTGGCAGCATATACTGTTGGCCTTGGGGGACACAGCATTCCCACAAGCTGGCAGGAAGAGTGCTTCTTCTCAATTCTGATCACAAACGGGTGCCATAGCCTGGTATTTATTTTAAAATAAAGAAACAAACAAAAGAATTAATTTTCTCCTCCAATGGCTTATACATGATTCATGGCAACCGAACTTAAAGGCTCTTTTTAAAAAAAAAAAAAAAAAAGCGCTTAAGGTGCTGTTAACTAAAAATCTACACATAGAATTCAGGCAGGAGAATTATTAACCTATGACACACCTCTCAGCTCTATGTATATGGAGAATTTCAAAGTGAATATGTGGAAATTTAACTTTCCTGCATCTGAACAAGGATATAACTATGCTTACAAAACTTTTCAGAGATTTTTGCTTTACAAGTACTTTTACTTGAATAATACAATTGACCATTGGGAAAATAAGCTCCCATTAGTGAAGACAAAGATTATTTTGGAAGAAGCAGCCTGGAATGGATTATCTTATTTGTGAAAGCTTTTCTAAAATGAACGTGACTCATTCATACACTCAAATAAATACAATTAATTTACCTTTTTAAAGGGTTGTCTTAGCAAAGGCTTGATTTTCCTATTCTTTAGGAAAAAAATGTGTATTTCAGTTCAGTTGGGCATCTTTTCTAGAGTACCTGAAGAGATATATTATACTATTGTCCTCCAGGGGGCGATAAATCTTCAGCAAAGCTTCAGTCTCACTGGAAAGGTGAATTCTCAATTCAGTTCGTAAAAGCAGACAGTCTGGCTTCCTTCTTGCTGGGATGCAGGAATTCTTGGGCCTATATCCTGAATTTTACATCTAGGAGTTACCTCAGGCTTCTAGACTAGATCTAACACTTTTAGCAAGTTTGGTGGGGTTGGGGTGAAAAGCCCATGGCCCTGGGGTGTGTGTACCATGAGCAGAGCCTGGCCACAGTGCTCTGCATGCCTCGCCACAGGTCCTGGATTAGCTGACCCTGATTGTCCCTTGCAATAAATAAACATTTAAAGAGACTATTGCTGCCTAGGACCTCTAGGGCTTTCCGAGAGCAGAAATATTAGGCCCAAAGATACCCTAACTTGGGTTGGAGAAGGCTAAGTGTCTCAAAAGGGCAGAGGTTCCCTCTTACCTACATAAATCTCACAAAGGGCTATTTTTGTGCTATTTGAAAAATAAAACCATCATGTAGGAGGCTGCAAAACTCTAGGTCTGAGGAATCAGCAACTTTAGGTAGTAAAGTTGATGACCATAAGGCAGCACAGTGGATAAAATGTTCATAGGTTCTGGAGTTGACAGACTGGGTTTCAATGCCTGCTATGCTTACAAACTCTGTATTAATTACTTAACTCCTGTGTCTCTGATTCTCATTCACAAAAGACTGTCTCATAGGGGAGTTTGTAAGGACTCATTAAGATACTCCAAAGAAAGTACTTGGTGCATAGTAAGTGTTCCATAAATGCCATCAGTTCTATTATTCCTTAGTCTGGAACTGAGATCTCTACTATATAGTTCCAGCCTTGTTTCTCACTTCTTTGCATGGACTCCTTCATCCCAAACACCTCCCTATATGGTATCCCTCTGCTTCTTCTATCTTCCTTGTCTACATCATCACCTTATGAGATCCCACCCAAGTTTTAAAGATTATCTGTAATGGTACCTTAAAACCAATAACTTCCACACAATTCCCTACTCTTAAGAACCAAATGTGCTTTCTCCTATCTATCTCTGGCCAATGACAAGGACACAATATCTTGATTGTATGACAGATGCCAGGAGTATATATATTTTAAAACTCAGAACTGTGTACTTAACCTAGGTGCTTTTTTTAACAGAAAATTATAACTATAAACCAACTCAGTAGGAACATAATGTGAAGACCTTTCTTTGGAGACAGAAAGATCTGATTCAAATTTAAGAAGTTCTAATACTTTCTACCTGGCAACTCAATGAAGCTCTCTTACTTGAAGTTTTTTCCTATGTAAATAGAGCAGCTGTCACTTTCTTCTCTTGTTGTGAGAGTTTACAGGACACAATAATAGCATAAAAATGCCTCTCACAGTGCTTGCACCCTGTTGATGCTACATGATTACGAGGACCTTCCTCCCTAGCATAACCATTTCTGTATTTGTCACACACACCTCAGTCCACCAGAAAGTAATCTTGAGTACAGGCTATGTGCTGTCTTTTTCTTTTCCATTTTGTCCAGCATAGAGCAAAGGTACAATAAGTAAGTATTTGGATTCAATAGCTAATTATATCTATTTTTGAAGAGTAAATGCCAAAAGGCATCCTGACTTAAGCCTCTGAAGGATGCCACACTTGTGTATAACCACCTAGTAAAGCTCAGTATTTTAGAGTCTGACAGACACTTAACTCGGCCAGTAATTCAGCTACGGCTCCCCAGTGTACAGTAGGGCTTAATAACACATTTTTTCATTGTGATAGTTCTTTGAGTTCATAAAGGTTGTCTGTTTTTCTTTAGAGCAAGTAGAATGACTATACTGTTTTCTTGACCAATAAGTCACTCTGTTTTCCATGGTTCAAAGTTAAGCTTTTATTTGCTTTTAAATTAAAAAAATAAATTTCATTATTAAATAGTGAGATGGATCTAACTAATGTTCAGATAGTAGCTTACTCAGAAATATACCATCGGGGGTACAATTAAGGGGTGGATCACCTAAACTCAAATTATTTATGTTGTAGTGTTTGTTAAAAGTTCAGCAGTGGCATAATTCAAAAGAAACTGAAATACAAAGTTTCAAATGTTTACAATGGATGGGAGAAGTAAACCACTTATTTCTACTGCAATCGCAAACTACTTTCTTTCTTTCTCAATGACAGTCAGTTTGGACACTATACCACAGTGCTAATATCATCAGGTTCATCTGCTTTCTTCTGCCTGCTTGGCAGGGATTTCAAGTATTCGAGGTGTCTCCGGGCATCCTCCTGATTTTGCCTCACATAATATACCACATATGAGATCACCATAGTGAACCAGCCAAACATGGTGACCAGCATGGCATAATCGGTAGTTTTTTTAGGGAGGTTACAAAGGTCAGCGTCGTTGGCAGCATTGAGGAATGGTCTGCCAGCATGTTCATCCAACACGGACGTTTTACAGATCACGTTGTGGGCTGTCTCATGATTGGACGCCATGCTCCTCAGAACTTGCTGTAGAGTACAGTCGCAGTGCCAGGGGTTGTTGGCAATTCTGGCCCTGGCCTTCAGGTTATTGAAGGCATTTTTGTGCACACTTTGAATCCGATTGTCGGACAAGTCCAGAGTCTGCAAGGTTTCAGCTACTCCTTTGAAGGCATGCTCATCGATAAACTCAATGCCATTTTTGGACAGGTTGAGAACTCTCAGTTGATGGAGGTCCTTAAAAATTTCATTGGGAATAGATGTGATCTGATTGGAGTCCAGATACAGTAAGACTGTTTCAGGAGGAAGATCTCTAGGTATTTCCTTGAGATTTGCATTGCTACAGGTGACATTTAAACCCCCAGAGGAAGAACAAAGACAGCCCTTGGGACACATACTGGCAGAATGAAAGCACAGTATCATAAGAACAAAACTTTGTAGGAGGAGACACATGGAGAGGGAACGGGTTAACCACAGGTCTACCAGATTCATGCTGGAATGTCAGCATAATCACGAGCCCATTCCTCATCTACTCCAACAAGCGTGGTAAAGGTTCCAGCCCTGTCCACACTATTGATTTCCTTCTTGCGTGTTTCAAAAGGCTGCAGCTAACACATGTGTCTCTTCATTATTTCTTTCCTTGCTTGGGCACCTAAAGGAAAGAGAAACAGATGCAATTAGTTCCTTTGCAAAGGGAGGTACATTGTAATGAAAGGTGTTCTCAGGTGTCTGGCATTCTGCTTGAGCAGGGGGGTTAGTTATGCAGGTAATTTCCATCAATGCCACTGGGAGTTATCTGCGAAATGGGAGTCTCCTGTTCAAATCCCAGGTGCTGGGGGAGAGAACTGTGAACATATGAAGATATTTCTGAGTTCTGTTGCCTGGTTTTCAGTTGGATAGAATGAGAACAAATACTCCCTATTTCTCTGCTGCTCTCCACATCCTGGACCCCTTCGAATTCTACAGAAATAAAATTTAATTATGTCTCTCACCCTTTCTGAGATAACAGATGCATTAATGTAATTTAGTCCTGCACTTGGGCAGCAATGAGAAATAATACCAATATTTCATGGTTAATGACTATAGACAGGGATATCTGTCATGGCTTTTGAATGGATGCCCAATTTGGAATATTGTCTCTAAAGAAACATCTTACTTGAATTAAGAAAATAATAAATGCATTCCAACAAAATATTGCTAGAGGCTGACAACCAAGAACCTCCAGGATAGTTGCCTTCCTTGTGACCTCTTTAAAGTACATTATACCTGGGAGGATGCTTTTAACTGAATTTCCAGAGGATCTTCTCTCTCTTTTCTAAGGACCATATCCCCTTCCCAATAAATGCTTAAATATGGCACACACCTCCATGACTTTTTTATATAACAAGAGAATTAAGAAATACTGTCTTTGAAGACTTCCCCAATAGACTTCACTCTCCATATGTTGCATGTTGCATACATATACTGTTAGTGTTGGCAGGGGCTACAGAAATTGCAAAATTAAGTGATGAACAAAGTTATGAAACTTACTCGACAGCAGAGATAAGAATATAAGTTAACTCTCAAAATTACCCTTTAATATAGAGAAGAAAGCACACATCTTTGGGACCAGTTCACAAAGGAGACAAGTGGATCCCAGAGAGATGAGGTTACTTACCCAAGGTCAAACAGATTGAGGTGTAGAGACAGGACTCAAGCCAAAGTCTTTGTTCTGACTCATTAATATCAAAACTCTTTCCACTATCCACACACTCTCTTCCAGTCTCATCTACTCTATAAGTATCCAGCAAGTATTGCTTATTGTGATTTCTGATGCTGTTATGTTGCAGCCCTATCTTTTATGCTATGAATACTGTTCCAAGTTGAGGACCCCATGGAGCTCAAGTGAGGGGTCCCTCTGCATTTTGTAGGGAACCCATGCCTGACTTAGAAGATTCCCTCCCAGGATCTAAGAAACAAGAAGAGCATTCAGTCCTCTTACAGCAGTGGACAACAAACAACTTTCTGCATGAGCAACTAATGACTTTCTGAAAACTTGTCTTTTATGAAGATCCCAGATGGATAAATACAAAGGGAAATGACTCCAAATGTTACCAAACTCACAGAAGAGAAGATTAATGTGAGCTGAAAACATAATGATCTGGATTGTTAATCATGGAAAAAATGAGATTAGCAACAGCAGAATGGAGCAGACGTGCTTTTGGAAAACTGAGTCGAGTCCCTTAAATACCAGAGAATGCTAAAGAGAGACCCTAAGCTTACTAAGCCCTCCATCAACAGATCATTTCATTGGCAATGAAAGTGTCCTCCTTTTCATGTTTCCCTTCAAAACTGTATTGCATGGTACTTGGGGACTCTAGGAATCTAGATGGGAAAGAAAAAAAAAAACAGGTGTGGAAGGGAAGAGAGGAGACAGAGGAGTAGAAGGACAAGGCAACGAATTCTAGGAAAAGGGCATGAGAAAAACACAGGAGATGGAAGAAATTAATTAATGTAATTGAAGAAAATAAAGGGAGTCCACATCAGCCAAGTGATTTCCATCCATTGAGTATATGCAACCAGCCTAAAACATGCTGAAAGATGAGAAGCCTTTTCTGGAGGACACTTCATATTTCTCTTGGGATTCATTAAAGGAGTTTGGCATAGAAAAGAAGTGTTCTCTATTCAGAGTACAAGCTCCATGACAGCAGAGGCTTGTTTCTGCCTCTTGCAGAGACAATAGTAAGCAATTAAAAAAATAAAAAGTACACTGAGTTTGTATATCAGCTTTATTTATTTATTATTTTATTTTTATTTTTTGAGATGGAATCTTGCTCTGTTGCCCAGGCTGGAGAGCAGTGGTGTGATCTCGGCTCACTGCAAATCTCCGCCTGCCAGGTTCCAGCAATTCTCCCACCCCAGCCTCCCGAGTATCTGGAACTATAGGCACACACCACCACGCCCAGCTATTTTTTTTTTTTTTTTTCTGTATTTTTAGTAGAGACAGGGTTTCACCATGTTGGCCAGGCTGGTCTTGAACTCCTGACCTTAAGTGATCTACCTGCCTCGCCTCCCAAAGTGCTAGGATTACAGGTATGAGCCACTGCGCTTAGCACAGTACGAAATTGGTAGTAAAAGTTCGATGCTTTTTAGCCATAGTTTTAGTTACTATTATTATTCTCGGATACATTCCCAACACCCAGCATAGTGCTTCGCATATAGTGAGGACTAAATAAATATGTTATATGAATAAAGCAACAAAATATTGAAGAGTCTAGGTACGCTTTTCCTTCTCCATGGCAATTATTTTTATAAATATTTTAAACATAAACATTGGCTCATCAAATGTCTACTGGTCTTATATGGCAACATAGTGGACTTTGGAAAAGTCATATATGTTCAGGCTCCTAGGAGATGGAAAGAAGAATGGAACTCTTCCTCAGCAGGCTTCTTTATACTTAATCAGGGTTTCTCCATAATCAGGGTTTCTCCAGAATGATCAGTCCAATGGTCATGGTCACATATAAGAAATGTTTAGGACACAGGTTGAGTTCTCTACTCAGATTGCAGTCTTTCTTGAGATGGAATCCGTCATATCCCAAATGGTCTACCTGTGAACTGGATGTAATGCTTGTGAACTGGATGTAATGCTTGTTAGGAGTACAAATACAGAGCACGCCTTGCTTTCAGAGGAGTTGGACTTGAACTGTTTCATTTTCTATTATGTTTGATAAAAAGAGAATAAAATTTTCTGGGATTTGGCTATATTGCTGAGCTACTGTGACTCAGCCTCTAGAGCCATCACCCCCAGCCAGAATAAAGTGACAAAAGATGCAGGATGTAGAGAGCTGAGCCCTGGGATGCTGCTGTGGTTTGAATATGTGGGTCCTTCACATATTCTGATATCTATATCTAAATCTAATCCCCAGTGTGAGGATATTTGGAGGTGGGGCCTTTGAGAAGTGATTAGGTCATGAAAGCAGAGCCATCATGAATGGAGTTCGTGCCCTTATAAAAGAGGCCCCAGAGAATTCTCTCATCCCTTCTGCCATGTGAAGAAACAGAGAGAAGAGAGCCATCAATAAGCCAAGAAACAGGATCTCACCAGAAACCAAATCTTCTGGCACCTTGATGTTGAGCTTTGCAGGCTCCAGAACTGTAAGAAATAAATTTCTATTGCTTTAGCAGTGCAAAAAGACTTAGATGTCCAGGATGTAGACAGCAAAGCCAAAGGTATCAAGTCAAGGTCATCTTCACCAGGGAGGATGGAAGAGCTGCTCTCCACTCTATGATACTGGTTCTATAGTTTCCAAAGGGATTATCAGTTTGACATTGCTTTATATTACTAGCTAGGTCAACAGTGGCTGTTGGAAAAGGAAGGTATGAGGACATGTGCCTCAGAGAAAAAGAGGTGGATATTCTTCTGACATTGGTTATCATCCAGCAGAATACAGGGCTAAAAAGCTTGGAAGCCTAAAACTCCCTTAGCTTGAAAGCCTAAAACTCCCTCCTGCTTTGATTGAATCACAACTACACACAAACCCAAAGCAGTAAACAAGCTATGCTGCTGGGCAAGAAGAGTGCCTTCCTACTAACTTCAGAATGAGTGGTTAGAACATAAAGAAGGGCCTGGGGTCACACTGGTAATGGCAAAAACAGCAACAGCAATACTGCCTGTCTTTCTGATAGGGAATAAGACCCATTAAAGGGACGGACCAAGTTAAACAGCATCTTTCCTCCCTCCTAACTCCCCCTCTGCAAATCTCGACTCACTGGACTACCCTGTCCCCATCTACTCATTCCCTTTAACTACGTCTGGGTCAAGCAGAAGCCGTAATATTTCTAGATGTGGTGTTTAAGTATGCACTGCACCCCAAAGGAGAATTACTTTATCCAGACTCATATTTCGCTCATATTTTCTTGCCATCCAGGTTACTGCGCATCAGCAGTTAATTCTGGGATTGGGTGGCAACCATCAAATACCATTTCCAGAAGAAAAAAACCAGTGCATTTAACAGGGTGTTCATTCACTGAGAAGACAGGCCATTCAGTGGCTGATTAACAACTGTCTTTCTGCTTATTTCTTTCTTTTCATCATTAAATGATAGGAACATTCAGAGATTCTAACCCAAAAGCTTTTATTAACCCTTCTGAGATAAGTGAGCGTACCAACTCACAGAGAAATACCAGATACACCAGTTTCTTCCAATTATAGTCTATGCAACTCTATTACTAAACAGCAGAATTTGATTAAAAAGGAAATAGATAGCAAAACAGGAAGGGCTTTTAATTTAAAAGATAAAATTCAAATCAACGGGGAAAAACCCTCATACATCTAATTATTTAAAATTTAAAACTTCTCTATGGCAAAAAGTTAAGGTCATAAGCAAAGTCAAAGAACAAATGACAAAACAAAAGGTTGATTATTTTAATACACAGAAAATCCTTACAAAAGAATGATAAACTAATTTAAAAAATGGAGAGCTGGGTGCAACAGTACACACCTATAGTCCCTGCTACTTATGAGATAGATTGAGGTGCAAGGATTATTTGAGCCCAGAAGTTTGAGTTCAGACAGGGCAACATAGCAAGACCCTGTCTCTAAAAAATAAAAATAAAAAGAAGAAAAAAAGCAGAAAAGAAAAATGGATGGGAAAATAATATACATAAATAGCAATGTATATGATGTATACAAAATAAACAATATAAAAAGATTCTTGATCTCACTGTCAGTAAAATAAATTCAGGTTAAAGTACTTATCATCTAGATTAAAATTAGGCATAGTATTTAGTGTCAATAAACATGTTAAGAACAAAGCATTCTCAAACACTTGATAAGAGGATTGATGGTGCACTCTTGTCATACGAGCAATTTGGGAATATCTATCAAAAATTTAAAATTGAAGAATAAGCTGTTGATGATATAAAGATGTCCAAAGATTACCCTAAAGAGCAGCTCAAAAAAAAGCAAATACTTATAATATAATCACATTTGTGTAGATTTTTTTAAAGAAGATAAATATGCAAATATAAATATGCAATTAATATGTTTACATATGCATAGATCACTTCCAAAAGGGTATATCAGAAACTATTAGTAATGGTTAACTCCAAGTGAGTAGTGGAACTGAGGGGCTGTCAGGGGGAGAAGAGGAATTGCCTTTTTATTTTATATTCTTTTGTACAGTTTTAATTCCTGATGGTATAAATGTATATTTTATTTTATTTTACAATAAATATTTAAAAGATAATGCAAAAGGACTAAGATTAGCCAAAAAATGAACCTAAATTTAATGCCTCAGAAAGCAACTATTCAGTGCATGAAAGAGTTGAACAATGGTGGCCAAGATGGCAAAGGCAAATGAAAGAACAATGAATTATTAAAAGCAGTACATGTTTCATGATGAGAGACTGAATATACAAACGGACAGTGGCCACACCATATACAAAAATAGATCTCTGACGCACAATCTGCAGCAACTAGATCAGGAAACCAAACCACAATCTCTGTAGCAAACAGCCCAAATCAGCCAAGAACTGATTATTAACTGATAATTTTTCTAATTTTTGACCTTGCTTCCAACTTAGGACCAACCAAAGAACACGAAATGTACACCCCTAACCAATCATGTAGGCTGCCCTTCTTGTAGTTAGCCCACCTATAGCTTCCCCATGTCAACAGCCTTCAACCAGAACTCTCCTGAAGTCTTCCTTTTTTCCCACTATAATGCTTTTACACTCCTCTGCCAGCCTTTGAGTCTCTCTGTCAAAAGCAAGGGATGGTGGTTGCCTCTTTTGCTGTAGGAAGCTCTGAATGAATAGCATTTGCTTATTCTCATTTGGGTGGTTTTTGTTTATTTTCACAAAACCTGAAGTTTGAGTACTTGATATCTTTAATGCAATATTCCCAAAATTAGTCTTATTGACTATCATAGAGCTTAGATATTATTTATTTATATGATCAGGTTATCCATAAAATAAGTGTGGGTTGCATAAACCATCAATATGTCTAATTCCTGTGTATTTGTGACTAAAATAACTAGGAAAAGAGAGTTGGGACAGGGCTAATTCAAGTGAATAAATTGCATAAGTAATTTTTCCACTGCTGGTCTTTGGGATCATGTTTGGAGATAATAACTTCTTCATTCACATCTTTAGGACTGAGTTCTGCCATGGACTTTAGTTCTCCATTTCCATTCTCAACCATCTACTACAGGAAGAGTTCATCAGGGCCTCAACTTTGCATACCCAAAAGTAAAATCATAATTTTACCCTCAGCTTTACCCAATGACTCCCGCCTCCACTGTAGACCACCCTGTCTTCCCTCCCGATTTCTTGAAGTTTTTTTCTGTTCTCCATTCTACGTGTCCCTTGCTTTGCATTCTCATGGCCTCTTTCCTAATTCAGATCTCCAACATCCTGTTCTGAAAGAGCAAAAGCCTCCTTCCTGAATTGTTGGTGTCCAGTCTCTGTGCTTCCATCCTTCTAATGTCAAGTTAAAGTAACACTCTTAACCACATCATCCTGCAGGTCAAAAAAGCACTAATGACTCCCGATGGTTCATAACAATCTCCTTTTACAGTTGTATCTCCCACCATGTTTTCTTACACAGACATAGAAACATGAATTCAACAAACAGCTCAATGAGGAGAAAACTGATGATGAATGGCACTTCGTTCCACAAATATGAGATTTATCAGAAACCAATCCAGCTGAAGATCTCTACACTGTAGAATAGCTTTCCTGATTTAAAATCCAATTATAAAGTTCTGGCCCATGAGCCATTTAGGTGGCTCATTAATAACAACAGCTGTGATCCTTTAGTCAAGGATATGAACTGACAAGGCAGACAGATGCATGAGGAACAGAGAATATTTTCATTTAAAAAGAGAATAATCTGGTAGCAGATCCAGAACTGTTTAAGGCAAGGAACTCTTGCAATCTCCAAACTCTCCTTTCTCTAATATTCCAGCCTTTACTATATTATTTACTGTTTTCTACTTCATATTAAATACATCACTTTACCTTCTCTACTGCTAGACCATGAGGTTCCAACAGGCAGGGTCACTGTTTTACCCATTTTACATTCTCACATTGCCCATGGTAAGAATTTAATAAACATTTATTTATTGAAATGAATTATAATCCATTCTCATTTCATTATAACACAGCTATCATTTGCTTGGCATTTATTACACATCAGGTATTTGTTAAGTGATGAATTCATCTAGCAGGATGGTAAAACTGAAATTCTGACAAGGTTCTTGGTTAAATGAATGTAGAGTTAAAAAGTTAGTTACCATATAACTTTTTTTGGAATTAAGGGGTTAAGTTACCATATAAAGCTTGGCTGACACATGTTCTGTGAGTCAATGTGTCCTTGCCCACTTTGAAAGTAAAACAGTCAAGAGGTACCTATCATGTCACCTTCCCAAGGAAAGGAGAAAGTTTAGTACATGACCCCTGGAGTTGGGAGGCAGAGTGTCTTGGAAAGAGAACCGGGTTAACCTGTTGTCTGGAGATGGAGTTGGGTGATGTTTCGATGTTGGGGTGAGCCTACACTCCCAGAGTTTGTCAATAAGGGATGGGAAACTATTTCCTATAGGTCAAATGCGGTCACTAGAGGGGAAGAGATTTTCAAGGAGCGAGCATCTTGAGTCTTATTTCACTGTCCCACAGAATTCCTTCATAGAACAGAGGGACTCCAGCAACACAAAACTGTAGGGTAGATGCTTAGATTTCGAGCAAGTGGCCATCTGAAACGAATCCACTATCAGAGTCAGGGGAGCCACATGGGGGGAGGGTATGAAAGTCTCAGGAGAGAGAGACCTGAATCCTCTCATCCTATTAATTCTACCTCCTGAGCAGCTGCCACCCAGTTATGCTCACCTGGGGGTGGAGTGGAATGGAAGGCAGAGAAGAGAAATCAAGCCACTTACTAAATCCTCTTTCCCTTTGAGCCTGAAACAAAGGGAAGGGGAGAACAGTTAAATATTAAATGAAATTCAGGGTTTTTGTTAATCTCTTAAACTATACATTTAAATGATCATGATTAATTTTTATTTTGGTTTAAATTAACTGAGTTTGTGACTTAAAATAATATTAGGACAATCTATTATCTAGGAGTAAGTACAACATTGTGGGGCTTACTAATGTTTGCATTCAGGGACTAGAAGAGAATGATCAAGAGGATAGAAATTAAAGGAACAGTAGAGGCAAGAAGGAAAGTTTCATTTTATACTGGTTACACATGTATCACCTCACCACAATTCTCACAAAGCCCCTAAAAGGTAGTAATTGCAACCCTTGTACGGATGAACAAATTGAGGCTTAAAGAGGTTATATAACCCATTTATGGTAACTACAGCTAAATGACAGAGGCAAGAACTTAACTGAAGTCCTTTGGTTTCCAGAGCATGTGTGATCAAACATGGCACCATACACCATTTTACAGCTAAACTCTAATTTTTTTCCTTCCTAACTGGTCCCACTAAGATAGGAAACAAGGACCAAGATGGATTTTTAAATTAAGGGAAGTATACTTCCAAGTCAAAAGCTCTAAAATTATCCATTTGCCTTACATTCGTGAACTACTTTAGAAGCTTGTGGGGCAAGTTCACATGCATGCTTTCATTTGATTATCTCTAAACAGCACTGTCAATTACACATAGTGGACATTATTAGTCTCTATGTTAATACAGTAGAGGAACTCATAAAATGGAGACTCCTCAAAGCCATACAGCTGGTTAGCAGCAGGAAAGGACCTGCATCTCAGATATCCCCCAGAACAGGTCTCATTTAACATGCATTGGTTTCTATATCTCTTTTCCTGGCCACTTTTTATATGAATGTCTGTAAACACAAATGCTGAGTTTCAAATGCCTCACCAGCCCTCTGTTGACCTCTTCCTGCCAAATTTGGGAAAATCAAAGAGGGAGACAACCCCTTTTCCTGTTAGAATTTCTTAAAGGCCACTCTGATATAAAACTTTTATCAAAATCACATGAAATCCATTTGTTCTAGATCTCAGTCAGTTAAGGCACTACTTTTCCACTTTTGAAATCTATTTCACAAGATAAATCCTCAAGCAAACCCTCAATATATTGGGAAAGAACTGACTCTTCTGAATACATTAACTCCTTCCTACAAGATCTAGTGCTTATGGATCTTCAGAGTGGGTTTAGAAGTTCTTCCTACCAATGAATCCACTGGAAAAACAAACAAATACATTTTTGAAACCCACTTTTTATGAACCCAGCATTTATCCCTCTGTGGATACTGAGCACAGCATAAAGATACCACGATGTCTCTGCTACATCCATATTTATTATGCAACATGTTGCAAGTTTATAGGGAGACTGAGTGGGAATCTATCCATCTTGGTTTCTTTCTGCTTCTCTACTATTATTTCACAGCAAATGCTTATGACATTTACAACGTGAGAGCTTTGCAAACTTTTAACATCTAATCTACATAAATGTAGGCTCTCAAGATTCACCAGAGTCCAGGATAACTTGAAAGCTTCCTTTAGAAAGCCCTTACTTATGGTGAATTCAGTTGTACTTCTGAGTAGGATGAGTGTCACAATTTTTTTAAAAACATATCCTGCTTAACCCTGCTTTATCCTTCTTACACAAGATGCTGTAATAATATTCACTGGGTTGGTGGGAAAAACACAGGATTGAGATCCAAAATGAAGACTCAGAAACTGGATTCAAAACTCAGCTTCCCAAGTAATGAATTTCAGGAATTTAGCACAACACACATACTTCCATCCCTTAGTTGCCCTAGGACTATGATCAATAATATCCACCTCATTGGTCTCACAGTTACAAGGAGACAATAAAATATGTGTGAAATGTGCTTCAAAAACTGTCAATGACCATTCAAAGATGATTAGGTTTAAAATTTAATTATTTTCCTAAAATATAAGATCATTCTGTCTTGAGGGTTTCACATTTCTTAAGTATAACTAATTAGGAAATGATTCTCACATCACATACAGTATTCATGCCAATACATATTTAACCCGAATCTAATCAAGAGGAAAGCATCAGACCAATTCACAACTTGAGGTATTTTACTAATCTGGAGTTTTTGAAATTTCACTGAAGAAAAACAAAAAACAAAAATAAAAAATAAACAAAACAAAATAACAATAAAACACAGGCTTTAGAACTGTTCTAGATAAAGAAAAGAGATGTCACAACTGAAAACAACGCAAGAGATCAACTTCTGGATTTAAAGAAAATGCTAGAAAGGGACATTATTGGAACAACTGGGGGAAATTTGAATGTATACTGTATGTAAGGTATTATTGCATCAAATTTACGTTTCTTAAAATTTATGCTGATATGAGTAGAATGGAGGTAGTTGTTCTTAAGAGGAACATACTGAAGTATTTTGGGGTAAAGTGTCTTGACAACCGCAGCTGTCAAATTATTCAGCAAAAACGAAATATATCTGCCTATATATTGTGAGAAACAGTGATGGGAAAAATTTAACAATTTTAAAGGGATGGTGATGGATATATGTGTTCATTGTACCAATTTTTCAACTTGTCTGAAAGTTTCAAATTTTTCAAGTAAAAATTTGGGGTAGGGGAGATTCTACATCTTAACAAAAATCTTCGAGGGGAAGATAAGTCCTTTTTTGGTGATGCAAAAAAGTCTTAGGAATCCTAGATAGAGTAAGGCTTATCCCCTCAGAGTGATACAAAATGGAAACCCAAGGTGAAATGAGCAGTGATTCTCTGCAATTGCATCTCATGAACTCCAGGACTCCATTTCACTGCCCTATGAGACATGTGCAAGGTGCACTTGGTTTTAATTGGCCAATATGGAGATCACAGCTTGGCCACTAACTCATTGCATAATTTCTCTATCCTAGTTTTCTCATCTGAACATGAGGGTAATAAAAGTTCCACCTCACAAGGGTGAGATGAGGATTAAATGAGATAACACATGTAACACATTTAGAATATCTGCTTTTACAAGATAAACTCTCAGTCAGAGTTACTGCTACTACCACTCCTAGTACTACTGCCACCACCACCACCACCACCACTATCATCATCATCTTACACTGATGTCTGCTATGACAATGTGGAGCCTTCACCATCTTACACCTTGTCTTCTCTCTGCTATGACAATGTTTCTAAAGAGTCAATGATTTCATTTTATCAACTTTTTCATGTTATTCCAAGAGGGATCCACGTTCAGAGACATAGGTAAATCAGAATCATAGAATGGTAAAGAAAATGAACCATATAATGAGGGAAGAGTATGAAGAGCATAATTCTGATGGTGGCTAACATTTTGTGGGCACCTTCTATGTACAAGGCACAGGGCCAAAAGCTGTACTTTAAAAATAGAAAGAAATTTTGCTCCCAAGATGCTTATACCTAGAGTCTTTGCACATCTGATTTAAATGCTAAAATGTGAGGGTTTTGGGGTGATATTTAGATGAGATTTTGTACTCTGAGTTGATGCTGTAATGAATTGAGAATTTTGGGGGATGTTTGAATATGATTAATATATTTTGCATGGAGGATGGATGTAAATCTTTCGGAATCAGAGGATAGATTATGATAAGCCAAAAATGGTCTAAAAATATTTAGGTCCTGATCTCTGGAACCTGTGAATGTTACCTTGTATGGAAAAAGAATCTTTGCAGATGAGATTAAATTAAGGATCTTGAGATGGAAAGATTATCTTGGATTATCTGGATGAGCCCTAAATGTAATTTTGAGTGCTCTTATAAGAAGGATACAGAGGGAGATCTAACACAGAAGAAAAGGCAATGTAACAACTAAGGTAAGGATTGAAGTGATATAGCCACAAGTCAAGAAGTGCTGACAAGCTACCAGAAGCTAAAAGTTGCAAGCAATGGATTGTCCTTTATAGTCTTTGGAGTTAGTGTGGCCATACCCCCAAAATTGATTTTTTGTCCATTGAAACTGATTTCAGACTCTACCTCCAGAACTATAAGAAAATAGATGTGTGTTATTTTTAGCCACCAAGATTGTGGCAATTTGCTACAGAAGCTATAGGAAACTAATAGAGTAGTAAATGGAGAATAGAACTTGAAGTCAATTCTATCTGACTCCCCATTATGTGAGTTAAGAGTTTTTGCTGCAACTAAGTACCTGGCTTAACTCTGAGTTTCCTGGCAGCTAAAGACAGAAAACAAAAACATCAGATTACAAAATGGTTATTATCTAAAACAGTCAAAACAATTAGTTATTAGCAGAGATAAAATTTTTTCAAATTTTATCATTTTCAAAAAATCCTAGGAAAGAGCTGCCAAACAACATAATGGACAATGTCTTTAAGATTTCACTGATGATGCAGATACATTCTTCTTTGGTCTTTTGCATACAGTGAAATCATTGAGGTGTACAAGACTTTCTAAGCCATAGAAAGTTAAATTATGATCTAGGGATGATGTTTACTAGAGGTCAGGATAAAACCAGGATGAGATAGAAATGTGGTGGAACAGGATAGTTAGTATGTCCCTCACAGTGAGGGGCCCACAGAATTTATTGTACAAACAAAGACAAGTCTAACAGTGAAAAGCAAAGCTAGTGACAACTGTGCTGGGACAACAGGTTCAAGAAGGAACAGTCCTACGCAAAATGGAACATGTAGTAACCTCACTTACAAACAGCATTCTGAAGAGTTAGGGGAGAGTCTGATCAAATTTACAGAATGCCATTTTAAAAGAAAATGTCAAGCCCTGAGACTACAACAAACCTCCATGCACAGATCATAGTCTTCCTAGACATCCACAGAGATTAGCCCCTGTAGGCTATTAATTTAAAATTTTACAAATAGCGCTAAAAAACATTTGAACTTTAAAAAATAAAAAAATGCATAATTCATACATGTAACACATCAAATATTTTGTTCTTCCAGGCCTTATATGTGTACACACGCATCATTTTACAATTGCCATGTTAGCATAGGTAACAATTTTGTGTTTCTTTTTCAGGGTTGTAAATTGTCATGACTTTCATCATTTTAATGCCTGCATAGTACCTCAGTGAATGGGGTTATATGTTAGATCTATTTACACATTATTCTTTTGTTAGATATTTAGGTTGTCTCCCATGATTTGCTATCATAAATAATGTGAAATAAAATTATTCCATTCCTGGTCTACATCATTGAACGAGCCAGCTGATAACAAAATGGGAATACCTTTAAAATGAGAAAGGTTTGGTTACATCTGTGTTCTTGGCATCAAAGTTAAACTGTGCAGAGCTGTTCCATGGGAAGGTAACAGCCTGAGGAGGCCGAAATGCCCTCTCCTGGTTTTAGCCATTGTGGATTTTGGACATATAGGCATCTGATGAGAACCATTGTCTCAGTCCTTTTGCTCCCTTGTTAGAACAGAGCAGACCAGAAAGTCAGGGTCCTACTTTTTGGTCAAAAATATATATTTAAACACACATGTTTATCTACAGATTCTATAACATTTCTTAGAAATGGTCCACTATGTTTCCTAAGAAGAGACATTGGGGAAAAATAATGCCCTTTATGTGTTTTCTATTAAAAACGTAACTGTGCAAACACATGTATATAAACCTGTTTTTTTCAAACTGTCTGTTACAGCAAAAAAGAAAAATCAAGAAGTTTTTTTGTTTGTTTGTTTGTTTGAGATGTTGTCTGGCTCTGTCGCCCAGGCTGGACTGCAGTGGCGCGATCTCAGCTCACTGCAAGCTCCGCCTCCCGGTTTCACGCCATTCTCCTGCCTCGGCCTCCCAAGTAGCTGGGACTACAGGCGCTCACCACAATGCCCGGCTAATTTTTTGTATTTTTAGTAGAGACTGGGTTTCACCGTGTTAGCCAGGATGGTCTCGATCTCCTGACCTCGTGGTCCCCCCGCCTCGGCCCCCCAAAGTGCTGGGATTACAGGCGTGAGCCACCATGCCCAGCTGAAGTATTTTTTAAAAAATAATAGAATTAATCTAAATATTTGTCATAAAGAGATTGATTAAATAAATATGGTACATCAAAATGAATGAAGCAATCTGCAAATTCTGATAAAAAGTTGTCAAATACATATCACTGAGAGAAAAATTTGAATGTGTAATCCCATCTGTGTAAGGCAGAACAGAAGCATCTACACACACACACACACGCAAAAGCTTTAAAAGTTGTGGAAAAACAAGAACAAATTGATAATAGTTTTACCTTTAGGGGACGGTTCTGGGGGTTGATGATATTAAGGAGAATTTTTACTTTTTACCTTATATCATTTTCTATAGTCATAATTTTTCACCATGAGCACAGTCAGAATAACAACTAAGCAACAAACAAAGAGATTGGCCAGGAGGCATTGATAGACAACCTATTCCGTGTTAAGTGCTATAGAAGATAGGAAAGTATATGAGACATAGTGCCTCTTCTTACCAGTGGAGCCACCCTGGACCGTTTAAACTTTCTTGGTCTCAACAAAATGTACAGAAATCATCCAGAACCTGAAGCTAGATAAAATCAAGTTCAACTTTCATTTCTGATACCAGCTAGGAGGTCTTGGACAGGCCAACTAATTGTTCCGCATGTCAGTTTCCTCAACTAGAACTAAGAATAATGCTTATTTCATTGATTTCCGATGTGGTTCTGATAATGACTGTCTCATGGTAGATGCTTGGCAAATATTATTAGCTCTGAATACACCTTCAAAGGGATCAGAATCACATTTACATTTTCCAGGGGTTCTATGGAAAGTTAGGTGTCTGAGCGTTCTACAAATGAATATTATGAAGTCATAAGTCTGAAAAACACTCTTTCTGAGACTCACAATGGATATCAGCCTGTTAAAGGTTCTGACAGTTGCAGTAAAGTATTTATTAACCCAGATTGTCCCAAATATATTTGGCTCCCTGCTGAAGGCGTCCCCAGGTCTTCTTATTTTTATAGTGAAATCGCCCATAGAATAAAACATTGCTATTGATAAATTAATACATTCAGATTGAAATGCACAACATTTAATACTACCTCTACTACTACAATTACTACTACCAATACATTCACACTTTACCTAAATATTCTCAAAGAGTATGAGGTGACAGGTTTTGCAAATGAGGATTCTAGTTGCACTTGATCACTGTCAAGTTGCATAATATTACCATAGAGAAACACCCACCACCAACTAATGTCTATTGCAGGCAGAGAAGAAAAAATTAATAATCAATAGTTATCACTAAGGGTTATTTTTTGTTTTATTAAAGAAATGTCCCTGGACTTAAACTAGACATACTTATAAGTAAATGAAGATGAATGGACTATTGTGTTTCAATTTTATACTCTGCTATTTCCTCATCTTCAGATACCACTTTTCTTTTTGAAAAGATTATTTAATACTATTACCCTTAAAGGCTTTGAAAACCTTATAAAGCAGTAATTTTTTAAAGGACTTTGGAATTAGGCATACCTAAGTTTGTCTAACTTTGTCATTCAGCCTCTTAGTAGTTACTAGTTACTGCTAGTAATTTGAACTTATTAGTTTTGTGATTTTTAGGGCATGTTGCTTAACACTGGACCTCAACGTTTTCATCTATAAAATGGGCATGATAATATCTATTTCGCATGGTTTGATAGATTGCTTCCAAAACTGACTTCCATGATTCCTCATCTTGTATTATCCATGGTCTTTTGCAATGCAACTTTAAAGCTCCTTAAATTAACAGGTTGAGCCTATTTTCCCATTCTTTAGTCTAGATTGGGACTGTTGAGGCAGATGAGACATTCATGAGGCAGATGTGACACTATGCCAGTTCTGATCCTAGGCTTCTCCAAAAGGTCTTGCATGTTCCTGCTCTTGATCTTTTTTTTTTTTTTTTTTTTTTTTGAGACGGAGTTTCGCTCTGTCGCCCAGGCTGGAGTGCAGTGGCGCGATCTCGACTCACTGCAAGCTCCGCCTCCCGGGTTCACGCCATTCTCCTGCCTCAGCCTCCTGTGTAGCTGGGACTACAGGCACGCGCCACCATGCCCGGCTAATTTTTGTATTTTTAGTAGAGACGGGGTTTCACCGTGTTAGCCAGGATGGTCTCGATCTCCTGACCTCGTGATCCGCCCGTCTCGGCCTCCCAAAGTGCTGGGATTACAGGCGTGAGCCACCGCGCCCGGCCTGCTCTTGATCTTAGAACCCTGCCCAGCCATCATGTGAACAAGCCCTGGCTAGCCTGCTGGATGTTAAGAAACCATATAAAGGAGAAGCCTGTTGTTCTAGCTGAGGTATCCCAGCCTAGAGCCAGCCACACTCCAAACATATGGGAAAACCAGCCTGATCATTAGAGCCAACTACTTGATCTGCAGCTGACCATAGGCTAAGGAGCCAAGACTAGAAGAACCACCAAGCTACTCACGGATTTGTGAGCAATAATAAATGCCACTGAATTTGTAAATACTTGTTATGTAGCGAAAGCTAACTGATACACATGGCTATTTTACCAATTAAATAAGTTAATATATTTATATTTATGTTTTTATCACAAACCCTGATTAATATTTGTTTCACACATATACACTAACAACTAACAGAACAGTATGCTTTTTAATAAAAGTATAATAGAAACCTCATTTTAAAATTTTGTAATTGCTCAATGCTGAAGGACAATGCAGTTCCATTGTCATTAGATACCAAATTATTTAATTCTATTTGCTGACCATGACAGTCAATAATGTTCTAAGTTGTTATGGTAACTTTCAAGCAGCTGAGAAAAACTGATACACAGATGAAAGATATCCATGCACGTCTAAGGTGTAATCTGAATAATAAATTTAAATATTGTTTGCTCACATATCCCTGGTGTCTAGCACAGTTCCTGGTGTGGAATTAGTGCTGTATTAGTATAGTCCAGGGGTTAAGACCAGGGACTCAGAAGTCAGACTATCTGAGTCTAAACCCAAGTTTCCATATTAACCTTGCCTTACTCAGTTTCTCCACCTGTAAAACGAGTGTAACCGCAGTACTTATTTCTTCTATTGGTAGAAAGGACTAAGTGATATTATTTAGGCAAAATAGAATGATACCTGGCAGAATAAGTACAAAATAAATATTAGCTATTTCTCTTTGTTGAGTGATTTTTGTTTTAAGCATACTCTTGGAAATAGAGCCTGTGTGGCATATAGTCATCTTAGTGGACATGTGTGGATAGCCATCCTAGTGCCTGTTGATTCTCTGCAGCTCTCAGAAGCTCTTTTGCAAACACGAAGACAAACATCAAAGAGACAACTACAAACGAAGCAAAAATTCTAGAGATTCAGTGAAGAATTTAAATGACATGTCTTGGCAATTCTGATGAAACAGAACTGACATAAATAACATTCTGTTAATTCAGGAATATTGCCAGCATGTGGATAGTATAAGGTTCTCACCCAATATTATGTCTGCAAAAGGCTTCCATCAAATGGAGCCCACTGTCCATTATCCACGACTGAAGAGTAGGCTATCAAGAGAGTGCTCTCCCCCATTTCATTTTGACCATTGGTCCCCCAACAATCCTTGTCCAGAACTGAGGCATCATGCAAATTCTCACTGAACTATCCAGACTAATGACCTAAGACTGACACCTGGATGCTGATTTCAATTAGAAATGGATGGAGAAGTTATTTTCACACAATACTTATCCTTCCTTCCCGTTTTTATTTCCTAATCAGGAAGTCAAAAATCTGGTTACAGAGTCAGTGAGGTGGGTAAGCAGCTTGGAGTTGAGACAGCTTACACCCATGAAGCATGAAATAGAGAGCCAAATTTTCAAGAATCATTTCAAAACAAAGTTGCTCTTGTGAATCTCATCATTTTTCTTTTCCAGAACCACTGTCCATCAAATCAAATGGAATAACTACCCCTCCAATTTGTTGGTAGAAGTCAAGTAGTGTATAAATCATCCCTAACCTTCATATAATTTGTCCTTGATTTCAGATTTAGATTCTTCATTCTCTTAAGCATCCTAATGTAAATTTTCAAATTTCATCTTCTGAATGATCACACGGGAGATCATGTAAGGTCAAAGTTTTCCTCATTTGATTTATCCTGTCTCATATATATATATATATATATATATATATACACACACACACACATATACACACACACATATACATATATATATGTATGTACATATATACATATATACACACATATATATATATGTAAGTATATAAAAGCTTAAGTCCTTGTTCCCTAAAGAAAATGACAGAATGGAAAAGCCAATCAACTAATATTTGTAGAACAATGAAGTCATACAAAATGTTGCCTAAATAGTATCAATGGCAATGTAATTCTAACAGTAAGATAATCATATAGGCTGCCTCCTGTTTACCTAATTATGCCAATACATAACTAGGCAACCCTTTTAAACCAATTATTTGGATATGGTCCAGAAATGTTCTTGCCTCTCTGTTATCACATGAATAGTTTATCTTCTCAGTTAGATATAGATTTTTTCCAACCAAGAGAAATCTTCCTTACATAGTAAGGAAACCCCCAAGAACAAAAAAGAAAATCAGAACTGAGATTACCACCCATCTTTTCTATACTGTGCAGTTAGTCGAAGTTCCACAGAGAATAATGTTGCTCTGAGTTGATTTTCCTCTGGGAAGCACCCGGAAAAATTAACAGCTACCTAGGGACTTAGCTTTTGTCAACAATGAACCACATAAAACTTTCCAAACCCATTTAATTGTCTGCACGATGCAGTAAGACTTCCCCTGTCTCCTTGCTCAGACATAACACACCCATTTAAATAAAACCAGATTGGCATTCTCCAACCTCGCATTTATTCTCTCTTGGTGAACCAAATGGCAGGTAAGATAAGTAAAGACAGTAGAATCCATGCAGGCAAAACTAAGAAAGTCAAGCAGAGGAGAGACAGCCATTTCCAGAACAAGATAATGTAAATCTTCATCTAGCCTTCTTTAGATACGTGCACAATCTTTTAAAAATAGACATCATCATATTAACATGAAGTCACAAATTTTATGGCCTCTGAGGTAGTTTCAAGAATCATGACCAAATTGCTACCACATCAAACCAATTTTTACCCATATTCAGCTCAACAAACCTGTTTTTGGTCAGGTACACCCATGTTTTACATTTTTACCATGCCTATGGCTTTTGCTTTGTGCAGAGTCACAGCATGTAAGAGGAAGAAGGTGGTGGGGAACCAGGTGGGGTCTCCTCAATTCCCTGATTTAGTAACATTCAGTCTAAGCAGAGGCACAATCCACCCTGAGCATTTCCTCCTCTTCGTCTTTCCAATTCACCAACACCAAAAGTCACAGATGGGAGGACTGGACAGAGCAGAGCAAGACACCCATGTGTTGGGGGGCCTGCGGACCATCTGACTGTTACAGCTGTGGGCATCCGCAGAGCTGCCTTGGAGCAAATAATATAGTCTGTGCTCAGAATATGTTTGCTCAATGAAGATCTGGATGGCTAAAAGATGATGGGAGCCTCTCAAGAACCTAAAAGTCCTGGGGGTGGGCCACTCTACCCTTAACAATGCAGATTTTGCCACCTCTTTATGGAAGTCCATATGGAAATGGAGAAAGAGCAGGAGAGAGGGTGAGCCACTAATTACCGGCTCCTCCTTGCACAATCAGGTTCAAAACAAAAGGAGGAAGCTTCTCACATTGGGGAAATGGAAACAACAGTATTTAATTCATGAAAACTAAAATCTGGAAAGATGAAGAGGATGACACCTCTGTTCTCCGGGAAAGCCACCCAGGGATGGCCACTGTCAGAAGGAGGTCAGATTCTGTGAGGAGGTCACCATTGTTTAACCTGTCAGGACTGGTCCTGGTGTCCCAGATGCACTGTTACTGAACCTGTGATGCTAGCCTGGCCTACAAGTTTGAGAAACACCTAATCAAAACATGAGGGTAAAATATTTACAAAGAGTGAGAGTCAGGGAGAGACTGAATGTGTACTAAGTAAATTTTTCACTTTAAATGTACCAGCATTTCTCTCTTTTCCTCTACTTTGTCTCCAACTTAGAAGAAAAGACATCATTTTCAACCCTTAGGGAGATGGAGTGTCTGAGAGTCTATAAGGGCTCCTCATGCTCAGCTGCTGGAACTCCCTGGAGTCTAGGAAACATCGCAGGTCTGCAGACACTGAGGTCTCTCCACCTGTGGAAAGTGGCACTCATCCTATTATGGGATAACTGAGGCCTTGGTGACGTTAAAAGCTGATTCTTCTCCTTTGCAGGTAGTAGATTCTTATCTGTTTGGGAATCTAGGCACATCTGTTTACAAGTGACCAACAATTATTTGTGGAAATGCTGTGCTTGCCATTCTACAGCCACAAATCAAAGTGGTTAAAAACTGTACTCTAGCCAGGGATTATGGGGGTGAGATGGTGATATGATCTGGATCTGTGTCCCCACTCAAATCTCATTTTCAATTGTAATCCTCAATGTTGGAGGTGGGGCCTGGTGGGAGGTGATTGGAACACGGGGGAGGATCTTTCGTGAATGGTTTAGCACCATCCCCTTGGTGCTGTTCTCATGATGATGAGTTCTCATGAGATCTGGTTGTTGAAAAGTGTGTGGCATCTCCCTCTCCTTCTTCCTGCTCTGGCCATGTAAGATATGCCTGATTCCCCTTTGCTTTGTGCCATGATTGAAAGTTTCCTGAGGCCTCCCCAGAAGCTGAGCAGATGCCAGCATCATGCTTCCTGTACAGCCTAAAGAACCATGAGCAAATTAAACTTCTTTTCGTTATAAATGACCCAGTCTCAGGTATTTTTTATAGAAATCTAGGAATAGGCTAATACAGATGGGAACAGTCATTATTTTTTATTGGTGCTGGCAAATATTCCCTGACCAAGTCGAACTTTCAACCTTGGCACAAAGCAGTAGCAAATATTATTCTTTCTGCGGTTCTTTATTTAAAATGTGTGCCTGCTCTTCTCTGTAAGGGAACATTCTTTTCTGCTGACCAGAAAAATATGGATGCCTAGATATTTAGAAAGAGCTGTGGATGTATTTTAATTATTTTTTACTCAACGTAATTCATGGGTTCACATCTGGATATATCTTTATAGGTTCGTCCCTTTTCTATTAATCTGTTATTATAAAACTTCCATGTTATGTCCTCCCATGTGCACCAGGGATACCTGAGCCTCCTTCTGATGTAACCAAGATGGAAGCTTCAATGAGGTGTCTTTATGTCACCAAAGCAAGGAGGAATCTGACAAAAGTCTTCCCAGAGGCTACTTGTGAAGCATCTCCTTGTTTGGTGGTTCTGTCCAGTGGCTGCTGTGGGATGAGATAAAGCTGCAGGAGGCAGAGGAGCCAAGGCTAATTCTTATTCAAACTATGGATTATCTCAACCCTTGATACTCTTCCCATTCCATCTGTCTCCTCAGTCCTGGGTCATTTTCATTGCTCATTATCACCAGCACCAGAGGGAAGACAGAGGAAATGAAGGAAGTTGAAATTCAAATGAATCGATTCTACCACTTGTTAGCAGCTCAGCTCACAAGTACACAAAGGGAGGAGGCTGCAGCTCTTCTGTGGGTTTCAATTCTCCTTGCTATTCTTGTACCCCATGCTGCCAGGCAATATTGAGTGGGCTGTATGGAAACGATCTCTGGGATGAAAAAAGAAGTGGGGGTAGCTCCCTCTAACAGTAGCTTCTTCAAAGAAAAGAAAAAGCAATTATATGCTCAGCGGCAGCGTGCCACACAGAGAAGCCCAAATTTTATTAAACAAACTCATATTTGGAAGCATATTATCCCCTCAGAACTAGAGAGAAAGGAATGCTTAGAACATATTTAGAGCAATTATAATGCAGAGGATACACTGATTGTCATAGCAGCAAAAATTTTAAATAAAGAGGACATTTCCTTAAAAGATTATGCCAAGGACATCAAAAGCAGAAGCAAGCAAAGGCTGTATCAAAATCCTAAAGGATAATGAAAAGGAAGAAAAATACATTAGGACCTTTAAAACCACTGTTTCCAACACATGTAGAATGGCAGGGAGAGAATAGAACCCTGGAACCAATGGAATTGTCTTTTTCTCCCTGCACTTATAAGAAAGGGTTGGACTACAGTCACCAATGCCCTGTCCTGTTCTCAGTGGTGGACATTGTGAGGCACCACCTAGATGACCCTGCAACAAAGGGTTTGCCCCAGCTTCTGGGAGTGTTGGCAGCAGAGAGCTTTCAATTAGTGACCCATTCGGGGATTGTCTCTGTGGCAGAGAGACACTTTGCCTTCCAGAAACAGCCCACATCCAATGACTGACCAGTGGGGGAGGATGAAGGTCTAGCTCCCTCAGCCTAATATGGGACAACTCTGAAGGACCAGTCTAGATCCAGAGCTGGCTGAGAGGTTGGCTGAGGCTGTGGTTGGTTCTGCATCACAGCTTATCTTCTCCTTCTTGCCATTCCTTCCCACCCCATTCACAAATGTTGATCCCAAGGGTACTCCTTAATAAACCTCTTGCATGCCAAATCCCATCTCAGAGTCTTCTTCCCTAGAATCTCAACATGCAACAGTTAATAGTCACTAATCTTTGCACACTCTGGCTTTTTTTATTTTCTTAACACTTTTTTTCTGAGCTGAATATTTACTTTTTTCAATGAGGTTGGTATATACTCCAAGAAGTTATGTAACACATCAAAGAAGAAATGCAGGTTGGTTGGTGGGGGATGCAGGAGAGAAAAAGGCTATGAATGATCCAAATGGAAATTGGATAAAAAGATTGGGCTTCAAATTAGATATATAAAGAAGCAGTGTTGAAGTTACCATAAGGAGCATGGAAAATTAAGAAATAACCATTTACCGGCCGGGCGCGGTGGCTCACGCCTGTAATCCCAGCACTTTGGGAGGCCAAGGCAGGCGGATCACGAGGCCAGGAGATCGAGACAATCCTGGCTAACATGGAGAAACCCCATCTTTACTAAAAATACAAAAAATTAGCCGGGCGTGGTGGCGGGCACCTGTAGTCCCAGCTACTTGGGAGGCTGAGGCAGGAGAATGGCGTGAACCCGGGAGGCGGAGCTTGCAGTGAGCCACAATTGCACCACTGCACTCCCGCCTGGGTGACAGAGTGAGACTCCATCTCGAAAAAAAAAAGAAAGGAAAATAAATAACCATTTACCTAGGCAAAGCAAGGGGTATAGTCTATATGAATCCTATACCACGGCCGAGTCTATTAATGAACAAGTAACTTTTTTTAACTAAGCCTAAGAACTTGGTATTTCCTATCTGAGGTAGCTACTGCCAATAGAATCTTAGAGAATGTTTGCCACCAGAAAAAGATGTCATAACTGAGAGACTGGACTAAGCTATTGATGGAGCATATCTGGGCATGTGCCCCCACTGAACCACTAAATGACATTAGACACAGTATTTAAACCCCAAGTCTGAAAGGAGGAAAGCAGGCAACTTGCTCAGTGAATAGAGATTCATGAAACTAAGATCTTTCTGAATTATTGTATATGAAATTTCCATCAACTGCACTGCCTAAGTAAATTAAGGTATAGTCATAAAATAGTAATAGTAGTTTTTAAAAATGAGGTATATAGATATATATATATATATATACACACACACATATATATATATGAGTGAAGCTTGTATATATTTGAAGAATATATGTGAATATATATATATATATATATATATATATATATATAGAGAGAGAGAGAGAGAGAGAGAGAGAGAGAGAGAGAGGGAGAGAGTCTACCATATCTTAGTTGGGTATCCTCCTTCCACAAACTAAGATTCAGAGAAATGTAATGACTGGTCCTTGGTCACATACTAGTAAGATAGGTAGCATTTTGACAAGCAGAGACTGAAGGGAGGTGATCATTTTAGAAAACAAGAAAGTCAAGTAAAATCAAGAAGGCAAAAATAAATGAACAAACATGAAACCCGCCAAAAAACAACAACAATAACCCCCATGTGGGCCAGGCACAGTACCTCATGCCTGCAATCCCAGCATTTTGAGAGGCCAAGGTGGGTGGATCACCTGAGGTCGGGAGTTCGAGACCAGCCTGACCAACTTGTTGAAACCCCATCTCTACTAGAAATACAAAATTAGCTGGGTGTGGTGGCACACGCCCATAATCCCAGCTACGCAGGAGGCTCAGGCAGGAGAATTGGTTGAAGCCTGGAGGTGGAGATTGCAGTGAGCTGAGATCGCACCACTGCACTCCAGCCTGGGCAACAAGAGCAAAACTCCATTTAAAATAAAATAAAATAAAATAAAATAAAATAAAGAAACCTGTGTTTGAGTGACTGCAAGCACTCCATTGTATGTGAGAATGGAGTAACAGAGATCTGCTACTGGTGAACTCAGGGATCTGAATGAATAATGAGTTCCACTCTGAACATATTACATATGTTTATTGAAAGTCAGTGCTATGGTTTCAATGTTTGTCCCCTCCAAAACACGTGTTGACATTTAACTGCTATCCACAGTATTAAGAGGTGATACCTTTGAGAGGTGATTAGGCTATGAGGGCTTTGCCCTCCTGGGTGGATTAATGCCATTAAAAAAGGACAAGTTTGGCCCCCTTTTAGTCTCTTTGCCCTTCTGCCTTCTGCCATGTGGTGGTGCAGCAAGAGGGCCCTTGCAAGATGCCAGCACCTAGATCTTGGACTTCTCAGTATCCAGAACTGTGAGAAAATAAGCTTCTGTTCATTATAAGTTGCCCAGTCTCGGGTGTTCTGTCATAATGCACAAAATGGACTAAGGCAGTCAGTAAGAGAGCTGAAGTAAAGAACCAGAAATTGTCAGAAAGGAGATAGAAAAGAGTAAGCACAGATGCAGCACATATCATGGTCAAGGCAAGGATAGTATCATAATTTTCCAACCAACTTGCCCATTTCTGAATATCGCATAGTCCTTTAAAAGCCATATAGATTGAGGCTGACTTAATTTCAGTGGGAACCAGTGGGATTGACAGTTACATACAATCTACTTTCACCCCTGGTTCCTTGGATACTATCAGAAAGCACAAAGCTTTGTGAAAGCACAGAGAGGGCTGGAACTTTCCCAACTTTGTTTTTAAAAAACGTGGAGAATAAAGATTCCAAGGAATTGTTCATCCAACCGTGATCCTGACTGAATAACAACTTGAGCAAATCATCTAAATTGGCTGATTCACCAGGAGAAACGGGACAAGTCCACAGCAGACAATTCAGCCAGAAGGACCCTGAGAAAATATTGAGAGAAACAAGTCCTGTGGACAGAGGATCAGCTTTTCTCACACATCAATATGACTTATGCTCAAAAAGGAACCCAAAGAGCTGGCGCCAAGATTTGTCTGACAAAGTGCTATAAAGTAAGAACAGAGATTTATTCCTGAGAAATTGCGCTGCAGATATCTCAGGAAAAGTGTGCATCCTATCTCTACACAAATAAATGAGGTTAGGGGAGGTAGACAGAAAATGGAAAGCTGGCAAGGCTGCTGTCTTAGGCCAGAAGAATTGATAACTAATGGGCTGAACAGAGTGGTGGAGTGGTTCTGCTTTGAGAAAGTAGTATTTCTAGTTTCATTGTTTCAATAGGGTGCAACCTTATGCATGTATGGTTCCACCCAGCCACAGCCTTCCTAACCTCATGGACAAGGACTTTGAATACGGCTGTGCTTTTATTCCTCATTTGAGTTCAACATCCCCTGGTGAGGACCTGCCATAAACCTCTGCCTCCTGGGGATCCAACTCATAGCATATCTTTTCCAACCCCCTTGTTTATTTCTCTAGACCTTGCTAGAGCTTATGTTTGGCCTAAACTGGTGGGCCCCAAAGAAATATGATGCTACAACTGCTGAAATCTGGCTTTGCCAATATTTGGATATTTCAGCTGCTGCTACAATTTACCCAACAGATCAGATGGTTGTGGTACTGAAATGCCATCGTGTAGTAAAGTGGTCCTATAATGTAGTTTAAACTGCTGTCTCCTTCCTTGATGGGACAAAGGATGCCTCTGGCCTGTAGTGTGATTTTAAACTGCTGCCCTCTTCCTTGATGGGACAAGGGATGCACATGCACCATAGCCTCTTAGTTTCTCTTTCCTTGGTCTTGGCCTTTCCTAAACTCCTCCCATTCCCAAATGGTGCCCTAGAAGTCCCAGAACATCTTGTAACCAAGTAAGTGTGACTGGAATAAAAAAGATCTCAGAATTGAGCTTCCGGGACTTAAAAACTGGCATAAAAACTATAGATAGGATTGTTTTTGTGTGTCATTCTTACATGCTGCAGAATGCCTGTGAGAGAAACACAGGGTATAAATTAGAAAATCTCAGATTTTACATTGTTTGGGGTAAACAAAATGGAAAAGTGAAACAGGAAATAGAGAGCTAATTGATGTAGAAGAGGAAAACACAGCAATTTTTTGACACTTTTAATGTGCTGCAGCTGAATGCCACATGCAGTATGCAATGGGAAGGGGAAGACTATCCACTGAGGCAATGCCACTTTCATGTGAGAACCCTGAGAGGGGAGCTGTGCAGAGGCCCAGTGGTACTTAAAAGTGAATGACAGCCCCACCAAAAGGAGCATTTAGTTTTTCTCCAGGCTGGGGATTGTCTTTCTGGTGGCACTTGGCCAGGAAACATACTTTCCCATCTCAATGACAGGACCTCCTGGGGGAAAATAAATAGATCTTCCCACCAGGAACAAAGGCAAAAGGAAATGTAGTTATGAATAACTACAGTTATTCAGTAAATAAGGTGACTTGAGACAGCAACCAAAGCAGTTCTTTCCTGCAAGTGACAATGTATATACGCATGAAAGTTTGAGGTTGGAGAGGTGGCAAGAGAAGCAAAGGAGAAAGGGGCAGTGAACTTCAGAGTTTGCCAGGAAAAAGGTGGCAGTAATGAGAGGCAAGCTATGTGTGTAGCGGTTCTCAAGCCTAGGTAGTGTGTAAAAAAAACAAAAGGAGCTTGAAAAACAGTTGGACAAGAGGAAAGGGCAGCTACAAAGCTATTGGCAAGTCTTGTGGAGAAGGGATTGGGAGTTAACCACAGTACCCTCTTATTCGCGGTTTTGCTCTCCATGGTTTCGGTTACCCCTGGTCAACCATAGTCCCCAGATAGGTGGATACAGTATCATGAGTTATTCTGAGAGAGAGAGGGAGAGACCACATTCATATAAATTTTATTAAGAATATTTTTATAATCATTATATTTTATTATTATTTATTGTTAATATCTTATTGTGTCTAATTTATAAATTAAACTTTATCGTAGGATATAATATGACAAGAAATGTATACACAAAAACTTGTATGTATGGAAGAAACACAGCATATGTAGGGTTTAGTACTATTCATGGCTTCAGGCATCTGCTGGGGGTTTTGGAATGTATTCCCTAAGGGTAAGTGATGACTACTATATTCAATTCAAGAGGCTTTGGCTTATTTTAGAAATACTTTTGTTTTTACCAGATCTATCAACCATCTGGTTGCTACTCTAGTGCCTGACAGTGATTGACATTAATGATAATATAGTGATAAGAATAATTATTATAATTGTAGTGGCTGACATTTATTCGGCCCTTATTTGGGACTATAGGCTTTATACACTTCATGTTATCCTATTTCACCTCCAGAGCTACCCTGAAAGATATGAATCACTATCATCCCCTTTTACAGATAAGAAAAATCAAGTCTCAGAGAAGCTTGCTTGAATTATTAATAATTGCTAAGCCTGATTTCAATCCAGATCTGCCAATTCTAGAGCCTGAGCTCATAGACATTATGGAATATTCTCTCTTGCTGAGCAGAGACAATGAGGTTTATGTCTGTTCTTTCCTAGTAGACTGTGAGGAAGAGAGGTTGCATGTGCTACTAATATGTTCTCATAAGTATATTTAATTTAGCCTTAGTTTTCAAATCAATTTCCCTGTTAAAACTACATATTAAATAGGACACATTTTTCTCCCCACGAAATCAACACCTATAATTATGTTCATTAATACAATTCAGTGTGATCCCAAAGGATTCGCATTGTTAATTATGTCTAAAAGCACTTCCATAAACATCAAAAGAACAATAAAAAGTACAAGCAATGTCAATAAGAACAGAAACTATATATTATTTCCAAACTATCCTTCCTTTCTTCTTCCTCCCTCAAAATCTACTTTTTTAAAAAGCCTACTCCAGACCACAATAATTCAGTTGTCTTTTGTAGTATATAAGTGACAAAAATAAATATTTGAGAGAACAAAATAACAGATGTTTCTCTTCCCTGTCCAATGTTACCTTTGGTCCTTGGCTTACAAAACTAAATTCTATGATTAATAATGATATAGGAATGATAACACCTTCTTTCTAGATTAGGATGCTTTTCTGAAATATTTGGAAATCTGTCTTTTAGGATATGCCAAAATAAATCCCCTGTCTGGGCTAGACTATACTTTGTATCTTTTGGTCACAATGAAACAAAGTTGTTGGAGACAAGGAGGGAAAAATCAGCTATAGAGTTTCCTTTACCAAATGCAATGCCAAATAATCTTGGCATATTTTATGCACAGGCTTATGATATTCTGTGTGAAGATATGGGAAGTCAATTGTTTGTTTGGACAATACTGGGATGTAGAGTAGGAATTGCACGCTGTGACATGGAATGACGGAGAGGCGTTGGGGAACTACTGAGGTGTAATACGTGTGACACTTCTGGGCTACCCTACCCACAAATGGATGCAATATAAAATTCTATTTCCCAGACACCTTGGGGAAATTTACAGTCTTTCTTTGCTTGTGGCATTAGACCTCAAATAGGAGAAATCCTGTAAGAACGTTCTTTTACTTTATTTCTAAAACAGAGATACAAGCCATTTCCTAAATAGATTAATGAGACAAATATTCCAAAAGCACAACTTAACAAGATTCCTAAACATAGAAACTTCAAGAAGAGAATTTATACATTTAATTATTCCCCTCTCAATGGGTGTTTTTACTGGGAAGTGGGGGTGGAGAGGTGGTATTGGAAAGGCTGGGAAGCACCTGTGCCTGTCGGGCGGGCTTTGTAATATTTGCCCTTCCCTGGACTGTGGACCAGCAGCATCTGCATCACCTGGGAGAGTCCTAGAAATACTGAATTTTAAGCCCTGTCTCAGACCTACTGTGTCAGAATCTGCATTTTCACAAGATCTGGGAAATTTGTTGCACATGAAAGTTTGAATCGCTTTGCTTAGGCCTCCTCTGCAGGCTGAAGAAGAAAAGCAAGTGAGCTCTGTAGAGGATGGGGTAGTGGCCAATGAAGAAGATGAAGCTCAGGGATTCCGTGTTCTCTGTTATGTGACACACCTTTTTTCTCCTAACCCAAATCCTTTCATCACTCCTTCTCATCATTTATTTGCTCATTTAACAGATAGTTTCTTATGAGCCTCCTACATGCCAGGGACTGTTCTTGATGTTGAGCCTACAGCAGAGAACACAACAGACAAGGTTTCTGCCCTCATAAAGCTCCACATTCTGGTGGAGGAGGGCAGGGAGGACAGGTGACACCCAAATAAATGATGTAATGTCAGGAGAAGTAATAACTACCAAGCGGAATAACAACAAAGCAGAATAAAAGCATGGAACATGTTGCAGTGGATGGTGCTATTTTAAATAGGAAGGTTAGTAGAAGCCTCCCCAGGGAGGTAACACTTGAACAGAGAACTGACTGAAGTGAGGAAACAATCTTTGAAGACAGTGAAAGGTACAGAGCTCCAGGAGAAGGAACACCATGTACCAAGACCCTGAGCTACCCTCAACTTCTTTGAAGAAAAGTGAAAAGTTGAGTGTGACTGCAGCTAAGCAGGCAGAGGCACAGTGGTAGAGACCGGCTTGGTGAGGCCATCAGGGAGACCATGGAGATCTCAAATACTATGCCAGAAGGTTTGGATTTTATTCTAAGAATTATGAGAAGCCACTGGGATTTAATCACAGAAGTGAGATGAACTGATTTACATATTGAAAAGATCACTCTGGCTGTTGCGGTCACACCAAGACTACCTGCTATCATCTTTCTTGCAGAAGCACCCAGTTGACAGATCATCCAACCTAGAGGATTTTGTACAACTCTGTTTAAATATTTGAATAACTGAATGAATAACTGATGAATGGATGAATGAATGGTTCTAGCTGTCTAGGTTATGGCTATGCATAACAATCCTATGCTGTCTTATTCATGAGCATAGGATTTGATAATATCTTTTCTCATCAAATACATTTGTATTTGTTGTATGATAGCAGACCTGTTGTCAACAGAGCCCACCCAAATACTCCTGGAAGATCTGAGGTTAGAGGAATTCCAGTTTTCACTTTTTTTTTAAATGAGAAAGAGAAAAGGTACACATCTTTCCCATGGAAAGCACTTATGAAACAACTCATAATTCTTCTTCCCAGAAAGTCTTTATTCTCTCTTTATTCTCTAAGGCTTTTGTGCTAACCGTCAACAGAATATGAATTGGGTATTGGATAACCCCCAAAGTCATTTTTATATCTGGTTCTATGAATCTATGATTTAATATCCTCCTATTGTGGTGCTTTTCCAATCCTTCTTTCAGAGTAAGCTTTAAGAACCAGCATCATGCTTCTCATGTGGTTTTGAGGGTCCCCTGGCTCTTAGGTACAAACCTTGGGTATAGATGCTACTCAGGATGCAGAATCTGATTCTTCAGGCATCAGCACTGACCAGGAATCCTACTACTTTTTTTTTTTTCGTTTTTTGAGACAGGGTCTCAATCTGTTACCCAGGCTGAAATGCAGTGGTATGATCTTGGATCACTGTAACCTTCGCCTCCCAGGCTCAAGCTATTCTCCTACCTCAGCCTCCCGAGTAGCTGGGATTACAGGCATGTGCCACCACACCCAGCTAATTTTTGTATGTTTAGTAGAGATGGGGTTTTGTCATGTTGACCAGGCTGGTCTCAAACTCCTGGTCTCATGTGATCCACCCACCTCAGCTTCCCAAAGTGCTGGGATTACAGGCATGATCCACCGCACCCAGTGAATTCCACTACTTCTCCCATATGCTTATAAATCTCACAAGAAAGCCTCTTGGACTTTCATATGTACCTAAAACTACTGTTAAAAATACCAGTGTTGGTTGGACGTGGTGGCTCACACCTGTAAACCGAGCACTTTGGGAGGCCAAGGCAGGTTGGTCACTTGAACCCAGGAGTTTGAGACCAGCCTGGGCAACATGGCGAGATCTCGTCTCTACAAAAAAATAAAAAAGAAGAAAAATACAAAAATTAGCCAAGCATGTTGGCACATGCCTGTAGTCCCAGCTACTCGGGAACTGAGGTGGGAGGATCACTTGAGCCCAGGAGGTCAAGGCTGCAGTGAGCCATGATCGCACCACAGCACTCCAGCCTGGATGACAGAGTGAGACCCTGTCTCACAAAACAAACAAACAAACAAACAAACAAAAGGCAAAACAGAAAAAAAATGGCTATTTATCATATTGGTGATCAATTTTGACTGACAATAAGAATGTGTTATATGTATACATGTGTTTCTTTGGTTGAAAATAAGAATGTGTTATATGTATACATGTGTTTCTTTGGGATTGTGGCATTATTGTCCTAACATGCTCTAAATATTCTTCGAAGGTCTATGCCATTAGCACAGGGATGCTCCCAGTGTCCGCCAACAAGCTGGCCCACTGCCCAATCTGCTTTGACTCACATAGGCCATCCCTTCCTCACATACAAGCCTGCCAGCCCTTCCAATGTGGGCTAGAATGCTGGTGAGCAGCCTGCCCCCTGGCAGCAGTGCAAGTCGATCACAGGCAAATGAACACCTGCCTCCTGCCTGGGGTTGTGACCACTGCCAGTCACTGGCTGAACCTCCCTTAGGTTCACCCTGGTATGAAACATTATGGGAAGTACAGTTTATGGGAAGTACACCAGAATACTGGTGTTTATTTTCAGTATCAACCCTCCCCTCACATTCCCACTCTCCAGAAAAAAACATGGCTTCCTTGTATGATAAGTGCCTTATTTTTTGCATAGCCCTGTGCAGTTATCAAGGTACTTCATGCACATGATTTTCTTTGATTATTCAACATCCCTGTGAAGAAGGATGGTATGGTTTTTGTCTCCATTTTGCAAATGAGATTGATGACTCACCTTCTTGACTCATGACTGATGGAGCTAGAATAAGAATGTGTGCTCTTGACCCCTAGACTAGTGTCATTTCTATTCCACCATGACACCTTGCCCAACCCTGCTTTATATTGTGATTTTGGAAGTACTAACACCTCCATTCTACACTTCCACCCAGAGCATGTCTACAGTGAAGCCTGGAGCTCCTCCTTATAAATCACACTGCCAGATCAGTGTTCATGGATGTGCAAATTTAAAAATGAAATGACATTTGGGTTGGTTCCAAGTCTTTGCTATTGTGAATAGTGCCTCAAGAAACATACGTGTGCATGTGTCTTTATAGCAGCATGATTTACAATCCTTTGGGTATATACCCGTAATGGGATGGCTGGGTCAAATGGTATTTCTAGTTCTAGATCCCTGAGGAATCGCCACACTGACTTCCACAATGGTTGAACTAGTTTACAGTCCCACCAACCATGTAAAAGTGTTCCTATTTCTCCACATCCTCTCCAGCACCTGTTGTTTCCTGACTTTTTAATGATTGTCATTCTAACTGGTGTGAGATGGTATCTCATTGTGCTTTTGATTTGCATTTCTCTGATGGCCAGTGATTATGGTCCAACAATGATAGACTGGATTAAGAAAATGTGGCACATATACACCATGGAATACTATGCAGCCATAAAAAATGATGAGTTCATGTCCTTTGTAGGGACACGGATGAAGCTGGAAACCATCATTCTCAGCAAACTATCGCAAGGACAAAAAAACCAAACACTGCATGTTCTCACTCATAGGTGGGAATTGAACAATGAGAACACATGGACACAGGAAGGGGAACATCACACACCAGGGCCTGTTGTGGGGTGGGGGGAGGGGGAAGGGATAGCATTAGGAGATATACCTAATGCTAAATGACAAGTTAATGGGTGCAGCACACCAACATGGCACATGTATACATATGTAACAAACCTGCACGTTGTGCACATGTACCCTAAAACTTTAAGTATTAATAATAATTAAAAAAAAAGAAAAAACAGGCCCAAATTGAAGGCTATTCTTTGAAGTAACTGGCCAACACTCTTCAAAAACGTTAATGTCATGAAAATAAAGATTGGGAAACCATTAAAAAAAAAAAGAAAGGGGCTTTATAACTATAAAAAAAATGAAATGAATGAAGGATGATGTCAGATTCCCACATTTTATTTTACCAACTACCACCATTATTTAATAAAAAAATTGTATGTTTCATCATAAAGAATAAGAAGGTAAACATTCTAGAATAAGGGCTAGTTTTTCCCAAGAAACAACAATTAAGGCGTTTCATATCAACCTATTTTTAAAAACACTGTATATTTTCAAATTTAAAACAATTTTCCTTTAACTACGCTGTAATTATTTAATTGATACCTGTTTGCCAACCTGAGTATATATTCAAATATATGCATATATATTCAACAATGCCAGAAGAAAAACAGTTGGTTATTCCAATTAACTTATTTTTTAATCAATACCTTTGTCAGACTTCCAGTTTCACATGCTGTTTGGCAAAAAAGGAAAAAACACTCAGTGAGGCTTCTTCACACAGCTTGGAATATTCTGGGCAAACTGAAAGAAGTTGAGAATTAACTGTTTCCATGCCACCAACCGCTTTTCCTACATTCTCACTCTCTGGAGCACCAGGAAGACAGTGGGTAGTTGGCACAGTGTGTGTCTGGCTGAAGGTAGCAAGTACTCCAGGAAGGGGCATGTGGCACCTAGAGCTCATGGCATAGGCCTGACTCACAACCTCAACCTTGTCAGTGGCGAATTCATCTGATTGGGGTATCAAAGAGACATGCAGACTTGATTTTAAGAATCATTGGCTTTGTTTATATGCTGTACCTGAATGTATCCATTTTATTTTACGAAAATGACAAAAGCTCCTACCTGTATCTACCTGCTTATATAGGTATCTACTTATATGCAATAGAATCAGGCGGGCAGAACCACACCGGGAAGACATACTACTAAAGTACACGGAAAACAAAGATCAAAGAAAGACTAGAACATGTTGAGAGGAGGATTTCTTGTTCTTTCTGCCTGTGATACCCCAGGGTGTTTCCAATTATTTCAAGTCATGTCACGGAATATCAACAAAATAGCCCAACATAAAACTACTTGGAATCCTTTTTAAATTACATTTAAGCCCATGCTATTTGGGAAATCTTCAGGAAAAACCATAGACAGGCCCTGGTCTACACTGACACCCAGGTATTAGGCCGGGCAACCTCACTGAGAAGGAAAACATGGGAGAAGAAGTAGAGAGAAGGTTGTAGGTTGGAGCAAATTAGGAGAGAGCAAGGATGAGTTCATTTTTAGAAATGCCCAATCTGAGATGTTTGTGGGGCTTCCCGGTTGTGATGTCTAGTGGGTACTTATAAGTTGATTTAGTCATCTAAAATATTCATTATATATATTTACCATCAAACCCTGTGTTTGGTGCTAGGCATAAGACAGAATATAGGCCCTGCTTCCATGAATAACCTAGATTTTAACATCAGGAATTGAATAGATAGAATGTTTTTATTCTTTGAGAAAACTTGTTTTGAAATATATAATTTATTTAGAAATTTTAAAAAGCAACCTTCTTTCCTTTTTATAAGAACACAAGAATAGAAGCCAAGTACTAAGTCATTTGCATAATACCAATATTTTACTTTATTTTGATCTGGCTAAATTAGTCAAAAGCTTAAACTTTTTTTTAGTCCATTTAGTTTCATGTTAATGTTTTTACATTCATAAGTAAATGTTTTGCTTCTGTCCTATGACAGCACGACAAAAAATATTTAACAAATATTCATAATTAACCTGTTGAATTGGAGATGGTGCAACCTCCCACAGACTTCAGAAGGATCTTCTCCATTGATTGATTAACTTTTGGAGGTGATGAAAGTCATCATATTTCTGATAGTACAGCATCAGTAATCCAAAAACTAACTCAACATAAACCTCTCCTCACCTATAAAATGCAGAGTATGCTTGTTTCAAAAATTCAAGTGATTTAAATGATTTATATTAAATCACAAAGTTGACTTAGTTCAAAAGCTCATCATTGACAAGCCTATGTGTTTCTTTATTATGTATTTATTATTTGTTATTTACAATCTACACTAGGTCAGGAGATGAAATTGGGCCTCCTGCAGTCTGGCTGGCTTTCCAATGTGGTCCACAAACCAGGGACCAATTTCAAGAAGAACCTCAAAAGAGTGGACAGGGTGAGTGTCATTCACCAATTAATGCACTACATTAAGAAAACTCTCCTAGAGCTGACTGATTTTGTGCAGACTTCCTGTTTCAGTGGAGGAGGCTGTTCTTCAGCAGGTGGAGGTAAGGATGGAGATAATATGAGGGGGATCTCACAGGGCATATGACACAGTAAGAAGGCAGAGCAGCTTAGAGACCTAAGCCAAGAAGCAAGATGGAGGGCACTGCTTCCACTTCATGCTATGTCAGGCTACTGTAACCACTGGAATATTCTCTTCTCTTTTATAGGCAAAGAAGACGTATAAAACAGGCAAGCACCAGAAAGTATTTGTGTCCACCATACCTTATTGCACTGCATAATTTTCTAAGACTGCTTCTCAAAACCTCCCCAAGCAGTTGAACAAAACTTAACATGAAATGAATACATTTTCATTGTTCTGTAGCTCAACCTTGGTGCTATTTTTTTCTCCCCATCTACCTATCTCCCAATACCCTCTTCAGCATTGTTGGGTTTTCATCTCACACAAAGTGTATCTAAAGGCACAGCATTATAATCAGTATTGTTGTTTGAAATGAAAACCTTAAGATAAGAGAAATAAAAGACTGTATGAATTCAGTTTTCAATACTGCATGTTCTGATTTTTTTTAAAGAATGACTTCTAGAAAAAAAATAAAAGCAACCTATGACCACTTTGATTTTTCTTGATTTTATATTTATGCAGAAAACAATTGCTTGCCACTGCAGCAGACCTTTGTTTTATTTAAGAGTAACTTCTAAGATTTATTTCATGTGGCAACACTGACATACAGAGGCTAGAAATTTGATTCTCAGGTGCTATGAGACTGGACTAGTGGAGTAAAATTTTTGGACAATAAATAAACCTACTTCGCCAACCAGAACCCTCATTTCACATTTTGAAGGAGAAGTGCTGTTCTCTCAAAGTCATTCTGTACAGCTGATCTGGTGGAATGTTAAAAATATTATTGCTCAAAAAAGTGGCTCTTAAACAAAGCGTACTATGGAGTTGTTTCTGAATTAAGATGTTCCATAAAGACTTGGATATACTCTATTAGAAATGTATTTCAAAGACATGAAAATGGGGCAAAAAAGGAAAAGATGAAATATACTGAATCCAAAAATCTTAAGCAGCTACATAGCATAGCCACTCTAATTGGAGCAATAGAGTTGGGGCTGAGATTACATTTGCTAATAGAAACTGGATAATAAATTTGAGATTTTACGTTTAACAATAAAAATGGTTATTACCCTTAGGCTGACTAGGTTGGAGGCTGGGAGCAGAAACTGAGTATAAACTGCCAGTTCAGGAACAGGATGATAGAATTAACCTTCTGTTTCAAAAGGAAAGTGGTCTTCCCAGTGTCTTCTCAGGCCCTCAAGTGAAGGGCCACTTGTTTTGGATTATTTACAATTAACATGAAATTATGAGGAGATATTTTCATATCTCTGCATCAAAACCAAGTCTTACTAAGCCATTAAGAACTGAGCTACCAACTGAGGAATAAAAATAAGAAATCAGGCTGGCAAAAGTGTATGGCCTATTGCAACCTATTAATCACTACCCTTCTCCTGTAAAAAAAGTACTGACTGTGATTTCTAGGATATTATATTAACTAGAGGCTGTGGCACTTTTTTTTCTTAATATCTTCTGCTTTGCCTTTTGAAAAAATCAAAACTATTTTCTTCAAAATGCACTCTGTTAATTAAAACATAAAACAAAATGATAAATGAACACCTCAGTTACTGAGCAACAACTTCTTTAAATGGTTAAAGCCTGGAGCTGGGGTGTTGAGGTGCAGAGAACACGTTATTGAAACGTCTTTAAAATGTATTTAAAATGAGTTTAACAATGAGTCATTGTTACTTTACTAGAGTTTCCATTTTCAACCGCCTAAATAGATCTTGTGTTCAAAAGCGACAACATTTTAATTCTTGGCATTTCTGGGAGTGTTCTGTCAAGGAAGGATGGCAACCTCAAGTTTGCAAATGTAAGAGAAAGAATTCTAGGACAGATATCTAAAGGCCCAAAGTGTGGTTCTGGTTAAATTAATTTGCTTCAAATCCTGAGTATGCTTCACATACTAAGCCTCATTTTCTTCATTTGCAGAAAAGAGCTAGTGTTGATCACTCCATGTATAAAATTATTTTTATGGCCAGGTGCGGTGGCTCGCACCTGTAATCCCAGCACTTTGGGAGGCCAAGGCGGGCGGACCATGAGATCAAGAGATGGAGACCGTCCTGGCCAACATGACGAAACCCCGTCTCTACTAAAAAATACAAAAAAATTAGCTGGGCTTGGTGGCGCGCGCCTGTAGTCCCAGCTACTTGGGAGGCTGAGGCAGGAGAATTGCTTGAAACTGGGAGGCAGAGGTTGCAGTGAGCTGAGATCATGCCACTGCACTCCAGCCTGGCGACAGAGCAAGACTTCGTCTCTCTCTCTCTCTCTCTCTCTCTCTCTCTCTCTCTCTCTATATATATATATATATATATATACACACATATATACACACACATTTATAAGATACATGAGGCCGGGCGCGGTGGCTCACGCCTGTAATCCCAGCACTTTGGGAGGCCGAGGCGGGCGGATCACGAGGTCAGGAGATCGAGACCATCCCGGCTAAAACGGTGAAACCCCGTCTCTACTAAAAATACAAAAAATTAGCCGGGCGTAGTGGCGGGCGCCTGTAGTCCCAGCTACTTGGGAGGCTGAGGCAGGAGAATGGCGTGAACCCGGGAGGCGGAGCTTGCAGTGAGCCGAGATCCCGCCACTGCACTCCAGCCTGGGCGACAGAGCGAGACTCCGTCTCAAAAAAAAAAAAAAAAAAAAAAGATACATGAGAAGGTAGACTGTGCCCACCTCTCCCAATACTGAGTATAGTATTATGCAAATGCCATAGCATGCTATGAACACACATTAAATAAAAGAACTAAAGCACCAGAATTCTCCTTGATAGTTCTTTGTATATGATAATAAAACCATTAATAGTTATTGAGCTTTTATTATGTCCCCAATACCAGATTGAACTTTTCATGTAGATTATTGCTTTCCATTTTCCTAATCTATTGAAGTAGTAGCTATAATTATCTCTATATTATACTTGGGGAAATTGAGACACACAGAGGTTAAGGAACTTGTTCAAGGTCACACAGTTAACTAGTAAAATGAGATTCATATGTGGACTCACTACTTCTTTCCACAATAATGAAACAAATGTTTCTTTGCCTCCAGCTTAATAAAACCCTTGATGTAGTAATAATTACTGACATTTTTATAGAGCATGTGGTATTTCATGGGATTCCCAAACAACCTAGTAATATCCTTAGCTCCATTTTGTAGATTAAAAAACCCGGTGCTCAGAAAGAAGAAATAATTTCCCCGAAGATATAAGTGGTAGAATGAACAAGAAATGAAGCCCTCGGAATCATAACACAATGAACATTTCACTGTATAATCTATTATGATCTTCTAGCATGCAATGGGGTAAGAAGAAGGGATTAGGACACAAAACTAAATCCCTTCAGTTATTTTTGGAAACATACTACTAATGTGTCTGTCTGTATTCTAGGAGACTGCTTCATCTCTCTCTCATTTCTGCAAGGCAAAGTGAGGAAATGACTTCTCTTTGAAACTGAGCATCTACCAAGAAATGCACATCCTTTCCTAAATCACCCTCATTTCTTCTGTGATGAAAGAAGTAGATTAATTAACAGCACACACAGGATAAAAATGAGTGAGACAAAAGAAAAAAAGTGATTAGCATGGAGCTCTAAACTGATAATAGACCCAGTCAGGTCCAGAAAACATCAGGAATATTAATACCAATAAGTTGAAAAAGCAGAGCAAGGTGGAGGAAGGGGAAGTAGCATATTATCAAGCTCAAGAAAATGTGATGAACATTGGAATGTAATGGTGTGGATAAGGAGGACTCTCACCTGGGAGCCAGTCCCCATCCTCAAGGAAGCAAACTGAACCTAATTGAACTGAACCAAACCAAAGCAACATAAACTAAAATAAAATAATCAGCCTGTGAGGGGTATCTGTTAGCACATGCCACTTATGGAAATCCAAAAAAATCATCTTTCACCGGCAACCATATGACATTAAGTAAGATTCAACTTTGGGGAAAGAAAATAAATGAAGTATAAAATAGCTTTTTCTTTAAATGGCAAATAGGAAACCTCTTTTATTTTCCAATTTATTGGTTTGCTCTCTTCAAATAAGACAGATTTTACTAACAGAGTAAATCTTAAAGAATAAAAATCAAGCAATTAGTGAAAATTGGAGTTCAGCTACATGATTCTTGGGGTTATCATGGGGTTAAAAAGGTAATATTCATCTCCTTATTTCACAAATACTTGTAAATTTAGACAATATTTTTGCTTGAAGAATTAAATCTTTCATTTACTGGATCTAGTAAAACTAGTTGAGATTTGTTAATCCAATTATGGAAGAAGGCCCATCCAACAATGCAATCAGTTCACTCCATCGTAATGAAAGGAATGAAAAAACTGAAGGAGAAGGAATTGTTCTAGAAGCACACACCTGGCATGAGCTCAGAAATGGCACAGTGGAAACAGCAATAGCTCTGCACGACACTCATCTTCCCATCGAATTTTTGCTTTCACCTTCACAAACACAAGAATACATTGGAACATCCACAAAATAGTTGAGCTCCTTAATGTTCACTGACTGAAAAAAATAACTAATGACAGCAAGCTATTCTAAATTCAGTAGGACTTTTGGATGAATTTGCATTTATTAATCTTAATGAATAGCATCTTTGCATGTTTACCTAGTGGTTGAACATGTGTACATGACATATTAATTTGTTCAGTCTATAGACAATGCTTGATAAGTATGTGGATTTGAGGACCCTTGTAAGCAATCCATAGCTCCCCAGAGTTCTTCAGCTGCCAAATAGGAACTACTGAACCCTTTCTCTCTACTAAATACTCATAATATAAAAATAGACTTATAGAAGGCATTCCAGCATGATATTCAGCAAAATTTGCAGTCTATATGCATTGAAAAGGAGCCAGAGGATCATACACTGAAATGGTAACTGTTCATTGCTGGCTAAAATGGTTTAGGGAGCTTTATTTGCTTTTCTGTATTTTCCAAACTTTTAACAATAATTATTTATCCCTTTTGTAGTAAAAATAAACAACAAAAAAGCAAAGCAAAAAAGTTAACAAAAGGTCTCAATGCTGCCACATTAAAAAGGCTTTAGCAGTCCTTTGTAAACTTAAAAACCCAGATTCTTGGAAAATGCCCCTAATAGTCGATTCTCCTTGTTCCTGGGGGACCTATTCCTTCACAGTGATGTAGAAAACTATGGAAACCTAAATGTGCATTCCACAAAAACTAAGTTTCTGGCCAGAGCAAGCATATTTCCATTGCAAAATTTATCCTATCACACTCCTTGAAGTCCTTCAATGGATCCCCCATTGTCCCATTGGGCAATTTCATGGCCCCCAAATCTTTCTGATCCTGCACCACTAAGCTCTCTAATGTCATGATCAATCACTCCCTTAAGTAACCAGCTCTGGCTCTGTTAACGGCCCCTCATAGCTTTCTTGCTTGCTACTCCTTGGAAAAGTCTAGTCATTTCTCAGAGCACATCCCATGAAACAAAGGCTCTCTGATTGTTTCAACAGGGCTCGTTAATGCAGGGAAAAAAGAAAACTAACCTACTCTGTATTCCCCGTGTAGATTACAAAGAGAGCAAACTCATACTTTTTTTATAATAATATCTAACTGCAACCCAGAAATGCCCCATCATGTACTCTGAAAATTATATGTCCAAAACATTACTTATGCAAAAATTAATGGCAGGTTCAAAACAATGTTGAGTAAAAAATTCAATACTGATGGTGCATTAAAAACTTAAAGTATAATAATAATAAAATAAAAAAATAAAATAAAATAAAGTTTGTTTTATGTAAAAAAAAATTGGTAATCCAATGATCTGTATTTATATGTTCAGGGTTGGTATTTGCCTCCCAATGCCCGGGCTCATCCTCTTCTTTGACAAGAGACACCCTGTTTTTGCCAGGCACAACACTGCCTACAATGAAGATTATATTTCTCAGTCTGTTCTTTTAGTAAGTTCCCATGTGACCATGTTTTGTCCAATGAGATATAAAAAGAAAATATTATATGATATTTCCAGAAAATCTTTTTTAAAGAGACAAGGCACACCCTCCTTTTGCTCTATCCAATTCCATGGAATGTGGATGTGATGACAGGAGCTTCACCAGCCCTTCCAGGTCAGAAGACTGGGTGGGGGCCATACTTTAGGGATGGTAGAACAGTGAGCTGGAAGGAGCCTAAGTCCCTGAATAGTTTCAGTAGCTCCCTTTCTAGCTCTGGACTGCCTACTCTAAATTGTTGCTAGGTGAGAAAAGAATAAACTGTTACTTTCTTTAAGTCTCTGTAAATGCAGGCCAATTTTTTTTCAGGTCTCTCTCTGTATTTGCAGCCAAAGCTAGTCTTAAAGGAGGTATGGAGCTTTGCATGACAACCCAGACATTTTAACAGAATATAGAATGAGAACCCTTAACAAACTTAATAATGCACTAAGTCCAGTTAGTGGACATCAAGTGTTAGTGATTTTCAAAATTCACTTAGAAGGCTAGCATCCTCATCAAATCTCCCAGGGGCTGAAAGGCCATGGGATTGGGTATACCAGTCTCAACTGAGGCTTTTTTTTTTTTTTTTCTTGAAAGTGAGACTTTACTAATAATGGTTTAAAAAAAAATCACAGAGGGACATTTTACTAGAATTCAAGGAGCCCAGACATCACTAAAAAATAGTTAATTCTTAGTTATAACTGTTGTTGCTGGCAAAAGTTGTTAGTTGTTAGTAATACCGCTCTTTTTAGTTAAAATCCCTACATTTGATGAAAGTGTTGTAGTTGACACATTTCTATTAGAACCAACAATTTCTATTCTACAAAATACCTGACTCTTCACAACTGTCAAGGTCATGAAAAGCAAGGAAATATTGAGAAACTGTCACAGACCAGAGGAGAAAAGGGTGGTATGACAACTAAATGTAATGTGGATCCTGGAAAAGAAAAGCACATTAGTGGGAAAACTGGTGACATCCAAATATTGTTTGGAGTTTGATTGATAGTGATGTAACCCATATTGGAGTCTTAATTGTGGCAAATGTACCAGAATAATATGTGAACAACAGGGGAAACTTGGTGGGGTTATATAGGAACTCCCTGTTCTATATTTACAACTTTTCTGTACAACTAAAACTATTCTAAATTTCTAATTTCATTTAAAAATAGCAGTATCTATTGCCAAGCAGTTGGCAGGATTGGTTGAGATAATAGGTACAAAGCCCTGAGCTTGTAGTAGAGATCTAATAAATATTATTACCCTCCCTTCCATGAAGACCCTTAAAATCCCCCCAATCTTTAACATTTTCTATTATCAGATAAATTCTTTCACATGTACTTCTTCTGTCTTGGTATGGCTGAAAAAAATAATTGTCTTATAATAAACTTTCATAAATTTGAAGGCAGCCATGTATTTTCCTTTCCTTTTCTTCTCCACTATTAATAATCTATTTGTCTTCACCTTTTCCTTGCGGTTACTCTGCTTTCTTCTTTGACGTCTTTTTTCTCTGTAGTCTTTCTAAATTCATTTGACTAAATTTAGGATCCAGATCATACTCAGTACTCTTGCAAAGGCATCCCACGATAAACTTATGGACATAAATCCTCTTTTCTCCATGGTTCTCTCTCCTTCACTCTTTCCCTTGGTTTTACACAGAACACATTCTCAATGTTTCTGTTAAATTGATTTGAATTAATGAAGATGGGATATAGTCAAAGGACTATTTCATAATCCTTGAATGATTTATTATCTTTGCAAACATTTGAGCATGATGTCAGATGTAATTACAACATTAAACTTTTAGCTCTCTTATATTTATTTCAAAGAACCCAGTTAGACAGATTTTCCAGGACATGAGCTACTCTGGTGAACATCACATGCCTTTGGGACTTCCATGAACTCTTACAAAGAACCAAGATGAATACAGTGAAGAAAACTTTCTTTTAGCTTAAAAAAGTATACCTAAGATTTGACTGGAATTTCAACAATTACCAAAAGGTTTCTCACTGGTTTTCAAATAATGCCTGGTAAATCAAGAAGATAATTTATTTTTCCAGGTCTTTTCTTGGTTATTTAGCCAAACTTAGTGTCAGTTTATTTACTTTTCACACTATGTTTTTATAGCTTGTTGCCTCAACTCTCTTTTCTATACTTGTCAATACCGAACTCCATGCTTTTCAGATTAGATGGCAATATTTTGAAGTTGTTTTGGTAGATTACAATAGAAGAAAACACAAACGGAAGTAAGCTGGGAAGAAAAACACATCAACGAGACAAAGCAATGGTGCCTCCAGAAAGTATTTATAGCAGAACACAATAAGAAGGACAAGAAGAAAACAAAGACGATAGGAAGAAGTAGTTTAGTAAATGTGATTTTTCAATCAAGCAAAGTGAAGTTTGATTTAGAAGTTAAATCCTGAGATAAGCCAGTCTTTCAAACTGGGATCTGGCCTTGAATTAGAAATGAGGCCACAGAACTCTGCTCTGGGTAGTTCAGATCCTCCTGGGCATTTAGTCAGGGCCCAGTCTTCAGAAGGAGATGCTGTGGATGCTCTGCCCACATTCCCTTAGATTTCTTAATAATCTCCAAATACAGCAGATTCTGTAGTGCTGCTTTCACTCCCAAAAGCCTGACCGTACCTTTATGGTAGGATGGCCCTTAGGCTGCTGCAGCCCATTTTGCTTAAACTGGTACAGACCAGCAGCATCCATATCACCTAGGAACATGCTGAAAATGTAAATTCTTGTACCCTATCCCAGACCTACTAGATCAGAAACTATAGAAGAGGGGCCCATCAAACTACATTTTATTAAGCCTTCTAGTAATTCTGATACATGCTCAATTTTCAGACCCACTGACACGTGGGGAGTCAAGTGACTGGGAGTTTACATTTTGAGGGAAAGCATCCCTTAACCAATGCTGATAGATGCGAGAGCTGCCTCACCCCTTGTGGGAACAAATCGGAGGCGAGACCTAAACTGTCTCCTAGAACTCCACCACAGAACTGACCCAAAATTATTCTCTGTGGGTCTCTCTCGATAGCACAGCCTTTCTTGGCCTTCTCTTTACTTCCCCACCACCCAACCAGTGTTTCACAGGACCACTTCCTAATAATTCAATTTCATAGGACTCTTCAGCATAGGATCTGCTTCTAGGGAACTAAACCAAAAATACCTTCTTTCATGAAAACCTCAACTTTATTGTTTACAGTCTGGTGATCTGGCATCACATTAGCAATAATCCTAGACTCCACACATGGCACTAGAGGCTGGGGATAACCAGATAAATAGGACTTTCTCTGCCCCTAGAAAACTAGGGGTAGTAGCAGTAGTCGTGGGGGTGGGGGGACAGACACCTGAAAGGATATTGTGTATATAGCAATACTCAAATTCTCAACAGTGTAGGAAAAAATGTTACCCAAAACTCCTGGAAGAAGCAATGGGCCAAGCTCACTCCTGAATGTGGATGAAGACTTGTCAGGGTATGAAAAGTGAATGAAGTATTCCAGCAAAACTCATGGACCAAAACATGGGAATAAGAGACAGAGAAGAACCATGCATAGTTTGGTGTTCATGTGGTGTCTAGTTCAAATTGGAGAGGGGCAGATGATAAAGTGAAAAAATTGGGAAGTTCCAAAGCATAGGAAGACTTCTATGTCCTTCTAAGTAGTGTGGGCTTTATTTGGTGGGTGACAGGTATGTGCTGGTAGGTTTTAAGCATGAAAGTACATGTTCAAATGTGTTCATAGAAAAATCCTCTGATTGAATTAAAAAGGGGCAATTTTATCGGCAGGAAGACCAACTCAAAGGCTATAGTAGAAATCCAAGCAAGACATGGCAAGGTTCTGAACTGGAGGAGAATATGGAACCCAGGAAATATGTAGGAGCCCAAACTGGCAAGATGGTAACTGAATAAATGTAGTATTGATTGACAGGGAGGAATAAGGCAAGGACAAATCCAGATTTCTGGCTTGAGTGATACAATTAACTTAGTCATAACCATTTCCATGTTGCCAGTTCAGAGTAAGGACTAAAACAGCCACACTGAGAATCGCCCCCTTACCTTGGGAAAGCTAGATACAATTAATATTCCAAATCAACACAGTCAATGGAAAGCTTTATCAGTGCTGAAAAATGCAAGGCACCTCTGACTAGTACTGATATAGAATTGCCTAATCAACAAAAACACCAGGTACAATTAATAAATATGCCCTTTCAGTTAAATACAATTTAGGCATGATTACATTAAATGGAGAGTTTATAGAATTTTTCAGTATTTCTTTAGTAATTAACAAAATTCTCTTAAAAGAATTAAACACAGAGATATGCAAAAGTTTACTAGAAGAGCAAATAGTAAAATAAAGATGCATGTGTGTATTGGGGTGGGGGGAATGAAAAACATGATTAATGTGAGCTTTCAACAGAGTAAGCTGCAAAACGAATTCCCCAAATCACTATATGAACAAAAGCAAACACAATACCTAACTCTGGCACAAAAATATTGCCAGAGACAGAACTCAATCAAGCTAAAAGCTGGCTACAAAAAAAGGAGAAACCTATGGAAATGCTTTGGAAGAAGTTTTTACTAGAATCGTGCATGAGAGGGCCTAAAGCCCAACTCAGTCTAGCCCTAGCCTCTAGAATCTGATGCACTGGGAATCAACATGAAAGAGTGGCAGATCTGGCACAGCAACTTGGTTTCCCTTCTGCCCAAAGGTTCAATCTCTTGATTCCCAGAAGGCACCTCCTGAGTAACACAGCTGCAAACCCTCATATCCCTCCTTCCTCATCCTCCATTTGACTTCAAATCCTCATGACATAAAAGAATTAGCAACAGGAAAATAAACAAACCAATTTCAGGCCTTCCTAAAAATAATGATAATGTCTATTGGCCTTATCATCCCACCACTAACCCGAGAAAAGACTGTTCACTAAAGAAGTGGGCTGAGTTGGTGGCAAGGTGACAAGAAGAAGCAGTGGTAGGACTCAAGAGACATTCCTACCACCAAAGTAGCCACACTCTCTTCAAGAAATTTTGTTACATACTCAAATCCCAGCTTGAATAAAACAAGGGTAATGTTAAAACTCACTCATACACACATCCCACATACATGCCTGTTTATCTGTCTGTCTGTCTATCTATCTATCTATCAATGACTTAGACAGCAACCAATCAGAATGGACAATGTTGTAGTTTTAGCGGTAGAGAGATTTCAGAGGAGGGGCTGGGGCTGCCAGGGTATAGCAGGAGTAGGAGGAAGTTAAAGGGTGAATGGGGGCACTTTAAGGGAACAGAGTGGCAGAAAATTTTAATCCGGAGTAATACATTTCAATATTTCAACAACTGTATATTCATACTCATGCATATCAGATGAATATCAGTCCTAGCAAACAAGAATATTTTTCTTGCATTAAACTGTCCAAATCTCAGAATGTGGAGCACAAGTTGGGCATGGCAGAGAGTCTAAGAACAGTAAATAAATTTAATTGACTATAATGGTCTAGGAAAAAATAAGATAGGACAAGTTAGCATTAATAGCCAGAAAAAATGACTCAATTATCAAACTCAAGAGGAGTAAAGGAGGACTTTCATTAAAAGATAGGAAATGCATATTTCTTTAATGGTATGACTGGTTTTTGGAACAGAGAAGTAAATGCTGGGGTGATATGTTAAGGACAACAAGATTTCTCAGAGGAGCCCCAGAACACTCAGGGGATTACTAGTTTTTGAGGAGTCACAGAGGTCAGAACCTGTAACTCTGAGAAAACATCTCTTTATTCTGGGCCTTTCTGCAATTCCTGACCACCAGTCTTTAAAAGGCACAGAAGTGTCAGAGACCAACTTTGGGTGTTGATCCTGAGCTGGTAGAATCTAAAGAAATACAGAAAAGCAGTGTAGGAAATTAATGGAAACTGCATCAACCAAGTTCTAACTGTAATGATTTTTATAAATTTGTCATATTCAAGAGAGTGTGGCCACTACTATAAACACTGCAGCATTAGCAATCACAAAGATGTTCATGGCAGCATTGTTTATAACAGGAAAGAATGGGGAAGACATAAGTGTTTTATTCTATAAAGTTGGCTAGAGTAACTATAATATATCCATTTGATGTGATGTTATGTAGCCATTAAAATGATGTTTATAAAGACTTAGTAATAATGCTTGGAAACATTTTTTAAAATAGGGTATAAAGGGAAGATATACAATTACCCATATAGTATGATGACAATTCACGACAACTACATACCTAAAGACATAAAAATCACCAAAATATTAAGAAGGTTTGGATGTGAGGAAGAAGATTTTGTGTGGCATTTGTCATCCTCTGATTTATTAGCATTCTCCCAATTTAAGCATGGAGGAACAAGATGGACTAAAAACAATAGTGAACTTTGGATAAAGTATGGGTACTTGCTCTACCTACAGACTTCATTTCTGTAGGCAGTGCAAGTCTTAAGAGAGGAATCTGCCTTTTGACTGCACATTGGGAGCCATAACACTTTGTATTCCCTTTGAACAAGACCTTCCCCTAAACAGAAGCCAATATGTGTGTGTGCAAGTGTTAGGGGAGATTTCAGTCACTGATGTACATACCCCTGGGGTCAGCACTTCTATTGGCTGATTTGACACAATCTATTCAGGATGTTTTTCAAATTGTTCAAATATCTAAGAAAATTTTTTGAAGCTATTATGATCACACATTAATAATGGTCAAGAGTATCTAAAAAGTAACTCTTACATGGATAATTTGTATTATTTTAAAATATATTTACCATATGCCACATAGCATGATTGTATAATTCCCACCACAGTCCCATGGTATGTATTCTTATTATCTCCATTGTAAAAATAAGGAAATAGGTTTGGGCAAAATAGGTAACTCAATCATGCAGCTCAGAAATGAAAAAAGCAGAATTTGGACTGAGTGCTCTCTGACCTCAAGGTCTACATCTTTGACCATTATTCTATAGTGTCTTGATTTTTTTTACATCAGTAATATACATCTAGATATGTCAGAAGACCATTTTCCTTTGTCAACATTTGCCCTAGAACAATACCAGGGAAAGCAAGCAATGCTCTGGAAGACACAGGCACGTACTGACTACTCAAGTATCTTATACTGGCCACTTCAAAAACCTAAATGAACCCTATCTTAGAAGCCACAGTTGAAGGAAAATGATGATGTTTGATGGTTCTCCTTTTATTAAATCAGCTTTAAAATGTTACCTGTTTACACAGAAAAAAATCACTTAATCTTTGTTCTAGTTTGCATTTGATAATTTATTTAAGAGACTTAATTATATCTAACCCTAACATTTACTCTAAAAGACTTATCATCATGTGTAGCCTAAAAGGAAACAAATTTTGATCTGGCTAAATGAAATGAAATAGAATAAAGTTCTGGCTTAAAATTTACTTGCTCTTCTACCATGCCTTTCTGACAGAGAAAAGAGAATCTGTAATTAAGGGGCAACTCTACTACCTGCATCCGGGAACCAGACACAGCAACACAAGCAAACCCCCTACAATCCTTCCTAATCACAATTCTGTATTATCAGGTCCTCTGAAATCTTAGACTGAGGAGGGATGGAGTAATATAATTATGAAGGGAGCCCTATATTTTCTCCTACTAAAACTCGGAGGGAGAAAAATGTGTGCAGCTGGAAGATTAAAACTCTAAGCAAAGTGAGGGTTTTTGCAGAATGAGAAATTTGCTGGGATAAGGCAAGCCAACAAGAAAAATTATGGGCTACATCTGAGAGCACAATTCTATGGTGAAATTACTTTCCTCATGAAACACCTTTCCAAAAGAAAGAGCTAAATACAGGAGGCGTTAGAGAATCATTTCAACCCAGATGGGCTAACACTTCAGAGAAGACTCTACAGGGGATAATTTCTCAGAACCTAGGAATGAATGAAATCAGCTGATGGATCTTCCATTGGTTTTTAGCCTCTGTAGAACATTCTATTTTCAGAAAACCTAAACAAAGCAAATCCAAGAAGAGAGGGTTTTTTTTGTATTGTTTTTCATGTGTGTGTCCCAGGCAAAACCAGTTCTTCCTAAAGAAGTAGGAAAAATATAGAAATAGAGACTAAAGAAATATAAAGTGGATATTTACAAAATACTATTCAAATTATCTCCATGGTAATCAAATGCCACTATTTATGAGTTTCCATTGAATTCTTAAATCTCTCTTAATATCTGTATATCACTTATAAACTTTCATATGTATTATCTTATTTAAACTTTCCAAAAATCCTGAGAGGTTGCCAGGGCATCTTAGGCCCACCTTGCAGATGGTGGAACTGGGTTGGAGAGATGAAAGGACTTATTCAAGGACAAATGCAAATGGAAGAATCTGAATTTAAATCACATGAGTATTTGAGTGTGTGAGTTTCATATGTGAGCATGGTAAGAATGCTGCCCTGATTCAAAATCTGAGCTCTGCTGATTTAGGGAACGTACTTAACCTTTTTGTGATTCAGTTTCTTTATTCAGTGAAGACAATAATAGTACCTACTTCATAGGATTGTTATGAAGATAAAATAAGTTAGTATTTGCAAAGTGTTTGGCAGCATACATATGGCTGTTATTAATCGATATACACATACATATTTACTTCCACCTCCCATTTTTAACATAAGAATATATTTGTAAAGTTAAGTTCCCAATATCCACATCAGCATTTCCTGAAACTCCCAATGCATTGTGCAAAATCATTAGGAAGTTAGCACCTGATACCACCCCAGATCCTTAATTGTCTGCAGATCCGCATACAGCTGTCCTCTTACAGTTAACAATCCTTTTTTCAGGTAATTTGTTGCAGTCATGTCCATGTCACCACTCAAATGCAGTATGATCTATTATTTCCTTGTTTATTGTCAGTGTAGATGCAATCTTAGACTTGAAGCTGCCTAAATTATGCAAACTCACAATGACCTAGAGGTGGCACTTTGTAAAAATACTGTAGATTGAAAAACACAGAACAGATCACACTTTCCCCTGATTGCAATTTTTTCATCAATTTTCACAGGCGCAGCCTGGTTATTACTCTTTGTCAAAGAGAGCACATCATCTGAAAGTGTTTTGTATAAAGAATGAGGCTTTGATAAGAACAGGACCTGTCTCTTCAACTTCCCCTCCTCTTCAATGTGTGATACCAGTAGCATCCCTGGAAAACTTGTTAGAAATGCCAAATCCCTGGCCCCATCCTAGATCTACTGCATCAAAACACATTTTAAGAAGTTCCCACGTAATTACTGTACACATGAAAATTTGGGAAGCATTGGGCTATCTCTCTGCAGGTACTTTATTTGCAAATTATGCTTCATTGAAAAGCTGACTTGGCCGGGCGTGGTGGCTCACGCCTATAATCCCAGCACTCTGGGAGGCCGAGGCGGGCAGATCACAAGGTCAGGAGATAGAGACCATTCTGGCTAACATGGTGAAACCCCGTCTCTACTAAAAAATACAAAAAATTAGCTGGGCGTGGTGGCTACTCGGGAGACTGAGGCAGGAGAATGGCGTGAACCCGGGAGGCCGAGCTTGCAGTAGCCAAGATGGTGCCACTGAAACTCCAGCCTGGGCAACAGAGCGAGACTCCATCTCAAAAAAAGAAAGAAAGAAAGCTGACTTAAATGATGACACTCTGCTTGGTGTTCAGTGGCTTGAGTAAAGTCAAGATTATCTAAATTTGATAGTCAGTACTATGATATAATGCAGCAATTATTCTGTCACTAAAGGTATCCAATCTCTCACTGATTTTCTCTTATATCTCTTGGTATTTACTTATCAAAGTTTGAAAAGGCAGATGCGGCCTCACCTGCAACAACCCAGAAAAATAAGAGTGAGTCATCTCATTTCACATTTAGAAGAACAGGCTATGCCCGTCGATTCATAGTTGGGTGAGCCCAGAAATGAATGAAAAGCCAAGCCAGACAATCATCCCTCTGTCAAATGCAGCTCAGAGAGCAACCTCGAAAGTAATGAGCGCCTTGGCTGGAATTAAGAAGTTTCAAGAGACTTCAACAAGAAAAAAAAAAGAGGAAAAGGAAAATAATCAATCACTCTAATTCTGGATCGACTCAAAGCATGAAAGCAGGCATGGACTTTTTAAATGACTAATACCATCAACTCAGAGAAGTGACTTAGCAAATAAGAAAGTTAGAATGTGATCACTAAGGATAAATTTTACCCTCAAGGAGAGACATGGGAGTTGTAAGAGTTCCATGTTCCATCCCAGGAGACTTAGTCACTACTCTTGTGTCAGCCTACTGGACACTTCTGTCATTGACCCAAAGTAAATTTTGAAATTGAATATAATTCAATAAGTATAATTCAATCAATCAGGTATGCACTGTATACCTGGAATGCTAAGAATTTCAAACATGGAGGTGATTCAGACTGTTCTCTCATAGAGTTTATAGGCATTAAAGGTGCGTGTTGAGAGTGAGCATCTATTTCAGTTCTTTGATAAAATTTACTATTTTTATTTCATTCAGGGAAAAGCTGGGAGTTTGTGGTTTGGAAAGCATTCTCTAAGCAATAGGCTCTTAAGCAGAAAGCTGTGATTATATTAAAAACAAATATTTTATATACCTCTGATATTTAATCATTTTTAAAAACTGTATCATATGCTACTGAGTTGTATACTCTGGATCCTATAAAAAAGGTGAGGCAAGTGTTTTTCCTCCTAAATAATAGAAAAAGTTTTTGCATCTCAGAGAGCCAAGTTGTGCTTGCATAGCTATAAAGTGGCAGAAAAAAGAATCTGAACTTGGATTCTATTCCAAAATCTAGGTCTTTGTCTATTGTCCCATGCTAAGTCTTAACTTGCTTTACAAAGCATACCCACACATCTTATTTCACTCTAATTTTGATTTTAAATTACCCTATTACCCTGTGGAGTAGAAAGCAACAGGAGCCATTGATTCTGATTTTCAGATGAGCAACTTGTCAAGTGACTCTAGCAATGGTTGTCAGGATTCAGATCCCAATCTGTGGATTTCTAGTCTTAAATGCTTTCCTCTCCTTCCCTAATACGGGTCTCTCTAAAATTCATTTCTTCTTGGATACCTGGCTTGACAACATTCCACTGCCTCTCTTGCAATTAGGTGTAGCCATGTAACAGAATTCTGGCCAGTGGAATGGAAATGCAAAAAATTCATGTCTTTTCTGAAGCTTGGTCCATAAAATCATCCTATGCGTGCTCCTCTTTGTTGCCTTGTGGCTAACAGTAACAGAGATAACAGTGGCAAACTTGGAAGCCATGTATACACAATAATAGAGCTAGAGTCAACTTAGCTCCCTGAATGACTACAGGGAGCAAACCTACCTTCCCCTCCCACTTTACCACCACCCTCAAACTGCCCGCACAATCATGTAATCAAGAAATAAACTTTTGTTGTGGTGAGTCATTACGTATTTGGATCAGTTTGTTATAGTGATTAGACGATCTTCGCTGCAATATGCAACCATCCTGCGTGTCAGCTCATTTGGGACAGCAGCAGTGGCAGTGGCAGTGGCAGTGGCAGCAGCAGCAGCACCAATATACCTCTTGTTCTGCCTTACAGAGACTATCAAATCCATCCTTGCAGTGATTCTTCAGGGCTTTCATAAATCATTGAGCTAAAATAAGCTGAACAACCAGGCATAGTCAGTTGGAGGCAGAATAGAGAAGTAGATGAGGTCAGGCTTTGCAGTCAAATGAACCTTAGTCTGAAGTCCGGCACTATCATTTATTAGTATGACCATTTTGACTAGTCCTTTAGTCTCTGAGTCGTGGTTTCCTTGTCTGTAAAAAGGTGATAATAAATAGCAATAAGGTCATGAAGAATTTTAAACCATATCACAATGTGTGTGATATGCTTGGCACAGACCTTGGCCCAGTACCTGGCATATGACAGACACTTAGTAACCAGTAGACATTATTAATATAATGTACTACTGAGCATTTCTGTCACCATGACACAGTTAGAATTGCAGCTGAAGGTAATAGGGTGGTTAATAATGATGAATTGGAGATATGAGCTCTGCTTCACTTGGTATTATAAAAAGGGCACATCTATGAAAGATAACTAAAAAGATAAAGCTAAGTATTGTTAATGAAAACAGGACAGATGAATTAGTGAAAAGGAAAAAAGAATATTTGTCTTCAGCACTACCAGGCTTTACTAATAATCCTAGGCCAACCTATCAAGTAAGATCTGCTTATCAGTAAAATGCCTTAGTCATGTCCATTGTAGGAAGGCTCGAGTTTGGCTTTTACTAATAGTCTACATAAACAAACTGCAAGTAACTCAAGATATAGACATTATGGTGCCTCTCACAGGCTTTAACAGAGCTTCAGAGCGTAAGAGAGAAATAGATTTCCTTTTTAGTTCATCATTGGCTTTAATGATAGGGTCATAATGTTTGCTCTATGACTATAGGCTTATTTCTTTCTTGTAATATCTACTAATTTCTTTACTAGATAAAGAAATTCTTCACTGTTTAATTCACTGCAGTAGAGTATCTAAGAAGAAACAATTTTTATTTTTATGGTATTGATTTTTAAGGTTAAACTTCAACTTATGAAAAGTGGCACTAGTTTTCCATTGAGAGAGCAATATAAATGTTCATGGACAGACAGACAGATAGACAGATGATAGCTAAATAAGTAGATTGATAAATAAATGAAGACGTAGATATCCTTTATAAATATATTTAAGTAAAACTAAGTAATTTAAAAATATATTAGACAATTATATTCAAAAATTATGAAGATGATAAGGCAATGACTCAAGTTAGGAAATGCCATTTTAAAGCAACAACAGCCCACTAATATGACACAGGCTTATAATTTCTGCTTTTTTCCAGGCACTTTTTACTCACTGGTGCTATGTTCATTAACAAACAAACAAAATATTCTTTCTCCAGTGATTATTTTTGCCTATGAAATGGCATATAAGATTGCATCAGCCTGGTATCCAAGCACTTCTACAGAATATTCTGATGTTCTGATATTCTCCCCTGCTGCTCCTTTATGCCTCCAGGCTATAGTCAAAAAGAACTTTGCACTGTCCCACTACACACTTTCTCATCTCTGTTTTTGCTTATGCTGTTCTCTCTGCCTAGAACATCCTCCTTACTCCCCATCAAAGAAGTCTTTCTGATTTCTCTTTTCTCTGAAGTACTCCCAGAGCATACAGGTAATCCTCATTTGCATTTATCATACCAGGCCTTGTTTTATGGCTGTGTATCAGAACCACCTGGGAAAATTTTAAAGCTACTGGTGCCTTAGTTCCAGCCTTAGAAATTCTGGTTTAATTTATATATAGTGCAATCTGGACCTAGGATGTTTTCCAGAGCTCTCTAAGAGATTCTAGCATGCAGCAAAACTTGAGAAGCATTGCTACACATGCTCACAATCTTCTCTAAGCCCCACTGTTGGACAGCCGGCTTCTTATGTCTGCTTGTCTTAGTATAGATGGAATAGCAAGAAATACTTGAACAGCATTCAAGAAATACTTAAACAGCCACTTCAGCATTTTTTAGGTCCATCCTGGTCTTGTTCCAGGACACCCAACTCTCTGACAGATTTTAAATCATGATTCTATTCCATTATTTTGCAGGTTATTAGAAACAGATCACCAGGAACAGGAAAACATCACAGCAATTCAGCTAGGCTTTGGACTGTTTCCCCATCTAGGAAATGTATCACACAGGCTATTTTAGGCTGTTAATTAGACATGGAAAAAAAAATAGCCATCTGGTGCCACCAGGTATGGGCATTATAAACTTTTTCTCCAATATCCATATAGTCTAATTCACTTCTTTATAAACTAAATGTCACTTATTAGGTGAACTATTGTTTTCAATAAGGTATCTTTGTGTGGTCATGCTAACTACTTCAGGACACACATATGGGTACAGTCTGCTCTCAGAAACAAACGGTTCACAGTGAGTTTACATGGGGGACATTATAATTCATGGTGAAAATCTGACACCTGGTCCTGAGCCGTACTCAGAGAAATGACTTAGGCCTAAAACATCCAGCATGATCAAGAGTTCTCAAAAATCTCAGCTAGACTTCAGGTTATCTTACTGTTTTTTAAAGGACATTGTCAGCTTATTTTTTTTTTTCTGTGAGTTCTTCTTTTTGACAGTTTACATGTTTTGTTTTATACTTCATCTCTCTCAGCTTCCCAGAGGCTTAAGTCAGTGAGAAATGACATGTCAGCTTCTCCTAAACCATTATTAATGACAGATCAATTTCTGCAACATCATCTGAACTCACATGTATATCCAAGCTCATCTTTGAGAATATTTCAAATCAGCTTTTTGAAGTCTTTGTTCCTGTCTGTAAAAAAAATGACAGAAATTCTAGATTTCTTGGAGGAACTGTTCAGGTACAGGCTCTGACTAACACAAACCAGCTGAACTGAATGTCAAGGAGATGCAAGTCATTTTCCTTTCATTAATTCCTACTAATATTTTTTCCCTCATTTTCCTCTTTCCCCACTTAAGTCTTTTGAATTTTTTCATCCAGTCTTTTAGTCATTTTTGTTTCCTCATCTTTAGCACCTTACCTGATATCTGACTCATTTTTCTTTTTTTTTTTTTTTGATCCCACAAGCTCAGCCTAAGGTTTTGAGGCCTTCTCCTTAAGTATGAATCTACTAGGGGGCACTGTCATCTCCATCCCCTGCTTGTTGACCCAGCAATGCCTGGAACTGGTGGAAATGACAGTTATCTCCAGAAATAGATTTCAGCATGTAAGAGATATGAGATTATGCCATAATAAAAATAGGTATGGATATAGACAAGAACTAGAAAGGGAAGAATGCAGAATGAAACAAAAATATTTTTTAGCATAATAAAATTTGGGGAGATGCTTTGTTTACTTTCATTAGTGCTGTTATAACTGTTAGAATTTTATACTTTTAAATAAAAAATTATGTACTTTTTAAAAAGTTGACTTGAAATCTCTAAAACATCTGTGATTTTTTTTTAAAAAAAAGAAAAATAAAGGGGTTTTGGAAGTGAGTAATCCAAGGAATGAGATAGAAAATAGTGTGTGCCTTTGCAGAGACATACTTAGTACATGGACGTAGGAAACTGTCTCACTGTCTTTATGTACCGTTGACTCTGCAGACTAAAGGATTCCTACACATTTTCCCCCCACTGGACTCTCCTTTATTCTTGCAGGATTTGAGCTGACTCTGTTCTACTACCCCTCTGCAGACTTGCATTTAGTTACCCAGCTCTTCTATGAGATTCCTTTGGCTTCTTTCTTCCGCCCCACTTCACAGCTGTGCAGTGACATCTAACACTTCCCGGCAGCATATGCTGGCAGGAACAGGTGCCAAGTCAGCAGAGACTGTGAGAACGGGAGAGGATCCCATAAAGGGTTGGGCTCTGCTTCGCAGGCCCCAGCTGTCCTTCCCTCCCAGTCTCAGGGACAGAGCAGCCCCAGTTGATCATGCAGGTGTTATTCCACATATATACAGTGTTCTGTAGGGTTTTCAGAAAGCGAAACATTACCTTAGCTGGTTGAAAAACCCTCTGACTTTTCTTCCATTTCATGGGAAGTGCTGTGGATTCAGCCACTTTGTACCTGCACTCCCACCATTGCCCAATAAAATTATAGTAGGGGCAGCAAAGCATCAAGACAGTGTAACAGTTAAGAGCCGGTTCTGCAGTTAGACCTGGGTTCAAATCCAATTTTTGATGTTTGCTAGCACCAGGATCCTGGGCAAGTTCCAATGAGATATGATGTCATTTCTCCTCTGTAAAGTGGCTATTCTTGAGAATCCATTGAGATAATATGTATTAAAGGGTCTAACGCTAGTAAACTCTCAATATATGTCCATTTTTATTATAAGGTAACCTTCTGAATTAGGCTTACAGGCTGAACTGACAGGTAGGAAAGTTGAGGCAATTGCCATCTACTTCAAGAGGACTGTATTTGTAAGGCTAGGAAAAAGGCAAAAGGGTACTTCTGTAACCTATTGAAAGGTCAGCTTCTTTTTACCCACTTCAAATGAGCCCCAGAGAGAAGAGATGAAATGTCTCTTCAGAATATGTTACTACACTTCATTCATTCATTCATTCATTCATTCATTCAACAGATATTTATTGAGTATTGACTTTATGCCAGATTGTCTCATTGGTGTCTAGAACACAGCATTGATAAAGTAAATTTTCTGACCACATGAAACTTAGAGAGTAACAGAGGAGACAAATACTAAACAAGTAAATATACACACAGATACACACAGGTACACACCACGTGTGCTCATTTATAATAGTTCAGGTGGTGACAAGCATGGGAAGAAAAACAAACTGTGGTAAAAATGATAGAGAATAAGGCAGAGAATAAAAGGGAGTGATTACATATTTTATACAGGTGGTCACAGAAACCCTCTCTGATGAGGTGATGTTTGCATATAACCATCTCTGATGACCTCCCAGAAAATTGTTCTTCACTAAAACAAAAGCACATTGGATACAAAGGAATTCCTAGTACTTATGAGTCTCAGAGTAAGTCATTTTTAACTACACCCATTCTCTATATGACAAAATGATTTTCAGTGATCATCATGGAATGGAACAAATATATTTCATGTATACAAAATGTGCGCTCACCAAACAAAATGATCTACTTTGCAGGATCCAAATATTAAATACCAATATAAACACCACAAGTGTGGACACACAGAATGACAGAATTAATTTAACTTGAGGTGCATTTCTTCATTTTTACAATCTCTGTGCTCTCCACGTTTCACATCAATTTACTGTTTAGATACAGGAATACATGGCACCAAGAGGGGCTGGAGACATGAGCTATGCCTGACGCAAGACAAAAATCTGGAACTGTTATGCACTTACCGTCGAGTAGATAACGGAAGTCTTGTGTCAGTGGACATAACTGGGACTTCTCTGAATTAATTTTCTTATAGGCTACAGTGTTTACTAACTAATAATAACAGCAATAATAATAATAATGAGCTATTTGGAGCTTGCATACATTATTAAAATTTAATAGTAACTACTACAACAAAATATTTTGGAAAAGAAGGGGTATTTTATCACTAACATTGTTTGGAAATGCTAGTGTTTGGTGAAAAAAAAAGCAAAACACCTCCGAGTTGGTTTACAATATTTTCAAATTCTCTCTGTACTTGCTTATTGCCTGTATCCAGGGTGTGCTGTTCCCACTGCTCTGACCTCAGTCTGCCACTGGTGGGGGGAGCTGTGTGACCCCTTTCTCTTCATTTCCAGATCTAGCATGATCTTTTCTTCCAAATATGTTTTACACTCTCCCTCTTGGACCTTTTAAACTCTGAATCCAGCAACCCACATCCTGGAAGTAAAAGAAGAAAAACCTGACACAATCACTGAGACTCAACAGAAAAGCTTATTTAATACCCATAGAAATGGGAGCCATACGGCCCTGATGGTTTTTAGAAAGGACATAACCTTACTTTTGAGAGCAGGTGACAGATATTTACTGAGTACTCATAATGTGTAAGAGGACAAGGTAGGCAGTAAGTGGAGACACACAAAGCTATGAGACATGGTCTTAGACTTTAAGTTTTTTGTAATTAAGTTTGAGAGAGAAAACATAGAAATATAGGCAGAAGACATGGGACAAATAAATTCAAGAAATAGAAGTTTATTTAAAAAGAGGAATTATTTTCATCACAGGTGGTCAATGAAACTTCTGTATTTGTGTTTGTCCTGGGTCTTAAAAAGATGAAATTGCACTGGATAAGTAGAGGGAAAGAGGGAGAAAGTTCCAAGTGGGGGCTACATCGGGGCTATACAAAAGGGAAAGTGTGTTAAGAAGTGAAGAAACATTTTGGATGATGTTCAAGATGAGCACAGAATAGCACCATGCAACATCTTAGGAGAAGAACGGGCCCATAGGGTGGCCTTAGATGCCAGGCTAAGGAATTTGGCATTATAGATAGTTTAAGGTTACCAAATGCCTTAAAGGAAGTAACCAAATTAAAGTGGTATTTTAACATGATGAATCTGTCAGTGATGTGAAATATGAGGTAGAGGGAGAAGGAGAAGGAGCAGTGAATTTGGACACAGGCACAAAGTGTTAAGGTCTAAGTTGAGGTATTGTACCTTCAAATATGATGAAAATGCAGGATATTGGGCAACATCATGAAATTAAAACTCAGAGTTTGATTTTATCTTTAATTTGAGGAGTATGAAAACAGGGATCTGGGGAAAAAGAGTCACACAGTTGGGATCTAGAAGTGTTCTCTTCGCTTCCTTGATAAAGTATTTCATGCTGAATATTCTCAACTAAATAAGCCAAAGAAACAAAATAGAGGAGAAACCAGAGAGGCAAATAATTCTTTATGAATCTTAGAACCCCAATGGTAGTTTTTCCACTAAGACCAGTAGAGGCTGCCCATTCTCGAAAACAAGCAAACAAACGAAAGGATCACCTGTGTGATGTTCTAAGATAATTCTGTTCAGTGTTTTCCTGTACTTGGGACAGCCTGGCCTTAAGTCAGATGACAAAACCCTTGGAACCCTTTAGGTATCAGATCTATACTCTATTTCTAATTCTTTTCTCAAGAAAATAAGTAGCCTCTATTATAAACACTTTTTTAAAGGTAGTGTTTTAATCCTCTAAATGAGCTGTATTTCAGGGCTGCACTTAATTTGTGATTTATTCTGTACTACTTAATCCACCTCTTTCTTCAAACAAAGCTCTCTAAAAGAAACCTTCAGCTCTGAAGTGGAGAAAAATGCCCCATTCTTATTTTTGAGTTGCCTCAAGGGAGGAATGTAAGCTTTGAGAGTTTAAGACAGCCAGTATACTCATTGTCTTTATTACAGATCATTTGCTGATGTTAAGGCAGAGTCCATATTACAAGTTCGGTGTTGCAACTGCCCATTCTTCAAAGCACTCAAATTAAACATTAAAATGCTACAGTTTAAACATTACAAATCAAGCATCAAAATCTTTGTGTGCTATACACATTTTTCCCAGTAGACATGCGCATTTGTGTGAGGGGTCCTCTTAGGAGTCAAACAAAGAGAGCCCATATGGTAGGAGATGTGGCAGGATTCTGGTTCTCTAGGGAGGGGACAGGAGAAACACAGACTGGATTCAAAATCCTTTTATTGATACTTTAAGAAAAATGGAGAGTATTCATTTTGAAAGCCCCAAGTACAATGATTTCTACCAGGTTCAGGATTTTGTTTCATTTTCTTGAAAACTGGAGATTTAAATTTTTACTGAAACAAAAAAAAAGCCCTTTTCATTTCTTGTAAAAATGGAGTGTGTGTACAAAAAGGCACAGTACTATTCTGCACTGTATCTACAAGGTGTCAGGGAAGGAGGGGTTTCCACCTTCTGAAATCAGTGCCAATCGCTGTCTGATTTAGTCTTTATTAGGATGATTTTCACACTTCTAAAAAAAACACATCTTTCTAAACATCATGAATAATGGATTGAGAGTTCTGAAATCCCCTTTCTTTCCCTCCACAATTTAAATCAAGCTCTTTCAAAGCCAACATACTACATCTTGGTTGAAGCCTGAAAATGTTATAAATAGTAAAGCTTGAAAATTTTCCACAAAGGTAAGTAGATGAAAAAAAAAAACCCCAAACTTTTTATACCATACATGGGCAAGATGTACTCCTTCCTCATCAGTTCTGTCCTTCATCAAGGCACTGTCGAGTCACAGAACACAATGAACAAAAATGGGCCTCCAAGCTGAACTCTCCTCTGCATAGATTTCTGCCTCCTCATCCCCAAACACAGGCATATGACATTTTCTTTAAGCAAAGCTTGGCGCGGGGAAGCTATATGTAGCTTAAATTCTTAACAGTCTCCCTCTGAAGCTGGGTATTGTTTAAACATGGCATGCTCTGTGTACTCCATGGGATTGAAGTTTACACCTGCAAATTCTTTGCCTAGTGGCAATTTCCAAGCTAGGAGACTTTTTTTCTCTTGCTTCAAATTCCTCCGAGTTTCATTTGAAACTCCTGGCAATGAGCTGTATCAGGCGTTAAATCATGTGTCAGAAACGCCGTATCTTTAGAGTGATGCATAACGCTGTAAGAATATGAAGAGGATAATTTGGGCTGGGGCAATGGAAGAGTTTCTTCATGGACAGGTAGGGAAGGCTTAATAATACATTTTATTCACATAATGTTTTATAATTTCTAAGGCACTCTCAGAAGCCTTGTGTTATCTGATCTTCAAAACAGCCCTTCAAGGCTGTTCTGCTTCTTTTAGAGTTCCAAGTAACTTCCATCCAAAAATATTTGTTGAGCAACTAGTATGTGCCAGGTGCTGGCATACAGGAGTGAAAGCACAAAAGCTACGGTCTCTGCTCCCAGGATCTCTGGGTTGAGAGAGAGAGGCTGACAATATGCACAAAACACAAATGAGTCATCAAAACCGTTAAGATAGTGAGAAACGCCATGAAGAAAAACCTCAGGGTAACATGTGTTGGAGGGTGACAGAGGGAGGAAAGGCTACTCTTAGGGGTGACATTTGAGCTGAGAACTGAAAAAAGTGATTAGCATGCCATGGGGTGATTGGAGGGAGGAATGCATCAAGTAGAAGGAAGTGTAAGTTCAGCAGCTTGGAAACAGGAAGGTTCTTGGTATGTTCTACAAACAGAAGGAAGGCCAGTATGGCTGTAGCTGAGGGAGCGGATGGAAAGAGATGAGTTGGGAAGGTGAGAAGGAGCTACGCACTTGAGTAAAAAGAATTAAGATGGAGAAGGAAGATGTGGGGCTCATATTTGCTGAGTACTTACAATGGGCCAGGCCTTGAGCCAAATTCACAGCCATAAGTGGTGGGACTGGGACTCAAATTAGGTTCCCTGACTCCAAATCCTGTACATCTGACACTATACCACACTGCCTCACCCACACCCTACCATCTGGAGGCTAGCTTTGGTTCACACAGGTGGAAACAGGGGAAATAGAAAAAACATTAATATTTTGCATCCTCCACAGGATCCTCTTCACCTGCTGGCCTATCTCTTGAGTGATTTTTGCATGAGGGGCATATTTTTGGCCTGCATGTTAAAATCCGTTTTTTTTTTTTTTTTTTTTTTTTTTTTTTTTTTTTTTACCTCCTATCCTTAGTGGCCTCTGGGCTGAAGAATCAGCTTACTGGTTCTACACTCTGGGGTAAATTCAAAGCACTGCAGATAGAATATAATTATCAGAGGAAACTGAAAAGGTGACTGCAAAAGAAAGATAAAACATACTTAATGCCTCCAGGAAATGAATCCAAATGGATCTTGATCGGTGTTGCAAGGAGAATGCAATATAAGTTCTTTACCCTGACTCTCCTTCAAGCAAGTTTGAATACTCTCTCTCTCACTGCTTTTACATGAATTCAAATTGCTTTAGAAACCTGTCATATTGAATTAGTAAAAGCAGATAATAATTCAGAGGGGTGCCAATGTGGCATTATTGAAAATCGCTGGTTGGAAGGCTTCCTGCTGTATTATTCAGGGATTATAACTCACTTTCATCACCATGTATCAGAATGAACAAATGAGGAGATTTCTATGGTTTTTGGATTAAGCTTCTTTGAAAGTTTATCATAAAGATGAGGTGGCCTACATTATGAACGATAAGTGTATAGAGAATGTCTGCATTCATCAACAAGAGAACAAGGAAACAAGCGCACACCCTTGGGTTGGCCACATTGTATGGTCACTTGGAATGGACCACAGTCAGAAACAGATCCTGGGGTAGTCCAGCAGAATGGTCAAGTTTCAGAAGGCCTTTGACCTTGATATGACGGCAAACTCAAAGGCTAGGGGAATTAAGAATCAATAGCAGAGACATGAAAAATAAAATACTCTTCCTTCTAATCTTAATGGTTGGCCATCTCCTCAGAGAACCCATCCTCAATCACTTTCTGACATGATACCCTCATAATTTTTTTTCCATTACAAGATTGCAATTTTTGAAATACATCCATTCCTTTAATTACTTGTTTGGCTATTTTCTATCCCTCACACTCCAGAAAGTAATGTGTTTGAGAAGTAGGATCTTAATTTTCTTACCTCCAGAGCCTAAGAGCAATGCCGGAAGCATAGTAGGCATTCAAAAAATATTTATTGAATGAAAATTATACATGTGTATATATCTATATATATATAGATATAGATATATGCACATATATAATAGCAGAGGCCATTCTTTGTGTAATAGTATTGTTTGATCAGCTGTTACAGTAAATAAAGTCTATGCAATCTAGAATCCAGGCAGTCACTATGAACTATCTTTGCTGAGTGTGTCTGAGCAAGTCAATTTACTTATTTAAATGATTTCTTTGCTTACCAGAGACCATCTTTATGTCTCATAGTTACTTTGTGGAGGGAATCTTGTCTGTGGAATAGTTGGGAAGGAACTATGGGTCTCTGCACAATGTAAACATCCTCTTTAGTAGGCTCAAAAAATTTTATCCAAGTTCTCAACACCTGCTTCTTAATCCACATGACAAAGATTTATCTCTGAGATTTCTTTAACTCAAAAAGTCTATTTTTTCCTGCAACTATTAATTTGAAAAGTTTAAGTCTAAGTCTACTGAATAGTTGTGAGAATTGCAAATAAACACTCTGGATTGACCAATTGTTAATATTCTGTCATGTTTGCTTTCCCTCTCCATGTATGGATGTATGTCTGTGTCTTTGTCTGTATCTATGCATATATGTATGTATGTCTGTATGTGTATGTGTCTGCAGGTCTATGTTTTCATATGCATATGTATATGTGTATATTTGTATATTACCTGTGTATATATGGGCATTATATGTGTGAGTGTATGTTTATGTATGTGTATTTTGGCTGAACCATTTGAGAGTTAGTTGTAGACATTGATATACTTCATCCTCAAATAGTTCAATATGAATCTCTTAAGACCAGGAATATGGTCCTATACTGCAATTATCACACTTTGGAGGTCCAAAATTGATACCTAGACTATTTTCTAATAAGCAGTGGGTTTTCAAATTTCCTTAAGTGTCCCAAAATGCCCTTAATAACTTTTTATTTTTAATCCAGGGTTCCATTATGAATCACACATTATATTTCATTGTCATATCTCTTTATTTTACTTTAATTTAGAACTGTTCTCCAGCATGGTTTTTTACCCTGTCCTTTATGACACTGACATTTTCGTAGATTCCAGGGTCAGTTGCTTTGCATAATTTTTCCTCATTTAAATGTGTCTGATTGTTCCCCCTAATTGTATCCAGGTTAAAGTCTAACATTCTAAGTACCAGGTATGACCAATATGAAGTAGATGTGAAATAACTCAGATTCTCAAAGGAATTTTTAGGCTGAGTTACCAAATGAATGAATAAAAACACTTCTGACATAGGTACTGGGTATTACCTGCTAAGGCAATCTCCTCTTCTGAATTTGTTAGAACAAAAGCCTCATCAACACAATTAAGTTAGTGCTTCCCACATATTAGTCACTCGAATACTACCTTCAAGATTTCTGCTATATCTAAGCTCTACCTGTGTTCATACTTATGTAATCTTCTTCTTGAAGTCAACTTATTTAAATGATTCCTCATCCTAAGAAATAATATCTGCATAAATGGCTTTGTTATGCTTGTTTTATTTTTCTAATACTTATCAAAGCATATGTAAATACCAAAAAATAATTCGTACACATCTAAATCACCTTTCACACCGCAGTGGTATACTTGGAAATGCTGAGCAGAGCGTGGTCAAATTGCTCTTTGTGCGTATATGTGTGTGCATACTTGTGCATGAGTGTGTGTCTATGCAGAATTCGCTGGTAAGAAAAGGCTTCTCAAGAACTAAGAAAACAAGAAAATGCCAAGGTTGCCCGGCCAAACTGGGGACCATATCCAAATAAATGACAAGACCTGTAACTCCTGAGACTTGCAGCTGCTATATATAGTCCCCTGACATCAGACTCACTGCATCCTCATTCACTTTCAAATCATTCAACAGACAAGATTGAAAAGGGGCTCAGGAAAATGCTACTCAGCCAAACTCTGACAGTGATGGAATCCTTGTGTCCTCCAGAAGATCACTCTTTGTGGCCTGTAAAAAAGGCACATTGCATCACAGAATTCCTGACACTTCACACCTACTGTATATCCCAGACAATGAGACTGAGGCCCAGAGACCCTTGTGAGTTGTCCAAGATCACACAGCTGGTGGGTGGGTGGAAAACTGGGAGATGACTCTAAATGCCCAGGCCAGCTCATTCCACCACTCCATGCTGAGCCCTGGGCTGACATAACCATTTCTCTATAAAACCATCTATACAGGTATATCACACACATATAAACACAGACACATATATATGTGTACATACATGTATGTGTCTAGTGTATATGGTTTTATATATGTGTTTTCATACAACCACATATATATATACATATACATGTATACACACACACACACACACACACTCACACATATGTGTGTATACAAAACCACATCACCATTCTGGATTCCTGAGTCCCTCCCAAGTCCTCTTACAACCATGAATGTGTCCAGCCCCAAGGAGAAGGGTATTCCACAAACTTCATCCCTTATTGTCTTTGTCACTCACCCACCAATTAGTTTTCCCTGTGTCGCTGCATATGTGAACATCGCAGACTAAACCAGCCCACACTTGAATGCTCCTGGTAATTCTGCCTTTTTTTTTTGAAACGGAGTCTCGCTCTGTCACCAGGCTGGAGTGCAGTGGTGTGATCTCGGCTCTCTGCAACCTCTGCCTCCTGGGTTCAGGTGATTCTCCTGCCTCAGCCTCCCGAATAGCTGGGATTACAGGAACACACCACCACACCCAGCTAATTTTTGTATTTTTAGTAGAGACAGGCTTTCACCATGTTAGCCAGGATGGCCTCGATCTCCTGACTTCGTGATCTGCCTCCCTCGGCCTCCCAAAGTGCTGGGATTACAGGCACGAGGCACCACGCCCGGGCAACTCTGCGCATTTAATTCCTGCTGATGTGTAGTGATATTCTTAAAGTCCAGTCATTGACCTAGAGCTGGACCTCCTGCTTCCTTTTCACCGTGCCAAAGCCTGTAGAGAAACAGGCCTGTGTGGGGTCGGGGTGGCTGAGGAACACCCTATACCTGTACCAGCAGCTTGCTGACATCCAGCTATTCATTTGGCCAAGTCATTCTCAGAGACTCTGCTCTCTCCGCCATCCCCACATCCTATGGGTTATGAAGTTCTCTGGCTTATTTCTCCTTAGCTTCTCTCCCATTCATCCTCTTCTCCTTTCCTGAAGATACACCTTGGTGCAGGCCTTCATCTTTCTCCCCTAAGCTATTACAAGGTCTGCTGGTATCCCCACTTGCTGGTAGAGCCATCTCCTCCACCACACCAGTGGCTCTCAAAGTTTGGTCCAGGGACTCCAGGAAGTCCCTAAGATCCTTGCAGGGGATTCCTGAAGATGAGACTATTTGTACAATGTGATTAAGATGTGATTTGCCTTTTTTATTCTTTCTCTCACAAACATACAGTGGAGTTTTCTGAAGCCTCCTGACATGGAATATCACAACAGAGTGAATGTAGAAGCAGATATGAGAATTCAACTGTTTTCTATTAAGCGAGACATGAAGGAGACGTGCAGAACTATACAATAATACCACTCTTCTCAGGAAATATTTTTTGTTTTGCACAACATAATTTTTTTCATAAAAATGTGTTTTCATGTTAACATGTGATAGGCTTACCTTTTTCAATTAGTAAACATTTTAAAATTTTATCAGTTTTAATTTTTAATATGGTGAATATGGATAAATATAACCCACATGAACAAGACCTCTTTAAGATCCTCTGTAATTGCTGAGTGTCTAAAAGGGTTCTGATACCAAAAAGTTTGAGAACTACTCTGACATTTAACATTTTTTAATTTTTTAAAAATTTGATTTTTTTAAATTTATTAATTTTTTTAAAGAAAATCTATTTTATCAAGTTACTCCGCCATTTTAATCCATTGATATACAGAGGATAAAACTCCTCAAGGTCATCATTGCTGCTTTACCACTGTACATAGGCTAACACCCTATCATACCACCCCAGTCTCCTGCCCCAACGTGCCCACGTTCCATCCTGCCACTTCCAGCTCGGGTTTCCTAAGCCAACTGCAGTGGTTTTCTATTGTGTTGACTTAGCTACGTGGGAACATGTTTCCCAGATTTCCCTTTCCTGTGGGAATCCAGTCGAGGTTGGCCATGAAAAAAGTCATCCTGAGATCTGGAAGGCAGACATGCCATGCAGAATTACACTTGGAAGGCACCATCTCAGCTAACACACATTGCTGCTAATCTCCTGACTGGCAGTGTTAGGGAGAGCACAGGTGGGCCCACAGCTCTTCCACATCCCCCTGGGTCTCCACCCCCAGTTTCCTAGTCTGGGTGTGCAGCTCCAGGGCAAAGGGTGCCTGCTTCCTCCTTAGGCCACCTATGCTACTGGGGCACAGGTCCTAGTTCATCCTCATAGGTTCTAGTTTGCCCTTGCTTCTCTTCACACCAGTCCCGATTTCTTCTTCTCTGAGCCCTGCTGACCTAGAGCAACTTCAGTCCCACCACTAGCAGTAGAGGCAATACCTGCCATAGATTTCTTCACCAGCTTCCTTCACGGTCCCTACTAAGTGACTTTTTGTGCACTGCCAGACCTTTGCATTCCAAACATCTCCCACAACTGTAGAAAGTCTGTTTATTCTAGTAATAAATGTATTATTCTATGTCATTCATAAGGACTCTGCTTCCCTGTTCACACCTCAATTCATATGAAGTCTCCAGGTGTCCTTCCCTGCCTCTAGCTGTCTGGGAGAACACCAATTTGACCTTTCCTGGATCAACTCAGGATTCCCAAAGTCCTTTTTAAGCCATTTCGCCAGCTCACAGTCCAATGGATATGACTCTTGTGCTCTCCATGTCCTTCCTACACCCAGCATGCCATGCAGAACTCCACTTACAGTGCTTTATAAACACAGTTTTCCACAGGTCTCTCTTCCTCCTACAACTGCAAGCTCTCTGAGATCAGAAACAGGATCTCATGATCTATACCTTTGTATCCCAGTCCCATATTTTAAAAATAACCCTGACAGAGGGGAGGCAAAATAAATATGACATGGATTTTTAAATGTCAGTTACTGGAAAAGAGGATGAATGAGAAAGGCTGGGATTAGCAAATTCTTTATTTCTAAGCTGGGGTCTGCATAAAGCAGCGTTTTCATTTGTTTGTTTGTTTTTGTTTTTTGGGTTTTTTTTTTTTTTTTAGTTTATAAGGCATAACAATGACTTAGGGAGTTTTGGGGGTATGTTTTGTTTTGTTTTATTTTAAAGTAGATTCCTAGTGCCATGCTTTCATATATTCTGATTTGCAGACTTGGGGCAGGGCCTAGAATTCTTCAATTGAACAAGACACAGGGTGATCTCACGAAAAGAGAAGAACACAGCTTGAGGACCACTCGTAAAAAGAATATAGTGGGAGGATAGGGGTTTAGGGTAACAATTCTTAAATTAGGCTCTTTGAATCACTTAGTGGGGAGAGTAAAGGGAGTAAGAGAAACTTAACAAAAATGCAGTTTCCTAGATCCCACACCAAATCTTCATAATCAGAGGCAGAGGTGCTTTAAAAGTGATGGCTGCCTTGTGGGGCTTGGAGCAAGGAACATTCACTCCTGTGCTTTAGCTGTTTATCCATCCTGATTTGGTGTAGAGACATTAACTTCCTGTCTTCATCTAGTCACCTAAACTCACCCCTGAACCTTCTGTCTATGAAGCAGAGACCATGTGGTGTCTCTGGATATAAATAATAAATACTCATAAGGAAAGGCCTTTGGGAAGGGTCACACAAAAGGATTCTAAAGAGAAGGTGGGGAGATTTTTGGAAAAATATTAGATTAACAAAAAGACTAAACAAAGTGGTTCATAGAAAAGACAACTAAAAACTGGAAAGACAAGCAGGACTCTAACATTTCCAGTGAGTTTAAAGCCCACACGGTGCTTCTGAATTCCTCTCCAATTGTTTCTTCGTATAGTTTATACCTGTCCTGTCCATGCAGTAATCACTGGCCACATGTGGCTATTGAGCACTTGAAATGTAGCTAGTGTGACTGAGGAACTAAATATTTAAGTTTATTTAACTGTGATTAATTTAAATTTAAAGATTTAAATTTAATTTAATTTAATTTAATTTAATTTAAATTTAATTTAAATTTAAAGATTCCAATTCAGTCATTGGAAAATGTTTAAGTATGTTTGAAACAATTTAGACATATGAACCTGTTTTTTTCAACTGTAAATTTTATCAACTCTAAATATAGGTCAAGTATTTCTAATGAAAATTTAGTGTCCAAAGTGCAACATGGTGTAAGTATAAAATATAACACCAGATCTCAAAGACTTAGTCTGTAAAATTCAATACATTTTATTAGATTACAAGTCAAAACGATAATTTTGAATATACTGGGTTAAGTATATTACTGAAATTAACTATACCTTTTTCTTTTTACATGTTTAATGTAGCTACTGAAAAAAATTTTAAATTACACAAGTGGCTACCATTATATTTGTATTGAACAGTGCAGCTCTATTCAAGACTATATAGAATGGGACTATTTAATGAGGGAAAAGAGTGTTCCTCTATAAGGTATTCATTCCAGGGGATTATAAGCTGACTCCAAGGATGTTATCATTTTGGAAATGCAATCCTTTCTGAATCTCATCCCTACCTCGTCTCCACCTGCTACAAAGCAACCTTCAGGGTAGCTGATGAGCCCCTTCCAAAAAAATCCTTAGGACTTTCAAGTCCCAATCTGGTGTTCACACACCTTGATTACCTTCTTCATTCAGCAGCCTTACTTCAATTGACTTTGGCTCATTTCAAAACACCAGACCTACCCCAAAACAGTCTAAGAATGAACACTGATGACAATATTCAAAGCATTATACCACTGGTTCTCAGAGAAGACCCAACACTATTTTGAATAAAGGCAACAGCATCTCTCTCCAAAGGGACCAATTATGAAGTCAATTGCAAACTTTAGGTTGAACTATGGCATGTTTGTTAAATAAGTTAACAACCAGTAAATTACATTCTTTTTATAATCCCATCTGCAGGTCTTATTTTTCTAAGAACTGCTTTAGTTGTTATTTTCCACATCATCAGGTATTGATTCACACTTTGAGACAGAAGTTTATAACTTGAGGGTCTGACAGGTCCATGATGAGGCCATGGCTAGAATGCAAGGGATCCACAACTGTATAGGATCTTTTCTGATTTTTTTTTCCGTTGACCCTTAATTGAAATTTGGCATTTCCTTCCATTTAAAAGGCAGGCAACAGACTACACTACCTTTATAGTACCTATGACATCACCAATAAAAGTCACAACTTTTTTTTTCATATGACAATATGTTTTCTACAAATCCTGAAATTTTTTTTATATCATGACATTAAAGTCATGATAGTTAATTTCTCCTGATCATAGCACCTCATAATATATAGAAACAAGTATTGGTCAATTTTCACTTGGCAGTCATTCAGCCATGAAAGGCGGAAGATGCATTATCCCACCCTAGATATTTAGACATCTACAATGCTTTGTGGAATTCCTTATTCATACTTGTTTGTTCTTCATCAATGGAAAGAAGTCTGCCATTTAAATTAGTTGTTACAATTTTGCAAAATTGGAAAGTTCAAATGAGAATTTTTGATTCTTCATAACTTACTATTGTTGTTTGAAATATGATATACATGTAGGCTACAAGTCTAGACCAGGCAAGTTCAAACACATCTGATGGTTAAACAAAATGTTGAAATGTGTTATTCAAAGTAATTTTAAGATTATTATTGATGACACATTGGGTGATGATATTAGTCATCCATAATGTTGTAAATTCTGTGAGATTCAGTGTACTTTGTGTTATTATTGTCTTGCTCTTGGTAATCCTATGTACTTTTTTAAATTTAAAAATATCATTCTGAAAAAGGGTACATAGGTTTCACCAGACTGCCCAGGGATCTATAGTAGGAAAAATAGCTAAATCTCCTGCTCTAGGCATCCCATGACTAATCTAGGACCCTGAATATCCACGTATTACTAGAGATGGCTGCTATCCACAGAATCCACAAGTGTTTCCTAGCCCTGGACACAATGTGTCCAGACTTCCTGGTCAATTTACAACTCAGTGGAAAGAAGACCTCTTCATTGCCATCCACGTGAAGGAAAGGTAAGGTAGAGAAAAGAACATGACTTTATAAAACTAGTAATGGCACACAATTTCACCTGAGAAAGCCCTAGAAGTTGACGGTGAATTTGAGGTGGTGGAGGTTGAGAAGCAAACAACAACTTCATGGTAACTCCATAAATTACCACTAATTTTTCTAGAAACCAGTTGGTTCTTCAATATGAAAAGTGAATTATTCTTACCTGTTCCTACTGATGCCATTTCCCTCACTCAGTTGAATACAACATGAATGTACATTTAGAAACACATCCTGGCCAACACAGTGAAACCCTGTCTCTACTAAAAAATTAGCTGGGCATGGTGGTGGGCGCCTGTAATCACAGCTATTCTGGAGGCTAAGGCAGGAGGATTGCTTGAACTCGAGAGGCGGAGGTTGCAGTGAGCCGAGATCACGCCATTGCACTCCAGCCTGGGTGACAGTTAGACTCCGTCTCAAAAGAAAGAAAGAAAGAGAGAAAGAGAGAAAGAGAGAGAGAGAAAGAAAGAAAGAAAGAAAGAAAGAAAGAAAGAAAGAAAGAAAGAAAGAAAGAAAGAGAGAAAGAGAGAAAGAGAGAGAGAGAGAAAGGAAGGAAGGAAGGAAGGAAGGGAGGGAGGGAGGGAGGGAGGGAGGCAGGGAGGGAGGGAGGGAGGGAGGGAGGGAGGGAAAGAAAGACTACAGCACTCTCCAGTTAAAAAGAAAGCTATATGGGCTTTCCACACTAAACCCAGGCTGGGCAGAAGAAATTGATGCATATTGGAGGCCCATATTTTTCAGCACTGTTGTCCTAACATTTAGAAACACCCCTGGCATAAAAACAACACTGTAGCTTTTAGAAATTGTGTCCTGTTTTTTTTTTACACTAAAAAATGAGATTTAGCCCACAATTTAATATTGTCAATACATACTCTTCATTACACAACTGGCACGCCAACTGTTACCTAAGCACTTCAGACTCTTCAAATCCCACACCCACACATTCTGAACTCATCTGCATCCAGATATGAATAAAGATGAATAGCATCTTGAGGAAATTGCTTCTCCATTCTCAAATGGCAAAAGCCATGGAGTATACTCCTCATAGTGTCTAAGGAATTTCTAAGAGCAACAAGAAAGCATCCTAAAGTCACCATTTTGTAAAAAAAAATCACATCCTTCTATGGCAACCTGCCCACTGGGGATTTCAAATTAAAAGGCACCTTAGAATTCCCTTCCTGTAATTCTCTCTCTTTTTTTTAAAGGACTTCTTTATTTTACTAAACTCAAGTTAATTAGGTTTTGGCAGGTCAGCAGCTCCACTCAGCATCTCTTTATAGGGAATGGTTCTAAGAGATCTTGATGAAATTGCAAATGCTTAGAAACAGTCACTTGCTTGCATCCTGGGTAAATAGGAAAGCATGCTGACTGTATTTATTTTTGTATCATTATATCACCGTGGGGTGAGCTAGTAAAAAAAAGTAGAGGTTGCTAATATTTTGGGGTGTGTGTATGTGTGTGTATGCGCATCCTAAAATAATTTATTTTTTCTTAATCTCAAACCATTATTCCATGATTGCAAGAAGTCCCCAACACTAGAATAAATTGTTCACTAAATGTTTATTTATAAATTGGATATTTTTCACTTAAATCATTAGTGTTCATTGATTCATTAAACAGACAGTTACTGAGTGCCAATTATGTGCCAGGCTGGTGGTATACACAGATGCAAAAGCGAGGTCCATTTTTATCCCAAGAGATGCTTACAAGGTGACTAGATGCCCAGGCTAACCTACATTAGTTTCTTGTCTTAGCTAGGGCTGCCATAACAAATTGCCATAGACTGGTTGGCTTAAACAACAGGAATTCATTTCTCACAGTTCTGGAGAAGATACCAGCAGGGTTGATGCCTGGTGTAGGCTCTTTCCTTGGGTTGCAGACAGCCGCCTTCTCACTGTGTCCTCACATGGCCTTTCCTTGGTGTGTGCAGGCAGAGAGAGAGAGAGGAAGCATGCTTTCTGTTGTCTTTTCTTGTAAGAACACTAATCTCATGTTGAGGACCCCACCTTCATGACTTCATCTAGATCTAATTACTTCCCAAAGGCCCTATCTCCAAATACCATCACATTGGGGGTTAGGACTTTGATACCTCCTTAATAGCAAATGTGGTATTTCATCTATAATATTAGTTCAGTAGACCAAGGTGTCTCAAATCCACCTCAGAGGAGAGGAACCTTGGCTCCTCTGGGACTCCTGCAGTGGCTCAGGGGATAGGGCTCCAGAAACTGGCAGGAAATGGGAGCTATAGAGGCATCAGACACTGCAGTCCTGAGGTCCAGGTGGCTTGAGGCTCAGAGGAGACTAAAACACATTCTGAGGCTCAGGTCAGTTCCAGAAGCAGAGGTAGTAAAATTTCTGCAGTGGAGCCAAAACTCATAATGAATGTGCTTCTGTAAGTTAGGTATCCTTATTTCAAGGTCTGCCTGTATCTTTGAAGCTTCTCATGATCATGTTCGATCAGGCAATACAACAAAACAAATAAAGATAACACAGATCAGACAACGCCAACATTCAACGTATTATAATAGCCTGGAGTTTTTGCAAAGCTGCAATTACAGAGAGCTTTTAACCAGGCCCAATGAAGCAAGCTGGGTACATATCCAACTCTCAGCAGCGTCAAAGCCAACATCCACCAAGCTCAGCCCCTCAACCAGAAATAATTTGACTTTTATAGGGTTTGATCATTTCCTTAAAAGCCTTTATGATCAAAGCCAACCTGGAATGGAAAGGGATCAAAAGATGGGAAATTACGCAAATGCAAGTGCAGATTTTGACATAATCCCTACTAACAAGTAGTGCAGCAGATTCTTTTTCAGAGAATCCTCCCCCCATCTCAAGGGAACAGCCAACACACACCATGTCGAGGTGAATTGAACCTTTTCCCTGTCACCCTGAATCCATGCAGAATCAATAAATAACTCTTAGCTGGATCTTTGACACACAGACATTCAAAATGGAATGTCAAGCTCCTTGTGATGTTTTTAACAGAATAAAGGGGAAAACTACACCTACGTTTTTCTTCCCCCATCTATTGTTAAAATTAACAAGGCAGGTGAGGACATTCAGGTATCTTTGGGTGACTTAAACCATGCGTAGGGCGGTACTGAGTGTATGGCTCTGCCACAGCATGCTAGGACCCAGGAAGAATTCTAACACTTGTCTGATTCTTTGCAAGGGTTTTCATCTCCATCATCCAAAAAGCTCCTCACAGCAAGGCATGAAAGACAAGAAATATAGCCATCTGGCAGAAAACCAAGGCTCAGAGAGCTGAAGAAACTCTCACCTGTGGTCAACAGCTAATGGCAGAATCATATTCAAAATAAGAAATTTCAATTGCAGAGCTTATCATCTTTAACCAAGCTTGGCAACCCAGGGCTCCACTTTGCTGTGGAAAGCTGAATATAGCCTGCATATGTGTTTTATTTTGTTTTGTTTTATTTTGTTTTTAATTTAATTAGTTCTACCATGTTTTAATTGAATTAGTTCTACAAAACATTAGGAGCTTACACATAAAAATATGGATTTCTGACACTTTTTGGAAAACCCAAAGTTCCCTATATTGGTGCAGGCAACAGGAAAATTTTAAAAAAAGGACTAAAAGGAAACTGCAGCTCACTCCCTGGAAGATCTTGCCATAACCCAGAGCTGATCAAAGATGTCCTCTGTCTGTGACCTCATGCTCAGCTGCATAAAACCCTAACAAGTCATTATTCTGTTCCCTTTTCCTGTGTCTGTGCTTTCCCTCCTCCTGGGATATTCCTATCTGTCTTATCAATTTTGTGGGTATATGTAATCATCTTCCAGGATTCGGTTCAAATGTCCCTGGTTCCATGAAAAATTGACCATGAAGTCAATTCTGATACCCCTGGAATAACCAGGCTTTGTTCAGGGTTCTTGAACATTTTCTTATGCTTGTTTTACAAACCTGTTTTCATATGTGCATATTCAGTGCTGAGTACACTGTAAGCAATCAATAATATTTTGTTCTATACTAATAATAATAACTTAAGTAGTACTTCTCATGTGCCAGATACTGTTAAAAAGCACCTTGTTCATGTTAATTCATTTAAGCCTCACAACTACCTATTATTATACCCATTTCACATAGAGAAAACTGAGGCATACTAAAGGTTAGAAAAATTTCCCACAGTCACTCACTCAGCTATTAAATGGCCGACTAATTAGAACTTAGTCGGGCTACCTTTGGATGAATGGGTGGATGGGTAGGTGGATGAATAATTAGATGGAAGAAAGGGAGAGAGAGAGAAGAAGAGAAAGGAAGAAGAGAGGGGAGGACAGATAAACTGTCAGCAATAGGGAATGGCAGTGGAGGCAGATGTGAAAGAGCGCTTTCTGTTGCAGGAACATCAAGTCTTTTGGTGGGGCAGGGGCAGTGGTATATGCTTGTAAACTCTACAACCAGCTTTCTAGGGGAAAATGCTTGCTTTGTAGTATAAATAGTGGTGTAAATCCTCCTACCATGGCTGATTTCATGATGCCAACACAATATCTGATCACAGAGTTGGAGAGAAAAAATGTGGACAATCGTCAGCACAGGCCAGTTCGAACACACCAGAGCACAGGGTATGCCAAGGAAAATGGCAGGTAAAGCGACAGGTAACAGCCAGGTGACAAAGGACTGTGGAGGCCAAAGCAACTCCATCTTGGATGCTAATCCACCATGTTGACTTCTGATTAACTTCAGTTCCTGGAAGGCCTCTAAGATTTCCCACTTATCTAATGTTCCTTGTGTAAGAACAGGTACTTACTTACTATAAATCCTGCCCTTAGGTCAAACAAACTTGATGTTACCCTACTTCAATAGTTCTACAAATCCTTTCTGAATCACCCCTTTCCTACCATATATAAACCCTGGGTCTAGGGGGTAACGGCTCGGGGATCCACCATCTTGTCTCGCCATCGCCCGAGATACAGATATGGCTTCTGTTCAGAAGTCCCAATTATAGGTTTCTTTCTGATAAACTAGATTTGTCAGCCTCTTTCTTCAGCCTCTCAGCTTCCTTGAACTTTGAGATAGGTTTGCATAGACCTGCCCATTGCTAAACAAGGATCTATTAAGCCATACTAAGGATGTAATCCTCTTATATGCAAGCAGGAGTGATTTAAAGGTTTTTAGCAGAGAGTAATATGATCATATGGTTATAAAGAGTTGGACACAAGATGGGCACATAGTCAAAATCTTAGGAACCTTCTTCATCTTCCAACATCTTGCCCGCATGGCAATTATTGCTGCAAGAAAAGTTATTAATTGTTTCACCCCTTTGTACCTTGTCCCTTTACCAGTCAGCTATTGCTCTTTTTGTGTCACTCCCCCTCATCCTTTTATTGTAGGCTCCCAGAAGTGCTCCAGATGTAACAGACCCTCAGGACTGCAGAGTGTCCATCTATCATTGTTGGATCTGTAACATATAAGGGCTGGAAGCCCTAAGCAAAGAAATGAGTCTGAGTCAACTTAAACAGAGAAGACATCATATGGAGTAAAAATAAAACAATGTCAGACACATCCTTGACATTATAAACCCATATAACTGAAAGGGATTTTAGAAACCATTTAACTCCTAATTTCCCTCTTACGGGGGAAGTAGAGCCCAGAACATTTGATGTAACCAGCCCAGTGCCACAGAGATGGTTAGAGTCAAAGCTGGAACTAGAACTAGGTTGCCTGGTTCCCAAATAGTCTATGTGCACAAAAAGAGGGCATTTTCTGAGATGTTGCCACCCCTACAAGGTCAAAGCCTTTCTTAGAAGAGTTTTCTTCTTCTACTAAGCAGGTTCTATTTCATCAAATAGAACAAACAAAAACATGCTAATTTCCAAGACAGGGACATTCTGTTATCTTCTCCCAACACTGGATAACATGAGCCATCTGTTTAGGAAACACTCCATGACCACAGTTCCCTCTTTATCACTTAGGGCCTTATTATCTACTTTAAAAATTCTTCAGATCCTGACCTTTTCCCATGGTTCTCCATCTACCTGCCTGTGCCAAAGCCATTTCCTGATAACTGGGAAGTGGGAAGGGAAACGAAGTGAATCTTTAAAAACTATTTTGGCAAGTCTACTTAAGAGAAATTGTTGGAGGGGAAGTTGAAACTTTTGGCTGAAATGCAATGTAGTCTGATAATTCACCCTCATTTCAGGTGATATTGGCCAAGGCTACAGTGAACCTAGCCAAGGGGGCCACTGGGAGCTAAAACACAAGCGAATGTTCATCGGGCCAGGATCCAGGAGGCTATTGCTTCTCCAAGGAGGCACATTTTTCATTTCTCACAAAGGCATCCCATATCTTGGTTGTGGCCCTGATAAAGGATCCTTTTCCAGCTGAAGGTCTTCTCTACTTTCCAATACCAGTATCCACAGTCTTGATCCCTAAGAACAGAGCAGAAAAAGCCAATTCCCTGAGCCAGAGAAGTGAAAACTGGTCTGGGGAGGAAGATCCCAAAGTGCTAACACAGCTAGAAGATCCCAGAGAGCTAAAGCAGCTGTATTACCATTTGCCCGGGCCTGTCCTGATTTATACCTACTGTCTTGGAAAAACAACTGAGAGCCCTTTCATTCTCCAAAGTGTCCCAGTGGGAAATGATAAATTTTATGGTTACCATTGTCTGCAGTTCTTGGGGTTAGAGACCTCCAAGGCATCTACCAATAGAATTCAAGGCATCCACCAATAGAATTCAAGGCATCCATGAACTTGCATGGAAAAAAAAGTCGCAACTTTGTTTGTGAAGCTTAAATGGCAATGTACCATCTCATTCCCATTTGAACACAGGCCATAAACCTCAATAGTAGCCATACTAGTGATTATGTCACCAATATAAATATTTTCATATCACAATACAGCTGCCACAGTTATCTCATAGTAGCATTTATGCCCATTCCTACTTCGAAACAATAGTAGCCACTAGTCCCACTACAAGATCTTGTTATAGAGGCATTATTATGTAAGAGGCACATATATTAGTAACAGTGGTTTCTTTTATAAGTCGATAAACAGATATTTCAATAAAATTGGTTTGTGCTATAATCTTATGTATTATATTTTATGCATTTAAACACCATTCCAGGGCCCGCAGGCTTTGTCAGACTGTCAAAGGGCACTATGGAGTAAATCAGAGTAGAAGACCTTGGCCTGGAGATTGATAAAGCCACATTAATGTGGCACTCTGATATGTGAGAAAGAGACCTTGCCCTCTGGCTGGGGAGCTAGGCTGCCTTTGAACTGATCTATGCTATGAGGTATTATTTAGTACATTCCTCTTCCTTATAAGCCCTCTTCTTTCAGTCTTTATTACTCCCATTCTCTTTTTTTTGTCTTCTCTTATTCTTATGGGATTTTTTTTTCCCCTTATCCTTTGGTTTAGGTTTACTATCAGATATCTCTTAGTCTTACTGTGCTAAGTATTGGGTTCTCTTCCTTTGGATAGATTTTTTTTTTTTTTTTTTTTGCCATGCTTCTCTTACACCTCTTTCTCTCCTGCCCCCACCTTTCCCACCTTTCTCTGCTGTTGTCTGCTGCCAATTGCTTGGCCCTCCTGACTTGGCTGGCCACACACCATACCCCTTTCACAGGTTTTGTAGCAGAAACATTGGGTATCAACAGTCCACAGTACATCTTCCCTTTGGGAATCATTTTCAGTTTACTAACAGACACTGTTTCTGAGCCACAGTTAAAATAACAAACTAGCCACCCCAATAAAAAACCACACAACACATAGCAGCAGGAAAATAAAAACTTTGAAACCCTAAGCTTAAATATAATTGTGGAAAGGGTGAAAAGTATTCCACTTAATAATCCCTGATGGCCAGACATCTAGAGAAGATCAGCAGCCTGGACCAGGACTCTTCTCAGTGTATAAATTCCCAGTGCAGCATAGGGAAAGCATACTGCTTAGTCACCGCTAACAGGGGGAGCCCTCTGTAGCAGGCCTATACAATGATTATTTCTCCAAATCAGAGCTCAGGTTAGAAGACTCAGGGGAAAGCCATGAGACCTCATGACCTTTGTGCTTTAGCTTTAGAGAACTATGCACTGTGCCTTCAGCACTGTCCTCGCCAGAGGACGTATTTGTCCTGAAATATTATAGCAGTCTCTCCCAGTAAGTTACTGAATACTTCTTCTATCAATGACCTAAAATTGGAAGGAAGAAGGGAAGAAAGGAAGAAAGGAAGGAAGGGAGGAAGAGTGGGAGGGAGTGAGGGAGGGAAGGAAGGAAGGACGCAGGGAGGGAGGGGGAGGGGTAGAGGAGGAAAAGAGAATAAAAGGAAACTAATCTGTATTTGAAAACATACTTACCACTTTGTCAAATATTACTCCATGGTTGAGAATAGCTTCACATTTTTAAATAATATTTGTTTCCATTTTATTTCTAATAAAAGGCACCTAAAGCATTTTTTAAACTGTCTGAAAAGGTAGTGACATTTGCACTGGACAAGTATTAACATAAAAGGTAGCTTAGAGAGCTTAGGATCAAATGAAACTGTAAATTTCATAACCTTTCCTAATCTGTTCATTTATCCTCCTAAAGAATAAAATCTGTTTTTATTTGTGGAGGATTTTTTTTTTTTTTTTTTAGTATTTACTCATTTATCTATTTTGAAAGAACTAAATGGCCCTTACTATTAACTTACCACCTGTGGTGGAGAAATAGTATGTTCAAGCCTATCAGCTTTTGAGAAGATTCCAGATTTCATTCTCATATGAAATGGCCATTTCATATGTCATTATCATGTTGAGATGTATTAATTCACTAAGTTTTTATAAAGTATATGTAGATATATACTAACATCTCAGAGCTTCCATCATGGCTCCAAACCATTTATCAAATAAAGTTCATCAAAGTCACAATCTTCAGATAATAAAATGAATACAAAATTTATTAATCTTATGGATTATTCAAATCTAAATATAGATTAAGATATTTTATATTTTTTTAAATAAAATCAATAAGGGTAAAGCTTCTCAGGTCCTACTCTGAGCTTTTTTTTTTTTTTTTCCAGTATCTTCTTCAAACTCTTTCTACAGAACCTTATTATTTAGCTTCTCTTGCTATTAAAATTAATCAAGATCAGATATTCCGAATCTTGATTATTTTTTTTCAAATATCTTACCCAAGACTTTTAACTCATACTATGTATTGTATAAACATATCTATTCATTGTGTTCTGAATAAAAGTTTTTATTTTTCCATATCCTTTGTCTTAGAGCATATTGCTTAATAATAATTGTTATTCTAAATGTCAATGAACTCATATTTATATGATTTAAGATAAAGGTACACCCCAAAGAATCTCCCCAGCAGACGTGTCATGTGGGACTTTTGATATTGCACCACCTAGCAGCCACAGTAAAATAAGTAGAGGGGATTGGACCACATAAGTAAGATGAGGATAGAGCTCCCCTGAATAAACTGGGAATTGGAAACCAGAATGTCTGCCCAGGTTCCAAAGGATTCCCCTTCCTGTGGTTCCTAGGACATAGACCATTTCTTTTGGATATTGTCACACTTAACTTCAGTGTTATGTCTCTTTTCTTTAACACTGCTGCAACTCAACTAAGCCGGTATCCCCACCTCCAGAAGGTCACCCTTCTGGATGATCTGGTTTTGAATGGCTCTTCCTGAAGAGTGGGGCAGCTGTGCAAGTTTTTCCTACTTGCATAAAAACAAAATTGACTTCTAATGAATTCTCCGGAAAATGAATGCTTCTCCTTGAGATAACTGGGGTCTTGGGGATTCAGAACAGTCAACCTGACACAAAACGCAGACTGAGGTCGAGGGTAGGAAAAAAAGGAAGAGGAGGAGCAGCTCTTAGTGCACGTTGGCTCTCTGTGGGCATTTTGGTCACACTTGGGTGCCTCAGCAGCCAAGCCTCACCTCCATCTTCCTCCACCTCATCCCTCCTCTGACAATATTGTTGCCTCACTCTCTTCTTTTCTTCCTCCACTATAGGATGGCCTAGGTCCTCACTATAGGATGGCCTAGGTCCTAGTGTGCCACAGCATTAGAGATGGAAATCCTATTCCAGGTGACCTAAAAGGCACCAGGTTTCCACTATCTGTCTATGACTCTTGCCCCGCTGATCTGATTCTGAAAAACAGGATTCTTCTATCCCTCCTCCCTGTTTACCCTGGCTGACTTTTTGTTGGTTTGTCTCCAAGGGGAGGACATCCTGGTACTACAGCTACAGAGAAAAGACATGAGGTGTTCTTGGAAACTAGAACTTTGTCCCACAAAAACGCTTAAAGGTATATGAAATCCTCAAGTGACTGCAGAAAGTCCCCTTTGTTGAAGGGGCCAGGTAGGCGAGGAAGTGGCAAATATTATCGGAAGTGACAAAGAACTATTTTTCCTCTTTCTGAGCCCCAAGTACAGAAATATATTGTTTTGCCTCAGCTTTACATCAGCATAAACTTTAATGAAAAGTCAAGAATCCAGGAGAAATCCAAGAATTTATGCCACTGTATTCAAAAGAATGTTTCCTGTGATAGGAAAAATTCCCTGTTATTTTCACAAATACCTGGGAGTGCAGAAGGATGAAGCAACTCAATCTAACAGAAGACTGCTAAAATCATTAGAAATCATTTAATCTTATTTAGAATCATCCAGAGGTTTGCATAGTTAATTTTTGTTGATTTGAAGGCTTACAAATATTCTGCAATGTTTTATTTTTGCAAAAAGAGTCACATTTGTGGTAGCTTATTCATTATATATGATATAGAGTTTTTCTGGTTATGCTGATTGAGAAGCATTTATACGAAAATAAGCAAAACAGTCTTTTTAAAAATAAAAAGCCTTTTCCTAATTAATTTTAAGATGTTAAAAAAACAGCAGGAGTGAGCATAATTTATTTATGTATAATGGTACCATATTTGAGCAAGGGTCAAAAGGCAGTGGTTCCAGCATTAGTTATGCTACAAATGCACCAAATGGCCTTGAGCTCAGCATTGAATCTCCTCCCTGAGTCTGGATTGGGTGGGATAATATCTGAGATCCCTCTTAGCTCTAACTAATTATGTGACTCAATTCAGAGAGAGGCTTTCATTTGCAGAATACAACTGCTACATAAAACTGCCTCTAGTTTTTGACTACAGAGCAAATCTCTGTTCATATTTGGATCCCTCCTTCCATTTACCTTCCTATTTAAAAAGGGAATGTCTACAAAAGGTTCAGAAGAGAAGTCCATTACCAGTAGCCAGTTCTCCAAATCGATTTCCTCTACTAGTATTCCACTATACCAAGGTGTACCCCAACAAACTTTGAGACAGGCGATATGTAACATCAGTCTCCCTAATACTCTAGTCACAGGGGCTCACAGGCCAGGACTGGCACTTATAGTACGCCGCTGCAGTTTGGAGTAAAGGGTGAGGGGCCTCACTCATGCTTCCTTCCAGACAAATGGTTTTTAGTACCAAATAGGGCTGGGAGTATGGGACACACTCAGTGTTCTCTGATCACCAGACCACTCAGCCCCACCATTTCCTGGCTGAATGTCAATAAGCAAATAACTTGAATTCTTCAATACTGGGTTTCTCCATCTATAACATGAGATAAATAACTCTACCCATTTTTCAGGGTTGTTGTGAGGGTTAAATCTAACACAAACACACACAACATCAAAGATAGTGTCTGGCACATAGTAAGAACTCCACAACTGCTAGCTAGCACTGATTGTTACATTACTATTTGTCTCCCCAGAACAGTTCAGCAACCTGAAATAAATCCACCTTGGTGTGGATTTGGAGTCTTTCCTCAAGTTGCCAAGGAACATGGTCTAATTTGTTTCTACATGCAAAAAGAAGTGGCCAGAGCGCAAATTCAGGCGATAGATAAGCACCCAGAAAGAAATGAGCCTTGGGGGGGTCAGAGCTAAATCTCGTGGAGTGCGAGTTTCAAGTCTAGGATCCTACCTCAGGTATCCAGGTACTTCTGAAGAAGCCCGGCTCTCTCACCAGGCCTGGTCTGTGAGGGTGTGGCCTTTGTGCTCAGGAGCTGCACCAGGAGCCTGCGCACAGGGAATCCCCGTTCTGCTCCTTGGGGCTCTGGAGTTTGCCACCGCTAGGCAGGGAGCTAGCTGCTCCAGGGGTGCCCCAGAATGGGAGGGACTGACCTCGGGATTTCTCCCGGGAGCCCTGGCGAGTCGACGTTTCCTCCGATGTGGCCAAGGCGAGGGACCCAGAAAAAGGAACTGCTCTGAATTTTGCTTTTTCCCAACTGGTACAAGGCAGCAGGAGTCCTCTGTAGGGCACCCGCGGAGAAAGTAAGAAAAGCCTGCACGTGGAAGGTCTGAACAGGGAGGACCTAAAGGTTGTACAGGGTTCCAAACCCACCCAACCTCCAAATGTTTCCCTATAGGGCTACTAGGAACCAGGGATCCACTCTCAGCCAAAGGCACCTCTGGGAGAGGAGCATGCACCTCCTCAGGGAGAGAAGGGTTAAGTGAGGTGCTTACTGGCCTTGGCAGTCACTGTGCCCCCACCAGGAAATAGGGGGCTTGATGGATAAAAGGGAGGGGAGGCTGCCTCTTCGAAACAGCCGACTAAGCCCCCTCCCGCAAACGGTCTTGCACTCCAGATTGCTGGGGTGCAAAGGAGAAAAGAGCCTCCCCCTCCTGCATTCGCCAGAGCATCTGGAGCCACAAGAAGAATCTACCTGGGAGCTGCAAGGTGGGCAGATCCACCTCTGTCTGGGCTCCCAGGTCTAAGAGCTGGGTCTCCCCTCACCCGAGGCCCACACCTCCTAGCTCTGCGTTTCCCTGCACGCCCTCCAGCTCTGCGCTCCCCAGCCTCCCGGGCGCAGCACAGGGCTCCCCCCACTCCCTCGCTCCGCCCAGGTGCGATTTGTGGAGGGGCGGGGGAAAGTGGCTCCCACCGCAGCCTCCGCTCCTGCGCTCTCCTCCAACCACTTTGGACCCCTGTTTACTCGCCGCGCGCTGGGGACTCCCCTCTACCCCGCACACACGTCTCCCCCTGGGAGGCAGGAGTCCCCTTCCTACACTGCGGCTGTGGAAACATCCTTGACTCCTGAGTGCCTGGCAGGGAAGGTGGGCGTGGGTCTACCGACCTGGCTGCAGAGGTGAAGGAGCGTAGAAGCAAGCGGGTGCCAGAGAAGAGAGCAGACTATGGTCCTCTTAGAGCTTGGAGAAGCATCCCTAGTCCACGATCTGACCATTCAGTCACCACCCAAGATGCCAACGCATTCAGATTCTCGCGGGGAGGTTTGTTTGCTTCTGGGGAGGAAGATCGCCCCATCCCAGGCACTCAGCAGCCTGCCTTCCCAAGTACCCAAGGGCCCGGCATTCCGGGGCTCCATTCCTTGTCTCCACGCGCCCCCAGGTACCCAGCCCCTCCCCCATCTGTATTTACATACCCAGGCCAGCGCCCTCCGGACTCAAATCCCTTTTCCTCTTCGTCAGATGGCCTCTCAGGGCTGGCCGCTCGCCCACATTAGCAGTACCTTTTCATTTCCCTCAACCGTGGGCAGATCTACCCGACCCTCAGCTTCCTCCTCCACCGCACGAGCAGCCTTTCCCTCCCTGAGCCACTTACTTCACCCACCCATATCTGCACTTGCAGTTCCCACGGCGCACAGCCGCAAGCCACTCCAAAGGTTTCATTGCCGAGTTGGGGGTGGCGTGTGCAAGGATGGACTGACTCCCATCGCGCTGGACGAAGCTTCAGGGGTGGCCGCAGCCATCCTCCATGTCCCACCTCTCTTATTTCACCTTCTCTGTCCCTACCCAGCTCCTAGAGGCAGGACGAGCACTGCTGGGTCCCAAACCCTCGCCTCAGGAGCCAGAGCTGCGGGGAGTGAAAAGTCGACTGGCAAGAACACACAGAGAGAAATGGGCAGATGCATATGGCAAGAGGGGCTGGGGGAAGGGCAAGAACTAAACCTGCAAGTTGCACAGCACGGGGTGAGCACCGCGCAGGGAAGGGGTCACAAAAGTTTGCAGACTATTGTATAGCAGCCGGCTGAACAGGAGCGAAGAGGGTCGACTCTCTCTCTCCAGGAGGAGGTCTCTCCCAGGGTCTGCGCAAAAGGGATCAGGGAGGCTTAGACAGGCACGGCTTAGAACTGGTGTAATAGTTCTCCTCTACTTGTTCCTTGGAGGGACGGCCTAGGTACCCGGGCAGAGGGATGATCCCGCGCTCTGCGAAAAGCAACAGGCGGCTGCACCTTACCTTGCGCCAGTCCCGGGCCGGGGTGGCTGCTCCATCCTCGTGGCTCAGGGAGGAGGCGTTGGGTGCGTATGCTTAGGGGTGTGCCCGCTGCCAGGGCTGCAGCGGCCGCCACCTCCAACCAGCTGCAAGCCGAGCTGCCCACCTGGGACCGGGCCGGCCCGGCGGGCTTGGCTCCCGGCGAAGGCGGCGGCGTTGGTGCGCGGCGGCTGGGGCGCGGGACGCAGGCAGTGCGTGGCGCGGCTGGCGTCTTCGGGCGCCGCCACCGAGCGAGGGTGCGGCCCCGGGCGGCCGTGCGGGGCACGACTTGGCTCGCGTTGCTGCGGCGGCCGCTGCAGACCCTGCTCCAGGCGCCGTAGCCTTGCAGGAAGAGCAGACAAAGACAGGAGAGAGGCAAAGCGCCGCTTGCCCAGAGATGCAGTCGGCTCAGTCAATAGAGGGAAATCGCCTCCAAACCCAGGCTGGGAATGAGGGAGGAGGGGCGAGGCGGCTGGGGACTAGAAAAAGCAGCAGGGAATTAACGTGACAGTCAGAGCCCAGCCAGTGCCTCGCCGGCGCTGCTCTCTCGCCTCGCGGTTGCGGGGTCCGGAATGGAGAGAGGAGGCGGGGGCTGAGCGTTGGCTGCCGGAGACCAGCTGAGGTAGGAGTATTAACTCCCTCTGCTGCTCTCGCCTGCCTTCCTCGCACCCCCTTACACAGCTCTACTTGCAGCAGGCTATGGCCCCATTCTTTCTCCTATTTTTCTAACTACTGAGATCAGAGCTGAATTAAGCTGGTGAAAGGAGCAAAACGTGCAAGGGATTGATTGCCCTCCTTGGGGGAAAAGCGGAGGCTTAAAATCAATTCGACAAATGAGTGTTTACTGGGTGCTGAGTACTGTGCTCCGCTATTGTGAGGGAGGGTTATGAATAAGGTACCCCCCTCCCGCCCCAGGGTCCGTTGTCTGATCTCAGAATCAGTTTCCCCTGCAGTTCTGGAAGCCCAAAGTTTCGGGGTTGAGTTGTGGTCCCTGATCCCGATCCTCAACCAATCTAGCTTTCTAAATCAGAAGAAGGTGGAATTCAATTTTCCTTTCTCCTTCCTGGGATGACTTTAACCTGCAGCCGAAATGGAGTCTATAGGCCCCTTAAAAAAGCGCGCGCACGCCAGTGTGTGTGTGTGCGAGCGCGCTCGCGTGCGCGCGTGTGTTTTAAGAGTAAGTCAAATTAATGGTTTTAGTGATGTTCTTATTTCATGATTTTAATTATTTACCATATCTGCAGTAGACACCAGTTTGGGGCAGAGGAACCCGCCTCTCCAGACTCTACAAATACCACCTTTTTTTCTAAAGCTTTTTTCCGCTACCCCAGTCCTCTGACTCGAGGCAGAAATCTTTCCCCTCTCTTTGCCCTCTCAGAATTTTATTTGCCAATCACTTGCGGAACTTATATATTTATAGATTTATCTCTTCACTCACATATGAGTATTCCCTGTGCTTTTTGTTTGTTTGTTCTCACTGCAACATCCAGCAGTGTTTTGTATCTAATGGGTACTCAAGGAAAGCTTATCCAGTTGAAGGTCATTTTCTCCTTCTGTATGAGCTAAATCTCAGTGTCTCTAGAATTAAAGAGACTCCAGGGATGGAACTTTTGATTTAGGGTGTGGTGGAGGGAACCACACATACAGTTAGACTCACAGCCCCTTTACTGGAAAGGTAATAAAGTATTTAATTCATTTTGGTCTCTAGACAATCAACCTTCTCCCACTGACCACCCACCTCTGTTTCCTGAATTCCCAAAAGCAAAAGAAAACCAAACTGCTAAGCAACTGCCTAGAGCAAGACATGTATGTTCAGCTGCCAACACCTAGAGCAAACCCATTCCAAGTGGAGAATGACCAAAAAATCTTGATTATTTCTTGACCTGTGTCAAGTATGTTGAAAGCCTGCCAAAGTTTCCTCATTTCTATTGAAGCACTCTTATTCTGGATGCATTTTAGAACAGTTTGAACAGTGTTACATTGCTCAGAGGTGAAGAAAATTGCTTTGTAGTTTAAGGATATTTAAGATTTGTTTGTTTGTTTGTTTGTTTTCTGTCCCACCTTCTACAAATTGCACGATAGATACCTCAGATCAGGAATGCTGCATGAAAAAGTATGTCCATAATGCAGGAGATTAGACTAAATGACTCTTAAGATATCTTCTGTCTCTTAGACGTTATGATACTGTGATTTAAAAGATTGCGGTTTAAAGTTTTTTTTTTTTTTAATTTTTGTTTTTGTTTTTTAAAGGAGATTTTAGAACACAAACATAGATACATGTGGATAGCAGGTATGTAATTTGGTGTCGTTTTTCTGAAGGGAAATTTGGCATGCTATTGAAAGCATAACATTTTTGCATTTCATTTTTCCAGTGACTCTAATTCTTCAAATTCATCCTCAGGAAATAACTAAGGTTGAGCAACAAGATTTATCTACCTGGATATTCATTGTAGTGTTGTTTATATTAGTGAAAAATTGAAAAGAAACAAAACTAAACTCAAATGTCTACCAAGAGAGGAATGGTAAAATATTTTGTAAATCTATACAATGGAATATCAGTCAGACACTAAAATGTTGTAGGTGAATATTATCATGATTTATGGTTGTAATATAATTTTAGTCAAAAATTTCAGATGCACAAAGTGAGAAGTAGAATAGTAAAAAATAAAATCTGGAGTTGACAAATCTGGGTTTGAAACCAGGCATTTCTACTTGCTGACTATGTGATTATGGACCTGAACCTCCAATACATCGACTGTATAATTGGGTTGATGTTATTTACATTGTAGTATTGTTGCGATTAAGTGAAATAGCATTTATGAAGCCCTTAGCATGGTGCCTAATGCATAGTAAAATCTCAATATATTAAATAGATTTATTTGGCAAACAAATGTATAAACATGAGTTTAAGGTATGATATATTTTCTGGTAAAAATATATACATATATAGACTCATTTCTACAGTAAGATATACTTCAATATTACCAGTGGCTATCTCTGTTGGCACTGGGATTTGGGGTGTCTTAAAAAAATTCTGTAGTAATCATAAAGTAAAATTATATAGTAAATAACAGCGGAATTTGTTTTTAATTTAATTGTCTTTTAATTAAAATACGACTAACTATGGACATAGGAAACCTCTAGATTTGGAAGTTTTCTGTTTTTGTTGATTCATCAACAAGTCATCAACATTACTTGTTGACTGTTGGTGTCACCCATGCTATAAAAAGGATAAATGACAGGGCATGGAGTTTGTCACCTCTGATATAAACTTAGATTTGTTTTGTAGCAACCAGAAGTCAAGTCCAGCTCAGCAAAATATGCTGTTTAATATAAAGAGCTGATTCGTTGCTACCCTTGCCTTCTCTTGACAGCCAATACAGAGAGAGGGAGAGAGAAAAAGGAGGGATCAGAAGCTATATTTGTAACTTTTGATTAGTGAACTACAGAAGGAAGCCTAACACTGCAGGACCATGACCTTCACATCTACTTTAGTGGCCCCTCTGGGTCAGAGATGGATGGTTTGTACAAGTTTTCTATGTATATTAAAAATGTTATAGAAATACAGGGGGGAATATGATTTATGGTGTTTTCAGTTTAACTTTCTTTAGAAATAGGGGCACGCGATTTAAAAATCAATATGTTCCAGAACACTTTTCATGTAAAGGAAATTCTTTGAATTTTAAATTGTATTCTCTCTCTGACACTCTTTACAGAAATGGAAATGCATTTCTCTGAGCCCAGGAATTGAGTTTCTGAAATCTGAATCACTGGGGTGCCTGAAACTCTGCTGTCTAATGGATGAATGGGTCGAAAATGTGAAGATATGATTACCATGAATCCTTTGTACAAGGTGATCCAGTTAACTACTAATAACAAACCATCCTTAAACTTCTTGGCTTAAGATAACAGCCATCATTTATTTAGCCTGAATCTAAAATTTGGACAAGGCTCACTGAGTAATGCGCACCTCTGATCCACTTCCCACATGGCTCGCCATATACCTGACAGGCTGTGTTGGCTGTTGGCTATTGGTTGAGCATCCGACAGGAGTTGAGAACCAGGGACCTTAGTTTCTCTCCATGCGGGGCTCTCCCTGTGCATCACACCATAGGTTCTCAAAGACTTCCTCACCGCATAGCGGTTGGGTTCACCAGGAGAGCTCCAACAGGGGTCAGACCCTTTCCAGATAATGAAAACCTGAACAATTTAGCCTTATCAATTGTACAAATTCATCCAGTCTTCAAACAGTATCATAAATTTTAGCCCAGAACACACCAGGCAAACTGAACCAGTGAACTAACGAATCATTTGAACGATTTAGGCAAATGGATCAATTTTTCTTTTATATGTTGAGATAATTTCATCAACAATTGGAGTCTTAGTCAATTAAATGAATTCACAATAGTTTCTATATTAAAAAAATTAATGATGTCTTCACATAGGGAAGACTAAATTTCTCATGGTATTTTTAAAGGCCTCTGCAATTTAACTCTCTTCCCAGTCCTATCTCATCACCTCCTCTAGTCTCTCATATTTATCCATCTTACCTGAGCCTTGTTTTGACTTGTATTAGGGCTGAATGTTGAGAAGTCTCCCTTTCTTACTAGACTCTAAGTTCCTTGAGAGCAGAGACTTTTTCAGTTTATGTCCCCACAACCCTCAGCCCTGAGACATGCATGAAGTATGTGCTTGATATACCTTTACTGAAAAAATGAATAATTCAACATCCCTTGGCTTTCTAATTCAATCATTCATTTTCCAAAATGGCAATATTGGTCATGAGTTACTTCACAGGGAAGCTAATTAATTCCCTGAAACTGGAAAATGTTTTGAAGTTCCACAGTACTTTAGAAGCACACAGGAACATTAATATGTGTAATACATACATTATTATTACTTCCCTGACACATAAATGGTAAATAATCCCTTTTTAGTGTGTTTGTTTTGGATGTACTGGACAAATTTGCAGAAAGTAATGTATTGTTGGCTCATTTCTACTAATGGACACCTGTGTGGACTGAATAAGATGTGGTCTCTTCTAGCTCTATTATTTGTTTATTTCTCCAACTTTCAGAGCCACTATTTATACATGCTTCTTGCCAGAAAGGTGACCATGACATGAGAATCGGCCTTCTTGGGGTTCTATGTCTTAACAGATAGTACGGGTACCTATACAATTCTAGGAGTGCCCCAGCCACATAATTACTGTGATGTAACTACAAAGCTGCATGATCTAATAGAGAATCCTTGCCCCAAAGTGGAACTGTCTCTCCTCTGGAAATTTTGTATAAGAAAACTGGGAGGGTTGGGTTAACCTCTCTGGTAGCTAAAGCTGCAAGATTTAAATCATAGGTGCAATGAGCAGGTATACTGTCTGCCATGTGGAGAAAGCCATACTGCAGTATGAGTGATAAAGCTGCCACACAGGTACAGACGTGAGAGACAGGGCAATTCCCTGTAGCTTCTATGCCCCTGGATACAGCTATTTAAAGGTCCAGCCATGTCTCTGTTCTTCCCATAGCTTTTTATATATCCACTCATTTCAATAAGTTTCCCTTTTTACTTAAAGTCATTCAAATTTTCTTTCCATCATTTGGGACCCAAAAAATTTCAACTAATGCAACATCAAAGAAAGATTTGAGGAATGACTCTCAGAAAATGTTTAATTAAAAGTTGGAGAGAAGTATTTTGGGATGCTTTGATATAAGGCTTACATTTTTCAAAGTTAAAAGCCCAAAAGCAACATAAACTGAACTATTTTTCCAGACAGTAAAAATAGGACCTTAAATGTGAAAACATGATCCCAGTGTTTGTAATTTACTAGAATGTAGACTTCATGAAGGCAGAGATTTGGATCCTTTGCTACTATATTCCAACAACTAGAATAGAATTCTACGTAGGGTAGGATATTAATATTTATTGAATAAGTTGATGTATTTCCTTGTTGCATCTCTTTCTTAATCCCAGTAGGAATATGAAAAATTCTCATTTATTGAACTCATGCTATAAAACAGCCATCGTGCTAAAATGTTGTCAAAATTTCATTTTTTACCAGATGTTGGGGTGGGGATGGAGGGCAACTGTTCTCATAGATAAAACAGTTTGCTCAAGGGCACACAGGTTCTATATATTGAGGCTAGGGGTTAAACCCAGGATCACCTGTCTCCAAAACATGTGTTTTTTCTACCATCCCACAATCACATATTAATGTGTTCCTTTATAGGGCAGAAATCTTTCCTGAGGTATTAAGATGTAAGGCGTAGAGCTAGACTGGTATTTTGCTTCATATATAATTGCAGCTTTAAATATCAAGGGTTTAATGAATAAAGAATTAGTTCCCATTTTATAGACAAGTAAGTGGAGGTCTATGGTGTTGCCTCAGTATTCATCAATGTCTTCTCTGAAAGTCTTATTATGAGGATGGAAGCTCCACTCTTGCTCCTCTTGCCTCCCCATGAAGAGACTTCATAACATCTTAGTCTCTTGTAGCTGTTGCTGCTCTACCACACAGCTTCCAACTGCAAGGAAGCACCTGCTTCTCTATGCCTGGTCTTTTGACGAGTGCCAGGGGACTTACTGCTCCATTACCAATAACTGATGAGAAATGATGGATAAATATCCCACATGCAACTCCTCTTTTGAGATGTCTCTAAGGCATGTTGTACACTGTGCCCCAGAAGTCCTGTATATGATTAAGCACTCGTTACACACAACACTAGCTTGCCCAAAAGCGAACCCTTTATTGGCTTCTTTCCCATCCTTGTCTCACTGCCCTAACTCTACCAGAATTTTCCAAATAAATTTCTTGAATTCACACCCTTATCCCAAAGGTTTGCATCTGGGATACCCCCAACTAAGGCATCTCTCTGGCCCATTCACTCTTGAACTCTAAAAGAGAGGGTCAAATTACCTGATTGATCAGTTTAAAAGAAGACACTGAAAATTATCCTTACATTTATCTCTTTTGAAGATATCAAGTACATAGGACACAAACGTGTTCAGACTGCACCCTGCCATGTGCTTAAGGACTTGCACTTTGGGGAAGGTCTTAGTCACTGAATGAACAAGTCAGTTTACTTCAAAAGTAAGGTATTAGGACATATCAAAGTCCTTATAGATCTAAAATCACGTTTCCAATCAACTTTATTTGCAATACAGTGGACATTTTAATTTCCATCAAAATTAGCTTCACATGATTCATAATAGCCAAAAGGTAGAAACAACCCAAATGTCTCCATCAACTGACAAATGGAAAGAGAAAATATATTATAGCCATATAATGAAATATTACTTGGCCATAAAAAGAGATGAAGTACTGATACATGCTATAGCATGGATAGACCATGATACTATGGTAAGTAGAATAAGAAGCCAGTCACAAAAGATCACATATTGTGTTATTCTATTCACATGAAATGTCTGGGACAGAGAAATTTACAGAGACAGAAAGTAGATTAGTGGTTGCTTAGGGCTGTGGTATGAGTTGGAGATGAAAAACATGATAACTAAAGAGTGTGAGGTTTCCTTTTGAGGTGATAAAAATGTTTTAACATTGACTGAAGTGTTGGTTGTCCTATATCTATCAATAAAAGCCATTGAAGTGTATTCTTTAAGTAGATGAATTATGTCTCAAAAAAGTGGTAAAAGCTAGCCCCACGTGGTGATGCAAAATGTTAATGTTGTGTGAAAGATACATGACAGCTCTGTGCTATCTTTGCAACTCCTCTGTAAATATAAAACAGTCATCTCTTAAGGTTGTAATAATCAATTGAGATATTATATATGACACCACTGTACCTGGCAAATACTCTCTTTCCCCCTCCTCCTTCTCCCTCTAACTAAAATAGGGACCCATGTGGAGATATATATATATACACACACATATATATATACACACATATATATATATACACACACACACACATATATATGTATATATATACACATGTATATATATGTGTGTGTATATATATGTATGTATACATATATATATAGATATATGGACAGCACCACGTCTGCTTCTGAGGCATCTGATTTTTTTTCCCTAAAATCTCCATTATCCTTTATGTCCTCTTGTTACTTTACGGGTGTAACATTTGGCCCGATAAGGTGTAGTTAATATCCCTATTACTACAATTTAATAGACATAATAAGCCAATTCAGTTTTCAATGCCAGAGATTTGGGCAAAAAATAAAGCAGGGTGACATCAATAACTGATGCCAGTGTGGCCCTTCTCAGCAATTGTTTTTTTCTTGTTTCTTTTGCACCCCATCATAGCTATTTTTGTTATTTATGTGTGTTTTATGAAAATGGTAGCATTCCACCAGATCCACATGTAAGCCTCGAGTTGCTGATGCAGGCTTTCCTTCCTCCTTCTGTAGAACTTGTGAAAGCCAGCACAATATTTCTGTTAGTTGGTCTGGAGTCAATTCTGTTTCTAATTATGGGGTTTATTTTCTTCTTTTGTTGTAAAGTTTTCTCCACTCCCTGGGGGTGTTTCAAGGATTTGACAAGGAAGCTTTCCCTATGGTCCTGATTTCATCGTAGAAGCCAAGGGTGTGGAGGAAATGCCCTTGCTGGAGTGGAGGCGGAGGTTTCAGTCCTCTTTCTAAACTTAAAAGGAACTAAGGAAACCAGAGACAAGCCATCTAATCCCTTCAGGCTTCAGTGTTTTCTTCCGTAAAATGAGAGGATTGGCTTGAATGTCTCTAAAGTTTCACTCAGGCCTGACATTCTCTCAAAATGCAAGCATTTTCCTGAAGTTTACTGACAAGCAGTTGCCAAACACCAGAAGAGTGCTGATATGTTGCTAGCTAATATTATCTCTCATCTGTTTGCAGCATTTTGCTCGGAGATCATCAGTGAGAGCAGTTCAGTGTTCTGATGTCTGCTCTGAGGAAAGCTTTAGAGAACACAGGAACAGGGAGTGATACAGAGGGTAGATTCCTCCAACATGAGTACAGATGATGTTGCTCTGTTATGATGTTCATGCAGACACAGAGAGACCAACCGAAGGCTAGTCTTAGTGGCTGAAAGATGAGTATTACATAAGTGCAATTTTACTTTCTGCGTTAATCTTTGCTGAGGTAATTGTCTTCATTCTATTTTCAGTGTGTTGTTGGCAGTGTTGCATGGCCTACTGACAGTTGCTCAATAAAAATAGAGATCTTACCCTAGAGAAAAAGCACAATATTTACTCGCGGCCAATGCCCTGCTTCTACGAATCATGGTACTCAGTTCCTCAAGAGTTAAATGGAGACAGGTACCTGCTGGAGTTTTAACAAGAATCAAAGTTGAGTTGTATTTACAGGTTGTTGGGTATGTCTGGCACACAACTTTGTATACAAGGAGCCATTAACGATTTCAGCAAGCAGAGATCTTTCCAAAATGAGAACACCTGAAAGTTATATTCTTCTCTTCACACACCACATATTCACTTTTAGGTCACCTTACCCTCCATGTGCACCACCAAATGCAACCAAATGTACCTCCTAAATAACTATCTAATGGCCCACAGCACACCATCCCTCTCCTCTCTTCCCAGCTGCTGTCTTGAATCATAACATTATTATTTCTCATCTGAGTACTTCAGTATTCTCCTAAAAGGTCTCACCATCCCTAGTTCTCCCCTTACCTCCCTTCCATTCTCTGCACAGCAGTTGGAGTGATCCTTTTAGTCTGCTAATGTGACTGTGACATGCCTTGCTCAAAATTCTTCAATGGTTCATGATAACATTTTAACTTCATTACACAGCCCACAAGTCTCATTATAATCTCCTGTCTGCCTATTTCACTAGCCTCACCTCCTGTCATTCTTCTTTCTTCTGTGGTACAGCTGAGCTTAGATGCTCACAGTTCTCCAAAATTCACCACATTCTTGTGCCTCTCACTGAAATACAGCCTGGAATCTCCAATTCACTCAGCCAGCTTCTCATCTTTTGTGTGTCTCTCACTAACACCCTCTTGAGCGCCCTTTCCTGATTCTCCAGGCAGACCTAAGGACTGTTTCCTTCTCATTCTCAATGCTCAATCTACATTCTTCCAACATGGCAATAATCAAACTAGCATTGTCCTGGTAAACTCAAGTGCGATCATCTAAAGGCTGAGACCATGTATTGGGTCTTCATCTCCTTACCACCAAACCAGATACAAGGTGCTCAATACATGCCTAAGGAAGAGAATGAAAAGAACATTTACTAAACACCTAAAATATGTCATATGCATACTTGTAATTTTTACTAAAGCTATGATATTTGGAAGGTGGGGAACAGGGAGGGAAACAGTGCATAGTTTATGAGCTATATCTGGTAGAATGATAAAAGTAATGAGAGGAGGGGAAGATAATAATAAAAATCATGTATTTTGAAAAGTAACAAACCAGAAAGAAAAACTAATAAATCATGAAAGGGAAAGCAAACTAAGCATAATATTAAGGAAATAAGAACTTTGGCTCCAAGTGACTTTCCCCCTACAGGGAGTAAAAAGACTCTGGAGTCCTCACTATTAAAGCCTCCTGCCATATTTAAGGATGGCCTTGATGATCAAGCATTAGCATGCAGAATGGATTGGAAAGTGTCAATGTCCCAAGTAAGGGGAAGTTCAACGATCACTTTTCATAACCTGCAGAGATATTAAAAGAAATTTTTAACTACACAACTGTATATCCACAGAATTTAATCACAGGTTACAGCAGAATTTTTCTCTTATTGTCTTAAACATCAAAGTCTTTGACTTTTAGTGGGGAGTATTGAGAGGTGAGGCTAGAGAAGCAGCAGAAAGGAAATTATACTGAGACTTGAAGACTGTAATACAGAGTTAACATTTTAACATAAAGGATATGGGGGCCATAATATAATTTTGAACAAATTGTGTCACAAGCACATTTTCAAGCTAGAAATCTCTTGACAGTTGTATTCAACATAGTGGGAATGTGTAAAAGGGATGGGAATAGTGAGACCATTTAGGACTTTATCACAGTACTTGTATTAGTCCATTTTCACACTGTGGTTAAATATATACATGAGACTGGGAAGAAAGAGACGTTTAATTGGACTTAGAGTTCCACATGGCTGGGAAGGCCTCAGAATTATGGCGGGAGGTGAAAGACACTTCTTACATAGTGGCAGCAAAAGAAAATGAGGAAAAGCAAAAGTGGAAACCCCTGATAAAACCATCAGATCTGGTGAGACTTATTCACTATTACAAGAATAGCACAGGAAAGACTGGCCCCCATGATTTGATTTCCTCCCTCTAGGTCCCTCCTGCAATATGTGGGAATTCTGGGAGGAACAATTCAAGTTGAGATTTGGGTGGGGACACAGCCAAACCATATGAACACTCCAGGTAAGAAAAGTTGCTGTTCTGAATCAAGAAGACAAGAGGGTATGGGGAGGCATAGACCAATAAGAGAAGAAGGTTCTGAGGTAAATTAAGGCATATGGCCTTATCTCAGTGACCCGTGCTATGATGGAGTCCAGTCATCCCTTCCATGTACTAACTTAATGAGGCATTTCTAGCCCGTCAGGATTGCCATGACTAAGAGAACCCCAGACCCACGGTGGCAGACATGGTTAGTTGTTCACCCAATGACCATCATCTTCTTCACCATTCTTCCAGTAGAGCCCATTTCTCATTACAGAAGCTGAAAATCTACTTTCTCAGATGCCCTTGCAGTGAAGAATGGGAAATAGACATGATTCCAGTCAAAGGAACCTAAGAAGAAGCTTGCTGGGAGATTTGTAGCAAAGACTTTTCTCCTTATAAAAAGATCACAAGAGAAACAATATCCTTCTCCTACTAATCATGAGCTTTGCCGTGTCTATATGTGCTAGTTAGAATCAGTGCAGCCATCTTGAGACCTTAAGGGAAAAGCCAGTATGGGGAAGTGGAACAATGGAAAGAGCCTGTGTCCTTACTGAGGTCAACACCTACATCCAAACTTTGGTTACATAAGATAATACAAAATCTCATTTTAAAAGTTCTTACTACTCAGAGTGAGGTCAGTGGACCAAATGTATCAATATCACCTGGAACTTGCTAAAACTGCAGAAGCCTGGGCAGTATTCCAGAAATACTAAATTATAACATGCATGTTAACAAGATTCCCAGAATAAGTTTAAGCCACTTTTAATTGGGTATTTAGTTGTTTGGAGTTGGAGGCATCCTAATTAACATACGCACTATACACACAGTTCCTTTCGTAACTAGAATTGATTGCATTTTTTGTTATTCTACAATATTTGACCACCTCCTCTATCATAAAACACATTTTATTTTGTCATGTGTATGTAGAATGGTTAAAACTATCTATGATCATCTGACCCGTGCAATTTACACATTCTTTAAGGGTAGGCTGTATATCCTATTCACTTTTGCATTTCCCTTGCTACCTAGCATTAAGCCCTGTGAAAATTAGTCATTGAAATACTCGTTGAATGAAAGAATAAAGAGTAATCATTTCTTTGAAATTCCTCTGGCCAATGAGAATTTTAGACTTCCAATAATTAGGTACAATGGATTTCTAAGGTATGCTGATGATCTGCCTTAGGCTGTGAATGTATTCCATTTTCTTATGCAAACACATTTCCAGATAGAGCCCTGTTCCACAGAGCTCTTCCTTGGATCTTCTTTGTGGTGGGCCACATCACTGCCATTTTCCTAAAGCTTTATTGCCTCGTTGTTACTGGAATAATGAACATCATCTCAAGGTTATCCCTGTTAAAATCACCAAATCCAGCCCTATTGATACCACTCTAAACACATAGATTCTTAATTTAAAGTAATCAATGCCACAAATCAATCCACCATTTAGTATCAAGAACTGACCACTGAATAAGGTCAGGAAAGAAATCCCTGGCTTCCTAGAATTCAGGAAAAGCCTAAAAGGGACAGAAGCATTCCATCCAGGTGACTCTGCTTCCCTTAAATGGCTCTGGAAGTGGTCTAACTTAGAGAAGCTTAGAATGCAAGGCTAAATATAGAAAATTGATTTATCTTTTTCATTTAATAAAAAAAAATCTATAGATTTCATAAAGAAGAAACCCTGCATATAGGTCATCCAAATAAAGAAAACACACAGATAAACAGAGAGAGACAGAGACACATAGAGAGACAGACAAAGAGAGATGGAGAGAGGGAGAGAATAGCTCTTAGCCATCTTACATCACATGCACACATATGTAGCCATGTCATTTGATGTTATGCTCTATCTATTATTTGTAAATATACCTTTATAGCCCATCCAATAAATCTGTGTGCTTGCCTGCTTCCTCAACATCTGGCAAAGAAATAGACATTGTAGTTATGGTGATCAAAGCTCAAGAACTAAAGAAGAGTTCTAAGCTACGGTTCCAGCTCTGTACTGAGGAGAGGTTAGAGGTGGACCTATATCAGCCTCAGTATATTTATATAAGTACTTCTTTAGATGATGAACACCCTTCCACTTCAAAGTTGGGAGTGGATGAGAAAAATCATACAATTACTTAGAGGAATTAGTTTCAAAAACTTCTTAGGAGTTTTGTAAAATAATTTAGAAGAGGTTGTTACTAAATCTTTCTGTCTGTTTTGACTTTTTTATCTGCTTATGGACAGCTCTAATTGGGCAAAGAAACAAACGTGATGTAGCAAAATAATTCTCAACAGTGACTATAATAATTCAATATTTTCAACCAAAAGCTAAACTTTATTGTACCAAATTGCCTGATAAAGCTCACAAAACACACACACACACACACACACACACACACACACAGACAGCTGTGGCTATAAGTCCTCAATTGTCCTTTGAAAAGAGGCAAATTACAGAAGCTATTTAAGGATCTGAGAATGCCCAATAGCAAATTATATCTGTTTAGATTATGGTTTAAATTGACAAAATCAATTCTCTAATTGGTAAGGGCATTTTTTTCCTCACAGAAGGAACTAATTTTATGTTTATATTAATAAGATAGTTTCGAGGCACTATTCATTTGAAATTCACTGAAAGTTAATTCCCCAGAAAGAACTTGGTTAACCAATTTATAGAGTTTCCAACTTGGGTAACAGACGTCTTACTCATATTTATGATAAACACACAGGAAGCAAGAGAGCCCCAAGAGGTGCAGTGGCTTGCCCAAGCACACACAATTAGAGGTAGAACCAGGGCCACAGACTCATTGTCACTTTTGCTTAGAGCAGTGATTCTCAACTAGTGGCAATTTTGTCCCCCAGGGAACACTGAGCAATGTCTGCAGGTATTTTGCATTGTCACGACAAGCAGGAAGGCACTAATTGTGTCTAGCAGGTAGAGGTCAGGGATGCTGCTAAACATCCTAAAACACGCAAAATAGCTGTCCAACCAAGTGGGGCCAAGGCTGAGAAACCCAGCGATAGAGTCACCTTCATGTGCACGCATGCGTGCACACATACACACACTCACACACACACACACAAACGTGCAAATAAATGCAAAGATGACAAAAAGAGAATAAAATAGCTATCTAAATTATCTCTAACACTTGCTTATAAGCAAAATCAAGAAGGGTAATAACAACAGCAAGCCTTAGAGTTTTCTATGCTCTTCTCTTTCACTCATACTTGACTTCCAATGTCAGCATATCCTGTCATCTCTACCTTCAAACTAGATCCCCAAATCAGCTGCTTCTTACCACCTTCACTGATGACTCCTAGTTCTGGTCATCATTATCTTTAGCATGGACCAATGCATTAGCGTCCTAGGTGGAATGTCTTCTTCAGCTCTGTACCCATTCAGCCAGTTTTCAACTCAGCAGCCACAATAACTTTAACAATGAAAACCTGATCATGTCACTTCCTTTTTATAAAGCTTAGTCCTCCACTCAGACTAACGCTATATCCCAGTGTGCTGTTGGAAATGTGTGGGGCATATTTTTGGCTGTCATGATAAGCTCGGTGCTACCGGCATTTAGCACCTGGGGCCAAAGAAAGTTAATTTTCCTGCAATGGGAGAGGTTACGAAAAACTGACTTGTCCAAGCTTTTTAGCACCTCTGGTAGGATGCAGTAGTTCACCGTCTACCCCACTCTCCATCTTGCTCTCTATGCTCCAGCCATTGACCATCCCCCATGACCCTTGGGCCTGCAAATTATGTTTTAATATCAAGGACTTGGCACTAGTTGACCCTGCCTAAAAAACTCTTCCTCAATTATCCAAATATCTTACTCCCTCTCTTCATTCAGATACCTCACTTAAATTGTCATCTCATTAGAGAAACATTAAATCACAATCTTAACTAAATTATCATCTCCTTATTAAAGTGAGAGGTTAGTCTGATGAATGTTCCTTCATTTCACTTATCAACAGCTAATATTATTTTGTTAGTGTATTCTGTTTATTATCTGTTTTCCTATGAGGAAGTGAGCTCCAAGAGGGCAGGGGCTTTGTTTACTCATCTTTGTCTCTTCAGTGCCTAAAACAGTGCCTGGACAGAAAAGTTATTAGGATAATGTGCAAGGAGTGAACAAATGAATGCATACTTTCACTTAGACAAAAAAAAAATCCCACTAGAAATGTGTGTGTGGTCAGAGTAGAGAGAAAAATCACAAATGTCCTCTTAACCTGATGGAGGTACATTTTAAAAACCTAACATTACCAAAAAAAAAGAAAATCCCACACTCATCAAGTATTGCTTGCAAAATTATACTTAAGAAGTAGTCCTAATTGTTCTGTTAATTATTTGGTGATCATACCTTTGTGGACTGAGTATTGCAAATAGGTCAGGATATTTTTCTAATACTTCAGGTATCATGGACAAAAGGGGAAACATTCAATTCGATCTATTCACATAAGATATAATTAATACCTTTATTAAGGGATACAAAATTTTATGGACTATTTTGTGCTGACAATATTAAATGTGTAAACTCAGTAGGAATGGTGAAGTAAGGAAAATTCCTCTTCATTAACTTTGATGGGAGCTGGGAGTCTGACAAAACTGCAATTGCCTTGGGGTCTGGTTTCAGGCCAAGGAGACAAACTTCTCTCAGAGAAAACTTTGAGTTTGGAGAGACAGGCTCCCAGAAGTCCTCTGATTAGCAAGCAGCATATGCTGTCATCTCTAATCAAACTTTTCTGAGCTCTGATTGTCCCCATACATCACATTTAACCCCCTGGCTAAAGAACCACAGAGGTGTAGCAGAGCAAGGAGAATGTTGTTATGGAAAAAGAAGCACCTGTAATACTCATCATTTGGATATATGGACCCCATGTGTTTTGGGTCAGCTTCCATAATATGAGAGCCTGCAGTAAGTATTTTGGTGAAAGTGTTTTATTAGGAGCTACTGTCCAGAGAAGGGGAGTATAGAAAGCAGAATAGGGCCAGAAGAAGAATCTAAACTAGGATGTAGTCTTAACAGGAATCTAGCTTTAGTCTGATCTTATGCAGAGCTCTGAAACATGAAGTATACTGCAGAATTGGTCCTCCTAAAAGCAAGGAAACCAGCCTTTCATACCCTTTGGCAATCCTTGGCCTTTGGCCGCTCCATAGGATGGGGTGTCACCTCCCTGGTGAAGAGCTCCCCCATTCCATGGAGGACAATTCTCTAAGAAGGAGGCAGCTATGAGACCTTAGCAACCAACAATCATGACAGCTGTGGGGGAAGAAGTGCCCCTATACTTTGAAGGGCACTTGGATGAGGGAGCAACAGCATTTTCCTGTCTGCCAGTGTCTCAAAGAGACATGAATCACAAATACAATTAGTTAGAAAAAAAACCCCAAAGTACTCTCTCTAAGTATAACTGTTTGGCACAGCATTATTCACAGTGGCCTTGGGAATCATGTCTGGCATCCTGAGTGTTTTCTGAGGGAATTCTACTAACATAGGGAAATGTCCACATGATATTTGTAAAGCCAAATAACATCTTCTTCTCTCCTTGAAATGCTCCAAGCCTTTTACAAAGAGTCGTACTAACAAGTCTCAGAGAACAGTAGACAAAACTAAGATGTTAAACATCAAATTTAAAAGTTAAAAAAGAGTCTATTTACCAATAACTTTGAATAATGATCAACTGAAACCCTTTCAGCAAGTCCTTTAGAAATCTTATTTGCATGTATTTTTTTTCGCTAATTTTCTTTTTAAAATAATTCTCTAATGCAGCTCAAGGTTTCCCAGCCTCAGCACTATGCACATTTTGGGCCAGATAATTTGGAGCTGTCCTGTGCATTGCAGGGTACTGATACAGTTTGGCTGTGTCTCACCTTGAATTGTAATAATCTCCATGTGTTGTGGGAGGGACCCAGTGGGAAGTAATTGAATCAAAGGGGTGGGTTTTTCTATGCTGTTCTCGTGATAGTGAATAAGTCTTATGAGATATGATGGTTTTATAAAGGGGAGTTCCCCTGCACATGCTCTCTTGCCTGCTGCCATGTAAGATGTGCCTTTGCTTCACTTCTCCTTTGCCTTCTGCCATGATTATGAGGCCTCCCCAGCCATGTAAAACTGTGAGTCCATTAAACGTCTTTCCTTTATAAATTACCCAGTCTCAGGTATGTCTTTATTAGCAGTGTGAGAACAGACTAATACAGGTATTTAGCAGCACCGTGGCCTCTACCTACTAGATGTCAATGGAATGTCTGCTTCACCTCTTCAACCTCATAGGGCCAAATGTCCTCTGGAAGGTAAAATGATTCCTAGTTGAGTACCACTGATAAAGCCAAAGGAAACCAGGACAATCTTTGGAGTCATGGCAGGGCTATCCACTTTGTGTTTTGGGCAAGCTAAAAAGTAATTCTAAGCCTTGGTTTTCTCATTTGTGAAATGGGAATAATACCTATTCTACAGGCTTATTCTAATGATGTAAGTAGATAATATTATATAGCATACCACTTGAAATATTAGTCAGTGTTTCTTCTCTTCCCTTCCTTCTGGACTGAAATGTTTTCAAAATTGGTTTGCATTCTTATGAATAGAATAGTGGATATAAAAGACCATTTTATACAAATTAGAACATGATACATGGTTTTACCTCAAAGATCCAACATTGATAGAGAAAAAAACTAATTTATCCCCACTGTCCCTTTTCAGTTTTTATTAACCTTTGAAGAAAGTGTATTGGGAATTTAGATATGCATTTATAATAACTAACATTTTCTGAATGCTTGAATAAGTGCCAGATTCTGTTCTAAGCACTTTATATTGATTATCTCCTGAGTAAGTACAACTATCCCCAATTTATAGATGAAAAACAGAAGGCAGAAAGAGGTTAAGTTTTTCATCCAAAGTAACAGAAAATGATGAATGATATGGTTTGGCTGTGTACCCACCCAAATATCATCTTGAATTGTAGCTCCCATAATTCTCATGTGTTGTAGGAGGGACCCGATGGGAGACAACTGAATCATGGGGGTGATTTCTCCCATACTGTTCTCATTGTAGTGAATGTCTCATGATCTGATGGTTTTATAAGGGGAAACACCTTTTGCTTGGCTCTCGTTCTCTTGTCTGCTGCCCTGTAAGATGTGCCTTTCACCTGCCATGATTGTGAGGCCTCCTCAGCCACGTGGAACTCTAAGTCCATTAAACTCATTTTTCTTCCCAGTCTCGAGTATGTCTTTATCAGCAGTGTGAAAACAGACTAATACGGTAAATTGGTACCAGTGGAGTAGGGTGCTGCTGATAAGATACCCAAAAATATGGAAGTGACTTTGGAACTGGGTAACAGGGAGAGGCTGGAACAGTTTGTAGGGCTCAGAAGAAGACAGGAAGATGTGGAAAAGTTTGGAACTTCCTTGAGACTTATTGAATGGCTTTGACAAGAATGCTGATAATGATATAGACAATGAAATTCAGGCTGGGGTGGTCTCAAATGGAGATGAGGAACTTGTTGGGAACTGAAGTAAAGGTGACTCTTGCTATGTTTTAGCAAAGAGACTGGTGGTATTTTGCCCCTTCCCTAGAGATTTGTGGAACTTTGAACTTGAGGGAGATGATTTAGGGTATTTGGTGGAAGAAATTTCTAAGCAGCAAGGCATTCAAGAAGTGACTTAGGTGCTGTTATAGGCATTCAGTTTTAAAAAGGAAACAGACATAAAAGTTCAGAAAATTTGCAGCTTGATGATGCCATAGAAAAGAAAATCTCATTTTCTGAGAAGAAATTCAAGCTGGCTGCAGAAATTTGCGTAAGTAATGAGGAGCCAAATGTTAATTGTCAAAACAGTGGGGAAAATGTCTCCAGGGCATGTCAGAGACGTTTATGCCAGCCCCTCTTATCACAGGCCTGGAGGCCTAGGAGGAAAAAATGGTTCCATGAGCTAGGCCCAGAGCCATCCTGCTGTGTGCAGCCTAGGGACCTGGTGCCCTGTGTCCCAGTTGTTCTAGCTATGGCTAAAAGGGGCCAAATGTATAGCTTGGGTCATGGCTTTAGAGGGTGCAAGCCCCAAGCCTTGGCAGCTTCCATGTGGTATTGAGCCTGCCAGTGCGTAGAAGTCAAGAATTGAGGTTTGGGAACCTCTGCCTAGATTTCAGACGACGTATGGAAATGCCTGGATGTCCAGGCAGAAATTTGTTGCAGGTGCAAGGCCCTCATAGAGAGCCTCTGCTAGGGCAGTTCAGAAAGGAAATGTGGGGTTGAAGCCCCCACACAGAGCAAAGTCCCCACTGGGGCACTGCCTAGTGGAGCTGTGAGAAGAGGGCCACCATTTTCCAGACCCCAGAATGGTAGATCCATTGACAGCTTGCACTGTGCATCTGGAAAAGCCACAGACATTCAATGCCAGCCAGTGAAAGCAGCCGGGAGGGAGGGTGTACCCTGCAAAGCCACAGGGGCAGAGCTGCCCAAGACCATGGGAACCTACCTCTTCCATCAGTGTGACCTGGATATGAGATATGGAGTCAAAGGAGATCCTTTTGGAGCTTTAAGATTTGACTGTCCTGCTGGATTTTGGACTTGCATGAGGCCTTTAGTCTCTTCATTTTGGCCAATTTCTCCCATTTGGAATGGGTGTATTTACCCAATGTCTGTACCCCCAATGTATCTAGGAAGTGACTAACTTGCTTTTGATTTTACAGGCTTATAGGTGGAAGGGACTTTCCTTGTCTCAGATGAGGCTTTGGACCGTGGACTTTTGAGTTAATCCTGAAATGATTTAAGACTTTGGCGGACTGTTGGGAAGGCATGATTGGTTTTGAAAAGTGAGGACATAAGATTTGGGAGGGGCCGGGGCAGAATGATATGAGTTGACTTTGTCCCCACCGAAATCTCATCTTGAGTTGTAGCTCCCAAAATTTACACGTGTTGTGGGAATGACCTGGTGGGAGATAATTGAATCATGGGGGCAGTTTCCCCCATACTTTTCTCATCATAGTGAATGATGAGATCTGATGGTTTTATAAGGGGAAATCCCTTTTGCTTGGTTCTCAATTCTCTCTTGTCTGCCGCCATGTAAGACATGCCTTTTACCTTCACCATGATTGTGAGGCCTCCCCAGCCAGGTGGAATTGTGAGTCCATTAAACCTCTCTCTCTTTTTTTTTTTTAATGAAATACCCAGCTTCCAGTATGTCTTTATCAGCAGCATGAAAACAGACTAATACAGTGGAGTTTGAATTTATACTGAGATAGCCTATTGGAAAGTGGAAGAGCTATGACAAAACCTAAAAAGACAGTTGGTGGTTTGGGAATAGAAATACAACAAGAAAAGTAGCTACAATGATAGCTGATGGCATTTTGTTGGTCAGCCTGTAACATCCAATCCTCGAGACACAATTAAGACCTTACATTGAATTAAGACCTTAAAGGCCCTAAGCATGGAAGAATTGAAGTTGCCTGTCTCTGCCTCACCTGCCATATGCAGTTTAAATTAAAGCAATAAAAAATAAAATAAATTTTTGAAATTCCAATAAAGTTTTATTTTTTCCCATGATGAATATATTAATGCATCTTGAAACATTGAATATTGCATTTTAAAAATATTTTATCATGTTTAGCTTGTTTATTGGGTATTCAGTACTAATAACTCAGAATTTCTTGATCCTCCTGCAAACTTATGGCTATTGAATTTATGATCTTGACCTTGGCTGTGGAATGAAGAGTTCATGACTTTGGATTGGTAAACTTGGTTCACTCATCTAACCTTGGTTGGACAGCCTCATTTAGATCTTTCATGTTCATTTTGATCCAGGGCAGACACCAGCAGACTTTTTCTGTAAAGGGCCAGATAGTAAATACCTTAGGCTTTGTGAAGCATGAGGTCTGTGTTGCAGCCACTCAATTCTGCCACTGTAGTTCAAAAGCAGTTATTGACAATATATGAATAAATTGATATAGCTGTGTTCAATAATATTTTATTTACAAAAACAAGCAGCAGGCAATATTTGGCCTGCAAGCCACAGTATGCCAACCTCTGATCAAGGGTCCTGTTTTCTGTGTATACTTCCTTAACCATCAATTCGTCATGCTTTCAATGCAGTGCTTTGCCTACAATTATATTATATTGTTGCCAAGTAGGTGATGATTCATTTTTGGCCTTATGATCCAGAAGGCCTGGCTTCCCTAGAAGTGGTTACCCCATCATTTATGATAAATAAACAACTCTTTATAAAAATGGAAAAAATACAATAAATGCTCCAGATAGATTTATAAATTACACCATTAATAAAGATATGTCATAATTAAAGGAAGTATTTCTGGAGAATGGTGCCTAGAGGAAATGCTTGCAATCATGCCACTATTAAGTGACAGATACAAGAGTAAAGCAGAGCTCCTGAGTCTCAGTCTTGTACGTTTTACTGTACCCTTTTACCTCTTTCCTCCAATCCTGCTTACCCTGTGCTTTGAATAAAACACTTCTCATCTACTCTGTGTCTCTGAATTTAATGTTAAAGGGCTCTGATGTCTATGCTCTTTTAGGTAAAGGTTCTCTTCACGTGGTTGTGGCTAAAAAGAGGAACCAATGATTGAGTGACAAAGTCCAGTGGCTATTTCTTAATTCTCACTCTCCTTGACCAACATACTTCATTTGACCTTTTCTTTTTACAACCATCTTTTCCTTCTAGAAATTTCCTACCCTTATGTTTTCCCAGCATTGTTTCTCAAGGTTCCTTTTCCTCTCACAGTAGTTCATTTTAAATTTATTTTACTGGCTCTTTGTCCATGTAAATGCTGGTGTTCCCCACAGTCTTGTCCTCAGTCTTTTTATTTTTCCATAGTTCTCTCAGAGATCTCTTATCCATTCCCATGGCCTTGACTACCGTTGACCTACTGAATCTTGCAAAATCTGTATCTTGTCCCTTTTCTGAGATCCATATTTCTATTTTCAACCAAACATAGTCATTTCTGTTATAATGTGACTTATGTATTCCAACATTATGCAAAATCATGCAACAAAAACAATAGGACTTGTAGAAAATCAGAGTTAGAAGAACAGTCTGCCAGTAACTGTAGTGGACTGAATGTTTATGTCTTCCCCAAAATTTATATCTTGAAATCCTAGCCCCTAAGGTGGTGGTATTCTGAGGTGAAGCCTTTGGGAAGTGATTAAAACATGAGGCTAGAGCTCTCTTACATGGGATTATAAAAGAAACCCCAGAGAGATCTCTTGCCCCTTCCACCATGTGAGTTACAAATAAGAAGATGGTTATCTATGAGGAAGTGAATCCTCACCTGACTCTGAATCTGCTGATGCCTTGATCTTGAACTTACCAGCCTCCAGAACTATGAGAAATACGTTTCTGTTGTTTATAAGCCAGCCACTGGATTTATGGTATTTTGTTACAGCAGCCAAATCCACTTAAGACAATGACACAGAGAAAAAGATAGAAACCTAAGAAAAGCAATGTCACAATTTTACACATATTAAATGGTTAATAAATGCACAAATACTACAATAAATATGGCACTTTATCTTAAAGAAGACTTGAAGTTTGCTTGTAGAAATGTGATTTGAAATCGTTGTACTCTGTGTTATTCTGAAGTGGTAGAAAGAGGGCTATGTAAAATCAGTCGGAAAGTTGTGAAACCAGATGTGGATGGGTGTGGCTCATAACACATGCTGCAAACTGAGATAGTGGATAGATGTTTGAGGTAAGCATGTGTGCAAATTTTGGTATTCCTGTGTAGTTTTGTTCACCTGTGTGCAGTTTTCTGCATTCACCTAGTGTTTTTTGTGGATGAAATCACACATAAGCAAATGCAAAATTCTTGTTATGCTCAAATTATCTCCTAATATATTCATATCACTGGAACACATTCAAGGTTTTACAAGTGTTATGCCAGAACTGGTGCCTCCCAGGCATCTCAGTCTCAACAAATCAAATCATGATATGTCCAACTATTTTTTTCTGCAAAGTCGTTCTTTCTCCACAAAGTCTGTTGATGCCATCAACAAATAGCTAACTGCCTTAAACAGAAACCTTGACATGGTCTTCAACTACCTCTCTGTCACTCATTACATCCAATTAGTCATCAACTACTGTCAATTCCACCTCATAAATGTGTCTCAAGTTCATCTTCTCTTCTCCACTGTGGGAAATGTACTGATTCAAACTTACCATCTCTTGCTAGAACTCTTGCAAGAGCCTCCTACTTGGTTTTCTGGCACAATTCTTATCTCCCAACACCTGATATTTTAAACAGCCATCATGATGATCTTTCTCAGAGCAAGTTTTCTGAGAGTAAAGGCACTGAGTTTAACTCTCTGTCCTGCCCTACTAACTGTATGAATTTAGGTAATTTACTTAACCTCTTTATACCTTGGCTTCCTCACCGAGAAAAAGGAAAATCTTGTGTCACAGGTTTCTTGTGAGGATGATACATTTAAAGAGCTTAGCACAGTGTTCAGCATATGTGTTAAATGAATAACAGTTATAATCAATATCATTTATGATTATCATTGTCATCCTCATATCATTGTCACCATCAGGATATCATTATTCCAGGAAAGCTGGAATTAAGTTCTCCAAGCTGAAAAACCAGACTTTTTAGCTTTTACTTCATTTATTTTAATTCAGTGTATATGTCACATATTGAATGCTTACTGCATCCAAAGCAGTACCAAGGGAGACACTTAATTGAATCTAACTACCAAGACTGACAAAAATTATGTATTAATATTTCCACCTTAAAGCAGATTGTCATGATGGCTATAAATAAAGTACAAAGGGAGTATAGGAAAGGACATAAATTCTAGTGGAGGATTTTGGAGGCCTTTGGGGAGAAAATAATATTTCAATGGTCAAGAGGATTGGATGGCCTTGAGAGCCAGCTATGAATGATAATCTCTATTTTAGAAACATGATGTGGTTTGCATGTGGGTGGAAGAAAGAGAGTTTAAAAAATGACAACTATGTCTATTGTGGCTGGAGTGCGGTATGCAGGATGAAAGGAGCTGGAATGAAACATGAGTTACTGATGAACTGGGTCAAGGTGAGGGTTCAGCAGGTCTTGTTCATTCTACTTTTAAGTGAAGCCTGAATCCACTCATTCATCTTCATCCCCACTATTGTGGCTCTAACCCAGGACACGGCCTTCACTCATATGGAATACTGCAAACCTTTCCTATCCAAATCCCTTTCTCTGGACTGCAGAGCTTTGTGCTGTCTTGACTTTGCTATAATACACCTGCATTAACCACACCCCTTATCTCAGTCATGATGGTTTTCTTATGACCCTTGAAGAAGATAGGTCTGTTACCATCTTCAGACTTTGACTCTTGCTTCTCCTGTACCTGAAGTTCTTCCCCTTTTCTTTGGATGACTAACTTATTCTCACCATTCAAGTCTCAGCACAAGTATCTCTTCTTCAGAGAAAACTTTCTTAACAATCCTATTCAAAATAGACCACCTTGTCACTCTTTATAGCATCACCATAGATTACATATTGTTTATCACCTATCAATTCCACCCAGACACAAGCTCAGTAACTGTTCTGGCTCAACATTGTATCTGTAGTGCATAAAACCATGCCTGTGCATACTAAGTGCTGAGAAGTTCTGGTTCAATGGACACATGACTATAGGTAGGTACAGGCTACACAGTTGGATAGGAAAGGCCCTGAATGACAGACTGCCATATTTAGGTTTTTCTCTGTGACAGTAGAAGTTTTGTGAGTGGATGTGTTTTCTCTTCCTTCTCAGCTTCTTCTCCACCTAACTAAGTCCTCACTCGTTTGTCATGGCTCAATTCAGGCTCCACTTTATAACAGTGAATATCCTTGGTCACATATGTAAATACTCTCTCTTTTTCTCTCCTTTGTACCTTTGGCTTTTAAATAAATACTATTTATGTTGTTTTTGGCACTAATCATATGCTGCAAAGAATTACTTGGTATTTTTCCGTCTGTCTAAATTTATCATTTCAAAAAGATATCTGAATCTTTTAAGAACATCATGTATGACCTATGCCCTGTGGCTCTTGCCAGGCCTCTTATAGGTCTGAGGTGTCCCAGAAGTTTCTTGTGTGCTATCAGGTTATTTTTAAGGTAATTAATATTCTTTCAATTTCGTTGTGTGAATTGTCTTCAATTCAACACATATTTATTGTGTGCCTAGAGTGTGCTGTGTCCTGTGGCATATAAAGATGAGAATGGTACAGTCTTTGCACTCAGGTAGTCCATGACCCACCTAGGAAAAGCAGGTGCATATATCAAATGTAATAATTAAAGTGCTGTTATAGAAGTTTGTGCTGACTGCAATGAGACCATGAATGAAAGATCACCTGATTTCATCAGAAGTGAAAAAAGGTGGTTGTACAAAGATAAGAAACTCAATTGAGTTGGGACCATGGGCAGGATGTGCAGCATTGCCTGGGGACAAAGCATTCCATTTGGAAGAATGGTACGAGTCAAAATTCAGTGGTGTGAATGTGCTGATGACTCTGTGAATAGCCTATAAACTAGAGTGGCTTGAGCACAGGATGCAGAGGTAGAAAAAGAATAGCTGAGAATAGGAATTAATTTAAAACATATTTTACATGTTTTTAGAAGGAAGAGTACATGCAAAGGTGATGTCATAAATACCTCTTCCCAAGCCAATTGCATTAGGGCTATTCTGTGACAACGAGTTTCCAGAAGGTGATGGCATTGGACTGATCCCACAGGCAACTCACCTTTTCCCAGTGAGTGCACCCCTGTCTATAAAGCAGCCTGGTGCTGGCAGAGCCGTCTCTGTTTCATCTTGGTTCCAAGTGTTTACACTACTACGAAGTTAATATAACCCAACCAGGATGGGGTGAGCTCACCAGAAATGTGAGCCCTGAGTTTGATTCAGTGTGGTTCAACTTTAAAGCATTCCTGAAAATGCATTTAGCATTAGCAACTAGAATTTCAGTTCTCTGGGATGTGCTTGCCCTGTGGATGTGGCTTGTGAACAACACATGGCAGAGGACGTTTTTACTGAGATGAACAGGATTTTCATCCTGAGAGTCTGCTGGAGGCTCTGTCGGGATGACATAGGTGTCTGCATAGTCAGGCAGGGTCAGGCAAACATGTCGCCTTTGGCAGATCAGGAAGGACAGGCCTAGTGCCGTGGTGTCTTAACGGGGAATGGGAGGCCAAAGCCCAAATGTACTGTGCTTTTCCAGAACTTGATTACACTGCTTTCTGATAAAAGAGGATACGTACTTAGGAGCTGGGCAAAATTCACTAACTTCTAATTCCTAATCTGGGTAGACCAGGACTTTAAGAGCTCTCAGTTTGGGTTAACCACATCCTGAAACATGATGGCAAGGAGAGAGATTAGCAACGTTTCTCCCTCACACTGGAGAGATAATGCTCCAAAGCAGCCACCATCCGGTGACTGACAGGGACTTGGTGGACAAACATCCTACAGCATCCTTGCTCCTTTGCACAGATGATTGATTCTGAGGTGTGCCCTGCACTGTCCCAGGGTCCCCCTGAGGGATTGAGCCTCAGTCACCCACAGCAGAACTCTGATCTGTAACATACCCTCTACTGGCTGCCTGTTCTTCCCTGCCTCACTTCCCCCTTCCCGATTGTTGCCTTCTGCTGTCATCTCCCAAATAAACCACTTGTCCTCAAAACTCTGTCTCACCCCTTTTGGAGGAATCACCTAGCATAGCCAGAGTCGACTTAAAGAATAGAATCTGGCCACAGGAGATTTTAAGAAAGAGTAGATTGAACGTTACAGACATTTATTGAAAACCCATTGTGAGCCAGGTTCTCTACCTGACACTTGTCCTGTAGCAGGACTGTAGTCTCCTCATCTCCCCTCAGCACTCATCTGTGCACACTGAAGCTGCTCCCCACATAGCTTGTCTGGCCTCAAGCACATACTCTGTCTGCAAACTGAACTCAGAACTGAGGTGGAATGAGTATTTCTAAGGCAACTCTCAGTCAGTGATGGATGGCAATGACTAGGTGAATAAGCATATTCCTCACCCCTTGGGAGAGGAAGCTCTCAGGCACAGCTTCCCTATTTCCCAGAGGTCCTCGGCAGAATAGAGTCTCTAATGTCCGCAGTAGGACCCTGACCATTAGCACACTTTGTGAGCTGCCTCCTCTTTTCTTTCTTCCTTCTCGAGCCCCCTACCAGTGCTTCCTGAGACCTTCCCCCAGACAAACCACTTGCATCCAAATCTTTATCACAGGGCCTACTTCGGGGGGAGGCCAAAACATAAGACAACATATGTATCTCATTTGGTGCTAATAATAAACAATGGAGTCAGATAATATAATAATGGTAACACCTACTCACTCTTCCAAGTACTTTACACATATTAACTAGTTTAATTCTCACATCGCCATAATAATCACGATACTGAAATTATACCTGTGTACGGATGAGGACAGCAAGGAACAAAGCATTAACAGTATGGCCTATAGTTGCACAACTGGTTAGTAGAGGAGCCAGGATTCTAGGTCAGGAAGTCTGGCACCAGAATTGACCCTATTTTTCATTTAAGGACTCAAGACTTAGAAACATTAATTAACTTGACAAAGGTCCCATGATGGCAAGCAATAAGGCTGAGATCAGAACCCGTATCTGTCTGAGTCAATGAACTTTCCCTGCTGTTATTAACAAACACTTTCCTGAGGTCCCTGAATGGATCTCTGGTTCTCTGGAGCAACAGGCCTGGACATGTGGAGCACCATCCCATGGTAGCCTGGCTCCTACACCCCACATTATTGTGCTGAGAGGGAAACAAAGCCAGCTTTTGGGTACTGTAGGAGGGATCCCCACAAGCCACCAAGTAGCCTGAAGCTACCCAATGCTTCCACCTGGATGTTTTCCAAGATATGAAATTGCTTCATAAGGAAAGCAAAGAATATTTTGTTTTCTATGTGCTCCTGATCTTTCTTTCTAGTAAAATGGTTAGTACTTGATGAATTTATTGTTCTTCAAAAGAAAGGGGAAAACAAGTAAGGTTTGGACATCAAAACATCGAAGACTTTGATTTCCAGAATTCTTCTGTGGATCACCTCTAAGTCACTAACTATATCAGTAAGAAGAAAACTCAAGAGTCACAGCTCATTGCAGTCAGATGCCTGTTCAAACCAGAGCTATGTCACTTCTTAGCCGGGTGAATTTAGCAAAATTATGTCACCACTCCGAGCCTGACTTCTATCAAAGTGAGAATAATAATAGTGCTGACTACGCCAACCTGAGGTGAGGATCAAAATGGGGCAAGGCATAGGGAATATTTTATGGATATTAAGAAGATATAATATATTAGCGACGTTAAAAGATTGCAAAGCAAAGTATGTGTTCCTTCTCTTAATTTTGCTAATATTAATTAATGTAATAACTATTTACTGAGTATATTTGAGTTCTCAGACACTGCCCTAGGTTCTGAGAATACAGAGTAAATAAACAAATGAAATTTCTTGCCACGAATTTTAGTGTAAACAAAATAAACTATTTAGTTTGTTAGAAGGTGGTAAGTCCTAAGAGTAACAGATCAGCAAGGAAGGGCAGATGAAGTATTGGAGGAAGAGCTGCACTTTCACATAGAGTGGTCCAGGAAAGGTCTCTTAAGTAAGTAATATTTGGAAAGAGAGATGATCAACTCAAAATAGATTAAATACTAAAACATACGACCTGAAACTATAAAAATCTTAAAAGAGAACATAAGGGAAATGGTCCTTGACATTAGTTTTGTCAATGAATATTGACACCAAAAGTACAGGCAACAAAAGCAAAGATAAATAAGTGGCACCACATCAAACCAGAAAAGTTCTTGTGCAGGAAAGAAAACAATCAACAAATGAAAAGGCAAACTACTGAATGGGAGAAAATATTGGGAAACTGTATATCTGATAGGGGGCTGATATTCAAGATCTGTAAGGAACTCACACAACTCAACAGCAAAACCAACCAATCAACCAAATAACTCAATTAAAAAATGAGGAAAGGATCTGAATGGATGTTTTTCCAAATAATACATACAAATGACTGATAGGTACGTGAAGTGGTGCTCGCCATCACTAATCATCAAGGAAATGCAAATGAAAACCACAACAAGATATTACCTCACACTTGTTAGGATAGCTGTTATCAAAAAGGCAAAAAATAACAAGTGTCGGTGAGGATGTGGATAAAAGAGAATCCCTGTACACTGTTGGAGGAAATGTAAATTAGTACAAACCTTACAGAGAATAGTAGAGAGGTTCCTAAAAAATTAAAAATAGAACCACCATATGACTCAGTAATCCCTCTGCTGAGTATGCACCTAAAATAAATAAAAGCAGCATGTCTAAAAGATATTTGCACTCCATATTCATTGCAGCATTATTCACAATGGTCAAGATAAGGAAACAACCTTAGTGTCTGTCAATAGGTGCAAGGATAGAGAAAATGTATGTGAGTGTGTGTATGCATTACAGGAAATATTATTCAGGCTTAAAAAAGAAGGCAATTCTGCCATTTGTGACAACAGGGATGAACCTGGAGAACATTATGCTAAGTGAAATAAGGAAGACACAGAAAGACAAATACCCCATGATCTTACTTAATCTACAAAAGTTGATCATTAGAAATAGAGAGTATAACAGTGGTTACCAGGGGCAGGAGGTGGGGGAAATTGGGGACTATGTGTCAGAATTGTAAAATGAATATATACAGCATGGTGACTAGTTAATAATAATGTACTGTATACCAGAATTTTCTAAAAGAGTACATCTTAAGTGTTCTCATTAAAGTGTGTGAGATGATGGATAGGTTAACTTGATTGGGGGAATCATTGTACAATGTATTCATATATCAAAACATCATGTTGTACATCTTACTTATATTTAATGTTTACTCGCCAATCATACCTCAATAAAATTGGGGGGAAAAGACTTTAAGAGGTGAGCATGCAGATCATGAAGGAATAACATAAACATGTCTGAGACACTTTGGCAAGCACTACCCTGGTGACTAGCCAATCTTACCACACTCTCTAGCATTCCATGGCTATGGCTTTTGAAACAAGCAGAGCGTGCCCCAACCCAGCACAGAGAAAAGTGACTTCAGCTGATCCTCATTCTGAGCATGCTGCTGTAAACTACGTGTATCTAACAAATTCTTATATCTGGAGCTCCAGTTTGAGAAACCTGGGAAAATAGCCCAAAAAGTTTGTGTAAAACCGACAGCTTGGGAGAATTGTTCTACAAAGCCAGCAACCATTACAGACTCTTGAGTTTCTATTTGGGCTGTAATCGTGAGAGAGCCTTCATATGCAAGGTGAGTATGGAGCTGGCAAATCCTTCCCATTAATATCTATACAGGAAAGCTTTTCTTTTCAGCAAGCTTCTTCTGACCATGAGAAAATCAGTAGCATTCCTGGCACTGTAGAACCAAACCTTGACAAGTTCAGCAGCATCCTCAGCGTCACAGAACTATGAAGAGGTCAGCAGTATCCCAGCACCAAAATCACAGCATCTCCAATAGCATCGAAGCATTGAAAGGTCAGTGGTGACCCCAGTATGATGAAATGGGCCTAACAGTAGACTCAGACCACATCTGGACCACCTGAGGAGCAATTAGATTTATAGGGTTTGTCACTGCTAATGCTCTGCAGAAACTACTTTTGACATGTAGAGAGTGAGAATCAGAGCACTGAACAGAATTCCCAGGCAATACATTTGGCCTGAGTCGTACTTAACATGTGTTAGACATAAGTTGCTATGCTTGGCTTCATAGTCACTCTCCTTTTAGCAAAGCAAGCATAAGGGATTGAATGTGTCTCAGCTGCTCTGGGATGTCTCCTTGCAACTCACAGATGACATAGGAGATTCGGAGGCAAAGCACAAGACCAGGGTTCTAATCTGATGCATGTCTATCTGGGGACCTGAGACAAGAGGCTAAATTCTCTGCATTTCCGTGTTTCCATTTGTGTAATAAGAAACTATGTCTTCATGTTTAACGGTGATTTTCCTGAGGCAAAACCATACTTAAAGGGGAAAAGATTCAAATCTATATAAGCAGGACATCTCATCAGGGTTTGGGCCTTTGTGCAAACAGTGTTCAGGACCTACTGGACAGTTAAAAATCTCTCTGTGGGAATTTATATTAATATGCAAATGAATCAGGCTTTGAGCTCCCTTCTAGACCACCAGACAACCAACATTTTCACCTACTTCCTGCCCATCACATCTGTACTGCTCATTGAATTCTTACTAATAAATATGTTTCTCCACTGCTTTAAATTAGAACTAGCTGTACTCCAAATGGCGATAAGAGGGTTTTTAAATATTTATATTTATTTTGAGAATTTCTTTAAATTACTGTTGAATTGATGAGCACTGAACTACGTGGCAATCACAGTGCTAAGTGTGTTTACATGAATTTTCCCCATTGAATCATATCTCTATGAGGTAGATATTATGAGATGAGGTTGCTATTTTTAAATGATAAATTCGGAGCTCAGAAAAATAAGGAACCCATAGAATTCACATAGCTAAAATGTGGCAATGTCAACCACAGTCTGATTTCAACTCCTTGCATTAACCACAAAGCCGCACTAGTTAATTATTGCTGCAAAACAAGTTATTCCAAAACTTAACAGCTTATAAGAACAAACATTGATGATCTCACCCAGCTTCTGAAGTCAGGAATCTAAGAACATTTTAGATGGATAGTTCTGGTTGAGAATCTCTTGTGAAATTATGGTCAAGATGTTTACCAGCGCTACGGGCATCCCAATGCTTTGATGAGTTCAAAGAGCCAAGTCCACTTACATGGATGTTGGTAATGAACTTCAGTCTCTCACCATGCAGGCGTGCTCATTGGGCTGCTTACAGTCACAGAGCTAGCTTCACCACAGTGAATGACCCAAGAGAGAGAAAGAACAAGACCCACATGGAAGTCACAGCAGATATAGAATTTAATCTTGGAAGTGACATGTCATCACTTCTGTCATGTGATATTGGGTTATTGGTCACAGAGACCAACCCTAGTATAATATGGGAGGGAACTGTATGAAGGCATGAATACCAGAAGGCAGAGATTACTGTGGGCCACCTTGCAGGTGGGCTACAGTTACCTATTAGAATTTTATGTTATCACTTAAAAGGGGCTCAACAGACTCCTTGGCTCCAGGTTTCCCTACCAGCTAAATATTGGCATGTAGAGTGTAGAGGATGACATTTCTAGTCATCTTCTCCTTAACTCAGAGACCAGGAAAAAGAGAAAGAGAAGGGCTACATTAAATTAATTATTTTTGGATCCTCTATAGTGCCCCCAATGACATAGATTGGATACAATATGGTGAGGGTAGTTAACTACTCTCAGGACACCCCGGCCCCCACCTCTGCCATTTTTGATGAGAAGAGAAAGAGAGAGAGAGAGAAAGAGAGAGAGAATGTGTTTCCAGACTCCCCAAACACAGACTCGCCATCAGATTTAGTACTATTTTTCTCATAACATGGCAGGACATTATCAAGCTTGGGAACTGAGAAAACACGATGGGAGGAGAAAGGGAGAAATGAACCATAAATGTTGGAATTATTCCACAGCACCAACAAATGATAAACTCCTGCTGTTCCTCACATAGATCTGTAACCGCAATTGCACTTGTCCCTCTTAAAAATAGCAGTTGGAGTCTAGAATATTTCTAAGACAGTAGAGTGTCATCTTCATTTTTAAACATGAATAAGCTACACAGATGAAGCCTGTGGGGGCTAAAGCATTAGAGAGACACAGAACAGAGAAAGAGGCAGGGGCAAGATTTACCAGGACTTCCAGAAAAGGGTTGTTTATTCATTTATTCTTTCAACCAGCACTCAGGGAGCCTTTATTATGAGACAGCTACTAAGCATTTAGGAGGGTATAAAAAAATAAAAAGCACTGTCCCTACTTTCCAGAAATGGAACAGTATAGATTGATTCCCATAGATTTAATAGACAGATATAGCCTCAATCATTTATTCATTTATTCACTAAATATTGCTGTGTCAGGCATTTCGCTAGACAATGGTGTGGCAAAGATTAATAAAAATGTTATCTGTTCTTCAGGGCCCACAGTCTTGGGTAGGGGTGGGGGGATCAGGATTGAGGTGGATCCAGAAGGATAAGAGAAAAATAAAGAAGCAGCATCTAAATTAGTTTGGGGAAGAGGATGGGACAAGTGCTAGGGAAAGTGGTAGTGTATGTGAGTCTCAAGGAGAGAGTTTAAATCAGTATTTAAATTTGTATCTGTATAAATGACTTTCCAGCTGTCTGCCTATTTTATTAATGGGGCATGGCTCAGAGGTACGATTAGAGTTTGAGTCCCAGCTCGACTGCTTTTTAACTGTGCAATCTTGGGTAAGTTAGCTTCTTGATGCCTCAGTTTCCTCATTTGTAAAATGAGGATTACAATAGCAATACCCTTTATGATCACTATGAGAATTAAATGAGTTAGTCTCTTTAAAGTCCTTTAAAAGAAAGTACTTAGCACATAGTGAGTTCTATGTAAGTACTAGTTATCTACAGAGAGACTAACATTTTCCACTGGAATGTCTCCTAGACAACACCTCTCAGGTATGTTTCTGGGTCTTGGGAATTAAAATTAGGGCCTATGAACGGGAAAGTCTTAAGATGCTAGTTTTGAGAGTGCGCTAAGAAATGAGGTGAGGAATCTTTATGGCTTCCCACTGGGAAAATCCAGAGTTGCAACCTCTTTGGCAGGCAGTATTCTTTTTTTGGCAGGAATCAGGAATTCCAGATTCTTCACAGTATCAGGGGCCTTGAGGAGGAAGCAGCTGTACTAATAAATTCACAGATATTCTGGATTAACTGACTGCAACCTGGAAGAGCAGGAGCACATTGTTGAGTCTACAGTAGTTTTCTGTTGTGCAGAAAATGGCAAATAAAAACATGTACTTGCTTCAATCTTCATATCCTTATTATTTCTTCCCTTCCCCACTCAATCCTTTTGTAAGGCCTAGAGACTGAACCCACTGCAATCAGTGTATGGCATGTATCCAAGTAACTGCTCTGCAAAGTATGGAGTAGGAAATCTTATTTGTAGCAAAAGAAGTAAAACAAATTACTATAGTATTTTATCTACATTGTGGCATTATGATAAATGTATGTTATCATTCCATGTCATTTAGCTCCTAACCAGTCTCCCGAAGAGGATCTTATTATTATTCCTATTTTAAGATGAGTGAAGAAATATTCCGAGCAATTGATGGGTTTCTTAGTGTTATTATTAGTAATTGGAGGTACTGGTTTTGAGCCTGACTCTATGACTCTAAAGCAAGTGCTCGTAACTTCTGTGATATGGGGTATAAGAACTAAGGAGTTATAGAGTGTCAAAGGAGGAATAGAGGAGGAAACAGTGAGAACATCCCAAGAGAGGTGGTATTTGAGTTGAGTGTTAAAGATAGGCACAGTTTTTAGACATGGAACGGATAAGTCAGGTCGTTCTAGATGAAGAAATGTTAAAGGTCAGGAGGGCATGAGTGTCATGAGCCCCCTGGAAGAATATAAAAGTGTCTTGTGAGAGTAAAGCATGGGTGTTTGATAGAAGATAAAGCTGGATATGGACACATTCAAGGAAGGTCATCTGTTCCCTCAACCAAATGGAAATGCAAACCCATCTTTGAGGCAGAGGGAGGAAAGGGCTGAGGGAATGGCTCCGTGTTCTACACTGCATGATAAACAGTAGACATTATATCTCTACCAGCCTTTTGCCATGGTTGATGCTTAGTTTCTGCATCACTGTCTGAAGACAGGGGCACAGAACCCAGCTGCTGAGACTCTAGAGATTGCTAGTGCCCTAGCTGTTGAGATAGAACTTGTTAGCGGGAGACGAACAGCAGAAGAGAAATTAGGAAGGAGTTGAACCTTAGACCCGACTGATGGGTCACAAAGCAGAGAGGGTGCCTAGCCGTACCAGGAAGGATTTTTTTTCTGGCTCTCCGTGGCAGCACTGATGATGTCTCACAGCAATGCCAATCTGGACACAACCATTCCACAGAATGTTTTGCTGAACTGTGGTTCATGAAAACATCAAGCCTAGGATTTGTTGTAAGTGATCCTTTTCTTTTCCCACACCATTTTAGACTAGAAATAATCCCCAGCCAGCTGGTATGTCACTTTCAGAGGTAATGTGAATCCAAAACAACACAACTCTGACCTCTTCCTTATGGGAACACACATGGCATTATAGGAAAAGCATTGGTTTCGGGACTAGCAGTTCAGATTCAAGTCTCAGCTCTTAGAATTAAGCAGTTGTGCGATCTTGGACAAAATGTTTAGCTTCTCTGAACTTCAGTTTTCTTAACTGTAGACTAAGAAAGCATGCCTTACTTTATATGAAAAGGCCAGCTATCTCAGGGTGGATGTAAGCAGAAATTAGATAGTGCAAATGAAATGAAATAAAAACACACTGCTAGTCTAAAGCAGTGAGCATTTAGACTGCATGAGAAATAATTAAATTATTTTAAAGTATGAAGGAAATGTAATCTGCTTCTCCCATCCTGCCCCCTGCAGTATCCAGCAGCAATGTTCATAGGCACTAGTCAATGTCTTTGCTGTTGAGTCTCCCACAAGTATCACAGTTGCTTCCTGTCAGGGACTGGGACCATGTGCACTCAGAGACTGTGTCATCTCTGCCTCACAGGCACAAGGGAGAAGGGTTTTGGGCACTGCTGGCTGCAGTCACAGTCTCTGATGCCTTTGCATTCCTCTGTATAGTGGCAAATAGTCAAGATGGTGACATCCAGATGCATTTACATTTAAGTGTGCTTGAACCAACAGCACCTATCCAAAAAGTATCCTGCTCCCCTGCCTTCTCCCTTGGCATAGTTGGGTACTATCCATTTGTAGTTCTATGGCCTTGAGAAAGTTAATCTCTGTGCCTCAGTATTCTCATATCTGTGATATTAGCGTCACAGTCCTCCTTTCTAGTACTATTATTATGGAGATTACTTAGATATTATATATACGGAGAATGGCACATCATTCCTTTACAGGGGTTGCAGCCACACTAAACTAAATGCCCCATGGGAGCACGTTGAGAGGTGTGGGTGGATTTGACATATAGTAGACTAAGAATAAGTGAATCCAGAAAAGTCAACTCTCATAGCCAATGGGGCTGGGATGTCAGGAGATTTCTTGGAGGAACAACAAAAAAAAAACTGATACTCAAAGAATTGGAAGTTACAGGTAGGTGAGGAGGAGGGAAGGACTCTAGGCATTCACTCTAGCATGTGTCACTCAGCACAGTGACATGATACAGTGAGAGGACAAGGTGGTCATCAATGTCACCAGATGGAGAAGTGGGAACGTATGCTGAAGTCCTCAAATGCCATGTTAAGTAGCACAGACTGTAACCCCTAAAGTTAGGGCTTTCCAAACTTCAGCCACTCAGTATCAGCTTCACAATTTTTGCCATATCTGAGTATTGCAGTATCTCTTCTTTAACCATTTACTTAATATGGTCTTTAAATGGACTCACCTTCTTTTAAACTAAATAAGCTTACTTTATAAGGAAATTCTATTACCATTGTAAATAATAACCCATACCATTTGTCATAAACATAAGAAAATGAAACCCATAAAGTAAAACCAAACTATATTATTACACTCTTACTAGATACTTTTGCCTAATGACAACTCTGAGCCCAAGCCTACTATCTCTTGGCTTAAAAAGGGAAATGAGCAGGTTTTTGAGGAGTATGACAGCCATAAAGCACTCCTACAGTGAAGCTTTCCCTTAGAAGGATGGAGAGGGATCTGGGACGTTGCTGCTGTGGATTTAACATGAGGTAATGCTGTCACCATGGGTCTCTAAAAGCATTCTCAAAACTACCAGTGCCTAGTGTCCCATTTTTAGGAAAATCCTCCTGGGGTGACAAGAAAATCTTTGAAGTTTTGGGAAAGAAAATTTATGTTCTTAGGACATCTTTTTGGCCATATTGTGGGGTATGGATTTATAGGAACAGAGACTGGTCACACGGAGATCAGGTAGAATGAAGCTGCTGTATCCCAGGTGACAATGAAGGTCTGAATAAGCAGAAATGCTATAGTGCTATGGAGGAGAGAAGTCATTGATGGAACATTAGAGGAACATGGATTGTGCTTGATGATTGACTGTGCAAAGGATCTAAGATGTCTTCCAAGGGGTCACCTTGGATGAGTTGAAAGATAATGATGCCATAGTGAGCTAGAGAACACTGCAGGTGATGTTCCCACTTTTCTGCAAACTTGTCTAGTAACCTTCTCCTAGGCTTCTACACTCCTCCTGCTGTTTCGAGTTGCTCAGACCTCTGGGGTGCCCAGTCAGACCTGGGGAAGAGTTCACACTGCAGACCCATCATCCTGCCTAGGACTATCTTAAGGTAGGGGGAAGGCTGAAGAAAAATCACACTATATTTCTCTCTCTCCACATTAGTACTATTGTACAGTGGAAAACGTTTCTCTTCTTCTTCTTCTTCTTCTTTTTTTTTTTTTTTTTTTTGAGACAGTGTCTTGCTCTGTCACCCAGGTTGGAGTGCAGTGGTGCGATCTCAGCTTACTGCAACCTCTGCATCCTGGGTTCAAGCGATTCTTGTGTCTCAGCCTCCCGAGTAGCTGGGATTACAGGCATGCGCAACCACACCTGGCTAATTTTTGCATTTTTAGTAGAGATGGGGTTTCACCATGTTGGCCAGACTGGTCTTGAACCCCTGACCTCAAATGATCCACCCGCCTTGACCTCCCAAAGTGCTGGGATTTCAGGCATGAGCCACCATGCCGGACTCCAGTTGAAAACTTTTTAAAGGATGGTCAAATACATGGTAAACAAGACCTTCACAATTCACTCAGAAAATCCCCAAGAATCCAGATGGAGGCATGTAGAGTCCAAAAGCTTATCAATTTTCTTTTCCAGTCAGTGACTGAGGTAGAGAAAGTTAAAGGCTAAGTGTATGTATTTGCACATCACATAGTGTGTTAGACCTCCTGGAGAAAGAATTTTCTTGACCTCATATGGCCCTACTTCACTGCTCAGACAGACATCTTTAATTGCTATAGTAGAATTCCTGCCCTTTTATTGAGGGTCCAGTAGTTATCACATCAATTTGATACATCCTGAAATGACTCCACCCATCTTATTCTCCCTGATCCAGATGAAAATAACAGCTGGAGGTCACAGTAGAAAGTGGTTAATGAACTAGCTCAGACTATGGTACAAATGACTGTGAACAGGTTAACTGAATAAAATCTAGCAATAAATTAACCAAAGGAATGAATATGTAGTAAAGTTTCAAATCCTTTGGGCTTTATTTTGAAGTGGAAAATGAACTTTCCTGTAAGGCTACCTGAAATCAACAGTCTCCATGGTTGTGAAGTCCATTGATTTGGTAAGCACCAATGGTCTATAAAAGACACTCCCAGGAGCCCAGCCACAGAGTCAGCTCTTATCTGAAACAAACACTTTCTTCCATTTCTAAGAACGATTACATTTATTTCAAAGTGAAAACTCATTTGATGATAGTTTAAGTTGAAAATACACTAACGGTGGTGGCAAGAATGCATAAAGACTTTCTGTGGAAGATCAAAACATTTCCAAGTAACTTCCTTAGTGAGTAGCCGAGTGATGTAAGTCTGACATTTCATATGGAAATACAAACATATTATCTGAATAGGAAAATGGAAGGGAACACAGGAGAAGATGATAGGCATTCCAGGAATTACAGGGAACTATGAAGTTCACTGTTTTGAGAAAGTAGAGGTTTCTCTTTCCTTCTTTATACATCAATTTCCTTTAAGTGAACATCATTTGAATTTGTCCTTATTGACAAATTTCTACTTGAACCTCCTCTACTTGTTGATTCAATGTTGAACCTTATCTACTTGAAAAGATTTAAAAGGATGTTTCTGATTAGGCTTAAAATACTTCTTAGCTACAATATAGGAGGTCAATAGGCTTTGCAAGTTATAGTCATTCAAAATCCTCAAAGTCAATACAAGCCAACAGGTCTACTTACTTTAACTTTCTAAAGGAGAGTAGTTTAAGCATATAGCTGTATTACAGCCTGCGATGTTGGATAATCAAAATGAGTGATATGGGATATAGAATATAATCTTCCTCCATCAAGCCACGTTTCCTAGCCCAGAAGCACTTTCTTTGATACAGCAATCGGTTTATTCATTCAAATCGTAGGCTCTTAACACACAAAAGGAACTTTAATGTTCACTCACCTCATGCTGCTATGTCTAGAACAATGGTTTCCAACGCTGGATGCTCAGAATTCCCAGGGGAGCTTTTAAAAATTACATATGCCTGGGCTCCACTGCTGAGCTACCAAATCCTTATCTGTGGTTGTTGGAGCTCAGGCATCAGTGTTTTTGAATCCAACCTCTCTCCCTCCAAGACACTGATCAACAGCCAGGATTGGGGACCACTGACTCAGAATTCAAATTCACCTCTACTATTGAGACCTTGTTTCTAAGTAGTCAGGTTCAAGCAATGCGACTCATATATAAAAGATACAATTTATAATATGAGCCCTTATGCAGTATTTAATTTGTTTTCCTGTTTCCAGGTACAAGATGATGTTTTTTTTTCTTTTTTCTACCGCCAGGAGAACAGAATTGGACTCAGCAAGAATGAGGTCTTGGTTGAGTGGAGAGAGAGGATAAGAGGCAAGACACCCCCGATACTATCCTTTCCCTCTCTGTTCCAGGGCAAATCAGTAACATCCTGATATGGGATATCATCAGAAACTAGAGAGTTGACCCACTAGATCCTGAGCCTGGACTTTGTGCCTTCTGACAACCAAATCATTGGCTTGAGCAACAATGTACTTCTGCCTGAGGAGTGGGCTACAAAGTCCCTCCCAGCCTGTAAACCCTGAAGCATTGCACCAACTGTAATGCATATCCAGTATAGTGGATTTGTTTATTGGCACCTGCAATATGCACTCCTTAACTCTCAAAAATCATGTTGCAGGCATTAACTTAATGAGATAATGAATAATTATTGAGCTTCTACTTGTGCTTAACACTGTGGTAGGCACATTTATGAACAGAGAATAGGAATTAAACCCCAACTTCAGGGAACCTCTGTATTATGCACCTGTGTAAAATAATGGGAAAAAAAAAAGTGAGCTGAACTCTGATCAGCGACCAGAGATCTCTGGGACTTTGGACACTGATCAAAACTGAAAGTACACATAGCAGAATAAGAAGAATAGAGTTGAACCAAAATGTGGACATATTAGAAAGGATCTTGAGAATCCAACAGAAGAAGTTACACTTGCTGCATGGAGTCAGTGGGGGATTTGGTCCAATGCCCCAGTGATACACGAAGGAGCAGCGAAACTGGAGGACAGGGAAGGGCTGGGTGGGTAAGGAAGGCTGTTGATGTGACTCAGGTAGAGGTAATTACATGATGTTGTGGCAATGGTATTCCATTTTGAATAGGAAAAAATGATAGAATTAGTTTTTGGGAGGGGAGAACAAAGAAGAATGAGTCAAAGGAGAAACAAGATTTTTAGAGTAAATGAGTGTATAGACATAGACAGTCATGTTGGGAAAGAACTCAAAAGTCTGCTTTTTAGACATATTGAGTTTTAAGCCATACTAGGATATTTAAATTAAAATTTCCAGCTGGCAGTTAAAGATAAGAGGCCGGAGTCTCCATAAAATAAGAGATCTTCAGTTTTAGATTAAGAAAGATCCACAAGGAGTGTAGTCTGAAATGAGAGGACTGATGGGATTCTTTAAGATTAAGAACCTAAGAATAAACAGAACACAGAGTTGCAGTCTGGGGAACAGCCTCAAGAGAAGAGATCATCAATAAGTTTTGCATGTTCATGGGAGTTGTGCTGGTGTAGTTATTTATACGTGTTAATAACTCCTATGTAGTTTTAGTGTGATTGAAATCTCAGACTTTCGCCCAAAGCAACTCCATCTTATGCTATCAATTCAAAATTTTCCACACAGAATAAAGTACCTTTTGCACATTATCTTATGTTGACCAACTAATTAGCTCTAACAGGAAGTTTTCTAAAAGAGAGAAATGTATACAAAAAGGGGAGAGGTAGTTACTTTTTTAAACTGTGACCTTTATTTTTCATATTTTATTTATCTTTTTTTAGCAGATAAGGTTAAATACCTTGCTGTTCAAACTGTATTACTAATTTATTGAATTTGTGGGAAAAACATTAAAACTTAACAGTATTAAGCACTAAACCATCTTATTTATTTTTAATCAACAGATCATTATTCATTCTCCAATTACCATTCAGTTATAGCTCTCCATATTATTCCAGACTGTGAAACATGGAGCAAGCCAAGGTGCATAATAGAGAATCTATGTAATGGGATTCAACAGAAAATAGCAGAAAATAGTCACAAACTTTCTTTCAGACTTTAAATAATATCACTAACCTATCTGGGCCAATTTTACCTCATCTATAATATGGGCCTAATAAGAATTAACATGCTCACCTACTAGGTTTGCTAGGAAGAATAAAACTAAAAAATGGAATAACTTCCTCACATGCTTTCACTATGTCCCCACCCAAATCTCATCTTGAATTGTAGTTCCCATAATCCCGACATGTCATGGGAGGAACCAGGTTGAGACAGTTGAATCATGGGGTCAGTTTCTCCTATCCTATTCTTGTGGGAGTGAGTTCTCATGAGATCTGATGGTTTTATTAGGAGCTCTTCTCCCCATCACTCATTTTTCTTCTTCCTGCCATCATGTGAATAAGGACATGTTTGCGTCCCCATTCTGCCATCATTGTAAGTTTCCTCAGGCCTCCCCAGCCATGTGGAACTGTGAGTCAATTGAACCTCTTTTCTTTATAAATTACCCAGTCTCACGTAGTCCTTTATAGCAGCATGAGAATGGACTGATACACTTTCTAAGCCATGAAGTCTATAAACATGAAAGTCATTACATTGTAAATGCTGCGATCACCAGAAAGAGATTCATCTATTAGCAAAATGGTAAGATAAGCAAAGGAGTGTTTGTGGGGCAGATCCCAAGCAACTCTGAGGGATTCTGAGAGTACTACTGAGATTGTCTTACTTTGAGTATCCCTCAAAAGGAAGTACTCAGGCAAGAGTTTTTGCTGACATTGTTTCCTTGGGAAGCACTGTAAGGGAGCAAGAAAGGAAAACAGGGAGGGAGGAGAACCATAAAGCTTGCACAAATAAGGTTACTGCTGTGAGCAGCAGATGCTCCATCCCACTGGGGACTATTTGGGACACTCCTCGAAATTTTCCACTAGGGGGTGAGAAATATCAGGTACTTAGGTACCAACTTCCATTGCACCCTGGGAGGGTTACTCCTAGAAACTTAGCTCCTAGGCACTTCCAGGCTGTGACATGTAGGAGCCAAGCATGCTTTCTGTAGAGTGATATAAAGCCATAGGGATGTACAGAAATGTCTGCTGGTGACCTCCAGGGTAGGTCAATGGCATTTAGAAGGAGCATCCGAGCATCTGTTTCAGAGTCAGACAGACTTGGTTTTGAATCCTGGGTCTCCTCTCCATAAGCTGTTCTGTCTCAGCACATCACTCAGCTTTCTTAGCTTCAATATCTCCAGCTGCAAATTGGGAACAACAGTAGCTACCTTGCAGAATGTTAAATACATTATTATGCATTCTTTCAATGGCATGTGTAATAGCCGATATTATTTTAAAATATTCAATGTTCTAGGAAATGCCTCATGCTATAAAGGTAAGTCAATAAGAGAGATCACATTTATTTGCAGCATGGCTCCAATTATGTGAAGTATATGTATTTTATATGTAAAGGCAATAATTGGGACAAAATACACTAAGAGATTAAAAGTGCTTAATTCTGGATAATAGATTATTTCTATTTTCTTTTGCACAGTTTTTTTTCCTTTTCCTATATTTTCTACAAAGCGTATATACTATTCCGTAATCAGAAAAAGTCAAATTTTATAGAACTTGTTTTCCAGGGCTCTTGTAATGATAATAGATCATTACACTAATACAAAAAAGTGCTTTTATAGCACATGACAAAATGTGTGCTCAACATATGGTCATTATAAAAAAGAAGATGCTGCTAATAAAAATAACTAATTAGATGAGTGGTTACTATTTTTCAGATCCTGTACAAAGCACTTTATGTTTATTTTCTCTTTTAATTCTCATATCAGTCTTATGTGGTAAGTATTGGCCTTACCACCATTATAGAGAGGTAGGAAACGGAGAATTATTAAGAAAGTTGTGGCTTATTTTTGAAAACACTTTCCTATGTCTTAAAACCCCTCAGAATGGTTTTGGCACTTTTAAATAAATGGTTCAGAATGGCATGTATTCCTTTACTTAAAAGAAGGCTTCGGAGATTGATATGGTTTTGATAACTGCTATGTTAACAACAAAATGGTTAAAATGAAATGTCAAAGAGTAGCCCCTTGGTCACTTCAGTCTGTGATCACATTGCGTGGTGGAAGTCAGATGGACTTAGGAAGCTTTCAGCTTGGCCTGAAAGGTGAGATTTTTATGCATCTCTGAAATGCAGTTATCTTTTCTTACAACAAATGAAAGCTGAAGATAGGCATTTCAGCATGCCAAGACCTCATATCTGAGAGATAAGATTTGAAGAGAAGGCTGCTGCTTGGACAGCTCTATTGCAGTACACATAACAACAAGAAGTAAAATTCCAGGACATGCTCATTATGAGCACAGCATGAGAAAAAAAAAAGATTTGTATTAAACAGAATAGGTTTACTTCATTTTATTTATTTTGCTGACCATAAAGCTGAGGACCTTTTCCTGTTTCTTTGTCATTATTGTTGGTTTGCTGTGTTCTCTGAAAGCATTTAGGACTTAATTAAAATAGTTTAAATCGTCATAATCTGTCAAGCTTACAATTCCCCTTAAAAGCCTCTCTGCTCTCCTCTTAGTGAATTTCATTGTAAGGAAATCAAAGAGAAAAGCTCTGGAAATCATCATCATGAATATAAATGGGGAAGAGGGTACAGGAAGAGAGGGAGGTGAAAGTGCCTGCATTATTTGAATAGCAGTAAAGCCATTCATAATTTCAGCTTAATTATCTTCAAATGATAAAAGGCTTCAGCTACTGTTTGTCAGAAGTAAAGTCTTTGGAAATAAATACATAGCACTAGCTCTATTTATTTTCATGGCACTTCTCTGATTCTGTTTCTTCTTGGTGGAGAGGATGCAAGAAGTGGAGGAGAACAACACTTTGGTTATGACTGTTTTGTTTTAAGGTGGCAAGGACACTTGTAAGTGCTTTGGACATACACTACCTTCAATTCAGTGGAGGCTCCTGTGTGGATGAGCAAAAGATCTTGTGTCCCAGATAGAGAACAAACATTGGTTTCCAGGAGATATGAACACTGGAACTTCTACAAGTGGGTTTATATTTGTAGATTTAATCCCTTAAACAGTGTTAAGAAAATTTAGAGTCAAAAATGCCATGTCATATTGGTTTAATATCATTTTAGCTCCATTTTGTGACACATCTCTTGATTTTACCTATATTTTCCATCACCTTTTTCTAATTTATATTTTCTTGTGGCATTGTATGCATTATTTTGAGCTATCTTATTTTTGGAAGAGAATGAAGTATAAAAAGCATTTTAAAAAATAGTACATAGGCAATTGTGAGGTCTCTACTCAATACTTGGAAAGATGGAATGAAAATACTTGTCCTTAAGGAGTGAAAATAAAAAAAGCCCACATTATGCAGAGGAGACTGTGTGCCAGGGAGTATGATTATAGATTGGTTGTTCCACGTGGAGAAGGAATATTTCAGTTATAAGTGGTAATTTGCTGTACTCTTGAGATACCAACTGAACAGTCTACCATTGTTGCAGAGAGAGCCTCTAAACCTGGGGATCACAAGAATTCTGCCTGGGGTGGGGAGAGGGGGAGGGATAGCATTAGGAGATATACCTAATGTTAAATGACGAGTTAATGGGTGCAGCACACCAACATGGCACATGTATACAAATGTAACTAACCTGCACGTTGTGCACATGTACCCTAAAACTTAAAGTATAATAAAAAAAAAAAGAGAGGTCTCTACTGTAGGGCAGGGGAGGTTCATCAGACATCATCATGGCCCGGATAAATGATGTTATAAACACCTATTTCCTTTTGTCCTACATCATTGCCAATGTAGCAACTTTATGATTATTCACTGGGCTTCAGGCACTTTGATAGGGGCACCATAGACAGAAAAGTATACTGATTCCTAAAACAAACCCTGTCTCACTGTAAAATTACTCATTGAATTTCTTGCATATCATTAGTAATGTATACTTACATAAGAGAAGTTTAACACTAAAACACTGATCATGCCAGTGTATGGAGAAAGTCTAGTTTCTCTTCCTGTGAGGTTGTGTACTACTCTGAATTTATCACCTCATCTAGAAAGTAGAACTTATATGAGTTCTAAGTGGCCAGGCCACAGCCTTCCCTTGGTTATAGCCTCTCCCTGGATTCTGTCTTTGGTTGAGTTCCCACAGACTTCTGACTTAATGATTTGACTACAAGAAGTTTATTTGAAAGATAATCCCTAGGATCACCCAAAAAGAATAGAAGGGAGTCCAGGAAGGGAAAAATCCAATGTGGTCAAATGAGGCTAAGTGCTGCTGGGAGACTCTGGGAAATGGTTGTAAATTGCCACAGTTGTCCCACACGAGAAGTAGACTATTTAATCTTCATCACATTCCTTATTGGCCAAAAATTGTTGCCAGAGACGTTAACTCCACAGGACTCTGCCTAGGCCAGGCATACTTCTTTGGTCAGAGAAAATACTCAGATGTCAAGTTGCAGGTGCAAGCAGGAGGAAACCCTTGGAGTGTTGGAAACAGCAAGCACTGATAAAATTTGTGAGGGTCATCAGCAGTGCCTGGCAGTGTCCTTTAATAATGGCAGCATAAGACACAGCACTCTTGCATTTCCTGTATCCCTACTCACGCTTCACTATGTACTTACTGTATTCATTGAGTTTGATTCTGAATTCTTTAGCATACTTTATGAGAGCAATCCATGTTGGATCACTAAAAAAGAACACTAAACGAAGGCTTAGAGTCCTATTGGCACTTTAAGAAAATAAGAAAAAAAGCATTGAAACTATGAACATGCAAAATCACACAATTTTATCAAATCTCTACATTGATGTTATGGTAAGAATTGTTTCCATTTTGAATTATATTTAGTGATTTGGGAGGTGTGGTAATCAGACCTCAGGGCTTCTAATGGTGTTAATGCAGTCCTGAGAATGAAGATGAATCCAATCAGAGACTAATTAGCTTCCTATCCCTAAGGGCATTGCATGGTTAGAACCACCTCCAGGAGGAAATGCCTTTCCAACAGCCAGGCTTCCTTTTCTGGGAATGGCCTCAGCATGTAAAAGTGGACCTGAGGTAGCAGTGCCTTTACTGGATGATCCTGCCCCTTTGGCCATAATGATTGAACAAAGTTGTGCCAATCAGAGTTGTGATCTGAGGAATTTTAATATTTGGATGAAGAAACCAAGAGCAAAACGGATCAGTCCTGAAAAACATTAAGGCGGTAGAACTTTAGAAGGAGGGTCTGCTATGGTTTGGCTCTGTGTCCCCACCCAAATCTCATACCAAATTGTAATTCTCAGTGTTGAAGGAGGGGCCTGGTGAGAGGTGATTGGATCATGGGAGTGGACTTCTCCATTGCTTCTCTTGTGACAGTGAGTCAGTTCTCAGGAGATCTGGTTGTTTGATAGCGTATAGCACTCCCCACTTCACTCTGTCTCTCTCCTGCTCTGCCATGTGAAGATGTGCCTGCTTCTCCTTCACTTTTTGCCATGATTGTAATTTTCTTGACACTTCTGTAGCCATGCTTCCTGTACGGCCTGTGGAACTGTGAGTCAATTAAACACCTTTTCTTCATAAATTACCCAGGCTCAGATAGTACCTTATTGCAATGTCAGAACGGTCTAATTCAGGGTCCATGTGCTCTTCCAGAGAGTTGAGGTCTTGGTTTTTCTTTCCATTCCAAAGCCAATGTCATTAAACTCTTCCTAAGACTCTACCAGAGTGGAGTGGATAGAACATTTATTTCCTACCTTTTTAGCATCTAGCCCCCAATTCTGACTTTCTAACAGGACCCGGTTGATATTCAGTTGTCTTTTTTGTGTGGATAAGATGACCCTACCCTTAAGTCAGAAGTGGGCACTGGTGGGACCAACCCAACCATTTATCTCTATTTCCTTTGTCATAGTGACCACCCAGACCAGGTCATCTCTTGGTTCACAGAGACTGGTAAAGTATTAGGCACATGACCCAAATCAAGACAAAAAAAGATATAAGGTGATTTTTTTTATCAGAAAACTGGGGGAAAATCATTCTTGCTTCTGTAAAGAAGTTATCCTAAGAGATGGCTTCTCCTCTTAGGGATGATGTTTTGCCAATGTAAAGGCTGGTAGTACTGCAGCCATTTTTCCACCTTGTGGGAAGGCAGCTTAAAGATGAAACATAAGGGAGGGAAGAAAGACAAAGAAAACATGTACTACACGTCATCACTGATCATTGAGACTTTCCCTGTCGCAAAAATATCCAGTTATCTGAGCCAATAAACCTCCCTTATTGTTTAAGCCTGTCTGAGTTGAATTTTCCATTCCTTGTGGCTATAAGCATGTAGTTTGTCTTAGGTCAGATTTTCCAGAATCAAAGCCTGAGACAAGGATTCACGTGCAAATCTTTTTTTAGGGCAGGGATCTCTGGAGAAACTGGGGTGTGTGGCATGTAGGGGTGTGAAGAAGAAGAAATTAAACAAGATGTGATATCAGACAGAGAGTTTCAGTCACATTGTGAAAGGGAATCTATAGTAAGTCATTCATAATTTATATTTAACCCAAAACCACTGAGCTAGAATCTCATACTCTCACATCATTCAGTTACTGACTAAAAACTGCCCCAAGGGGACATAGAATTTCAGACATTTACAGCTCTCTGAGTAGGCAGGTGAAGTGGCTCTAGAAAGGAAGTCTTTCAAAAACAGTTGCAGGTGCAGGCAACAGCAAACAGAAGCCAGAAGAGGAATTAATAAAAGTAGTAAAAGGGATTAGGATCAGAGTGAATCTGAGTGGAGCACCAACAGTATCAGCACACACATTTATTATCTTTCAATTAAAGTTTATTGATTCCTTTTGTTGAGTACCTACAAAAAGAACCTGTGGTTAATATAGACAAGTAAATGGAGGGCACAAAATCATGGTGATAGTGAACATGATGGTTTTGACAAAGTTCAAGGAGTGTGTAGGTGTCAATGTCACAATAGATGGTGGAATGGTTTAATGAATCTGAAGCATAGTGTCCTATACAGACTCCAAGATAACGTTCTTTACTCTCCTCTCTTGCTATTTAATGGTTTTGTTAGTCCACTCCAACAGCAAATAGGACTGGCCTGCATATCAATAAGATATTGCAGAAATGGTGGGGTGTGACTTATAAGGCTAGGTCATAAAAATCACTGCAGTATTGAATCTATAAATTACCTTGGGCAGTATGGCCATTTTCACGATATTGATTCTTCCTACCCATGAGCATGGAATGTTCTTCCATTTGTATCCTCTTTTATTTCATTGAGCAGTGGTTTGTAGTTCTCCTTGAAGAGGTCCTTCACGTCCCTAGTAAGTTGGATTCCTAGGTATTTTATTCTCTTTGATGCAATTGTGAATGGGAGTTCACTCATGATTTGGCTCTCTGTCTGTTATTGGTGTATAAGAATGCTTGTGATTTTTGTACATTGATTTTGTATCCTGAGACTTTGCTGAAGTTGCTTATAAGCTTAAGGAGGTTTGGGGCTGAGACAATGGGGTTTTCTAGATATACAATCATGTCATCTGCAAACAGGGACAATTTGACTTCGTCTTTCCCTAATTGTATAGATTCAATGCCATCCCCATCAAGCTACCAATGACTTTCTTCACAGAATTGGAAAAAACTACTTTAAAGTTCATATGGAACCAAAAAAGAGCCTGCATCGCCAAGTCAATCCTAAGCCAAAAGAACAAAGCTGGAGGCATCACGCTACCTGACTTCAAACTATACTACAAGGCTACAGTAACCAAAACAGCATGGTACTGATACCAAAACAGAGATATAGATCAAAGGAACAGAACAGAGCCCTCAGAAATAACGCCGCATGTCTACAACTATCTGATCTTTGACAAACCTGAGAAAAACAAGCAATGGGGAAAGGATTCCCTATTTAATCAATGGTGCTGGGAAAACTGGCTAGCCATATGTAGAAAGCTGAAACTGGATCCCTTCCTTACACCTTAAACAAAAATTAATTCAAGATGGATTAAAGACTTAAACGTTAGACCTAAAACCATAAAAACCCTAGAAGAAAACCTAGGCATTACTATTCAGGATATAGGCATGGGCAAGGACTTCATGTCTAAAACACCAAAAGCAATGGCAACACAAGCCAAAATTGACAAATGGGATCTAATTAAACTAAAGAGCTTCTGCACAGCAAAAGAAACTACCATCAGAGTGAACAGGCAACCTACAGAATGGGAGAAAATTTTTGCAACCTACTCATCTGACAAAGGGCTAATATCCACAATCTACAATGAACTCAAAAAAATTTACAAGAAAAAAACAAACAACCCCATCAAAAAGTGGGCAAAGGACATGAACAGACACTTCTCAAAAGAAGACATTTATGCAGCCAAAAAACACATGAAAAAATGCTCACCATCACTGGCCATCAGAGAAATGCAAATCAAAACCACAATGAGATACCATCTCACACCAGTTAGAATGGTGATTATTAAAAAGTCAGGAAACAACAGGTGCTGGAAAGGATGTGGAGAAATAGGAACACTTTTACACTGTTGTTGGGACTGTAAACTAGTTCAACCATTGTGGAAGTCCATGTGGCGATTCCTCAGGGATCTAGAACTAGAAATACCATTTGACCCAGCCATCCCATTACTGGGTGTATACCCAAAGGACTATAAATCATGCTGCTATAAAGACACATGCACACGTATGTTTATTGGGGCACTATTCACAATAGCAAAGACTTGGAACCAACCCAAATGTCCAACAATGACAGACTGGATTAAGAAAATGGGGCACATATACACCATGGAATACTATGCAGCCATAAAAAATGATGAGTTCATGTCCTTTGTAGGGACATGGATGAAATTGGCAACCATCATTCTCAGTAAACTATCGCAAGGACAAAAAACCAAACACCACATGTTCTCACTCATAGGTGGGAATTGAACAATGAGAACACATGGACACAGGAAGGGGTACATCACACTCTGGGGACTGTGTGGAGTGGGGGGAGGGGGGAGGAATAGCATTAGGAGATATACCTAATGCTAAATGTCGAGTTAATGGGTGCAGCACACCAGCATGGCACATGTATACATATGTAACTAACCTTCACGTTGTGCACATGTACTTCTAAAACTTAAAGTATAATAATAATAAAATATTCTTCGGAAAAAATAAAAATAAAATAATAATAATGATAATAATTAAAAAATCACTGCAGCTTCCACCTTGTTTTCTAGGACCATTCATTCTTGGGGAAGCTAGATGCCATATCATAAAGAATCCATGCAGCTGTATAAAGGGGCTTACAGGGTGAGGAGCTGAGACCTCCTACCAACAACCTATTATGGAAGAGAGTCGTTTAGCTCAGGCAAGACTTCAGATGATGACAGCCCTGGCTGACATCTTTTTTTTTTTTTTTTTTTGAGACAGAGTCTTGCATTGTTGCCCAGGCTGGAGTGTAGTGGCACGATCTCGGCTCACGGCAAGCTCCCCTGGCTGACATCTTAACTGCAATGTCTAATGGGAAACCCTAAGCCAGATAGCTCAGCTATGCCACTCTTGAATTCCTGACCTGAAGAAACTGTGAGAATAATAAATGTTAATTGTTTTAAGCTGCCAACTATTGGGGGTGTTTTATGCAGCAGCAGACAAAGAATACACAATGCCAACCACTTACATATCTGGAACATACTTTTCTGAAGAACAAATACACTTTTTATTTCACTTGTTCATTCATTCATTCATTCATTCATTGAGTAGTTCATGCCAAGAAATGTACTATATAGAAGTGATACAGACCTTGTCCCAGCCTTCTAGGTGCTCTATCTAAAGCCTACAAATTTTCGAACATACCTTGGGTTGCCTTAGGATTATCTGCTACTGATGTCAATATACATAGAAAATAACATATAATCTAGCAATCCCAATATGGTTATGTACCCAAAGGTAATGTAATCAGTATGTCAAAGAGATATCAACTGCACTGTACTTCCATGTTTTGTTTTGTTTTTGTTTTTTTGAGACAAGGTCTCACTCTGTCACCCATGCTGGAGTGGAGTGGTGCAATCACAGCTCACTGTAGCCTTGACCTCCCAGGCTCAGGTGATCCTTCCCCCTCATCTTTCTAAGTAGCTTGGACTACAGGTGTGCACTACCATGCCTTCATGCCTGACTAATTTCTTTTTGTATTATTATTATTTTTTTTTTGAAGAGACAGAGTTTTGCCTGTTGCCCAGGCTGGTCTTGAACTCCTGGGCTCAAGCAATCTGCCTACCTCAGCCTTTCATAATCATGGTAGGATGACAGGCATGAGCCATTGCACCCAGCCTCCCATGTTCATTGCAACATTATTTATAATAGCCAAGGTATGGAATCAACTATCAGTAGATGAATGGATGAATGGATAAAGGAAATGTAGTATATATACACATGGGATATTACTCAGCTTTAGAAAGAGTTCCTGCCATTTGCAAAAATATGGATGTATCTGGAGGACTTACGTTAAATGAAAGAAGCCAGGCACAAAAAGACAAATACCAGCAGGGCGCGGTGGCTTATGCCTGTAATCCTAGCACTTTGGGAGGCCAATGCGGGTGGATCACTTGCTGTCAGGAGTTTGAGACCAGCCTGACTAACGTAGTGAAACCTCGTCTCTACTAAATACAAAAAATTAGCTGGGTGTGGTGGCACATGCCTGTAATCCTAGCTACTTGGGAGGCTGAGGCAGGAGAATTGCTTGAACCCGGGAGGCAGAGGTTGCAGTGAGCTGAGATTGCGCCATTGCACTCTAGCCTGGGCAACAAGAGCGAAACTCTGTCTCAAAAAAATAAAAAAAAAAAAAAGAAAGAAAGAAAAAGAAAAAGAAAAAAAAATACCACACGACCTCACTTACATGTGGAATCTAAAATAGTCATATTCATAGAGTAGAATGGTGCTTACTAGAGCCTGGGGTGGGGAATAGTTGAGAAAGAGAAGGAAAATACAAAGCTGATTGGAAAAGCTATTTGTACATTTAGCTAAAAGCCTGAGCAAAAAAGAAAAATGTTAAAGGCAAATTCAGGCAAATACATCATTTTGTCAAAAGCCAATGGGATTGTCTTAAAACTGATGCCCTCCACTGACCCAATGGCACCAAGGAGAAGATAAGCTCCTGCCACATATCCAGTGCTGAGAATTATCTTGACAAGACCATTCATTTTTGACATTGCACATGTCCTGAGACATTGCATTCCTGGAGGATGGGGATAATTGTGTGCAGTGTTCAACATGCTCTGTATTCAGTGTCAACTCTGCACAAATGAAGCACTTATGCCTTTTAGTTGGGTGAGGATGATGATCATAGTCAGCCGACCCAAGCGCAATATTCTGAAAATTCAAGAGCGCAGTCAGATCTGAGAAGTTGGAAGACCTGATATTAATTTTTCCAAACAAATTTGTCCTCTCTAATACGGGGCTAATGGTGAAATCATAAAGAACAGAATCTGTCTAGTTTTTTCCTCACAATTTACAGATTTTTTTCATTTTCCACTTCTGAAAATATAATACTAGAATTGGGCTCAAGCATTATGTGGTTTTTCTGCCCCAACAAGTATCTGTTTTGGATGATACAGATGGTATATACAAATTTATGTAAGGTGCATGGTTTTAGGTAGCATGTATAATTTGATAAAAGTCAGTAAGTATCACTTAATTAGAGGTTTTGACAGAGCTCTATGCCACTATGCTAGTATTTTTATGGGTCACTTTTATAGCTTCTTAAAAGGTTTACTTTACATATACCAGCTGAAAATATTTAAACTATATAACTTTATAAATTTTGACACCTGTGTACACTTGGGAAATTATTATCTCAACTAATATAATGAACATATCTTTCATATCCAAAAGCTTCTTCTATAATTCTTCCCTCCTGCCTTTCCCCACCAACCTATCCTCTGACCACAGGCAAACTCTGATTTACTTTCTGCCACTATGATTTGTTTATATTTCCAAGAATTTTATATAAATATAATTTTATGCTGCCTATTCTCCTAGGCTGGCTTCTTTTGCTCAACATAATTATTTTGAGATCCATCTTTTTTTTTTAACAATAGACAATAGTTTGTTTTTTTCCTTGTTAAGCAGTGCTTTTTTCCTTTTAGCTATTGATGAACATTTGAGTTGTTTTCAGGTTTTTTTGTTTGTTTGTTTTGCTTTTTTTCTCTTTGAAACAGAGTTTCACTCTTGTTGCCCAGGCTGGAGTACAATGGCGCAATTTCAGCTCACTGCAACCTCCACCTCCCGGGTTCAAGTGATTCTCCTGCCTCAGCCTCCCGAGTAGCTGGGATTACAGGCGCCCGCCATCACACTCAGCTAATTTTTTTTTTTTTTTTTTGTATTTTTAGTAGACACAGGGTTTCACCATGTTGGCCAGGCTCGTCTTGAACTCCTGACCTCAGGTGGTCCACCTGCCTTGGCCTCCCAAAGTGCTGGGATTACAGACGTGAGCCAGCGCACCCAGCCTGTTTTCAGTTTTTACTATTACATAAAGTGACTATGAACATCTGTGTACAAATCCTTATGTGAATATATGCTACCAATTATCTTGGGTAAAATTCTAAGAAAGGAAAGGATGGGTCGTATGACGGGTATATTTTTACTATTTTAAGACATTGTCAAACTGTTTTCCAAGGTGGTTGCACCATTTTACATTGCCATCAGGTGTATACAAAAGTTCTAGTTGCTCTACATTTTTACCAGCACTTAGTATATGGTCACGCCTTTTAAAATTTTACACATTCTAGTGGGTATTAGTGGTTATCTCGTTGTTGCTTTTGAGACAGAGTGTTGCTCTGTCACTTAGGCTGGAGTGCAGTGGCATGATCTCGGCTCACCACAACCTCCACTTACTGGGTTTAAGCAATTCTTGTGCCTCAGCCTCCCAAGTAGCTGGAATTACAGGTGTGTGCCACCACACCCAGTTAATTTTTGTATTTTTTGTAGAGATGGGGTTTCACCATGTTGGCCAGGCTTGGCTTGAACTCCTGACCTTAAGTGATCCATCCACCTTGGCCTCCCAAAGTGCTAGGATTACAGGTGTGAGCCACCACACTCTACCTCCTTGTTGTTTTAGTATGCATATTGACTCTAAGGAATAACTAATAATGGTGAACACCTTTCATGGCTTATTTGCCATCTGTACATCTTCTAATCTTTTGCGCATTTTTTTGATTGGGTGTCTTATATTCTTATTTATTTATTTATTTATTTATTTTTTGAAACGGAGTCTCATTCTGTCACCCAGGCTGGAGTGCAGTGCCACAGTCTCGACTCACTGCAACTTCCACCTCCCAGGTTCAAGTGATTCTCCTGCCTCAGCCTCCTGAGTAGCTGGGATTACAGGCACCCACCACCATGCCCGGATAACTTCTGTGTTTTTAGTAGAGACAGGATTTCACTGTGTTGGTCAGGCTGGTCTCGAACTCTTGACCTCAAGTGACCCACCTGCCTCGGCCTCCCAAAGTGCTGGGATTACAGGAGTTAGCCACCACTCACTAGTTGGATTAAGAGTTCTTTAAAAGATCTGTGATTTGCAAATATATCTTTTCACTTTTTTAAGAATGTCTTTCAGAGAGAGAATTCTGAATTTTGATGATGTCCACTGCTAAATTACTTCTTTTATAGAATATAATTTTGGTGTAGCATAAAAGTCTCTCTAATCTAATGTCACAGAGATTTTTTTTAGTGTTTCTTTTCATAAGTTTATAGTTTTTTGATTTTACATTTAGTCTATCATCTATTTAAGTTTTTGTTTATGGTTTTAGGTATGAATTGAGGTTTTTGCTGTATATGAATATTAAATTATTCAAGCATCGTTTATTGAAGAACCTGTCCTTTTTCCATTGAATTGCCTTTGCACTTTTGTCAAAAATCAATAGACCATGAATGTATGAGTCTACTTCTGTGCTCTGCATTCTGCTTTATTGATCTATTTTCTAAATTTATGTCAATAACACACTGTGTGTAGTATGCCTTAAGATCACATAGTGCAACCTCTCCAACTTTGATCTCTCTCCTTTTCTTTTTGGCTAATCTAGGTACTTTGAATTTGTATATGAATATTAGAATCAGATTGTCAATTCCTATTAAAAATCCTGCTAGAATTTTGTTTGATATAGAATTGAATCTCAGATAAATCTGAGTAATACTGATAACATATTAGTTTTCTAATACATGAAAAAGGCCTATCATTCCATTTATTTATGTCTTGCTTGTTTACTTTCAGCAATGTTTTGTATTTTTCAATGTATAGTTCTTGCATATCTATTAACAAATGTACCCTTATGAACTTCATATATTGATGCTATTGTAAGGGCTATTTTAAATTTTAACTCCAACTTGTTCATTATCAGTATAGATTAAATACTTTTGGTATATTGACACTGATCCTGAAAATTTGCTAAACTTATATATTGGTTCTAGTAACTCTTTTGTAGATTTTTAATATATTTTACTCAGAGTCAGTCATCATCTATGAATAAAGGTTATTTTTTCCTTTCCAATCTGGATGACTTTAATTTTTTTTATTTTGAAATAACTTTAGATCTACAAAAGAGTTGCAAAGATCATATAAAGTGTTCCTACTTATCCTTCACCTATTTTCCTCTAATGTCAACATCGTACATCCTTGTGATGGCTCCAGTTGGGACTGGAGCTCCCCGGTTGCCATCCAATGCAACTGCAGACCCAGGGCTCCTGTTCAACTGAGCAGGCTGGAGCCCCACCCTCCTGCGCGGGGCTACAGCCACCCAAGCTGCAGGTGTGGATCCGAGCCTCCCTGTGCTCTTAGGGGAGGGCCAGGAGCAGGGAGGATCTGCCTTCCCGGGTGCCAGTGTGGCTGCTGCCGCCCTCCTAGGTGCAGGAGCCGGGTGTCTCTGCAGCCTGCACCTTTGGAGGCCCCAGGAAGGAAACCCCTCTCCCCTATCTTTGCAGGCTCAAAGATGTCTGCCCGGACTCTCTCCATTCCCGGCATCTGCTCCCATCTCCAAGCAGGGTTGGGGTCGAGCCCCAGGGCCATGAATGGCAGCAGGAGGCAGAGTTCTGAACGGAATGGGTCCTCAGTAAGGCCTCACCTTTGGGCCAGGGAGAGCCTGAAGGCTGGGCTCTTCTGGGCCCTCCCATGGTCATTCATGGGCTAGTAAGCATGCACTTCTTCCCCTCTGAGGTCCATAAAAGCCCTGAGCTCAGCCAGAGGAGGGCAGAGGATGGACAGAGGATGAAGAGGGCAGAGAGATGACGGGACCCGACGACCACTAGCTGTAGATAGCTGCAGAGAGGAGCAGATAGCTGCAGAGATGAGTACCATCTCAGCTGATAGCTGAGGATGATGGGAAGACAAGCTGCCCAGAGGAGTACCCTCTCTGCTGAGGCTGCAGACAGTGACCTGCTGGCAGAGAGAAGCTGCCTCCTCTGCTGAGAACTTCAGAGACCTGCAGAGACATGGGAATGACTTGCCTGTGGAGAGGAGACACCCTCTCGAGGGCCTCCTCTCTGCTAGGAGCTGAACACTCTGCTGGACGAACTGCCTACAGAGAGGAGCTACCCACTCCTCTGAGCTATCCTAACACTAAATAAAACTCTTCTACACCCTTCACTTGTCTGCGTACCTCATTCTTTCTGGATGCAGGACAAGGGCTCAGGCAAAAGTGATGTGGCCACAGAGGTTTCCAGCCAGAAAAATCAACACCCAGAGATCCCATAACACTTGGTATGTTTATCAAATGTAAAAATTTAACACTGGTGTAATACTACTAACTAAACTAGAGACTTGATTAACCCAGGTTTTTAAATTTAATTAACTCCTCTTTTTTCTTCTTAGATCCAGTCAAACATACCTCATTGTATATAGTCATCGTGCCTTCTTAACTCCCCTTGATCCATAAAGTTCTCAAACTTTCATGACCTTAACACATTTTTGAAGAGTAGTGATAAAGTATTTTGTAGAATTTAGATTTATCTGATGTTTTCTCATAAATATATTAAGATTATTAATTTGGGGGAATATTATCACTTTTATACCTAGTTTTTTGAGTTTTTTTTAAATCATTAATGAGTATTACATTTTATAATTTTTTTTGCATCTGTTGTTTAATAATAGCGGTTTTATTTTTTCTGTTAGTCTAATCTATTGCATTGTTTCATTTTTAAATATAAACTAATCTTGCATTCCTGGCATAGAACCCGGTTGCTTAGATAGATAGATAGATAGATAGATAGATAGATAGATAGATAGATAGAGATATATATTCTTTATTCATTCTGAATTTCATTTGCTAATATTTCATTGATAAGTTGTGTCTAGGATTTGAAGGGCTATTCATCTAAAATTTACTCTTCTTATAATGTATCTCTAAAGTTTTGGCCTCATATAGTGACTTGGGAAGTAGTCTCACCACTTCTATTTTCTGAAACAATTTATGTTAGAGATCTGTTGTTTTTGACTTAAACATTTGACAGAATTCACCAGTGAAGCCATCTGGTACTGGAATTCTCGTTATGGGAAGAATTTTCATTATTAAATAAATTACTTTAATAGATATAGAGCTATTAATACTTTCTATTTTTATGTGATTTTTAAATTTCCTTTTAAGGAATTTGTTTACTTCATCTAAATTGCTAGGTTTATTAATGTAAAATTAAGAATAACTTTTGTTATGAATCATAATTTCTCTGTATACTTTAAATGTACATAGGATCCGTAGTGATGTTTTACTTTCATTTTCTATATTTGTAATGTGTGAATTGCTCTTTATTTTAGCTCATATCTCTAGAGGTTTATGCATTCTATTGATTTTATCAAAGAAACAGCTTTGGTTTTATTGTTCTTTATTTTTGGTTAATTTTCTATCTTGTTACCTTATACATTTATCATTGTTATTTCCTTTGTTCTAGTTTCTCTGGGTTTTATTTGCTTCTTTTCCCTAGCTCCTTGAGATGGAAGTTTATTTAATTAATAATTTCTTCTTTTCTAATACCAGCATTTAAAGATATTCAATTCTCTTTAAGCACAACTTTGGCCATATTCCACAAATATGCTATGTACAGATATGCTGTGTTTTCATTGTCATTAGTTGAGACATTAATTTCATAGTACATTTTAATTTACAAATATCTGTTTTTTTTCCAAATATTATTTTATGATTGTTTCCTAATTAATCCATTTAAATATTTTATATAATATACATCAAAACTTTTACTAGTTATGAGATGCTGGGATTGGGGGAAATAACGGGTGGTTAATGGGTGAAAAATATATAGTTAGAACAAATAAGACCTAGTATTTGATAGCCCAACAGGGTGACCATAGTCAACAATAATTTACTGTATCTTTTAAAATCACTAAAAGAGTGGAATTAGAATATTCCCAACTCCAAGAAAGTATAAGTGCTTGAGGTGATGAACACCCTAATTACTATGATGTAATTATTACACATTGCATGCCTGCATCAAAACATGTAGCCCATAAATATATACACCTATAATAGTGAAAAATAATTTTTTAAAAGCTCCAAAACTTTTTAAATGTATTGAGACTTATTTTATAGGCCAAAATATGGTCTACTTTGGCACATGTTTCATGTGCCCATGAAAAAAAGTACTTTCTGCTATTTGAGGGCATCATGTTTTTAAAATATCAGCACTTGGTTGTATAAGGTTATTCAGGTCTTCTGTATTCAGGTCTTACTAATTTTATGTCTACTTATTTCTGTCAATTACTGAAGGTGGAATATTAAAATCTTCAAATGTAATTGTTGATGTTTTACTTCCTTTACTTCTGTTGGGTTTTGCTTCACATATTCTGAAGCACTGTTTTAGGAGCATATACATTTATAATTATATGATTTCTTGAGTCTTTCGTTAACATAAAATGTCTTTTTTCAAGTTACTTGCAGTGCAGTCTGATTCTTTGATGTTTGTTTTTAAGATTTCTTAGGGAAAATGTTCCTGTAGAGCTAATTTACTCCTATTACTAGGTTGTGAGCCTATTGATATATCCACTATATCCCTGGGTAATCAATGAGTTCTCTCCCCTTGGCTCGCCAGCCCATGTGGGTTCTGACTGTTCTTGGAAAGTTGTTCTCTACTTTTGTAGTCATTATTTCCTTGGCCTCATACATTTTTAGCCTCATGTTCACGATTTAGTCTTCAGTGACTTGAGAGGACCCCATTTCAGATTTCTGGAACGTTTTCTCTATATAGATTCCCTCTCACTGATACTCTCTGGTCAGGCAAATTCCATCTCAAAATCCTTGAACTTTGGCTGGGTGCAGTGGCTCACGCCTGTAATCCTAACACTTTGGGAGGCAGAGACAGTAGGATTCCCTGAGTGCAGGAGTTGGAGACCAGCCTGGCCAACATGGTGAAACCCCGTCTCTACTAAAAATATAAAAATTAACAGGGCATGGTGGTGGGCGCCTGTAATCTAAGCTACTACAGAGGTTGAGGAATGAGAATCACTTGAACCCGGGAGGCAGAGGTTGCGGTGAGCTGAGATTGCACAACCGCAGTCCAGCCTGGGCAACAGAGCAAGACTTCATCTAAAAAAAAAATAATAATAATCCTTAAACTTTAATTTCTGTCTTCTGAATTTGAAGAGACTGCTGTGCTCTGCTATATACTCTGCTATGTTTCCCCTTCTGGCATTGCATTCTCAAAAATGCCTTCAGGCAAAAAGCCATAGTGACAAATGGACTGAACTCTTTTTACTTCTCTCCTCTTAAGGATCACTTTTTTTTGTTTCTTGTTTACAAATGTTTGAGAACAGCCATTTCATTTATTTGTCCAGTTTTTTACTTATTTATAGTTATTGGGAAGTGTATTAGTTGGCAAGGCTGTCATAACAGAGTAGCACAGACTGGCAACTTAAACAACAGGAATTTATTTTCTCACAGTTCTGGAAGTTAAAAGGCCAAGATCAAAGTTTGACAGAGTTGTTTTCTTTTGAGGCCTCTCTTCTTGGCCAGTAGATGACCGCCTTCTCCCTGTGCCTTTACACAGTTGTCCCTATCTGTGTCTGTGTTCTAATATCCTCTTCTTGTAATATTGGATTAGAGCCCAGTCTAATGACCTCATTTTAACTTCATAACTTTTTAAAGAGCCTATCTGTAAATACAGTTACATTGTGAGCTATTGGGGGCTTACGTTTCAACATATGGAATTTTTTTTGGTGGGGGACACAATTCACTCACAATGAACAGTCCAGTAATGACTACTCTTTCATGCCAGCAACAGAATTTTTGAATACTTGCTATTTGCCAGTCATTTTGTAAGCATGTTTCAGACTTTAACTCAATTAATTATCCTAATATCCCTGTCTGATAGATATTATACACTCTAGTTTAGATCTAAGGACACTAAGCTCCAAGAGTTAAGTAATTTACCTAAGGTGCTGTAGCTAATAAGCAGAAGAGCCTGGATTTGAATCTGAGTATCACTCCAAAGCCCTGGTTCTTAACCACTACGCTTTGCTTTCTTTTAGGGCACACATGAAAGGCAAGACTAATGTCTCTAGATTATATTCTTGGAACTGTGGGAAGATATTCCTAAAATACCTAGCCTTGAAGCTTAACTGCATACAGAGTTTTACTTCTTAGCAACTCACAAATTTTCCCCTGTCATAAAACAGAAAAATACTAGAGTATAATTCATTACTCATACAAAATAAACATCTTTCATTTTGTTTGTCTCTCTCACTCAACCTCTTACTTTATCTATATGTATATAACTTTCCTTATGATATTTTTTAAAAAAAGCAAAAATTGAGAATTTTCTATAAATGAAGTGTCAAATAGCATAATGGTCCAGCCTATGCGGAGGAAAGTTTGCTTTATTTCTAAATTATCAGTTATATATGGATAGCTAGACAAAGATAACTCTCATCATTTAGGGAGTTAATTTTTTCATCAGTCAAATAAAAGCATTCATTTAGGCATCAGTACAAGTAGTTAGATATTGATTTTTCATGGGCCCATTTATGTCAAGGATAATCAATAATTATAAATACATTATGACAGAAATGTCTTCTATCTTAAACAATAAATTAGACTAACACTTGGCATCTAAGCTTTAGTTTTTAAGTATCTTATGACAGCAGGAGTCTTCCATGTAAAATAAATAGTTAATATACGAGGCAGAAACAGACAGTAATATGTAGTGTGGATTCTAATGTTGATATGTCAGTTTGTGGCACTGCAATGTGATTTCTATGCAGGTCATATTTTCATATGCATCTTGAGCTATTGATGGTCAAATGAGAATGGGCCTAAAGGGCCAAATTGATTGGGGTTTGTCTTATAAAATTGGTCCAATTTTAAATATAAAAATTTATTCTTTATTCTCCTTTCTCAAAGAATTTCTTTCAATCTGTGACTAAAATGTTAACATTATGTTCATGAAGACAGAGTAAGAGGTCAAAGAACAAAAGTCAAAATTTCAGTCAGGCATCAGAGTATTGAAAGAATATACCACTATCGAAGCTCTTTACTCAGCTTATTTTATAGACTAATGATAATCTAGACCTTCAACTTCTTCACTGAAAGTACAGCTTCTGGTGTGGCAATAATGAAAAGAGGAGCTTGAGACAAGGACTCAGAGGTAGTCAGTCTGGGAAGTCATCTCAGGAAGCAAGAATGAGGAATTGGAAAGAGGAAAATAGAGAAGTTATCAAAGACAATAAGGATGTGTAATTTGTTTGTCACTGCAAATCCTGGGACTGAGTCCTACCGAGGAACCTCTGAGGCACCATGTAGAACATTCCTTAGAGTTTCTTCTCTGAAGGATTGCAGAATGTGGGTAGTATTTTTCTGTCAACAATCATACCCCATTAATTGAGGGTTGTCCCCAGGGGCATTAAATCTCTCTCAATTCTGGCCTGTGCCTGGTTGCTGGATGAGGAGACTTTCCAGTTCCTAGAGAAAGCCCAGGGGCAGAAAACCAGGTGAGTCTGAGGGGATGACATCAGCGGCCAGTGCAAGGAACTGTCCACTGTGGCTCCTCTGAGATGAGTTTTGGGATATAATACAGAGCATCGAAAATATCTGCCACAAGTAGAGTATTTGCTTTTTTATTTTTAAAGTGTAGGATTTCTTTCTTAGGGTAAAAGTGAGGATATCTTTCTGAGGATTTCTTTCTTCCTGATGAGCATGTTTCTTTTCAGTGAGGCACAGAGCACTGCTGAGTAGCAGCATTTGTCCAGCCTTCTAATGAAAGATGAGAATGAAATTTTATCTTTCTCCAGACATGGTACAATCTGGACCTGGGATTAATGACCACAGAGATGAAATCTTTAAAGCATTAATCCCAGTGCAATGGCAAATGTACAAATATAAACATATGTGCAAATCGGGGTTAAAGACTACTTAATACTTGAAGAAATCTGGAGGGAGTACATTAAGTGTGGCCTTGTGAGCAGATAAAATAGGTGGCCATTTACAATCTATATATTTGGAGAGCTGCCATGCCTGGGGAAGAAACACCGTACTGACACTTTTCTCATCTTTAAATCAGGGGAACTTCATTATAATAATATTTTTAATGACCTTAATTGACACAAAATAAACTGCATATCTTTAGACTGTATACATTGCTAAAATTTGACATGAACACACCTGTGAAATCACCACCACAATCAAGATAATGAATGGATCAATCACCTCCAAAAGTTTCTTTTTGCCTTTTTGTAATCCCTTGTCTGCCCTACTCCCTCCCCAGGCAACCACTGATCTGCTTTCTATCATTACAGATTAGTTTATATTCTAGACAATTGTATATGAATAGGCTCATACAGTATGTAATCATGTTTTGTCTTTTTATATACTCAGCATAATTATTTTGAGATTAATCTGCATTGCTACATGTATCAATGGTTTATCCTTTTTATATCTGTACTTTTCATTGTATCGATATGCTACAACTCACTTACTCATTAATCTATTGATGTATAGTTGGGTCTTTTCCAGTTTCTGGCAGTGACAATAAAACTGTTTTGAAGAATTATATACAAGTCTTTGTATGGACATATGTTTTCTGTTCTCTTGACTAAAACAGAAATGGCTGGGTGATATGGTATGTACATGTTTAACTTATTAAGAAACTGACAGACTGCTTCCAAAGTGGTTACATCATTATACATTCCCACCAGCAGTGTATGAGGGTTCCAGATGCTACGAATCATTGCCGACAGTTTGTGTGGTCAGTGATTTGACCATTAGTGGGTACCTAGTGTTATCTCAGTGTGATTTTAATTTGCATTTCCCTAAAGACCAATGATTGGGAGTATGTTTTTATGTGTTTATTTGCCATTAGTATATCTTATTTGATGAAATGTCTATTCAAGTCTTTTGCCCATTGTCTTATTGTGTTGCTTGTTTGTTTATTATTGAGTTTTGAGAGTGCTTTACATCAGTCCTTTTTAAGTATCTGATTTGCAAATATTTTCTTTCCAGCTGTGGTTTGTCTTTTCATTATCTTAATAGTGACTTTTTAAAAGCAGAAGTTCTTCAATTTGATGAAATCCCAGTTTTTCTTTTATGAATTATGCTTAGCCTAAACTCAGGTCATAAAATATTTCTTCTATGTTTTAATCTAGAATTTTATAGTTTTAAGTTTTATATTTAGGTATATAATGAATTTGGAGTTAATTTTTATAGAGTGTGATTTACAAATCAAGCTCCTTTTTTTGCATTTGAGTTTCCAGTAGTTCAATCACAATGTATTAGTAGTAGCAGAAGAAAAGGTAATTGTAGTTGTAGACCAATTAAGGTTGCTCTCTTTGAAGGATGGGAGGCTGTAGCATTTATCTGCTATAGTCAGAGAGGTTGCCAGATGCTTTGGATCATTTCTAATCTTACCCCCGGCTGACAAAAAAAGGTGTAGCAGATGTATTTGGTGCCCTCATGGCCCACCTCTTATTTCAGTTGCTGCGGCAAAAGGCATCTGGACCAGCTCAGGTTCATCTCCTTTGCCACCTCCCACCTCAGCACATTGTGCATTCTACCTCTGGATCCTCTCTGATGTCACATAGTTGGTGCTCACTCAGCATTGCAAATGCACCCTGGAAATACAGGGAAGCTAATGCCTCAGGACAAGTCTCAACCAAAACACATCAGCAAGCAGTGGGTAAATTCCTGTCTCAGATCCTTCAGGAGAGCACTACTGAGGGGCATTCTATAAACTCTTCTTAGGAGCTCATGGAAGAACCAAGTTCCTGGTACCCACAGTACAACCTAACAATATACTTTCAAACTTCCTTTTCCCCTTCTTTTTCCAATCTCTCCACTCCTTCATTGATGCTCCCTGGGATTATCTTCCAGATAAAATAACGGCACCCAAGTATTTGTCTCAGGCTCTGGTTTCAGGGTAACTCAAAGAAAATAGTTATCTTTATTCTCATATTAGAGATAATTAAATTTCACCAAGATAAAAACAAATGTCCTAAGTCACCAAGCTCATAAATGATGATGCTGGGATTTGAGCACAGATCTATTTGTTTCTAGGACGTATGTTCATTCCTTGATAGGATCATCCTGTTCATTCACCTGCAGCTTGGCAAAAGCATTAATGTATAGCAGTGAGAAGCTGGAATTTAAAGTTTCAGGAGCCAGATTGCTTGGTTCTGTCACCTGCTGGTTGTGAGACCTTGAGCAAGTTCCTTATCTCTGTGCCTCAGTTTTATCATATAAAAATTGACATAGTTTTTTTACTTTTACCTCACAGGATTAAATAAACATTAATAAATTATTAGGACAATGCTTCAGAAATAATAAGTATCACATGTATTAATTACTATTACTATTTTTACACTATTGTGGTTGTGGTTGTCATTGTTATCACCAAGCCATACCATACTCAAATTGTCTTCCTCAACATCAAACCTGCATGTGGTAATCTAGTTATATTCCCTGTGGGAATGACAAGGAAGAAAAGTTGAGAGGGATCTCTGCCGACACCATATACAAGCAGAGGATGAAGGATTTAACTATATCTTTGTGATAAAATCATGCAACTTGAGTAGATAGAATAAAATAATTTTACAAAGTGTGTGTATCAATTTGCACTCCCAAGGGGAGCATATGAGAATTCCATTTGCCTGGCAACACAAATCTATGAAGATAGAGCCACATCTTTTAAGAAGCCAACACTGACTGGTTAATGTAACGATCACCCCTCCTACTAAGTCATTCTCTACTACACAGTCCTTTTCAATTTTTCTCTACTGCATTCATTTCTAATAACTTGTCTAGTTCATTTATTTATTTGCTTCCTCTTTCTCCTGCTATCAGAAGCTCTCTGAGGGTAGGGACCTTAACTGTTAATTATTTTGGTTTTACAGTTTTTAATGGATATATAATAGATGTACATATTTGGGGGGTTAATGTGATAACTTGATACATTCATATAATATGTAAAGATCAAATCAGGGTAATTGGGATATCCATCACCTTAAATAATTTTCTTTTCTTTATGATAAGAACATGTGAATTGCTCTCTTCCAGCTATTTTGAAATGTATACTAGATAAACATTAACTACAGTCACCCTACCAATTATTAAATACTATCTTATCTTATTCCTTCTATCTAGCTGTATAGCTGTACCCATTAATCAACCTCTCTTCATCTCTCCACCCCCTACTCTTCTCAGCCTCTGGTAACCATCAATCTACTCTTATCTTCATGAGATCCACTTTTTTTTTTTTTTTTTTTTTTTTTTGATGGAGGCTTGCTCTGCTGCCCAGGCTGGAGTGCAACAGCGCGATCTCAGCTCACTGCAACCTCTGCCTCAGAGGTTCAAGAGATTCTCGTGCCTCAGCCTCTGGAGTAGGTAGGATTACAGGCACGTGCCACCACACCCCGCCAATTTTTTGTATTTTTAGTAGAGACGGGGTTTCACCACGTTAGCTAGGATGGTCTCCATCTCCTGACCTCGTGATCCACCCACCTTGTCCTCTCAAAGTGCAGGGATTACAGGCATGAGTCACATGCCCAGCTGAGATCCACTTTTTTCACTCCTGCATATGAGTGAAAACATGTGACATTTGTCTTTCTGTACTTGGCTTATTTCAGTTAACATAATGACCTCCAGTTCCATCTGTGTTGCTGCAAATGACATGATTTAATTCTTTTTTATGACTGAATAATATTTTAATGTGTATATATATCATATTTTCTTCATCTATTCACGGATGGGCACTTAGGTTGATTTTATATTTTGGCTATTGCAGATAGTGCTTCAATAAACATGGGAGTGCAGATATCTCTTTGATCTATTGATTTCCTTTCTTTTGGGTATATATCCAGTAGTGGAATTGCTGGATCATATGGTAGTTTTATTTTTAGTTTTTTGAGGACCTTCCATGCTGTTTTCCCTAGTGGCTGTACTAATTTACAATCCCACCAACAGTGTATGAGAGTTCCCTTTTGTCCATATCCTCGCTAATGTTCAATATTCCCTGTGATTTTGACAAAAGCCGTTTTAACTAAAGTGAGATGATACCACGTTGTGGTTTTGATTTGCATTTCTTTGATGATTAGTGATGTTGAGCATTTTTTCATATACCTGTTGGCATTTGTATGTCTCCTTTTGAGAAATGTCTATTCAAATCTTTTGGCCACTTTTTAGTTGAATTAATTATTTTTTGCTATTGAATTGTTTCAGCTCCTTATATATTCTGGTTATTAATACCTTGTCAGATGAGTAGTTTACAAATTTTTTTTCCATTCTGTAGGTTGTCTCTTGACTTCGTTGATTGTTTCCTTTGCTGTGCAGAATCATTTTAGCTTGATGTAACCCTTATCTATTTTTGCTTTTGTTGCCTGTGCTTTTGAAGTCTTACACAGAAATTCTTTGCCCACACCAATGCCCTGGAGCATTTATTTTATTTTATTTTCCAGTAGTTTCATAGTTTCAGGTCATAGATTTAAATCTTTAATCAATTTTGATTCAATTTTTTACATGGTGAGAGATAGGGGTCTAGTTTCATTCTTCTGCATATGGATATCCAGTTTTCCCAGTGTCATTTATTGAACAGACTGTCCTTTCCCCATTGTATGTTCTTGATGACCCTGTCAAAAAAGGGTTGACTGTAAATGTGTGGATTTATATCTGGTTTCTTTATTCTATTCCATTGGTCTATATATCTGTTTTTATGCCAGTACCATGCTGATATGGTTACTATCACTTTGTAGTATATTTTCAAGTCAGGTAGTATGATGCCTTCAGCTTTGTATTTTGCTCAGGATTCCTTTGGCTAGTTGGCTCTATTGTGGTTCCACATAAATTTTAGAATTTTTTCTTCTATTTTTGTAAATAATTTCATTGTTATTTTGATAGGGACTACATTGAACCTATAAATTGCTTTGGTAGTGTTGTAATTTTAACAATATTAATTCTTGCAATCTATGAGCATAGAATATCTTTCCATTTTGCCATGTGCTATTCAATTTCTTTCACCAGGATAATTTTCTTTATTAGGTCTTTCACTTGTTTGGTTAAATTAATTCCTAGGTATTTTATATTATTTGTAGCTATGGTAATGTTGCTTGTTTTCTTGTTGTTCTGTAACTCCTCCCTTCCTTTCTTTCTTATGGTCTTCATTTGCAGTTAAGTGATTTTCTCTGGTAGTATGCTTTAATTTGTTCCTTTTCATTTTTAATAAAATGACTACAGGTTTTTGCATTGTGATTACCATGAGGCTTACAGAAACATCTTATAGGTATAACAAGTTATTTTAAAGACATAAGTTATCTCAGATGACCAAAAAAAAAAAAAAAACAATAGAAACAAAACAAAGAAAAAGTGGTTAAAAAAAAGTACACTTCAACCTCATGCTTCCCCTTTTGACTTTTAGTTATCTCAATTTATATATTTTTATATTGCCTATGTCTGAACAGGTTGCTGTAGCTATTACTGCTTTGGATAGACTGGTCTTTTAGACTTCTTACTAGAATTATGAGCGGCTTCTACACAACAGTTACAGTATTAGAGTATTCTTGGTTTGTCTGTGTGCTTAATTTTGCCAATGGGTTTTATACCCCCAAATGTTTCCTTCTTGCATGTTAGTGTTTTTTTCCTTTCAGACTGAATAATTCCCTTTAGCATTTCCTGTAAGATGAGTCTAGTAGTAGTGAATTGTATTATTTTTTGTCTGAGAAAGACTTTGTCTCTCCTTTATATTTGAAGGATAGGTTTGCATGATGCGGTATTCTTGAATGACAGTTGTTTCTTTCAGCACTTTGAAAATATTGTCCCATTCCCTCCCAGCATGCATGGTTTCCACTGATAAATCTTTTGCCACATTAATTGAAGCTCCTTTATAAGGTATTTGCTTCTTTTCTCTTGCTACTTTTAGGATCCTCTCTTCGTCTTTGACTTTTGAGAGTTTGATTATTATATGTCTTGGATTACTCTTATTTGGGTCAAGTCTTTTCGGTCTTCTCTAACATTCCCATACCTAGAAACACACACCTTTTTCAAGTTTTGGAAAGTTTTATCTTATTATTTCTTTAAATAAGTGTTCTACTCCCTTGTTCTTATTCAACTCTCCCTTGAACACCAATAATTCTTAGATTTGGGGCTTTTTTTGAAGTACTTTTCTCTATCTCGTAGGTGATCATTATTTGTTTTCATTCTCTTTTTCTCCTCTGTATATTTTCAAATAGCCTCATTGATTCTTTCTTCCGCTTAATGCATTGTGCTGTTGAGAGCCTGTAATGAATTTTTTAGTTCAGCAAATATATTTCTCAGTTCCAATATTTCTGGGACTTTTTTTATTATTTCAATCTCTTTGTTGAATTTCTCTGATAAATTTCTAAACTGCTTTTCTGTGTTATCACAGATATTATTTTTTTTTATAACTATTATTTCAAATTCTTGGTCAGAGAGTTCACATATTACCATCTCGTTAGAGTCAGTTACTGGTTCCCTGCTTTGTTCATTTGGGGAGGTCATGATACTTTGTTTATTGTTGTTTCTTGTTAACATACAAGTGTCTTCATATTGAAGAATTAGTTATTTATTCGATTCTTCTCAGTCTAGCCTGTTTTGATATTTATTAGATAGTTTACTTAGGAATTATTTGTAATTTACCTGATGAATTTATCATATTTTCCCCACTAGGTCACTGCCTCCTTTTTGACACTAAATGGCACCTTTAGCTCAAGTTTGCCTCTGCTCTAATAAACTATCAGAGTGCTGCGTATCCTGAATAGGATAGGGAAACATGATATCCTGGCAGTGTGGAAAGACTGGCTAGTGATTTGTGCCCAAGAGGCTAGTTAAATGTATCTGCTAAAGTGTGGTGCTGCTAAATAGCCACTCAGATTTGGCTAGATTACAGAGTAGAGCTTCCAGGCTGGAGATGGTAGTCCTGCCTCTACATTTTGTCTCCGGTGGCCCTGAGGGATATTTTTCCCTTCAGAAACCTTCAATGCTTCCTGTGGGTTGAGATAGGCACAGGTATCCTGCTAGAGCACCCAAGATGGTGAGGAAGCTAGTTGTCCACCTTGATCTCACTTTTTCATTGTAGAAATCATGAGTTAGGGGGAAGTTTTCTGGGTACTTGGGGTCCAGCAGATTGTGGGGAGAGGCATTGTGGATATGGAAGTTTGATTCTCTTACTATCTGATCAGTTTTTTCACTTCTCTGTGGCCTGAAAACTGTTTCATTCTCATATTTGAGTTCTGGGATATTGCTGGTGATAACCTCAGCACTCTATATTTGTTTTTGGTTTTCTGGGTGTTGTGGGGAGTTAAGCTAGCTTGCTTCTGTGGTGCTGTTTCGGAATCAGAATACCCAACTATTGACTATTAGTTGTTAACTACTGTTTCCCTTAAACCTAGAATAGTTGCTGTCAAATAGTAGGTGCTTAATTAACATCTGTGAAATGAATAAATGTACCTATTGTTTGATTGCTCAACTATTGTTGTTGGTCTATTTAGGGGCCTTAAAATATCACAGTGGCTTTGGCTAAGCTTTACAAACTTTTCAGTTTATCTCAGATGTAGTTTTTCTTCCTCCCAAAGGTACATTGTTGGGTCAAAATTTGATGCCCGTGGATACTCTAAAAATAAAAGATTCCAAGAATATTGAAGTTAATATATTATGCTAATCATATATGCTATATGAAGTTAATATATTATGCTAATCATATGCTAATCATCACCTATAAACAGATATTAGGTGACATGTTAAACTGTATTAAAACTATATAGATCAACAGAAAAAACAATGAACTAATAGTAAAAGTAATTTTATCTGGCTTTGACATGCACACATATGAACCCATTTATGCACTCCTGCACTGATCTTGTTGTGACACCATACCCCTCCCTCTTCTACTCATATCAGCATCCGGAATCCTATGGAATGAGAGGAGGTAGGAAAATTGTAAATAAGGATGCAAGGGAAATCCTCAGGCTAGCAGAGTTAATCCACAAGATGTAAAATACTTTGTCAAGTTTTTAAGAATTAGCTACTAAGAAAAGACATCTCTGCTCAATGTATCCACTTTGAACACTAGTTTTATTAGACAGTTGGGGGTAATGTGCTAAGTCAGAACAACTGCTGAAGAATAGACATCAAACTCAAAATGGCTCAAAGGAAAAGAAGGAATGTATTGTATCACGTAACATGAGTTAATGGATATGTTAGACTTTAGGCAAAGTTGGAATTAGGAGTTCAGATAATTTCATCAGGACTTATTCTTGATTTTCCGATCTCTAATCTCTTCTTCCTCTACTCTTCATTCTCAGGCAGTTTATTTCTTCGTGGCAAAATGGTTGCCAGTCATTTTACTTTCTATTCATCCCTCTTGGTAAAGGATTTCTCTTGTCTATAAGTTTCATCAAAAGTCTTAGAATTGAGTATCATCTGTCTGACTTAGGTTGTAAGCCAATGTCTGACCAATTGCTGTGGGCAAAAAGAGTGAATTCTCTGATTGGCAAAACATGAGCCTAACTTTGAGGCTGAGGGTAAATATAACTCCATTCAAATGACATTGATTAAGAATGGGGGTGAGGAGTGAGGGAGTTTGTTCTCCAAAGGAAAACTGAGGTGTAAATATCTGATGAAAGATAAATAGGCACCCAGCAGGGAAAAGCAGTAAATGTCTTACATAGATAACCTATATGTTATCCACTGTATCTGCACGGATCACAGATTAAATTCCTCTAGAAAATTCTACTTAATTCCTGAATACTCAAATCAGTTACAGTTGCCTGCTACTGTCCCTACTATCTACCAATAAGGCCATTCAGTACCTTTATATTCTTCATCCTCTTTCTCATCACTGTCATCATCTTCATCTGAAAACACTTGTTTCTATGGCTAGGCAGTTGAATAAACAAGCTAGGAAGTATGATACCTACCTTGTAGCACAAAGATTGTTAACCTGGATTCCATATCCCACCATCACCGGATGATATGCAAAATATCCCTGTGTTTGGGTGTGCGCATTTTAATGTTTACAGTGTCCATAGATTTAATTCAATTATTACAGGGACTAGGACCCCCACTCCGCAAAGATTTAAAGTCCACAAAATTAGAAGGGCAGTGAATTAATCCCAGAGCCCATGCTCTTTGAATGGTAATTTTTAACCTGGAATTCAGGAAGTCCACAAACTTTCATGGGAAAAGTTATTGCATCTTCATTTGTACTTACTTTTAAGTGAAATTTAGTATTTCCTTTCACTAAGAGTATAGATAAAAACCCACAGTTGTATTAGTAGTATCTGCAACTTTGTCACAATTGAAACACCCATTTTCCCATCACATTAGTTTTTACAAACATCATGAGATATTGTTTATACTTGTCAGCACTTTGAAATTACAGTAATTATCAACTATGCTGCTAGATCTTATTATTTAACTCATTAATAAAAAAATAATAATCACAATTTTTAAATATTTTGATGACTGTGCTTTAATACAATGAGTTTCCTTTGTAATACTGTGTGTTTTTATTTTATGGATTCAAAAAAATTGTTCCAAGAAGAAATCCACTGGCTTTACCAGATGACTGAAGGAGTCCAAAGGGGTCAAAAAGATTAGAAACACATTTCTTAGCCACTACACTAACACTTCTGTTAGACTTCCTGGTACAAAATTTCGCTAGGTTACTGTGGAGATACATTTTTATTTCCCCAAGGGGTTCTACATAGATAACGTTAAATAATTATCTATCTAGTAAATCTCTGTCACCAAATCAGAAGCAAATTCCCCCAATGTGTCATTTATTTGGTGGGTTCAATCCTAGTGAGCATTCCTTTGTGTGAGGTTTAGTATTCCTGCATCTGGATAGGGTTTAAATTTATATTCAAAGTTGATCCAGAAACAAATATTCTTCAAGAAGAGCACCTTGTGGATTTAGACTATAATGAAGTGATGAGAAATGTTAGCAAATTAGACTGTCATCAATATTGTAGTGCTGGATAAATTTTCCCATTACAGGATTTCTGTGCTTTTTTGTGAATTATGTCCCCACAATAGGTTTAAAGTTGGTCTATTTATCTATTAGTTTGTTTTTAAGGGGAGGAGAAGTAGAGAGCGATTTTTAGTAGTAACATCACGTCTTCCAAATTAAAGTTTAGGTAAATACAAGGTTTGGTAAAGCCCCTGGGCAGCAGTTGTATTTGCCCACCCAACGTGAGCTTGTCATACAATTAGGTAGACAGATCAACAAAGCCTGTGGGTAAACTAATTGTTTATTGGTTACATGTTGCTTGAATTGATGCTGAAGATTTGAATCATTCAAACTGCATTATTTTAGTGGAAGAACTTTAAAATATAACTTAAAATGTTATCTGTAGTTAAGAAAGTATTTGGGTTTTATTCAATGAAGAAAAAATTGTCAGTTCTTTAACTGTAAAGCAGATGATGACTCAGGGTTGCCACTATCCCCCACTGTGTGGGATAATGTTGTTGTTATGGTATTTATAACCTACCCATAACTTTATATTTCCAAGCTGCCTGTAAACATGTCTTCTCTGTCACAACTGCATGTGTTTATTCTGGAGGGCAGAGAGGGTAGATAATAGTATACTTCAGGTGATCCAAGCAAGTGACTGAGGCAATCAGAGATCCCAGGACATATTAATTAGAACTTTTTGGTTATGAGTAATAGAAAGCAGTATTTAAACTGTTATAAGATGGTTACCTTGTTAGTTTTGCTTTGATTTTATCTGCTATAATTGGCAAGTCATTGGCAGAAATGGCTTTAAGCCTGGCCTTATCTACCACTGAAGCAAGGACTCAGGTTCTGACTTCTCATTACAGGTTCCTTTCCTTCTGTGGTCATACAATGACTGGGCATTTGGGGGCTATACTTTGATGCTTCTGGAAAGAGAAAAACTTGTCCCTAATTGACCTGACCTGGACCATTTGCTCATCTCTGATCCAATAACTACAGGAGAGGACAGAATAGGAGGATTATCTTAAGTCAATCAGGATTCATGTCTGGAGAATGGGGTCAAGTAATTCCCTTCCAGGCTGAGTATGGTGGCTCATGCCTGTAATCCCAGCACTTTGGAAGGCAAAGGCAAGAGGATTTGTTGAACTCAGTAGTTTGAGACCAGCCTGAGTAACATAGAAAGACCTCATCTCAAAAAAAACTCCCTTCCAAACTTCAGGGCGTGGGAAATTCAAAGCCTGATACTAAAGAAGAAAGAGACACTAAGGAAGCTTATAGAGAAACATCCCCTATGCAAGGGAAGTGTGTTCTTAGGGAAAGGGTAAGTTGTAGGTCTTACAGATTTTCTTTTCCTGTTGTCTACTTTGGTTTATTAGATTGAGACTGGACTTGGGGAGGACAGAGAGAGATTGGGCTTGGGAATGAAGGGGATGGAGGCTGAGCTTGGGGAAGTTGAGAGTAGGAGCTGGTATTGTCAGAATTGCTGTTTATGTTAATTAGTGAAGAATAGGATAAGAAAGGTATCTGCTAGACATTTGATCTCACTTTCCTGGATTCTGAAAGCATTATCCCAAATTCAGCACAGTTATAATGAAATCCATCCTCAAGCCCAAGTCAGGTACACATGGATAATCCAAGCACTAGCTGAGGGATAAATGCACAGTGCATCTTGCACACAATGGTGTTTCCAAGCTGGAGGACTCTAGCACATGTGGTGTCTTGCCTGACCACGCTTTCTTGCTTCATCCTTGGTTTTCCCTGCTCATTTTTCAATTCTGGGATTGTGATGGATATTTTATCTTCTGTGGGGATATAGTAGCAGCCCCTACTGCTGCCTGTTCCTACAGTCCAGTTGACACAAGTCAGACTGTAGCTATTGATATAGGCATTCTAGCTGGTCCCCCTACTCGATAATGCCTATCCTCCTTTCATATAATCACAAATACTTATATATTCCTGATCAAAATCATAATAATAATGTTAGTTAATCTTTATTGTGAACTTGAATGCATTAAGCACTATTCTAATAACTTCATGTATATTCATTCATTTATACAATAAGATCCTTCATTGCCTCTTTATTGCCTACAAAATAAAAAAAATCCCACTTAGATTATTCAAATCTCCCTATAAACTAGAACATACTCCATTTTCTAGGCTGCTCCTACATATGCTATATTTTAGACACATAGAAGTTTTCTGTTTCCTGACTATCATTTGCATTTTCTAGGCTTTAAATTTACGCACTCTGCCAATGGCACCTCAAACCCACCTCTCACCACCAAAATCATCATGAAACATCAAACTCTCCATGGAGCTTTCTTCAGTATCCCTTATTAGGAACAAATTGTCTCTCCTCTGTGAATCCAACACTTGTTGTTTGACCCTTGATTACAACACAATTGGAAGGGCACAGATCTTCCCTACTGTACTTAGACTCATTTAATTTAGAACTTATTAACTACCTGCCACATGTCAGGTGCTGATTCATTGTCAGCAGTACAGTACACAAGGCATAGTCCCTCACCTCAAAGATCTTGTGGTCTAATGTTAGAGAAAACACAGGTCTCTGTAATTCCAACACAGTGTGAAAAGGCTGTGCACATTGGGGTAACATAGAAAGTACAGAAGTACAAGCTGAAGTACAAAACAAGAGGTACAAAACTGCCTGAAATATAATCACAACACACTTGACAGTAGATGGAGGTGGGCTATGATGGAGAGGAATGTGAACACATAGGCACAAGACAAAGTGCATTTGAGAGAAGGTCCATTATCAAAGGCGTGAGTATTCAAAATTTATATAATGTTCAAAGTTTATATAATGTATTCAAAATTTATGTAATCTTTGGTAATGTGAAAAGTTTGGAGAGTGTTTTTAGGAGGCAGACTTTGTGCCTAAGAGCATGGATGGTGGGTTCAAATTCCAGCTTTACAACCTAGGAGCTATTTGACATTGGACAAGTTAGTTAATTACTTTGAGTTTTCCCTATGTATAATACGGGTTTTATTAAAATTCAGCCATGCTCACTCATGCATGCATTTTCTGTATTTGAAAGCAAATACAATAGCGGAATTAAATAGTTGTGTTTCTTATAAGAAAGTAACTAAGAAAAAATGACCTACAAAGACTAAAAACTCTGGCCCTTTACAGATAAAACTTGTTAATCTCTGCTCTAGCATGTATCATTAAAAGAACAGGAAAAAAAAAACTTTTTTTTTTTTTTTTTTTTTTTTTTTGGAGACAGAGTCTTGCTCCATTGCACTCCAGAGTCTGGAGTGCAGTGGAACAATCTCAGCTCACTGCAACCTCTGCCTCCTGGGTTCAAGCAATTCTCATGCTTTGGCCTACTGAGTAGCTGGGATTACAGATGTGTGCCACCATGCCTGGCAAATTTTTGTATTTTTAGTAGAGATGGGCTTTCACCACGTTGGTCAGATTGAACTCCCAATCTCAGGTGATCTACCCACCTCGGCCTCCCAAAGTGCTGGGATTACAAGCATGTGCCACTGCTCCTGGTCAGTAAAGTGAAAAATAAAAAACTTTTAATTTTTTACAGCAAGAAAAGAAAATGTCTTAATAAACTGAGAAATAATAACCTAAGTGTATTTTTTTGTTTAAAAAATTAGGCAAATTAAATTTAACAGAGTCTATTTGGGCTAAGAACAATTTATGTATCAGGCAGCACTCAGAGCCAAAAGAGGTTTAGAGAACTCTGTTCTGCAACATGGGCAGTGACTATTTATAAACAGAACATGGAAATGAAGTACAGAAATAGCTTGATTAGTGTCTTAGTCTGTTTTGTACTACTATAATAGAATACTGAAGACTGGGTAATTTATAATAAACAGAAATTTATTTGGCTCATACTTCTGGAAGCCAGCAAGTCCAAGATTAAAGGGCTGGCATCTGGTGAGGGCATTCTTGTTGCATCATCCCATAGTGGAAGGTGGAAGAACAAGAGAGGACAAAAGAGAAGAGCAAGAAGGGGGCCGAACTTGTCCTTCTATAAGAAACCCCCTCTCAAGATGACAATCCCAATCCTGTGATTATGGCATTAATACATTAAGGAGAACAGAGCTCTTATGGCCTAATCACCTATTAAAGGTCTCACCTCTTAATACTCTTACAATAATAATTAAATTTCAACACAAATTTGGAAGGAAACAAGCCACATCCAAACCACAGAGATAAGCTAGGTGTTTCCCTTATTGACCATGGGCTAATCAGTTGGCTGCCTGTGATTGGCTGAAGCTTGGCTGCTTATGATTGGATGAGGCTCAACTGTTTGTTTTCACTACTAATTAGGTTTTCAGTTTGTACTAAGTAGGTTGTGGTTTGTTACAGAGGAAATCAAAGTATGGAGAGGCAGCCTCAGGCCAATGACCTGCTGCTTATTTAAATTAACAGTTTAGAAATATAATGGCAAGGACAAGAAGAAACAGATAACAGAGTAAAAAATGATTGCTTCTTGGTTAGGGTCAGAGAACTGCTGGATTTTTTAAAGGCTAAGTTTATTAAGATTATTTAATATTTCAAAATAATAGTATGCATTATTTTGATAAACAAATTTATGCCAAGAAACAACCATAACACCCTCCCTTGATCTCCATCTTTTTCTGAAACTGTTAACCTCTCTCTCCTTTCTAACCAAAATTTCCGATACTTGTCTGTACTTTCTGTTCTGTATAGTTCTATACTTTTCAGTGAAGGAAACTGTTCTTCACAATGCTATCAACATCCTCCAGGTTGCCAAGTTAAGTAAATGTCTTTTCTAACATCTTATCTTACTCTCAGCAGCAGCCAACAGTTTATTCTTCCTTTTATCTTGAGACACTCTTCTTTTAGATTCTTTATTTTCCTCTTACTCAAACTATTCCTTCCAACTGTCCTATGCAGGTTCTTCTTTATCACCCCAATCTTTTTGGATCACTGAGTCCCAGGGCTTGATCTAGTACCTCCCTCTTCTCTATCTCTCTAAGAGATCTTATCCATTCCCATGAATCCAACCAGGATCTTTTTCTTCACCATATACTTAAGATCCCAGTAGGTTTTATATGGTTATCTCAAACTTTAACTAAAAGCAGAGCTCTGGAAAAAATTTCACATCCTTCATCATAAGCCTGCTTCTTCTCTTAGGTGGTTCCTTCATTAAAACCCCAAATCTAGCAATTATTTATTGATTCATTTATTTTTAGATGGAGTCTTACTCTGATTCCCAGGCTGGAGTGCAGTGGCACAATCTCAACTCACTGCAACCTCTACCTCCTGGGTTCAGGCAATTCTCCTGTCTCAGCCTCCAGAGGAGCTGGGACTACACTCACATGCCACCACGATGCCTGGCTAATTTTTGTATTTTTAGTAGAAAGAGGGTCTCACCATATTGGTCATATTGGTCAGGGTGGTCTCGAACTCCTGACCTCAGGTGATCCACTCACCTTGATTTCCCCTTTTTCACTATCCTTTCTAATCAATCACTACATTCTATCCATTCTACCTTCAAAATACATTTCTGATTTGCTCACTTCTCTCCAGGTCCACAGCCAGCTTTTTAGGTCAACTAATCATCATTTATTGCCTGATGCACTATGATAGTTTCTAAGTGACTTCTCAGCATCCACATTGACCACCACTATTCTTTCTCCACACATTAGCCAAAAGGATCTTTTAAAAATATTAAATCATCTTTAGCATACATCAATAGCTTCCCATTGCTTACAGAATAAACCCCAAGCCTTTTATGATAGTCTAAAAGGCCCTGTGGCATCTAGCTTCTGCTTCCTCCTCCTTCTTCATTTCTCAATATTCTTCTCACTCATTGTGCTCTAGTCCTACTGGCCTGCTTTCTATTCTATGAACAGTTCAAACTTTTTTCTGCTCCTAGAGATTTGTACTTGTCCCTCCTATAGTGATTTTACCCCACAATACACATGGTTAAGTCTTCCTCATTGTAAGGCCCCAATCAAGACTGCAAAGGAAACAGCAAAATGAAAAAGCAGCCTGTGTATTGGAAGAAAATATTTGCAAACAATATGTCTGATAAGGGGTTAATATTCAAATCATTTAAGGAACTCATACAACTCAACAGCAAAAAAAAAAATCAATTTAATAATGAACAAAAAACCCAGAATAGATATTTTTCCAAAGAAGGCATACAAATAGCCAACAGGCATATGAAAATCTGCTCAGTGTCACTAATAATCAAGTAAATGCAAATCAAAACCACAATGAGATATTACTTTATAACTGTTAGGATAGCTATTATCAAAAAAATAAGAAATTATAAGTGTTGGCTAGGGTGTGGAGAAAAGGAAACCCTTGTACACTGTTGGTGGGGATGTAAATTAGCACCACAATTGTGAAAAACACTATGGAGGTTCCTTAAAAATTAACAATAGAACTACCATATAACCCAGCAATTCCTTATTTGGATATATACCTTAAAGAAATAAAGTCAGCATTTCATAGAAAGATCTCCACTCCCATGTTTATTGCAGCATTGTTCACAATAGCCAAGATATGAAAACAACCTAAGTATCCATCAATGGATCAATGGATAAAGAAATTGTTCTATCTATCTATCTATCTATCTATCTATCTATCTATCTATCCATCCATCCAAAGGTATATTATTCAGCCTTGAAAAAGAATGCAATCAACATGGATTAATCTATAGGACATTATGCTAAGTTAAATAAGCAAGACACAGAAAGACAAATATTGTACGAGATCACTTACATGTGGAAGTCTAAGAAACAGTCAAATATGGCCGGGTGCGGTGGCTGACACCTGTAATCCCAACACTTTGGGAGGCCGAGGCAGGTGGATCACGAGGGCAGGAGATCACCACCATCCTGGCTAACATGGTGAAACCCCGTCTCTACTAAAAATACAACAACAAAAAAAAAAATTAGCAGGGCTTGGTGGCAGGCGCCTGTAGTCCCAGCTACTCGGAAGGCTGAGGCAGGAGAATGGTGTGAACTCGGGAGGCAGAGCTTGCAGTGAGCCGAGATCGCGCCACTGCACTCCAGACTGGGAGAGAGAGCGAGACTCCGTAAAAAAAAAAAAAAAAGAAAGAAAACAGTCAAATATATAAAAATAGAAAGTAAAACAGTGATTACCAAGGGCAAGGAGGGGGAGAAAATGGAGAGATGTTAGGTCAAAATGGACAAAATTGCAGCTATGTAGGATGAATAAATCTAGAGATCTAATATACAGCAGGAGTACTGTATTAGTCTATTTGCATACTGTTATAAAGAATTGCCCGAGACTGGGTAATTTATAAAGGAAAAACGTTTAATTGACTCACAGTTCAGCATGGCCGGAGAGGCCTCAGGAAACTTACAATCATGGTGGAACGTGAAGGGAAAGCAGGGCAGCTTCTCACAAGGCAGCAGGAAGGAGAAGTGCCGAGCGCGCAAGGAAGAGCCTTTTATAAAACCACCAGATCTCATGAGAACTCACTCACTATCACGAGACCAGCAAGGGGGAAACCGCCCCCATGATTCAATTTCCTACACCTGGTCTCTCATTTGACATATGTTGATTATGGAGATAATGGGAATTACAATTCAAAATGAGATTTGGATAGGGACACAAAACCTAACCATATTAAGTACCACATACAATTGTACTATTGTCTACAGCAAAAGGACTATGTACAATATATTGTATTGTATAATGAAAATGTGCTAAGAGAGTAGACTTTAGATGATTTTACCACAAAAAATAAGTTGCCTATGGAAGGTAATGGTATATTAATTTGCTTACTTGTAATAATCATATCACTATGTATATGTATATTGAAACATCATTTTGTACACATAGAATATATACAATAAAAATAAATTTTAAAAATTATTGCATTCTTACTTAGTGTAACAGAGAAAATTACCCACAGCTTCCTAGCAAACCAATCCAAAGCTAAGGGGCTTTGAATAATAATTTATTATTTTTCACAATTCTGTAGGTCAGGATTCCTGGCAGGACTCAGCTGGATGGTTCTTTTGCTCCATGTGGCTTTGATTGGAGTCACTAAGTTTCATTCAGCTGGCTGCATCGAAAGCCCTAAGAGAAGATTACTTGCATGTAAGTGTCAGGATATTCCTGGAGCAGAGTCTGTTGCAAGGCACTTAAGGGAAGTCACCATAACCACATGATTAGCATCTAACACAGAAATGAAACTAGAAAAAGATCAATTTAAGTGGATTTAAATAATACTTGTATCTTTATAAACATGTATATTTATACATATGTGCACAAATAAATATATTTCTGAAGAAATAAGTCAGATTTAAAGACAGGCAAATTACCTCTCCTTGCATCATTTTATTCAGATCCAGTTGCTTTATCTCTACAGTATCTCTGGCCCTCTCTTGGAAGCAGAATTGACTGGAAATAATTATACAAGATGAAGGTGCCAGGAATCTTTGAGACCTTTGAGACTGCTGAGACACCTCCGGCTTCCTCTGCCAAATAATTTCTTCATCAAGTGTTCAAAATATCTCTGTGCCTTAGTTCCTGGTCTTTTCTACCTCCAACACTTACCCCTGTACATGTGTTCTGTTTTTATGTTCTTCCTAGAATTTTCCGATGTTGAACTGGGCACTGCCATCATTATTAGTTTTTACTTCTGATGTTATCTTATACTTGGTTTTCTGAGGATCAGAATCAACTTTTAATTTTGATCCACTATACATACCTTGATAATGAGTGAATACCTGGAATTCTGATTTTCCTTTTGAGACATTCAACTACTGCATGTTGAACTCCCCAACACAAACTACCTGCTTCAACTACCTGCTGCATGCTCCTATTTTCCCTGTTGGTCCAATGTGCCATTGAGCGGGGCTGCCTTCCACAATCTGAGGTGAATTCTTCTCACTGGTACCTGCCATATGCCAGTGGATGTATATTGATACAAACTTCCTCCTGATGTGTCCCATTATGATGCAGCAAATCCAATCAAGACTTTTAAATTCTAAAAAATAGTCGGGTGTAGCATACTCACCTGTATTTCTCCAACATGGGGGTATTGACCACCTGGACACTTTGATTTTGTTTGATTACCCATACCTCTAGTCTGATTTTTTAAGCTTGCCTATCTATTTCTAAAATCTACATTATCCTAGGGGAGGTTAAGTAGGTAGGGGAATAGGAGAATCCAAGGTGTCAAAATAGGGTTTTAGAGAGAAGGAGAACACTCTACTAATGACTATGGGAGAGATCCAAGAGTCAGCAAAGCCAAAAATGGTGAAGAAGATACACCAACCTGCTCAAATGGGGAGAAACAAGATTTATCATATCCAGAAGAGGCGAAAATGAATTTCACAGTCGTGCAGGAATACATGGCATGTCCATCATCAAGGGCCTTGGCCTATCAATAGTATAGCAACTTTGATCCATTTAGACTAGAGAAGTATTTAGTAACATTGTTAATAATAATAATGAAGTTCCTCTGGCCATATGCAAATAAACAACATGGTATTAGAAAAAGAATGTAAGCTTTGGAATCAAACAGACTCAGGTAAGTTACTCAGGGATGTTGCTCAGAAAATAAGATTATTTCCAATGTTAGACAGTGATTGGCACTTTGTAAGCACTCCATAAGTGCTAATAGTCATTTTGCAATAGATGATAACATTCTTGAGGCCAAGGACCATCACATTTGGGTTATGTCCGCAGTATGTGGCAAAGTACCTAGCATATAGTAGGTATTTAACACATGTTGAATAAAAGGAATACTTGAGAAAAATTGGCAAAGGAAAGATAAATTCTAGTTTTATTTCAATTCACATCTCTTTTGTAATATATTTTATAGTGGATATTTCAGCCACTTCTACAATTTCCCTCTCTCAACATTTAATTTCAGCTAGCTCTGCTCTGTCTTGTAAGGTGGACACATCTAGTTAGTTATCGTCCTTGGATCATCACTGTGACATTCACATCCTGATATTATGTTTATTTTTGGGTGACATGGTGCTATTTATTCAAAACCAATCATTTATTTCATTCATTGTATTTTCAGTTAGCTTAATTATGCTTAATTAATGACCATGATTCATCAAGACATGGCCCCACCTCCAATCTACCCTGCTCCCCTTCCCCGTAGTCCATCTCCAAAATCAGTTAGTGTTTCAGTCCAGTGCTGCTCAAACCTGTGTCAGAATCACCCAAAGAGCTAAATTAGACTGCTAAATCCCTCTTCCAGAGAGTCTCATTCAGGCAATAAGAATTGTGGTCTGATAATTGGCATTTCTAATATGCTCCCAGGTGATGATCCTGCTGGTTCATGGATCACACTTCAAGTAGAACTATTCTAGCCCTATGATATTATCCAACTTTTCCCTGACATATAAGCATTTTTATGCTTCCATATCTTTGATTTTTCTATTTCCTTTCCCTAGAATATCATTCCCTGGTCTTTTCTCTTGGAAGACTTCTACTCATCTGTTGGTCCCAAATTTAGTGTTATCTTATCTCGAATGCTTTCTCTGTCCCATTCTTTATTCCTAAAGTATTAGTCCTTTCTTATTAGCTTTATCCCTAGGCCCCTGTCACCTGAACACAATTGAGCAGCTTTTCTGATTGTGCTTAGTTTGTACTTTATGCTTCTGCTTTTCCCGCTAGATTGTGAGTTCACTGAGGTCAGAGACTATGATTTTCCTGATGCTTATGTTCTTCTCACTAACAAAGTTTTGGATAGAAAGACTTTTAAAAAATATGTTTGTTCTTGATTAAATTATTGTTCCTTTTTTCCTTCCTTAGGTTAGACTGTAATTGCATTGCAACTTCATACTAAAGGTTTTGTTCAGTTTTCCAGTTATTATACCAGATGGCACCAGAAGGCTTTGGTTTAATTCTCTATGGGGATATTGGGGAATATTAGGTAACTGCTGTGGCACAACAAGGATCTCAAGGAGCATTAGCAAAGTCTAACAATTATAACTCCCTTTAAAAACCATTGTTGTCTTCAGGGACTCTCAGCAGGCCAGAATCATTAGTGACAAAACATTATCAACATACTCTCCAAATAGGAAGGATGTTGCCTATGTGGAATGGAAGGAAATTGGGCCAGTGAGACCGTTTGCCTAACCTACCTGAGCTTCATTTCAGATTGAGAACAATCAAAACTTGTAAATTAGCTTCAGATTCATGGGGAGCTTAAAAAATTCTCAGGGGTGGTAAAAGTATCTGATTTGCTACTTGTGCTTCCTTGAGCTATTCCATAAAGAAGATTTCAGCATGCTGCAATAAAGAAGAAGAATGGTTCTCTCAAAGAGTTTCATTTATTTGGTTGTGATTTCTCAGTTATGAATTAACATTTCCAGCCAAAAGCAGGGAAGGGTTATAGGGAGCTGGGGTACAATCATGCATATTAGTTAGTTTTTCATAATCATTTACTTGTTTTCACTAAAAAATGAGCCATGATATACTGCAAGTCTATGCTTCTGTGAGAACACTTGCTCAAGAATGATAATTTAACATTTACCAGCAAGAATCCATTGCAACTGAATGCTATTATATAATTATCCCCCAACTCCAAGTATTCTGCAAGCCCCTTCTCTGCCCAAGAAACACTATCCCAGGGGATTGAATAAGGAGTTTAGTTCCCTTGTCTTAGACAACTTCTAGAGTTATTGGCTAATAAATGATCAGAGTCTGTTTATTATCCAAGGGCAGCAGTCTTTGGGAGACTACTATCTCTACTCAATAGAGAGAGTAGAAATAAGAGTTCAATATGAACAAAAAGTATCTATAAAATTCAGCCCCACAATGATCTTATTTGGTTTTGGCAAGTATAATGCAAACATCAGACCCCAGATCACCAGACAAAGACAGTTTCTTTCTTCCCTTCCCCTTCCCCTCCCCCTTCTCCTTCCCTTTCCCCTTCCCCTTCCCCTTCCTTCCTTCCTTCCGTCCTTCCCTCTGTCTCTCTCTCTTAATTTCTTTTCTGCCTTTCTTTGTGACAGAGTCTGGCTCTGTCACCCAGGCTGGAGTGCAGTGGCACAATCATGGCTTATTTTAGCTCAGTCTGGGCTCAAGTGATCTTCCCACCTCAGCCTCCCAAGCAGCCAAGACTACAGGAGTGCACCACTGGCTAATTTTTGTAGAGATGGGGTTTTGCCATGTTTCCCAGGCTGGTCTCAAACTCCTGGGCTCAAGCAGTCAGCTTGCCTCAGCCTCCCAAACTGTTGGGATTAGAGATGTGAGCCACCATGCCCAGCCTAAAGAAGGTTTTGTGGTAAAAATAAAGGCAGAGTTTGGGCAAGAAAATAGCTGGAAATTGAGGCAGATCCAAAGATTGGTGTCTCCCTCTTTCATGGACCACCTGGTCTTTTTTTCAGAGCATATCTGCTTTCCTTGTTGTGCATTTGGTTCTCTCCCTTCCTATTGATTTTTTCATTTGCTCTTGCAGATCCTCTTGACTCCCTAATAACTTCTACTTTCAAATAAATTTGGCTACACCTCCTTTTCCCTTCATTTCTGCTGCTCATTGCCAAACTCATTCTGTTTTTTAATTCAAATTATTAAAATAATTACTTGAAATCTAACCTGTTCATCACATGACTTTATAACACACGTGTGGGTCAGCATATGTTTAGCTATAACCAGGAAGAAAATGGAGGGAGCACAGGGTACAAACCGTGGTTTCCATTTGGGGAAAAATTTGATAATACTTGGTCAGATAAAGTATATTTAAATTAAATGTATTAAAATTTGGAAGATAGCATAGAGAGTTCCCATCTACCACATACCCAGTCTTCCCATTAATATGGTACATTTGTCACAATCAATGAACTAATACTGGTACACTATTATTAATGGAAATCTATACTTCATGCCAATTTCTTTAGTTTTTACCTAATGAGCTTATTTTTGTTGTTCCAGTATCACACATTACATTTAGTTGTCATGTCTCCTTGGGCTCTTGTTAGCTATGATATTTTTTGATGACCTTGACAGTTTTTAGGGCATTGGTGAGGTATTTATTTTATAGACTATTGCTCAATTAGAATTTGTCTGATGTTTTTCTCATGATTAGACGAGTTATGCGTTTTGGGGAAGAAGACCACAGTAGTAAAGTGCAATTTTTATCATACTATATTGAAGTGCAATTACTATGATTTGTTACTGTTGATATCAACCTTGATCATCTGGCTAGTTTATTGGGTTTCTCTGCTGTTAAGTTACTCACTGTTTTTACCTTTCCAAACTATACTCTTTGGAAGGAATCACTATGTACAGCTCACATGTAAGAAGTGGGGAAATACACTCCACTCCCTTGATAGCAGAGGACCTATATAAGTTATTTGAATTTATTCTACCTAGGGTATTTTTCTATTCTCCCCATTTACTTATTCAATCATTTGTTTATGTCACATGGACTCATGGATATTTGTTTTACACTCTATATTATAACCCAACACTATTTAATCAATTAATTTGCTCAAATAGTTCCAGGTTTAACTATTCAGAGGTCTTTAGTTGACTCCTGTGCTCCTTTAACACTATCATTGTTGAGGGTGCGGGTTGCTGTTGATAATATTTTTGTTCGTTTGTTTTGGGTACTTCCTAACTTGCTAGGACTACGGATTCTCAATGCTATGTTCCATATTTCCTGTCCAAGTCTTAGAATCAGCCATGTTTCTAAAACCCCTGGGTCCTTTTATTGGGTAAACTAAGATCTTGGTTCCAGGTTTGTTCATTGCTACTAGGATTTTGTTGCTTCTAGGCCCTATCAGCTGATTGAACAAGGAAATATGTATGTGTACTAATCTGTGTATATATACATATTTATAAATATTTTGATATGTAGCCATCTATATCTTTATTAAGCTAAATATAAGCTAAACTCATGTTTAGCTTAATATAGATAGCTGATGTCTCCAATTCTAATCCATTACTATATGAATCACTATAGTCTCCTTCCCTTACTTATCTGTAAATTCCTGCTCCCATAATAAAGAACCTGGCTACTGCAATCTGCCATTAGTTTACTTAGTTGGTCGATTCTAGTATACATGCATAGCAATTTTGTAATTTTTAACCCATATACTCATGGGAAATAACTTTATCACTAGAGCACAGTGTTTATGTATAGTTCCTTTTGCCCTTAGTTGTGCAGACTTCAATCATTACCTGAGTTGCTTAGTTCAGCACCCTCTTCCTTACCCTCTATAGTGAGGTTGCAGCATACACTTTCATACAGTTAGAGTCATTTGTAAAAATTTTGCCTTCCATACTTGGATACATCAACCTCCCATATTATAATTTTTAATTTTATACACTAACGTTTACTTTTTATGCCATAAGTTTCTATGGATACTAACAAATTCATACTGTCATGTATCTAGCTTTATAGTATGAAAAAGAATAGCTTTACCTCCCTAAAAACATCTCCTGTGCTTTGCTCATTGAATCTCTCTCCCAAAACCACTGACAATCACTGATCTGTTTACCTTGTCTAAGTTTTGCCTTTTCAGAATGTCATGTAAACTGAAAAATACATGTAGCCTTTTCAGTCTGGTATACTTAGCTTAGCAATATGCATTCATCTTTATGTCTTTGCATGGCCTTGATCTTTTCTTTTATTGACAACTAATTTCCCATTTTAATGTCATACTACTGTTTATCAAGTCACATATTGAAGGACATCTTGGTTGCTTCCAGTTTTAGATGGTTATTAAGAAAAAGATGCTATAAACATTGCATGCAGATTTTGTGTGTACATAGGTTTTTAAGTCAGCAAATACTTAGGAGTATGATTGCTGAGTCATACAATAAGACTATTTTTATCATTGGAAGAAACTGCCAAACGATCTTCCAGAGTAGTTGCAACATCTTGCATTTCCACCATCAATGAATGAGAGTTCCTATTCCTCCATATCTTTCCCTGCAATTTGAGTTATCAATTTTTAATTTAAAAAGTAGCCATTCTAATCAATACGTAGTAGTAAAAATAATATATTTTTAAGGCAGATATATGCCTTATGATACATATTTTACATAATGTATAAAGATTCACCTGAGCTTCCTTAAATAAAAACTCTTCTAAGTGTATATGTCCCTGTTTCTATAAAGAAATTCTTAATTTCTTGAAGAGGAAAGAAGAATCAAAATTGTTTAGTAGAGCATTGGCCCATGCACCAATATCACTGGCATCACATGGGAGCTTGTTAGAAATGCAGAATCTTGGGTCTAAACCAGACCTACTAAATAATGATCTGCACTATAACAAGATACCTAAGTGAATTACGCACATTAAAGTTTAATATAGGTCAGGCGCAGTGGCTCACACTTGTAATCCAAGCACTTTGGGAGGCTGAGGGGGCAGATCACCTGAGGTCAGGAGTTTGAGACTAGCCTGGCCAACATGGCAAAACCCCATCTCTACTAAAAATACAAAAATTAGCTGGGCATGGTGGTGGACACCTGTAATCCCAGCTACTCAGGGGGCTGAGCCAGGAGAATCATTTGAACCTGGGAGGTGGAGGTTGCAGTGAGCCGAGATAGTGCCACTGCACTCCAGCCTGGGTGACAGAGCAAGACTCTGTCAAAAAAAAAATAGCTTAAAATACATTGTCATAGAATCATATTACAGATTCATGAAGGTGGAAAGGACCCTGCTATTTGGCAGATAAAGAAACCATCTCTGGTCACTGGCAAGATAGCCAATAAAAACAGCTCCAGTCTGCAGCTCCCAGCGAGATCAACCCAGAAGGCAGGTGGTTTCTGCATTTCCAACTGAGGTACCTGGGTCATCTCACTGGTACTGGTTAGACAGTGGATGCAGCCCACAGAGAGCGAGCTGAAGCAGAGTGGGCATCGCCTCACCCATGAGTGCAAGGGGTCAGGAACTCCCTCCCCTAGCCAAGGGAAGCTGTGAGGCACTGTGCCTTGAGGAATGGTGCACTCTGGCCCAGACACTGTGCTTTTCCTGTGATCTTCGCAATCCACAGACCAGGAGATTCCCTCAGGCGCCTTCGCCACCAGGGCCCTGGGTTTCAAGCACAAAACTGGACTGCTGTTTGGGCAGACACTGAGCTAGCTGCAGGAGTTTTTTTCATTCCCCAGTGGCGCCTGCAATGCCAGCAAGATGCCATTCACTCCCCTGGAAAGGGGGCTGAAGCCAGGGAGCCAGTGGTCTAGCTCAGCAGATCCAACCCCCATGGAGCCCAGCAAGCTAAGATCCACTGGCTTGAAATTCTCGCTGCCAGCACAGCAGTTTGAAGTTGACCTGGGACGTTTGAGCTCAGTTTGGGGAGGGATGTCCACCATTACTGAGGCTTGAGTAGGTGGTTTTCCCCTCACAGTGTAAACAAACAAAGTCCCCAGGAAGTTCGAACTGGGCAGAGCCCACCACAGCTCAGCAAAGCCACTGTAGCCAGACTGCCTTGCTAGATTCCTCCTCTTTAGGCAGGGCATTTCTGAAAGAAAGGCAGCAGCCCCACTCAGGGGCTTATAGATAAAACTCTCATCTCCCTGGGACAGAGCACCTGGGGGAAGGGGAGGCTGTGAATGCAGCTTCAGCAGACTTAAACATTCCTGCCTGCCAGCTCTGAAGAGATCAGCAGATTTCCCAGCACAGTGCTTGAGCTCTGCTAAGGGACAGACTGCCTCCTCAAGTGGGTCCCTGACCCCTGTGCCTCCTGACTGGGAGAAACCTCACAGCAGGGGTCAAGAGACACCTCACACAGGGGAGCTCCAGCTGGCATCTGGCAGGTGCCCCTCTAGGCCAAAGCTTCCAGAGGAAGGAACAGGCAGCAATCTTTGCTGTTCTGCAGCCTCCAGTGGTGATGCTCCAGCAAACAGGGTCTGGAGTGGACCTCCAGCAAACACCAGCAGACCTGCAGCAGAGAGGCCTGACTGTTAGAAGGAAAATTAACAAACAGAAATAAATAGCCTTGACATCAACAAAAAGAATGTCCACACAAAAACCCATCCGAAGGTCATCAATGTAAAAGACCAAAGGTAGATAAATCCATGAAAATGAGGAAGAACCAGCACAAAAAAGGCTGAAAATTCCAAAAACAAGAATACCTCTTCTCCTCCAAAGGATCACAACTCCTCACATGCAAGAAAACAAAAATGGACAGAGAATGAGTTTGACAAATTGACAGAAGTTGGCTTCAGAATAGCAAACTCCTCTGAGCTAAAGGAGCATGTTTTAACTCAATGCGAGGAAGCTAAGAACCTTGAAAAAAGGATAGAAGAATTGCTAACTAGAATAACCAGTTTAAAGAAGAACATAAATGACCTGAAGGAGCTGAAAAACACAGCACACGAACTTCGTGAAGCATACACAAGTTATCAATAGCCAAATCGATCAAGTGGAAGAAAGGATATCAGAGATTGACGGTCAACTTAATGAAATAAAGTGTGAAGACAAGATTAGAGAAAAAAAGAATGAAAAGGAATGAACAAAGCCTCCAGGAAATATGGGACTATGTGAAATGACCAAACCGACATTTGATTGGTGGACCTGAAAGTGACGGGGAGAATGGAACCAAGTTAGAAAACACTCTTCAGTATATTACCCAGGAGAAATTCCCCAACATAATAAGACAGGCCAACATTCAAATTCAGGAAATACAGGGAACACCACAAAGATACTCCTTGAGAATAGCAACCTCAAGACACATAATCATCAGATTCACCGAGGTTGAAATGAAGGGAAAAAATGTTAACGGCAGCCAGAAAGAAAGGTTGGGTTACCCACAAAGGGAATTTGGTCAGACTAACAGCAAATCTCTCTGCAGAGACCCTACAAGCCAAAAGAGAGTGGGGGGCCAACATTTAACATTCTTAAAGAAAAGAATTTTCAATCCATAATTTTATATCCAGCCAAACTAAGGTTCATAAGCAAAGGAGAAATAAAATCCTTTACAGACAAGCAAATGCTGAGAGATTTTGTCACCACCAGACTTGTCATACAAGTGCTCCTGAAGGAAGCACTAAATATAGAAAGGAAAAACCAGTACCAGCCACTGCAAAAACATAGCAAATTGTAAAGACCATGAACACTATGAAGAAACTGCATCAACAAACAAGTAAAATAACTAGCTAGCATCATAATGATAGGATCAAATTCACACATAACAATATTAACATGAAATATAAATGAGCTAAATGCCCCAAATAAAAGACAGAGAATGGCAAATTGGATAAAGAGTCAAGACCCATTCAGGAAACCCATCTCACATGCAAAGATACACATCGACTCAAAATAAAGGGATGAAGGAATATTTACCAAGCAAATGGAAACCAAAAAAAAGCATGGGTTGCAATCCTAGTCTCTAATAAAACAGGCTTTAAACCAACAAACATCAAAAAAGACAAATAAGGGCATTACATAATGGTAAAGGGATCAATGCAACAAGAAGAGCTTGTCAATATTAGACAGATCAATGAGACAGAAAATTAACAAGGATATTCAGGACTCGAACTCAGCTCTGGACCAAGCAGACCTAATAGACATCTACAGAACTCTCCACCCCAAATCAACAGACTATACATTCTTCTCAGCACCACATCACACTTATTCTAAAACTTACCACATAATTGGAAGTAAAATACTCCTCAACAAATGCAAAAGAATGGAAATCATAACAAACAGTCTCTCACATGACAGTGAAATCAAATTAGAACTCAGGATTAAGAAACTCACATATCTACAACTATCTGATCTTTGACAAACCTGACAAAAAGAAGAAATAGGGAAACGATTCCCTATTTAATAAATGGTGCTGGGAAAACTGGCTAGCCATATGTAGAAAGCTGAAACTGGATTCCTTCCTTACACCTTATACAAAAATTAATTCAAGATGGATTAAAGACTTAAATGTTAGACCTAAAACCATAAAAACCCTAGAAGAAAACCTAGGCATTACCATTCAGGACATAGGCATGGGTGAGGACTTCATGTCTAAAACACCAAAAGCAATGGCAACAAAAGCCAAAATTGACAAATGGATCTAATTAAACTAAAGAGCTTCTGCACAGCAAAAGAAACTACCATCAGAGTGAACAGGCAACCTACAGAATGGGAGAAAATTTTTGCAATCTACTCATCTGACAAAGGGCTAATATCCAGAATCTACAATGAACTCAAAAAAATTTACAAGAAAAAAAAAAAAACCCCATCAAAAAGTGGGCGAAGGATATGAACAGACACTTCTCAAAAGAAGACATTTATGCAGCCAAAAGACACATGAAAAAATGCTCATCATCACTGACCATCAGAGAAATGCAAATCAAAACCACAATGAGATACCATCTCACACCAGTTAGAATGGTGATCATTAAAAAGTCAGGAAACAACAGGTGCTGGAGAGGATGTGGAGAAATAGGAACACTTTTACACTGTTGTTGGGACTGTAAACTAGTTCAACCATTGTGGAAGTCAGTGTGGCCATTCTTCAGGGATCTAGAACTAGAAATACCATTTGACACAGCCATCCCATAACTGGGTATATACCCAAAGGATTATAAAACATGCTGCTATAAAGACACATGCACATGTATGTTTATGGCGGCACTATTCACAACAGCCAAGACTTGGAACCAACCCAAATGTCCAACAATGATAGACTGGATTAAGAAAATGTGGCACATATACACCATGGAATACTATGCAGCCATAAAAAATGATGAGTTCATGTCCTTTGTAGGGACATGGATGAAGCTGGAAACCATCATTCTCAGCAAACTACCTCAGGGACAGAGAACCAAGCACCACATGTTCTCACTCATAGGTGGGAATTGAACATTGGGAACATATGGACACAGGAAGGGGAACATCACACACCAGGGCCTGTTGTGGGGTTGGGGGAGGGGGGAGGGATAGCATTAGGAGATATACCTAATGTTAAATGATGTGTTGATAGGTGCAGCACACCAACATGGCACATGTATGCATATGTAACTAACCTTCACATTGTGCACATGTACCCTAAAACTTAAAGTATAATAAAAAAAAAAAACTCACTCAAAACTACACAACTACATGGAAACTGAACAACCTGCCCCTGAATGACTACTGCATAAATAATGAAATTAAGGCAGAAATAAATAGGTTCTTTGAAACCAATGAGAAGAAAGACACAATGTACCAGAATCTCTGGAACACAGCTAAAGCAGTGTTTAGAGGGAAATTTGTAGCACTAAATGCCCACAGGAGAAAGCTGGAAAGATCAAAAATTGACATCCTAACATCACAATTAAAAGAACTAGAGAAGCAAGAGCAAACAAATTCAAAAGCTAGCAAAAGACAAGAAATAACTAAGACTAGAGCAGAAATGAAGGAGATAGAGGCACAAAAAAACCTTCAAAAATATCAATGAATCAAGGAGCTGGTTTTTTGAAAAGATTAACAAAATAGATAGATCGCTAGCCAGACTAATAAAGAAGAAAAGAGAGAAGAATCAAAACACACAATAAAAAATGATAAAGGGGGTATCATCACTGATCCCACAGAAATACAAACTACCATCTATGGATGGTAAACACCTCTATGCAAATAAACTAGAAAACCTAGAACTGAATAAATTTCTGGACACATACAGCCTCCCAAGACTAAGCCAGGAAGAAGTCAAATCCCTGAATAGAACAATAACAAGTTCTGAAATTGAGATAGTAATTAATAGACTATCAACCAAAAAAAGCCCTGGACCAGACGGATTCACAGCTGAATTCTATCAGAGGTACAAAGAGGAGCTGGTACCATTCCTTCTGAAAGTATTCCAAACAATAGAAAGAGGAGGACTCCTCCCTAACTCATTTTATGAGGCTAGCATCATCCTGATACCAAAACCTGGCAAAGACACAACAAAAAAAGAAAATTTCAGGACAATATCCCTCATGAACATCGATGCAAAAATCCTCAATAAAATATTTGCAAACCGAATCCAGCAGCACATCAAAAAGCTTATCCACCATGATCAAGTTGGCTTCATGCCTGGGATGCAAGGCTGGTTCAACATATGCAAATCAATAAACGTAAGCCATCATAATAACAGAATCGATGTCAAAAACCACATGATTATCTCAATAGATGCAGAAAAGGTCCTTGATACACTTCAATACCCCTTCATGCTAACAACTCTCAATAAACTCAGTATTGATGGAATGTATCTCAAAATAATAAGAGCTATTAATGACAAACCCACAGCCAATATCAGACTGAATGGGCAAAAGTTGGAAGCATTTTCTTTGAATACCAGCACAAGACAAGGATGCCATCTCTCACCACTCCTATTCAACATAATATTGGATGTTCTGGCCAGGGCAATCGGGCAAGAGAAAGAAATAAAGGGTATTCAAATAGGAAGTGAGGAAGTCAAATTATCTCTGTTTGCACATGACATGATTGTATATTTAGAAAACCCCATTGTCTCAGCCCAAAATCTCCTTAAGCTGATAAGCAAATTCAGCAAAGTCTCAGGATGCAAAATCACTGTGCAAAAATCACAAGCATTCCTAAACGCCAATAATAGACAAACAGAGGGCCAAATCATGAGTGAACTCCCACTCACAATTGCTACAAAGGGAATAAAATACTCAGGAATACAAATTACAATGGATGTGAAGGACCTCTTCAAGGAGAACTACAAACCACTGCTCAAGGAAATGAGAGAGGACACAAACAAATGGAAAAATATTTCATGCTCATGGGTAGGAAGAATCAATATTGTGAAAATGGCCATACTGCCCAAAGTAATTGATAGATTCAATGCTATAATCAAGCTACCACTGACTTTCTTCACAGAATTAAAAAAACAACTACACTAAATTTTATATGGAACCAAAAAAGAGCCCGTATAGCCAAGACAATCCTAAGCAAAAAGATCAAAGCTGGAGGCATCACGCTCCCCGACTTCAAAGTATACTACAAGGCTACAGTAACCAAAACAGCATGGTACTGGTACCAAAACAGATATATAGGCCAATGGAACAGAACAGAGGCCTCAGAAATAACAACACACATCTACAACCATCTGATCTTTGACAAACCTGATGAAAACAAGCAATAGCGAAAGGATTCCCTATTTAATAAATGGTGTTGGGAAAACTGGCTAGCCATATGCAGAAAACTGAAACTGGACCCCTTTCTTATACCTTATACAAAATTCAACTCAAGATGGATTAAAGACTTAAATGTAAGACCTAAAGCCATTAAAAACCCTAGAAGAAAACCTAGGCAATACCATTCAGGACATAGGCATGGGCAAAGACTTCATGACTAAAACACCAAAAGCAATGGCAACAAAAACCAAAATTGACAAATGGGATCGAACTAAACTAAAGAGCTTCTGCACAGCAAAAGAAACTGTCATCAGAGTGAACAGGCAACCTACAGAATGGGAGAAAATTTTTGCAAGCTATCCATCTGACAAAGGGCTAATATCCAGAATCTACAAAGAACTTAAACAAATTTACAAGAAAAAAACAGCCCCATCAAAAAGTGGGCAAATGATATGAACAGACAATTCTCAAAAGAAGACATTTATGTGGCCAACCAACATATGAAAAAAAGCTTATCATCACTGGTCATTAGAGAAATGCAAATCAAAACCACAATGAGATACCATGTCACGCCAGTTAGAATGGCGATCATTAAAAAGTCAGGAAACAACAGAGGCTGGAGAAGATGTGGAGAAATAGAGATGCTTTTACACTTTTGGTGGGAGTGTAAATTAGTTCAACCATTGTGAAAACCAGTGTGGTGATTCCTCATGGATCTAGAACCAAAAATGCCATTTGACCCAGCAATCCCATTACTGGGTATATACCCAAAGGATTATAAATCATTATACTATAAAGACACATGCACACATATGTTTATTGCAGCACTATTCACAATAGCAAAGAGTTGGAAGCAACCTAAATGCCCAGCAATGATAGACTGGATAAAGAAAATGTGGCACATATACACCATGGAATACTATGCAGCCATAAAAAAGGAAGAGTTCATGTCCTTTCTAGGGACATGGATGAAGCTAGAAACCATCATTCTCAGCAAAATAACACAGGAACAGAAAACCAAACACCACACGTTGTCACTCGTAAATGGGAGTTGAACAATGAGATACGTGGACACAGGGAGGGGAACATCACACACCAGGGCCTATCAGGGGCTGGGGGGCTAGGGGAAGGAGATTATTAGGAGAAATAGCTAACGTAGATGACAGGTTGATGGGTACAGCAAACCACCATGGCATGTATATACCTATGAAACAAACCTGCATGTTCTGCCCTTGTATCCTAGAACTTAAAACATATCTAAAAGAGAAAAATTATTTTTTTACTACGTGTTATTCTTTTATACTGTAAGTTTGTTGTCAAGATCTGATCTCTAGGAAGAATTTATTAAGTGTAATTTAAAGATAAGCAACAGTTTATAGATCTTAATTTAAAAAAATAAAAAAGAAACCATCTCCTAGAATTTTGTGTGCTGTGTGTGATTGTATGTGTGCAATACTGTATTGCTGACCTTCTTGGGTACATTATCTCTCAAGCAAGGTGACACTTTTTTCAAGGTTAATTATTTATACAAAAAAAAGAGAAAAATAAGCTAAGGCTCATTGCCTATTATACAGCAATAAAAATAATATAAGATTAATCTGAAATCATGGTGTAAGTCATTGGAAAAATTATACTTATATTCACAATTTCAAGTTAAAGATAACTTTGTAAAGCACATCGGTTGTATAAAATGAGGCAAGTTGCTCTTGCTTCTCTCTATGTATTCACTGTGCAGAATTGTGCTGTCACTGACATTAATATAAAGCACCTGGTCTCTATTTAGCCTTCAGGAAAAGCTAAAAATAATCATCAGAAATATTTTATTTACCAATACCAGCCATGTAGCTGTGAACTCTTAATCTTACAATAGCACTTAATCACCAGCCCAATAGAACAAAAATAACCCTGGAGCCAGGTATTGATGTAAACATTCTAAAGTAAGCTTGTAGCAGCACGGTAATTCAAACCTGTAGCTGCTACTGGAGAGCAAGGAGAGTAAAATCTTCCCCTTCCTCATCTGCCAATAGATATCTCCAGAAAATGCTGTCCTCTTAGTCCGAATTCCCATGTCTTAACAAGGTTTGTATGTAACACTTAGGGACCCACCCAACAACCTAAGCTGGGGCTGCCCTCAGTGACACCCAGAATTAATTCAACATTGCTAGTGTGAAGCTACTAGGATCTGCATGTTTGTATCTTCAGTTGAAACATAATCTAAAATGTGGTGGTATTAAGAGGTGGGATTTTGGGGAGGCAACTAGATCATGAGGGCTCTACTCTTATGAATGGGATTAGTGCCTGTCTTAGTCTGTTTTGTGTTCCTATAACATAATACCACAAACTGGGTAAGTTAGAAAGAAAATAAATTTATTTCCTACATTTCTGGAGACTGTAAAGTCCAAGGTCAAGAGGGCTGAATGAATCTTGTGAGGGCCTTCTTGCTGTGTCATCCATGATGGAAGGTGAAAGGACAAGACAGTTTGAGACAGGGAGAGAAAAGAGTCCTAACTCATCCATTTATCAGGAACCCACTCCTGCAATAACTAATCAACAACTTAGATTCAGTTTTCAACAAATGCACTTTGGGAGACACACTCAAACCATAGAAATGCTCTAATAAAAGAGGTTGAAGAGCCGTGTTCACTCCTTCCACTATGTGAGGACACAGCTAGAAGGTGCCATTTACAAGGAACAGGGCCTCATCAGAATCTTATAGTGCTTTGATCTTGGACTTCTCAGCCTCCAGAACTGTCAGCAATAAGTTTCAGTTGATTATAAATTACTCAGTCTATGGTATTTTGTTTTAGCAGCCTGAACAGATTAAGACAATAACAAAGCCCTAATCTTTGCTACTTGAAGTGTTTGGCCACATACCAACCACTTGAGGGCTGGTCATAAATGCAGAATTTCAGGCCACACCCCAGATATGTTGAATCAGAATCTGCATTTTAACAAAATACTTAGGTGATTTGTACGCACTTGAAGTTTGCACAGCAGTGCTACGGAAGAAAATAAAATAAGAAGACAAGCATCCAGGCAGGTTTTGATGACAGGTCATTTAAATTTCTACACTATGAGCCTTCTATCTAGGAGCCATTGATATAGAGAGATGTAAGGAGAATCACTTCCAAGACTAAGGGAAATAAATGTATTGTTAACAGAATACAACTTAATTGGTATCAGGATAATGCCTATTAGAATCCAAAGATTTAGCCCCATTGTTAGACTTTAGTTTCTCCATTTGTAAAATGAGGCTAGCAGTTACCTCATTGGATTGCACATAAGAATAAATGACATAAAAAACAAGGCAAAGCAAAATGGCAGAATAGAAGACTCCACCAAGTTTTCCTTCCACAAGAACACCAATTTAACAACCAGCAAAATAGAAAAAAAAAAACTTCATAACAACCAAAAATCAGGTGAACAGTCATAGGATCTAGTTTTAACCACATTGCTGAAAGACAAACTGAAGAGATTTATAAAAAACAATCTCTAATAATCATCACTACTCCCCTACATGCCAGCAGTGGCAGTGTGATGTGGAGAGCTTCTCTGGGTACTGGGGGAGGGATATCACAGAAACTGTGAGGCATTGAACCCAGTGCTGTCCTGTTAGAGCAGAAAGAAAAACTGGACCAAACTCAACTGACTCGTGCCGGCAGAAGGAGTATTTAAACCAGCCCTAGCTAGAGGGGAATCCCTGATCCCAATGGTCAGACCCTGAGTTCCCACAAACCTCACCGCAGAGGGCTATAGTGCTTTGTGTCTCTAAATAACCTTGAAAGGCAGCCTAGGCCATACGTACTGCAATACTTAGGCAAGTCCTAGTACTGAAATATTCCCAGAGACAGTGGACTGGGGTGGGAGGGGATGGTTGCAGGGAGACACAAAACATACTGAGACATCAGCTGGGGAAGCCAAGAGAGTGCTGGCATCACACCTCCCCTAATTCCTGCCTGCACAGCTCTTGACTCCAAAAAAGACTCCTCCTTTCTGCTTAAGGAGAGAAGAGAAAAGAGTAAAGAGGATATCGTCTTGCATTTTGGATACCAGATAAGTCATAGCAGAATAGGGCACTGGTCAGAGTCATGAGGCTTCCTTTCCGGGCCATAGGTCCCAGAGGACATTTCTACATACACCCTAGGTCAGAAAGGAACCCATTGCACTGAAGGAAAAGTCTCAGTCCTGACAACGTTATGAAGATGCTAACTGAAGAGCCCTTGGGCCCTGAATAACCAGCAGTGATACCCAGGTTCTATGTCGAGGGCCTTGGGTAAGCCTATAAGGCTTGCTGGCTAAAAGTACTAGCATGGCCACAGGTAAGTAGAGCACCAAGTGGGCTCTTGGGGTTCCTGTTTCCAGGAATTGACTCTTGGACAGCATTTCTGGACCTGCCCTGGGCCAGAGGGGAGCCCACTGTGGTGAAGAATGAGTCCCAGGCCAGGCAGTATTAACCACAAGGTGATTTAAGAGCCACTGGGGCTTAAGGGAACATTGGTAGTAGTCTGGCAGTACTTGTGGCCTGGGATGGTGGTAGCTAGAGAGTAAGGCTTCTCTGACTTTGGAAAGAAGAGTGAAGAGTAGGAAGGATGAGGGGATCTTGCCACCCTAAAGGGAAAGACACAGGCCAGGCTGGCTTTGCCACCAGATGATGGTGGAGCCCCAGGGACTTGAATAAAAATAGTAGCCAAGATGTGATTAGAGCAGGCCCTGGGCAAGACCCAGTGCTGTGCTAACTTTACGTCTGACCCAGCACAGTCATAGTGATGATGGCCACTGGGATTCTTGTGTCACTCCACTCTTCATGTTAGATGGCTCAGAACAGAGTGACAGACTCTGTTTGTTTGGGGAAAGGAAAGGAAGACAACAAGTCTCTCCCTGGTAACCCAGAGAATTCTCCCAGAACTTGTTCAAGACCATCAGGAAAGACCTCTATGAGTCTGAGTCTTCAGGAACCACAATATTACTGGGCTTGGGATGCCCCCTAAAGGATACATAGTTTGGATCACAACACCCATGTTCTTTCAAGTATCTGGAAAGCGTTCCCAAGAAGGATGGGCACCAATAAGCCCAGACTGTAAAGACTATAATAAATACCTAACTCTTAAATGACCAGACACTGAAAAACATCTCCTAGCATCAACACTATCTAGCAAAACATTACCTCACCAAATGAACTAAATAAGGCAGAAAGGACCAATCCTGCAAAAACAGAGATGTGTGACCTTTCAGGCAAAGAACTGAAAATAACTGTGTTGAGGAAACTCAAAGAAATATAAGATAATACAGAGAAGAAATTCTGAATTCTATCAGATAAATTTAACAAATAGATTGAAATAATTTAAAAGAATCGAGCAGAAATTCTGCAGCTCAAAAATACTATTGGCATATTGAAGAATGCATCAGGGTCTTTTAATAGTGGAACAGATCAAGCAGAATAATGAATTAGTGAGCTCGAAGACAGGCTATTTGAAAATACACAGTCAGATGAGACAACGACAACAAAAAAGGATAAAAAACGATGAAGCACTTCTACAGAATCTAGAAAATAGCCTCAAAAAGGCAAATCTAAGAGTTATTGACCTTAAAAAGTAGAGAAAGAGATAGGGGTAGAGAGTTTATGCAAAGGGATAATAACAGAGAATTTTCCAAACCTAGGGCAAGATACCAACATCCAAGTACAGGAAGCTTAGAGAACACCAAGCAAATATAACCCAAAGATGACTACCTCAAGGTATTTAACAATCAAACTCCAAAAGATTAAAGATAAAGAAAGGAACCCAAAAGCAGCAAGAGAAAAGAAACAAATAACATACAATGGAGCTCCAATACATCTGGAAGCAAAATTTTCAGTGGGAACCTTATAGGCCAGGAGAGAGTGGCATGAAATATTTAAAGTGCTGAGGGAAAAACAAGTTTACCCTAGAATAGTAAATCTAGTGAAAATATACTTGAAACATGAAGGAGAAATGAAGACTTTCCCAAACAAACAAAAGCTGTGGGATTTCATCAACACCAGATCTGTCCTACAAGAAATGCTAAAGGGAGTATTTCAGTCAGAAAGAAAAGGACACTAATGAGCAATAAGTAATCACTTGTAGGTACAAAACTCACTGGTAATAATAAGCATACAGAAAAACACAGAATATTATAACATTGTAACTGCAGTGCGTAAACTACTCCTATCCTAAGTAGAAAGACTAAATGATAAACCAATCAAACATTTTAACTACATCAACTTTTCAGGACATTCTCAGTCTTAAGAAAGGTCAGTCAACAAAAAGTTTAAAAGCTGGGAGACAAAGTTAAGGTGTAGCATTTTATTCATTTTCTTTTTGCTTGTTTGTTTGCTTGTTTATGCAAACAATGTTGTTATCAGCATAAAATAATAGGTTATAAGATAGTATTTGCAAGCTTCATCATAACCTCAAACCAAAAATTATACAATGGAGACACAAAAAATAAAAAGCAAGAAACTAAATCGTATCACCAGAGAAAAGTCACCTTCACTAAAGGAAGATAGGAAGGAAAGAAAGAAGGAAGATAAGACCAGAAAACAACCAAAAAACAAATAACAAAATGGCTGGAATATGTCCTTACTTATCACTAATAACATTAAATATAAATGGACTAAACTGTTTAATCAAAAGACATAGACTGGCTGAATGGATGGAAAAACAAGACCCATTGATCTATTGCCTAAAAGGAACACACTAAACCTATGCAGACACATATAGGCTGAAAATAAAGATATGGAAAAAGACATTTCATGCCAATGGAAACCAAAAAAGAGCAGAAGCTGCCATACTTATATCAGAAAAAGCAGATTTCAGAACCAAATCTATAAGAAAAGACAAAGGAGGTAACTATATAATGATAAAGGGGTCAATTCAGCAAGATAATATAATAATTTTAAATATATAAGAACCCAACACTGGAGCACCCAGATATATAAAGTACACATTACCAGAGGTAAAGAGAGAGATATGATGCAATAATAGCTGGAATATTGAACACTCCACTTTCAGCAGTGAAGAGGTCTTCCAGATAAAAAATCAACAAAAAAAGTCTGCACTATAGACTAAATGGATCTAATAAATATTTACAGATTTCATTCAGTGGCTGCAGAATACACATTCTTTCCTCAGCATATGCATTATTCTCTAGGATAGACCATATGCTGGGTGACAAAACAAGTCTCAAAACATTCAAAACAACTGAAATAATATCAATCATCTTCTCTGACCACAATGGAATAGAACTATAAATTAAAAAGAAGAGGAACTTTGTAAACTATACAAATACATGGAAATTAAACAATATTCTCCTGAATGACCAGTGGATCAATAAAGAAATTAAGAAGAAAACTGAAAATTTTCTTGAAACAAATGATAATGGAAATACAATATATCAAAACCTATGGGATACAGCAAAAGCAGTACTAAAAGGGACACTTATAGCTATAAATGCCTACATCAAAAAAGAGAAAACACTTCAAGTAAATAATCTAATGATGCATCTTTAAGAACTAGAAAAGCAAGTGCAACCCAAATGAAAAATTAGTAGAAGAAAAGAAATAATAAATATCAGAGCATAAATAAATTTGAAATTTAAAAAAATATTAAAAAATCAATGAAACAAAAGATCGTTTTTTTGAAAAAGAAAACAAAATTGGCAAACCATTAATCAGACCAGCTAAGAAAAAAGAGAGAAGATCCAAATAAATAAAAGCAGAAATCAGAAATGAAATATTACAACAAATACCACAGAAATTCAAAGGATCATTAGCAACTAATATAAGCAATGATATGCCAATAAATTGGAAAATCTAGAAGAATTGGACAAATTCCTAAGTACATACAACCTACCAAGATTGAACCAGGGAGAAATCCAAAACCTGAACAGACCAAAAATAAGTAACAACATTAAAGCCATAATAAAAAGTCTCCCAGGAAAGAAAAGCTCGGGACCCGATGGCTTTATTGCTGAGTTCTACCAAATATTTAAAGAACTAATAACAATCCTACTCAAACTACTTTGAAAAATAGAGGAGGAGGGAATACTTTCAAATTCATTCTGTCAGGCCAGTATTACCCTGATATCAAATCCAGACAAAGGCACATCAAAAAAAGAAAACTACAGGCCAATATCATTGATAAATATTTATGCAAAAATCTTCAACAAAATACCATCAAATCAAATTTAACAATATATTAAAATGATTATTCCTCATGATCAAGTGGGATTTACTCCAGGGATGCAAAGATATGCAAATCAATCAATGTGATACATCATATCAACAGAATGGACAACAAACATGATCATTTCAATTGATGCCAACAAAGCACTTGATAAAATTCAACATCTCTTCATGATAAAAACCCTAAAAAACTGGATATAGAAGGAATAAATTTTATAAAGGCCATATACAACAGACCCACAGCTAGGATCATACTGAATGGAGAAAAACTGAGAGCCTTTCTTCTAAGATCTATAACATGACAAAGATGCTGACTTTCACCACTGTTATTCATCATAGTACTGGAGGTCCTACCTAGCGCACTCATAAAAAAGAAATATATAAATATAAAGTGCATTCAAATTGGAAAGGAAGAAGTCAAATTATCCTTGTTTGCAGATGATATGATCTTATATTTGGGAATATCTAAAGACCTTACAATAAAACTATTAGAAATGATTAAAAAATTCAGTAAGGTTGCAGGATATAAAATCGACATAGAAAACTTATTAGCATTTCTACATGCCAACAGTAAACAATCTGAAAAAAAAATTTTTAAAGTAATCCCATTTACAGTAGCCACACATAAAATGAAATACTTAGGAATTGACTTAACCAAAGAAGCAAAAGATCTCTATAATGAAAAGTATAAAACATGGATGCAAGAAATTGAAGAGGACAGCAAGAAATGAAAAAAAAAATCCACGTTCATGGACTGGAAGAATCAACATTGTCAAAATGTCCGTACTACTCAAAGCAATATACAGTTTCATTGCAATCCACTTTAAAAGACCAATGGCATTCTTCACATAAATAGAGAAAACAATCCTAAAATTTATATGGAACCACAAAAGACCCAGAATAGCCAAGGCTTTTGTACTAGTTCATTTTCACACTACCGATAAAGACATACTTGAGACTGGGAAGAAAAAGAGATTTATTGACTTACAGTTCCAAGTGGCTGGGGAGGCCTCACAATCATGGCAGAAGGTTAAAGGCAAGGAGAAGCAAGTCATATCTTACATGGATGGTGGCAAGCAATGACAGAACTTGTACAGGGAAACTCTCACTTTTAAAACCATCAGATCTCATGAGACTCGCTCACTATCACAAGAACAGTGCAGGAAAGACCCACCCCCATAATTCAATCACCTCCTACCAGGCCCCTCCCATTGGGAATTGTGGAAATTACAATTCAAGATGAGATTTTGGTGGGGACACAGCCAAACCATATCATTCAGTCCCTGGCCCTTTCCCAAATCTCACGTCCTCACATTTCAAAACCAATCATGCATTCCCAACAGTTCTCAAGTCTTAACTAATTTCAGCATTAACTCAAAAGTCCACAGTCCAAAGTCTCATCTGAGATGAGGCAAGTTCCTTCTGGCTATCAGCCTGTAAAATTAAAAGCAAGTTAGTTACTTCCTAGATAAAATGGGAGTCCAAGCATTAGATAAATACTGCCATTCCAAATTGGAGACATTGGCCAAAACAAAGGGGCTACAGGCTCCATGAAAGTCAAAAATCTATTGGGGCAGTCAAATCTTAAAGCTCCAAAATGATCTCTTTTGACTCCATGTGTCACATCTGGGTCATGCTGATGCAAGAGGTGGATTTCCATGGTCTTGGGCAGCTCTACCCCTGTGGCTTTGCAGGGTACAGCCTCCCTTCCAGATGCTTTCACAGGCTAGTGTTGAGTGTCTGCAGCTTTTCCAGGCACATGGTGCAAGCTGTTGATGGATCTACCATTCTGGGGTCTGGAGGATAGTGGCCCTCTTCCCACAGCTCCACTAGGTGTGGGACTCTGTGTGGGGTTTCAATCCCACATTTCCCTTCCACACTGCCCTAGCAGAGGTTCTCCATGAGAGCCCCATCCCTGCAGCAAACTTCTGCCTGGACATCCATGCATTTCCATACATCCTCTGAAATCTAGGCAGAGGTTCCTAGACCTAAATTCTTCACTTCTGTGCACCCCTAGGCTCAACACCATGTGGAAGCTACCAAGGCTTGGGGCTTGCACCCTCTGAAGCCATGGCCTAAGCTATACCTTGGCCCCTTTTTGCCATGGCTGGAGTGGCTGGGATGCAGGGCACCAAGTCACTAGACTGCATACAGCACAGGGACCCTGGGCCTGGCCCACAAAATCATTTTCTCATCCTAGGCCTCTGGGCCTCTGGTGAGATGGGCTGCCATGAAGACCCCTGATATACCCTGGAGACTATTTTCCAATTGTCCTTGGGATTAAGATTCAGCTTCTTGTTACTTATGCAAATTTCTGCAACCAGTTTGAATTTTTCCTCAGAAAATGGAATTTTCTATCGCATTGTCAGTCTGCGAATTTTCTGAACTTTTATGCTCTGCTTCCCTTATAAAACTGAGGGTGGGTGCAGTAGCTCACGCCTGTAATCCCAGCCCTTTGAAAAGCTGAGATGGGTGGATTATGAGGTCAGGAGATCAGGCCCATCCTGGCCAACATGGTGAAACCACATCTCTACTAAAAATACAAAAAAATTAGCTAAGCATGGTGGCAGGCGCCTGTAATCCCAGCTACTTGGGAGGCTGAGGCAGGAGAATTACTTGAACCCATGAGGCGTAGGTTGCAGTGAGCCGAGATTGCACCATTGCATTCCAGTCTGGTGAAAGAGTGAGACTCTGTCTAAAAAAAAAAAGGAAAGAAAGAAAGAAAAAAGGAACAGAATGCCTTAACAGCACCCAAGTCATATCTTGAGTGCTTTGCTGCTTAGAAATTTCTTTCACCAGATACCCCAAATCATTTCTCTCAAGTTCAAAGTTCCACAAATCTCTAGGAAGGGGCAAAATGCCACCAGTCTCTTTGCTAAAACATAACAAGAGTTACCTTTGCTTCAGTTCCCAACAAGCTCCTCATCTCCATCTGAGACCACTTCAGCCTGGACCTTATTGTTTGTATCACTATCGGCATTTTTGTCAAAATCATTCAACAAGTCTCTAGGAAGTTCCAACTTTCCCACATTGTCCTGTCTTCTTCCGAGCCCTCCAAAATGTTCCAACCTCTGCCTGTTACCCAGTTCCAAAGTCGCTTCCACCTTTTCGGGTATCTTTTCAGCAATGCCCCACTCTACTGGTACCTATTTACTGTATTAGTCTGTTTTAACACTGCTGATAAAGACATTCCTGAGACTGGGAAAAAAAAGAGGTTTATTGGACTTACAGTTCCACATGGCTGGGGAGGTCTCACAATCATGGTGGAAGGTGAAAGACAAGGAGGAGTAAGTCAAATCTTACATGGATGGTGGCAGGCAAAGAGAGAGCTCGTGCAGGGAAATTCCCATATTTATTTATTTATTATTTATTTATTTATTTATTTATTTATTTATTTATTTTTGAGACGCAGTCTCCCTCTGTCACCAGGCCAGAGTGCAGCAGCACGATCTCGGCTCACTGCAACCTCCACCTCCCGGGTTCAAGTGATTCTCCTGTCTCAGCCTCCTGAGTAGCTGGGACTACAGGCACATGCCACCATGCCTGGCTAATTTTTGTATTTTTAGTAGAGACGGAATTTTACCATGTTGGCCAGGATGGTCTCTATCTCTTGACCTTGTGATCTGCTCGCCTCGGCCTCCCAAAGTGCTGGGATTATACGCGTGAGCCATCTCACCCGACAAAATTCCCATTTTTAAAACCATCAGATCTCATGAGACTCATTCACTATCATGAGAAGAGTACAGGAAAGACCCATCCCTATAATTAAATTACCTCTTATCTGGTTTGTCCCACCACAAGTGGGAATTATGGGAGTTACAATTCAAGATGAGTTTTGGGTGGGGACACAGAAAAACCATATCAGCTATCCCAAGCAAAGAGAACAAAACTGGAGGAATCACATTACCTTCTTTCAAATTATATTAATACTCCAGAGCTATAATAACCAAAACAGCATGGTATTGGCTGGCATAAACACAGGAACAGAATAGAGATCCCAGAAACAAATCTACACACCTACAGTGAACTCATTTTTGACAAAAGTGCCAAGAACATTCACTGGGAAGACAATATCTTCAATAAATGGTGCTGGGAAACTGGATATCCATATGGAGTAGAATAAAACTAGACCCCTGTCTCTCACCAAATACAAAATAAAATCAAAATGGATTAAAGACTGAAATCTAAGACCTCAAGATATAAAACTACTGCAAGAAAACACGGGAAAAAATCTCCAGGTCATTGGTCTAGGCTAAAATGTCTTGAGCAATAGCCCACAACCATAGGCAACCAAAGCAAAAATGGACAGATGGGATCTGTCCATTTGTTATGGCTTTTTAATGAAATTAAAAAGCTTCCCACCAGCAGTACAGTCCAGCCTGGGCAACAGAGGGAGACGGGAGAGGGAGAGGGAGAGGGAGAGGGAGAGGGAGAGGGAGAGGGAGAGGGAGGGGGAGAGGGAAAGGGAGAGGGAGAAAAATATTTTAAAAGCCTCTTTATTTCATTTGTAATAGCAGCATTCCAATTGAGTGAAATAAAAGATACTAAAATTGTGTTTACTTATAATTATCCCTATTGAATAAAGTAATAAACATGTCAGACCAATATCAAGTGTAACAGTTTGGTAGTAAATTTTTTGGGGTATTAGATTAAATATCTAAGTATAAATAATTTTAATAAACTAGTAGTAATGTATATGTCATTTAAAAAAATTTAACTATACTTCAGTTAAAACAGTTTATATTTCAAAAGTGTAAATAACAATATTAAAATAACCATTTAAGTGATTCATTCAAAGTAAGTATTGTGGCTTTATATTCATACTATTGTAAAAAATACTGTTTATGGCTCATGCCTGTAATCCCAGCAATTTGGAAGACTGAGGTGTGTGGATAACCTGAGGTCAAGAGTTCACGATCAAGCTGGCCAACACGGTGATACCCCATCGCTACTAAAAATACAAAAACTTAGCCAGGCATGGTGGTGTGTGCCTGTAATCCCAGCTACTCAGGGGGCTGAGGCAGGAGAAATCACTTGAGCCTGGGTCCCAGTGGTTGCAGTGAGCAGAACACGCCCCTACACTCCAGCCTGGGCAAGAGTGAGACTCTGTCTCAAAGAAAAAAAGAAAAGAAAAAGAAAATACTGTTTAATGTATATGAATGTATTGTTATGTGTAGTGTCTGCAAACACTACACATAACTATGCTAATTGTTCTGAAGTCATCAATAGACGGGCTGAAACACTGGTCACATTCCCATTATTGTGAAGGTGCAATTCTACTCACAAGGCCTGCAGGCTCTCCTGCAGCTCAGGCTTTCCTCTCTGATGTGACACTAGAGTGCTGCTGTGGGAAATGTGGTTCACATAAACTGAGCTGTGCTCAAGGCTGTGCCTCAGTGGCAGATGATAGAGGTCAAGAGAGGACACTAGCAACCAGGAAAAAGCAAGCAAGTGCTGTAGCTGAATGCCACGGAGCACAGAGCCACTGCTCTAAAATGTAAATAGCCAAAAGGATAGAATGTTTTTCAACCATTTTTGTAGCAGAGTGAAAGCCTACCTTCAGCAAGTACCTGGCTTCAAGCTAAACTACCTCCTGTTATGAAGATGTGAAAAGTTTTTTTGTTATTGAATGTAAACAATTAGCATATACAGATGGCCTCTTCAATCTCCATGTGAATTTAGGATGAACTATGTATGACATGGTGCTGGAAATTCTTCTACTTGTGGACTAATTTTGGTGACCATCTTTCTGTCTCTGCAGTCTCTTAAGCAGATTGACTATGACGCATGTCACATAAAACAGTTTTCTTTCTGTTCTACCGTGGAGTTTTTCTGGGGCTGGAGAAAATTCTTTTAATTATTTTTTCCAAACACTATCTATAATTACCAGACATGATATAAACACATGAGGTACCAACCAGAATTTACTCTAGAGGGGACTTTCCCTCTCAGACTTCCAGTCAACTCACACTTGTGCAACAAAGTGCATGCTGTCCCCTAAATATGCAGGCAGAACTGTATTTCTGCCTATTTGGTATCTATAGTCCTCTACAGTCACTTCTAGAGAAACTAGACCAAATTTCTACCAACTTCACTGGGCAACAATCAATGATTTTATCTCAATGACTCTTGTTATCTTCAGCCCTGAAACTGATTCAGAGACCATGGGGCCCACAAACCTGATCAGAGTAACGTGTTCATTGAGTACACATGCAGACATGAGAATCTCCACTTTCCCCTTTTTTATCTTGGTAAAATGTTCACAAATGTGTAGGTAACACCTGCTGCTACTCCAGCCATTCGGGCCCTAAATCTGCAGCTCTACATTTTGTATCCAGGTCTTGAGATTTGGGGAATAGAAAATTTTTATCTAAAAATGCAAGTCCTTTTGGTTATCAAACTCAGACATTGAAATGAAAGTGCAGTTATGTCATTCTCCAATTTAAATTATGTATTCATCTCTTGAAACTGTTCACTATTGCCACAAGTAGATATATATTAAACTAATAATACCACATTGGACACTATATCTCATACTCTAAACCATAATGATATATGTCTAATCAATAACCAATGTTACTTCTTAAAATAAATAAAAATTTCTGACAACTCTAAAAAAAAAAGAAATTAAAAAGCTTCTTCACGGCAAGGGAAACAATCAACAAAGTGAAGAAACAACCCACAGAATGGGAGGAAATGTTTGCAAACTACCCATCCTAGAAGAGATTAATAACCAGGATATATAAGGAGCTCAAACAGCTCTGTAAGAAAAAATCTAATAATCTGACAAGAAATGGGCAAAAGATTTGAATAGACATTTCTCAAAAGAAGACATACAAATGGCAAATGGCATACTAAAAAGTGTTCAATGTCATTGATTACCAGAGAAAGGCAAATCAAGACTATAATGAGATATCAGCTAACTTCAGTTAAAATGATTTAGATCCAAAGGACAGGCAATAACAAACACTGGAGAGGATATGGAGGAATGGGAACCCTTGTATACTTGGTGGGAATGTAAATTAGTACAACCACTATGGAGAACAGCTTGAGTTATCATATGATCCAGCGATCCCCCTGCTGGATACATACACAAAAGAAAGGAAATTAGTACATGAAAGAGATATCTGCACTACTATGTTTGTTGCAGAACTGTTTGCAATAGCTAAGATTTGGAAGCAATCTAAGTGTTCATCAACAGATGAATGGATGAAGAAAATGTGGTACATATACACGATGGAGTACTATTCAGTCATTCATAAAGAATGAGATCCAGTCATTTGCAACAACTTGGATGGAACTGGAGATCATTATGTTAAGTGAAGTAAGTCAGGCATAGAAAAGACAAACATTACATGTTCTCACTGATTTGTGGGATCTAAAACTGAAAACAATTGAAATCATGGACATAGAGAGTAAAAGAGTGGTTACCTAAGGCTGGGAAGTGTAGTAGGGGGGAGGGGGGAAGGCTGGCATGGTTAATGGGTAGAAAAAAATAGGAAGAATGAATAAGACCTACTATTTGCCCTTGAACCTGGGAGGTGAAGGTTGCAGTGAGCCAAGATCACTCCATTGCACTCCAGTCTGGGTGACAGAGATACAGTCCATCTAAAAAAAAAAAAAAAAAAAAAAAAGACCTATTATTTGATAGCATAGTAGTATAACTATAGTCAATAATAACTTATTTTTACATTTTAAAATAACTTAGAGTGTAGTTGGATTGTTTGTAACATTAACAATAAATGCTTTAGGGGATGGATACCTCATTCTCAGTGATGCGCTTGTTTCACATTACATGCCTGTATAAAAACATCTCATGTATCCCATAAATACATACCTACTATGTACCCACAAGAATTTTTTTAAAAGAATAAGTGACATGATGTAGAGCACTCAGCACAAAATCTGCTACATGGTAAGTGCTTGATACATATTATTTATCATAATTAGTATTGTGTAAAATATCCCTTCTCCAAGAATAAAATTATTTCTGGGTTCAAAATTCTTTTATCATGTTATAAAATTTTATTTACATAAATTAAAAGTGTATTATGTTGTAAGAGTATGCCCTTTTTATCTTTGTTGTCATTGCTAAAGTAGAATTTTGGAATTCAAAAATGTATACATGTACTATGGAAAACAGTAAAGAGATTTCTCAAAGAACTAAAAACAGAACTACCATTCATTCCAGCAATTCCACTACTGGGTATCTACCCAAAGGAAAAGAAATCATTATAACAAAAAGATAATTATACTCAAGTATTTACTGCAGCACTATTCACAATAGCAAAGACAGGGGATCATCTTCAGTGTCCATAAGATGATTGGATGAAGAAAATGTGGTATATATATATACCATAGAATACTACTCAGCCATAAAAGGAATAAGATCATGTCTTTTGCAGCAACATGGATGAAACTGGAGGCCATTATCTTAAATGGAATAACTCAGAAACAGAAAGTAAAACACTATATGTTCTTACTTAAAATTGTGAGCTAAATAATGTATATATATGGACATAGAGTGTGGAATAATGGACACTGGAGACTCAAAAGGGTGGGAGGGTTGGGGAGTGAGGAATGAGAAAGCACTTAGTGAGTACAATGTATACCAGTTTGGTGATGACTACACTGAAAGTCCAGACTTCATCACTGTGCAATATATCCATGCAACAAGACTGCACTTGTACCCCTAAATCTATACAAATTTTTAAAATCTATACATGTATCATGACATCACATTATACCCCACAAATATACACATTATTTGTCAATAAAAATGAAATAAAAAATTTTAAAAAGAATATACGCAAGTAATTCCTTTCACAGATTACAAAATTTTGGAATTATAATGCAAAGATTAATGGTGGCTAGGCCCAAAAGAAGATGGAGAGTGTTCAGAACTTGTTAGAGAAAGACATCCACACGTCTCCAGTGTACTCCCCTGGGCTTTTTCTGGCAGTGGCGCTTTGCACTACTGAATTCTCTTAAGGGTTCTGTTAATTCTGGAACTGTACCCTTAAGCCCTCCCATTCCAGGACAAGCTGTGGAAACTCTTTCAAAATTACTACAAGAATTTTGCTGGGGAATTATTCAGGTTATTCCTCCTATCTTCTACTTCAAACTTTTGCTCATACCTGACACCAAATTCTCCATTTGTGCTCAGCTCTTTTAACACAGGTTTGGAGGCTCTGATAAACTACCTGTTTTTTGTTTTGTATATTATATTTAGGATGCAGCTTAATACTTTAGAGTCAGACAAAACTGGACTGAAATCCGAGTTCCTCTACTTCCCAGGTCCTTTAAGGAGCAAGAGTTACTTAGACACAGTAAGCCTCAGTTTACTCATCTGTTAAATCAGTATGGCACCATACTCACAGTTGTTGTAAGGATTCACTGAGATTGTGTACATAAAATGTGCAGCAGAGTGCCTGGAAAGTAGAACATTCTCAATAAAGAGGAGCTTTTTATGAGGAGATTTGCTTCCTCTCTGAGGAACTGTGTTCTGGGCTACCCCTGGAGTTTATTACATGACAACCTGTAGCTGTTGATGCCCTGTCCTAAAGTCTGAACCTGGTCACTGGGACACAGGCCTGGCCCTGGCCTCAGAGCCCCTCTTCCCTGGGGAGAGTTGATTTGGAGTGTGCATAGGAGTTTCCTTAAGGAATAGTTAACAAAGCTGTTGACTGTGAGGACAAAAATGGAAAGTGAGAACTATGAAGAGCTGAAAATATTCAAGATGTTTAAAGTAGTGCTTTAAGCATTAAACATTAAAAGGTGCTGTCTATATTTGTGACAAATTTTCAGTAGAGGAAAGTTTTAGTCATTAGTACAATTAAATTAATAATGAAATAAAATCAAAAAGAATTTCAGAAGGAAAAGTAAAGCAGTTGAGCCAGAAAGCATGTGCCTTATTTAATCCAGCAATCTGAGAAGTAAGTAACTTGAAGAGAAGTAAGTCTCAGCTTTCAATGGAGTAAATTTGAAGCTGATAGATGATTGAGAGGCCAATCTCTAGCTTGGGTAATAGAAGTCAGGGAAAAAGGACAATCCAATTGGCACCTGTCACATACTGGGTGGCAGTGGTCAGGTGAGCTTTCTTGCTCATTGGATGATATCCTGAGATATAACCCTACATCCTGACACTTTCTTACATAAGCCACCTAGCAGAGGTACAACAGCAGCCCAGGCTTATTATGAGAGGGCCCCTGACCATCCTACCCATCCTCAGTCACATTCATTCATAGGGGACACATCTGAATGTCCTAGCAGGGGATTGGGAGCCAAGGAAGCAATAACACCTCCTTTGTCCACATGTAACTATATTAATTAGGACTGTTTTAAGAGTCTGTACATCATAACTACTTAATCAGGAGTTACTTCAGAGAAGAGAAAATATAATTTTATATAGTTCAAATAGCTGGGCCTTTATATTATCTCTACACTGCTTTGGGCTCTGGTTGTCGCTTTGAGGAGGTCAAGGCCAAGGTGTCCTGAGCCTGTTTCCAAAAGGAAGTGTTCACTGTGGCACCACAGAATGCCCAATGGCCATCCATGACACATATGCCTCAGTAGCCATCAAAGCCAAAACTCAGAATGATATCTCAATTATTTTATAGTGCTTACCCCAAACCTCTTGGGATAAGACCTGTATCATTTGGTCCCTGTTTGAATTTCCTGACTATCAAACCAGGGACCCCACTCTCATCTTTCTGTTTATTTTCTTGTTTTTTTTTTTACTTGGAATAATTGGTTTGTTTGAAATGAAGTAGTAGGAAAAATTACAGTAATGTCTGCTTGATGATCAAACTAATATTCCATGAACAGTTTAAGACTCAGCACATTTTAAGCTTGTTTTTTTCCCCAAAATATAGAGTAGTTATAATACAGTGCTGAACCTCAGGAAACACTTGCAGTTCTGAATATAGAAGAATAAAGCAACACTGTTCATCCCTGGGAAGCAAAATATACATTATTTAAATGAAATCCTTCTCTAGAATGACACTGGAAGTGATGGACTTTGACCATGTGGCTGTGCTGATTAGAATCCAGAAGTCAGGGTTAACTGCGATTCCAAATCCTACAGGCTGTCATCTTGTGAACACTTTAATACCAGTTGATGGGCAGTATTATAACTTCCATTCCAGTATCATCAACCAGTGAAATATAGCAGTCTTTCTAAGTATCTATATCCCTCCACAACTGGGCTATTCAGTGTTGACTGTCTCCTTCCCTCTGACTATTTTCCAAAGAGTATTCTCACCATTACCTCTTTATCACCATTGAGCTTGGGCTTTAATAACTGAGTTTTTATTCAAGTTCTGCCATGTACTGACTGTGTGACATTAAACAAGTGGCCTAACTTCCTTTGGCCTCAGTTTCCTCCTGTGTAAAATGAGGTCGGGCAGATTGTCTGCAAAGGTAGCTGCCAATCATTCCACCCACTCCTCTATACACACACGCTATTTTTCACATTAAGAAGTGGAGTCTATTTCCTCTCTCTTTCAATCTGGCTTTATAACTTGCCTTATCCAAGAAGATTCAGTAGAAGTGATGCTGTGTTAGTTCCAGCCTAGGCTTTAAGAGGCCTAACAGCTTCTGCTTTTGCTCTTTTGGAACCAGTTTATTTTACTGGAGAGAGAGGCCACGTGGAGAGAGTGACCTTGTGGAAGAGAACCAAGGTATCTATATAACAATCAAAGTCTAGGCCTGTGAGTGAGGTCGTCTTGGCTGTACCAGCCCCGGTGATGCTCAGCCAACATAATTTACTTGTGTTTTAAGCATCTTGAGGTTAACTGATATGAAATTTCTCCTCTGAGTTCAACTTAAATTTTCTGACCCACATAATCTAAGCAATAAAATAGTGTTGACTTGAACTACTAAGTTTGGAATGGTTTATTATGCAATAAGGCCAACTGACATATAAGGATAATGCTATTTTCCCAAATTATTAAAGGCTTTCAAAAATCAGATGAAATAGTAAATACAGAAACCCTTTTAAACTTAAAAGTATTTTAAATTGCGGAAAATTAGTTGTACTACAACTAGTACTTTTTATTATATTACTTAAGATGTCCAGATCTTTTTATATAAAATACCTGCCTGCTCCATAGTAATGCTGGCAGGGAAGGATAATGAAAACAATGAAATTAGGTGCCAGTTTTAATAATGATAGTAGTAGCTATTATTTTTTGACTACCTGCTAAGCAGCAAAAATTTCTGCTGGCCAATTCACAATCCCCAGGGTAGTATGATGCAGTGACCCACTTTTACAAAAAGAAAACTGACTCTAGAGTGATTGAATGTATCACCGAACTTCATGCAATCAATAAATAGCTGAGTCAGGATTGCCTACTTATCTGAAGCCAAAGTTCTTTCTCATATAGAATACCAACTTTGGGCCGGGCTTGGTGGCTCACGCCTGTAATCCCGGCACTTTGGGAGGCTGAGGCGAGCGGATCACAAGGTCAGGAGATCGAGACCATCCTGGCTAACATGGTGAAACCCCATCTCTACTAAAAATACAAAAACAAAATTAGCCGGGCGTGGTGGTGGGTGCCTGTAGTCCCAGCTACTCGGGAGGCTGAAGCAGGTGAATGGCGTGAACTCGGGAGTTGGAGCTTACAGTGAGCCGAGATCATGCCACTGCACTCCAGCCTGGGCAACAGTGCGAGACTCCGTCCCCACTCCCCCACCGCCCCCCCAAAAAAAGAATACCAACTTTGTTTTTCCGTAGCTCTTTCACAGGTAGATACACAGATATTAAAAAATAAAGGTGGCACACTCAGAAAGTAGACAGGAAAAGAACAAACTTCAAGTGTTCTGACTTTCCCATCCTCATTAAGAAAATTCATGCTGCTCCTCATTTATCTGTGTCTTAGGTGCCCTGAGCTTACCTGAGGACTGTGACAGGAACTACTGGAATACTGAAGACATCATAAGCAACCTGCCATGATGTGTGTAGATAACCGGACACTGATCTCCACAAGCAGAGAGAGCAGGGCAAGGAACTCACGAAGAGCAGCAGATGAACTGGCTTCTGTGTTTGCCCAAACAATATCCTGTTTTGACACCACTCAACATAATTTGAAACAAATAGGCAAATAAAAATGAAGAAATTAGCTATTATCCGGTGCGTATGATCAATGGGAACTACTGAAATGGGTTTTGGAGAATGCAAATCTCTCTTTCCTTGAATAGGATGGTTTTTGTCTCAATTAGCTAGATAAAAAGCCACTTCCTCTGTTTCATTTTGCTTTTGTGGCAACCTAGTGTTTGCTATATTTAATAAATAAATTAGTATATATATATATATCTTTAGTAACATTGTAATCTGAAAATAAATATCTTCATCAATATTTATAATAGAAAGATCCATGCATTATTAAACGTGAAAGAAGATATAATTTTCACGACTTAGTCTTCTTGGACTTGAATTTATCACCTTGTAAAATTCCCACCTTTAGCTCTACACTTTACTTTTTCTTTTTCCTTAGGAAAAGCAGTAATCCATTTCAAAAATCCCCTGTAGGAAAATGTTCAGATTTCTTTTTAACTGCTCTGTGTTCGATTTTAGTTTCATGGAAAACATTCAGACACGAAACAAAAACAAGAAATTTTTATTCCTTGCACAGTTTAGAAAATCCATTTGAACTCCTATTCTCTATGGCCAGCAGCCACAGGGGTAAATTTACTTTCCATGCTTCTTGGTCTGAAATAGCTCATCCTTCTAAACAGCTGCCAATATTCAAATTCATGTTGGGAGAAAATATTTTAAAAGCAGGTAACTTAACTGATAATCATCTCTGTCAGGGCCTTACCTGAAATTCCTTGGTTATTTTTTTTTGAAATCAGCGCAACCCACAGATAGATTCGGGATGCAGATTCAAAATGACTTTTTGGAAAGAATCTAGGAAGGTGCTCACTGCAGGCTAGGATCAGGTTTGCAGAACTTAGGTAGCATATTTCATAGATAAAAGAGAATTGACAGCTTCTTCAGTAAGCCAGTTGTTAATTAGTGTTCAATGATGCCATATCAAAATATGCACTTTCAGATAATTGCTTTCTAAGTGCTACCCTTAAAAACTGATTTAAATTTGCATGATACTGGGTGCTGCTGGAAGGCCATTAAACTGAAAAAAAAAAACCCAAAAATACATACAAAAAAATTTTAAAAAAATACACTCTTAAAACATCAAGCTGCATTTAAATTTATCACCAAGTCCTTTTAAACTCAGTGCGTTGAATAAGTCTCAGTGTTTACCTATGAGGTTTCTTGCCTCAGGTTTCATAGCTGTTAAAACGAGAAGGGATATTTCCTCTTTTACTTACTTTGTAATATGATTTGAGACGACCAGTCAATGAATCTCTTAGTTGGAGAAATGAAAGTACTAAAGGATTACATACCAGACAGACTTGGAGAGCACCACAGGAAGGAGGAAAAGGAAAGGGAAGGAAATGAGATTAAGCTAATTCTGCTTTACTCCAATTTCACTAACGATTAGAGCTGAGATTGCAAACAGGTGCCCACAGATGTACTTTATATGAATCACACAGTACTTGAAAAAAGTGATGCACATTAAGAAATTGGAAGATGTATCAAAATCTGGATTTTCTCCGGCTTCTCTTTAAAATCAGAAGATCTGGCAGCAGTAGGCTAAGCTCCCTCCTGGCTTCAGTAGGCCAGAGCTATATGGTGTCTCCTTTTTTAGATGGAGCACGTTTTCTCTTGTTTGTCAGCATTCATTACATTTGCAAAATCTCTTCACAGTGACACCTAAATTAGTGTTTTACTGAATAGCTGGGAACATAGCCTAGCTAAGTCAACCTGATCCACTTCATTCATTGATGTTACCTGCCTGCCTTGCAGGTACTGAAGTTGTGACTCTTATTTCTTGTTTTGTTTTGTTTTTTTTAAATTACTAAAATAACTGGAATAAGGGTATAATATTTCTGAGAGTCTTAGAATGTGCTGGCAGTATCATCCTACTCCCAGAATATCCCCCCAATTCTTTTTCTATATCCAGGTTTCCCATACTACTTTAGGCTAGTCCCTATTGCAATGTTGCTGGTGAGGCTGGGGATCAGATGAACTACTTTCATAAAGAGCTTTTGCCATGAATCCTGATATAGTTGCTGATCCTGTGAACCCCATCACTGTCAGCAGCATGGCAGGGAATAGAAAGAAGTTAGAGGCCCTGGGGCACTACTTGCCCTGGAGGACTCTGGAAGGCCTGGGAGCCAACACCCTCTATCACAGGGCTGTCTTCCCATGGCCCTCTGAGCAAGGACGGAGCAAGGAATATCTCTCTTTCCCTATGCTATGCTGGTTTTTTCCTTGGAAGTTCTGGACTATACCACAGGTCCAGCTGCCCACCCCACAGTCCTTTAGATACTGAGCTCTCTCTCCCAGGCCACACAAACCACATAATACCCTTACCCAGTCATGTATTTTGCTTCTAAATGGCTAGAGTGAAGGGACTTCCATTACAGTCACCTACATGGGCCTTTCTCCTCCAGACCCCTGAAAAGAGGAAGCTTCCAGCACTCTCCAAGCCCACCTCTGTTTGTGCAGTTATGGAATCACTAATCCACCCTTCATGGAAAACTCCATATGCTGGTTACCATATTTTCTCTTAGCTTCAAACCCACTCTTCTAAACATTGTTCTGTGAGGCCAAGGTTGGAATTCCCCAAACTATGTGTCAGGATTTAACCAGAAAGGCAGAACCTGTAGGAGATACACACACACACACACACACACACACACACACACACACACCCCATACACACATATACATATGTGCATATCTGTGTTGTATATTTTAAAATATATTTATTACATGAAATTGGCTTATATCTTTTTGGCAACTGGCTAAGCTAGTCCAAAAGTTTAAACTCTGTGCTCTGTAGGATAGGCATCCAGGAAAGAAAGATCACAGAAAGACTGGAACCTACAGGTGTAAGCCAATGAGCCAAATGTCTGCAGGTGGAATTTCTCTCTCTTTCCCTCTATCTCTTTCTCCCTCTCTCTCCTGGAGAAGCCTCAGTCCAAATTTAAGGTAAACCGAGATCATCCAGAATCACCTCTTTTACTTAAAGTCAACTGATTAGGCACTCTAATTACATTTGCAAAATGTCTTCACAGTGACACCTAAATTAATATGTGACTGAATAGCTGGGAACTATAATATAGCCTAGCCAAGTCAACACATCAAAAAAGCCATCACACACCACCACTTATCAACTTGACACCTAAACACATCTTCTTAAGCCATATTTAATCTCCAAATAAAGACAATAAACAAGGAAATTATTTCCTCATATGATACAAATATCCTGCAAACACCAAAATCATGCTAGTCATTTCTCCAAAAGAGGATGCAAAGTTATTGTGTGATCCTCAGTCTTTTCATTCTCCTTTGATATGCTGTAACTTAACAACTGAGATGTAAAGTTTATGATTATTAGCTACGTTAGATGACAAAGTAATAAAATGGGAAAGAAAACATATTTTTATGTATGTATATACACAAAAATGCATTCATATATACCTTTTAATACATATACACACTGTTTGAGTTGGGGCTGTTATGACAAAGTACCACAGAATGAGTGGCTTATAAACAATAGAAATTTATTTCTCACAGTTCTACTGGCTGAAAGTCCAAGAATAAAGTGCCAGCATGGTCAGGTTCTGGTGAGGGTTCTTTTTTGGATTGTAAACAATCAATTTATCATTTTGTCCTCACATGGCAGAAAGACAGCTAGCTAGTTCTCTAGTCGCTTCTTATAAGGGCACCAACGCCATTTGAGAGAGCTCCACTCTCATGACCTAATTGCTGCCCAAATTTCCCGCCTTTTCATATAATCACATTAGCATTAGGGTTTTAACATTTAAATTTTGGCAAAGCCAGTATTGAGCAGCTGATACAACTCCTTTCTTTGGGGTGATCAGCCAGCTACTGCATGATAGGTTGATTACACTTGATAACTTCCATCGTGGAAGAAGCAGCACTGTTTAAAGAAATCAACACTGACCATAATCACACTGGCTTTGGTCAGCGAAAATCCATGTTGCTGAGCCCATATATAACCTCCATTTCTATTACCATGGTGACTTTCCTCATGAGCCCATTGGGTAATGACAAGAGCTTCCAGGATAAAACACTAACTGGTATCCATAGAATAGGTCGTCTCATCCGCTTGATTTCTAAAATTCTCCTTTACTGAGGTCACTCTTTAGTGACCATTTACATGGGACACGAATATCTTAACACTCTATAATGCTATGCAACTTGGAAAGATCTATCCACATATATCTTAACCAAACCTCCTTGCCATCAATTTACTAATTATATTCCCTCCAAGTCCTTGCTCATTCAGTCCAACTATTGGACACAGCCCACAAATTGATAGAGATTCATACCTCTGGCTATTTTCTTTCCAGGAAAATGAACAACCCAGTATATTGTTCAAAGTTCTGTGCATGGAAAGAGTTCCTTTCACCACTATCCTTCTGAGATACCATCTATTTCTTCTCTAGAAACATCATGATCTGCTGGCTAATATTATGGATTTCTGTGGGTCAGACTGTTACGACTGTTACGATTACTACTTTGGCTACACTATCCACTATGGTAACTAGACCCACCTTGTTCTTGACCACTGACACCCCAGAACCCCTTTATCCCCACTGGCTTTAGAGATACCAGTCCAAGATAGTGGTTCCTACCATAATTTATGACCCATCACAAAGCTTTTCAAGGATGAATCACAAATTTATTTCTCAGAGTCATGGGAAAAGTTGTGTCCTCTGTGCCCTCTTAGGATGAATGCACAGGTCTTACCTGATACTTCCATTCTAACGGTCCAATCACTCTAAGTCTTTGAATATTTCTCTCTATTGTATAATAAGACAGTTTTGGCATTTTGACTTTATTTAGTGCAGAACATCACTGGGTCCCTATTTTAGTATATTTCTCCTATCAAATGTTAGAGTCATCCCTAGCCCCTTGAAATAAAATATTTAATCCAGAATCAATGCTTAGTGGGCCCACATCAATAAATTCAGCCTGACCCAATTTTATACACTTCCACCACAATCCCATATTCTAAATGTCTATTCCTACAAATGTCACTCAAATTTCTGTCGATGTAATCAGAAAAAAACACATAGTTCTTTATGTGCATTGCCTCCTTGTAGGTAACTGTACCTCATGTTTTGGTTTCTGCTGGGATTTGAGTCTAATTGTAAGTCTGAAAGCAAAGAGGGTCATGAGGGTAGTTCCTGGAGAGGACAAGCAGTGCCTTGCCAAGGGAGGCTATTACAGATCTTTAGGCTAATGACGGCTGAGCTCCTTAGGCAGAATGGAAGGGCTACTTCTGCTACTAAAGGAGGTCCACAGAATTTTATGTTTGAAGGTCCCCAGATTTATCAAGATCTTTTCATATGTTTCCATTCCACTTTTCCGGATCCCATTTCTTCCCAATTAGTGCCCTCATTTTAATGGAAGAGGCTTTGTAGCTTCAGGGGTGGGATTTCTGAAAACCAATTCCATTTAGTCCTCTGCCAGACTTGGTACCTCTTTAGGCTGAGCGCAGCTCTGTTACTGGACCCTACAGTGAATAAAACAATGAAGTCAATAATTGAGCAGAAAAGCATCAAGAAATTCTGTGTCTAGTCCTGCTCTGACATCACTATTCAGGTCTTAGGATAGGATTCTCTTTGTTCTGAGATGTGCCTAAGCCTCTAACTCAGCTCCTTGGCATCTAAATGCCTCTCTTGATAACTTGCCTGATAGAACACTCTGTTCAAGGTGCTGTCTTGTTCATGACGGTCCTCTCAAACACTGATGTTCTCTCTTTAAGCCTCATTTACATAGTTAGGGTCCTGCTTTCTTCTTTCCCACCTCTCTAGTCTAGCCACTGGCCTGTCTAAAAAGCTCTTCAGATACTGTTAACTTCTGGACTTCCTTGATTAAATACTTCACACACTTGCTGGACACCACTTGATAAACAACCACAAGGTTGACTACATTAAATAGAACTCTTCTGGATGCAAGAAATAGAAATCTAATCAAAACTAGCTTATAAAAAAAGGAGGTGTCAGCCAGCAGGATCAAACCAGGAACAGGACATGGATGTTTCTGGGCTCAGAAAAGTAAAAAACAGATTCCTCATGGCTCTCTTTGGCCCTTAACTATTTCTTTCTATTTGCTTCACCATCTCATACTAGGTTTGTTTTTTTTTTTCTCTTTAGTCAGGGTCTGTTAACTGGAAGATTTACTGTCTTTATAGCTTAATGACCAGAGGAGAAAGAAGGCTTCTCTTTGTAGACTCCAGTTTAAAAAATCCCAGTGAAGCACCCGATTGATCTTGTTTAGATGGTATGCTTATCCCTTGGACATTATCCCTATAGCCATGGGATTGAGATTCTAAGATTAGGCTAAATAGGTCATATGTGCATCCATTTTATGGGGGAGTAGGGGTTGCTCTGTCACCCAGGCTGGAGTGTAGTAGCATGATCATAACTCACTGCAGCCTTGAACTCCTGAGCTCAAGTGTGTGCATCCTTATGGCAAAGAAAGAGGCAGAATTGGTAGAAGAGACAAAAGAAATAACATAGATGATGCAACTGGGAAAACAGCTTCAATCAAGAGTCACTTGATTCATGTCTATCTTAGTACTCACCTATTTTCATGAATGACTATATATACCATGTTATCTTTGTCTGCTTCTCTGGAATTTCAATTCAACTGAACAAGCATTGATTCAGGCCAACCATTTCAAATTATTGGAGAGGGAGCTGGGAATCTGAAGATAAATAATTCAGGTACCCTGCCCTTGAGGAGCCTACCACCTACGGTAGGAGCGACTTCTATTTGTTGCTGTGTTCCATGACTCCTTTGGATTTGTATCTAATACCAAAGGCTTGAATTTTCTTCATGCAGCTGAAATCGTATTAATTGAGTCACACTTTCGACAGGGATTTAACCTAGTGCTGTATTGCCTTTCTTAAGTCAATGTATCATTTTGTTTGGGAATAGAAAATAGGCTTTTACGTTGTGGGTTAGTTCCAATTAATTGATAGTGGCTACTTTGAGAACTGAGTTAAAAAGAATTCTGAGGTTGTGTCTGTGCTCAATGAAAGAAGACCATAAAGTGATTAGCAAGCTTCATGATGAATTTGGAAATGTGGAAGCAAACATACCATTAATTTCTGGCCAAATATTTAGTGCTTGGCAATGCTGTTAATTGACTTGTTATTGTCTAATTTTTAGTATCCACTTAGCAAATTGAAAACATGAGGCCTTTGGTGGACATTACCAAAAAATATTGACATAAGTGCATATATATGTAGTTGTATATATAGTTGCATTTATATAGTTGCAACAATAAAGGGACTTTTTCTTTCCCCTTTCTACACATAAAAAAGATAATAGATTCAAAACATGATCTGAAATTAGGGGCATTTTGAATTCCTAACATATGAAAAGTAGGGAAATAACCACACACTTAGAAGAGAAATAGCCATTTAGTATGTAAAGGAGTTGGATCAAGTTTAAGGGAGACTTCTGGCTTTTGATTTAGGGAAACTGGCAATTTCTCCACACATAGTTTGCAATGTTGGACAAGAAACTTGTGTTTTTTACTAGTGAGGGGGAAATAAGACTTGATTCATAGTATCAGTTTCTTTCACCTATATGCTGGATACACATAACTGGTCAGTCATTTTTTACCAATATGAATAAAAGCTTTTCCCCTTTTATGGCTCAGAACAATTCACCTAGACAAGTGATAGAGGTGCAGAGCAATTTTTAGGCAAATACTCCTCTGTGTTTTTAATCAGAACACATTATTTGGAGGATCAAAGCACTGCGAAGAAATTAAAAGCCCCAGACCTTTAGGTTGTCCATGTGATTCAGAGATGGCCTCCTTACTATCTGATAATTGCATTATTTAAAGTGCGTTTGTGACTCTTAAGTTTAAGGATGACAAAAAAGTTTAGGAAAAAAATATCCATTTTCCTTGGCAATTCATGGCTACATAAAAGAGGATAAGTTGGTGAAAAGGTGAGAAGACAAAAAAAAAAACTATTGAGAAAGAAAAAGAGAAATGGAGAGAGAAATAGCTCATCTGAGTCTCTTCCCAGTTTGCAGATTTTGAAGGTAATATTTTGCACCACAGAAAAAAGCATTTTGTCTTTACACCAGCAGTAACTTTTCATTGTGATACAGTTGCCATGGGGATGATGTGCTGGGTTGTGCCACTTTATCATCTCTCTCTTACATGCTCTATTATAAAGTGAGTACTTGGGATTCTAGGCCATAAATATGCATCCACGAAATGTTAATCTGTAAACTAACCTGCCAACCAACTTCAGAGTAGTAATATGTTCTCTGGCTGGCAGAACTGCATTTTCCCTTTTGAAAGCAACAGGCAAGGCAGTAATTGGGCAGGCACAAACATCTGCAATTAGAGAGACTATTTCCTTTCCAGGCACTGTGGCCTTTGAACCAAAAGTAGAAAATGAAAAGGAATGTAAATTTATCTGGCAAGAAATGAAATTTGTTAATGATCTACCGTGTTTCCAGGTTACATGCAGCTTTTGGTCTAATCCTTTGAAAATATTTTCTGAAGCTAATCAGACCCTTTTTTAAACCTGTGGGAAATAAATGTCATAGGTAGATAAATTCCCCCAAATAATAGCCCACTGCATGCATTTAAAAACAGAGCAAAGTATGCCTCAGCAAAGCTCAGATCAATTTCATGTGACATCCTTCATTAGTCCCCACCATTTCTGAAACCACCAAGCATCATGCAGAATATTTCCCCAGGGCTTCTGGGGAAATGCTTCATTCACAGCGAAGCTGAAATTCATAGAAACCAGAATGGCACAAAGGCAACTTAAAAATCAAACCAACTTGTCTACACCAACAGGCCTGACCCTTGCTGCAGACATATCCCTTCAAGCCAATTTAGCTTCAGACAGTAGCTGTCAAAGCAGACCACATTATTGACTTGGACTTAACATTTCTTTTCTTTTATTTTTTTAATTTTACTATTATTATACTTTAAGTTTTAGGGTACGTGTGCACAATGTGCAGGTTAGTTACATATGTATAAATGTGCCATGCTGGTGTGCTGCACCCATTAACTCATGATTTAGCATTAGGTATATCTCCTAAAGCTATCCCTCCCCGCTCTCCCCACCCCACAACAGTCCCCAGAATGTGATGTTCCCCTTCCTGTGTCCACGTGTTCTCATTGTACAATTCCCATCTACGAGTGAGAATGTGCGGTGTTTGGTTTTTTGTTCTTGCGATAGTTTACTGATAATTATGATTTCCAATTTCATCCATGTCCCTACAAAGGACATGAACTCATCATTTTTTATGGCTGCATAGTATTCCATGGTGTATATGTGCCACATTTTCTTAATCCAGTCTATCATGGTTGGTCATTTGGGTTGGTTCTAAGTCTTTGCTATTGTGAATAGTGCCACAATAAACATACATGTGCATACGTCTTTATAGCAGCATGATTTATAGTCCTTTGGGTATATACCCAGTAATGGGATGGCTGGGTCAAATGGTATTTCTAGTTCTAGATCCCCGAGGAATCGCCACACTGACTTCCACAAGGGTTGAACTAGTTTACAGTCCCACCAACAGTGTAAAAGTGTTCCTACTTCTCCACATACTCTCCAGCACCTGTTGTTTCCTGACTTTTTAAAGATTGCCATTCTAACTGGTGTGAGATGGTATCTCATTGTGGTTTTGATTTGCATTTCTCTGATGGCCAGTGATGGTGAGCATTTTTTCATGTGTTTTCTGGCTGCATAAATGTCTTCTTTTGAGAAGTGTCTGTTCATGTCCTTCACCCACTTTTTGATGGGGTTGTTTGTTTTTTTCTTGTAAATTTGTTTGAGCTCATTGTAGATTCTGGATATTAGCCCTTTGTCAGATGAGTAGGTTGTGAAAATTTTCTCCCATTTTGTAGGTTGCCTGTTCACTCTGATGGTAGTTTCTTTTGCTGTGCAGAAGCTCTTTAGTTTAATTAGATCCATTTGTCAATTTTGGCTTTTGTTGCCATTGCTTTTGGTGTTTTAGACATGAAGTCCTTGCCCATGCCTATGTCCTGAATAGTAATGCCTAGGTTTTCTTCTAGGGTTTTTATGGTTTTAGGTCTAACGTTAAAGTCTTTAATCCATCTTGAATTAATTTTGGTATAAAGTGTGAGGAAGGGATCCAGTTTCAGCTTTCTACATATAGCTAGCCAGTTTTCCCAGCACCATTTATTAAATAGGGAATCCTTTCCCCATTGCTTGTTTTTCTCAGGTTTGTCAAAGATCAGACAGTTGTAGATATGCGGCATTATTTATGAGGGCTCTGTTCTGTTCCATTGATCTATTTCTCTGTTTTGGAACCAGTACCATGCTGTTTTGGTTACTGTAGCCTTGTAGTAAAGTTTGAAATCAGGTAGCGTGATGCCTCCAGCTTTGTTCTTTTGGCTTAGGATTGACTTGGCGATGCAGGCTCTTTTTTGGTTCCATATGAACTTTAAAGTAGTTTTTTCCATTTCTGTGAAGAAAATCATTGGTAGCTTGATGGGGATGGAATTGAATCTATAAATTACCTTGGGCAGTATGGCCGTTTTCACGATATTGATTCTTCCTACCCATGAGCATGGAATGTTCTTCCATTTGTTTGTATCCTCTTTTATTTCATTGAGCAGTGGTTTGTAGTTCTCCTCGAAGAGGTCCTTCACGTCCCTTGTAAGTTGAATTCCTAGGTATTTTATTCTCTTTGAAGCAGTTGTGAATGGGAGTTCACTCATGATTTGGCTCTCTGTTTGTCTGTTATTGGTGTATAAGAATGCTTGTGATTTTTGTACATTGATTTTGTATCCTGAGACTTTGCTGAAGTTGCTTATCAGCTTAAGGAGATTTTGGGCTGAGACGATGGGGTTTTCTAGATATACAATCATGTCATCTGCAAACAGGGACAATTTGACTTTCTCTTTTCCTAATTGAATACCCTTTATTTCCTTCTCCTGCCTAATTGCCCTGGCTAGAACTTCCAATACTATGTTGAATAGGAGTGGTGAGAGAGGGCATCCCTGTCTTGTGCCAGTTTTCAAAGGGAATGCTTCCAGTTTTTGCCCTTTCAGTATGATACTGGCTGTGGGTCTGTCATAGATAGCTCTTATTATTTTGAGATACATCCCATCAATACCTAATTTATTGAGAGTTTTTAGCATGAAGGGTTGTTGAATTTTGTCAAAGGCCTTTTCTGCATCTATTGAGATAATCATGAGGTTTTTGTCTTTGGTTCTGTTTATATGCTGGATTACATTTATTGATTTGCATATATTGAACCAGCCTTGCATCCCAGGGATGAAGCCCACTTGATCATGGTGGATAAGCTTTTTGATGTGCTGCTGGATTCAGTTTGCCAGTATTTTATTGAGGATTTTTGCATCAATGTTCATCAAGGATATTGGTCTAAAATTCTCTTTTTTGGTTGTGTCTCTGCCCGGCTTTGGTATCAGAATGATGCTGGCCTCATAAAATGAGTTAGGGAGGATTCCCTCTTTTTCTATTGATTGGAATAGTTTCAGAAGGAATGGTACCAGTTCCTCCTTGTACCTCTGGTAGAATTCGGCTGTGAATCCATCTGGTCCTGGACTCTTTTTGGTTGGTAAGCTATTGATTATTGCCACAATTTCAGAGCCTGTTATTGGTCTATTCAGAGAGTCAACTTCTTCCTGGTTTAGTCTTGGGAGAGTGTATGTGTCGAGGAATTTATCCATTTCTTCTAGATTTTCTAGTTTATTTGCATAGAGGTGTTTGTAGTATTCTCTGATGGTAGTTTGTATTTCTGTGGGATCGGTGGTGATACCCCCTTTAACATTTTTTATTGCGTCTATTTGATTCTTCTCTTTTTTCTTCTTTATTAGTCTTGCTAGATGTCTATCAATTTTGTTGATCCTTTCAAAATACCAGCTCCTGGATTCATTAATTTTTTGAAGGGTTTTTTTGTGTCTCTATTTCCTTCAGTTCTGCTCTGATTTTAGTTATTTCTTGCCTTCTGCTAGCTTTTGAATGTGTTTGCTCTGCTTTCCCACTTCTTTTAATTGTGATGTTAGGGTGTCATTTTGGATCTTTCCTGCTTTCTCTTGTGGGCATTTAGTGCTATAAATTTCTCTCTACACACTGCTTTGAATGTGTCCCAGAGATTCTGGTATGTTGTGTCTTTGTTCTCATTGGTTTCAAAGAACATCTTTATTTCTGCCTTCATTTCGTTATGCACCCAGTAGTCGTTCAGGAGCAGGTTGTTCAGTTTCCTCGTAGTTGAGCAGTTTTGAGTGAGTTTCTTAATCCCGAGTTCTAGTTTGATTGCCCTGTGGTCTGAGAGACAGTTTGTTATAATTTCTGATCTTTTACATTTGCTGAGGAGAGCTTTACTTCCAAGTATGTGGTCAATTTTGGAATAGGTGTGGTGTGGTGCTGAAAAAAATGTATATTCTGTTGATTTGGGGTGTAGAGTTCTGTAGATGTCTATTAGGTCCGCTTAGTGTAGAGCTGAGTTCAATTCCTGGGTATCCTTGTTAACTTTCTATCTCATTGATCTGTCTAATGTTGACAGTGGGGTGTTAAAGTCTCCCAACATTCAGATTCAGGAAATACAGAGAACACCACAAAGACACTCCTCGAGAGGAGCAACTCCAAGACACATAATTGTCAGATTCACCAAAGTTGAAATGAAGGAAAAAATGGTAAGGGCAGCCAGAGACAAAGGTCGGGTTACCCACAAAGGGAAGCCCCATCAGACTAACAGCAGATCTCTCGGCAGAAAGTCTACAAGCCAGAAGAGACTGGGGGCCAATATTCAACATTCTTAAAGAAAAGAATTTTCAACCCAGAATTTCATATGCAGCCAAACTAAGCTTCATAAGTGAAGGAGAAATAAAATACTTTACAGACAAGCAAATGCTGAGAGATTTTGTCACCACTAGGTCTGCCCTAAAAGAGCTCCTGAAGGAAGCACTAAACATGGAAAGGAACAACCAGTACCAGCCACTGCAAAATCATGCCAAATTGTAAAGACCATTGAGGCTAGGAAGAAACTGCATCAACTAACGAGCAAAATAACCAGCTAACATCATAATGACAGGATCAAATTCACACATAACAATATTAACTTTAAATGTAAATGAACTAAATGCTCCAATTAAAAGACACAGACTGGCAAATTGGATAAAGAGTCAAGACCCATCAGTGTGCTGTATTCAGGAAACCCATCTCACGGGCAGAGACACACATAGGCTCAAAATAAAAGGATGGAGGAAGATCTACCAAGCAAATGGAAAACAAAAAAAGGCAGGGGTTGCAATCCTAGTCTCTGATAAAACAGACTTTAAACCAACAAAGATCAAAAGAGACAAAGAAGGCCATTACATAATGGTAAAGGGATCAATTCAACAAGAAGAGCTAACTATCCTAAATATATATGCACCCAATGCAGGAGCATCCAGATTCATGAAGCAAGTCCTGAGTGACCTACAAAGAGACTTAGACTCCCACACAATAATAATGGGAGACTTTAACATTTGTTTTCTATTTTTCTGTTAACTTCAACAAAAAGATTGCCTTTAGGATCAACTTCGCAATTTTTCACTATCTATGAGTGTCCCAGTTTAATAGACTTATTCTGCTGTGATTATGCTATGTGTCAAAATTCTCTTTCAAGAAATGAATTAATCTTGAGAATTCTTTTTAAAGCATATACACAACAATATTATATAAAAATCATATGCTAATAATTTGTATAAGAGATGATGTTTCTGCAAGCTTGTGATTGTTCAGAAAAAACAAAACCAGCAATAATGTCTATGTTATCACTATAGATATCTTTTCATAATGGATAATGTTATTATTTAAAATATTTATTCCTCCTCCCTATAGGAAGAATATACATCTTGGTCTGTTTGATATCAGGCTTGGTCATCAGCTTGCTTTGTGTAATGAGATGTAAGCAAAAGGGATGTGTGCCAATTATAACAGAAGCCTTCAGAGCCTTTGGGTTTCCACCATGTCCTCTTTTCCATCTTCCACAAAGCTCACAATGTCGCAAAGTGTGCCTGCTCCTTCATTCTGGGTCCTACGATGATGGCAATTTAAAGCAGAGCTTTAACTCACCCAAGTCAGACAGGCTGTAAGATGTACGGTGTCATAAATTTGTTCAATGTAGCTGCTGCCTTGGCATTCATTTTTAGGCTGGCATAACTTTCTTGAAACCCAGTTGTACCCTGTCACCTTTGGCCTAGTTAAAACTTCCCTGTGTGGCTGTTTGCAATATAGCGTACTTGTTCTTCATCTCACTGATTCAAAATCTAACACATCTCATAGTTAAATGATAAAACCTAATGGTCAACAACAGAGTCATGTAATTAAGTTTCCCGCTTCAGGCACGTTTTCTTTAGACTAGACAATCCACAGCTCCCAGGCGAAGCCTAAGGAATAAATAGTCTCACAATCCTTTCACTCTCTTTCGCTTGGTGTCTGTCTTTCTTGCTCTCTTGGTCCTCACCTGCTGGTTCCAGTCAGCCTTCTGTTGACACCCCTAAACTTCCCAGGACCTGGGAGTAATAGATTTCTTCTATTTTATGCATTTTGGGTTTCACTTCCTTGTTGTGCCTCACCTGACAGTTTCCCCACAAATCAGGACTCTCTTAGAGAGTAGCTGTATTGGCATATGGCCAAGATATCAAGAACAAACTAGAAAGAAATCATAACAATAGAAATTACAGCCTGAGGGTTATTATTATTTTTTGCATAATCTAGCTGACATGGACATATCCTTATTCACAAATGTATTTATTCTCTCAGTATCCATTTAATCAATGCTTACAGTGTGCCAGATACAGTACTAGGAAATGGGAATTCAAACATTAAGAAAGATACAATTATGGTCTTGAAGTGTTTAATGTGTTTATATTGCATTAAATATGGACATAAAGCAATTTCTGCAAAATGAGTCTACTTTGTTTTCTCAAAATACTCAGTAAAATATTCAAACAGAATTTAATCATTAGGGTAGTGAGTTAAAGACGGCAACAAATCATTTTTCTATTGGAATGTACAGTTTATTTCTCTAACCTTTTGAATTGGGACAGAATACAGGGAGATTAATTCTGTACCAGCCTGGGGCCCCTTCTTCAAGTGGCAGTTTTGCCTCCTTCCACTTGGTAGCCCTGTCCAACCTGCTGGAGAGATTGAGGCCTGGCTAGCCCCCAGCTTTTCAAGCTGTCCTAGCTGAGGGTCCAGGCATCTGAATGAAGAAATAATCTTGAATATTCTAGCCCCAGCATATATCACATGGAGCAGAGACAAGCCATTCCTGCTGTGCTCTGTCCCACTTTCTACCCCACTGAATCTTGAGCATGCAGAATGGCTTTAGCTTAAGACACTAAAGTTTGGAAGTAGTTTGTTAGCAGTGAGATAACAAAGGAGTTTAATAGTTGTCAGAACCACTCTCTGGGTATGCTTCAAAACCCTTTCCTACTATTTCATTTCTCCTCATCTCAGGTACTTCACTCATTTTTAGGATTCCCTGACTCCATGCAGTTTCTGTCATTTCCAATAGTTTTCTTGTAACACTGCCCTTTGTGGTGAATGTAAAAAATGTCTATCAGCCTAAAATATCACACTTTGCCATAAGGTGCCAAAGACAAATTTTAACACATGCCACTCCAAAATTACCTTAAATTTGTGTTTAAGGATTAATAAAATAGGGCACAGGAAAATTAAAAGTCAACAAAATGATTTTAATGGAAAATATAATGAGAAGTTTCTGCTAAGAAACAAAAACAATGCTGTTTTGGATAATTATATAAATTTAGGTAGTTTCATGATTGATACTTCTTTAACCCAGAAGTTCTCAAAGTTAGCATGCATTGGAATCACCCGGAGGGCATATTAACCAGATTGTTAGGCCCTAGTCCCAACAGTTTTGGTTCAGTACATTTGAGTCGGTCCTGATAATTTGTATGTCTAAAAGGTATTCAGGTGCAGCTGATGCTCCAGAGACCACACTTTGAGAATCACAGGGGAAACTTTTCTTGGCACATTTGTTTCTACTTTGTCATATTTACCCATGACAGACATAGCTAATTAATCATTGGACTTTCTCTTGTTGATCCATGGAGCCAGTACATCAGTCAAACAATACCATTTTTGTTGAAAATCAAGAGAAAACCTATTTGTTACGTGAAATAACTCCAAAACTCAAGTAAATCCTCTAACAGATTATTAATGTCTGCTTTGCTCTTCTCTCATATTTATCTCTTTCTTTTTATTAATATGAAAAAATGTTCATTTTCTATACTTTTTAAAAACAATTTATTCTCAATAGATAAGAGCTTTGAATCTATGTCTGCCATCCCAGATATCATTATATAACAAATATTTAGGCAGTATAGATTTAAAAAATCAGCATTCTATGCTTGTTGTGGTGATTGGTCAGGTCAAAACAATATATAATTACCAAGAGACAGATACAAGACTTTTTTTCAAAGCTACATTAAATAAAAACCAGCGAGTACTGGGTATGATCACACACACACACACACACACACACACACACACACACACACACAAGTTGAATTTTATGTCATTCATGTAAAACTGCACTTTGGGGTTTATGTTTGTATTGCCTGTAAAAATTCCTTTCATGTAGCAGCTTCTTCCATTGCAGCAGTCATTCCAAGGTTTATTTAATTTTGCTATGAACATTGTCTGGAAACATACATTTGAAGTCATCAATATAGGGTCCAATGCACAGTAACAAATAATTTTATGCTGTTCTTATAATGACACTGAAAAAATGAATGAACGGTTGAAATTGCCATGATATGTTTTCTTCAGAATTTTTCTTTTCCTCTGAAAACTATGTTTTTGCCTTTGAAGTGTTTGAAGATTTGGAGGCAGAATTTCACTGTTCCATCTCCGAAAATTTGGCAGTATTCATAATTTCTCCCAGATAAACAATGAATTATAGCTTTCAGTTTTGAAGAAAGTCTCTTTTGAGCAGAAAGCAGGCTTTTGAAAATGTCTCTGGTTTCATTTTCACATTTTTTAGCAAGAAAAATACTGTAACACCTAGCATGTGATAAAGAAAGGTTATAAAGAGGATAAATTTTAATCTAGAAAATACCAACATGAATACTTAAGATAACATTTACCAGATTTTAAAATGTTTGAGTAGCTTCAGGTCTTTTTAATTTAAGGCAATAATTATCAGTGAAGTAGATCAATGATTTTCTTGACAAACTGCATAACTTTTTGCATGTTACAGCTTGATTCTGCTTATATTTTTGTCAAATTTTTGCAAATGTAATACAATTATACAAGGAATTGACAGTATTGAAGACATTTTCAAACTTAATTCATGTAAGAATAGCTAACAAGAGCCTCCCTCTGTTGAGGGCTTACTCTTCGCCAGGCATTGTACTTCACAGTCTTAGTCTTATTTAATTATTAGAAACAAACCTATAGGTGGCTATTACTATCTCCATCTTACAGATGAGGAGACTGCAATTTAGAAAAATCAAGTGATTTACCCATTGTCACAAAATTAGTAAGGGGTGGAGAAAAGAATTGAATCCCGACTTTCTGTCATACTTTTGCCCCAACCTAAGAATTAGGAAAAACCGTATCTTTAACTGCTAAATTTACATTTCAGAAAGTTGAGTGATGTCCTGACTCATTTAAAAAGGAAAATAAAATTTATTTAAAAGTATAATCGCACTGAACTTTACTGCCTCCCACAAAATAATTTTATCCCCAAACTCTCATCATTCAGTCCAATGGTAAGCATGCCCCTAGAAGTATACGCTCTTAGCACCTGCTCTTTAAAATTCTGTGACAGCTTCATGATGCTCCCTACATTTGCGAAAGGCGCAATAATTATTTACTCTGATTTGCTTCAGGTACGTTTTAGAAAACATTCTATTATATTTACTCTGATCGCAAAGGTAATACATGATAGCAGCTAAAAATAAAAAAAAGTATAAGCAGGGTCGGGCGCTGTGGCTCATGCCTGTAATCCCAGCACTTTGGAAAGACAAGGTGGGCAGATCAGATCACGAGGTCAGGAGATCAAGACCATCTTGGCTAACACGGTGAAACCCCATCTCTACCAAAAATACAAAAAAATTGCAGGTGTGGTGGCACGTGCCTGTAATCCCAGCTATTTGGGAGGTTGAGGCAGGAGAATCACTTGAACCCTGGAGGCGGGGGTTGCTGTGAGCCAAGATCACGCCACTGCACTGAAGTCTGGGCAATACAGCAAGACTCCATCTCAAAAAAAAAAAAAAAAAATCAGGATTATAAATCATTGATAATGAAGGCTTCCCAACACTGATTGTTAGGACTTTGGTTTGTATGTCCTTCCACATATAGATATAAGGTCTGACATACACATATATAATATTTATATAAATGTATATGTTCGGTATCATACCTACTTACTAAAACTTGCTTTTTCACTTAAAATATCTTCTCTCTCTCCAAAATCCTTTTATCCAATTTTCTAAAATTAGCACTCCTTAAAATCTCATCAATTTCTTTAATCTTTTTCCTAAACAGCCCCTCCAGTTTCTTAATTTAAAGGAAACCAAAGTGATCCTTGACGGTATTGTTTTCTCTTCAGCCTTCTTAAATCACACCTCTCTCCAATCTCATCCATCAGTCACACCGGAGTCTGGGCTGCTTCCCTCCTTGTTTCACAATGATGACTCCAGATCATCACTCCTCCATGCCCTAGGAGAAACCCCAGTTCCTTTAAGTTCCATGCCCTACTACTGTGGCTCCTCTAGCTTTGCTCATGGCTGCCATTTCCCCATCACTCTCCATTTAATCAAGGCTGGAATACTTCACTCTAACTCAGGTTATCATTTTAGGCAACTCCCCTGTCACTTCAGTCCATTTTTTCCTATGTTTTTTCCCAATACAATGTATATTCTAGGGTCAATTACTTTAATCACCCTCTTGTCAATTTTCTGATCTCCTTTTGTTCTTCATATCTTCCTGGACAACTTTCAACTTTGATCGGTACAACTATTCACTGTCAGAAGTACGTTCTGATAGAGTGAAAAACCACACAGTCTATTAGCTTGCTTTGGCTGATTGCATAGGGTCTTAGAGGTCACTATTACAACTTTGGAATGTGTGTGAGATTTTGAGCGAATGAGCAACATGACATCATTCATGTTCTAAAAGAATCACTGGGTGCTCTGGGGAGAATAGAGTTTAGAAGAACATGCGTGGAAGCAGGGGCACTAGTAAGGAGATGTTTGCAATCATCCAGACCATGGGGGAATGTGAGCAGAGTGGGAGCAGTGGAGGAAGTGAGAGGAGGCTGGTCTCCCTTTCAGGTGTGGAGAGTCTGTTTAGTCATGGTGCTAGAAGTTACCTGGAGCAAAGCTCTGGTTTCTGGACCACAAACTCGTTCTAGCTATTTCCAAAGGCAGATCTCCCTTTTTACATGGAGAACGAATATTGTAGCTTAGAACTGAGACTTAGAAAACAACTCTGAGAGTATTGCAGAGGTTTTTGTCTGTTTGGTTTTTTCTGTTTTGTTTTCGTCCTTTGATTAGTCACTTTATAACAAGTCCAAGCTCACTCTCCACCTGTAACCCTGGGTTTTCTGACATTGAGCTTTTGGATTCTGATCAGAAACTTTTTATTTTTATTTTGGTGGTGTTATCTTTTGCCTGTAAATTGATTTTTCATTCTCACTTCAATCTTTTCTGCTTTACATTTTTCAGAAATCCCTCAAGGTTCTGATCTGTTTATAGTCTCTTTCCGATTTTTTAGTGCGAATAATGCCTTATTTATATTTTTGTATTTCTTTTAATATTTCAATGGGAAGGATAAGTAGTCAACAAAAACATGTGCTTCATCATTTTGATGTATAAACTTCAATCCTCAGTCCAATAGCAATGCCAAAGTGGGCCAGCAGGTTCTACATGCAGCAGGCAACTATCAGAGGAGAATATCATGCCAGTGTTTCTTCCTTGGGCACTCCCAGTCTCAGTGATTTATTTGCTTAGAGTTCCTCATTTTGTGGTGGCCCAGTCTGATAGTTAGCTCAGTCTAACACATGAGAACCAGAAGGCCCTTAAACATAAAGCCAAACTCAAGAGCAAACTAAAACAGGGATAGGGATATGAAACACAAAAAACTGCCAGGAATATAGTTGGAGACCTAAAGCCTCAGCAGCTAGGGAGTAGAGCTTTCAGAAAGCAGATGGTCAATACTGAGTTCACTCTGTTATGGCAGTAGGATGCTGCAATAGGGCATCAAATTTGATAAAATAAGTCTTAAGGCCGGGCACAGTGGCTCACGCCTGTAATCCCAGTATTTTGGGAGGCTGAGGTGGGTAGGTCACGAGGTCAGGAGTTCAAGACCAGCCTGACCAACATGTTGAAACCCTGTCTCTACTAAAAAAAAAATAGAAAAATTAACTGGGCATGGTGGTGCACACCTGTAATTCCAGCTATTCAGGAGGCAGAGGCAAAAGAATCGCTTGAACCCAGGAGGCAGAAGTTGCAGTGAGCCAAGATCATGCCATTGCACTCCAGCCTGGGTGACAGAGCAAGACTGTCTCAAAAATAAATAAATAACTAAAAATAACTAAACAAATAAATAAGTCTTAAGTTCTTACTCCAAGGACAAGAGTATGGATCTACATTGCTGCAAAAAGCAGAATAAATGGATGCCTGCTTAGTCTTTCCTACATGCCATGACAGGTACTAACCCACTCCATGGAAGGCCATTCCTTTTTCTTTATCTGTATTTTTCTCCTCAAATTATCCAAGGACTGTTACATCTGCTCTAACTTCTATGATATCAACAAAAATCTGTAAGTTCAACAGGTTGCAGAGAATGGGAAACAAGAAGAAACAATAGGTGATTTTTGAATTTGACCAAAAGAGGTGATCTTGGTATCTTTATAGAGAGTAGTTTCTGCAGTGATGGTAGTGGGAGGGACAGTGTCAAAGCAGGAAAGCAACAAGAAAATTGTATATATATATATATATATATATATATATATATATATATACACACACACACACACACACATATATATGTGTATATATATACACATATATATAGTATATATATATACACATATATATAGTATATATATATACACATATATATAGTATATATATATATACTCATATATATATATATTCAGAGTTTGCATTAAAATAAAGAGGACAATTGAATGGTTGAATGGTGGGCTGGGGGAGCAAGAAAAGGAATTTACATGTTTCTTATGTAGGAGAGAAGTATACATGATTGAAGGCAAATGGGAAGGGGCCACAAGGAAAGAAGTTATTGGAAAATAAGGGGTTAAGAGTTGGAGTTTGGTCTGTGAGTAGACAGAGTGGGGTACAATCCATATGGTCAGGGAGACTAGATTTATAGAAGTGGAAGAGTTAATCTCCTATCCTAAGCCTCTGGGGGGCCTAGAGGAGAGCTACAGAGATAGTTATATCTGGGATAGGGTAAAGAAGAGGAAAAATGGATCAAATTATGCTGGCTGGTTTTGTCGTCTGTTTGAAATAGGGTTGCTGGCTGTAAGTAACATGTTTTAGAAACAGTATTAAAAGCCTTCCATTAGGAACAGCCATCTGGTGTTTAAAGGCTGAGGAAAGAGATCTAGCCTCTTAGGCTTCAGGACAGTCTAGGCAGTTTTGGTGGGAGGGAGCTAAGGACAAAGTGGGAAGAAAAGAGGCTGCAAAGCAGTGGTCAGGGCCATTTAGACAATATTTTTATGCAATAGGAACCATCTGTTCAGTTATGGACTTGTTAGTAGCTGCTATTTGAGTTGTTCCATAGCCCTTCTGTAGTTGGGGACAGGAAAGAAAAAATCTGTGAGCTAAGGTCAGCCATGGTTCTGGCTCACCAGAAGGAAGTCTAAGTATCCAAAAAGGAGACTCATCCTAGAAATCAGAGAATGGGGGGGAAACCTTGGAAGTTGATAATAACATAATTGTTTGGTAGTTAATTACTCAATTAGTGAATGAATAAGTTATTGAATTTTATAGGTTAGAAAATATAAAAAGAAAATAAAAGAATAAACCCCCCACCCCACCCCACCCAAAAAAGGATGAAGGGGAAAAGTACAAAGAATTGCCCCACCTACCTTTGGTTCCCACTGCAACTGATCATTTGTTGATTGTGTCATATCAGAAGCAGGCTATAAAAGGGAGCTCCTTCCCAGTGTTGAACACCCCCAACCCCAGTTACATAGATTCGATGCTCACTGTTTGGCTGTTTTTACACAGAGGGATTTTTAGATTGACATTTTTGATGACTGAAGACTCGACAAATTAATATTCATCAAATCTCAGAAGATCATTGGAGTAGACAGTCAAACTTATCTTTGCTCACATTTTAATCATGACAAGGACTGACATTATGAATGACTCACTGAGTGCTCTTAAACTGGTGATGCACCCGGGTAACACTCTGGGAACAGGCTTTCTCCATGAGAGTAAAGGGTGTCATTATGAACTGGGCTACTAGGTGGCCACAGCGAGTATCTCAGTTCCTCGCAACCACTCCTCTGGTATAGGCTTTTCAGTTTGGGAATTTCTCAACTATCTTCTGCAGTGTCCATGATTGCCATTTATTTGCATCAGCTGAAAATATTTTTATTATTTCCTTCTGAGAGCGAAGCTGCCTGGTAGCTTTAGGCTGTGGTTCATAAAGATACATTTATGGGCACTGACTACATAAATAGCATAAAAGCCAGAGTTCAATGTTGGTTATGACTTAAACCATTGTGCTGAGTAAATATAAGAACAGAGAAAGATATCAAAAAAAGTTAGTGCTTTTAGCATTTCTTTCACAGGAGGTAACATAATAGTTGATGAAAATAAATGGAAGATTGTTATAGTAGAATCTGCTGTTACGGCAAGGAAGATGCATGACATTGCCACTTAAGTGGGGAAGTCAATAAGGTTCCAAGTTCTCAATCTCAACATCTATAGGTGTCCCTTCCAGAGTAGCTACAGCATTGACCTCAGAGGAGGGGCATCAGGATGGTCTAAACAAATAGCAAAGGTGACAGGCTTAAGAAAAACAGCTCTAGGAAAGAACTAAATTTTATATTTTTAAGTTGCAAAATTCCAGCCTACAAAAATAATGCAATCCCTGGAATTTGTTTTCTTAGTATGCATATCACATTATCTTTGGCTTTTGTCAGGGTATGTTCTCAAGTCCAATATTTCCATATTACTCTCAGTTTCGTTATTGTTGTTTGCCTGGCCTTTGAAAACATATGAGGTTGGTGCTTATGGCTTAGAACGTTGTAGCCAAAATGGACCAAAACAACTGAAAAACAAGTCATGAATAATAGCAATTTCTGGGGTTAAAGTTCAGAGAAAGAAATGGTCATCATAATTTAGATACCTTAATTTTAGAGTCATCTTAATGTGATTTTAGAGTCTAAATAAGCAACAGAAGAAACAAAAGCAATGCAGAACCATAAAAGTAAGGGACCCCAATACTTATCTATTTAAACCCTAATATTCTGCAGATGATAAAACAGAAGCACAAAGAACTGACTTGTATATGTTAAGGTCAGGGTAATAGGAAAGGAACACTGGTAGCATCAAGTACCATGAGCACTCAGGAGACATTTGGATCATCGAGGGATATTAAAGCCAGGTCCAGTCTCCAGAAATGGCTAAGATAGGAACAATAATGAAACTACTCAGGTAGCTGTATATGTAAGGAGTTACAGCACAAACAGGAGAGGTGTTTTGTAAAGAAGTAAACTTGGGCAGATTCTTACAACAAGCTTCCATCCTCAACATACTTCCAAAGTTAGAAAAACGTGGCTATTTTAAAACTCGTGAGCATCTCCTTCTAGAATTAGTACATGTACAACAGAACAGTAATTTTCTCTCTATATCAGTTAATGGCATCATCATAAAATCAGCTTCCCAAAGTAACATGGTAAGAGCTGTCTTGTATTCTCCACCTCACATGCTCATTGATCATCTCTCAGGGTAAGAGATGCGGAAACAATTCAGCATTATTTATTCTTCATAAGCCATTACGTAAATCAAATTTTATGTTACACACTTGCAGTTTATAGCTCTTGGAGGCTTTCAGCTGCAAAGGCACAAAATCTAACAGTGTAGTTCTAAGAAAGCTAAAGCAATGGTTAGTGCAACTTGTTTTAGTAGTAATGTTGATGATACTATTATAATTTCAGTAAACCTTTGTTGATTGTTTAATATACAACCCCATAAGAAAAATGTAATTATTTGAGATACTTCTGGATATAAATAACAAAATAACCAACCAAACGGATAGAACAGCTAGACAGAAAATCAGCAAGAATAGAGAAGACTTTGGAACTATCAATTAAATTGAACCTATAAACACAGAATACTCCACACAATTAACTCAGAGTATACCTTCTTTATGAGTACTAGAAACATATTTCTTCATTGTTTTTACATCTTTCACATACAGAGAATTATAATAACTATCTGACATCTACTGAGAAACTGGAGAGGATTTGGGGGACAATGATACTGAATTTGGTAAAAAATATATTACATTTTTCATATTATATAAAAATTTTAAAATGAAACACAAAAATTGAGGAGATATTAAATAGAACAATAATGTAAAACTTTGAAATAAAGTATTTTTTATTGTAATGAAAAACTGGAGAGTATGTCTGTATTAGTGTCCTAGAGTTGTAAGAAAAAACTGGGTGACTTAAAACAACATAAATTGATTTAGTTCTAAAGGCTAGAGAAGTCTAAAATCAAGTGTCGGGAGGGCCATGCACCTTCTAAAGGCTCTAGGGAGAAATCATTCTTTGCCCTTTCCTGGCTTCTGGTGGTTGTCAGCAATCCTTGGCTTGTAGATGCATCACTCCACTCTCTGCCTCAGTCATCACTTGGCATTATCCCTGTGTGTGTCTCCAAATCTCTTTCTCCTTATGAGGGCACCAGTCATTGGATTTAGGGCCCACTCTAATCCAATATGACCTCTTCCTAACTTTATCATATCTGCAAAGATCCTATTTCCAAAAAAAGTTTACATTCACAGGTTCTGAAGGTTAGGACTTCAACATATCTACTTGAGAGACACAATTCAACCCATAACAGTGTGTGTAGGAAAATAATTTTTTACATCAAACTTTATGGTAAAAATGGCTAACATGTCATTCTTGATCAAAAATGTTTTAGTGATAATCTCTTTATATCATTGAGTTTATATTGAAAATGAGTTTGTATAAGTTGATGATAGGAAAAGTAAAACATTTATAACTTCAAAGTTGAAAAGAGTTGAAAATATATTGAAATAATCAAGAGTTCTTCACTTTCCTTCATTGAAAAATGTAATGTAGACTTTTTGTAATAATGCAAATTGTTGTAGACTCTCATCAAAGCATTTTATAACAAGTATCTGAAAATAATAAGGCTTCAAGTATACACATAACTATAGTAGTCACTTGCAGCTAGCTTGGACTCCACTAAAAGGGTCCATCCAACTGAAGTGACAAAAAATCAATCATAGAGGTTCAGGGCTGCTGCCTGGAGCTGGACCCATCAGAAGTCCCAGCTCTTTTGCTCATCACCTTCCTGCCATCTCCTGGCTTTGGAATGCCAGTTGCCATCCTTGAACACCTGAAATAACTCATTTAACAGTACCATGGATTCCTTCTTCACAAACCACAGAGTGCTTTGCTGTTGGCATCATTCTTTGATGACATTCGCATATGAGGGCAAAGCAGCAGATGCTGGAAGTCACTCATTCTCACTGGCTGCAGAACCATGGGATCTGCCTTCAGACACTGCTCAAGCCCCAGAGGAGGTTGCTCAGGATCTGAGATGATCAGCTTGAGGGCCACACCTGGTTGTCTCAAGGCCTGATTGAAAGAACTCTTTGTCACACACCTGAAATTCAATCTCAGCTGCCTGGCAAGCTTTGCTGTAGACCATGCAACTGAATAATAAATCAGCTCAGGGTTTTCCAAGTTGCATCTTTACCTTGATGTGCAAATCAGTGCAAAGGTCTTTTATTTGCAATTTATATAATTTGATATGACAACTTAGCTGTGGAGTTTAAAGATTAAATGAACTGCAGACACATCAATTATTAATATTATTATTACTCTCAGCCCACCATTTCCAAGTGTACTTTTCACCTCACAGCACATCAGTGGGAAATGAAATATTGTTATACTCCTTGGTTCAAGCATAAATGTGAAAGCCTCTGTAGACCTTGATGTATGTAGCAGGGTACTTTAGGAGGGTAGTTCCCTAGGGTTCCACCAAAATGAAAAGGAAGAGGTATGTTTTAATTTGTAATTATATACATCCAAGAGATATTGAGCTGCACTTCCAGAGCTCATGAATAAAGAATGTATGAGCCAAGGCTGTGCTGAATCATACTTGTATGAAAATCAACATTTGTTAAAGATCAAGTGAACTGTATTCTTATCCAGTTCATAAAGTAGCTTCTACTTGCAAATAATTATTTGTGTTTCATTTTCTGCCATCTTTGAAAATGAATAAGAATAAATGTTATAGTATTTAATTTGTCCATTTTAACCTTTTCTTGAGATTATTTAGGGCACCATGAAGGAATCATAATCCTACAAATTATTAGTGGAGCTGTAAGAACTTTCTTATCTAGAAGATAGAAATTCTTTAAAAATCAACTTAGATGATTGAACTCTTTTTCCATATCAATAAATGCTGTCACCTCACCTAGATCTTTTGGCCCAGAAATATAAAAGTACTCTTTACATATCTTACCTCTTCCTAGCAACCTGTGCATTTTGAATCTGTGTAATCCTTACTCTCACCTATTCTTAACACTCAGCTCCTAAATACAGTTTTTTCGATGATGTTCAAATGTGCCTTCCTCAATTTTGGGGCTTTACTGTACCTTTTTGAAAACCAAGAGTTAATGATGTGGTCATCAAATCTATTCAAGGACTTTTTAAATAGGAAGGGAAAAACAATCACCACACATATCAAAGCCAGCCACAGAGTGGAAAAAACACAATTGCAAAGTGCTCACAGGAGGGTAAACCATTATAATCCTTTGGGAATCCAATTTGCCTTAACATATTTGTGCTCATTGACCCAATAATTTCCAAAAATCTATTAAAAAGAAGAAACTGAGAATCAGAAAAAATTTTATGCGCATAGATGCTAATCACCATATAACTTATAATGTTTAAAAAAGAAGAGAAAAAAGTAAACAGTCTAGTATTTTTAAAAAATAAATGATTAAATAAATGTATACCATGATTACACCAACTAATGTTTCAAGGCAATAACAATAGATGATGAAATATCACAGAAAGCCAAATCATGAGTGAACTCACATTCACAATTGCTTCAAAGAGAATAAAATACCTAGGAATCCAACTTACAAGGGACGTGAAGGACCTCTTCAAGGAGAACTACAAACCACTGCTCAATGAAATAAAAGAGGATACAAACAAATGGAAGAACATTCCATGCTCATGGGTAGGAAGAATCAATATCGTGAAAATGGCCATACTGCCCAAGGTAATTTATAGATTCAATGCCATCCCCATCAAGCTACCAAATGAGTTTCTTCACAGAATTGGAAAAAACTACTTTAAAGTTCATATGGAACCAAAAAAGAGCCCGCATCACCAAGTCAATCCTAAGCCAAAAGAACAAAGCTGGAGGCATCACGCTACCTGACTTCAAACTATACTACAAGGCTACAGTAACCAAAACAGCATGGTACTGGTACCAAAACAGAGATATAGATCAATGGAACAAAACAGAGCCCTCAGAAATAACGCCACATATCTACAACTATCTGATCTTTGACAAACCTGAGAAAAACAAGCAATGGGGAAAGGATTCCCTATTTAATCAATGGTGCTGGGAAAACTGGCTAGCCATATGTAGAAAGCTGAAACTGGATTCCTTCCTTACACCTTATACAAAAATTAATTCAAGATGGATTTAAGACTTAAATGTTAGACCTAAAACCATAAAAACCCTAGAAGAAAACCTAGGCATTACTATTCAGGACATAGGCATGGGCAAGGACTTCATGTCTAAAACACCAAAAGCAATGGCAACAAAAGCCAAAATTGACAAATGGGATCTAATTAAACTAAAGAGCTTCTGCACAGCAAAAGAAACTACCATCAGAGTGAACAGGCAACCCATAAAATGGGAGAAAATTTTCGCAACCTACTCGTCTGACAAAGGGCTAATATCCAGAATCTACAATAAACTCAAACAAATTTACAAGAAAAAACAAACAACCCCATCAAAAAGTGGGCAAAAGATATGAACAGACACTTCTCAAAAGAAGACGTTTATGCAGCCAAAAAACACATGAAAAAATGCTCACCTTCACTGGCCATCAAAGAAATGCAAATCAAAACCACAATGAGATATCATCTCACACCAGTTAGAATGGCGATCATTAAAAAGTCAGGAAACAACAGGTGCTGGAGAGGATGTGGAGAAATAGGAACACTTTTACACTGTTGGTGGGACTGTAAACTAGCTCAATCATTGTGGAAGTCAGTGTGGCGATTCCTCAGGGATCTAGAACTAGAAATACCATTTGACACAGCCATCCCATTACTGGGTATATACCCAAAGGACTATAAATCATGCTGCTATAAAGACACATGCACACGTATGTTTATTGCGGCACTATTCACAATAGCAAAGACTTGGAACCAACCCAAATGTCCAACAATGATAGACTGGATTAAGAAAATGGGGCACATATACACCATGGGATACTATGCAGCCATAAAAAATGATGAGTTCATGTCCTTTGTAGGGACATGGATGAAATTGGAAATCATCATTATCAGTAAACTATCGCAAGAACAAAAAACCAAACACCACACATTCTCACTCATAGGTGGGAATTGAACAATGAGAACACATGGACACAGGAAGGGGAACATCACACTCTGGGGACTGTTGTGGGGTGGGGGGAGGGGGGAGGGATAGCATTGGGAGATATACCTAATGCTAGATGAGGAGTTAGTGGGTGCAGCGCACCAGCATGTCACATGTATAGATATGTAACTAACCTGCACATTGTGTACATGTACCCTAAAACTTAAAGTATAATAATAAAAAAGAAATATATGTGTTAAAGAGTTTAGCAACAATATCCTATTATAAAGTCATATATTAATATAAAATCAACTATTTAAAAATAACCCAAAACAATCAGTAACATAAAATGTAGAAAAGGAAACATAGTAACAGAAAGGTAGTTGTTACATCAAATGAAGAAATTATTTTTATTTTTCTTCTTAAAAGTTTCTGTATTTTCTGCATATTCTGTAATGAACATGTATTGCTTTTCTATCAGAGAAAGTAAACAAGCTAATAAAATCAGTTTATATAAAACAAATATTATTAATAACACAAGTGAAGAAACAAGTAAAAATATTATCATCTATTTGAGAATGAACAATTTTTCTAAGCCCCCACCCAGATGTATATCATTTATCCTATAATAGGGATTCACAAATAGTAAATATATTATTTCTGCTTTTTTTGTTGTTGTTTCCATAGGCAGAGAACAGGAAGTAATTAATATCTAGAATCTACGGTTCTCCCAAAATCATCATAGAAAGACCCATATGTTTAAATGTTATCTTTTTAATGCTATTAAGGCTAAAGAAACAATTTTGATTCAAATTCAAGATTATTCAATCCTTGACAGTATTAACATTTTAAACCTTCCTTTCAAAATTTGGCTTGTAATTTAACACATCATCATTATCTCCTTGTAAACTCTCTCAAAACTGCTCTGAAGCCACCTTGTAAAGATTCCAAGGTCCTTTAGTGGTAGCAAGGCTGGCTATATTCACCATTGGTTGAATTATGGCTATTGATAATATAGGATGGCTAGCAGGACCAGCTAAGTTAATGACCAAGTCTAACTCTTCGATAGTTTTGCATTTCTTATAAGCATGAAAACAAAAATATTTGAATGGCTCACTAACTCAGATAGCAATGATTTAACACACTATTATTCAGCACAGAATTTATATTCTAGCCGAAGTCTTGTATTCCAAGGAGAAAATAATCTTATTTTGATTTGAAGCTCACTTCTAAAGAAGAGAAATAATTGCCAGGGCAATGTAAATGAGGAGAAATCAAAAGCATGGCATGAAAAAGGAGAGTGCCAGTATGGGTTTTGGACCACAGAACTGAAATAACTTTAAAAACAAAATTCTTTCTACTTCTGTATCTTTTCCTAAAATTAACATATATCTTTTTGATAATGAAAAAGTATCAATAAATGGTCAGTTATATGATGTTATAGCTTTATCTGTTTCACCTCCGTCATATAATCACCCACTTAAGTAACCAGCTATTACGCTTCAAAAAAGGAAGAATAATTTCTAAGCTGATTAGGGTTAAATTCTTGCCGCTTCCAGTAGCTGTTGCTATTAGAAGACTCTGGGTAACTTAAAATGTTTAAAAAATTCTGTTGGTGAAAATTCTAGTATTAATAATTGGAAAATATGAGAAAAGAATAATATTTATTGAGCACCCGCTAAGTCAGGCATAACATATAAATTTCATCGCTTTTAAATCTTAACAACTCCACCTAGTAGGTATCTCCGTGCCAATTTTACACAGTCAGAAACTGAAGCTCAGAAAGGCCAAAGTTGTTTGGTCAAGATGATACAGCCACTAATGGCAGAAATAGAATTGGACATGGATGTGTTTTGTCTCATTTTTCACTTCATTATGTTAGCTCTTCTACATTGTTAAGAGGAATCTGCAGAGATTGTAGAGAGCCCTTTCTAATGCCCTCCATCACAGCTAGGAGTTTTTCTATTTCCTATCAATTAAATAGTGCTTAAAGAATTTAAAAAGCAAAAATTGCCTTATTTTGCATCTAAACACCAATGTATCGTACATCTGTGTTTGCATTTTCTGTTGACTTTACCACTTCACAAACAGTCTCTCTTTTTTTAATCGGAAAAATTAATAGAAATGAGAGAATGACAGTGGAACCCGGGAGGTGGAGCTTGCAGTGAGCCGAGATCGCGTCACGGCACTCCAGCCTGGGTGTCAGACTGAGTCTCCGTCTCAAAAAAAAAAAAAAAAAAAAAAAAAGGAATGAGAGAATGACACAGTCATATTAAATTTGCAAACAAAATTACTTGAGCATAAATTTACTGTTTTGAAATCAATAGCTGACAATTAGCTGTCATTTATGAGATTTCATCACCAATCACTTGGTAGGTAATTTTCTTCTACTAAGGCACTAGAAAAGGTTAAATCTGACAAGTGAAACCCCAAAAATATAAGAAAAGTATGTGCTACTATAAAGTGGAAACTCATGTACCCTTTCATCATTATGAGTTGATAGTCTTCCAAATTAGATTTTTGAAAGATAACAGCCAAGTAATAGTAGACTGGTGCAAAAGTAATTGCAGTTTTTGCCATTCTTTCAATGCAGAAACCACAATTAATTTTGCACCTACCCAATATCAAACTATAAACTGTTTTATATATGACATTATCATGTAATGAAAGATATTGGTGTGATGCTTAAATTCGGTCCTATTTTTAAATATGCAAAATTAATTTCCAATAAAAGGATTTCTAAACCCAAAGTGTGTAGTGAAATTTGATGTCATATGGTGGACAAGTGGTTTTTGTTTATTTGTTTGTTTTTTATAACTGGAAAACAAACTCAACTCTCACCTTCTTCCTATCTGAAATGTACATGCAAACCTGTGTTAGAATGTATATGGTATGATACCCTAGTCACTTTCCAAGGTAACCTGGAAAATAAGTATATGAAATGCAAAGGTAAGAGCTTTAAAATTGCTTTCTGTCAAACATCACAGTGTGGGTATACATCATTGTGTGGCATGTACGCCATTTATCAAACAGCTTCAATTTAGGAAGAAATGAAATGGAAAACTCACTTTCATGCTGACGTGCCATCATACCTTGAATTACTCAGAGGAAAGAGGGGAGTGTCAGGGCTTCAGAAGGCGGTTTCTGAAGATAGTATTCTACATGAAATTTCTGCTGGCCATGGTACACAGTAAAATCATTGAAGTCTATCAGTGAGCACTGACATTCGAAGAAGGTGAGTGGAAGAACTCAGTTTTAAAGTACTTTGCATGCTTCTTCACATAATGAAAATCAGAAAACTCAAGGTTCACCAAGTCCTTTTGATTTATGCCTCTTCAGTTCACTGCCATGCATAAATATTTCTCATCATCAATTTTGAACAAAAGCTAAAGAATCCAAAACCTCACGGAACGATGATACATTTTCACAGCATCATCAAACTATTGCTCTTTTGCTCAAATCTCCTTGTCATTCAGGTCATAGTTTACTTTTATTGTCCTCAACCATGACTCTAAGTAAGATTATCAGTTATGAGAATTCACAGAAACGAATTCATGGATTCCTAAACATCTGAACTAGAAGAAATCTCAGATGTTATGTACCTCTCCTTTTCTTTATAGAATAGGTATTGATAGCTGAAATGAGTTTTTACCCTAACGTTTTTGTGAATCCATCTCACTAGAAGTAAGGTTGGCACTGGATGAGTCCCTTTTCCTCAGTAATTAACAGCATATCCCCAAGATACTGTGACTACTTTTGCTCAGAGCGGAAGTTGGGATGAAGCAATGTATGTCTTTTATTATTATTGTTTTTAAATAAATTTTATTGTGGTTTTTTTTTAGGTTTACAACGTGATGTTATGGGATATATATAGAGATAGTTAAATGATTCCTGTATCAAAGCAGATCAACGTATCTGTCATCTCACATAGTTACTTTTTTGTGAGAGGAGCAGCTAAAATCTACTTATTTAACAAAATCTCTAATATGATAAAATTTTATTAACTATAGTCCACGAATTATATGCTTTTATTTATCGCTGCTTGCAGAAAAAGATTCTAGAAAAGGTTTTATAGAATGTGTTTATTGTGCTTAATCAACTGAGACATATAGACAATCACATGCATTTATTTTACTTTAAACAGAAAACCGATTTAATTTTGGAGAGGGAGGTATCTGGATGAAAACAATTAGCAAGTTGCTTACTAGTCACTGTAGTATATTGTAAGGTGAAGTGGTCTTGGATCCAAAGTAGGAGTACATTCAATATTAGAGCCTCTATTAAGATAATTCATCAGATAATAGTTAAAAATAAATATGATTACCCAATGAGAGTTAAATTAGATGATCTTGTTTTTTAAACTTTCATATATGTAACAGGTCTGTAAGATCCCCACAATCTAGAACTTAAGAATTATTGTCTAATATGACCATTGCCCTTTACAAGATTATAATAGTACTTAACAGTTTTTCGAAACGATTATACCTTCATGGAATTTTCAGTGAGTGATTGTTTACATGAGATTCTGCTATGCCACATCTTGCTCCAAATCTAGTGTTGATAATACAGTTATTCATTATGGATGATTGTAAGGGAAAATATTTACCATGCATAGCTAAAATAAATGGAAATCCTAAAATAAAGCATTAGGCATTGCTTTTGGCAATGCAGCCTTCGACGTGAAGGAAAACATTCCATGAGGAGAAACAAACAGAAACACAAAGATGGTCAAGGATCAACGTGCTACTAAGAGAGAATAACATAGAAATAGGCATTACTTTCATAATTCGTCAAGTTCACTCTCAAATTTATATTAAATAGGGAACCGTGAATGTATTGACGTGTGACATCTTTTTCTTCCTTTATCTCTTTTCAGAACCATGTGAATTATCCACTTCAACACACACTGTGAGCTGGGCTTGGAAAAAACAATTAACAAACAAAAAACACTGGTAAGAGAAAATTCACTGATTTAAGCATGATGTGCAAATGAATTACTGGTTTTTGGTCACACAGTTAAGCTATTTCATTTTTCCTTATAAAATAATAGCTAAAACAAATGGCTTTATTGAGTTCAGAATAAAAGAATTAAATATTATTCCAAGAATGTGGCTGGTAAATGACTAAATTAGGAATGAGTGAAGCTGCTGCTAGATGATTTATAAAAAGGAAAACCCTAGCTGGCCTCTATATTTCTGCGATGTCGTTAATTCTTTGACAATAATTTCTTTTCATCATTTTAATTGTTCTTCTAATGTAATATGGTAGCTCTTAGAATTGGCGCGTACCTCAACAAGTCATCTAATCAAGCTCCTTGCCCTCCAGCAGAAAATTCAATTCAACAAATTATTATTGAAAGCCTGCTACATCAGAGCCACCGTCCTAGTGCCTGGGTCAGATTCAGAAAACATGCCTACGGGTCTTGAGAAATTCACATTCTTCTCAAGTAATAGGTTCAGGAATTGAGTCCCAGGCAAGTAATTTATTTGCCCAAGGTCACACAACATAGTGATTTTCCACAATTTAAGAAAAATATTATCTTCAATGTATTCATGAGTTCCTCTCAGATTTGGCAATTCTTCTTGTCACATTACCAATTATGTGACAAAAACAGACTATGTGGTAATAGCAGGGTAATTTGTTCTTTGCTCCAGATTTAATAATAAATACTATATGACAATTACATCAGAGGGGAAAAAAGGATTTTGAAACACTTAAGTTAGTAAGTGGAATATAATCACAGAGGAATATTAATCTATTAAAAGACAATATCAAACTTTCTGAGAGATGAAAATTTTTCCAAGAAAATATGAACAATAAAAGTAGAAAACTGGGTTATATCCATTAAAATGTAAGAAATCGGAAATGTTGTCAAAAAGTACATGCCCTCCTCCATCCTCCAAAAAGGGGGCCAGACTAATTCTCTCAAACTTTCAGGAAATAGACTCGCCTGTAAGTTATTTTCAAAGATGCATTGTAGTTTTATGATTCATGAGTGTGTCCCCAATACCTGACATATAATATTGTTCAATAAAGGTATTATTGGAAGAAAATAGAAATGTCATTTACTATAGAAAATGTTCACAGCATAGAGAAAAGAATGGAGATGATCATAGTTATTTTACCAAGCTAGGAAAACTGACAGAAAAACCTAAGAGGATTACCAAGCAAGAAAACTATGGAACAATATCCTTACTTATGAATATAAAGTCTAAAGTTTTCAGGCAAACATTAGCATATCAATCCCTGAGTATATGAAAGGAAAAATGCTCAGTGACAAAGTAGAGATTATGCTTTGAATGCAAGAATAATTCAGTATAAGTAGCTCTAATTATACAAATTGACTTACTATTTCTGCAAAGACTCATAACATTACATCAATACATGTTAATATGCTTTGATAAAAATAATTATCTATAGTAAGCATCTTTTAAAAAACGAAAAATAATTTAATATGATTTTTTTAAAAAACATTGTAACTGAAATCTAATGCAGCATTAAGATAAATAGTAAAATGAATTAAATTAGGAAAAAGACAAAGATGTCCATTTTCACCACTACTATTTAACAATATTCTAGAAGTGTTCCCTGTGATCGAGCAAAATTAAAAAGTGAAAAGTATAAATACTGAAAATAAGGAAATTGTCATTATTTGCATATAACTTGATTATCTAGCTGGGAAAGCCAAGGCAACCAACTGAAAACTGTATAAACTAATAAGTATTAGTCGAAATGCTGACCACAGACGTAAATTAGTAGCAGTAGATTTCATATATATCAATAATAAATATTTTAATAAATAATTAACATCTAACAATAATGTAATATAATAATAATTGAATTCAGATTAGCAACAATTATGCAAAATATGTAGGGATTAAATGTAACACGAATTATGAAGACTGTCAGAAAAAAACACAACATTCTACTGAAGAATACAGAGATGAATGAATAATGGAAATACTAATTTGCCAAAAATAAAAATAAATGGTTAAATCAAATATAGCACAAAAAAAGTTAATTGATTTCCTACATATAAAATTTTTCACATAGCAAAAGAAATATGGGCTAAAAAGGTGAGCAAGCAATTTACAAAGTAATACGTGCAAATGGGTGTGGATGTTTAAACTTATTTGTAATTAAATAAATATTAATTAAAATGGGAACTATCAGAGGCCAATAATTAGATGATAAATAAAAAAGTATTGCAACCAACTTCTGGGGAGTTGGGGAATTTTGCACTCTCATTTATTGCTGGGTTTGTACATTGGAATAACCTTCAGGGAGGCATTTCAGTAATATGTGTTAAAATTGAACATACATGCCTCCTTTAACCTAGACATTAAAAATTTGGAATTTATCCCAAGCAAATACTTGGATACATTCACAAGATGTATATATAACTATAGTTGTAACTTGTTCATGTGTAAATAAATTCTGGAAGCATATAATCAGAATATCCACAGTCAGATTATGGGTAATCCTCTTCCATATGATTTCTTGTGTTTTCTGAAATTTCTGCAATGAACATATCTACTTTTCAATATGAAATAAAAATAAACATTTAAGAAAAAAATACATCATTTAGGGTTGGAGAAACTGAGAGGTGAGTTGATCTGGCATATTGCTCAATGTAGAGAAAAATCTACCGAAGGACATGGATACCTAATCATAGTTTTGCCGGGTCTGGAGCAGTTAAAACTCCTTTCTTTCTTTTCTTTCTTTTTTTTAACTATTATACTTTAAGTTCTGGGATACATGTGCACAACGTGCAGGCTTGTTACACAGGTATTCATGTGCCATGTTGGTATGCTGCACCCATTAACTCATCATTTACATTAGGTATTTCTCCTAATGCTATCCCTTCCACAGCCCTCCACCCGCCGACAGGCCCGTGTGTGATGTTCCCCTCCCTGTGTTCATGTGTTCTCATTACTCAACTCCCACTTACAAGTGAGAACATACAGCGTTTGGTTTTCTCTTCTTGTGTTACTTTGCTAAGAATGATGGCTTCCAGTTTCATCCATGTCCCTGCAAAGGCCATGAACTCATCCCTTTTTATGGCTGCATAGTATTCCATGGTGTAAACGTGTCACATTTTCTTTATCCAGTCTATCATTGATAGGCATTTGGGTTGGTTCCAAGACTTTGCTATTGTGAAGAGTGCTGCAATAAACATACATGTGCATGTGTCTTTATAGCAGAATGATTTGTAATCCTTTGAGTATATGCCCAGTAATGGGATTGCTGGGTCAAACGGTATTTCTAGTTCTATATCCTTGAGGAATCGCCACACTGTGTTCCGCAATGTTTGAACTAATTTACACTCACACCAACAGTGTAAGAGCGTTACTATTTGTCCACATCCTCCCCAGCATCTTTTGTTTCCTGACTTTTTAATGATCGCCATTCTAACTGGCATAAGATGGTTTCTTATTGTGGTTTTGATTTGCATTTCTCTAACGACCATTGGTGATGAGCACTTTTTCATAAGTTTGTTGGCTGCATAATTGTCTTCTATTGAGTAGTGTCTGTTCAGATCCTTCACCCACTTTTTGATAGGGTTGTTTGTTTTTTTCTTGTAAATTTGTTTAAGTTCTTTGTAGATTCTGAATATTGGCCCTTTGTCAGGTGCATAGATTGCAAAAATTTTCTCCCATTCTGTAGGCTGCCTGTTCACTCTGCTGATAATTTCTTTTGCTATGCAGAAGCTCTTTAGGTTAATTAGATCCGATTTGTCAATTTTGGCTTTTGTTGCCATTGCTTTTGGTGTTTTAGTCATGAAGTCTTTGCCCATGCCTATGTCCTGAATGGTATTGCCTAGGTTTTCTTCTAGAGTTTTTATGGTTTCAGGTTTTACATATAAGTCTTTAATCCACCCTGAGTTCATTTTTGTATAAGGTGTAAGGAAGGGATCCAGTTTCAGCTTTCTGCTTTTGCCTAGCCAGTTTTCTCAGCACCATTTATTACATAGGGAATCCTTTCCCTATTGCTTGTTTTTGTGAGGTTTGCCAAAGATCAGATGGTTGTAGATGTGTTGTGTTATTTCTGAGGTCTCTGTTCTGTTCCATTGGTCTATACATCTGTTTTGGTACCAGTACCATGCTGTTTTGGTTACTGTAGCCTTGTAGTATAGTGTGAAGTTGGGTAGCATGATGATGCCTCCAGCTTTGTTCTTTTTGCCTAGGATTGTCTTGGCTATGCGGGCTCTTTATTGGGTCCATATGAAATTTAAAGTAGTTTTTTCCAATTGTTTGAAGAAAGTCAGTGGTAGCTTGATGGGGATAGCATTGAATCTATAAATTACTTTGGGCAGTATGGTCATTTTCACAATATTAATTCTTCCTATCCATGAGCATGGAATGTTCTTCCATTTGTTTGTGTCTTCTTTTATTTCATTGAGCAGTGGTTTGTAGCTCTTCTTGAAGAGATGCTTCACATTCCTTGTAAGTTGGATTCCTAGGTATTTTATTCTCTTTGTTGCACTCTTTGTTGCAACTGTGAATGGGAATTCCCTCATGATTTGGCTCTCTGTCTGTTATTGGTGTGTAGGAATGTTTGTGATTTTTGCACATTGAATTTGTATCCTGAGAATTTGCCGAAGTTGCTTATCAGCTTAAGGAGATTTTGGGCTGAGACAATGGGGTTTTCTAAATATACAATGATGTCATCTGCAAACAAAGACAATTTGACTTCTTCTTTTCCTAATTGAATATGCTTTATTTCTTTCTCTTGCCTGATTGCCCTGGCCAGAACTTCCAATACTATGTTGAACTGGAGTGGTGAGAGAGGGCATGCTTGTCTTGTGTTGGTTTTCAAATGGAATGCTTCCAGTTTTTGCCCATTTAGTATGATATTGGCTGTGGGTTTGTCATAAATAGATCTTATTATTTTGAGATACATTCCATCAATATCTAGTTTATTGAGAGTTTTTAGCATGAAGCGCTGTTGAATTTTGTCAAAGGCTTTTTCTGCATCAATTCAGATAATCATGTTGTTTTTGTCATTGGTTCTGTTTATGTGATGGCTTTCATTTACTGATTTGCGCATATTGAACCAGACTCGCATCCCAGGCAGGAAGCCAACTTGAACATGTTGGATAAGCTTTTTGATGAGCTGCTGGATTCAGTTTGCCAGTATTTTATTGAGGATTTTCACATCGATGTTCATCAGGTATATTGGCCTAAAATTCCATTTTTTGTCTTGTCTCTGCCAGGTTTTTGTATCAGGATAATGCTGGCCTCATAAAATGAGTTAGGGGGGATTCCCTCTTATTCTATTGATTGGAGTAGTTTCAGAAGGAATGGTACCAGCTCTTCTTTATACCTCTGGTAGAATTCGGCTGTGAATCCATTGGGTCCTGGAGTTTTTTTGGTTGGTAGGCTATTAATTATTGCCTCAATTTCAGAACCAGTTATTAGTCTATTCAGAGATTCATCTTCTTCCTGGTTTAGTCTTGGAGGGGGGTGTATGTGTCCAGAAATTTATCAATTTTTTCTAGATTTCTAGTTTTTTTTTGCATAGAGGTGTTTATAGTATTCTCTGATGGTAGTTTGTATTTCTGTGGGATCAGTGGTGATATCCCCTTTATCATTTTTTATGGTGTGTATTTGATTCTTCTCTCTTTTCTTCTTTATTTGTCTGGCTAGAGGTCTACTTATTGTCTTGATCTTTTCAAAAAACCAGCTCCTGGATTCATTGATTTTTTTGAAGGGTTTTTGTGTTTCTATCTCCTTCAGTTCTGCTCTGATCTTAGTTATTTCTTGTCTTCTGCTAGTTTTTGAATGTGTTTGCTCTTGCTTCTCTAGTTCTTTTAATTGTGATGTTAGGGTGTTGATTTTAGATCTTTCTTGCTTTCTCTTGTGGGCATTTAGTCTATAAATTACCCTCTACACACTGCTTTAAATGTGTCCCAGAGATTCCGGTACGTTGTGTCTTTGTTCTCATTGGTTTCAAAGAGCATCTTTATTTCTGCCTTCATTTCGTTATGTACCCAGTAGTCATTCAGGAGCAGGTTGTTCAGTTTCCATGGAATTGTGCAGTTTTGAGTGTGTTTCTTAATTCTGAGTTGCAATTTGATTGCACTGTGGTCTGAGAGACAGTTTTTTTGTGTGATTTCTGTTGTTTTACATTTGCTGAGGAATGCTTTACTTCCAATTATGTGGTCAATTTTAGAATAAGTGTTATGTGGTGCTGAGAAGAATGTATATTCTGTTGATTTGGGGTGGAGAGTTCTGTAGATGTCCATTAGGTCTTCTTGGCCCAGAGCTGAGTTCAAGTCCTGGATATCCTTGTCAATTTTCTGTCTCGTTGATCTGTCTAATATTGATGGTGGGGTGTTAAAGTCTCCCACTATTATTGTGTGGGATTCTAAGTCTCTTTGTAGGTCTCTAAGAACTTGCTTTATGAATCTGAGTGCTCCTGTATTGGGTGCATATATATTTAGGATAGTTAGCTCTTCTTGTTGCATTGATCCCTTTACCATTATGTAATGCCCTTTCTTGTCTCTTTTGATCTTTGTTGGTTTAAAGTCTGTTTTATCAGAGACTAGGATTGCAACCCCTGCTGTTTTTTGCTTTCCATTTGCTTGGTAGATCTTCCTCCATCCCTTTATTTTGATCCAATGTGTGTCTTTGCATGTGAGATGGGTCTCCTGAATACAGCACACTGATGGGTCTTGACTCTTTATCCAATTTGCCAGTCTGTGACTTTTAATTGAGGCATTTAGCCCACTTTAACATTTAAGGTTAATATTGTTACGTGTGAATTTGATCCTGTCATTATGATGCTAGCTGGTTATTTTGCCCGTTAGTTGATGAAGTTTCTTCATAGCATCGATGGTCTTTACAATTTGGTATGTTTTTGCAGTGGCTGGTACCAGTTGTTCCTTTTCATGTTTAGTGCTTCCCTCAGGAGCTCTTGTAAGGTAGGCCTGGTGGTAACAAAATCTCTCAGCATTTGCTTTCCTGTAAAGAATTTTATTTCTCCTTCACTTATGAAGCTTAGTTTGGCTGGATATAAAATTCTGGGTTGAAAATTCTTTTCTTTAAGAATGTTGAGTATTGGCCCCCACTCTCTTCTGGTTTGCAGGGTTTCTGCTGAGAGATCTGCTGTTAGTCTGATGGGCTTCCCTTTGTAGGTAACCTGACCTTTCTCTCTGGTTGCCCTTAACATTTTTTCCTTCATTTCAACCTTGGTGAATCTGACAATTATGTGTCTTGGGGTTACTCTTCTCAAGGAATATGTTTGTGGTGTTCTCTATTTTTCCTGAATTTGAATGTTGGCCTGCCTTGCTAGGTTGGGGAAGTTCTCCTGTATAATATCCTGAAGAGTGTTTTCCAACTTGGTTCTATTCTCCCTGTCACTTTCAGGTACACCAATCAAATGTGGATTTGGTCTTTTCACATAGTCCCATATTTCTTGGAGGCTTTGTTTGTTTCTTTTCACTCTTTTTTCTCTAATCTTGTCTTCTCACTTTATTTCATTAATTTAATCTTCAATCACTGATATCCTTTCTTCAGCATGATCGATTCGGCTGTTGAAGCTTGTGTATGGTTCAGGAAGTTATCCTGCTGCATTTTTCAGCTCCATCAGGTCATTTATGTTCTTCTCTACACTGGTTATTCTAGTTAGCAATTCGTCTAACCTTTCTTCAAGGTTCTTAGTGTCCTTGTGTTGGGTTAGAACATGCTCCTTTAGCTCGGAGGATTTTGTTATTACCTACCTTTTGAAGCCTACTTCTGTCAATTCGTCAAACTCATTCTCCATCCAGTTTCGTTCCCTTGCTGGTGAGGAGATGTGATCCTTTGGAGGAGAAGAGGCATTCTGGTTTTTGGAATTTTCAGCCTTTCTGCTCTGGTTTCTCCCCATCTTTGTGGTTTTATCTATCTTTGTTCTTTGATGGAGTTTTGGTGTGGACGTCCTTTTTGTTGATGTTGATGATATTCCTTTCTGTTTGTTAGTTTTTCTTGTAACAGTCAGGCCCCTCGGCTGCAATCTGCTGGAGTTTGCCGGAGGTCCACTTCAGACCTGTTTGCTGGGATATCACGAGCAGAGGCTGTAGAAAAGCAAAGATTGCTGCCTGATCCTTTCTCTGGAAGCTTCATCCAAGAGGGGCACCCACCAGATGCCAGCTGGAGCTCTCCCGTATGAGGTGTCTGTCAGCCCCTACTGGGAGATGTCTCCCAGTCAATTGCTTTCTACACAGGCCATTTTTCCTTGATGGACATACACACAGCTAAATTTAAAAATGAATAAGATAAGTTAAATACTGTTCTCTCCAGAGCACTTATACCTTGTCTAAATAATTATAAAGAAACCATCCTTAGGTAGTAAGACTTGAGAAAGATCTACCTTGAAAGCATACAGTGTATGTTCCCTCATCTAAAAAGCCAGCTTTTGAGGTAAGAAATTAAAGTGGTGCAACTATTTTGGAAATCTGAGTGCCTACTAAAGCTAAGTAGACATATATATTGTGATCCATCAATTCCATTCCTGAGTGTGTACCCAACAGAAATGAATGCTTATATTCACCAAAGACCCACGCATGAGTGGAAGTTTAATTCCTAAGAGTCAAGAACTGCAAACAACCAAAATATCTATCAAAAGAGAATGTGATGCATTCATTCTGTAAAATACTACATAGCAATGAAAAAGAACAAACTACTGCCAAATGCAAAATCATACATGACTCTCACAGACTTGTGAGTGAAAGAAACCAATCATAAAAACATCATTATTGTTTGATTCCACTTATATCAGTTCAAAAAATGAAAATGTAATCAAAAGTAATATAAGTTAGAATGATAGTTGGCTTAGGAATGAATTTATTGCCTTAAAAGGGGACACGTGACCTTCTGGGGTATTAGAAATGCTCTATAACCTAATTTGAGTGGTAGTTATATATATGGATACATATGTAAAAAATTACTGAGCTACACATATAGATTTGTTCATTTTACTTGTCTAGAAGATATACTTTAATTAGGTTTTTTTTAAAGTAAGTAAAAATGAAAGTTAATCTTTCCAGGAAGAAAAAAATCAGGTCAGCATACTGAGCAGAGGTGGTTTCAGGGTATAATACAGTCAGCACTTTTTCAGGCAATGGGAAGATTATTATATCATCTGAATACATTTAATTATTATAACTGGCCAGCAGTCATTTATAGAAATTATTCATAAATATTTAAATACACTGCCTGGGAACATTTCTAAAGAGCTTTTAACACCTTCCAGTTGAGGTACATTGGTGTAATTTTCCAAGATCATGCTCTTGACATTGAAGTAATTGAAAAACCCAGTGCGGATTGACTGATCTTAGTAACAAAGAAATCTATTGCTTTCTTGTCTTTTATTTTATAACACTTTATTTTAGGTTCATCATATAATTCTGCTTAAATGAGTTTCTAAATATGGAATTCCTGGCTGACCCCTTCCAATTTGCCCACCATTCTAACGTTGCCAGAAGCCTCTACCTGAGGGCTGACTCCAGCCTCTGTTGACAAATCTGCCTGATGGTTTATCTATAAGAGACAGAAGATAAAGGAGAATTTGCCAAGGGCAAACTGTAAAAATCTCATGAGTAATTATCACAATTTTAAGATCTCTTTATTATTTTTAAATTATTTTTTAATGGTTTTTATTTTTTAGGGACAGAGTCTCAATAAATAAAAAAAATAAAAAAAAAGGGAGGCCCAGGCTGGCCTCCAGCAATTCAGCCTCCTGAGTAGCTAGGACAACAGGCACTTGCCACAGAGCATAGTTAGTCACTTAAAATTATTTCATTCTATCATTTCTCTAATGACATATTTTGCTTCCTAGAGAGCATTCTGGGTAGCAAAAATGTAAGCATTGCCCTACAAGTTGCAAAAGTTACAGATTCATGTACGCATTTTGCTTTCCAACACATCATTTATTCTCTTTGCTTTCTGATACATAGTTTATTCTCTAATACTGCTCTGAACTTCCTTAGAAGCCTCATTACCCCTGTGAGGAATGGGAACAACTCAGACTTGCCAATTAATGAAGTTCCAAGTTGTTCTGGTTCAATTGTTTCCTTTTAGTATAGACATTCGGTCTTTCGACGTTGAACCCTTTATCAGGCCTCTTCTTTGACCATTCTTCCCCTTGCATTGCCCTTTTCCTAGATGGCATTTGGGTGTCTGGGAGTGAGGTGGGACAGGTGTCACTAGTGGGACTTCATGGTTGGGAGTGGAACATTTCTGGGATTGCTGCATGTCGTCTGCTTTCTCAGGTATCTCTCTGAGAAGATGCCCCTTGTCTGGTAGATTGCTTGATGTATAACCTATTGCCAGCTATATCTAACACTGACAGGTTGATCTCTCCCAGCTGGCTCAAGGTTCAGTAGTATGTCCTGATGATATCAGCCTGTCTTTTGTTCTAATTGGTATTAGAAATGCCTCTGAATATTCGTGCATTCTGCATCAGTTCTTAGCCTAGATGTTCCAACCTGCAGGCCCCCTTTCCTCTCACCTCAGTAAGCCACAAGGCAGGGCTACGTGACTCCACTCAGCCTCCTTGGTATCTGCCTCTGGAGACCTGTGGAAATTTTCAAATCTAAATTCAGGTCACGGGGCAGTAGTCTTTAACTTTAGGGTGCATCAGAAACCTCTGGAATTCTTGTTGAAACACAGATTGCTGGACGCCCACTAGGTCTGGTGTGAAGTCTAAGAATCTGCATTTTTAGCATGTTCTCAGGTGAACCTGGTACTGATGCTGCTGCTGCTGCTGTCACCTTCTGATGACCACTGGTCATAGGAGAATAAAGCCAAGCTCAGGAAAGCTGAAACTTTGGTACTTCCAATTTTACCTTGATATGGCCTGATATAGTTGATGAGAGTCTATGAAATTATTATCTTCTGGATCTCCCAAAGGGAATTTTTTAAAAAATCCCCATCTTTTCTATTTCCCTTATCTAACACCAGTCCCTCTCAGGGTTTCTCATATTTCCCACCCTGTACTCTACAACCTTACATCCTTTCATCTCTTCACATTCCTTTGGAAACAGAATAAGTGGATTTGTCTGTCACATCTCCTATATGCAATATTCTGTTACCCTAGACAACATGTTAACTACCACAGCTGCCATAGGAAGGCAGGGTATCTTCTTTACACTTTATGGAAGACCTGGTTCTGGAAAAGCTTGAGATATTTCGAATATTCTTCTTTTCCTAAAGAAAGTCTAGCTTTAAGGACAATTGTCTTTCTGAAGGATCATACTTTGGTCCAAATAAAGATTAACTCTTTCTTTCAGAAGCTCAAGATTAACTCTTTTTTTTTTCTCTTTGTACTCCTGATATAACCACCCTACCTCTCTGCTCTCTGCCTCCAACTACAGCAGCAGGTAATAGAATGCCTCTGCTTAACTAAAAAGAAGATTATGGCCAAGGAATTACAAAATACAGAGGTCATTAATATTTTGCTAAATTATCTTTGTTAGGGATAATGTTCATTAAAGACCCCATTCTATTTCTTTATTTGAGAAACTGGTGACCAGAGGGCTCAAATTACAGAGAATGCTGCATATTATAATGTAGAAAGCAGATCTATTCTTAGTGCTAAAATAGTGCTTAAATTACTTCATTAAACACTATGGAACAAAAAAAAAATCCACATACTGTAATCATTTTCAAATATTCACTTTCCTGCCAATAGCTATATTTTGCCAGGTTGTGGAGACAAAGCAAGTTGGCAAGATGATGAGAAACCTGTAACTGGCAGTACAAAAATCTTTCTGCTGCCAATTTCATGGGCAGGTGCCTGAGATTTGATAAGATAGGAGCGGAAAATTTGTTGCGATGACTCTGAATTTTATAGAAAGCCACTTCCTGCTATTTTAATGTTCGTGGTTCCAAATCTATGTTGGCCAAATTTTTCAGGTAGATATGCTATTTAATTGGACCCACCACCATACCACAACTCTCCAAATTTGAGAAATAAATATAATAATTAAACAGGTGTAAGATCTAGACAATAAATCAGACTCCATAGAATGTAGCAGCACAGATTCTTTCATGTAAATTATACATGCCAAGTATTTCCTGTTTGTGGAGCTCACTAAAACTGATTTATTTATGTGCTGACATTGAATTCTATTGAATTTCTCGAATTATCTTTGAAGACAACCAATTTTTAAGCCATGACAAAAGTATGATGGTTGGAATTTTTGCCATGTGCCTCAGCCAAGAATGGAGCACAGTCATTGACTCCTTACTGATAGAGAAAAAATTCTACCAAGCCTTTGCTTACTTTTGGATTTGGTCATGGGGCATCTAATTCCTATTAGTATGAACACAATGAAGTCTTTTACATTTTATTTTTTTTAAGCCAAGGCAGCACCATCCTACATTATTCACTGGCCCCATTAAGAGGTCTGGTCCTGAACACCATCTCTCTTCAGAGAGGCTCATTACCTTGGTTGATCACCAATAAAATGTGCTTCTTTTTCTCCTAAAAAGAATCCTGGTACTCCACTTTATATGTCCCATTTTCCCCCAAGTTTTTTTATTTCCTGTTTCATAAGGAAGAGTCTTTACTGTAAAGAAAGTTATTTGGAAGAGAAAAGAGCCATTTTCAGGGGAGTCTACATTGAGAAATTTTCTTTGGTTTATAGTCAGTCTAATGCAATGGATAAAATACTGGACCAGAGACAAGAAAAACTAAATTTATTGTCCATTTTAGGTACTAACATTATACATCCTGGAGCAGGTGGCTTCTCCTCCCTGGATCTCTCCTATATAATGGAAGGTTGGAGCAGAAGGTATCTACTCTTCCTTACACTAAGTTGTAACCATACAAATATTCATGTTATGGTGCTATAAGAATCGTTAGTGGCCGGGCGTGGTGGCTCACGCCTGTAATCCCAGCACTTTGGGAGGCCGAGGCGGGCGGATCCTGAGGTCAAGAGATTGAGATCATCCTGGCTAACATGGTGAAACCCCATCTCTACTAAAAATACAAAGATTAGCTGAGCATGGTGGCACGCACCTGTAGTCCCGGCTACTCGGGAGGTTGAGGCAGGAGAATCGCTTGAACCCGGGAGGCAGAGGTTGCAGTGAGCCAAGATCGCACCACTGAACTCCAGCCTGGGTGACAGAGTGAGACTCTTTGTCTCAAAAAAAAAAAAAAAAAAAATCCCTGGCTTGCTCATACTCCCCCTGAGCTGCTCAGTACCACCCCAATTGCTTAATTCCAGCAAAAGAAACAAGATGCCCAAAGATGCAGCAGGCAGGGCTTAAGGGGTTCATAGAAATCACTAATACTGGTGTAGGATCTAGTTCCTAGAGTCCCCACCAAACACCCAATATATTTGTCCCCAAAGATGCCTTCCACCTTTTGAGTTGCCCTATAAAAAGATTAGTTAAGAGAATGGGAATATTGGGCTTGGGGGCCTTATGGCAAAGAATTCCTATACTGTGTCCCCTCAGATAGTGAGGGTTTTTACTGTCAAACAATGTCTCACCTAGAGATCAGGTCCACTTACATTAGAAGATCTTCTAGCAGTGTTTCTTACATTTTTGTGCTTATAGGGATACTTTCTGCAGCTTCAGGAAGCCTCTTTCCCCTAACCTCTAACTCCATCATGTACTGCAGTTCAGAATTTACACTGCGTCATGTATTAACACATCTTCAGGATACACATCAAGGACTTCAGCAAGGTGGAAAGCCAGTCAAGGCACAGACCTGAAGATGTTTTCTAAGGTAGTGATTGTTTGGGTCCCTTGACATCCCAAGTCAGGAGGAAAGACTGCAGTTTCTGCATGTGGAGGTTTAGTTCCATAAATTTGCAGGAGTCAGTTAGTGAATAACTAGTCACAGTATATTAACTTGTCATCTGCAGCTGAGTAAAGTCCCTAAAATGAAACCCTTATGAAGCTGTAGTTGTGCCTATAATTACTCCATCCTAGTTGCATCTAATTTTAATACTTCCACATAATATGCCAAGAAAGGAATTATATGTACAAACCAGCTTTTAATTAAGAGGAGAGAAACCTATGTGTATTTGGCTGCTTGCTGTTCTTTCAGTTTCCTTAATGCAGAAAAAGGCACATCCGTCTTTAAGTGACTCCTGATTAATAAGTACTTATTTCAGGGCCACAGAGACTGAAATAAGATAAACACATATTAACAGAATGGGAACAATAATAAAAGAAAATAAATGTCACTGGTTTAAAACGCATATTGTAAGTGATTCCAAAGGCATGGAAATGTAGTTATTAAACTAGCACAGAGGACCACGGGCCAATTTTATTGAAGTAATTAAATACTCTCATCAAGTTTATGGCTTCTTGGATCATTTCAGGCAACTGGAAATTATAGAGGAAATGTTAATTGAGACCTAATAGATGGCAGACAGCTTGACTTCTTGACTTTACTGGACAGAGTGGCTGAGTCTTGAGGCCCACTTGCTATACAAACTGCATGGCCTATTGAATTTTGGGGTTGAGATGGGAAAAGGATTTGAGCAGATGGCATCACAGTCAGCATTTTCTTTAAGTTGCCATGTAATTATACTATCAACAACAGTGCAACAATAACAATACTGTAACCTTATCGCGCATTTTGTACATGCCAGGCACTATTCTAGGCAGTTTATAGATTTTAAGGCATTTGAACTTGACCACAACTCCATGGGGTAAGAAGCATTCTATCATCATGTTGACCATTAAAATACCCTCCTTCTGATCCTCCAAATCCATGCTTCCATTTTGTGCCTCAGTATTCCATGAATATGGCCTAGATTTCTCTCTTCCTGCTATGTCTTATACTAGGTATCTTTATTTCTGTTTACCCCTCTCTGGCCCTCTCACTGACAGAATATGAACTGACTGAGATCAGAGACTACATCTTACTAATCACTGTATCTAGGCTGTATTTAGACACTTAGATCACTGATTCTTCACATATCTGTAGACTACAGGATTTGAATAAATTAAGAAATACTATATAGACATTTTTTCTGTCAAATAATACTTCAGGACATGTTTTAAATATTCATAGCTTATTGATTGGAAAGTAAGAATTCTGGTTTAAAGCAGTATGTAAAACTTGATCCCAATTTATAAAAATGTTATTATAGGTATATAAATATACATTGATTAGACTGTATAAAAATTTTAAAAGTAATCATCTCTGGACAAAAGGTTAATGGGTGATTTTTATTGCCTTTCCATTTTCTAAAACAAAGATAAGACTATAGCAAATGTTGGCTGCTAAAATATTTATCATTTGAATATAATCATGGTTTTATCCAATTACTTTTGCTGAATATTTAATGGCATAGGGAATAAATAGAAAAAAAAACTAACATCTAATAGATGTTTCATAGAAATTTCTAAGTGAGGATTTTATCTGTCCTTAGAAAAAGAACAGATTAAAAGTTGAGCAAATTATTGCCACACATTCACATTTCCCATATCTGTCTTTTACAAAGACTTAATCCATCATTTGTTTCCAAAACTCAAGTTTGAGAACATCAGGACTCTTTGGCAATCCATATTCCAAATCTGGTTTCAAGATACCAGACCAGGGTTAAACCAGAAAGAGAAACCTTTCTTGGGACACCTGTTTGCAGCATATCCCCTTGGGGCATACTCTGAAAATCTCGCACAATGAATTAAGGTTACTCTAAATAACCTTGCTTTGAACAACTGGAGTATTCAATATCCTTTAAAATCATACTTGGCAAAGTTCTTACTGATCAAAGACTTTCTACCTCTTCAAAGCTTTATGGCTGCTAGGGAGAAAACATTGCTAATGACTTCAGCTAAAGTCTGCACAGGACGATTTAAGCATCAACTAATGCCAATGTCACAAAATCTGCAGAAGGTTTTAAATTTATGGGAAGGAAAAGAAAGGTTTCTCTCATGTTGCTATGGTTAAGTAAAATTCTTGCTCTCTCTGCTTTTTAGCTACAGGAGTAATTCTGTGCTTAGTTACTTCATATAAAGTTTCAACTGGCCATGTAACAATGGATAAGGTGATAGGTACAAGAAAAATCTAATCTGAAAGGATCATTTTCCATAAAACACTTCTCTCTTTGATGAAACTATCCAGGTATACGTTGCCTGGATTAAATCAGCATTCACAGGCACTTGAAAAATCTTACTTTAACAGATTGGACCCATTCTTATTTCCAATCCACTCGTTATGTTTTGTTTAATGTTTATATTACCAAGATTCTTGAAATTTTACTTGTTTATTCTACTTTGTATGAACGGTCAAAACTCTACTTTTCTGTGAAGCTGAGGAAGAGAAAGTGCTTCAATATTTTTCTCTTCAACATGAACCCACTTACATGGTAGTATGCAGACATTCTTAATTAGTTTGCCAATGCTCAAAGAATGAAGAAAAATATGTGAAATATTTTTATTTATCTTTGCCCATTTTACAAATAATGCATGGTCGTTATAAAAAATGTAGAAGAAACAGAAGCAAAATTGAACTCAAAAAACTCACATTTCCACTATCTTCAAATAACCACTGTTAACATTTAATGTATTACTTTTAGATTTTTTTTTTCCATTTTTGTAGATACATAGATAGATGAATGTGTGCAAAAATGTGATCACAATTTTATGGTATGTAATCTATTTTCTATTTCTTGGCAACATAGCAAAAACTGTCTATATTATGAGAGTTATTCCACATTTATATCTTTAAAAGTGGCCTAATATTCCACTATTTGATAGTATCATAGTATCACAACTAAATAATCCCTTTTTTTGAAGATTGAAAAGATTTTTAAGCATTTGTGACTATAAATATTATACTACTAGATATCCTTTTCACAAAGTTCCTAAAGATTTGTTTAGTTACCTTCTTCTAAATGTAATATCTTGCTCAAGACGTATGCACATTTTAAAGCTTTTGTGATTTGTTGCCAGATTGCCATTCAAACAAATAGTGCCACTTTTTTATCAACCTCATTTATGACAGTGTCACTTCTTCAAACCTTCTGCAGCACTTAGTATTATAACTTTTAACCTCCAAATTTTATATATAAAAATAATACCTGAGTTTTTAAAACTTCTTTATTAAAGAAGTTTTGTCCTATAATTATCATTCAATTGTGTACATTCTTTAAACTGCCTATCTTATTGGCCTTGTTAATGCTGGTGATATTTTTTATATTTATTTTTAGGGGTTTATCTAGATTTGGGATACTAATGCTCTTGCTACTGTTCAGGAAGCTAATATTTTTCTCAATTTTCATTTGTGTCTAATTGTATTAATGTTTCAAAATGCCATTTTTTAATGTTCATAAAGATATAGCTAACTGAAAAAATGGTCAAAATAAAATTATTCAAAGAAGCATTAGGCTGGATAGTACCAAAATCTAGCTCAGTTCTGTTCTCCCAACTTAGATAAGATCTAACTCCATCCTGAGAGATTTATAGTCCCGTCCTTTCCATTGCAACTTCAGAAAAATAAAATCAAATAACAATAATAAATAATGTCTGACTCTGTATCTCAGGGTCTGTTATTTATACGATAAGAAAATTTCTGCAAAGTGTTTTTGCCATATTTTTTCAAGGAATACTTACAGTTTTGATAAATCTAATCAATGTATAGATAGCTACACTATTTTAAATCTAGCTCCCAGTGTAAAACCGAGATGAATTCTGACAAGACATTGACTCATGGGCATCTCATTAATGACAATAGCTTACAATCATGTCTATTTTCTGTCAGACACAGAAGTTCTTAAATACAGACATAAATAAAGTTCCATTTATCCGAACTTCTAACGGACTTCAGATTCTTAATGAATTCAGTGACTACTGTTTTTGGTCAACAGAGCTGGACATTGACTGTGTGATCCAGCCACCTGTATGTGCTACAGTATTTTTACAACACGGAGTGGTTTTCTTGCCTAAGATAGTACATTGTACACACACTTGGGATATCTGGTGCTTTTAAGGTGTGGTGTTCACAAAAATACATCCTTGGCATGTCATCTGTGATGACTATCAGCAAAAGGAAAAAAACAGCATAAAGCCAAATAGTGTGCATGTCTGTGAAGGTACAGATATCCATCTGAAGTCTATGTATGGGCCCCTAAAGAGATTAAAACTTCCAGTTCTAAAATAATATGATTTATAATACTTTTCTGAGAATCTGAGAAACAGTAAGAAAGAATCACATTCACCAGAAGTCCTCCAATCAGATGCTGAATGTTGAGACTATGGTGTGAATGACATCACTTGTGACTTTGCCAACAGAATGCCCTCCTGTGTCAGAAAACTTTTGAAGACTAGAATGGACAGCTGGTCCAATTATGTTGTTCCAAGATAGTTGACCAAGTGTTTTGTGAATGTGCCTGTGTGTAATAAACAGCCTGCCCTGTAGAAGATTGTTTATCATTTCCATCACCCAGGGGGAAGCTGGGAAGCCAGTCTTACTCTTGATGAAAGTGATAAGTGCCTGCTCACACTGAGCACATTATTCTTCATGAAGAATTGACCTGATCAGCGAGAAAACTGGCGTGTCCTCTCTGAGTCACACACAACCCCTTTCCTATCACTCTGGCTTTTATCACTCAGCTATAATATAATACATAAGCCAAAATAATAAAAATAATAAAAAGTGGCTTCAAATTTATATTATATTTGCTTACCATTTCATTTTGATCTGGGAAGCTGACAAAAAGTTGAATAAACACATACTCATGAGAATTCTTGAAAAGTCATAATAACCAGGCTATAGGGTGAGATGGTTTTTCTGACAAGCTGGAACTTCCCAATAGAAACTGATCAGAAAAAATACAGTATACAGTGTGTGTATATATATATATAATATATATGTCAAATATATATATTTGTCTACATACACACACATATGCTGGCAATATTTGGTATTCCTTAGCCTGCAGAAGCATTTCAGCCTTTACATTCACATGGAATTTTTCTGTGTGTATGTGTGTCTCTGTGTTCAAATTTTCCCTTTTTATGAGAATACCAGTCATGACGCATTAGAACTTACCCTAATGACCTCATCCTACTAATTATATCTGCAATTACTCTATTTGCAAATAAGTTCATATTCTAGAGGTAATGGGGGTTAAGATTTCAACATAAATTTTGAGGGAACACAATTCAATCCATTAAAATACATATGTGTGGGCCAGGCGCGGTGGCTCATGCCTGTAATCCCAGCACTTTGGGAGGCCGAGGTGGGTGTATTACGAGGTCAGGAGATCAAGACCATTCCGGCTAACACGGTGAAACCCTGTCTCTACTAAAGATCCAAAAAATTAGCTGGGCGTGGTGGCGGGCGCCTGTAGTCCCAGCTACTCGGGAGGCTGAGGCAAGAGAATGGCATGAACCGGGGACGGGGAGCTTGCAGTGAGCAGAGATTGTGCCACTGCACTCCAGTCTGGGCAACAGAGCGAGAGACACTGTCTTAAAAAAAAAAAAATACATATGTGTACACACACACATACATATTAGGTTGGTGCAAAAGTAATTGAAAGTAATTAAAAGCAATGGCAAAACCTGCAACTACTTCTGCATCAACCTAATCTATGTATATATTCTTAAAGGTTGAATATGTCAACCTAAAACAATCAAAAGGGTTAGAATCTAATTTAAAGAGACTTTATCCAAGTGTGAAAAGTGTGAAAGCAGCTGTCTGGGGAGCAGACCTACACTAAAAAATGGGGATTAGTGCTCCCAGTGTGGAGAAAAATGAGGATCATATATATAGGCAAAATGGAGGTGCTGAACAGAATTACATTTTCATAGAAAGGCTAACATACAGTTACAAGATTTGATTGGCTACTATTAATTATACTCTAAGGGGCTTGTTTAACATTATATTGAAAGAGGTAACAGTCACAGGGATCTCTATCTCCACATCATTTGGTTGAGATTTGAATAAAGAATGGGGACTGTGGTTAAGGTATAACAAGTCAACACCAAGGTTAGAAAGCAATGACCAGCCACCAGAGAAGAAAAGCAGTCACATTACCTGAGTCAGCTTTCAGGGCTTAACTTTTCCCTTTGGCATAATACATTTGGAAGGTACTGAAATTTTATTTTCTTTTTAAACGCATATATGTTGTCACATTAAGGTGTTGTTTTGAGATTTATGAAGCTTCCAAAACCACAGACTCACTGCCCCCAAACCTGGCTCACACATTCAAGTCCACAAGTTCTTTGGGAAATTCCTGAAGCTGTAGGATGAGTTAGAGAAGAAGTAAAATCTATAGACACCAAAGGGTTGAAGACAGGAAAAATTATTTACCCTCCTATACCCTCTTCCCTCCAGACCCATGATTCCAGTGTATTTGGGAAGTCTTATCTGTACTTGTTTTCTTTGGCTCTCTACTGAAGCCCCACATCGATCTCCATGAGTCATCAGTTAAGATCTCTTGCCTGTGAGCACCCTCACCTCTAAATAGACCCTACACCCTCCTGAACACCTAAGGGGCCCCTGGTATGCTCTGCTGCACACATCCTTAAATTGTGAAGCACGCTGAGAAGATCAAATACACATTCTAGGCTCCCCTTTCCCCTGGATGCAGGAAGGTCTTGCAGTTAGAATCAAATCTACGTTTCAACCTTAGCCTTGGTACTTACTAGTTGTGTGGCCTCAGACAAACTACTTAGCCTCTTTGAAACACAGTTTATTTTTACCTCTAAAAGGGTTTGGTGATATCCCCTTCCCAAAGCTCTTTCCAGATTAATTGAGGCAATGTATGTGAAAGTATATAATAACTGGAGGGTAGCACATGTTTACATGCTTAGTACATTTCAAATTCTCTTCTCATTCCACAGAGATTGTGATAACAGATCTTGAGTTGGAGAAATGTTTAAGAACCTAGTTATTATTAGCATCCTTGGGTCTTGGAGGATGTACCAAAATTTGTTTTAATGAAATATAGCTTGAACTTGTAACAAAACCGGCACAGTACTTAACATGTAGCAGCCCAGGTAATTTGCATCTAGAAAGTCCAAAGAAAAAGGTTTCTCCGGATGCCTTTGCTCTTTTCTCCCTCCTCATATTTATTTCTTCAATTTGTTCTTCTAATTTAGTCCAGAAATCTCTCACTATCTTTTACTGCATGCTGCTAAGTAAGAAAAATTTCTACCTGACATATGTACTGACAGATTTTGCTTTTATCTATCTATCTATCTATCTATCTATCTATCTATCTATCTATCTGTCTATGTCATCTAATCTAATCTAATCTATCATTTAGGGGATGGGATCTGAAACTCATCACTACCTCAACATTTTTCTGTTAATCAAGAGCTAGGGTCATTAAAATTGCCAATATTCAAAGTAACCCATTAAGTTTAAAGGATTTTAAAAGAAAGGACAGATATTGTACTACCGCACTGCTTTCTTGACATTCCAATACCAGTTGACAAAGTAGACTACTCCTTTCTTGAAATATCTTCTAAGACATCACTTCTGCTGGTTTTCCTGGTACACACTGTACTCTCCCAGTTAGTTCCCATCTCTTTTCTTGATTCTAAGTATTATCTCCATTTTACACTGGGAGCTAGCCAGTGAGTCCTAGCCACTGTCAATACTTAGAGATCAAGAAGAGAGAAGGGAAATAATGGGGAGAGTACAATATATACCAGGATACAATGTATACCCTCTCCTTTTCTCCTCTACTCACTCTATCTATGAAATCTCATCTCACTCCATCCCATATCTCCAGCCCTGATCCCTTCTGAAAAATCCAGATGCCTATTTGACATTTCTACTTTGATATCTAAAAGGCACCTTCTTGCTCTGTGGGATAAATAAATGTCTTTATTGTTTAAACCTTTGGTGGTCAGTTTCTTCAGTTACAAATGTAACATTGAAAACTCACAGGCCGTTACCTACCCTGTCATATAAGAAGAAAACCCTGAGGTCATGAGGCTCAGGAGAGGGGAAACCTTTGGCTAATAAGAGGGCAAACTGTGGCATTGGAGAAGGGATGCTAATGACAAGCAACCAAAGTTTGAAATTATATACTTATAACTTTTAGAGGTATAGACATGTTTTTATATCCATAGTCTTTATTCTTTTCTTAGCATAGCATCCAGTATGCCCAACCATGTACTATTCTCACACAGAGGGAATGCTGTGCTAGGCAATATGACATAGGAGCATTTAGATCTCGGTGTTAGGAGAATGAGGAAAGCATTGACCATCTCTGCATCTTGGTTTTACAGCTGTAAAATGGGATTCTTAAACTAAATGCTGTATTTGTTTTTTTAGGATAAGAGGCAACATACATGCTTAAATATTAATGTTTCATTTAATATTCTGAAATATTCTGCAAATAGAAATTTAATATTCTGAAAATAGAAATCTTGATGTACTTTCATCAATGCAATAAAATATTAATCAGTATAGTTTAGAAGAAATGCAAGGTTTTAAAATGTCTTTGGAACCAACTAAAAAGGATAAACCGTGTTGATTTCATTATTTGGGTTGACCATATATTATATTCATGAGAATATTTGATCTATACTTGGCTTTTATGATAGTCATAGTACTTTTTAGTTAACTGAACTAACTGTCCTACTTCAGAATAGCACACAATGTAGTTTATATAAGGAATATGAAATTATCTTTTATATAGCTGTCTTTTGACTTTGTTTAGAGCCTTCTGAAAGTCCAATTTTTAGATGTGTCTACTATCTATTCGGTTGCTATTTTCATTCTTCTGACCTTCAACTGCTTTGTGGTTTGAGGGACTGTTTAGAAACAGATGTAGTTTCACTTCATAGAATACGTTGAAGTGCAAAGAATGCATCTATCTCATTTTCCTCAAAATCAGTCTGCTTTTCTTCTTTTCTCATGCTCTGACATATTCTTTCCTAAAATGTTAAATTACTGTTTCTTGAAAAAAACAGAGCTCAAGCGGGACAGAGTATTTACTGCCTGTCCAAACTTTTACAGTCTCACACCCATAAATATCCAGGCAGCAGCAGAAGAGAAGAGATGTTCATTTTTTGACACTCATACTTTCTGCTCTCCCGGGAGAGAAAGGAGAACGTGTTTCCTTCTGATAACCCCAAAGCATGTCTCTTTTATGCTATTCCTGCTAATAGTAACTGTTAGCTCCCATATTGTCTCCTTGGGACAGAAAAACAGAGGCATGATTTACCTGATTGGCCATTGATACTGGTTTGTGAGTGAATTGCCTCTGGGAGATAATGTCACTGATACATTTTTCACTAATTTGACTCTTGAGTTTACCTGAAATATTGAAATCAAAAGAAGATCTTTTTTGTCATTTCCTATCTACATTGAAATTATTTAAAAATAAAAATAGCAACTATAATAAGTACATCATGAAGTAAAACTATAACTAAAAATGTTTTGCAAGACGTAATTTGTACTGGTGTAGGAATCATTTTATCACCAGTACAATCAAATTGGTGGAATGTCTTTATAACAGTTCTCTATTATACTTTTAACCATGTTTTTATTAGAAAATAATTTCCCAAACAATGACACAATAGGGGTGTAGATTTAAAAAAACAAACTTTGTAAAATATTTCAGAGGTTTATTCTGAGTGAATAGAAGTGACTGTGGCCCAGAGAAAACACAAACCCAAAAGTCCTGAGAATGTGCTCTTAAGCCAGTCAGACTACAATTCTGTTGTATAAATGTTAAGAAAGCAGAAGTTATAGGCAAAGTCATAAATCAATACATGGAGGTTATACATTAGCTTGGCTGAAAAAGGCAAGATATCTTGAAGCAGGGTCTTACAGATTACAGGTGGAATAGAGACTCTGTCTAGAAAACTTGGAGTCAGTAGAAAAGAATGTTTAAGTTTGATTTTAACATATGTTAGTTAAAATAAGAAGTCTGCTAATTATTATGTGATGCTGTGCCAGAGTTGGGTTGGGAGAGCACATACAATATACTGGGCCAAAATGACCTGTTTTGCAAGACTGATGGTCTCCAGGCCCCGTGGGAAGGAATTTGGAACAAGGAGTTGTGCAGAGTTTAGTCCTTAGGGGACTAATCTGAGGTTTAGTTGTTTTTTCTGTCACAACTTTCTAGTGCTATTTTATTCTATGGCTTAATAAAGAAAAATCTTAATTAATTATCCTCCCCAACCTTTTATACAAACATTTATACAATGGCAATGACCTTTCCATTTTTTACTCAAAAAATAATTCTCAGTAACATTTCCAATAAGATTTGTAACCTTTCAAAAAGACTCAGTAAACCTTTGGGATTTAATTCTCTTTATATTTTATATTTTAATCTATAAACCATAAATTATGTTTTTTCTAAATTTCAAACACCTGGAACAATGATTTATCCCACGGCTAACCCTGAAGTTGTGATTAATGATTAAAAAAGAAAAATTTGTCCTAATTTTAAAATCATTTTTATTATTTTTAAATTATAAAAATGATATAACCAGATTAGTTAATTAAGAAAAAGATTGAGAATTTGTAGTTAGTACTAGTAGAGTTCTATTTAGATAATATTTTTACTCTCTTTTTCTAAAAAGACGAAAAGAACAGAAAAAAAGAAAAGGAACTTATTTGCCAAATCATACAGAGCAACTCACAAACTCAAATCATGTTTTTAGATTACATCCCAATTATAGTATTATAGTAAAATTTGAATTATAATGAAGCATGATAACAAAAGCTGACACAAACTTTCTTATAATTTAGAAAAAATAAACATGTTTATTAAAGTGAGTGTTGCAGCCCTGAAGGGCCATCTGGTGGAAATCTGTTTTCTAGAATGGAAAGGTGTAGGTGTGGGACAGTCTAGAGACATTGGGGTATAGTAATAGAGACCCAGCTTTAAGCCACGAAATGGAGCAACCTGCAGAGGTGAGGAACACAGACAATCTTGAAATAGTTGAATAAAATGGCTGTAGGTGAGGTGAGGTAAAGCGGGGAGTGTGGCGTGACCTGAGGCTACATTATGAAGAGGCTGTGACTTAAGATGAGTAAGACCAACAGTGGTGTTTGAAATATATAGCACTAAGAGGAGACATGACCTCCAGAGAGGTGACGTATTTTATAGAGGAGAAGTAAAGGTCAAATAAAGCAGAAAGTTACTCTCACCCTTTTCTGTAGTATGCTTAAAGAAAAAGGTGGCATAAGAAAAGAATGCATAACTTAGATTTGATATATGAATAATAATACCACCTTGTCATACACCAGAGAGAGGGTGATGGAAAGATATAAGTGAGGGAGGGAGGAAGAGAAAGAGAGAGACAAAGAAAGAAAAGAGAATTAACATAAAAAGTAACATAAAGAAATAGTATAAAGGCTAATTTAAGTGGAACCATCCCCAGAAAACAGAATAATAATTCAGACAGCTTAGTCTACATAGTCTAAAAAATTTTAAGGCAGTTGGGTGTTTAGTAAATAATAGATGCTAAATAAGCTAAAGGACATTCAAGGAAACAACAGAGCCACAAGAAAAAAATTCAACCCGTGAAGCCCTATAAGAAATTTCAAAATAAAGGAAAAAAATGTCAGAAAATACAACAAAGATCTGTCTTGGATTTCAGGATTAAGAAAATCACACAGACTAAAATGGGATATATGAAGAGATTTATTATTAATGATTAGAAGGAAAACAAAAGATAGAAGATAGGAAAAAAACATACAAATAATGATATTCCTGAAAAAAATGGGAAAAACGTAAAAGAAAATATATGCAAATTGTATATATAAAATACATAATTTTTGAAATTAGGTAAAAATTTAATCATCTGATAAAAGTGTTCACTGTGTCATAAGATAAAATTAACAGAAATAAACAACATCTATTTGGTGGACCTGTTAAATTTGATAGTTAAAAGAATCACGGAGAAATTCAAACTGAAAATGTAAATTATGTGCAAAACTTATCTAAGTCATCATTCAATACCATGAGTTTATGTCCTCATTTTTACAGTTAAAAAAAAAAAAAGAGAGACCTAAGAATCTTATTTACCTGATCTGTCCGTAAAGCCAGACAATCTCAAATACACAGGAATACAGGAAATATAGCATTCATGAATCTTTCTTGAAAAACTACTTGGAAATGAAAATATAGTAAAAAACAAAAGTAATAATCAAAAATGAAAAAACCGTGAAGAAATTAAAAGATTTGTGACAATAATGAATTCATTTAAATATAAAATTAAGATTAGACAACTGGAAATTATGGTTACAGAAGAGGATGTTTTATTAACCTTCATGATACAAAATACTAATATAAACAACAAAAATCATTGAATTGATAGAGGAAAAGAAGCAACAACTAAAGGTTAGGTACTAATTTCCTCATCTTTAAAAATTAGGGATTCAACACATACAATCTAAAAATAATATACAGGGATTGAAAACCTCTTCTTGTGTGACATAATCTATTTTAAAATTTAGAGGAAGCTTTCAGTAGTACCTCATATCATTTGTTTGACAGAAATGAATGAAATTCAACAAGTCCTTCACTTTTAATTATGTTTCATGCTTTAGATATAATATAATACAACACAATCTAGTAGTTTCTTATTTATAATGGAACTTAAAGCATTAAAATACCGTCATATTTTAGAAAAATATTTTTATCTATACCACAGACATATTGGGAAGGTCTTTACTATTTACAGAAGTCAAATAAATAAATAAGAAAAATATTTTTTTTCCAGTTCGAAAATGAACAATGGATGAGAATGAATAATTTTAAAAGAAAACAGTGTTAGTACCTAATAAACTGTGTAAACATTTTCAATTCATTAATAGTCAAATGAATGCAACTTTAAATGAGATAACATTTTCATCTTTCAAATGAATAAGATTTTTACATGTACATACACACACCCCCCCCCATATCATATGTGTGAATAGACAGAGCATTCTTCAGTTCCAGAAAAGCAACACAAGACTCTTTTACATATTCCTCATAGCTATGTAAGTTATTGACAGACCCTTTTTGGAAAGCAACTTAGCAGTATTTCTCAAATATCCTAAAATGTACTGATCTTTTGATCTATTGATTAAATTAAAATGCCCTCATCTTTTGATTTACTGATTAAAATGTACGCTAAGAAAATATTATACTTAGGGAAAAATGTCAAGGTCAAAGGATGTTCATTTGGAATTTTTATAATAGGAGAAAAAGTAGGAAATTATAAAGGTGCAGGTAAACCAAAATGGTAAATTTTATCTATTATTTAGTGTCTATAATTGTCTATATTTTGGTCAGTGCTGGCAATCCATAATGGTAAAACAAAGTTCAAAAACGTTATTTTTATAAATGTGGTCATGTATTTACATGCAATTTAACATTTTCTGTTACACAATTTACAATTTGAGGTCATGTTTCATATGCTATTCAAATTGAGAGACTGGAGTCTCGCTAGTACAGAAATGGTTATCTTTAATGTTTGGTTCCAACAAAAATACTGGAATTGAGTCTCGTTGAATCCGATTGGCTTTGCTTGGTTTTTGTTCTTTTATTTTTTTAATTTATTATTATTATACTTTAAGGTTTTTGTTCTTATCAGTTCTAACAAAGCAGCCAGCATGCAGTCATAGGCACTCAATAAATGTTTGTTTAACCAAACTGAGCTTCTTGAGATGGGTACCTTTTATTTAATACATTTGAAGATAATTTATTTTCAATCAGCGTTTAATTGTTCTGCCTCTCTAAAACTACCCATTTATCTCCCATGAGCCATGTGTCCACATACAGAGCTTTTGCACATTGTGCTAATCACTCCCAATTAGACCCTAAACTTTCAGATGTTCTTGGTTAACAATTCACCCACTGATGAAATAATCTTTTATTTTATAGGCACCTTTACTTCCAAATCTACCATTTTCCAAAAAGAAGTTTCATTCAGTGGTTACATCTACAAAAGCTTTTCCTATTTCTCTTGTTCTACTCCATGGTTTCAGTATGCCTTTTATCTACTCTGATTTTATGGCCTACAGATCCTAGTTTTTGATCAAGCAATACATTTTATTATTTTCCCAACCACTCTTTTTCCTTTGGAAAAAAAGTCACATTGAATTTCCGCATCTGTTTTCTTATTTACCAGCTGAATTAATTATTCATAAAGAAAACTCTCTTTTTTACAAATTGCACTCTTTATTGTTTTCACCAAAGACATATTTAATGTCATCGAGTGTTTTGGTCAGATTTCAAAATAATTACCTTAAAGAAATTATATTTCCTATAGTCAAGTGTTAAAAATAACTGTGGGAAACAGAGTAAAATTTCAATTTGTGACAAGCAAATTTTGAGAAATAAATAACTTTTGTAATGGTCAATGGTGCTCAAGTTGTAATAATGTCATGTATCATTTATCTTAATAAAGGAGGTTTATATATATAAACTTGAGGAGAAAAGTGGGATTCTAAAAACTAACACTGAAAAGTCTTCTGTTCTTCTGCATTACTTTCTAATCAAACAAAACTTTTGTTTTTTTTAAATATAATTAATTATTCAGATTTTCACAAGAGGATTTTTTATGTTTTTTGGAATTATAAATAACTTTATAAGAAAAAATTTTAATTGGAAATATTTTTTTCTTTTTATATTGAGGTAAAATATACATATAAAATTTACTATCTTTGCAATTTTAAGTGTAAAATTCAGTGTTAATAAATACATTTGTATTCTTTCTCCCCTTCATGCCCCCCACCATTCTGGCTTCTGGTAAGCACCAATCTACTCTGTACCTTCATAAGATCCGTATTTTTTAGCTCCCACGTGTGAGTGAGAATATGTTATATTTGCCTGTCTGTGCTTGGCTTATTTCACTTAATATAATGGCCTCCAGTTCCATCGATGTTGCTACAAATGACAGGATTTCATTCTTTCTTATGGCTGAATAATATTTAACTAGATTTCTATACCACATTTTCTTCATTTGTTCTTCCATTAATGTACACTTAGGTTGATTCCATATTTCAGCTACTGTAAATACTTCTACAAAAACCATGGGCATGCAGAATTATTTTTGGTATATTAATTCCCTTTCTTTTGAATATATACCTAGTGATCGAATTGCTGGATCATCCAGTAGTTCTAGTTTTAATTTTTGAGGAACCTGTATACTGTTCTCCATAGAGGCTGTACTAATTTACATTCCCACCAAGAGTGTACAAGGGCTCCCCTTTCTCCACATCTTTGCCAGCATATGTTACTGTCTTTTTGATACAAGCCATTTTAACTGGGGTGAGATAATATCACATTGCAGTTTTAATTTGCATTTCCCCAATGATTTGTGATGTTGAGCATTTTTTCATATACTTGGCCATTTGTCTTCTTTTGAGAACTGTCCGTTCAGATCTTTTGTCCATTTTTTAATCAAATTATTTAGATTTTTTTTGCTATTGAGTTGTTTGAGCTCCTTTTAAAAGGATTTTTTTTTCTGTAAATCTATTTACCTCAAATCAAAGGGAAAAAAAAGAAAATCATGTTTTGTAACAAACCAAATCAAAACTGCAGAGCCAATTATAGGTTTTAAAAACCACAGCCTCCAATGTTAACAGGTACTCTGCTGGGTGTGGAACCAAATTAGTGAGAAAATCAATGTGTTGCTGCTTTAATAAGGCCTACTCACTGGCGAGCTGGGTGGACGTGAGTTAAGTAAATACACAAATGAGAAAAGGATGTTCACACTTCTAAGAGACAAACTTGACTCCAAGGGAGAAGGGCAAGAATGTGACATATGAACTAAAATCTGAAGTAACACTGAAGGTTAACAAATTGAGGAGGGAGGAGAGTGGAGGGGAGGAATATTCCTATGGGAAAATGAATAATGGCCCTCTAAGATGTCCACATCCTAATCCTGGAATCTGTGAATGCATTATCCTGCATGGCACAAGGGACTTCGCAGGTACATTAAGTTAAAAATTTGAAATAAGAGAATAGCCTAGTAACCCCAAGGGTTCTTATAAGAGGCTAGGAGTTCAGGACCAGCTTGGGCAACATAGTGAGACTCCATCTCTACAAAAGATTTTTAAAAATAGTAAAATTAGCTGGGTGTGGTGGTGCATGCCTACAATCCCAGCTACTTAGGAGGCTGAGGTAGGAGGGTTGCTTGAGTCTGGGTGGCAAGGGCTGCAGTGAGCTGTGATAATGCCACTACACTTCAGTCTTGGCAAGAGATCAAGACACTGTCTCAAAAGAAAAATAGAGGCAGGAGGTTCAGGGTCAGATATGATAAAACAAGGATAGTAGGGATTGTCAAGAAAAGGGCTAGATAGAGCCAAGGGACACAGTGGCCGCTAGAAGCTGGAAAAGGCCAAGAAGCAAATTGTCCCTCAGAGCCTCCAGAAGGAATGCCACCTTGCCAAAACCTTGATTTTAGAACTTCTGAACTCCAGATTAATAAGATAATAAATTTGTGTTGTTTTAAGACATTAAGTTGCTGTAATCTGTTACAGCAGCAAAAGGATGCTGATACAATTCTAAAGAGAGTAAGCAGCATGTACTACCAGTTTAGAGACTTTTGTGACAGCTGGTGAAAAAGATGGACAAGGGTAGGGGTGGCAGGGGGGCGGTGAGGCAAAGTAGACAAATATGAGCAATGCAAAGGAAATGAAATCAATAGGGTGCAGTGGATATGGTAAGGGTAAGAAAGGAAAGATGAGGCAAATATAACTTTTAGCTTTATTGGCCCGTGATACCAAATGAATGGTGATGATATCACTAATAGAGGCATGAGTAGGTATGGATAAATGAACATGAGTTTTATTTAGGGAATATTATATTTGAGGTCCCTAATCCCAATGGTTTATCCAAAAATCATTATATACCTAGATCTAGAATGCAGATAAATCTTGGCTGGAGCTCTGCATTTCGGTAATCTATATCATAACCCTGCATGAGTTAATCTAAGAATGAAGCTATAAAGTGAAGTAGAAAGAGGACTTAGACTGAATCTTACAGAACTCCAATATTTAACTGGATAGAAAGTGAGACTGGAAAGGCAGAGCCAGGACCCAAGGAAGCAACGGTTTCAAAAAGGCGGGAGGCGTCAACAATTAGGACGCTGCACAGAGATCAGGTAAGATGAGGGCCACAAAGATGGCCATTGTATTGAGCAATATTAAGTTACTGGTAAGAGATGATTCAGTGGAGTGATGGGAATCACAGCCAGAAAGGACTACACTGAGAAGGAGGAAATGATTTAGAGAAGTTTGGTAGTGAGGGTAGTGAGCAAAGGTGAGAGATTCAGGGAAGCTGGTGACCATATGAAAGTGAAGAACTCTTTTTTTAATGATGAAGACATGAATATTTTTACATACTGATTGGGAGAATAAAGTTGAGAGGGGGAACATGAATAAACAAGAGGAAAAAAAAACCCAGTTAAAAATAAATAATACCCTGGAGGGTAGAATGGTATAGAAGAAAGAAAACTGCTTCTATTATAAAACCATCAGCTACAGCCGATGTAAATGAAGAGGTACCCATGCAAATCACTTGAGTACATGAGCTCAACTTTTGACTAATTAATTATGATAATTAAATGTTCTTAATTTGGTTGTAACAGCCTATGAGTTATCTCATTTGTAATATCAAATTATAGAATTTGAATTCTGTAATGTCTGAATTGTAACAACCTATGAGTTATTTCATTTCTGTTTCTGAAGCAAATAATTTACATCCTATTCTGTGGAGTTTTTAAGTTACCTTATTTAAGATATTCTAAGACAATATGAGCAATTTCATTCAGAGAGGTGTAGATGTATATGCAATATGGATTAGCCACCGGTAGAACCCCAAGGACATCAACAGATGTAAATACAGTATGCTTCCTGTAAGAGACTGACAACTGACTAAGGATATAAACAACCTCATTAAAAGATAGTTAGCATTAGGCAACTCCAAGCATGGGCTAGCATGTGGGGAAATGAAGACTCTCACATTACACTTCTGGAAGGAGAATAAATTGGTACAATAGCTTTAGAGGAAAACTTGGCAGATCTAGTAAGATTGAAAACACCATATCCTACAGCCCAGTAATTCCAACTTCAGGAATATAATCTAGAGAAAACTTATACATTAAAATAAGAGAATATGTAGAAGCATGTTCTATGCAACCAAAAATTGAAAACCACCTAAATTAGTATAATTAGAGAAATGGAAAATGAAGCATTTAAATTCATATGATCGTATACTATTAGTTAAAATGAGTAAACTATGTAATTTTATATTAATAAGTGTATCCCTAAAAGATATTAATGATAAAAGGCAAATTATAGAAAATACATTGTATGAGAGTATGTAAATTTAAAAAAATACACACAATGCTATGTACTATTTATGGAAAAATGTATATGAAGTAAAAGTATAAAAGCAAGTACTGGAAGAATATATGTCAAACTCATGGTGATGAATCACTCTAGGAATGGAAAGAGTGAAGTAGGACTGAAGTTCAGGCACAGAGATCAACTTTATTGGTGCATCCTTCATTTTTTACAAGACCAACAAGTATATTATAAAAAGTAAATAAAAGTTAATTCTGAGTATTTGGTACAATGGTGTTTTTCACATTATTCTCTGAAATTTTAAAGATTGTTTTAGTTTTCTCTGAAAACAAAAGTTAAAAAAATTAAGCAGGCAATACAGTGCAGGTTGAAAACCACCTAAGTTAGTATCATTAGAGAAATGGATAATGAAGCATTTACAGTCATATGATAGGATACTATTAGTTAAAATGAATAAACTATGTAGTTTTATATTAATAACAGTATTAATAAGAGGTATAGGTGAATAAGAGGTATAGGCCCACATCCACAAGAATGGAGGAGGGAAAAATCAGCATATGCTGGATGAGCCCTAAACAGACTGGTGAAAGTGAGAAGGTAATCCTGGACAGGGACACTGCTTTAAGGAGCTCCTGAGGTGGAGTTAGAATTCCTTGGACCCAGAGTCAGCTTTGCTGCATGATCTGTGTGACCTTCAGAATTTGCTGCATGTCTCTGAGCCTCAGTTTTCTCTATAATGCCTCAATTAAATGAGATAATGTGTATTAAATCACTCACCACATACTATGGCACATAGCAGACACTTATTATCTCTAAGGAAAATCCTAAAGCAGTGGCTGCTTCTTCCCAACCTCAATCCAAACCAACCGCCAAGAAATTGCCGATATGTTTTCCATAGTTAACTTCTGGAAATTAAGATGACAGATATTTTCTGGGCTCGATACTTGTGTTACAAGTTTGTTCTTGCAATGTAAACAAGAAGGTTGTGTAATCTGATCCAGGTGGATAAAAGTTGGCTTGACCCACTGGGGTAGGCCATATGTGCTGGGTTGTGAGATCCTAACAGACTAACAAAAGTGAGGAAGTGTGTGTGTATGTGTGGTGTGTGAAGCATAGAAATACAGTTCAATCTACTTTCTGGCATCCTTCACATTTACTATTTAAAGCCTAACCTTGCTGGTGGTCATGCAGTCCTGATTGTTTCTTGTAAAGTAATGAGAACATCCACCTGAATGATGATTAAGCAGTCATATTACACCCTAGGTGTGAGAATAGGCGATTTCTTCAATTCTCATTACTTTTTGTTTGCTCTTTTAATTTTCCCCAGTAAAAATGACCCTCAACTCTTTTAAGAATCTGCATATCTCAGAAGACCCTCTACATCTGCTAAGCCAGAAGCCCAAATAATTCCTACAGATGAAATTGCTCCAGCTCTGTGTATTCCAATAGGGCCAGGTAATCATTAACTGACTTCGATATTGAGCAATAGTATAATCTGGGACAAGTGTTTCTTCTTTACTTCCACTCATTTTGGACACATGACATCAGGGACTTGCCCTTCTCAAACTTGCCATATGCCTATCACTTACATACAAAACCCCGTCACTAACATAAGCTACAATTATAAGACTCAATTTTGAAAATTAAGTGTGTTTCTCTTATATTCCCCAGATGTCAGAATTGTTTTCTTTACCTTCATTCATCTCCTTTTCACCATTTTAGAAAGATGATAAGAGAAAAGAAAACTCAAAGAGAAAGGAAATATTCCAAAGTAGTATTTTGATTGATTGAGACATTTTAAGAACTCTATGTATTTGGCACCTGGAGGAAAACAGAAATTGATAATGCCAAACAGTTCATCATCACGAGTTGTTTTGGAGGATTAATTACAGATTTATGGTTCAGAGTGGTATGCTGTTCTGAAAAACAACAACAAATGTTACCTTGACTACCAGAAACTGCAAGAGTCAGGTCCCAGCAATCTGAATCTTTCACTGAAATATAGTAACTAAAAAGGAATCAAGTTCTGGGTGATTTCAGGTAGGGGTGCGTTAGTTGCCCCAGTGATATGTACAAATATGAATATTGCTCCCAGCAGATTGCTTCACTTTATATTCTTGCGATCCTCTCACCTTGACAATCTGCCAGCTTCCCTAGCTACAGCTCTATGTTTCCCCTTCTGGAACACCTCAGCCTTTGTGTAAAATGGGTTTTTCTAGATGTAAGGTGAGTCAGCAAAAAATGTTCCTTTTCTTACCCATCGTAGATCATAAACTGCTTCTTAAAGTTTTAGGTTCCTCTTGTTCACAGCATTAAGGGAAAATTTTGTCTTCTTTGTTCTGTAATGTTTGAATTGTGTAAGATAATTTCTGCCTAGAAATAAAAAATTATCAAAATGGAGAATAACTTGCATTATCTCCTTGGGGGAGGTTTCTTAAATTGTGGTTAATCTAGGAGCCTTGATTTGCTTTCTCAAAGTTTGAGCTAACGTTTCAAGGAGCTGGAAATTGTAGGCCTGTTTACAAAATCTTAGGCACTCCTTCCATTAAAAGATGGAGTCTGTCCTCACCCCCACTTAATTCTGGGCTGCCTTGTGATTCTTACAACCAGTGGGCGAGATCATACAAGGTAATGCAGCTTACGCCTTGTTTGCAAGGACATTAACTTTTGTAACCCTGAACCTATACATAACAGTCCAATTCCCCTGAAGCTACCATGCTCTAAAAAACTTCGGGTCACATGAAAAGGCCATGTGCATATGCTCTCATCAGCAGGCTTTCCTGAGTCAAGCATTCCTAAGTCATCAAATCATAGGTTCCACACTGATGAATATAACGAATCAAGATGCCTTCAGAAGATACTAAGCCCTAGCTGTGACATCACTCCAAATGTTTATATTTCCCCAGATTAGGCCCCAGATATGGAGCAGAGTCAAACCACTCCTGCTGAGCCTTGTCTAAATTCCTGATCCATAGAATTCATGAGCATAATGAAGGGTTTTTTATGCTACTAGGTTTTTGGATGGCATATGCAACATATGTACCTGAAGCAACTTCCCTTCTTTTATCTCTCTTCTTTTTTTGTATTATACTTTAAGTTCTAGTGTACGTGTGTGCAATGTGCAGGTTTGTTACATAGGCATACATGCACCATGTTGGTGTGCTGCACCCATCAACTCGTCATTTACATTAGGTATTTCTCCTAATGCTATCCCTCCCCCAAATCCCCACACCCCGACAGGCCCCGGTGTGTGATGTTCCCCTCCCTGTGTCCATGTGTTTTCATTGTTCAAATCCTACTTATTAGTGAGAACATGTGGTGTTTGGTTTTCTGTCATTGTGATAGTTTTCTGAGAATGATGGTTTCCAACTTCGTCCATGACCCTGCAAAGGACATGAACTCATCCTTTTTTATGGCTTCATAGTATTCCATAGTGTATATGTGCCACATTTTCTTTATCCAGTCTATGATTGATGGACATTTGGGTTGGTTCCAGACATTGCTATTGTGAATAGTGCCACAATAAACATACGTGGGCATGTGTCTTTACAGTAGCATGATTTATAATCCTTCGGGTATATACCCAGTAATGGGATTGCTGGGTCAAATAGTATTTCTAGTTCTAGATCCTTGAGGAATCGCCACACTATCTTCCACAATGGTTGAACTAATTTACACTCCCACCAACAGTGTAAAAGCGTTCCTATTTCTCCACATCCTCTCCAGCATGTTGTTTCCTGACTTTTTAATGATTGCCATTCTAACTGGCATGAGATGGTATCTCATGTGGTTTTGATTTGCATTTCTCTGATGAACAGTGTTGATGAGCATTTTTTCATATGTCTGTTGGCTGCATAAATGTCTTCTTTTGAGAAGTGTCTGCATATCCTTTGCCCACTTTTTGATGGGGTTGTTTGTTTTTTTCTCGTAAATTTGTTTAAGTTATTTGTAGATTCTGGATATTAGCCCTTTGTCAGATGGGTAGATTGCAAAAATTTTCTCCCATTCTGTAGGTTGCCTGTTCACTCTGATGATATTTTCTTTTACTGTGCAGAAGCTCTGTAGTTTAATTAGATCCCATTTGTCTATTTTTGCTTTTGTTGTCATTGCCTTTGGTGTTTTAGTCATGAAGTCTTTGCCCATGCCTATGTCCTGAATGGTATTCCTTGGTTTTCTTCTAGGGTTTTTTATGGTTTTAGGTCTTACATTTAAGTCTTTAATCCACCTTGAGTTAATTTTTGTATAAGGTGTAAGGAAGGGATCCAGTTTCAGCTTTCTACATATGGCTATCCAGTTTTCCCAGCACCATTTATTAAATAGGGAATCCTTTCCCCATTGCTTGTTTTTCTCAGGTTTGTCAAAGATCAGATGGCTGTAGATGTGTGGTGTTATTTTTGAGGCCTCTGTTCTGTTCCATTGGTCTATATCTCTGTACCATGCTGTTTTGGTTACTGCAGCCCTGTAGTATACTTTGAAGTCAGGTAGTGTGATGCCTCCAGCTTTGTTCTTTTTCCTTAGGATTGTCTTTACTATGTGGGCTCTTTTTTGGTTCCATATGAAATTTAAAGCAGTTTTTTCCAGTTCTGTGAAGAAAGTCATTGGTACCTTGATGGGGATAAAATTGAATCTCTACATTACTTTGGGCAGTATGGCCATTTTCACAATATTGATTCCTCCTATCCATGAGCATGGAATGTTCTTCCATTTGTTTGTGTCCTCTTTTATTTTGTTGAGCAGTGGTTTGTAGTTCTCCTTGAAGAGGTCCTTCACATTCCTTGCAAGTTGGATTCCTAGGTATTTTACTCTCTTTGTTGCAATTGTGAATGGGAGCTCCCTCATGATTTGGCTCTCTGTCTGTTATTGGTGTATATGAATGCTTGTGATTTTTGCACATTGAATTTGTATCCTGAGACTTTGCTGAAGTTGCTTATCAGCTTAAAGAGATTTTGGGCTGAGACAGTGGGGTTTTCTAAATACACAACTGTGTCATCTGCAAACAGAGATAATTTGACTTCCTCTTTTCCTAATCGAATACCTTTATTTCTTTCTCTTGCCTGATTGCCCTGGCCAGAACTTCCAATACTACATTGAATAGGAGTGGTGAGAGAGGGCGTCCTTGTCTTGTGCCGGTTTTCAAAGGGAATGCGTCCAGATTTTTCTGAGAGAGCCAGACTCTGGCACACACCTGTAGACCTCTTATTTTGTGACTTGCTGTATATCTCTCCTTACCGGTCTGAATAGAACTCAAGGATGCTAAGACACAGCCTGCCTACTTATAATTTAAAACCTGGCACCTATGGGTGTAGTTTGAAACTACTCTGTCCATGAAATCTCTTGGCATTGAGACTCAGTGTTGTCCTGTGGTTTTAAGGTACAGGTAAATCTAACTTTGTTGTGAGTTAATTTAAGTATCAGTCAGACCCTTTGTTATAATCTAGACTCCAGGCTCTGATCCATTCTAGTTTGCCCCATTTGGTTTTTTATATCTTCTTATCCACCAACCCAGACATGGAATGATTCTCATTCATGCATAGGGAGTCACTGTGGTCATACAATTTATAGAAAACCAGAACTTCTTTTTCTAAAACATTGCTGCCATTGGGTAATTAGCAGTCCCCAAAATATTTCCTTAATGGTTCATAACTTTGTATTAAACTTTTTGTTATGATTGTTTGCTTTATTTTAAAAGGAATATATTAAGTTTTATTATTTTGTTGAAATGTTTCTTAGAAAACTAATTAATTATATAACCAAGACTGTTTTTATTAAAATTCCCAGATCCACTTTTCATTCGGAAAGAAGGGATGTGGTAAGCACACAAGCGCTAGGCAGTTGAAGGTGGAATTGGGAGGAAAAGCTATTGAGATAAAAGAAATACAGAAAGAGAAGGCAAAGAAAGCAGGAGTCCAACTTTGCCTGCTCATCAAATTGCCTCCCTGACTCTATTCATATATTGGAATTCTGTTACAGTTCTATAGACTGTCTTTAGGGCAGAGGGACTATCTTCTAACATAACAATTCACAGAGTAATTTGGATAAACTAGCATTTTCATAGTTCCAAATCAAGAAAGGACCAAAATGCTTCGGAATTGTTTTATTTTTTTCCTCTGTTGCTATAAAGGAGGAAACTCTCGGCTGCCAACAGAGATTGACAGACCAAGCAAAGAACAGAATGTTTTCATCTGAACATTCTAAGTTAATGTTGCTCTCCAAGCCTGTTCATGGAGAACTGTCTAGACTAATGGACTCTAAGCAGATGCCACTAAAGAACATACAAATATGAAATAGTTATTGTCTTCAAGAAGGTAAAAAGTTATATATACAAGTTAAGGCAGACTATATGCTGATGCTTACGACTTTAAAAATGACAAAATTTGGGTGTTAGAAATAATCATATATAACCATAAAAATCTGTCCTAGTTGCTAATGTTCATAAGAATATCTGATCTGGACACAGCAGGGAAATGAATCCCACAGGGGTGCCGTCATCCACATGATGGCAGGCAAATGATGGCTGGCTCTGTCCTGAAAGGACCCAGGACAACAATGCATAAGGAAAAATCATCCTGTAACTTATAATCAGCCAGTAAATGATATGTTCCTCATGTTTGATTCCAAATTCTATTAATTCTAGTCATGTGATGTTTGATGCCATTTTATCAGTTTGAGTTTTGAAGGCAGATCATTAGAAGTATTTTCTCTCATTATGACCATAAATTATGCATATTTATAACATTTTCCAGAATTAGAGCCTCAAAGATTCAGTAAATTAAATCAGAAAACATTTTTACGGACTTGTACTATAAAAATTAAAGGGCTTTCCTTAAATGTAAATATTAACTAATATAATAAGCTTGATGCTATGATACGCTATTTACTAGGGATTTAGAGCAGAGGCTGAAAAATGTATTTTGTTAGGGGTCACAGAGTAGATATTTTAGGCATTGCAGGTCATACAGTCTCTGTCACAGGTTACTCTCCTGTTGTAGATCAAAAGGAGCCAAAGGTGATTCATAAACAAATGGAGATAGCTGTGTTCTAATAGAACTTTATTTACAATAACAGGTGGTAAGCTAAATTGGCACTGGGCCATAGTTTTTCAACACCAGATGTAAAGAAATATCGCCGCTAGGAACCTCACAATAATGAAATGTTGTCCTTTCTTTGGTCTTTCGTTTTATCTCTCGTGCATGATCCTTGAGTTTAAGTCTTTCCACAGTAACTATTTTAAGAAAAGGATGTTGGTGGAAAGGCAGCTAAGTGAGGAATCAGAGCCTAAGATTTTAATAAAAGCACTGGCCTATGTCAAGTGTATGACTATGGGAAGTCACATAACCTCGCTGAGCTTCAGTTTTTTCATCTGTCACATGGCAACTGCTTTTCCTATTTCCAGAGCTAGTGTAAGATTCCAATGAGGAAAAACTATGTGAAGGCACGTTGTAAACCATAAAGTATAAAGTAAACCAAAACTAACATCCATTTGTAACACGATGCCTTACATGAGAACAATTCATTAGACAGGGTACATTAAAGGGGAGATAGTCCTTATAACTGCTTTATGCTAATCCCTTACAAGACCTTGGGAATATTCTATATTCAGTGTTTATATCAATTCCCTTCCATAGTCCAGAGCAGGAACGAGACATGTGCTATGGCAACAATTATTCCTTGTTTTGTAGCATCATTTCCCTCTGACTATTCATTCACTAGGAGAGATTTTTTTCCCTTCCACCTGACTAGTTCACAAAATTTTAGTTCCTTGTCTCTCAAAGCTAATCTTTTGTAATTCAAATTTTCATAGAAAGTGTGAATTTACCTGTTAACCATTTCCTTAGTAGTTCTGGTTCATAGTCACAAGGCACTTGTCTAGAATGCATCTTTTAAACACATTCACATGGAAAAGCATGTTCTTCTTAAGAGAATGATCCCTCTTTCTTCATTGGTACCTTTCCATGAGATTTCCTGAAGAGAACCCTTCCAATGTCTTACATCTCATTTTAATTTTCTGTAAGGTTGAGCATTTTTTATAGAAATTTTAATGACTCTTAGGTTCAGATCTTAAATGGCTGATGTGTATTTTTCTCCAGAAAGACAAAGTTTTCTCAGAAAGGTGAATCCACAGGCCCTTGTACTTGTAATGGACACTCTGCTACTATAGTCTATATCTCTACTATGAACATCTTAGCTTCATGAAATTGTTAAGCTTTATAAATTAAATTAAAAATAATATTACTCTACTTTTGATTAAACACAAGACTTTCTATTTTGGTATGAAACCATTTGATAAAGTTTTAAACCAGGTTTTACAGAACTTTGAACAGAAGGGGCTATTTATAATTAACTAACCCTTCATTCTTATTCCCAGATATTCACACAGGAGACGCTTCATGGATTAGAAATTTTCAGCTGGATTAAAAGTCATGACAACACTGAGAAAAATATACTTATGAGATGATGACATTTAGATTTTACTGAAATCAAAAAAGGGAAAAATGAAGGTAGAAGTGTAGTAAGGACATAAAACTGTCAAAGAAAAGAATAATAAAATGGAGGTTAGATAAAAAAAAAAAGCTTATACAAACTGCTTACATCCCCCAGTGAGTGGAAATTGTACAAATGAAAGAAGAGGCAGAATATATCTTTAAAAAAAAATAAAAGAAATGAAGGGGAAAAAAAGCATTCACCTTCATGCATCTTATTTAGTACTCTGAAAAACTGAGCCAAAATTATAGGGGTGAAAGTGTTTTAAACTTTTCAAAGCATTTCTCAAGAAGGAAAACAAAGTGGCTTAAATAGAAATAATGTAAGCACATCTAAGAGAGCTATCTAAACTCTAAAACAATGCTGACTTCTATTTTGTGACTCCAGTTAGGCTCAGAAGAATGTGGATATGGACTCGCTAAAAGTGAAGGAAACAACTAAAAACAGATCTAAAGATAGACCGTCTTTTGGATAAAAGGAAAGGAAATAATCTATATACTAAAGGAATCACCACCTTGAACTTGATAAAGTAGCATTTGGGGAAATACATAGAAGTTTGCGTTTTATTTAGCAGATGGTGAACTTTCAGACTCATACTCAAAAGCTAGTATTAAGTCAATATTTAAATACATTCAAAAAAGGGTTAAAACCTTCACACAGATAGAACTAGAATAGGTTATAAGGGGAACAGGGATATTTCAGGCCTAAATAACTTAGAGATTGACAAATACCATAGCAAACAAACCTGCTCCTTCAGTATATGATGCTTGGCCCTGTTTCAGATGCTGAATGCAAGGCTGTAAAGAGAGTGCAGCATTTATTAGAGGTTGATGTTCTGATAGTTTCAAAAAGACCACAGTATATTTCAACAGGACTATGTATTGGTTGTGCAATGTACCAATACATTCAATATGTATTGTATTGTAGGTATTGTATAATGTACCAGTACATTCAACAATGTATTGGTTGAAGTAGAAACAATAACAGGAATGAAGTGTACTATCAAGTATGATGATGTTATTTATAGACATAATGGGTTTCACTTACTAAATTCGGAGTACTTGGTTAGAATTCAAGTGGCCAGTTATCCTGTACACAAACAGGTACCCTTCAGCTTGAAGTTGATCGAACTGGAAAGGATCTCTGCAGCTGCAAAGCAGAGCCCTATCACTTAACAAAGATGAGTGAAGCATTTTTTGTTTGTTTGTTTGTTTGTTTGTTTCTAGATTAATGCTTTTTAGATTATCTCTTGTAGGGTTATCACTACCAGAATCTGGCTAAAGCATAAGGCAGAAATCTTACTACTGGAATTGTGCTGAGGGCTCTTGAGCAAGTCACCTCATGTCCCAGGCCTCCATTTCCTACTTATCAAAAAGTGTGCCAAATGAGGGAAAAGTGGGTGTTTGTTTTAATTTTTAACTGCTTATTTCAGAGATTTGTTTTCACATTCCCTCCAAAAGACTGGTCACAATCTGTTTCTAGGTTTATACCAGATTTGAACATGTGTGGACACCCGCATGCATGTGTCTACTGTGAGTCAACAAAGGAATTCCTTAAATCTCTACTAGTTTTCATACTCTTGTATTTCTAGTCCCTCTTTCAAAAAACTTGCTAGATGCAAAACGATAGATATGGATATGGACGTGGACACAGGCCTAGGTATAGACAGATACACTTAATGTAAACATGCACGTATATACATTCAAGTACTGTTAGGTACTGGGGATCCAAAGGTGGCTTCTATTAACAACAGCAGCCCTTACTCACTGAACATATCCTGTACGTCAAGCATTGCTTTAAGCCCTTTGCACTGTGTTCAGCACAGTGCCTAACACCTAAGCATTCAATAAATGTGCTGAATGAATGTTGAATCCTTGAAATTCATCAAAATGTCTTTCTTCCTTCAAATGTCTCATATGAATTGTCAATTAAGGTTTTTAATTTCTGGCTCGGGGGTGGTTAACAGCATGAATATCTATTTGTGGTTAGTTCTCTTTAACGTATAATTAAACTCTAAATGTAACTACTTTCAAAACTTAGTTTTTCTTTAGCTTCTAGCATCAGCTTTAAAATCTTACTTTTTAAAAAATATAGTAGTTTTATATAAGAGCAAAAGCTTTTTTTTATTAATGATCAATTTGTTTATGAATGTAAAGGATTAAGATCTTAGGAGATCTTGTTTGGGAAGCATTAAAACCATTTACACACTTAGTTGAACAGACTCCTTAAACATGTCAAATCACACAACTTAATATGTCCAAACACTTCAAGTATCTGAAAGAAAAAACAACTTTCAAAAGTAAAATTTAAGCATTTAAAAACCTTGGATAAATTCATATATCAAACTTATAAATGTAATAAGCCATTATCCTAAGAATCAAAGAAACATCTGCACAAAGCATAAACAAAGCATCACAATAATTATAAAACTTATAAACAACACGCTGTGTAAATACAATATTTTTTAAAGTATTGAAGCTTCATTCATCTCATAATCATTGCCCTATTGAAATTCAAGGCTTTATGGGATAAAATATTTACCAGCCAAACAAGGGGAACTTTATTGCCAGAGTGCTATATCAAATGAAGTTACAAATGCAATTGTTGGCCAGATATTTTTAGACCAAGACCCCCAAAATACAGCTGTTTTTCGAGAAGACCTTCGTGTGAGCCACAGTTCATTGACCTGAACTAGTTCTTGGTATAATGGGACTTTTTCAGTCTTTGTCCTTTTTTTTGGTGGAGGGCAACATAATTCATTTTATGTTTCTATATTTTGTTTTAAAATCATCAACTTCTATAGAAAATGTATGGGACTTTTCTTCACAAATTTGTGTTGTTACATCATTTAGATTGATGAAATTCTGTGTGCGTGCACACATACAAACAACCCAATCTAAATGATAAAGTTTCTTTACTCCACAATGGGATCCTCTACCCTGTTAATATTTCATTTTTTGTCTCTCACATTGAGTTATTTATTGACTAAAGTAAAAAATGAAAAGAGGTCCCTCCGAGGAAGTGAAGTTGAAAAAAGGAAGTTGACTAAGGACATTAGAATCCTAGGTAACTGGTGCACATTGTTTCAAAAAGGGCTACTCAAACATGTTAGATATGAAAAGTGAGTTTGGGTTGGGGATTGGATTAAGATGATACCTCATAGTTGTATAGTTTTCTATTGCCATTGTAATAAATTATCACAAACTCAGTGGTTTAAAACAACGAAAATGTGTTATCTTACAATTTTGGAAGGCCAATATCCAACACAGGTGTCACTGGGCTAAAATCAAGGAGCTGGCAGCAAGGCCTTTCTTTCTAAAGGCTCTAGGGGGGAACCCATTTTCTTGCCTTTTCCAACTTCTAGAGGCTACCTGCATTTCTTGTCTGGTGGCCTTGTTCCACCTTCAAAGCCAGTCTTTCCCACAATATTATCTCTCTGCTTCTACCTCTTCTGCCTTTCTCCTCCTCATTTAAGGACACTTGTGGTTACAGTGGGCTCACCAGGTAATCCAAAGTAATCTCACTAGTTTGAATTTAATTAAGGTTAGCACCCTTTATTCTATCTGCAATCTGAATCCCTTCTTGCCGTGTGATATAGCTCATTACAAGTTCTGGGGATTAGGAATACTCAAAGACATCTATAGGAGATCATGATTCTGCCTACTAAAATGGTATTGGCTAAAATATAAGGCAACCTGAAATTTGCCCTTTACTAAGAAGCTAATTACTTCTCCAAAGAGATGGCTGTTAGAGTCAAAAATAAACACCCAAATTTAAAAAGATAAAGTTATATTTCATTGTTAGTGCTTTAAGCCCTCTTCTTTGATGGAAGCTAGCTTAAACGGGAAGCTGACAACAAACTCAGACTAAGGTTTTTTTTCTGCCTCCTTATAACTAAAGCCCTGACCCCACCTAAAATACCACTGCTCCAATATGAAGAAAGACAATCTACAGACACAGCATGTAGCAAGAATGAATGGAAAGGAGAAAGCTAGAAGGAAAGCATATTCACCTGGACCTGGTTTATTCATATATCTTCTACAAGACTTCATTTTCAGAAAATATGGTTCAATTACTGTCTACATGAACACACTCTACTTTGGGAATAAAATGAGTGAGGGATTATAGATACTTAAACTTCATTTAGCCAAAAAGCTTATACTAGAGGATAACGCCCACAACTGAAAGGTACATGTAAATCACTCGAGGCATAATCTTAGAAATTATTTTAGTTCATTGTAAGTATAACAGGATGAGCCACTGTTTGAGCTAAAACCAGGGAGCAAGCTGAAAACGAATCTGAAGAACAATATTCAAGAATTTGTTACCAATTCTTAGTCTGAAGGGTTCAACCTGTTAAAACACACACTTAACTCTTCCCAGAAAGAGAGATCAAAGTTGGCAACAATACAAATTCATGTTCTATCTCTGTATCTGTGGTGTAGGTTGAGAAATAACTTATTTCATTTTGGAGATACCTGGGTTTATACAATTATTTTTGCACGTATTACGATAGTCTCATTTCTATTTTGTTTATTTTAAACACAAATCTATATGCTACAGAGCACTTTTTTGAGGGTAAGAGGAACAGCTCATAAAATCAGAAATAATTGTCATTTATCTAACAGAATGGCAGTGATATGCAGAGATAGCTGGTATTCTAAAACTATAGAATAAAAAGCTTCTAACCACTCTCTCAAAAAGCAAAATACTGGATCTACACCAATAAACATCTCTCAATAACACTTTCCAAAATTAAATAAAGCTGTCAGCCATATAGGAAAATGAAGACCACTGGGATATCCTTTAACAAATTGCCTTTCTCTCTCTGTTTCTCTCTCTCTCTCTCTCTCTCTCTCTCTCTCATACACACACACACACACACACACACACACACACACACACACACACACACACACACAGAGCTTCCCATCTTCTTGGAAGAAGATTCATTTGTCTCATCTTGGGAAACACTTTGCACTTTGTGCTTTTTGGTTCATCACAGCACCAACTATATTAATAACCAAAAGCTGAGCTACCAAGCTGGGTTCTCATGGAATCATTGCATTTCCTTGAATAGCTTTGTTGAAAGGAAACAAACAAAAAACAGATCTTCAAGTGAGAAAAGAAGCAATTTGAAGTAGCTTTGCTAACTCAAAGCTAGAGATGGATGGGCCACCAATTTGTTTTGTTCACTTCCATTCTCGTGTGCCTGGTTTCAAACTTGGTAGAATCATTATCACTAGGTAATGATTTAAAATAAGACTGAGGATCTGGATGATTCTTAGAACCATTCTAGCATTTTCTTTAGTAACTGATTCACTGTATGAAAGAAAGCAAAAAGCCTTTAGGCAGGAGTCATTTGCCCCTTCGCCCTCTTTCTACTCTTTAATTCTTATTAGAAACGTATTAAGAGGAACCTTTACTGAGACCATTCAACTCACATTATAAGAATTCTCCTATCTTGATATCAATTCCTTGATATATCTTATTCTTTTTTTTCAAAGAAAGGAAGTGTAGGCATCCTGAGCCTTTTTCTAACATAAGTAAAATGCAGCTAATGATGTCCTGAAGTGAAATTACATATAACTAAAAGTAGATCCTATGCTTGACAAGTGATGGAAGAGCAATATAGGGAGAAAACTTTGAGAAAAGGTTTATTTCTTCATGTCCATTGGAAAATAATACCACATTAAATGGTTTCTTACTTTCAAATTCAAGTTACATTTTGCCTTACTCAGATATACCAGTAATGTATATCTGAAAAGCACTGCATAAATCAGCCTTTGTAACCTAAATCGTAAGTCACCAGAAACTTACTCTATGATTTCAGAGATTCTTTATCTTCATTTTGAAATCCTAATGACTTAGCTTCAAGTCTCTGCCCTGTCCCACTTTTTGTTAAACAGCGAATGATCTATAAATAAAAAGTTAAATGCACTAGGTTGAACTCTCTATTTATAGGAATATTTTTGTACTCAGAATCATTTTTCAAAGTGAACAATCAAAACCTAAATCCTCTGCTTCATAAAATTTAATGGTTACATAATGGATTTTCTTACAAGAACATACACCTTTATAATTAAATGGAAATTGAAGTAACTTTGATAGACTATAACCCCATGATTTATATGAAACCTGGTACAAGGTTGGTGCTTAATAAATAACATCCTCCAATTAATGTCTCTATTTAATGTATGTTTGCCTTTTGTTTCCCATGTTTCCTAGAGCAGGTGCTCCTTCTGTGCCTACGTGCAACGGTAACCAAAGAGATATTGTTGACCAAAAACGATGGCTATTTCCTTAAAAAAATCAGTGTTGGTGTACCTTCCTCATATTGGTCATTGCCCACCTTCCTCTAATTAAGCATTTCTGTTAAATTAAGCCCTTAACAAATATGCCTCTGTGGTTTTCCTTTTCTTCTTTTTTAAAAAATCATCTATTAAATGTCATAAGAACTTGAAAGGTCATTACCAGGAAGGAAATGTTTACAACCTCTGTGCAAGCCAAGAAAATAGGAAATCAACACGAATGATTCTGGCTACACAGACTTCTGTCCACTTCTCACTGCTGGAACTGGACGTCCACTCCACATAAGGCTTACTTTTTCTCAATGCCTCCTAGTTGTGCTGTCCTGTGTCCCTTTTTTAGAAATGAATTGAGAACGATATGAATTGCATATAGCATATGTTGCAATTTATTTAGAGAGAGGCTTGAAGAATGAGCCACATATTTGGGGAAAGTAGCTTAAAAGCGATCATTAAGAATATGAGAAGGAATATATAGGGAAAAAATACACACAGTGGAAAATGACCAGAAGAAAAAAAACCTGCCAAACTATTTTTTCTTACAATACGCTCACTTTTTCTAAATTTCAAAGTGTGACTCTTCTGGATGATTCCAGCCATCTGTGTAGTAAAAATAGATTTGCAGAAGATATGGATATGGACTCCGATCTGTTGGAAGTAGAAAACCCCTTCATTTTCAAATCTGTCTGGTATTGGCCTCAGTGTAGGGGGCATCTGGACAGCAGTCACAAATTCCTTATGACCATGATACTGAACATGTCAGAGGAAAAACCCTCATAAAAACAAGGCAGGAAAGGAAATCCATGTGTCATCAGGACCATATACCTGTCTCTATGCCATTCCAGAGGAACAGCTGTTAACTGTGGCCTTGGAGAATTTCCAGGAAGATAAAAGAGAGAAAAGTGTTTTATTTTGGTGAAAAGCAAAATATATATATATTCAAGAAAAATCGGGAAGCAAATTACACAGGAAGGAACCAAAAGTGGCAGAAGACAGAGTATTAATATTATCATGATCCAGTCCACAGTCATAAAAATGCTTCCCCTAAAGCAGTGGTTCACAAAGTGTGATCCCTGTATCAGCCGCATCAGCATTACCTAAGACTGTGTGAGGTACGCAAACTTCTGAGCTCAGTCCAAACTCAGTGAATCAGAAGCTCTGAAGCCGGAGCCCTCTCATCTGTTTTAACAAGCTGGCCAGGTGACTCTGATGAACGGCAGAGTCTGAAAACCATTGCTTTAACCATTGAGTAAATGACCACTGAAATACAATTGTCATTTCAGACACATCCCTGCCTGCCAAAATTTTATGTTTATAGACTGATCTCACATTAGATGCATTAATAACAGTAGAAAGGTCAGGGCGCTCAAATGTCTACAGAAGGTAGGCAGCTGTGTGTAGCAGTGCAGGTTGCATGCAAAAGTCCTGCAAGGCAGGTATCACAAATGAGGGCAGTGGGCCAGGCAGACTGATGAATCAAAACATAGTCCTCATCCATGGATCCCAGCCATTATTCAGGTCTGGCTTCTTGTTGTTGTGAAGAAATGCATGCTCAGTATTGCTAGATTTCCCAGCTTTTTAGAGAAACCAGAGATAAGAATCTTTATGTATAATTAACATAGTATAAAATCTTGACAACTAGTTCAATTAGAAAACTGATCATTTGTCCACATTCAACCTCTATGTAGACGGTGGAGACAAGGGGAGAATGATATAGGAAAAGAGAATAAAAGTTGCTAAGCTTGATTTCTCTCTTACATTGTTTGTTTCCAAAATTATGTTTAAACAGATATAGCAATTGCCTTTATACTGTGATTTTAAATACTCTCTGTCTACCATTTCCCAAGAAATCTCTCTACATCCATCTGCCACAATGTCTGAAATTCTATCATTAAAGATAATTGCCATTAGTTTAACTTTTCATGCCTCAAATATTTTCCTTCTCCTAAAATTATCCTATAGTGGTGGTCTCATTAACATGGCCTCTAGAGTCCTGTGACCTGGTTTCAAATGCCGTTGGCTTTGTCATTTACTAACTATATAATTTTGAATATGTTATTAAGTGTCTCTAAGCTGCAGTTTCCTTAGCTGTAGCTTAAGGATAAACAATTATATCTTTACTGTGATGATTAGTAGAAATTTTTGAACCATTGTCCAGATTCAATAAGTGATATTTACTATTCTTGTTTCAATCAAAAACACTTTCCTGTGATGAGTCTATTAGACTGCTTTCCTCTGGGGATTGGATAAAAAAATGTTTAATGGCAAAACAGACAGGGTTAACTTGAGAAAAGAACAACATTAAGTGAAATGAGTATACACCAGATGTCCTAGATATTGAGACTGGTGGGCAGCAATGGCAGGGGAGTGTCTTGATCTATATGCCTTACTCCTACCTACCTTTCCTCCAGCCCTCAGATATGTGAAGGGCTGGTAGAGACATGTTATAGGTTCTCTGCCTACAGATCATCATCAAGATTCCTTTGCCTTGCTGAAGGATTTATTAATAAACAAGACTCATTGAAAGCAAGTCACCAAAATATCCTCTACATATATTTACATATAGCCTCAGAAAATTTTTGAAAATGTATTTGTGCCTCTAGTCATGCCTTATCTCTCCTCCATCACCATGTATTCTTGTTACAAATTGATAATCACAAAATTTAATGTGATATATTATCAATTATGTTTCACATTTTCCTGTTTAATGGTAAGAATAATCAACATAGTTGACATGGGGAAAATGATAAATTCATAGGTATAACCCAGTCCTGGGAGGTATCTTCTGGAATTTAAATTAATGGTCAGCAAACATTCAGACATGTCATGCCCACGTTCTGCTGATTTTTGCATGTAAGTTTGGTGCATTAATAACCTTATTTTGAGGGGATTTGGCTTAGTGAAAGTGTTGCTTTGTTTTGTCAGGGACAAAAAAATGACACAGGAGCTACCTTAGGGATATAGATTGAGAAGTCTATGAAGAGAGAAGAGAAACTTCTAGCAGAAGCTAAAACCTTTTGAGAAAGTGGCAGACTTTTTCTTCTTATGTTTCTCTTCTATCACACCTTCCTGCATGGGATTCCATAAACAGATACACACATTTCTAGATCAAAACCACAGTTTCCCCCAAGATGTTTAACTCTGCCCTTTTTATAAATGTTTATAGAGAATATGGTCAAAATGTTCAATATATATGTGATTTTCTATATTTGTCATGTAAGAGGAACTGAAAATATAACAAAAGAAAACCTCAATGTAGCACCTCCAAGATTCAACAGTGGACAACTATTTAAATAACCTGAAGAAGAGAAGCAGGTTTCCATCTGAAGGGTGGAAGCCATATATGGTCTCAAACAATGAGGGACACAGAATGTCTCAAATCAGTTCAGTAAGCATTTTTTGAATACCTACTATGTGCCCAGCATCGGGCCGCAGTGCTGAAGAGGAAGGTAGAACTGTACTTCTCTCTCTGAAGACCTGGAAGTCTAATAAAGAAAGACCTATTATGGGAATAAATATGTATTTAATTATTATTAGAATTTTACTAAGTTCCAAGGTTGAGTTACCTACAGGACAGTGGTTTAGTCCAATCTGGTATGTCTGGAGCAGTTTTCTGGAGGAGATAATGTCTAAAATGATTCTTAAGTAACTATTAGTCTGGCCTGGTGGGTGGGAGCACAAGTTGGAAAGGGTTTATGTTAGACACATCCACTGCCTTTCACCTCTACTTTCAGTAGCCTAGCACATTTCACCATCATCTTTAGTTTAGACTGTCAAAACAGCCCCTAATGATCTCCCCATACCCATATTTGTCCCATTTAATCCATTCCTCACATGGCAGCATGGATAACTCTTCAAAGTATACATTTTACTATGTGGTTGTTCTGCTGGAAAACTTTTCAAAGGCATTTCCAGTGCAGTCAGGACAACATCATAACTCTCTTCCATGGATTATAAAACCTTGCATGATTTAGCCCTTGCCTCTCTTTCTGGTACTCTAGTACTACTTTTCTCACACAGCCCATACCCCGGGGTCTGAAACATCTTGCTCATTCCTGCTTGAGAACTTTAGCATAAGTTGCTTGCTCTCTCATTCTCTACATGGTTGTCTGCTTTCCATCCATCCAGACGTTGCTTAAGTCTCTACCTCAAGAGGTCACCTCCAGCTCCATCTCAACAGCAGACTTTCCATTTCCTTTACCTCCACCATTATTACTGTAATTTTCAAACCTCAGCCCCACCTTCAGTTTCTTCCCAAGCACCTAATGCAGTTTGTAAGATTGTAAATTATATTTATATTGATTTTTAAATTATAAGTTAACATGTTTAAGTTGACCTCCCCCACCAGGATATCAGGCTAGAACTACATGTGTTTTGTTTCCATTGTTTCCCAGCACTTAGCAAAGAATCTAGCTTTTAGTAGATCCTCAATAAATGTTTGTTGAATGAGTAAAAGGAGGAGGCAGCATGTGTGTGAAAACATGTATATTCATTATCTATTTCTGTGTAACAAGTTACTCTAAAACGTCATGGCTTAAAACAACAAACATATATTATCTCACAGTTGCTGTGGGTCAAGACTCCAGGCAGAACTGGGTTCTGTGACTCAGGGTCTCCTACAAATGGGTAATCAACATGTCGCAGAAGCCATAGTCATCTCAAGGTTCCACCAGGGGAAGACTCACTTTTAATCTCATTCATGTGGTGGTTGGCAGGATTCAGATCCTTATAGGCTATTGGCTATGTGGCTCTCACCGGAAATAAGAGAGCCGGAGACGGTTAGCAAGACAGAGGTTACAGTCTTTTATAACCTAATCTCCAAGTGACATTCCATTAGTTTTGCCATATTCCATTCTTTACGAGTAAGACACTAGATCCAGCCCACACTCAAGAGGAGGGAATAACATACCAGGAGGCAGGGATGATTAGGGGCCATCTGAGACGCTGCCTACCATGGCATGCAAGGACATTATGTATAGAAGGACTTATTTATGATCAGTGTAGTGTCAGACTGGTGATGGATAGGAGACGTTTGAGCTCTGTGAGGGTGGAGACCACTTTCCTTCAGTGACCTCTTTTATTCCCAGTAACTAAGGTAGTCCCTAGCACATGCGAGGTCCTCAGTATTTATTTCTCAAATGAATAAAGAACAAAATATTGTGTGGGGACAGGCTAGTGTGAAAGAAAAACTAGCCCTGACAACCTACTTTTGCTTTACTTTTTTTTCCCCGTAGCATTTAACACCTCCTAGCATAGCGTATTTATTTATTATCTTACACTTTATTGATTGTTTCTCCTGCTGAAATAGAAGTACCCTAAAAGCAGTAATTGGTTTTTTTCTTTGTTCTTTCCTCCTTATTTTTCCACTCGTATATCCCAAGTTCTCCAGACAATCATATTTAGAGTTCAACACAGTTTGTTAAATAAATTTAGTTAATCTCAGTCTGATTCTTAGACCAGCATCATCAGCATCCTCTGTGCAGATTTTCAGGCCTTGCCCTAGAACTGCCAGGTATGTCTCTGCAGCTTAACAACGTTCCCTGGTGATTTCTATGCACACTGAAGCTTGAAAAGCACCATTTTAAATGATTGAAATACAATCGAATGCAGGAGAATTGACTCAAGTCCATCCTCTCAACTGGTACACTGTTTTGCCTGTAGCAATAGTTGTAGTGCAGAGGTTAGCAACAATCTGTTTGAAAAAATATAACGTATAAATCAAAGAGGGGTTGTTCCTTTTCTAATCTTACTCTCTCATATTTTCATTCTAATATGGCTTCCTCTGGGAGAAAGAGGTGGAGCCACAATCAGCGTACTGGGAATTCTATAGCAGGAATATAGGTAATACTTAACCTAAACAACCATGGAAAAAAATACTGAGAATACTGCTCTAGAGTGTATGTAAGTATGACCTCAAGTCCCCGCCAAATTAAGTTACCTTGTTACCAGTTGGCTTGTTAATATGAATCACTTCAGCTATATGTGTCAATAAACTGATCTGAATTAGAAAAAGTCATAGGAGGAGGATTCTGAGGTCCTGCCAATATTTCCTTCCTGCTGATGCCCTGAAGCAGTGAAAACCAGCAGCAATAACTATAGTTATTGCCACAATAAAAATTCTGGCCACATGAAAAAAAAAATCTGCAGCAGTCAATTACCTCTGAATCCTGGTAAAACAGAATCTAAATATTCTCTTAGGTCAGACTCATTGTCATCATTAAGGAATTTCATGAAATGCTGAATACCTGCTATGCCAACAATACCTATCTGGAAAAAAATAAAGAAAGAAAAAAAGAAAAAAGCTGCCAAGAGGATTGCCTTATGTGTAGGTTTTCATGCTTAATGTAGATTTTATGGTGGTGACCCCAACCACCTTTGCCACAGTGGATGAATCCAGAGTCAGATTGCTGCCTAAGAGATAGGCAATTGCCTATAAGCTGCCTGGTGGCCTAGCATGAATATTCTGCCCAGTAAGAATGGCACATGCTCCATAGTGACAACAGTAACTGTGGTTTCAGTCACAGTGATGGCCCCAATAAAATATGCTTCTTAGTATTAACGGTCTTGTGCAATCCCTTTCATTTGAATTTATGCTGAGCCTGTTGACTTGCTTTAATCAATAGAATGCAGCAGAAGGGACTCTGGAATTTGGGATGCAGGGCTAATCAGCCTGTACCTACTTCTTTGGGGTTGGCGGAGACCAAGATTTGGATAATTTCCTACCATCTTCAGGATATACCAGCCTCAATAAATGTTTTACTGAATAAAACAGATATCAAACTTTCAAACCTCCAACCTGCAGGGAAAGGCCTGCAGTGAAGAATAGAAGCTCGATTTAACAAATGTGGGACTGGCCAAGTTCAAGGCCATTCAAATGTGGCATCTTTGGCCTCAGAAATTCTGACATAGTTAAAGGGACTAAAAACAAATTCTCAAGCAACAAGTAGTTTGCTTTTAGGCTTTCTCTCAACCCCTAACCAGGCTAGGAACTGAGGAAAAGGAATTCATAAGAAAAGGAGAAACAGTTTCCTTAAGCCACAGATCTGAAGCAGAAGTCACCCAGAACACAACAATTCCTCCTCCAGACATGATGAATGAAGCTGTCAAAGCAACCAGGGTTTTCTTTCAAAACTATTCATGAGCCTGAGCTCCATTGAACATTATCACTGTTCTTATTCATGCATCTTTCATCTCTTACAATGAACTACAGTCTCCAAATGAAACTATCAATACATGTTAGTTTCTCAGGGGGAGAAAATAACTTAGAAATTCAGCCTGAGGCAGAAGGCATTTTTCTGACACTGATGTCCTCATGCCTCTCTCCCAAGCCCCCATCAAAAATGCACATTCTTCCCAACCCACCCCGTCCCCCTGTCTAAACTGGATGATTATATTAATGAGTAAAACAATAGCTTCTCACCCTATTTCCACCTGATGCAGGACACAAAGTAAGACATAACCTTGGCCACTGTACATCTGCAAGTCCTTAAAAAGAGGAGAGAGGTTATTTCCCATAATAGACAAATACGTTTTGAGGAATTCAGTTTGACAGATTCAGTTGATTGTTAGCATGGGGAGTAGGGGTGGGGTTTGTGCTCTCTATGGAGGATATTTCCTTTAATTGGAGAGTTTAATTTGCCAGCCACTTTGGACTGCATACCAGGCCCTGACAGAAATCAAATAGCCTTTGCCCAACCAACTGGGCTAACTTCCCCTCTAAAGCAACTACCTTGACTTATGGTAGCTCCCAGTGTGCTCAAAGGAATCGACCTCTACTTCCTGCACTTTCCAAGAAATTTTTTGAGTAATGAATTGTCCATACAAAGGAAATCCATCAGTCAATAATGCCATGAAAGACTTAAATAAGCTTCATTATTATAATGTGGAGATTTAATATCTAAGGCAATTATTCTCATCCACCTTGGATTCCTATATTTAGTCAGCACCAGTCTGGGGAGACAACAGACATCCCTTGGAACCCAGCTTATCTGATAGAACAACATAACCTTTAGGTCTGATAACCGTGCCAAATATTGAATACTTAAAAGCAAATGTTATTCTAATTAACTGCATTCACAAATGACAGCAGCTTCTCTTTCCAAAGCTGCTTGGAAACTTCCCCTCAAGACTCAAAGCAGAAGCAGAGCAAAATAATAATAATAGCATATGAACATAAAGCCAAATTTGCATTAGATAACAGGAAGCTATCCATGACGTTCAAAGGTTAGTGGGTATTATAGCCTAGTCTATTTTGCAGTGCATGGTAAGAATGTGGTCAATAGGGAATAGCATACCTATAGGGCCAAAAACCATCCGAAAGCTGGCTGGGCAGTTTCACAGATAGGATTATGAGACAGTGGGTACAGAAAAATGGCTGATTTAACTCACCTACTATAAGTAAACGTCCATTTTTCCTGAAATGACTTTCAGGAACTCAATGCTATGGTGAGTTCATCATAGATATTCTATTTATTTTCTCTTTGTTATTATTCTAAGCACACAAGTGATATGCGCTTATTGTAGATAAATTAGAAAATACGGATGAACAAAAAGAAACATAATTAAATTACACAAAAAAATTGTACCAGTCACAAACAACCAAATATATCTTTATATATATATACTTCCTGATTTTTTCTCATGAATATGACATATAATATGTTATGTCAATAATTACTAGATTCATATGAAATACTCTTTTGTAGCAACCTTTTAAAAATTAATGTATTTTGCTTCCATATAATTGAATATATGTCTACATCATCATTTTAATAAGGTTCCATTATAAAGATGAGTTATAATTTTGTTTAGTTACCCTGCTATTATCAGACCTTTCAGTTGTTTCTAATGGGTATGTGCAGAAATGTTACTGATGTCTTCCACAAACTTCCCAGACACACTTCCAAATTATTACTGGACATTTCAATATCAGTACTTCAAGAAGTTCATTTATATCATCAGTTCTTTCATTGAACAACTTTTGGCATTGTCTCTTGGCATTGCCTTCAGCATCTGCAGTATGTGAATATGAATGTTCACACCTTTCCACTAGTTGGTATGCTGGCAGTCAGTGAGAAGAGAAAGTATAATCCCCAAAAATATGGTGGGGTAGTCCAAAGTATCCACATCAATCTTGAAATATCTATAAAGTCTTGCTTTACTTTAAACACAAAAGTGAAATTTTAAATTATTTTCTCTCATATATCCATGTAAATTTTATTATTATTTTTACTCAATAACCACATATTCAGTTAGTGGTCTATGTTTATACTGATGCATCATGAACAGCCTGGCACACTGCTATGATTCCTGGGGTTACCTGGCAACGAGTGTTCATTCTGGTCATGATTGGAGTTGTGAAACAATTTCAAGGCCCAATCAGCCAACTATGAGTGAGAAGGGTAATCAATGTGGGGGATTTAATTTTAGTTCAATGTCATCAATACCTTCCACATTTGTGCTCCAGCCTCACATTTTCATATATCTTATCTCATTTATCTACATACCAGCTTTGTGCTCCAGCCTCACGTTTTCATATATCTTATCTCATTTATCTACATACCAGTTTTGTGAAGCATCCAGGCAAGAAGAATCATTCCCATCATTCTTCATTATCTAAAATGGTGGAGTTCCACCTATTTTATGCAGCTTTAATTGAAAAGGGGCTTTGCAAACTTCTAACCCCACTTCTGATACTGAATCCTTTGCCATTATATACCTATGAAATCTTCTCACTTGAATCTCTTGACACCTGGATATAACGCACTTTACCTGTGCATACCTCCAGCTACCAATACCCTGTAGATCATTCTCACGTGCTCAATACATACATAGCAATCTTTTCTTCAAATCAAGTCACCCTACCCCCATTTTTACCTTTAACCTCTTTTACCACAATAATCATCACCTGCAATCTCCATGAGCAACTCTTTTCTAGGGCCACATCCTGGACCAACTGTAATGTTCTTAAATTGCATAGTCTGACCACAGCGTTCCATCCTTCTTTCTCAACTATTTCTCCATTTACACCAAATACAATTTTATCTCTTGAATTCCACAATTTTCTCTTAGTCTCTCTGCTCTCAGCCCCTTTTCACTTTGCATCCTTCCTTTCTGAACCTGAACTTGATGATCTATCTTCACCTCAACTCTGATCTGAACAGCATCCTCAACTCCTTTGGCTTTTGGTCTGTTCTTCAGCTGTGCTACAAACTCACCATTTGGTTTCCCATGGAAATTGCAAGCTGAATATTTCCAAATGAATTTCTTTCAGAACTGTATTTTCCCCCTTATTCTGTTCTCTATTTTAGTAAATGGCCCTATCACCTACCCAGTAACTCAAGCCATAAATCTGGAAGTTATTCTTGATATTTAAGCCATTCTCATGTCTTGCACAGTATGTCTTCAAACTATATCTTGAATCTAATTCTCTCTTTACACTGCCAGAGCTGCAGTCTTGATACAAGTCTTTATTATCTCTACAAATGACAAAGACTCCTAACTCTCTTCCCAGGCTCTAGCCTCACATTCTCCAATCCATCCCCCATGATATGCTGATGAATGAAATATCGTGCCTCTTCCTTTTTCACCCTCCCTTCCAAAAACAGCAAACCATGCAGAATTCTACAAAATACCATGTTATTCTTTCTTTTGATGTTTGTTTAAAAAGGGTTTGGAGGTAACTAACTTGTAGAGAAATATACAAGAGGATCTAAAAGAAACAGGTGGAGAGAGAGATGGTAAGAAAAAAAAAATAAACCAGAGGTAAAAATTCATGCCATTAAAACATGTACAGTTGTTTGTACATGTGCAGACCCACATTTGCATCTGCACTTCCTCCAAGCAAAGATAAAGAAGAAAACCTAATAAGGTATGAGCTTCATTATTTCTACAAGACAAAAACAAATTAGTTGCTGGTTCTGACACCTGAGAGAAGTGTCTTTCATGGGAAGACCAGCCTGATTCTCAGGCCTCCGTGCTTAAAATTCTACTTGCCCTTCAACACTCAGATCCAATCATTCCTTACTGTGAAGTCTTCCCTGATTCTACTCCCACCTCCTCCCTCCAGTTAATAATTCAGCCTTTCTCACCAGCTCAGGATTTTGAACTTGTCCTCTGTTTGTACTAATTATGTGTACTGAGAGTACCTGCTTCTGCCCTTCACTGTGGTCATATTAAGGGAACAGACTCTACCAAGTTCATCTTTGTATCCCCATCAATAATGAAACTAGTGAAAACATGTCTTAATGCTTTATAGCTGTAATTGAAAGGTAAAAGATTTGCACCTTTTAGTACTTCTTTGTAATCCAAATAGGATTGAGGCCAAGACTGACTGTTGGGGAGTTAATTCTAATAATTTACAACATACTTTATTGTTTCCCAGCCATTCTGTGAGGTTCAACTGAATTCAGCTTTCTGTAATACAATACATACAATCAAAAAGACAATACTCAGTAGGTTTATGGTCAAAGGAGAGAAGAGAGAAATAGGGCCAGCCAACCCTCCTTCCAATAACATGCCAAAGCCCCAGCCCCAAGTGGAGACCAGAGGGTATAGTAGGCTGGACATGGCTTAAGGCAGACTTGATGGTAATGGCTCCTTCTCTCTCATGTCAATGGTGTTGTACAAGTAGGGCTGGGTCTCTGAGTGACCCCCTAACGCAATGGCTATAATATTGAAATAGCTTTAGTCTGTAGCACAGCTCAGACCTACTAGTACTCTTGTTCCACTCTTGTCCACCATTGCACAGCAAGCTTTCTCTGGGTGTATTTGCCCAAGATAGCAATAGCAAAAGGTGAATTATCTCTTATTAGATTACTTCTGCCTAAGTCCTTGGCATAAGTGGGGATGGGTAGCAGATATTACCTTTCTAATATGTCTAGTTCTCCTGCTCTCTCTTAATGTGTTATACTTCCCCACTCCTCTGTGCAGTAAGTAGGGCCATGTAACCAGCTCTAACCAATAGATTTGATTATAATCCAGTTCTTCACATATTCTTCCTCTGTTACAGTGAACATGTCAGCATGTGTTGAAATAAAGCTGCCACCAAATGAAAGTATCCTGAAACACTGAGCCATTGCATAGAAGGTGGCTGCACTGGGATTTACCAAACCCTTCAGAAGGTCTTTTTGAAGAGCAAGAAATAAACATTTGTTATATTAAACTACAGAGATTTTGATGTTGCTTGTTATTGCAGCATTGCCTAACCTATCCTGACTTACACAGAGGCTTTAACCCACCAGAACTGACTCAATCACTTTAACTATTTAGAGAAGGAAGCTTAATTAATCAGAACAGCTTTCTGGTTGGGTTCTCCTGAAAGATACAAAATTATCATTTCACTCAACAAGTATTTTGAACCAAAAACAGATTCACTCTCTACACTCGGGTCTTTTGCTCTATTTTCAAAGAAAGAAATAAAATCAACATGAAAAATTTCTCAAATTAAGGCTAAAAACTGCTTCATATTCTTTAATCTTCCAATTTTCAGGATGGCATATACTGATTCATAGTTTGAGAGATCACAAGACTGAAACCAGGTGTTTGGAGTCTTACTAAAAAGTGTGTATTTTTATATGCTCATTTATTTGGAAACGTGTGATTCTGGAATAAAGGTGGCAAATGAATTTTAAGGGGAAAAATAAATAATTCTGCCAAAACGACACATGCATTCATATGTTCATTGCTGCACTATTCACAATAGCAAAAACATGGAATCAATCCAGGTGCCCATCAATGGTAGATTGGATAAAGAAAATATAGAACATTGGGCTGGGCATGGTGGCTCACACCTGTAATCCCAGTACTTTGGGAGGCTGAGGCGGGAGGATTGCTTGAGCCCAGGAGTTTGAGAGCAGCCTGAGCAACATAGCAAAACTCTATCTCTACCAAAAATGCAAAAATTACCTGGGCATGGTGGTGCACGCCTGTGGTCTCAGCTACTCAGGAGGCTGAGGTGGGAGGATTGCTTGAGCCCAGAAGTTCAAGGCTGCAGTGACCTGAGAAAATATGGAAAATATACACTACAGAATATTATGCAGCCATAAAAAAGGATGAAATCATGTCCTTCGCAGCAATATGGATGGAGTTGGAGGCTATAATCCTAAGACAATTAACACAGGAACAGAAAACCAAATACCTCATGTTCTTACCTATAAGTGGAAGCTAAACATGGAGCACACATGGACATAAATATGGGAACAATGGACACTGTGGACTACTAGAAAATGGAGCGGGGGTTAAAAAATAAACTACCTGTCAGGTACTATGCTTACCACTTGGATAATGTGATCTATATTCCAAACCTCAGCATCATGCAATATTTCCATGTACCAAATCTGGACATGTACCTCCTTTATCTAAAATAAAAGTTGAAATTAAAAAAAAATCAACATTTTTTTTTATAATGGGCCAAAGAGGGAAACAAATCCTGAAAGCAGCCTAGAAAAAAAAAGGAAGAACAGTTTTTTAACATAATGGGATGGTATGGATGACCAGCCCTCTCCTTCATGTAATCATGAATGGCTTAGTCAAAGACACAGAGTTTAAGAGGATTGTTTTTGCCAGATGGAGTAGTCAGATGGTGACAAATACCTCAGGTATAGAAATGTTCTACATGGAAGAGCTTGTGGCCTTTTAATGCAGTTAATAAACTCCCAGTGTGTGGCAGATTCTATACAAAATATGAAAAGTGTCAAAAGAAGCTGGATGGCAGAATTTGTATTTAATTGCCTCTCTCACTTCTTACTTCCCAAGGCCCATTTCAAACAGAGGTGTTCGCTCCTTTCACATTGCCTGCCTAGCATGGCTATTCACCAATGAGGGTGTACTGAATATAATAAAATTAAAATTTAGAAAGGGAAGAAAAAAAAAAAGAAATCCCTTTTTTTTTGAGACGGAGTCTCACTCTGTCACCCAGGCTGGAGTGCAGTGGCACGATCTTGGCTCACTGCAAGCTCTGCCTCCCGGGTTCATGCCATTCTCCTGCCTCAGCCTCCTGAGTAGCTGGGAGAAATCCCTCTTTTAAGAAGGTCCTAAACAGGCAGAGTCTCTTCAACAATTAAAATGATTATCCTTTCCAGTGAAGAGGTCTTTACGGCTGAACACAGCTCTCAAGCCCCTATGGTTCTGATTACTTAAGACCCTCACAGTAAGGTGTTGGCCCTCACAAATAGACACTTATGCAGGGTGAGTAACTAGTTATGTCATGGGGTTAGAAATGTGGATATTATTTGTAATGCCTGTGTATGGTTAATTCGACTTTTACCTGAAATAGGTTTCCATAGGCTAGCAAACCAATATATCTATGTTTTAGGGCCTTAGAGTTAAGATCTTTCCCCGAGTTCAGGTAAGTATATCTAAACTGAAAAACCTGGAGTCAAGATACTTAACTGCTCATAATAATTGCTAAGATATACTGAACCCTTCCTCTATGCCAGGCGCAATTCTAAGTACTTTACATGTATTGAATCACTCACTCTTTCACAAAGCCCTATGAAAAACCCACTTTCCAGATGAAAAAACTGAGACACAGATGGAGTAAATTTTCCTAGAGCACACAGTTAGTAAATGGCAGAAGTGGGATTCAGCTCCTGTCAGTCTGGCTCCAGAACCTGCCTGTAGGCTCTTATGCAATACCGTTCCTCATGGGTAAAGTGTGCCTCTATAAGTTTGTGTGACGTTCCATAAATAAATTACCCATTTACAGATGATGAAACTGAGAGCTCAAGAAAAAGATTTAGAATGTGTTGAAAGCTAGTGAAAGAGCAAGAACATACACCAGGCTCATTAAATTCTAAAGCCCATAAACTCTCATGAATTAATTCACTTCTCTCCATACTATAGTGCTGCTTTTTAAGATAGAATATAAATGACTGTTAACAATAAACATTTTTAAGTAATCGAACACTATTTAGGAATTTAAATAGAAATTATGCAAAATGGAAGAGAAACAAACAGATACACATTTTAGAAAAAGATTTAGTGAGACACAGTGTTGATTCTAACGCGTTTCTTCATAATATTAGCCTAGGGTCATGACATTTTCTACATCCTACTGAGAACAATCACACCACTGCTCCTTGCTATTTTCTTTCCCACCTGGGGATTCAACGCGGCAGCTGATCACTCAGTGACCAGATGAACACCAATGACTGAGAAGTCCTCACAAAAGCATTGCCTTTTTGTGAACTTTACCTCTTTCTGAGCGTAACTGAATGTGCAATGACAGTATGTGAAAGTATTTTACAGGGTACAGACTCAAGGAAATGTAATGTTTTGTTCTCAAATTTGCCTTGAGAATGATGAGCACAGATAGCCTGCAATGTAAAATGTACATTACCTCGGACCTTCATTTTCCCTGATGAAATATTGAAAGTCAATGATGACTCAGGGATTTCCATGTTTTACTTTCAAATTGTGTCAGCTACAATTCACAAAGCCATTTTCTGAAATCCATAGATTTCAGAATCCACTCACACTTCTTTATCTCTCTCCTATAAAAAGAATTACACCACAGGCTCGACCCCACTGATGTTGGACTTAACCTGTAGCTTGTTTTTTGTGGGTTTGTGTTTTTTTGTTTTTTTTGTTTTTTCCTATAGAGACAGGATATCACTCTTTCATTCAGGCTGGAGTGCAGTGGCATCATCATAGTTCACTGCAACCTTGAACTCTTGGGCTCAAGTTATCTTTCTCTCTCAGCCTCCCAAATATCTGGAACTACAGGCATGCACCACCATGTCCAGCTAATTTTTTTTTTTTTTGGAGAGAGATGGGTCTCAATATGTTGCCAGGCTGGTCTTGAACTCCTGGGGTCAAAAGATCCTCTTGCCTCCGTCTTCCAAAGTGTTGGTATTAGAGTCATGAGCCATCCCGCCAGGCCAACACTGCAACTTGTTTTGGCAGATGTGCCGAGAAGAAGCTGTAAATTTTATTGCGTATTTATGCTTCTTTGCCTTCTGTCATGAGAAGGACATATGCTAGAGACCGGTCCTTGAGCTTGCGTCCTGGAATGTGGAGCAGGTCTAAACTCACAGCCATGAGAAGAAGCACTGCATGTAACCAAAAGCCACCAACATGTAAAGTAGCAAGAAAAAAATATGTGTTGTTGTAAGCCATCGAGATTTTGAGGTTGTCATGCAGCATCACATAGTAAAAGTTGATTAATATACTTCCAATGACTTCCCGTTGCTCATAAGTTTCTTAACAATCCAATCAGTCCCCTCATTATCAAATCTCTTTTTCTCTAGCTTCCATCACTCTGCTTTACTCTTCATGGCTACCATTTCTGAGATGTATGTGTTGCCTGATTTGTCTGTTCCTTCGCTTCTGATGCCTTCTGAGTATAACATTGCCCATACATGTAGTCATCTGAATAACTCTTAGTGTGTACCTCCTTAGGAAACATCCACCAACTCCTCATAAGTAGGTTGAAATGCTCCACCATTATACTTCCATTAATACTATATATTGTCTTTAGCATTTAATATTTATCAATTGCCTTAAATGATCTAATACTAAGTATTTAGTAAATATTCAATATTTTGCACACTAAGCACTAGGACAATAATGAGAAACAAGATAATATTATTATTTTCCTTGTGATGTATACAGTCTAACCAATAATCATCAAACCTATCCATTGGGTGAAATCATGTTTTTATGTCTATCTCACACACTAAGCAACGAACTTCCTGGGAACAGGGTCTATGTATGGCACCCCAGAGTGGCTTAATTGCTTCCAGATGCTAAGCCCCAAATTCTGTGTATTGAATGAAATAATGTATAAGTAAATAAGCATACAAATATGTACGTAAGCAAATAAATAGCAAATAAAATAAAGAAATTCTGCTATACATTTGTCTTGAAGTTTTGGATAATATCATGAGACATCAATAGGTCTCCTTTTTTTCATGTGAAAACCCAGGAAATCAGGTTACATAAATGCTCTTGTTTTTCAAATGCAAACTTTAAAAAAAAAAGTCTTGCACAGCGAGCTAGTTCATCACCAAATCTACTTTATCAAAATAAAAAAACAAGAAGAAACTTACCTTGCTTCTTTCAGACCAAGTGCAACAGATTTGCACATATAGATCATTTTGGTTATTTTTATTTCACAATGTTGTAATATCTTAGTGCTAAAGCCTTCTCCAACAGTTGAAAAGTAATGTTGCTTTTGATTTTATTGCCCAATGTGTCTTCTCCACTGGATTCACCAGTATCTTATGGTTTATTTGTTACTATCTGAGAGAATACATAATTCCATCCCATTTTCCCCAGCTTTTCTGCTGAAACTAAAGGAATAATTATTTCAGAGCCCTTTGAGCTATAATAAACATTAAAAGATTAGAACACTAGCTCAAATGTCTATGCTATTTTGGCAGCTAGGTTTTTGTTTTTGTCACTGATTGGTAAGTTAGTGACTTTCACTGGGTTTTCTTGAAAATTTATTCTAAAGAAAAATTTAAGCTTTTCTTTAAAATAATCTACTAATATGACAATTTGACATTTATAATATAGGTTATATAACCACTTTTTTCTTATAATGGATATTGTTGATATTTGATAATCTCCATTTGGAGAGTAAGGGCATGAATAAAATAATTGTCTTTCCATTACCAGTTTATATTATTATAGAAGCTGAATGCTTCTGAATGTATTCAATGTAATAGAAATGTAATTATAATGTAATCAATCACCCATGTATATACACACACACACACACACACACACACACACAGTTTTACTTTGATTTCCCAATTACTTGCTGGAGACAGAAAAGGTTAGAAAAGCACCCCATCTCTTGTCAAACTGAAAATATCATGCTAAGCTTGATCTATTGTTCAAAGAATAAAAATATGCTTCACAAGGATGTACCATGAGCTCAAGAACAGGATTCACTTTTTACAAATACATTACTAAACATTTAAAGTGCCCCTGCCTCAAGATTTTACAGAATTGAAATATAAACAGAATTAAGTTAAAGAATTATAAGAAATCTATGTTGATTGCCAATTATATGTTTTAAAATATATATATAATTAAACCACATTTTCCAAAACAAATGCTTTTATTTTTTAAAGCCATACTTGGCATAGCCAGTTGACCAAATACACACACACACACACACACACACACACACACACACACACACACATACACACACACACACGGAATTTAAAAAGATGCTACTATACAACCAAAACAGAGGCTGGGAGAAGACTCTCAGCTTCTGTTCAATTGTAGCTGAAAGGGTTCAAGAATTTGGACATGGACCAACAGTGGAAAAGTGCTAACCAGTGTAACAACATGCACACGTCTCTGGTTTAATTGCCTGTCCTGAAAGATACAGGTGATAAGACAGCAAGTTTGTTCTACAGGAACTCTTAAGAGGACCCACATTTAACGCTCCAGGAACTGTGGAAAGCACAGGTAGAAAGCAGAGGTAAGGCAACCTCTGATAACATGGCAATTGGCTGAAATTCTATACCCCAAATCTTTAAGCCCCAATGATACCGCCTCAATACTACCAAACTGAACAACTATTGATCCCCTACACACATACACTGTCCACATCTTTGTAAATTGTCTGTTTATTAAATTCCTTACATTATCCCATTTGATCATGCTATCTGTGTAGACGGATATTGTAATTAGTACTAAGAATGGGTCAATGACCGAATCTTCAAAGTGGGGTTCTGGAATTTAGTTATTCATATATGCAAGATATGCATATTCATTTTTTTCTGCAGGAAATAGAAAATAGATAACCTAGTATCTGGCTCATTATGGTCCTAGAGAACAAACATGGGGAAAAAGAGAAATTAAAGGCTATCAACCTGTGGTGAAGGACTTTTTTGGTAGCTATGAAGGAGTCTCTCATCTCTATTGGTAAATGGGCAGATAATGACTAATCAATTAGAGAGTTCATAAAGATGAAATAGACTGCTAGACTATTAAAGTACTGCTTGACATATATAGACGGAAATACTTTTGGTTGCCTGGGAAGAAATCTAACTCACGTTACCATGACAGAGATTTGGCCTCTTACCAATTTTCAGAACTAGACTAGTTCAGACTCCTAGCCTCTTCACTGAGAAAGTATCCTACAGCCTGACAAAACATGTATATTGTGACTCTTTCCCTAAGCTTTTCCATAAGGGACTTCCATGTAACCATTTACTAGATTGACTGTGCTCTAAAAAAAGGAAAACAGCCTGACATTTTAGGGGTTATCAGATATTGACACTGAATTTATGCTAATCCTTGGAGACCCTAAATGCCAATGTGGTCCGCCAGTCAGAAAGGGCTTATAGAAATCAGGTGATAGATGGAAACTTGGCCCAAGCCCACCTAATGGTGGGTCCAAAGTTACCACAGATACATTACAGTATTATGTCCCTGCTCCCAGGAGAGGAAGTATACTTAGTTTAATGGGCAGCATCCACATTGGATCCCTGACCCATGGAGTAACGGCTATTATGTTACTAATGATCAGATGTAAGCTAATGAACCCTCCACTCCTTGGGGATTTACAGAGATTGTGGAGTCCTGAAAAGATAAGTAAGCAACAACAAGAAAGGGACCCCAGGTGTGGGAGAGCCCCATATGGGGAAGAACAATAATCAACTGTTCTGAGAAGTAACTGGCAGACACAACAACCTTGTTCTGCACTCAGCCTCCTCCAGCACAAGCCTGTAAACCTTTCCTCTAGCCCCTGCCTATTTGCAGACAGGCTTCTCTGCTATGCTGCCCATTGCAACCTGGCAACGTATTTTCATATTTTCTCTAGTAAATCTGCCTTTCTTTATCTACGACTGTCTTGGTAAATTCCTTTACAGCCTGTGCCACCAGCCCCAGATAGTTGCTAACCAAGACAGAGATTATTGCCACCATCAAAAACGTGGGTAATATGGGGTGATGATTCATATAAAAGCCCAAGGAATAGACCTTCAACATTGTCTCTCCTTTGTCTTGCCATATTCCCAATATTTTATATTGTATATTCATTAACTGTAAGAGGTGGGCACCTACATATCTGTTTTATGTTTCTCTATACAGTACTTTTAAAATAGCCTGTGCCTTTAATTCCTTCATACTCTTAAAATATCAAAACAATGTAATTTTATAAGAAATGCAATAATTTGAATATTAGCTGATCTGTTCTTGTGAGGAAAATAAAAGTATAAAAAATCAAATCATAGTGCATTACTCAACTCAGCAATACTAGTCAACAATATAAAATAATAATTATTGCCCTCATGCCAGATACACGTTAGTACATAGCAGGAATACTGTGGAAAGGAAATGAGATGGTGGAAAGACAGCTGTGTTTAAGATGGGGAAAATGAGGCACAGAGAAATTAATTGTCCAAGGGTATGTAACTGAAAAACAGTTTAGAGCCAGGGTGCAACCCATGCAATTTGCTCTTGCCTACTACTGCACAGATATAGGATAAATTGTGCGCAAGTGCATGAAACATTGCTTCTTCAACATATCTTTCAGGAAACCTGGAAAGAGGTCAGATTTAAGATTTTATGCAGATGGCTGCCACTTTCGAAAGCTACATGACTAATAAGTCTATAATCTTGGAACATTACTTTGAGCTCTTAGTGGGTTATTTTGGGGAGAATAGGTAAAATTACTATTACAAATTATACTACAACATGACAATTATTCCAGGAGGTCTCTTTAACTTGTTTTGTTTGAGGTTTTGGCTTCCTATTTTAATTTCTATTTTTACTTTCTTTCTCCAATGAACTAATTCTCTTCAGAAATTTTTATTTATATTCCTTGGAATTCTAGAGACATTTTTTAACTGAAAATTTGATTTACTTGCATTTTAGAGCAGAAAACACACACATGCAAAGACAAGAACTGAAGTGAAGGAGATTATTTGCTTTACAATGGACAAAATTCATTGTGGGGTTTGTTATGTCCTAATCATAATTATATTGTCTCACTCTAATGTTCAAATGTATCAAAGCCAAAGTCTCGAGTCTGTACACAGATCATTAAAAAAGATGAGAAGAGAAATAAAGTAAACATTTCATTACTAGAAAAGCAGAAGCCTGAAAAGTCCTTAATACCTGAAATTTACCGTCACTTCCACAGAAACGAGGTAATTTTAACTTCTTTTTGGTAATACTTTTTAACTTTGAAGATGTTCTGATAGAATATAACTCAGGTGGTCTTGATCTCTGCAGTCTTCACTCCCATAACTGGGGACCTCATTCATTCTTCCTTCCTTCCTTCCATCTTTCCTTCTCTTTCTTGCTTTCTTTCTTTTTGTTTCTTTCTTTCTTTCTTCCTTCCTTCCTTCCTTTCTCTCTTCACTTCCTCCACCCCAATAATACCAAGGAGCCCAGGAAGGAAGAAATAAAATAATATAAAAGAACATAAATAATCGGGTGATACACAGAGATAAACTCCACCAGTAAGAGGATGAAAGGAAAATAGAAAATTATCCAAAATTGAGGTGATCTGCTTAAGAAAAATCTAATTTTATTTCTCTACCCAGTTTGTATCTCAACTGTTTCTAATATCATCACACCTAGATAATCTGACTATTCTTAACTTTGTTAAGAATTTTTTTTTACTTATGTGATCCATGTGGACACAAAATCTTTTTTTTTTTTTTCTAAATTTTAAGAATCAGCACTAAGTGCTAAGGCACAGGTCACAAATTCAAGACTCTACAGAGAAAGCAGATAATGGAAATGGGTAAAGCAGCCTTGGCCATAGAAAAACCAGTCTACATGTGGCAGTAAATAGCATTGGAACCTTAGCCTCTGTCTTTAGGGAAAACACCTCCAGCCAAGTGTTTCTGATTCTTAAGAAAACAAACGGAGGAGCCAAGATGGCCGAATAGGAACAGCTCCAGTCTACAGCTCCCAGCGTGAGCGACGCAGAAGACAGTGATTTCTGCATTTCCATCTGAGGTACCGGGTTCATCTCACTAGGGAGTGCCAGACAGTGGGCGCAGGCCAGTGTGTGTGCGCACCGTGCGCGAGCCTAAGCAGGGCGAGGCATTGCCTCACCTGGGAAGCGCAAGGGGTCAGGGAGTTCCCTTTCCGACTCAAAGAAAGGGGTGACGGACGCACCTGGAAAATCGGGTCACTCCCACCCGAATATTGCGCTTTTCAGACCGGCTTAAGAAACGGCGCACCACAAGACTATATCCCACACCTGGCTCGGAGGGTCCTACGCCCACGGAATCTCGCTGATTGCTAGCACAGCAGTCTGAGATCAAACTGCAAGGCGGCAACGAGGCTGGGGGAGGGGCGCCCGCCATTGCCCAGGCTTGCTTAGGTAAACAAAGCAGCCGGGAAGCTCGAACTGGGTGGAGCCCACCACAGCTCAAGGAGGCCTGCCTGCCTCTGTAGGCTCCACCTCTGGGGGCAGGGCACAGACAAACAAAAAGACAGCAGTAACCTCTGCAGACTTAAGTGTCCCTGTCTGACAGCTTTGAAGAGAGCAGTGGTTCTCCCAGCACGCAGCTGGAGATCTGAGAACAGGCAGACTGCCTCCTCAAGTGGGTCCCTGACTCCTGACCCCCGAGCAGCCTAAATGGGAGGCACCCCCCAGCAGGGGCACACTGACACCTCACACGGCAGGGTATTCCAACAGCCCTGCAGCTGAGGGTCCTGTCTGTTAGAAGGAAAACTAACAACCAGAAAGGACATCTACACCAAAAACCCATCTGTACATCACCATCATCAAAGACCAAAAGTAGATAAAACCACAAAGATGGGGAAAAAACAGAACAGAAAAACTGGAAACTCTAAAACGCAGAGCGCCTCTCCTCCTCCAAAGGAACGCAGTTCCTCACCAGCAACAGAACAAAGCTGGATGGAGAATGATTTTGACGAGCTGAGAGAAGAAGGCTTCAGACGATCAAATTACTCTGAGCTACGGGAGGACATTCAAACCAAAGGCAAAGAAGTTGAAAACTTTGAAAAAAATTTAGAAGAATGTATAACTAGAATAACCAATACAGAGAAGTGCTTAAAGGAGCTGATGGAGCTGAAAACCAAGGCTCGAGAACTACGTGAAGAATGCAGAAGCCTCAGGAGCCGATGCGATCAACTGGAAGAAAGGGTATCAGCAATGGAAGATGAAATGAATGAAATGAAGCGAGAAGGGAAGTTTAGAGAAAAAAGAATAAAAAGAAATGAGCAAAGCCTCCAAGAAATATGGGACTATGTGAAAAGACCAAATCTACGTCTGATTGGTGTACCTGAAAGTGATGTGGAGAATGGAACCAAGTTGGAAAACACTCTGCAGGATATTATCCAGGAGAACTTCCCCAATCTAGCAAGGCAGGCCAACGTTCAGATTCAGGAAATACAGAGAACGCGACAAAGATACTCCTCGAGAAGAGCAACTCCAAGACACATAATTGTCAGATTCACCAAAGTTGAAATGGAGGAAAAAATGTTAAGGGCAGCCAGAGAGAAAGGTCGGGTTACCCTCAAAGGAAAGCCCATCAGACTAACAGCAGATCTCTCGGCAGAAACCCTACAAGCCAGAAGAGAGTGGGGGCCAATATTCAACATTCTTAAAGAAAAGAATTTTCAACCCAGAATTTCATATCCAGCCAAACTAAGCTTCATAAGTGAAGGAGAAATAAAATACTTTATAGACAAGCAAATGTTGAGAGATTTTGTCACCACCAGGCCTGCCCTAAAAGAGCTCCTGAAGGAAGCGCTAAACATGGAAAGGAACAACCGGTACCAGCTGCTGCAAAATCATGCCAAAATGTAAAGACCATCGAGACTAGGAAGAAACTGCATCAACTAATGAGCAAAATCACCAGCTAACATCATAATGACAGGATCAAATTCACACATAACAATATTAACTTTAAATATAAATGGACTAAATTCTGCAATTAAAAGACACAGACTGGCAAGTTGGATAAAGAGTCAAGACCCATCAGTGTGCTGTATTCAGGAAACCCATCTCGCATGCAGAGACACACATAGGCTCAAAATAAAAGGATGGAGGAAGATCTACCAAGCCAATGGAAAACAAAAAAAGGCAGGGGTTGCAATCCTACTCTCTGATAAAACAGACTTTAAACCAACAAAGATCAAAAGAGACAAAGAAGGCCATTACATAATGGTAAAGGGATCAATTCAACAAGAGGAGCTAACTATCCTAAATATTTATGCACCCAATACAGGAGCACCCAGATTCATAAAGCAAGTCCTCAGTGACCTACAAAGAGACTTAGACTCCCACACATTAATAATGGGAGACTTTAACACCCCACTGTCAACATTAGACAGATCAACGAGACAGAAAGTCAACAAGGATACCCAGGAATTGAACTCAGCTCTGCACCAAGCAGACCTAATAGACATCTACAGAACTCTCCACCCCAAATCAACAGAATATACATTTTTTTCAGCACCACACCACACCTATTCCAAAATTGACCACATAGTTGGAAGTAAAGCTCTCCTCAGCAAATGTAAAAGAACAGAAATTATAACAAACTATCTCTCAGACCACAGTGCAATCAAACTAGAACTCAGGATTAAGAATCTCACTCAAAGCCGCTCAACTACATGGAAACTGAACAACCTGCTCCTGAATGACTACTGGGTACATAACGAAATGAAGGCAGAAATAAAGATGTTCTTTGAAACCAACGAGAACAAAGACACCACATACCAGAATCTCGGGGACGCATTCAAAGCAGTGTGTAGAGGGAAATTTATAGCACTAAATGCCTACAAGAGAAAGCAGGAAAGATCCAAAATTGACACCCTAACATCACAATTAAAAGAACTAGAAAAGCAAGAGCAAACACATTCAAAAGCTAGCAGAAGGCAAGAAATAACTAAAATCAGAGCAGAACTGAAGGAAATAGAGACACAAAAAACCCTTCAAAAAATCAATGAATCCAGGAGCTGGTTTTTTGAAAGGATCAACAAAATTGATAGACCGCTAGCAAGACTAATAAAGAAAAAAAGAGAGAAGAATCAAATAGACACAATAAAAAATGATAAAGGGGATATCACCACCGATCCCACAGAAATACAAACTACCATCAGAGAATACTACAAACACCTCTACGCAAATAAACTAGAAAATCTAGAAGAAATGGATACATTCCTCGACACATACACTCTCCCAAGACTAAACCAGGAAGAAGTTGAATCTCTGAATAGACCAATAACAGGCTCTGAAATTGTGGCAATAATCAATAGTTTACCAACCAAAAAGAGTCCAGGACCAGATGGATTCACAGCCGAATTCTACCAGAGGTACAAGGAGGAGTTGGTACCATTCCTTCTGAAACTATTCCAATCAATAGAAAAAGAGGGAATCCTCCCTAACTCATTTTATGAGGCCAGCATCATTCTGATACCAAAGCCGGGCAGAGACACAACCAAAAAAGAGAATTTTAGACCAATATCCTTGATGAACATTGATGCAAAAATCCTCAATAAAATACTGGCAAACCGAATCCAGCAGCACATCAAAAAGCTTATCCACCATGATTAAGTGGGCTTCATCCCTGGGATGCAAGGCTGGTTCAATATACGCAAATCAATAACTGTAATCCAGCATATAAACAGAGCCAAAGACAAAAACCACATGATTATCTCAATAGATGCAGAAAAAGCCTTTGACAAAACTCAACAACCCTTCATGCTAAAAACTCTCAATAAATTAGGTATTGATGGGACGTATTTCAAAATAATAAGAGCTATCTATGACAAACCCACAGCCAATATCATACTGAATGGGCAAAAACTGGAAGCATTCCCTTTGAAAACCGGCACAAGACAGGGATGCCCTCTCTCACCACTCCTATTCAACATAGTGTTGGAAGTTCTGGCCAGGGCAATCAGGCAGGAGAAGGAAATAAAGGGTATTCAATTAGGAAAAGAGGAAGTCAAATTGTCCCTGTTTGCAGATGACATGATTGTTTATCTAGAAAACCCCATCGTCTCAGCCCAAAATCTCCTTAAGCTGATAAGCAACTTCAGCAAAGTCTCAGGATACAAAATCAATGTACAAAAATCACAAGCATTCTTATACACCAACAACAGACAAACAGAGAGCCAAATCATGGGTGAACTCCCATTCACAATTGCTTCAAAGAGAATAAAATACCTAGGAATCCAACTTACAAGGGATGTGAAGGACCTCTTCAAGGAGAACTACAAACCACTGCTCAAGGAAATAAAAGAGGATACAAACAAATGGAAGAACATTCCATGCTCATGGGTAGGAAGAATCAATATCGTGAAAATGGCCATACTGCCCAAGGTAATTTACAGATTCAATGCCATCCCCATCAAGCTACCAATGACTTTCTTCACAGAATTGGAAAAAACTACTTTAAAGTTCATATGGAACCAAAAAAGAGCCCGCATTGCCAAGTCAATCCTAAGCCAAAAGAACAAAGCTGGAGGCATCACACTACCTGACTTCAAACTATACTACAAGGCTACAGTAACCAAAACAGCATGGTACTGGTACCAAAACAGAGATATAGATCAATGGAACAGAACAGAGCCCTCAGAAATAATGCCGCATATCTACAACTATCTGATCTTTGACAAACCTGAGAAAAACAAGCAATGGGGAAAGGATTCCCTATTTAATAAATGCTGCTGGGAAAACTGGCTAGCCATATGTAGAAAGCTGAAACTGGATCCCTTCCTTACACCTTATACAAAAATCAATTCAAGATGGATTAAAGATTTAAACGTTAAACCTAAAACCATAAAAACCCTAGAAGAAAACCTAGGCATTACCATTCAGGACATAGGCGTGGGCAAGGACTTCATGTCCAAAACACCAAAAGCAATGGCAACAAAAGCCAAAATTGACAAATGGGATCTAATTAAACTAAAGAGCTTCTGCACAGCAAAAGAAACTACCATCAGAGTGAACAGGCAACCTACAACATGGGAGAAAATTTTCGCAACCTACTCATCTGACAAAGGGCTAATATCCAGAATCTACAATGAACTCAAACAAATTTACAAGAAAAAAACAAACAACCCCATCAAAAAGTGGGCGAAGGACATGAACAGACACTTCTCAAAAGAAGACATTTATGCAGCCAAAAAACACATGAAGAAATGCTCATCATCACTGGCCATCAGAGAAATGCAAATCAAAACCACTATGAGATATCATCTCACACCAGTTAGAATGGCAATCATTAAAAAGTCAGGAAACAACAGGTGCTGGAGAGGATGTGGAGAAATAGGAACACTTTTACACTGTTGGTGGGACTGTAAACTAGTTCAACCATTGTGGAAGTCAGTGTGGCGATTCCTCAGGGATCTAGAACTAGAAATACCATTTGACCCAGCCATCCCATTACTGGGTATATACCCAAATGACTATAAATCATGCTGCTATAAAGACACATGCACACGTATGTTTATTGCGGCACTATTCACAATAGCAAAGACTTGGAACCAACCCAAATGTCCAACAATGATAGACTGGATTAAGAAAATGTGGCACATATACACCATGGAATACTATGCAGCCATAAAAAATGATGAGTTCATATCCTTTGTAGGGACATGGATGAAATTGGAAACCATCATTCTCAGTAAACTATCGCAAGAACAAAAAACCAAACACCGCATATTCTCACTCATAGGTGGGAATTGAACAATGAGATCACATGGACACAGGAAGGGGAATATCACACTCTGGGGACTGTGGTGGGGTCGGGGGAGGGGGGAGGGATAGCATTGGGAGATATACCTAATGCTAGATGACACATTAGTGGGTGCAGCGCACCAGCATGGCACATGTATACATATGTAACTAACCTGCACAATGTGCACATGTACCCTAAAACTTAGAGTATAATAAAAAAAAAAAAAAAAAGAAAACAAACAAAAAATGTGATTATTATGCACCGTTGGTCATGGGCATTTTTTCCCCAAGACCCCATTCTGATTCTGGGCTTGCTTTCCAGTGAGTTTTATGTGCTTCAAACAGGAAACTTGATTAACCCAAAAGACAGGCTTCCCTAAGCAACAGAAGTAGCCTAGAGGAGGCATTTACACCAGAAAAAAGAGACATTAAACTACCTCGTTCCTCCCACAAAAAGCACAAACTCCAATACCATAGTTCAACTGTGGCTGCTTTACCTGAATCAAAAATCCTCCTCTTCAATGGGGATAAAAGGGTATCTCAGTTATCCCTAGAGCTTTCCATTAGCAGATTTGTTTTAAGGAATAAAAATGTAAAAAATCCATACCACAGTAAAAAGATAATTTAAATATGAAATATTCATATGCATATACAAAAGTAAACACATACAGGTTTCCAAATATAGTATTTAAGGGTTCCGTATCTGTGGGTTCTGTATCTATAGGGTTTGTGTCTGTGGATTTAACCAACTGTGGATTGAAAATATTTGGATGTAAAAGTGTCTGTAGTAAAACATGTTTGGACTCTTTTTCCATGCCATTATTGCTTAAATAGTACAATATGACAACTATTTACAAAGCATTACATTGAATTATGTATTAAAAGTAATCTAGAGATGATTTAAAGTATACAGGAGGATGTGTGGAAGGATATAGAATATTATGCCATTTTATATCAGGGACTTGAGTTTCCACAGATTTCGGTATCCCCAGGGCTCTTGAACCAACCCCCAAGGATATCCAGGGACAACTGCACATAGAAATGAAATACTGTTGGGGGAAGTATTACCTTCTACTATAATTGTAAGCAATTCAACACTATATTCTAAAATTAAAAATATACAGATCCTTTGACTAGGCCATTTCATACCTGGGAAACTATCTCATTAAAATATAAGCATGGATAAGTAAAAACATACACAGCAGGCAAAACCTAGAACAAGGTCAACAGCCATCAATAGGAGAACACCTGAAGAGTTATAGCATAGCCATGCCATATTCTATTTTTTTTTTTTTTTTTTTTGAGACGGAGTCTTGCTCTGTCGTCCAGGCTGGTGTGCAGTGGCACATCTCCGCTCACTGCAAGCTCCGCCTCCTCGGTTCACGCCATTCTCCTGCCTCAGCCTCCCTCGTAGCTGGAACTACAGGCACCTGCCACCGTGCCTGGCTAATTTTTTGTATTTTTTTAGTACAGACGGGGTTTCACCGTGTTAGCCAGGATGGTCTGGATCTCCTGACCTCGTGATCCACCCGCCTCGGCCTCCCAACGTGCTGGGATTACAGGCGTGAGCCACTGTGCCCAGCATATTCTACATTATTATGCTGTCATTAATAAAATCAAATAGAGCTACATCAGGTGGCTTGAAGACTTTTCATTATGTATGGTTTCATTAGAAAAGCAAGAGGCAAGCAAGTATGCATAATATAATCTCATGTGATTCCACCGTTTGAACATTCATAATTAACAAGAACATTCATAATTACTTTGCCTTCATGTATGTGTGTGTGTTCATGAACACACGTAGGATTATTATTTGAGTAAAGAGAAAAATATGAATGGTCCATATTATTACATTATTATGTTTTTAATATGGGTTATCAGGGAGAGGAGAGGTTAATGGAGATGAGGAGACAAAGTGTCCCCATTCTTTCTCTCAAAAAAAATTATCTTAACAAGTATATAGTCACACATACAGATGTATGTGTGTGGATATGTCAATACCACTATAAAGAAATTTTTAAATTAAAAAACTGTGTATAATAAAATGAGTTTATTCACTCATTGAGGAGACATGTATAAAAGATTTGGTAAGTGACATATTAGTAAGGGCAACTTCTCTGTATTCATCTGTTTGTTCTGATTTTCTTCATGTTCTCAATCTGTAATTGTCCACAGTTTACACCTTTGTTACAAATTCTCTTTTATTTTTCTGACTTTGGGCCTCTCCTTCCTTCTTTGCCCACATATGCTTAAGGAGTTTCCTCTTGCTTGGAACATATTGGGCTTTCCTGCTTCTCTTCTCCGGAGATGACCTTTCCTCAACTTGTGAGACAATTCAGATATCTGTTCCTTCTTGTTGCCTCTCTCACCCCATGAGCAATCTCTTATCCTCATCCAAGATTCTCTGGCATACTATGGCAGTGCAAGTGTGATTTTTTATTATGCTTTATGAATTTTTGCAGGAATAGTAACTTCAATAGTAGGCTTGCTCTAGAGAATAATCTACCTTTAGGAACCTCTCAATTCAAGCTGATAATATTCTTTGAGTTTCTGTGGCAGGCATTTGATCATCTCCCTATTGGAAAAAGAAAACTTTTTTCTCTAGATATACCGATAGCAAGTTTTTTCTTTACAAAATGGAGATATGCCTAACTTCATAATGTGTCAGTCACAATTTATTACATGGCAATACCTGCCTAATTTTTCACTCAAATGAACAAAACCATGATTTCTTAGTTATCAAATAGACAAAGTTAACCTAAAAAAATGTTCATTGTTATCTAAGATGAGTGACAGGGTGTGCTCATAAGTGAAAATAAAATTGTTTATCATTATAACCTTTCTGGAGGGCAATTTTGTAATATACCTCAAGAGCCTTAAATATTCACATCCTTTGACTGACTCATTACACATTTGGATATTTGTACTGAGAAATGATCAAGAGTTATCACAAAGATTTTTGTGCAAAATTATTTATGGAGAATTTAAACAGATATCTAATCACAGAGGAACAGTTAAATAAAATATAGTATAACTAAATGATACAAGTATGCGACCAGTAAAATTAAGACTTCGTATTAGAAAATCAAGCTCAAATAAGAAAAATATACATGAATAATATTAATTGGTAAAAGCAGCATGAAAAAATTTTGTGCAAAATCTAACTAATGTGTGTTTGTGGTATCTATCCACCTTTCTATACAATTTACTGAGTAATTATATATACATAAATAAATATATATTTTTAGAAAAGGGAGAAAGAATTACATCAACATAGTTATAATTATCTCTGAGTGGCAGCATTTTTATGGCATAGTCCTCTTTTTATATTTTTCTAGTTCTGAAAATTCTACGATAAATATATATTGCTTTAATAACTTGCTTTTTAAAAAGCAATCAGGTAGAAATAGAAAATGCCATAGATAGAGGTACAATCCCATTGTACTACTTTTTCCTTCTCTTCTCTTCTACACTTGGAAAAATTGATCTACTTCTTCACTGTTTATGAATTCTCCTGTGGATGAACAATGGCTTGTGCCCACTTTTTCACAAGAGTGCTTCAACACATATGATTGTAAAGTTCTGCTTTTTTACTGTGTAATATTTTCTATGGTATATGATTAAAGAAATATTGCAAAATGTTAACATTTTAAAATCAGGGGTGGGGGAGAGCTCATAGATGCCTGTCACGTTATTTTCTCTACTTTTTATGTTTGAAATATTTTATGAGTAAAAATACATGAAAAATAAAACAGATGTATGAAATACAGTATTTAATATTTTTCTTTTAAATTTGTTAAATTGCCATTATTTGATTAAGTACATATTTTAAAGGCTGTGTGCCATCCTGGTAGTCAAAACATCAACTCAAACTGTCTCTTAGCGAACCAAAGGCTTTAGTACTTCATGCTACATGGCTGGACTTACTACAGCACGTCTTAGGCAGAAGACATTTCTCCATTTTCATTGAAATAAATCATATGACAATTGCCTAGAAATTTTTATAAAACTTTCAATTCACTGATTTATATATGTACCATTAGCAAGTGTGGAAAACTGTGAGAAAGTATTACTTTCTTAATTTTTGACCAAACAGGAAAGTTGTTCTTCTTTTACATAAGAAAACATATTTTACCTGCTACATTAAGCCAAGAAATAAAAAATTAAAAAGAAGAGTCTTTAAACCAAGAATCAAATGTATCAGCCCCTTTCTGTAAATTTGCATCGGGCTTTGAGATTTGTTATTGGTTTTTGTGAGAGACCAGTCAGAATCCTCCTTTATGAGCCATAAAAGCCTTTGATCCTGACAATTAATTACTTATTTTTCCCATTTCTCTAGGGAAAAAGAAAAAATTAATTAACATTAAACAAGTTATACCAGGCTTTATGTGTCACCTTCCAGAAATTAATTATACATAATACAAAAAGACAAGAGCACATGTAGTTTTTTTTTCTTTTGTTTTTTATTTTACTTTAAGTTCTGGGATACATGTGCAGAATGTGCAGCTTTGTTACATAGGTATACATGTGCCATGGCGGTTTGCTGCACCTATCAACCTGTTATCTAAGTTTTAGGTCCCACATGCATTTGGTATTTGTCCTAATGCTTTCCCTCTCCTTGCCCCACATCCCTCAACAGGCTCTAGCGTGTGATGTTCCCTTCCCTGTGTCCATGGGTTCTCATCGTTCAGCTCCCACTTATGAGTGAGAACACACAGTGTTTGTTTTTCTGTTCCTGTGTTAGTTTGCTGAGAATGATGGCCTCCAGCTTCATTCATGCCCCTGCAAAGGACAGGAACTCATCCTTTTTTATGGCTGCATAGTATTCCATGATGTAAATGAGCACATGTAGTTTTTATTAAAGTTTGGCTAATAAAACAAAGTCTTTAACAGACATGTGTCATACTAGCTGTAAAAAGTTTCTCAGAAATAATTTAAAGGGAACTGGCCTTTGGTGTTTCCAATTAAGCAGCACATAAGTGAGCAAGACCTGTCATTTCTGCCATGAGAGAGGTAACAAATGTTAGGACGTCCTCCTCACATCTAAGTCAGCACCATTCATTGTTCTCTCCCAAACTCCCAATTTGCCTGCAATGTGTGCACAAATCCTAGTGACATAGTATGTCTTGGGTAGAAAAAAGAAGTGACAATAAAGATGATTTAACTAGCCTCTATCTCTGAGTTTCTTTATATTTCCATCTCTTTGCATTTAAAAAATATCAAAATAAAGCCTAGTTCAAAGAAGAGAGTTGTCACTACTTCTCTCAAGTTTCTAAGAGAATGGTGTAATATTATGTAACAAGAAATAGCATAATCTCAGTGAGAGAAACTTCCTGTACTTAGAACAACTGAATTGTAGAAGTTTATGGCTTAATAAATGTGGGCGGAATTGAATTTTTTAGTTAAAAAAGAACATGGAACTTGTGCTTCTGGCTATGGTGAAGTAGACTGCAACAGCACAAAGTTTACTGAAAGCAATAAAAGAAGTTAAGCAAAATTCAAAATCAGGGAAGAAAACATGTTTGAAGGCATTAAGAGAGGTTGTGATTCAATCAGAACTTGAGGGGTTAATATTCCAAAGGAAAGAAAACTTCAGAGAGATGAGCCACCGTATTATGAGATGCTTTTTTCCTTCAAGGATTTGCTAATTCTAGGCAAAGACTGAATTATGGACAGCAAAAATGGATGAAAAATTGGCAAGAAGAATAGGAGCTATATGGCAAACAATGGGAAGATCCTGCATATATATAACCGGAGACATGTGGGAATAGGAGAGAGATAATGGGACAGGTACAAATTTGTAGAGACAATGTCCAAATATTTTCTAATACTGGTGAAAGACATTATGCTACAAATTTTTAAAACATTTCAAACTCCAAAAAGGTTAGATACAAAGAAGACTAACAAGATCATAGTAACACCACCCAAAAACAAAGGAAACAAATTTCTTAAAGCAGCCATAGATAAAAGATACATTAGCTTCAAGAGGGCAAGGAGACTATAGCTGACTTTTCAACAGAAATAATGGCAACTAAAAGATAGTGAAACAGCATTTTTAAATGTTAGTGGAAAATTATTGCCAATCCTGAATTCTGTAAGAAGTGAAATTGTCCTTTAAAGAAGAAATACATAAATGTCCAGATAAGCAAAACTAAGATAATGTGTTGTTAAAGATGTCCACTACATCTAAATAAAATGATCTAAAGTGGAAGCATAATAATGCAAGAAAGAATAAAAAGCAATTATAAAAGAAGATATGTAAGTAAATTAAAAGATTGTACAAAAAATAGTCAATTATAATTGCTTTTGTCTTCCTTCAGCTCAGTAATGAAACCTTGCAGAATGTTGGGGTAAATGGGTCCGTGGGTTAAAATGTATGTATCATTAGTTATCAATAAAAGAAGTACCTAATCTTATAATGAGCATCTGTAAAAATTCCACAGTGAACATTATGCTTAATAGTAAAACACTGAGTGTTTGCCCTGAAATTATAAAAGATAAATGTCTGTTATTATTACTTTTATTCAAAGGAAGGTCCAAGCCAGTATAATAATAATTTCTTTTCCCAGGAAAAGAAACTAACAACCAGAAAGGACAGACTGAAATGAATAGTTGCACAGAAAATCTAAAAAGAGTCTACAACTGTTTGAATTAACTAGTCAATTTAGCAATGGGGCCAGACAGAATATCAATATGCAAAATTATTTGTATTTATATTCTGGCAAAATAAATAGAAATAAAAATATTAAAAACTATACAATTTGAAATAACCCAAAACCATTAAATACGTAGGAATAAACCTAACAAATGATGTGGAAGAGCTCTACATCAAGAATTACAAGACAATATGGGGAAAAATGTAAGAAATCTGAAATAAATAGAAAAATATACCTGCTACATAGATTGAAAGACTAGGATTTTAAAGACATCAAGTCTCTCCAGATTGATTTCATAAACCTGGGACAATTACAATCAAAATCTTGGTAGGAATTTGTTTTTCTCTTTGTTTTTGTTTTAGTTTTTGGAAATTGATTCTAAATTTATATATAAAAATACAAATGACAAAAAATAACCAAGACAATCTTAAAGAAGGAAAATTAGAAAGCTAGAGGGCCCGTACAATTAGTTATTAAGGTTTATTTTAAAGTAATTGAGAAAGTGTCATATAAGATACAAGAATCACAAGTAGAAAAATGGGACAGTTGTTGAGTCAACTGAAATTCAGTCCAAAAAAGTAAAATTTGAATCAAACTTCATACTCTATGCAAAAATCAATTCCAGAAAAATTGGATACCTAAATGTTAAAAGTCAAAAGACAAAGCTCCCACAGGGAAAAAAATAAACATTTTGATGCTAATGTTATGATGATGGGGGAAGCAATGATTTCTTCAACTGATACAAAAATCCACAACCACACTGAAATAATTACAAATAAAATATTAAAACAAATAAATTATCTTCATTAAAAGACATCAGTGGGGGAGGAGCCAAGATGGCCGAATAGGAACAGCTCCAGTCTACAGCTCCCAGCGTGAGCGACGCAGAAGACGGGTGATTTCTGCATTTCCATCTGAGGTACCGGGTTCATCTCACTAGGGAGTGCCAGACAGTGGGCGCAGGCCAGTGTGTGCGCGCACTGTGCGCGAGCCGAAGCAGGGCGAGGCATTGCCTCACCTGGGAAGCGCAAGGGGTCAGGGAGTTCCCTTTCCGAGTCAAAGAAAGGGGTGACGAACGCACCTGGAAAATCGGGTCACTCCCACCCGAATATTGCGCTTTTCAGACCGGCTTAAAAAACGGCGCACCACGAGACTATATCCCACACCTGGCTGAGAGGGTCCTACGCCCACGGAATCTCGCTGATTGCTAGCACAGCAGTCTGAGATCAAACTGCAAGGCGGCAACGAGGCTGGGGGAGGGGCGCCCGCCATTGCCCAGGCTTGCTTAGGTAAACAAAGCAGCCGGGAAGCTCGAACTGGGTGGAGCCCACCACAGCTCAAGGAGGCCTGCCTGCCTCTGTAGGCTCCACCTCTAGGGGCAGGGCACAGAAAAACAAAAAGACAGCAGTAACCTCTGCAGACTTAAGTGTCCCTGTCTGACAGCTTTGAAGAGAGCAGTGGTTCTCCCAGCACGCAGCTGGAGATCTGAGAACAGGCAGACTGCCTCCTCAAGTGGGTCCCTGACCCCTGACCCCCGAGCAGCCTAAATGGGAGGCACCCCCCAGCAGGGGCACACTGACACCTCACACGGCAGGGTATTCCAACAGACCTGCAGCTGAGGGTCCTGTCTGTTAGAAGGAAAACTAACAACCAGAAAGGACATCTACATCGAAAACCCATCTGTACATCACCATCATCAAAGACCAAAAGTAGATAAAACCACAAAGATGGGGAAAAAACAGAATAGAAAAACTGGAAACTCTAAAACGCAGAGCGCCTCTCCTCCTCCAAAGGAACGCAGTTCCTCACCAGCAACGGAACAAAGCTGGATGGAGAATGATTTTGACGAGCTGAGAGAAGAAGGCTTCAGAGAATCAAATTACTCTGAGCTATGGGAGGACATTCAAACCAAAGGCAAAGAAGTTGAAAACTTTGAAAAACATTTAGAAGAATGTATAACTAGAATAACCAATACAGAGAAGTGCTTAAAGGAGCTGATGGAGCTGAAAACCAAGGCTCGAGAACTACATGAAGAATGCAGAAGCCTCAGGAGCCGATGCGATCAACTGGAAGAAAGGGTATCAGCAATGGAAGATGAAATGAATGAAATGAAGCGAGAAGGGAAGTTTAGAGAAAAAAGAATAAAAAGAAATGAGCAAAGCCTCCAAGAAATATGGGACTATGTGAAAAGACCAAATCTACGTCTGATTGGTGTACCTGAAAGTGATGTGGAGAATGGAACCAAGTTGGAAAACACTCTGCAGGATATTATCCAGGAGAACTTCCCCAATCTAGCAAGGCAGGCCAACATTCAGATTCAGGAAATACAGAGAACGCCACAAAGATACTCCTCGAGAAGAGCAACTCCAAGACACATAATTGTCAGATTCACCAAAGTTGAAATGAAGGAAAAAATGTTAAGGGCAGCCAGAGAGAAAAGTCGGGTTACCCTCAAAGGAAAGCCCATCAGACTAACAGCGGATCTCTCGGCAGAAACCCTACAAGCCAGAAGAGAGTGGGGGCCAATATTCAACATTCTTAAAGAAAAGAATTTTCAACCCAGAATTTCATATCCAGCCAAACTAAGCTTCATAAGTGAAGGAGAAATAAAATACTTTATAGACAAGCAAATGCTGAGAGATTTTGTCACCACCAGGCCTGCCCTAAAAGAGCTCCTGAAGGAAGCGCTAAACATGGAAAGGAACAACCGGTACCAGCCGCTGCAAAATCATGCCAAAATGTAAAAACCATCGAGACTAGGAAGAAACTGCATCAACTAACGAGCAAAATCACCAGCTAACATCATAATGACAGGATCAAATTCACACATAACAATATTAACTTTAAATATAAATGGACTAAATTCTGCAATTAAAAGACACAGACTGGCAAGTTGGATAAAGAGTCAAGACCCATCAGTGAGCTGTATTCAGGAAACCCATCTCATATGCAGAGACACACATAGGCTCAAAATAAAAGGATGGAGGAAGATCTACCAAGCCAATGGAAAACAAAAAAAGGCAGGGGTTGCAATCCTAGTCTCTGATAAAACAGACTTTAAACCAACAAAGATCAAAAGAGACAAAGAAGGCCATTACATAATGGTAAAGGGATCAATTCAACAAGAGGAGCTAACTAGCCTAAATATTTATGCACCGAATACAGGAGCACCCAGATTCATAAAGCAAGTCCTGAGTGACCTACAAAGAGACTTAGACTCCCACACATTAATAATGGGAGACTTTAACACCCCACTGTCAACATTAGACAGATCAACGAGACAGAAAGTCAACAAGGATACCCAGGAATTGAACTCAGCTCTGCACCAAGCGGACCTAATAGACATCTACAGAACTCTCCACCCCAAATCAACAGAATATACATTTTTTTCAACACCACACCACACCTATTCCAAAATTGACCACATAGTTGGAAGTAAAGCTCTCCTCAGCAAATGTAAAAGAACAGAAATTATAACAAACTATCTCTCAGACCACAGTGCAATCAAACTAGAACTCAGGATTAAGAATCTCACTCAAAGCCGCTCAACTACATGGAAACTGAACAACCTGCTCCTGAATGACTACTGGGTACATAACGAAATGAAGGCAGAAATAAAGATGTTCTTTGAAACCAACAAGAACAAAGACACCACATACCAGAATCTCTGGGACGCATTCAAAGCAGTGTGTAGAGGGAAATTTATAGCACTAAATGCCTACAAGAGAAAGCAGGAAAGATCCAAAATTGACACCCTAACATCACAATTAAAAGAACTAGAAAAGCAAGAGCAAACACATTCAAAAGCTAGCAGAAGGCAAGAAATAACTAAAATCAGAGCAGAACTGAAGGAAATAGAGACACAAAAAACCCTTCAAAAAATCAATGAATCCAGGAGCTGGTTTTTTGAAAGGATCAACAAAATTGATAGACCGCTAGCAAGACTAATAAAGAAAAAAAGAGAGAAGAATCAAATAGACACATTAGAAAATGATAAAGGGGATATCACCACCGATCCCACAGAAATACAAACTACCATCAGAGAATACTACAAACACCTCTACGCAAATAAACTAGAAAATCTAGAAGAAATGGATACATTCCTCGACACATACACTCTCCCAAGACTAAACCAGGAAGAAGTTGAATCTCTGAATAGACCAATAACAGGATCTGAAATTGTGGCAATAATCAATAGTTTACCAACCAAAAAGAGTCCAGGACCAGATGGATTCACAGCTGAATTCTACCAGAGGTACAAGGAGGAGTTGGTACCATTCCTTCTGAAACTATTCCAATCAATAGAAAAAGAGGGAATCCTCCCTAACTCATTTTATGAGGCCAGCATCATTCTGATACCAAAGCCGGGCAGAGACACAACCAAAAAAGAGAATTTTAGACCAATATCCTTGATGAACATTGATGCAAAAATCCTCAATAAAATACTGGCAAACTGAATCCAGCAGCACATCAAAAAGCTTATCCACCATGATCAAGTGGGCTTCATCCCTGGGATGCAAGGCTGGTTCAATATACGCAAATCAATAACTGTAATCCAGCATATAAACAGAGCCAAAGACAAAAACCACATGATTATCTCAATAGATGCAGAAAAAGCCTTTGACAAAATTCAACAACCCTTCATGCTAAAAACTCTCAATAAATTAGGTATTGATGGGACGTATTTCAAAATAATAAGAGCTATCTATGACAAACCCACAGCCAATATCATACTGAATGGGCAAAAACTGGAAGCACTCCCTTTGAAAACTGGCACAAGACAGGGATGCCCTCTCTCACCACTCCTATTCAACATAGTGTTGGAAGTTCTGGCCAGGGCAATCAGGAAGGAGAAGGAAATAAAGGGCATTCAATTAGGAAAAGAGGAAGTCAAATTGTCCCTGTTTGCAGACGACATGATTGTTTATCTAGAAAACCCCATCGTCTCAGCCCAAAATCTCCTTAAGCTGATAAGCAACTTCAGCAAAGTCTCAGGATACAAAATCAATGTACAAAAATCACAAGCATTCTTATACACTAACAACAGACAAACAGAGAGCCAAATCATGAGTGAACTCCCATTCACAATTGCTTCAAAGAGAATAAAATACCTAGGAATCCAACTTACAAGGGATGTGAAGGACCTCTTCAAGGAGAACTACAAACCACTGCTCAAGGAAATAAAAGAGGATACAAACAAATGGAAGAACATTCCATGCTCATGGGTAGGAAGAATCAATATCGTGAAAATGGCCATACTACCCAAGGTAATTTACAGATTCAATGCCATCCCCATCAAGCTACCAATGACTTTCTTCACAGAATTGGAAAAAACTACTTTAAAGTTCATATGGAACCAAAAAAGAGCCCGCATCGCCAAGTCAATCCTAAGCCAAAAGAGCAAAGCTGGAGGCATCACACTACCTGACTTCAAACTATACTACAAGGCTACAGTAACCAAAACAGCATGGTACTGGTACCAAAACAGAGATATAGATCAATGGAACAGAACAGAGCCCTCAGAAATAATGCCGCATATCTACAACTATCTGATCTTTGACAAACCTGAGAAAAACAAGCAATGGGGAAAGGATTCCCTATTTAATCAATGGTGCTGGGAAAACTGGCTAGCCATATGTAGAAAGCTGAAACTGGATCCCTTCCTTACACCTTATACAAAAATCAATTCAAGATGGATTAAAGATTTAAACGTTAGACCTAAAACCATAAAAACCCTAGAAGAAAACCTAGGCATTACCATTCAGGACATAGGCGTGGGCAAGGACTTCATGTCCAAAACACCAAAAGCAATGGCAACAAAAGCCAAAATTGACAAATGGGATCTAATTAAACTAAAGAGCTTCTGCACAGCAAAAGAAACTACCATCAGAGTGAACAGGCAACCTACAACATGGGAGAAAATTTTCGCAACCTACTCATCTGACAAAGGGCTAATATCCAGAATCTACAATGAACTCAAACAAATTTACAAGAAAAAAACAAACAACCCCATCAAAAAGTGGGCGAAGGACATGAACAGACACTTCTCAAAAGAAGACATTTATGCAGCCAAAAAACACATGAAAAAATGCTCATCATCACTGGCCATCAGAGAAATGCAAATCAAAACCACTATGAGATATCATCTCACACCAGTTAGAATGGCGATCATTAAAAAGTCAGGAAACAACAGGTGCTGGAGAGGATGTGGAGAAATAGGAACACTTTTACACTGTTGGTGGGACTGTAAACTAGTTCAACCATTGTGGAAGTCAGTGTGGCGATTCCTCAGGGATCTAGAACTAGAAATACCATTTGACCCAGCCATCCCATTACTGGGTATATACCCAAATGACTATAAATCATGCTGCTATAAAGACACATGCACACGTATGTTTATTGTGGCATTATTCACAATAGCAAAGACTTGGAACCAACCCAAATGTCCAACAATGATAGACTGGATTAAGAAAATGTGGCACATATACACCATGGAATACTATGCAGCCATAAAAAATGATGAGTTCATGTCCTTTGTAGGGACATGGATGAAATTGGAAACCATCATTCTCAGTAAACTATCGCAAGAACAAAAAACCAAACACCGCATATTCTCACTCATAGGTGGGAATTGAACAATGAGATCACATGGACACAGGAAGGGGAATATCACACTCTGGGGACTGTGGTGGGGTGGGGGGATGGGGGAGGGATAGCATTGGGAGATATACCTAATGCTAGATGACACGTTAGTGGGTACAGCGCACCAGCATGGCACATGTATACATATGTAACTAACCTGCACAATGTGCACATGTACCCTAAAACTTAAAGTATAATAATAATAAAAAAAAGAAAAAATAATAATAAATAAAAGACATCAGTGAAAAAACAACTCTCTGAGCCAAAAAAAAAAAAAAAAAAAAAAAAAAAAAAAAGATATTGGCCGGAAGCGACAGCTCATGCCTATAATCCCAGCACTTTGGGAGGCCAAGGCAGGTGGTCAGGAGTTCGACACCAGCCTGCCCAACATGGTGAAGTCCTGTTCTACTAAATTTACAAAAAAAGAAAAAAAAAATTAGCTGAGCGTGGTGGCGCATGCCTGTAATCCTAGCTACTCAGGAGGCCAATGCAGGAGAATAGCCTGAACCTGGGAGGCAGAGGTTACAGTGAGCCAAGATTGCACCATTGCACTCCAGCCTGGGCAACAAGAGCAAAACTCCGTCAAAATAAATAAATAAATAAATAACCACAATGCAAATATCCAATGCAAGACTTACAAGAAAATGTCCAACAATACAGAAAACACAGACACCAGAGTGTTTAAAATAAAAATATTGATAATACCAAGTGTTGGAAAGTGTGTAGAGCAACTATCTGCTGAAGTTGAACTTATTTATGACATGACATAACATTGACACTTCTACATGTATAGCCAACATAAATTCATACATATGTTTGCTAAAAACATGCACCAAAATATTCCTAATGAAACTATTGGTAATATCCACAATAATTTTTTTAAAAACCCCGAAACAACTCAAATATCTATCAAGAATAGAAAAGATAATTAAATGGTATTTTGTCAAACATATAATACTATACATCAGCAGGAATCTATCAAATAGTGTTAAATGTAACAAAATAAATGAATTTCACAAATGAAATTTTGAAGAAGATGAACCAGAGAAAAGAGGATGTGCTATATGGTTCTATTTGTACAAGTTCAGAAGCAAAACTTGGGAGATAAAAGCCCTTTTGTTACACATAATTGTAGAACACCAGGGGAAGTATTCTTACTGGGAAATGGGTCCTATGAGCCCAGTGAAAGGTAGCAAATAAATGAATGGAGAAGTAGACTGTGAATGTGAAAGTGCTAATATTCAAACTGATTCAAACCTTCCCATTTTCTCTAATTTGTAATAGTAGTTTACTTCCAGTAATACAAAAACCATCAGGGATAGTGTCTGTATAGTTCTAAATATTATTTGTACTCAATTCAACCACTCACTGAATAACATTCTACCCAACATTCTGCAAAGTTTTATTACTGAGCTGAAGGAATACAAAAGAATCTCCCAAAATTCCCAGGTAGAAGAAAACCTATATTTGAACCACATAATTCAGGGTAGCAGATGCTAAAAACAGCCGGAGTACATGACTGTTTGCAAAATATTGAAACATATATTTTTATTTTGAGGAAAGGTATTCAGAGGAATTTTCATCAGGACTTCTATTTCAATTAACAAAGTGATTTTCACAAACTATTTCAATTACCAGATAATTTAAGTCAATACACCTAGTTGGCATTAATACATTCTATGAATATAATTATGTTTATCAAAATTCTTGCAGAAAGAAACTGTGGGAAAATTTTTTAAAATAGATTTTCTTTTTACAAATTAGGCATTTGTTCCTCAAAAGCAATCTAATGTTTATAGGCATTATAACAGACTAATAAATAGATAGACAAGTTTTCATGGCAGGATAAATACTAGCTTGAAGCTGAAAGAGCAGTGCAAGGTGAGAAAACATCCGAGTAAGACAAATATGTCACAGAGGTTCTGCTTATACCACCTGACCATCAATAAAAAATGGAGAAAGCACACCAGCCACATGTCAAATAAGCACCCTGCTGACCAAATGGCCTTTAAAAATTCCACTGCAAGATAAATTATTCAAACCTTTTGAATTCTGCTGTCCATTTTTATAGTAATTAGTAATTACCAAACATACTGAATCTGGAATTTGACTTCAAAGCAGTTATTTCAAGTTTTCTTAGTGTCGTAAGAAATTCCGTATTAGAAATTATATGAGAATTGGCCAAAGAAGACTGACCTCTTCGTCCTTTGCTATGTAGAGAATTAGTTAGTCCATTTTCTATAATATGTATGTCTTCAGTAAGGAAGATATGCTCCTGAAAAACAGGATATTCGTTTCCTAACAGTACACAAGAAAAGGAAAGCACAGCTCTCAGCTACTGAATGATAAACCAATGAAAAGGAACTAATAATTACTCAGTGTCACATGCTTTATCTCACAAAAATTCATCGAGGGAATCATTACTATCCTATCTGATAAATGCAAGAAAAGATGCTTAAAGAAGCAAATACTGTGTGCAAGTCCACAATGCCAGTAAATGCCAGATCTTGGAAGAATAAGGCTCTATTATCTGCACTGTACCTAAGCCATCTTCCTGTTTCTGTATTAAACAGGCTTATAAATCCAACAGCAAAATAAAGGCATCTTTGTATATTCAAAATTACATTTACAACATTTCTATTTAATTCAAGGGACTTGGGACATTTTTTGAAGGTAGATCTGATCTATTATATTGTGCTGGAGAAAGTTCTCAACTTTGAGTAGTCCATCAGGGTTCTAGACCTGTCTCTAGCTGTGTAGACATGGAAAAGTCGTTAGTCTCTCTAAACCTCAGTTTTATACATTTGTAAAATGAGGTGGTTAGATTCAATGCATGGTAACTACTTGTTATTGTTTTATGAGTTACACAAAGTTGGCTCTGAGATCACCACAGGGTAGGATAATGTGGATGATTGAATTAATGGTTCAAATTTTTCATTCTCCTGGAACAGACTTATATATACAGGTCCTCTGCAGTGGTCTCATGGTGAGCAGGGTGCTCTTCCCTTCTCCTTGACTCTGGGGTTGGCCATATAAATTGTCTCAGCCAAGGAGATATTAGCAGGCATGATGTGATCAAAGCCTTAAAATATGTATGATTGTAGAACTTGCCCTCTCACACTTTATAATCTGTCACAAGAACAGCCTCTCCTTGGTATTGCCTGTCCCTTTAATCTTGGACCTACATGAGACATGTGAAGGAGCAAAGCTTATTCCAATTCAGATGACAGCCTAATGGAGAGCTACCCAGATAAGACCAGTCTACATCAGCCAACTCTCATGAGAACAAATGCTTTTTGATGTGAGCTAGTGAACTTGTGGAGTTTTATGCAGCAAAAACCGTCAAAGAAAAAATATTAGGGGAAAACATTGCTGGAAATCTCATAGCTGCTTCAGTTCTGTTTATATATTGGGTAACCTCATGACCTTTCACTTGAAGAATGGGTTTCCCAGCTAAAAGTTTGGAAAACATTGGAGTGGATTATTACTTACTTTGATAAACAAGATTTCATGATTCAAAGGTTAGTTGTAAAAACAAAAATAATAAAATAACTATTAGAAAAATGCAGTTTGTAAGACCAACTATTTTAAGTACATAAATTAGCCAATCAGGAAATGAACATAAACCAAAATATTTTCTCATGTAACAAGAATTACAATGTGATGATACTAGATTTCAGCATCTACCAATATATGGCATTTAATTTTGTTTTTTTTTTTTTGGAATAACAATATGGCATAGAAGACAATAAACAGGTTGGTAATTGATGGTAATTTAAATAATGCATTTCGTTTTTGGAAAGTTAGCATCATCTTTTAATTGGGCTCTCACTCCAGTAGAAAGAGGATTCTTGGATTGATTTGTTGTTGTTGTTTCTCTTTACTTTGTGCATAAGAAATTGACAATAAATGCCCTAGAGGTGTTCAGAATCAGGGTTCTAGACTTCTTGTATCTCTGGATGTTCCATTGTCCCTTCAAGGCAAATTGTGTTACATGGTCAGCTGTAAAGAAACAGGAATTACACTCAGGGGGGTCCCTATTTCCACATCTACTATTGTCCCATTACTGATTGTTGACCCCCCTCAAGTCATTGGATCTCCCCTCACCCATCTCCCTACCTGGAAGTGAAGCACCTAGTGCAGAGCACCTCTACCCTGCCTGTTGGCTTCAACACCCTTAAAAGTTTTGTGACAGTAACATTAGAAATAGTGTCAGAAAAAAGTAATATCAGGCTGACGTGCAAAGTTTGGAAAATATTGAAAAGGTAGTATTGGCTAGCTGGAGTAAAGGTCACAGCAGTGTAAGATAATGTTTGACTGATCCTGAAACCCTTATGTATACTCACACCATAACATCTCTATGTTCTCCAGGGCCACACATTTCTGGTGGAAACTCTTGTAAACCGAGGTTATGCTCTTAAAGTTAACAGGTACCTGCCTTAATCCCAGGTAGACAGTTCTCCCCTGGACAAATCTGGTCATCAATTATTCACAATATGTTATGTATTAGTATGTAACAGAGGTCAAGAACTGATGAGCCACACGCATATCTTATATAGTTTGCATGGTATTTGAAAACACACATTTGTTGCTAACATTTAAAAACCAAGGGTTTTCAAAAAAAATCAGATTTCTGGTTTCTATAAAAAACTGGAAGATGTGGCAATTGCTGGATTTATATTCTGATACAGCAAAAACTGGCCAGAGGTGAGGACCTTCTTCATTCAGATAGGGTCTGTGGTTTTTGGTTATCAACAATTTTACTGCTTGTCTTCCACTCATTCAGGGCACCTGCCTGCCTGCATTTGTGACCTCTAAGACAGACCCAAGGAAAACAAGGCAGTTGGCCTGAAGCCTTCCAAAGAATACACTTTTGTAAAGCAAAATTGATGAAGCATGATGAATTATGCTGGGAATAAACATTTTAGATTTTCAGAGAAGCCAATATATGTTGTGTAAGAAATATCATAAATATTGAGGACCCCAATGAGAAACCTCTAAAATTAAGGTACATTTCCCACTTCTAAAAAGATTTGGCTAAGTTGACTCATTTTGCTTTTTTCCCACAATACTATTGTTATGAGTATGGAGAGTTTATCTTACCGCAAGGTCCACTTTAATGTAATATGAATAATGTGTGTTCTCTGAGATTGTCCATAGAGTTGTAAGGAATAAGTTTTAATGTCCTACTAGGCTCTATTCTCAGCTTTGTCACTAGGACTTCCAGCAAGGAGAAGTGGGTTCTAGCTGTAAAACTTTTAGTTTCCTCTCTAACATCTTAGGGGAGTGGTTCTCAAATGTTAGCAGGATCAGAATCACCTGGAGGGCTTGTTAAATCACAGATTGCTGGGTCCTGTCCCCAGAGCTTCTGATTTCATATGTCTGGAGTGGGGACTGGCAATTTGCACTCCTAACAGGTTCCCAGGTAATGCTGATGTCACTGGTCTGGGAAAGATGGTTTGAGAAACAATGACCTCAGACAGGTAACTTTACCCACCTGGCTTCAGCGTTTGCATTTGTAAACACAAGAGTGGTATTTTATCCACTTGGAAAGTTTTTTCCCTCCTACCGAAACATAATGAAGAATTACCTTTAAAATGGTTTTATTATTTCCTTGTACCAGATCCTTATTGCAATTGTGGTTCCTTTCTTTGTGGACATGCAACGTGTTGAAACTAACCTGAGGTGTCTTTATTGGAAAGAATACATTGTTGTTGTCTTAGCATTTCTACAACATATTTTTTCCTGAGAAAAAAAGCATTCTCATTTTTTTCTTTCTCTGTACTTCTTTTGAAAGTGGAGGGAATTGAGAAAGCTTGCCCTCCAAATAACCCCAGAGTCCTGGGAGATGCTGTTGAAAAACCATTTGCTACGTGATGACCTTTGTTTTAGCATCTTATTAGAATCAGGTGGATTGAAAGAAACATGTTTCCTGGCCACTCGAATAAAAGTTGTGGGTTTCCAGGTTGCACTCCATACGTTTTAGCAAATCCTGACATTGCCATGCATCTGTCTTCTTCCTCCAAGTTCTCTAATATAATCTAAAATGAGAATTTACATTGAAGATAAAAATTCTTCATCAATAACACATGCCTTATTTTGCTTGGTCCTTATTAAGTGAATTCCTGTCAGTTCCTTTTTTCTTTTTTCTTTTTCTCACCTGAATGAACATAATGTATAATAAATTCTGAAATTTAATAATTTGTTAGAAAATTATAAGTATAGAGTTGAGAATTTAGACACGTTAATATTTCCATGTCAACACAATTATTTGGGTACTATGTAAATAAACCAGCAGCAATGCTGCTCACATCTGTATATTTTCAAATTAATAAGTTATAAATCTTTGTTATCCTTTGTTTTTTGTTATCACTCACATTCAAAAAAGGAAAAAAGTTATAGGTCTACATACATTTTAAAAGATTTTTTAAAAATATTGCTGATGATAATATTTTTCTTTATCTTTGACCTTAACATATGAGTGAACAGATAAATCAAATCATATTTTTGTGAAGAACAGAGAAGCATCAACTGCGTTTTAATTAACAAGCTTATTGTGTTTTTAGCAGAGGATTCTACATTTTAAGAGATGGTTCTGAATGAGTTTAGTGATTGATTCTTTACTATAATCTTTCCTGTGCTAACTAATGAGGCACAGAGGCCATTACTGGGAAGTCAATACAATTTGATTGTGTCAAAATAAATTTCATTAGACTTATATTCTACCTTCAGGGTAACCAAAGACTGATTATTAATTTAGTAGAGGTTGGCCTTCCTTAGAAGCAATTTCCTAATAACCATCGGTATAATCTAGCCTCTAGGCATCTAAATCCAAAGGCCATTTTTTTATTGATGGTAACACCACTGTGGGATTTGTTCACTGAAAAGACCTTTTGTTTCCCTTTATAATTTCCTTCAAGGGAGAAAACAAAACCCAAAACTATCTATCTATCTATCTATCATCTATCTATCTATATTCCTAATCACTGAATAATTACATGAGTGTATATAAATACATAAACACACTTTTATCGGGATACAGCATACATAAAGTGCACTAATCGTAAGTATATAGGTAGTTTTTTTATAAATGTAAACTCTCAAGTACCCATCACCCAGATGAAGATACAGAGTGTGTCAGTAGTCCCAAACTCTTTCCAGTCAATATCCACGACTTTCTATACCTAGGTAACCCACCTTCCGACTTCCATTGCTATCACTTAGTTTTGCCTGTTCTTTAAATTCATATAAATGGTATCAGACAGGCACCATTTTGCATCTGGTTTCTTTCATACAGCCTAATATCTGTGAGACTGATCCACATTGTTGCATGTATCAGTAGTTTGTTTTCTTTGGCAAGTAGTATTCTGCCGTATTAATATATCACAATTTTATTGTCCACTCTTTTGCTGATGGACACTGAGGTTGTTTTCAGTCGCTGGCTGTGAGATTATGTGGTTATGAATGTCCCTGTACATGCCATTCAAACATCTCTAAGGTCCCCTGTTATCCACCTAAGAGGGCACTGGTGAAATGATTTCTCCAGAGGCCTTTCTATATTTTCCAGTTTTTAACAACCCGCATGTGGCTCTGACAAGATGTTTGTTTACATCTATGAAAAAAGTCTATCTATAACCAAGGTCTTTGGAGGAATTTGAAAGGAAAGGGGGTCAACAGTGAGAATATCACCAATATGTTCCCACTTAACCCCCACAACTAGTCTAGGCTGGGAATATCTAAAGCAGTTTCATGGCAAGACAATTTGAGAGTCACAAAAGACATCAAAAGACAAACCCAGCACCTTCAGGCAAATATGACATTATACATATAGGTAAGACACAGAGAGGTTTAGTGACTTTTATAGAGTCACACAGCTAGTAAGAGGCCATAGTAGTGATCCTAGGACCTAGTAGAATTTGGATTACAACCCAAGTCCTTGTGTTGTTCAGGGCACTCTGCACAAAGTTGCCTGGCCAATGGGATGAGAGTGTTGGTGAGAGTTAATCAGTGATTGCAAGTTAAATACCAGTTGAGAAATCCAGGCGGATTGTTTTCACATTGACGGCTCCCCACTCTGGTGGACGTAGTTGGCTGCTCCTCTGGTGTTATCTTGGCAGGAGAGCATTGTATGGGTCCTAATCATTGAAGGTGAAGGCAGAGCCATTTCATGGATAAAGCAATTAGAGAAATAGTCCTAGACAGTGAGAGGAGCAGTCAACTCCCTTCAATGTCAACCTTCTCCCTTCCTTTTCATCCAGCATAGTGAATCAAAAAGCAGGTTTTTTGGAGGTAAGAAGTCAGCTAAACTGTCTTGGGTTTAAAAAGGCCCAAGACTCATGTCTATACAATCAACCCTTTAGAGTACCACCACTCCCAATTAAAGCAAATCTCACCTTCCCTGACACCCTCTAAGACTGTTTATTACCCTTATGTGAGTTATTTTCCCCTTCCAGTCTCCCTTTCATGCTGGGATTTTCCATGTCATAAACACATTTAGAATGGGCAAGGAAGCAAGAACACAATATGATTTCTTTCTCTCACCTGCCAAGATACAATTGTGGGGGCTGAGTAGGAATTAGAAAGGGATGTTGTTGAGTCTTACTGAGAACTCAATTCAGTTCTTACTGAGTTAATCCCTTTTGTCTTCCTGTTGATAGATTCTCATGCCAGGTTCCACAATAGGGACTAGAAATAAACGAAGGCAGACAGAAAATAGAAGGGCTAGCAGAAATGAACTCAGCTCACTGCTATTCTGTAATTAAGTCACAAATCCCTTCTCTCAATTTTAACAGAATAAATTCAGCAAATGTTTACTGGACACCTATTAGGTTCCATGGATACAAAGATAGCCACTGTCTCTGTCACCAAGGAAGTTTCTATTTAAAAGGACACTTGGGACAATGCATCTTCAGTTTCTTTATTCATTCACTCAGTAATGGACGTTGAGTTTCTAAACACTTCCAAACACCGTGCTAGGTGCTCAGCATACATAAATGAGTAACATTGGCCTCATGGCCTAGAACAGTCATCATATAAGACATAATAATAGACTAACAGAATAACAATGGTAGTAAAACTTACTCTACAAATATTAGCCCCACTTGGCATACAAGAATGAAGATTTTTTGTTCTCTTGGGGATAAAACAAATAAATTAGAATATTATAGATTTTGGTAAGTCCTAAAGAGAGCACTAATAAATATTAATGATGAATACATAAATAATAATCATTTAAAATGACAATCAACAATCAAATTGCTACATGCCCAACAATGTGCCTTTCATATCTATGTTCTTTATTTAGTCCTCAAAAGAATTACTATGAGCTAGTTGTCAGACCCAATTTGCAGAATATAAAAATGAGATTCAGAGAGATGAAGAGCTTTCCCAAGGTCACACAGCACAACCAGTGGTAGGAGAGCCAGTAAGTTGAATGGAGGTCCCTCTGCATCCATAATCAGAGATCTTGACATAAATTCTGTAAAGCTGCTTTAACAATTCACTGGAGGGAGTGTGTGTGTTGGCAGGGAAAAATCTACCTGGTTGGTGGTGGAACTGGGAATTGGTTCCTAGAGAACCAATTGGGCAGTATGGCCATTTTAACAATATTGATTCTTCCTATCCATGAGCAGAGAGTATTTCTCCATTTATGTCATCTATGATTTCTTCGAACAGTGTTTTGTAATTCTCATTGTAGAGCTCTTTCACCTCTCTAGTTTAGCCGTACTCCTAGGTATTTTTTTCCTTTCATGGCAATTGTGAATGGAGTTGCATTCTTGATTTGGCTCTCAGCTTGATGTTGTTGGTGTGTAAGAATGCTACTGATTTTTGTACACTGATTTTTGTATCCTGAAACTTTGCTAAAGTTGTTTATCAGATCAAGGAGCTTTTAGGCAGACACTGTGGGGTTTTCTAGGTATAACGTCATATTGTCTGCAAACAGAGACAGTTTGCCTTCCTCTCTTCCTATTTTGATGGCTTTTATTTATTTATTTTGCGTGTTTGCTCTGGCTGGGACTTCCAGTACTATGTTGAATAAAATTGGTAAAAGAGGGCATCCTTGTCTTGTTCTGGTTTTTAAGGGGAATAGTTCTAGCTTTTGTCCATTCAGTATGATGTTGACTATGGATTTTTCACAGATGGCTTTATTATTTTGAGGTATGTTCCTTCAGTGCCTATTTTGTTGAGAGTTTTTAACATGAAGGGATGTTGAATTTTATTGAAAGCCTTTTCTGCATCTATTGAAATGATCATTTGGTTTTTGTGTTTAGTTCTGTTTATGTGATTAATCACATTTATTGGTGTGCATGTGTTGAGCAACCTTGCATCCCAGAGATAAAGCCTACTTGATCATGGTGGACTAGCTTTTTGATATGATTCTGGATTCGGTTTGCTGGTATTTTGTTGAAGATTTTTGCATCTCTGTTCATCAAGGCTATTGGGCTGAAGTTTTCTTTTTTGTTCTGTTTCCCAGGTTTTGGTATTAAGATGATGCTGGCCTCATAGAATGAATTAGAGAGGAGTCCCTCCTCCTCAATTTTTTTGAATAGTTTCAGTGGGAATGGTATCAGATCTTCTTTGTACCGCTGGTAAAATTTGGCTGTGAATCCATCTGGTTCTAGGCTTTTTCTGGTTGGCAGGCTTTTTACTACTATTGAAGAAGTTATATAGGTGGTAGGTATGTGGGCTTTCCCGTGAAATAATAAGATTATTTTAGAGCCCTAGCTTCAAACTAGACTTAAATTCCCAAAATAGTTCTATCTCAAAAGATAATATAAAAGTTAAAACACTCACCAATCCAATTAGTTTTTTTCTGAAATGACGGTATCAAATAACTTACAACCTAGATTATAGGATATATTAATTAATTAGTCCATTCTCACACTGCTATAAAAATATATCTGAGATTGTATAATTTACTTAAAAAAAAAGAGGCTTAATCGGCTCCTGGTTCTGTGGGCTGTACAGTCTTCTGCTTCTGCGGAAGTCTCAGGAAACCTACCATCATGGCAGAAGGTGAAGGACAGGCCGGCACATCTTCATATGGCTGGCAGGAGAGGGAGAGAAGGGGGAAGGTGCCACACACTTTCAAACAACCAGATCCCATGAGAACTCTATCACAAGAACAGCAAGGGGGAAGTCCACCCCCATGATTCAATAACCTCACACCAGGCCTCTCCTCCAACACTGGGAATTACAATTTGGAATGAGATGTGGGTGGGGACACAGAGCCAGGCTATATCATTAATTATATTAATCTTTAACTAACTCAGCATTAATGAAGTTCTAACCATGAGCAAATATACCACAGACATGCAAACAAATGTTTTAAGTGCTTAAAACAAGTTTGAAATGAAAATATTCCTCCAAGAATCTCAATTATGCTATTTGTCATTTAGAAAATCAAATCCTTTCCTCATAGAAAATGCAAAAGCAAATTTTAATACAAACCTGTTGGAATTATGAAAAAAACAGAATCCAAATTAATGATACTTCAGTATACTTTCTAAATAATTAAATAGCTTTCATTAAAGAGTTTCAAGTAACATTAGAGGTAACATGCAATTAAAACAAATAAAAATATTATGGCTGGGCATGGTGGATCATGCCTGCAATCCCAACACTTTGGGAGGCTGAAGTAGAAGGATTGCCTGAGCCCAAGTGTTTGAGATCAGCCAGGGCAATATAGAAAGACCTCATCTCTACAAAAAATTTAAAAATAAAAAATTAGCTGGGTATGGTTGTGCATACCTGTGGTCCCAGGTACCTGAGAGGCTGACATGAGCAGATCGTTTGAGGCCGGGAGGTTGAGACTGTAGCGAGCCTTGATTGCACCCCTGCACTCCAGCATGGGTGACAGAGTGGCACTCTATCTCAAAAAAAAAAAAAAAAAAAAGAAAAAAAGAAAAAAATATCATGTCACTTCCATTCCCCAAAGCCTTTAATAAGCAAAGAAGAATCAAGTAAATCAAGTAAACTCAACTCCTTTGTTTTCATTCAAATCTTTTAATTATCTAATTATACTCTATATTTTAACTACTTATCCTTTATGTCAATATTTCATCCAAACTAGCCTAAATATTCTCCCTCAGTGCCAGGAACTATATTTTACTCATATCCCTTTATTTCTAGGACCTAGCACAGTACTTAGCACATGGAAAGTAGTCTGAGAACTGATCTAAAATCCCCTATATCTCTGCTTAGATATTTATTCAATCCAGAATCCAATTTCTCTCCTCCTTCTCCTATTGAAGATTATATAAATACTGACTCCTGAAGTCAGTATTCATTCACTGTGCTCTCTCAGCATTTTACCTGCACTGCTAGTACAATACACACTGTAGTCTGCTTTACAATTAATTATGTACATGTCTTGACTCCTCCATTAAAACATAAGCGTATAAGTTCAGAGATTGCTTCATTTCTCTTTACATCCCCTGCCTTGTAGTGCTCCTGCACATCACTGATACATGAATCTTTTCATTTGCTCATGTCTTCCATTTCTGAATGCACTGTTCCCCAGGTATAAAAAACATTCATTGGCCAAGGTCTGGCCTTTTTAGGTTAAAGCTGTTTCCCTTCTCATAGCTTTGAATATTACATTTGAACATAGCAGTAATAGACTTGAGTCATTCTGTTCCTTTATTTCTGTCACTGGAGTTAGAAATTTGGAACATAGCATACTACTTTATATCAATTTTCTTGAAAATTTAAACAAAGATATGAAAATAGCCATCTCTTGTCATACTAGATATAGCATAACTTGTTGCTCTAGTTATCTGTCTCCTGATAAATTAGTCTAATTAAGTACATCTGAACAGTGGGGCGATAGTAGAGGTAGAGGCTCACCTCTTTTAAGATTTTGCAGGGAAAGGACAACAAAGGTAGTCACAGACCCACACACACACACACAAAAATCTGCCCCATTTTCTCCCCTGGTCTGTTGTGGGGACTCAAGCACCCGAGGTTCAGGGTCACTCTGTAGTTCCAAATGCTTAGTCTTAAAACACAAAGTAAGCTCTCTGAAGTTTCCCCATAAGCTTCTGAGAATAAGCATTGAGCACCTGCTCCTTGATTTTAACAGGATTCCAGGACAGAAAAACAAAACATGATGCCTTTGACTGCAAAAAAACAAAGTGCCCATTAATACCACTTCTACATGTATGTCACAATAGTGATAGCTGATAAACCACTTACAAAAGAAAAGAAAGAGGGTTTGAAGATGGTATTTTAACCCAAGTATATACAGTTTTCAGAGGCTTGGGTCTAAAAGCCTGATATTTACAGGCTCCATTCACAAGCCTGCTACTTGCACTCCTGCCCATCACCAATCAATCATGGCATCAGATTTCTTCTACACTGTACTCCAAGAGGTCATTGATAACAGATAATATTTTCCCACTTAAAGTTAGGCAACCATCCTACCACAAAAAAAAAAACATGCAGCTAACAGACTCCTGGTTTTCACTGCATGTTCAGTTTTATGCAACAAACTGTTTTTCCCTGGTCACTGGTGAATTTAGAGCCTTCCATGACATCACAGTCTAGAAGGGAAGACAGATTCTATAATAATTAGTTTCAGCACCAGGGAAAAAAATAATTTCAGTAGCAGAAGCACTAAACTAGGGTGCTTAGTTAAGCCTATGGTAGAGATGGTTATAGAGCAAATGGCATATGAATGAGCAGGGAGAAGTTGAGCACAGAAGAGAAGAAAAGGTATTCAAGTAAGAAGAAATGGCATGAGCAAAGCATTGATTGCATAACAGCATGAGATATGTGTGTGTGTGTCTGCTCATGTGTATGTTGTGTATGAAGGAAGCATAATATAAAAATAACTGTTTCTAGAGGGAAAAGTTCTGAAATGGTAAGTTGCTATAAATGGGGTTGGATAGATAATCCAAAAGCAGTTTGGGAAGACCAGATAGGAAATTTAACTTTATTCCCCACTTTCCCAGCCCCTGCTAAAATGTGAAACTCCATTGAGGGATTTTAAAGATAGATGACAGAAATAGAGTGAGAGAGACACACACAGATTGGTAACTTTATATTTAAGAGGCAAATCAGAGGAAACTTGAGTTACAGATTGGAACCAAACAGTGGAGGAAGCAATAGAAATAATCAGGTAAACTCAACTGTAGTTATAATTCACTTGGAGCCCAACCAACAGCCATCCATGCATGACACAAATTGATGATGGTACCATCCACCCTCCTTTCTCTAGCCTAAAACCATTCCCATTATAATCAGCACTTTGCATAAAACAATAGGAAACCATTGTTAAAATGAGCATATTATATGTATCATATACATACCTGGACAGACAGTGACCTGGCTTTGCAAAAAGGAGGCAAGAAGGAGCAACTCCATTTCCTAAATTTGTCTTGCTTCTTAGATTAATTACCAAAACAAAGTGCAATAAAATGGTATTTGCAAAGCAGGATTTGCCAGAATGAAGTGTGAAGTGGAAGGGAAGTGGTGAGATACAGGAAATACCTTCAAAGGTATCGCCCTTTGCCAGAACAATTGCATAGTTGAACCGTCATATCTACACTTGGGGCTAGCCAATGAATTATTTTATTCAACAGATATATCAGCAACCATTTAACACCTACCATGCACAATTGTGTAGTGTTAAACCCTATGATGTCATAAGATGTGAGCCCTGCTCTCAAGGAAATGTTGCTTTAAGTGGGAGATGTACACACATAAAATTGATAGTGAAATTAAAAACAAAGTTATGTACTATATGTACTGCTTGATGGTTCATAGGGAGCTAATAAAAGAAATTTCTCCTGGGGATACTTGAGAAAGTGAAGCTGAATTACAAAAGATGGCAAGATTAAAATAGAAAGAAGAATTTTGGTGACAAGAGAGTTTAAAATAACTTCCAAACTCATTTCTGTATAATAGGAAAAGACCAAGAAGGAAAGACAGGAAGGGAGAAAGCAACCCAACACTCAGTGCACATCTGCTATGCACTGGCATGATATTTTCTACACATTTTCATTTGATTCCAAAAAACATGACCCCTACTTTACAAATGTGGATACTGCATATAGAGGTTAAATGTCTTGTTCAAGATCACACAACTGTAAATAACCAGGCCACCAACAGAAGCTTGCAGCTGTCTGTCTTTAAAACAGGGTTTCTCACCCTCAGCAAAATAAAGCCTAGGGTAGATATTTCTTTGTTGTGGGGGTCTGTCTTGTGCTCCCCACTATATGCCAGTACCACCCTCTCTGTTGTGAAAAACACAACCAATATTATCTCCAGAGATTTCCAAATGTCCCCCTTGGAATAAAATCATCCCTAGTTGATTACCACTGATTTAAAGTTTCTTCACCTGATAGTGAACTAGGAATGGATTTACTTTGAAAATGAATTCAGGAGGCAGTGAAAACATTAACTTTGATGAATCATGAGGTACATATTAAAAGATGTCGAAAATGGCCACATATATATACCTGAGCACAGCAGCCTTAAGAATAGGATTCAGAAAACAGGAAGAAATAGGGTAAGTTAGGCAGCCATTTTCATAAGTCAAACCGTCCCACAGAACCAGTCCTGTGAGCATGGCAGCAACTACAGTCCAATACTGGATGACTCACCTTGCACAGCACCTCCTGCTGCCGGGAGGAGACACAGCCTGCTGCTGCTGGCAGCGCACGCCAGGAAAGTATACCAATGGACGAACAACAGAAGGGATTCTCCTCTACCATCCTTTTTGTAACTATCTCTGGGTTCAAGTTTATCTGATTGTTAAGCTTATGTCACATGTCTGAGTCCTTCCTAAAAGAGTGAATAGGAAACTACGTTCTCCAATTTTAAGTTTGTACAGTAAGAAGTGGGCTCTGAAACCTTCCAATAACAGAAAGAAGGAGGAGCTGCTGGGAAGTCAGAAAGAGAAAAGAGAGAGAGAGAGAGAGAGAGAGAGAGAAAAAGAGAAAGAGAGAGAAAAGAAAAAGACAAATATCCACTACAAGTTTTTACCAGAGACAACAAACAGTTTTAACCCTTTGAAAAATGGAAGGAGATAACGTATCATTTAAAAAAAAAAACTTAGAAAACTTAAGTTTTACTCAGATGAATATTGAAGCAAGCTGAGAAAAGCTAAGAGGCCTATTATATCACAGTAGTGGAATATTACGTGGTTTGTTTCTGTTACCAGTAGAGCTTGCTAGAAACGGGGAGATGTCACTGCATAAAAGTAGAGTGCGCTCACTGGGAAACTGCCCGAAAGGATAGAAGGAGAATGATTATAGTCAAGACTCTTGGAGGACAGTTTTAGACCTCCAGCATCCCTAAAACCCTCATCCCTGCAATTCAAGCCAGCTTCTCTCTGTCCCCCCACTTCCTCCTTTTACTGGCAGGCAATTTCAACTATCTAAGAGCTGTTTAAATAGAGTGATTACATTTCAGGAATGCCTGATGAATATCCAAACAGTCTTCAAAGGAATGTAGATTTATCTCTCATTTACATGTTCCAGGAGGAAGTTTACAGCCCTATTTCCTAACCTCTTCAAGGGACAGAATCAAGACTGGGAGAACTAAAACTCTCCTCCACTGTGATCTACTAGATGAAGGCTTCTCCAAAAGGAATACATCAAAGAGATGCAGTTTCTATTTCTGCATAAGTCCTGCAACAACGTGTTAACTCTATCATCAGTGCTTTCAAGTAAGTTACACATTGAATCACTCAGAAAAAAAGACTTGACCTTGTAAAACTTCCTTACTTTCAGCCAAGTTTCCCTCTTTACTTTTCTCTCTGGTGTTCTGCTGTGCATTGTTCCTACCTGTAGCTAGTGAGTCAAAAATACACCTGAACTGTGAAATTGGCCCTAAAGACTGGTTGGAGCCTCCTTTCTTCTGCTTATGGATGCAGAGAACTTCTCTGGAAAGAATTTGTTTCTTGTGATAACCAAAAAGTCCTTTTGACTTACTCCATTGTGTCCACTAAAAAGTTGAAATTGATACATTGGTTGGTCCTTGTATCCAGCTCCTCCCAAAAAGCAGCCTCTTTTCTTTTAAAGAAAAAAAGAGGGGGAAAGATAATGAAGATAATGGATCAATCTAGAAATAGCAAAGGACTGATTCTACCAATAAGCTGTAGGAGACAGAAGCTTATTTCTCATTTCCTCTAGCAAAGAAGTCGATATATATTTGATTGAAGCAACAAAGCCGCCTGTTATTTTTTCCAAATGTTTTTTTCTCTGCCTTTAAATCAATTATCTGAATGGATTAGGAGGAGAAAGAGAGAGAAATACCTTGTAATACAAATTTGGTTTTACCTTTCAACAATAATAAGCTATCTGGTTTAAAATTTCCCTTTTATTCAGGTAAGTTTAAGGACCAGTATATTATATGGATTACTTAGGGTGCTTTGAGCTATAAGTAATGGAAATCCCTAGTGAAACTAGTATAAATGTGAAAAATTTTGTTATCTGATACAAAAGGAAATCCCAAGATAGTATGAACCTCAGAGTCATTTGATTTAGCAATTCACAAAGACTCTGGGTTTCGGTATTCTTCCAGTTCAACATGCTTGAGGATGGTTTCATTTCCAGGATGGTAGCAAGATAGCAGTCAAGGTGATCAACATGGACCTGACATACTCCAGAGGAAAAGGGCGTGTCTTACTGTGGTCTTCCAGAAAATATGAATAAACTTTTCATAGGTGTTTCCCAATACAATTTTCTTTACTTCTTAATAGTCAGTATTGGATCCCATATCTTCTCTGCATACTTAGACTCATGGTTCACAATTAGACAATAATACTATGAGGCATTTTTCTTGTCACAATGTCTGGATACTCTATCGATATTTCGCAGAACATATCTGGGCTTCTAAATATTTAGCAATGCATGGACACCCCTGCACAAGGAAGAATAGTATCAACTAAAATGTCAAGAGATCCTTTTTGAGAAACACTGTCCATGACCTAATCTGGCATTCTTTGCACAGGAAATGGTTTTAGTTTTCCTGTAAGCACATGAATGTAGAGCAGATACCTGAAAAAAATAAAAAGATTTTGCTATTAAGCAAAAACAAGATGGCAATGCATTCTGGAGAGGCAATAAGTAGTGTTGGCTATATTATATTATCACCAACTAAGAAAAATGCTATTTATTCATTTATTAGTTTAACAAATTTTCTCATTTAAAAAAAAATCTGTTTGGGATTCACAGAGGTTTAAAAAACAATTTAGAGACTATTGTAATAACCTGGTTTGAAATTACATGAATATGAACTAAGACAGCGGCAGAGAAGATGGAGAAAAATCAACTGATTTTAGAGGAAAATCAATAAATACATCTTGGGAAGAGACCAGATTTAAGGAATTTGGGTGAACTCTTGGTCTATGGAAGTCTAAAGCTATCCACTGCATCCCAGTCACTTCCTCAGAGCCACTGAAAAATGGCATCCTGCTTACTATCTTCCTCTCTGCTAGTATGTCTGTCATCTCCTTAATGAAATCAGTAACCCCAAATATAGCATACTCAGTGTTCTAGCCTCTTCATTTTTTTACATCCTCAACTCCAATTTTCTTGTTTTCCATGATACTGCTCCCACTCATTTTCTATGTTTATAACTTGGAAATAATTTAGTAATAACATTAATATATAATGTAAATAATAACTTACATCTTATTACTAATAGATATACCATTTCCAAAATCAAAATTTCAAAAACTTGCCTATATTTCCAGCTCTCTAACTTTGGTATCTTGATTCTGACAATTATTCAACTCCACCAACTTTAACTTTTAATCTAATTATTGAACCTCTTTTTACTGTACAATACCCCCATGTACTCAATTTATTCCTTACCTAAATGAGATTTTATGGCCCATCACTAAAATTATACCTTTGCATACAATTTTAGTTCTTCATCTTGCATCGTCTCAGCAGCCATGGTTAAATATAAGTATTTGTCTGCTTTTTATCTGAAACAGTGACCGAAAAATGGTGTTATTTTGCTTCTGTGTTTGTGACTAATTCTAGTAACTCTGAGGCCTCAATCTGACTAATAACATTCTACATCAATGGTTTTTGAATTAAATGATTCAATGGATGGTGATGTCATTAGCCAAGATAGTGCACACAAGAGAAGGAAGAGAATACAGTGGATTAAGAATTCAAGTTTCAACATGTTAAATTTCATGTTTTTGGGTTATCCACATGGAAATATTTTGTAGGGAGCTATATATTAAAGTTGGAGTATGGAAGAAAGAGAGAGAGAGAAAGAAAAAAGAAATGGAAGAATTGTTGGAGAAGTAATTATGTAGAACTTGTATGGAAGCCACATGAGTGGATGAGATAAGAGACATTATAGCCTTTAGAGACGGCTTTCCTGGTTTGATGGCAATTTATTTTAGTTAAACTCTAAAACTTGTTCATTCATCCACAAATATTTATTAGGCAATTACCTCTTCAGGCACTCTTCTAGGCACTTGAATATATATTTGTAAGTAAACAGAGTAAATAAATTTTACCTCGTGAAGTTTATATTCAAATGTAGGAGGACAAAAAATAAACATAATAAATCAGTAAATTTTACAGTATGTTGCCTGGTGATATGTGCTATGGCAAAACAAAAAGTAAGTAGAGTAGAAAAGGAGGATGAGAAGTGTGGAGAACAGTAGGGTAGAAATAGTAGAAACAGAATGCATTATAAAAGAGGATGATCAAGACAGGTGGCACTGACAAATTGAGTTTCTTTTTTTGTTGTTGTTGTTTTGTTTTTGTTTTTGAGACAGAGTCTTGCTCTGTCACCCAGGCTGGAGTGCAATGGTGCAATCTCGGCTCACTGTAACTTCCGCCTCCCAGGTTCAAGCAATTCTCCCACCTCAGCTTTCAGAGTAGCTGGGATTACAGGTGCTCGCCACCATACCCGGCTAATTTTTGTATTTTTTAGTAGAGATGGGGTTTCACCAGGTTGGCCAGGTTAGTCTTGAACTCCTGACCTCAGGTGATCCCCTGCCTCGGCCTCCCAAAGTGCTGGGATTACAGGCGTGAGCCACTATGCCCGGTCAAAAATGAGTTTCAAGCACAGACTAAAAGAAAGAAATCTAATAAGTTACCTAAGTAGATATTTGGTAGAAGAATGTCCTAACTGGAAGATCAGGTAAGCAAAGGGACCAAGGTTGGACTATCCCTGTTGTGTCTGCTGAGCAGCAAGGGAGGTGGTGTGGCTGTAAAAAAGTGAGCAATGAGAGGAAGAGTCGTAAGAGAGGAATTTGCAAAACAGGGAGAAGGAAAAAGGCAGTTTGAGGAGCAGGGTAGTGAAAAGATCTGACTTACATTTTAGAAGGATCTCTATAGCTACCATGTTGAGAATAAGTTTTGGGTAAAGCAAGGGGGAAAACAGGAGACTAACCGGGAAGCTATCACAGAAACCGTGCAGAGAGATAATGATAATGGGTTAGGTCAGGGTGGTATATGTGAAGGTACTGAGAATTCTTGAGATTCTGAGTATATTTTGGAGAGAGAGGCAACAGGGCTTTAAAATACTGGACAGAGTGTGAGAGAAAGAGAGGAGTCAAATATAAAGGCTTTTGGGCCTCTAACCTTTTAGCCTGAACAAATGGAAAGACAAAGTTGTCATCAACTGTAATGGGGAAAGCTGAATCAGTTTCAGTGGAAAAATCAGGAATTCAATTTTGGTGTTTGAGATGACTTTTAGACATCTAAAGAGTGGTGTTAAATAGGCAGTTGAATAATTAATTCCAGACTGCATCTACTAACATAGAGATCGTTGGTATAAAAATTGTGTTTAAGGTCACAAGGATGGTTTCTCTGGAGGTTGCAGGAAATACTCAAACCAGCTTCACTACGAATTGGCAGACCTTCGGTGCACTGAATAGCATGTGGCCTCTTCACAAGTAGAAAAGAAAGGATACAGAGCTGGCAAGGGTGCTGAGTGTAGTAAAATTAATTTCATCTTTAATTAATGCCAGACTCCTACTCTGGGGGGATATTGTGTGAAATAAAACTTGGACTCAAAATCCAGAATAACATCAATCCAACCAAGATGTACTCAAGCAGCTCCTATAAACAGTATGGAGTAATGATAATGATGAAAATAATAATATTAGAAGAATTGATGTAGAAGTGGTATCAGTTATCGAACATACTTTTAAAACACAGTAACAAGTACTTTACATGTATCAACTCATGAAATCCTTACAACACCACTTTAAGAGAAGTACTATTGCTGTCTCCATTTTACAGACGGAGGAACTGAAGCCCCAGAGAAAGGAAGAAACTTGTCCACTCTAAAAAACAATGGTCTAGGTAGGAGCCTAAGTTTCAACTCTTCCATAAACTGTGTAACCTTGAGTAAGTCCTGCCCCTCTTTGAGACTGCTTTTATAGAATTGTAAAGTGAGTTAGGTTGACCAGATGACCTTTAAAGACTCTCCATTTATAGTGCCTACATATGTTTCATTTTCTTAAGTCTCAATCCAGCTGCCCTGACACCATTTCCTGTAATCTTAGTTATAACTGTATACTGGTGTAATATCAACATTAGCAAAACCTGAATAAAGGTTTATTATGAACTAGGGTCTGCGTAAAGTACTTAAATTTTATTTCATTAATCTTCACAATCAATGAACAGAATATGGTGGAAATGGTGCTACCAATTCTGGGCCTACTCTTAACTGGCCTGAAAGCTTCCACTTTCTCCTTCTTGGATTGTTTACTCTTGGAGTATTTCATTAAGGAACTCAGATGCCAAACAGCAAGGTAATCCAAGCAGCCACGTGGAGAAGAACCAAGGGCCCCCAGTTTCCACCTCTAAGTCTGCATTGAGATTCCAAATGACCTGTCTTTCTAGCACCCAAGCTGACACCTCATGAAGAAAAAAAAATAAAACCAACTCAGCCCAAATAATTATGTAGTCAATTGTTATTTTAAATTTTGGGGTGTCACTCTGCCCCTACTGGGGGAGGCCTCCCAGATAGGCTACTGGGGAGTCAGGGACCCACTTGAGGAGGCAGTCTGTCCATTCTCAGATCTCAAACTCCGTGCTGGGAGAACGACTACTCTCTTCAAAGCTGTCAGACAGGGACATTTAAGTCTGCAGAGGTTTCTGCTGCCTTTTGTTTGGCTATGCCCTGCCCCGAGAGGTGGAGTCTACAGAGGCAGGCAGGCCTCCTTGAGCTGCGGTGGGCTCCATCCAGTTCTAGCTTCCCAGTCGCTTTGTTTACCTACTCAAGCCTCAGCAATGGCGGGCGCCCCTCCCCCAGCCTCACTGCCACCTTGCAGTTTGATCTCAGACTGCTGTGCTAGCAATGAGTGAGGCTCCGTGGGCATGGGACCCTCCGAGCCAGGTGCAGGACATAATCTCCTGGTGTGCCGTTTGCTAAGACCGTTGGAAAAGCGCAGTATTAGGGTGGGAATGACCCAATTTTCCAGGTGCCGTCTGTCACAGCTTTGCTTGGCTATGAAAGGGAATTCTGTGACCCCTTGCGCTTCCTGGGTGAGGTGATGCCTCGCCCTGCTTCAGCTCACACTTGGTGCACTGCACCCACTGTCCTGCACCCACTGTCCGACGAGCCCCAGTGAGATGAACCTGGCACCTCTGTTGGAAATGCAGAAATCACCTGTCTTCTGAGTTGCTCACGCTGGAAGCTGTAGACTGGGGCTGTTCCTATTTGGCCATCTTGGACCAAAGTCCAATGAAATACTATGCAGCCATTACAAAGAATGAGATTTTGTCCTTTGCAGGAACATAGATGGAGCTAGAGGCCATTATCCTCAGTAAACTAATGCAGGAACAGAAAACCAAATACTGCATATTCTCACATGTAAGTGAGAGCTAAATGATAAGAACACATGGACATATAGAGGGGAACAACAGACACTAGGGACTACCAGAGGGTGGAGGGTGGGAGGAGGGGTAAGACAGGAAAAATAACAAATGGGTACTAGGCTTAATACCTGGGTGACAAAATAATCCGTACAACAAACCTCCATGACACAAATTTACCTAACCATGTACCCCTGAACTTAAAGGTTAAAAAATAGGCCGGGCGTGGTGGCTCACACCTGTAATCCCAGCGCTTTGGGAAGCCAAGGCAGGCAGATCATGAGGTCAGGAGACCGAGACCGTCCTGGCTAACATGGTGAAACCCCGTCTCTACTAAAAATACAAAAAATTAGCCGAGTGTGGTTGCAGGCACCTGTAGTCCCAGCTACTCGGGAGGCTGAGGCAGGAGAATGGCCTGAATCCGGGAGGCGGAGCTTGCAAGTGAGCCGAGATTGTGCCATTGCAGGCCAGCCTGGGTGACAGAGCGAGACTCCATCTCAAAAAAAAAAAAAAAGGTTAAAAAATAAATAAATAAATAAATTTGGGAGGTGCTTTGTTTCACAACAATCAATAACTGAAATAGTTACTACTAATATGCCCATTTTATAGATAAAGAGACTAAAGATTGAAGCTTAAGAGAATGTAGTTAATTATAGATCACATACCAAGGAAGTGATAGAATAAATATCTGAAGAGAGGTCTGTCAAATTCCAGAATCCATACTTGAAAACACTTTAGCAAAGTGCCTTTCACCTTATTGCCAAATTATCAGTCATACTTTTCTGCAGCATTTTATTTTGAACAATATTTTAAGAGGACAGCCTCTAAGCTTTCATGGGCATTACAAAAATCTGTCCACTTCAATTATTTCTAAAATCCTAGATCTATTTAACAAATAATGTGCACTAAATATATTCTGAGATAATTAATACAGATTACAACGAAAAACTTCTTCTCTCACTGGGTTTCTTTAATTTCCTAAAGCCCGAGGCAGTTACATTCAGCATTTAAATTATCTTGTCCATCTTGCCAGCAGTGCCTTAGACACCTGTGCATTAAATTACTGCAATATTGCTTTCAATGTGCACTTAGCATTTCCAAATTTTTATCATCTAGAAAAAGGCACCAATACATCATAACTAAGCTCCAAACAGATGGTGCCAAATTCTACTTACCTGATACTTCTTTTTTTGTGAAGCCGAAGTAAAATACTTTCAGCAAAGGCAACCATCATAAAATAATTGGAGGAAGAAAACAAATGAGTGGACACAGCAAAATGAAAAATCTAAGTACTTTACATTGAAAGGCACTGAGGCAGTGATTTAGAAAAGCCAACATAAGGCTGGGCACGGTGGCTCACGCCTGTAATCCCAGTACTTTGGGAGGCCGAGGTGGGCGGATCACCTGAGGTCAGGAGTTCGAGACCAGACTGACCAACATGAAGAAACCCCATCTCTACTAAAAATACAAAATTAGCTGGGTGTGGTGGCGCATGCCTGTAATCCTAGCTACTCAGGAGGCTGAGGCAGGAGAATCTCTTGAACCCAGGAGGCAGAGGTTGTGGTGAGTCGATATCACGCCACTGCACTCCAGCCTGGACAACAAGAGCAAAACTCTGTCTCAAAAAAAGAAAAAAAAAAAGCCAACGTATCCTTCCCCTTCATGCTGTACCCCTATACCAACCCCACACTAAGTACCTGGTGCTTGTCAAAATAGTGTTTAAATGAAGATGTATACCATAATTGGTTAATTTTTTTGTAGATCATTACTAAAGATTAGGGTGAATGGAAATGTACTGGAGCGTTAGGTGAGGGTGAGTAAATATAATATATACCTAGCCAAATGTAAATATATCACAATTTTTACATTAAAATGGTCAAAATCACTGTAGGAGAACAGTATGTCTACTTAATGTGTTATTCCTATGGTATCCCTAGCATTATTCTAACTTAAAGGTAAAAAGTCTGATTGTTGGCCAGGCACGGTGGCTCATGCCTGTAATCCCAGCACTTTGGGAGGTTGAGGCGGGTGGATCACGAGGTCAAGAATTCGAGACCAGCCTGGCCAATATGGTGAAACCCCGTCTCTACTACAAATACAAAAAAACTAGCCAGGTGTGGTGGTTCACGCCTGTAGTCCCACCAAATAGGGAGGCTGAGGCAGGAGAATCACTTGAACCCAGGAGGTGGAGGTTGCAGTGAGCCGAGATTGCACCATTGCACTCCAGCCTGGGCAATAGAGGGAGACTCTATCTCAAAAATAAAAAAAAAGTTTGATTGTTGTTGTTTCCACATTAATTTAAGTGGTGTACATTTATGTCGTGCTTTATTATTTACAAGGTGCTATTATACATGACACTTGATTTGATCCTTATAACAACCACTGAGTAAGTACTATCATATGCAAAGTCATAAATAAAAACCAGGATTTCGTTCAAGACTAAAATATCACCACTTCAGGTTGAAATCTTTGAACCTGAGTTTCTTTAATAAGAGGATGGGTTAATTATTTTTTAAATGTTTAATTGATTATTATGACATATACCTGCTCTAAACTGGTATTCCCTGTCACATAAAATATACAATGAGCTTTTTTTATTTAAAAAATGACTTAAAATATTCTCCATAGAGCCAGTGACAAATTATTCAAAGAGTTATATTACCTAATCTCTGTCCACTATAAAACCATCCAGCACTTCTATTAATGGAGTCCAGTATTGCCAAAGAAAGTAGATATCATCTTGGAGACAATGCGGCTAATGGAAATCACCACGTGGCCATCTCTTAACATCATTTGCAGCCATTTCTCCAGCCTCTTTTGAGAACTTTACTTTTTAAATTCAATATATTTATTAGTTTTGAGGTATAATTAACATAGAGTAAAATTCACAGATCCTAAATGTATAATTCTATCATTCCGGAAAGTTACCTTGTATCCTTTTCCAGGCAACTATCACTCTAGAGGCAACTAATTTTCTATTATTTTTAACCAAACATTTCTTTCGCCTGTCCCACAAACTTATATAAGTGTAGTGTTTTGTGTTTGTGTTCCTGGCTTCTTTTGCTCAGCGTAATGTTTTTGAGTCTCATTCACGCTGTTGTAGGTGTAAGTGGTTTGTTCTTTCATATTACTGAGTACTATTCCACGTATAAATGCACCTGTTTCTTTATCCATTCCCCTGTTGATGGACATTTGGATTTTTTCTGGTTTTACCTCATTTTAAACACTATTTTTTTTTTTGCTCTTACAATGGATCTACAAATTAAAAAATGTGTCAGCAATCCAGGCATGGTGGTGTGTGCTGTCATCCCAGCTACTTAACAGGCTGAGGCAGGAGGATCACTTAAACTCAAGAGTTTGAGTCCAGTCTTGGCAACACAGTGAGATCCCATCTCTAAAAAAATAAACACACACATTTTTTTTTAATTTAAAAAAGAAATCTGTCAGCAAATGCACATTTTGCTTTGGGTGTATGTGTGCATGTGCATATTAAAGTGAAATTTACTTTGTGAATCAATGCAAGAACATTAAATCCTTTGCTTTTGAAATATAAAATAAGTTGGTCTGGCTCCCAGACTTCATGGTGGTGGGGTAGACATAAGGGGGCAGAAGGAGATAGAATGCTGAAAGAGCCTCACAGGACTGAGAGGCCTGCTGTCTGGAATAAATGGTAGGTGGTATGCTCCTGAAAAAAAGGTGTAAATTCAGCTCTAGCTGTCCTTGCAGGGTGCTAGCTCTGTGCACAGTACTTTGGCTGTGGAAATGCTTCTGTAATATTCACTAGCGAGATCCTGGCATCATGTGTGTAAACAGATCAGTGGTTCCAATGGTTTAAAATCCTGGTTTCAACTGCCTCTCCCTTCTTCTAAGGCACTTTAGCTTGTCATGGTTTGCTTATTAAAGCATGGGACTAAATCCTCTCAGCCTCGTGTGTGCAGCTAATTCAACCTTCATGGATGCAGTAAATGAGTCAATTAACATTCACTAACATGCATTTATCTAGCACCTTCTGTGTGCCAAACACTGCACAGCGCTAGCTGGCTTTCCAAACAGATTGCAGAAAGAAAGCAGGATGCTGTATGTTAAAGAACACTGTGGTTGGTGTCAGAAAGTCTGAGTCCAAGTCCTGTACTTTCATATAACTATTTCTAATACCTTAAGCAATTCACTTCAACCTGGAACCTCAGTTATTTATTAATGTGCAGGAGGTTCTAATTTTTCAAGTCAAAAACTAAGCTGTGAAAACAAATGTAAATATTGTCATTTTTCTCCCACCCAACTATTAATACTTGAGTCCCATATTTTTCAGAATGGCATATATTTAACCTCACTGAATTTAGGTAATTTGACATATGTGAGTTTTTTCCATCAATTTAAGATCCTTCCCATTTCTCCCCAGAGCTGTCACTGAGTCCCCTAGGTACTCATTAGGGAAAAATGAACTCTAAGTCAACATTACTTATCCACTTGCCATACACTAACTCTCATATGCTCTTTGGCTCTCAGTTCCTTACTTCTCTAGAAAAGCTCCTTTTTCTACTCTCAGGTCTCTCCAGGTCTTCTGGCTCTAGTACAACCTCAGCACTGCTTTCAACTTCAGGAGGAGATTTTCTACACCTCCCAGCACTGTGCTGGATTGTATAAGACCTGATGAGGATCCTTCAGGCCCACAATCATAAATAATCCACCTGACATTCTCTACTCATCTGTACCTTGACTGGATGGAAAGACTTCTAAGTCCCTGTGATTTTCTCAGACTCCCAGCAGAAAGCAGTGTATTGGCAGAGCCCCTGCTAATGTACAAGAAAATTATGCAAATTAGAAAAAAAAGTGTTTCTTCTTTATGGAAAAATTACCAAGATGTGCAAGAACAATTCCTCGTCATCTAGAAGGTGACAATACCTTTCTCTGGTCACAAAATTCTCCTATTCTACATTTCATTGACTATCATATAGGCTTTTTATAAATATAACTTTTATCTCAAACATTGGTCACAGCCATGCATATCAAAAGTCTATTTTAGGACTCAAAGCCAAGCCTTGACTATTTCTTACCCTCCATATTCCTGTATGACATCTCTACCTAAGTCTGCAAGGTCCAGTTGCCCCAGTGGATGAAAGAGCAGAGGCTGAAAGATATACCTGAGACTGCGGCAGCCATGGAAGTGTGCTGCTTGGACAACCCTTCAAGAAAGAACATACCATTCAGCTGTAAGGTACAAAGTTAGCTGACAGCATTCAGCTATGGAGCCCATAGGATCTTAAGCTGAGGCCTTGCTCTTCCTGTAGCCCTTCCAGCCAGTGACTGACCACAGTAGCTGTCTAGGGCCTAGCTGTTTCCACCTGAAACAGGGCTTCTCTTATGGAAAATCTTTGCTGTAGACCTCCCCATTGGGTTGAGCCTTGACTGAATCATTGTTAGGTCTGCATGTCATCTGAAGATCTCCCTGCACTATCTGGTTTCTGCCATTTTTATCATTTACTCCCAATAAACCTCTTGTACTCAGAATTCAGGGTCACTTCTCAAAGAATCCAAACTGACCCAGATCTGAAAATATTAATGCTTCAGGTAATCAGTGCAATAATACTCCGCTAAATAGCAGAGTTGACATAGCCAAAAATTCAGTGTAATTCCTGTTGACTCTAATATTTGCTTCCTTCTCTCTCATTTCTTCCTAGAAATTATAAGTTAAGTGAAAAGGCAATTACATGCCCAGGTAAATCACTTCAGTTCACAAATGCCCAAATGTAGAGATTTAATTATTCCTGTACCTCTTCCTGCCACCCCAACAGTCATCCTCATTAACAACAACAACAAAAAGCAAAATGGCATAAGAACTGCCTTGCATAGCTATAACCCCAATGCAACAGTTCTACTTAAATAGAGCCTGGCTTTATTTTAATTATCCTTCAAAACTAGGGAAAATGAACAAATCAAAGTGATTGGAAGGTGTTAGAACTGTGGTCTGGTAAACAACTGGTTGGCAAAGACATTATGAACACTATTTTAGCCCTATGAAAAGCAGAAGCCATTGAAAGTCCTAACTTTTAGGTATGTGTAAAGTCACCTCTCTGTATTCATAGGTTCTGCATCTTCAGATTCAACCACACACAGATAGAAAATATTCAAAAAAGTAAAAACTTACAATATAACAATAAAAAATTTAAAAATATGTTATAACAACTATTTACATAGCATTTATACTGTATTAGGCATTACAAATAACCTAGACATGGTTTAAAGTATAAGAAGATGTGTGTAGGTTAGATGCAAATATTATACCATTTTATACAAAAGACTTCAGCATTTGTGGATTTTGATATCTGCAAGGGTTCCTGGAACAAACCCACCATGGACACTGAGGGACAAGTGCATATTCTTTTAATTAAAAACTCCATATGTATAGATGTAATGTTACTTGTTTACTACTCTATACCTAGCCTGGAACACAATAATGCTTTTTAGACATAAAAAACGCAATTAAATGATGAAATTCCTCAGCCTGATCATCTAAATTATTCTCTAGACTTGGCCTTGAAAGGCATTTGATTCTCTCAAAATCAAATCCATTATAGAAAGACATGCTTTTCTGGGAGATAACATGTCTCACTAATTTTTGTGTGTGTAACCCAGAAAAACTGAGGAGAGATTACTGGGCTTGACTCCAGAAGAGAGCCATGTTGTGGGCTCTGACTGGGTTTCCTACAACCAGAAATGGCATTTCAGTGGGGTGGGGGTGGGGTGGAGGAGGAGAGAGAGAGAGAGAGAGTGAGAAGGCGGGAAGGCTATGGTGACTATTACAGAAGGTCCAGATAATGTTAGTGACATGGTTTGGCTGGTTGTGTCACCACTCAAATCTCATCTGGAATTGTAGCTCCCATAATCCCCAAGTGTCATGACAGGGAACCAATGGGAGGTAACTCAATCATGGGAGTGGGTTTTTCCAGTGCTTTTCTCATGATAGTGAATAAGTTTCATGAGATCTGATGGTTTTATGAAGCGCAGTTCCCCTGCACACACCCTCTTGCCTGCCATCATGCAAGACGTACCTTTGCTCTTCCTTCATCTTCCGCCATAATTGTGAGGCCTCCCCAGCCATGTGGATCTGTGAGTACATCAAACCTCTTTCCTTTATAAATTACCCAGTCTTGGGTATGTCTTTATTAGCAGAATGAGAGCTGACTAATACAGTTGGTTTGCCTAGAATGAATCTGAGTGGTTTTTGTTTTGGTTTTTTGTCTATCTCCAAAAACAAGCATGTGCTGTTTGCCAGTACCACCTCCAGGAAGTGAGTGGGCAAAGGCTGTATGTAAAATAATGACTGACAAAAGTCTTAAAGACCAAAATAGGCAAGCTTAGAAAAATCAAGACGAAACTGCACATATCTTAAAGTATGGGGCCAAGAGGAAGTTAAAGTAAAATAATGGAAGTGTTGTCAAAATATTGAGTTTGCCTGGGAATTCTTACCATGTATAATCTATCATATGATTGATATATGTTACATAATACTACAGTTTAATTAATATGTTAATAGAACTTTTTGTTTTTAAAGAAAAGTTGTAAGGACAGGCATGTGGGAGAAAACACTGCCTCTTCAGTATAGAAACAAGTTCTGATGCATTGAAAAATCACGATCTAGACTCTTCAGGGGGCGGCGGAGCGGGGGCGGGGGGTCCAAGCCATGGAGGTGACATTTGCATTCCACGTAATTACAAGTTCGTAGTAGGTTCTCTATGCATATTTCAGAGCTACAATAGATGCAGAGATATAATAGATATTATTAAAAAATGCATATTGAGTCAATGAAGATTTTTGCTACCTAAAAGGATTTTATAAACTCTGCTGCACAAGCATAAGGTAGTTCATAAAGGGGAGGATCCAAAATGGTTTCACATGGGCATCACTACTGCAATACCTATAGCACCACACAGGGTCACATGGAAGGTTGAAACACTAATCTGGATGTAAAAGGTATATGATTATTTGAAAAATCAATTGATTTACTTTTTCTCATACCTTACACTAGGTGCTAATGTGCATGGAAGGAGAGCTGAGGATAACAGGAAAGAGAAGAGATTTGGAGAAAGAATACAGTCCTTCAGTCTATGCCCTATGGAAATTTATCATCTACTTTTAGAAATTTCATATGTGGAAAAAGGATTTTCCAGCAAACAGTGGGGGAGGGGAAAGAAGAAGCAAATTTTATTAGTTGAAAACAGAAAGATTTCCCTTCCAATAGTTTGGGTTAGCACTTTTTAGCTGTGTGCTTTCACCCTTTCACCTTAAAACATTTCACCTCTTTCACTGGAATCTGTCAAATTCTATAATGTCAAGGACAGAGAAGAAAGTGAAAAAACCAAGGTTTAAATGAGGAGACTTTCACAGAATTTGAAGGTTCAACCACCTCTACTCTTGACATAATTACATGCGCTTCTTAATACATGGTATATAATCTCCATATGCATTGGTCTACCAAGATATTGAAAGGAAGCAGAGCAATCCAGCTGGTGGATGGGTGTCTGAGGGCCCTCAGAAATGACTCCTGTGCCAATAGAATCTTACACCTATCTTAAACTCACAGCAAGATTCCTTTTTGTTATATACATGATCTTGAAACAGCAAATACAGCTTTCCTGATGAATACAATCACTTTGCTTTTTTATACTGTTATTTCCTATTCCCTGCAGACCCAGAGATCTCCTTCAGCCTCTTCCTGAGTGTCCTGATGAGTAAATTGAGTGGTTGCCTTATTTGATTTCCTCAGGAATTAGTGCAATGACAGGCTATCTAAATGTGCAAATAGCTTAAAAAAAAAAAGAGAGAGAGATTTGTTTTTCCAAGGACTCTGTTTTCTGGATCACTCCTTATGATATCATTGACCACAGCTCTGACTGCAGCTCAGAAAGTGAAAGTAATGAATTATTGCCCTAGTTGAAATGTTTCTGAAATGAAATCACCTGGGACAAGCCAAAAATGCCCTTCACTCTAATGTCAATTATGGATTTGCCTTAGATCAAATTAAAGCAGTAACTATTTTTGTTTTCCTCCTAGGTAAGGAGCTAGTCATATATTTTCTCCTTGTTTTCTCTCTGGCAATGGCTTTTTCCTTTTCCTTATCCCCAGTGCCATGCCCTCTATAGCTGCCAAGTACCATTTCTTTTCAGTTTGTAGTGCAGTTTTCCCTCAATATCTGTGGGGGACTGGGTCCAACACCCCCATAAGGATACCCAAATATGCAGTTGTTCATGTTCCTTTTATAAAATAATGTAGTATCTGCATATGACCTATGCACCTTTTCCCATATACTTCACATCATCTCTAGGTTATTTATAATACCTAATGCAATATAAATGCTACGTAAACAGTTGCTATATGTATTTTTACTTGTATTATTTTTGGAGTTGTATTATTATTTTAAACATTTATTTATATTTTAATATCTCTAATCTGTGGTTGGTTGAATTCAAGGATGCAAAACCTGTGGATAAGAAGGGCCGACTGTAAATGTTATGTAATGTCATTTAGTACGTTATCAATCAAAATCATTTTGAGTAAATACTAACAATTAAAAATACAAGGAAAGGTTTGGTAGGAAAAAATAGATTGAAGAAATATGGTAACAAATCACTTAATGAGAAATAAAGCAAAGTCTTGGGCACTCATAAATCCCTCTGTAATCTCTATTCGTTCCTTTAAAAAATCTGTGTTCCTTTTTGCTAATATATTTTAATTAACATTCATCATCAAAGAATCTATAAGTCACTGAAGGATGAGGACTAAACAAACAATAATGAGAAGTAAACCTGACTTTCAACCGCAAATCATATTTTTACTAGTTCTTTAAAGACAAAAAGTTATGAGACTTCCAGCAGATATTGAGGCCCCCTTCACTTGACTATGATGGACCCAACTGCTAGGTAGCCATGGCTAGTTCTTGGCCCTCCTATTTCAGAAGAGAAAATAAAACCAAAACTAAACGAGTAATTTTTAAGTGGTGGACTGCACTAAGTTTTCGAAGGATACCTAAAATAAAAACCCAGAATCTATTTAAACAGTGAGTAGATCCCTTTTCTACTCAAAACTTGGACTAATTTCTGTTTCACATTACTATGGAAACTGTCCCTTTCTAAACAGTTTGAAAACTCCATTAAAATAAGACCTTCTTCATAAACATTCAATGTTATTCAAAATTTAAACCCACTGGACATATTACTATGGGCCAAATAGCTGCAGGTTCAAAATTTAAAGAAAATAATGCTAATGAAACTAGTACATATCAGTACCTATGAGATGTGGCTGCATGTGTATTCAGAGAAAAATTCATAGCCTTAAGTATGTATATTAATTAATAAAAAATAATAAAATTAACATCCAAGTAAAACAATTATAGAAAACAAGTAGATAAAACTATGACAGAAGAATCAATTTAACAATATTAAAAACCAAAAAATAATGAATTAGAAAAAAATAGACAAAATAAATGAGCTGATATCAAATAGAGATAATCAAAGAGTTGATATTTAGAAAACAAAATAAACCAACATAAGGCTATCAAGCCATAAAGAAAGGTACAAATATAAATATTAAAAATGAAAGAATGGGAAAAAAACTGCAGATAAAAGAAAAAAAATTAAATGTAAGGGATAGGTTTATTCAACTCTATGTACATACATTAATTTGAAAGTTTGTGAAAATGTAAATTGACCCCAGATGATATGATAAGAAAAAAACAGCAAAATACAAAAAGAATGTTTTGTGAAATAGAAAAAACACTGTATTTCAATTTGGACTTCACTTGAAAATCACCTAGGATTTCTAAAAAGAGTGATGCCCCATTGCAGACTAAATCAGGATTACTGCATCTACCTTTGATAAAGGAGCATGTAGAAACGATGATCTCATCAAGAATTAGAGAACTCATGCTACAATTCAAAGTACATCTTTGTGAAGCAATTGTAGAGCTTCAAAGGCATTTAGGCCTTGGAAAACCAAAATACCAGAAAGAAAGAAGCCCTAAGAGGTGAGCTGATGCTATCTATGTTGCTGTTCTCTTTGGAGCACCTACTGACTCATGGAACAGGAATGGAAAGCCCGGGGATACAAGCAAATGAATACTCAAAAGAGACAGAAAAATCAGCAAGGCTTTGCCAATCTCTCAGGAATTGGGGAAAAAAAAAATAGAATTCAGGACTGACAAAGGCAGTCAGGAATGGAGGAGCCAAGATCCCAGAGAAAGATAATACAGAATAGTGACATTTTTTGGTTTCCCCCAAAAACATTTACTGAATTATCAAGCTATTCAATCAGGGAGGTTAAAATTCCACGCACAAAGCCTAAGAAATGCAGAGAGATGTTTCTGGCAGTTTCATGGTGCTAATGAGCTAAAAATTCAAATTCCAGACTTGTTTCCCAAGTAGCATTGTCCCTAGGCTCTCAGTCGAAAACCCTGGAGAGATATATTCTAAAAATAAAAGGACATCAGAAATAGACCAAGCCTTACAAAAACCTAGGCTGAGCCAGCTCTGTCCTTGATTGGATTAAGTTGATCTGCCTCAACATCATCCAGAGCATCCACAATTTTTCATACACAAAGTAGAGAGTTAAATAAATAAGGTATATCATGAAATAAGACCCTGAGGAAAAAAATAAGCAATAGACTATAACCACAGGTTACCTAGTTATAAGTAATTAGGTACATACTTGGAAATAACTGTGATTAATACATTCTGGAGTTCTTTATGAGCCAAATGAAATTTTATTTTTTTTAATTGGCTGGACGTGGTGGCTCATGCCTGTAATCCTAGCACTTAGGGAGACAGAGGCAGGTGGATCACTTGAGGTTGAGAGTTCGAGACCAGCCTGGACAACATGGTGAAACCCCCGTCTCTACTAAAAATACAAAAAATTAGCCAGGTGTGGTGTAGTCCCAGCTACTCAGGAGGCTGAGGCAGGAGAATCACCTGAACCCGGGAGATGGAGGTTGCGGTGACCAAGATTGTGAGCCAAGATTGTGCCACTGCACTCTAGCCTGGGTGACAGAGGGAGACTCTGTCTCAAAATACAAAAAACAAACAAACAAAAAATGAAGTGATAAGCCATTATTGTGCCACTGCACTCTGATCTGGATCACTGAGCAAGACCCTGTCTCAAAGAAAACAAAAACAAAAAAATTAAATAAGCCTAGAAATTAAAAATACAACAACAAAAATAGAAAACGCAATAGATTTTTTACAGCAGGCTTGACACAGCAGAAGAAACAATTCATTAATTGAAACACAACTCAGTAGAACATTCAGACTAAAATACAGGTGCCAGGGTATGTATTCCAGGAAAAAAAAGCGCACTTGGAACAATCTCTATTATTAAAGTCACTATTAAGTCCTCAGTAGTCTTCTACTCCAAAATCCATCTGCTCTCAGCAGAGGCTAATCAAGGACTTTAAATGAGGATGTGATAGGGAGTATGACATTTTATCTTCCAAATCTTTATTAACTGCATTAATTTTTATGACTCTCCCATAGATGCAGTATCCCTTTGGGGTATAATTCTTATGGGGAAGAAACACTCCAGGGAGTTCCATTTGATCCTTTGTACTATAAAAGCCTTTTCTTGCTAAGTCAGAAAGCCATTATGGGGATCCTGCCAAGTATGCATTCGGAAATTTGTAAAATATCTAATATTGAATAATGGCCCTGCTAAGCCTACCATGAGATAGACTTGGAACAAAGCTCCATTTATCAACTGATCCTCATGAGCCTCCCAATGACCAGTGGACTTCAGAAGTATTGGGAATCCCAAAGAACTCTCATTAATTCCAAATGAATGCTCAAGTCAGAAAAAATGGTGGTTGACCAGAGGCTGAGTATTAGAGAGATTCAGGAGATGTTGGTCAAAAGACACAAAATTTCAGTTATACAGGAGGAACAATTGAGGAGGAATCAAAAGATATCTATTGCATATCATGTGACTACAGTCAACAACAATATGTTGTATATTTGAAAATTACCAAAAGAGTAGATTTAAAGTGTTCTCGCTACAACCCCGTCTCTACTAAAATTACAAAATCAGCTGGGTGTGGTGGTGCATGCCTGTAATCCCAGCTACTCAGGAGGCTGAGGCAAGAGAATCTCTTGAATCCGGGAGGCAGAGGTTGCAGTGAGCTGAGATCAAGCCGTTGTACTCCAGCCTGGGCAACAAGAGCGAGGCTCTGGCTCAAAAAAAAAAAAAGTATATGAGGTAATTCATATGTTAAATAGCTTGATTTAGCCATTACACAATGTATATAAATACCAAAACATTGTGTTTACACTATAAATATGTATAATTTTTGCTTGTTAATCGAAAATAATCAAAAATTTTAAGCATTTTTTAAAATAAAATAATGTATAGTATTGCACGCAAAGTCTAAATATGTCTCTTGCCTGAATGCACAGTCACATTAGTAAAGGATCTCAGGTGTCCTTGCAGATGACTGAAAAGTCCTATTACCAAGTTCAGATGTTATAACATGGTCCTTCTTCAGAGAGACCCAACTTGTTATTTTATTAAGCAGCTCTGAGGATGGTAATGCAAGTCATTCTTTTTGAGATGTGTTTTTCCAGTTATTCAGACCAAGAAAGATTTTAACGGACTGACCTTCTATTTTGGTCTTAGGAATTGCATGATCTCTAATTTACTTTCAAAATTGTCTGAGGGCCAATTCACTCTGATTTTTAGTGTAGCTTTGCTACTATGATGGGACTATTCCTTTCTAGGCATTTTGTAGACGATTTGTCTCTATCATCAACCCCAGAATTCTATGAGCTCTAATGAAATGAGGAAACCTATTTCAATAGTGGTCTCTCTCATTATTATAACCATCAACTAAACTTAGCAGGCAAAAGCCCTGATGTTTTTCTGATTTGGGGGTTGCATCAGTCAGATCCAGAACTTCCTTCAGCCTCTTGAGGAGAATTGGAAGGTGGTCAAGTTGAAAGCCATCATCCTTGCTATGACACTAATCAAAGTGAGGGATGAGATGACTTTAAAGAAGCTGGGGGTGAATATGTCACAGATTTAGGAGTCAGCAGAAGCCAAAGTGTGATCTGGTCACTAGCTGGGAGTTACCAGTTTCCTTCACCAATCTGAGAGAGACAGATCCTAAGTTCCAACTGCCAGCTTCAGTAGGGAATGGCTGCAGGATGAACAGTAATCAGCAAGTAACAGAGACATCGCCTTTGAGAACCATGAAGCCCTAGGAAAACACATTTGAGGATCTCCACTATTCTTTTCACAGGGTTACATAAGCTTCATTTCCCTCAATGCACTAGGTTCACGTCATTTTAGAAAGAAGACAGAGCAGATCCTGTGTCCTTCCAGCCCCACCTGACTATCATGCCTCTCTCCTCTGTCCTGCCCCATGGCTGACACCAGCCCTCCAGCTTTGGCTCAGTGGGCTGGCTCTCTCAGGCAGCTGCTCAGTGCCGATCCACACCTCCAGGCCTGCTTAAGTCTCTAGGGGAGCGTCCATAGCACAGGCCAGGCATCCAGCACAAGGGAGCTTCCTCACACCGTCAGCATCAAGTAGGTTAAGTCCTCATATATTTCTGTGCCAGAGACGCCTGTGGCTGGGTTGAGCAAGGAGCCAAACCCCTGGCTGGCCCCGCGAATCTGCACAGCCTTCCTCACAGCGCAGGTCTGCACCTTGGAGGGCGTCTTCCAGCAGCACCAGTACCTGGGCCACCTGGAGCGAAAGAAGCTGGCCAAGAAGATGCAACTCTCAGAGGTGCAGATCAAAACCTGGTTTCGGCTGGGCGCAGTGGCTCACGCCTGTAATCTCAGCGCTTTGGGAGACCCAGGCGGGTGGATCACCTGAGGTCAGGAGTTTTGAGACCAGCCCAACCAACATGGTGAAACCCGGTCTCTACTAAAAAATACAAAGCTTAGCCGGGCGTCATGGCGCATGCTTGTAATCCCAGCTACTCGGGAGTCTGAGGCAGGAGAATCACTTGAACCCAGGAGGCAGAGGTTGCCATGAGCCGGGATCGCGCCATTGCACTCTAGCCTGGGCAACAGAGCAAGACTCTATCTCAAAACAAAAACAAAAACAAAACCTGGTTTCAGAATCGCCAAATGAAACACAAACGACAAATGCAGGACTCCGAGTTGTACATGCTTTCTGGGGCCTCGCCATGTGCCTCGTGCTTTCCGCTGGCAATCTTCTGTCCTGGCCAATGGCCTGCAGCTGCTCTAGGCCACCCTTCCTGAGCCCCAGGCTCTGATGATGCCCCCTTGGCTCCTCCTGGGGTCTCTGCCAAGTGGAACAAGACGCCCTGGCCTCTTCATGGGCTTTGTGTGGCAGCCAGCCTCTGACCTACCACCTCCTGGACCCTGGAAGCTGCGTGCACATGCTGGGACCAGCCTTGTCCATGGGTTCCTGGAGCCCATGTGCTCCACCAGGGACCGATGATGACTTTCTAGGAAGGGCGTCCGACTCCATGCCGTCTCACACCAGTCGTATGTCTGGATCGCACTGGTGCCTATCCAGAGGACTCTTCTCCTGTTCACATCCGGGCGGCCACAGCCCGTGACTGGCATGGTGCCGTCTACCAATCCATGGCGGCACCTCTAACCTTGACCCACCTGAAGATTCTGGAGAATTTACAATTGAAGAAGCTTTAACGCCACCTCCTCCACTTAAAATCACCAAAAGGTCTGTTTAGGGAGTAATTAAGGGTCAGTGAACCAGCGTCAAAAGCCAGAAGTGAGATTGTTACGTGTACGGTTTTCAGCGTATGATAAAAGAATAATTTATTCAGGAAAAAGTGTTGGAAAAACTGGTTTTCTAGTTGGAAAAAATAAAGGTTATAAGCTTTGTATGTAAAAAAGAAAACCATGAAAGGATTCGACGGCAATGAAGGAGTTGTGTTTATAACTTTCTGGTTTGAATCCCTATTAATAAGGACCCTAAAGCTGAAAAGAGGAGGAAACAAAGACAATCATTTCACCCACTGAAAAATTAAAACACAGTGGCGAAGGGGCCTGGCCGTGAGTGCCAGGGCATGCATGAGTCAGGGTTGTACTCAATAGCTTCTCAGGGTTGCTCTTCCCTGGTGATGGAAAGTGGGGGCAGCCAAGGTCTAAGGCTGTACCTCGTCTAACCCAGCAGAGCCTGTCCTACGTGCACCCTGGGCCCCTCCAACACGTGCTCACCTACAGGATGTGCTCCCTGTCTCCCTCCTTGTAGCAGCCTCCAACACAAAATAAAATGGGCAAAGAACAGCACGCTTTCTGAAGAAGGTCTGGAAATATCAGGAACAGCAAGTGTGAAAGCCCCTCCTTGTGGAAAGGGCCAGGGTTGCAGGGCCTGGCTGGTAGGGGGTGATGATGGGGGATAGCCTTCCCTCAATGATGGAGATGTTCTTGGTCAATACTCCCATTTGTTCACATCGTACTGAGGACGTCCTCGTCCAGGAGCATGGTTTGTGAATGCCCAGGAAGCGGACAATGACGTCTGCCCAGTCACAACGGGGACAGTTGGGGTTCAGCCTGTAGGACTGCTGAAGTGACCTGCAGAAACTGACCCAGGCATCCCAACAAGAATACAAATGTCCTTTAAAAATGTTTCTGTGGCAATACATAAGGCAAGCTGACATTGCCGGAGTTCCAGTTTCTCATTGTTTATTTCTGTATTATTGGAAGTGTTTACAATGAGCATATGTTTTTATAATGAAATCTCAGATAAGAATAAAAGATAAAAAAAGGAAGAGGACAGGATAGAGAAATCTGGAAATTAGGAATATCATTTAAAAGGACTATTTAAGAGTGTAATTGAATTGTTTGCAACTCAATAGATAAATGCTTGAGGCGATGGATACCCCATGCATCACGATGTACTTATATCACATGGCATGCTTGTATTAAAACAGCTCATGTACCCCATAAATACATATACACCAACCTACTATGTACCCACAAAAATTAAAAATTTTTAAAAAGAATAATGCTAAGTAAAGAATGTCAGTCCCCAAATATCACATACTATATGGTTCCATTTATATGACATTCTTGACATGACAAAACTATACAAATGGAGAACAGATTTGTGGTTGCCAATGGCTAAGGAGGGGGCGGAGCTGGGAGGGAAGTGGATGTGGCTATAGAAGAGCAACATGAGTGATACTTTCAGTGATAGACATATTCTGTATCTTACTGTATCAATGACAACATCTTGGTTGGGATATTATACTACAGCTTTATAAGATGTTACCATTGTGGAAAATGGAAAAGAGTATACAGAGTTCTTGTTATTATTTCTTGCATATGAAATATATGCGAATTGATGATTACCTCAAAATATCTTTTGTTTAAAAAAGATATAAAATAAAAACTAAAAGTGCTATTTAATTAATAGAATAGATTAAATTTTTAAATGTAAATAATTAGACGTTTTTATTTTCCTCAACAAATAAATAAGTCTGGGCTATTGAGGAAGATCAAATTAATTATAATATTTTTTCAATCTATATTATGTACATGTGAATACACTGTGAATAAAATTGTGAATGTACTACACCTTTACAAGCAATTTGAAAATAAAAAAGAAAAGATCCCATTTATAACAGCATCAGAGATCTAAAATCCATCTCTCTTTCCATCCATCCAACCAACCATCTAATCATTCTAGGAATAAACATTACAAGAGATCAGCAGGAATTATATAAAAATGCAATTTACTGATACTATGAGAGATTAAAAGGGGACATCCAAAGTTCCTAGATGTAAACTATATATGTACTGGACATTTAAAAGTCCATTTAAAAATTTAAAAAGCAATACCATGGAAATTTCTTAATCTAACACACTTGTATTTTATTTGTATTACTCCAGATCTAGCAAATGTGCCCTATTTCTCTTTGGTCTTTTTCATATGCCTTTAACCATGTCGGAAATTTCCTGGAGTAAATCTAATTAGCTCATTTATGATGAATGTTTAAAAAGAAATTATTTGCTGCCAAATATTTGCAGTTCCTAATTTTGCCCTGCTACTTAAAAACCTAGTAGTAACACTTTTAGGTGTCGTATTTAGAACAACTTGATGAGATGTGGGGGTCTCTAGATTCCTTTTAGGAAAATGAACTATGATATTTTACATATTTTAATACACCTCACTCATTCTAATTCTATTCTAACTTACTTCAAGATCATAGTCTGACTTTTCTAGGCATGCCAAATATAATTTTCCTAGCCATATGAGTCATGCATACTGAACACTCAATAATTCATGGTAGTGGGAAAGGTACAGGAACTTGTGTTAATAAAACGTGAAATTCCTGACCAATTATGGAACATAGCTAATAATAGAGCAATGGTATCAGCTCACTTTCATCAGCTTGATGATAATAGGAAGTTGAGAATGAAGAAACATGGATGCCATTTACTCTTAATTATAACACATGATTCAAAAGAGAATCAAGTCCCCTATAAGACAGGAACAAACACTGACAGAAAGCATTTTCCTTCACTATTCAAAAGTACTGAAAAATGATAAATCCACTCATAAGATGTTTACTAAAAATCTACCATGTACAAGTTTCTGTGCTAGTGTGCTGAAGATACTGAGCTGAATAAAGGTCTAAGTCTGGGGGAAAATGCATAAATAGAGGGTAAAAGGTAGGATATGTTATAATATGTAATAGAAAATAGGTAGATAAACACTCTAAGGCAAAGAATTCAGAACAACTAATTTTCCCTGGAAGGTTTGAGTAAATCTATACAAACAAATATATGCTTGAGCAGGGTCAAATTTAAGCAGAGTAAAAAGAATAATAGGAGCATATGAAATAGAAAAGGGATGCATGGGCAGGCAGACAGAACAGCAAGTACAAAGTCAGGAAGGAGCATAAGAGTACAGGGTGCAGGGCATTCATATGAAAAAATAGCAGAGGATAGTCAGACATGCAGGCAGGGTGCAATGTGGTGAAAAGTTTTCAGCTCATACTAAGAGATCGGGGCTTTTTCTTGTAGGCAATAAGGAGCCCTGGAAGTTTTCAAGTGAGGGAGTAAAAGTAATTAGATTTGAATCTAGAGAAAATAATGTTAAAGATAAAATGATACAGATAGATATCTAACGAAATGGAGTGAAGAGAGAAAAAAGCCTAAAGAGGAGTTAAGGTTAGAGTCACAGACAAGGCAAGAGAAGATAAAATATTGGAGAAAGACTCTGGGGGATAGGTTCAGAAGCTGTCCAGGTGGCATACTTACAGTATTAGGTAGTAGCAGTAGGTGACTGACATATGGGTCTAAGAGGTGAGTTTGGGAAAACTGCCAGATTCCTAGCTTGGGCAGTGAAGAACAGACATAGGGAGATATAATGACTTCCGTTTCACATATTTTAGAGAAAAAAAAAACAGTTTTTTTTTCTCTAAAGTTGATACAGATAGATAGATATATATTTCGAAGTAAATTGGTCAGAAAATTCAGGATGTACCCAAGTGTCATTCAACAGATGTGATTTCTAGTTCTACCATCGTGGTTGGTGTTCCACGATTTTAATGAAATTATTTAAACAATTTGGTCAATAGTTTCTATCAACCAAATAAGTATGATGCTACCTAACAGCATATTCATTGAAAGTTTGCGAACTGCATAATGTGACTTAACAGCATTGTAAATTTTTTAAAGCTCCTTAAAAGTAACTGCTGTGTTGCAGTAGTTTTATCAGACTAAAGCTCTTAGTGAATGAGTAATGGTTGAATTTATCACCCCCTTTAAACAATAATTTAAAATATATTTTGACAATTTTGGATGAAATTTTTCTTATACTTAAAATACTTCTCTGTTTTATTTAGTCATGTGTTTTGAATGTAATTTAATCTTATGGTTTACCAATAAAAATGATTTTTGCTGAACATCTGTGTTATGATGATTCAGTCTGACAGTTTGTCCCAATGCTACATGATCCAACTTGAAACTTATTTTCATTTAATCTGCCCAATTTTTCCAAAAGCATATTATGATTTTTTCAAAGATATAGGCATTGGCCATTTTATATGTATTTTCCACTCATTCTTTGATATCAGGCCATCAGTATTCACATTTGCTTTCTGGATGTGCTTAAGTCTAACAATCTCATGTTTTATTTTCTCCTCTAATCTACTGCAACAAAATTTTACAACAAGCCAGCTATATCTAATGGTACAAGTGTCAAGGAAAATACCTTTAGGTGCCCCTGCCCTGTCTAAATAAATGCTCATGTTGGCAAACCATTGATTTTGGTGATCATGGTATGCCCCAAGTTTATTAAAGAATCTAGGCCTTAAATAGGAAACATTGGCTGGTTCAACTTAATATAATGGTGCAATCTTAATGTATGCACAAGTGTGTAGTTGAAATATAAGGATATTACAGCTTTTTAGAAACAGTTTTTAAGAAATTTGGGAGGGGAGGGTGATGTCAAAAAGACGGGCTACTAGAAACCTATAGTACTCATCCCCTTCACAATAATAGAATAAAGAATAAACAGCTACATTTTAATGAACATAACTGAAGGAGAGCACCACAGTGCATCAAAGGAATAACAGAAACTCCGGTGAGCCCAGAAGCTTGGAATAGCCACATCAAGAATGAAAGGAAACACTGGGCCTCCACCACTCTATGCCCCAACTGGTATCAACTAAGAACCAGGAATAACTTTTCCCTATGGCAAGGAGGTAAGGAAGAGGATCCCAACAAACCCCGTCAATATCTTGAACACCTACAGACCTTACCACTGGGGTCCCCTATAATCCTCAGAGGTCGTAACCTCAGCTGAGAGAGTTGTCTAAAGTCCTCATAGCTGTGCTCCCCCAGAGAAGCCAACACTGTACTCTGCCTTCTTTGGCCCAAGCAGCTACTGCACTATGTCATCTTGGATATGGAACTATGGCTGGAGTGTGTCTTGCTTCAGGGGTGAGTAGCCATGGAACCTCTTCAATCCTGAAGTTAAGCCATTGCCAAAGCACCCCTACCTGATGGCCCAACCTCTCTAAGCCAAGCTTTGGACAGTTGTTATCTCCTTTCTTGTGGGACCAAGTGGAAGTGGAGCCACTCAACCTACCCTTTCTTGTCTCTCCTCAGGCCTAAGTTAAAGCAATACCCTGTCTCCTGGGAAAACAGTACTTTGGCCACTCAGAACAGTCACACTTTCCCTGTGCCCAAGTTGAAGCAGTGCCCTGCATCCCAAGAAATGGTTCCTTGACTACCAGAGTGGTCATGCACCACAGTACCTAAGCTGAAGTGGTGCCCTGTATTCAGGGAAGCGGGGCTTGGCCCACCCAGAATAGGTCATAATCTCCAGGTCTGAAGTGAAGTGGCATATCATCCCCTGAGGAATTGGTGCCCTGGCTGAGCTGAGCAGCTACACATCTCAGGGCTGACCTGAAATAATACCCCACATGCTACATAAACAGGGCAGAGGCTGAGCTGAGACACCTTGCCCTACAAGCCAAACTACTCTATTACACTGCTTCCTTGGAGTTGGACTACTCCCCTAGAGTCTGAGATGCTGAGACTCCCCTCTCCCTAAGGAGTGAAGTCATTGCTGTGCTGTTCCCTGTCCCTTAGGGCTCAAATAACACCTGTGCTTTACCATTCTGGGGTACTTGCTGCCACTGCACTTGGCCTCACAGAGCCTGGGATACTGCTGAGCCTCGCAATCCCAGGGTCTAGAGTCACCTCATCACTTGGCACCTCATCTCTTGAAGCCCAAGTTGCCACTGAGTGCTATTTGTGCAGGTTCCCAAATGGTAGCTGTACCCCTCTCCCAGCCCAATCCTCCAGAACACCCCTTCTTCTGCAGAGTCAGGCGAGTACTGTGCCCTTCTCCCCAACTGTAGAATCACAGCTACAACCTGGCTCCTTGGACTCAAGCTGCTAGGGGTGCCTCAGAGACACAGACCATGGCTCTGTGGGCAACCTACATCTAACCCTGCCACAGAGAGTGAACCTTACACAAGACCCAGGTGCCACACTAGGTTCACGAAACCCTGAGCCTAGGACCCCAGCCCATAGGCCCTCCAAGTGCTAGCACCAGGAACCCAGTGCTATTGAAGCTGCTTGTATGCTACGTCAGAACTGACACCAAAAGAGATCACTTGAACTATGTCTCTCAATTGTGGAAAAAATGATAATAAAATTCCAAAAGCCCTTGACACCGAAGATATGAACAACCTATGCTGTTGATATGGTTTAGTTCTGTGTCCCCACCCAAATCTTACACTGAATTATAATCCCCAATGTTGGAAGAGGAGGCTGGTGGGAGGTGATTGGATCATGGGGCAGATTTCTCCCTTGCTGTTCTCATAATAGTGAGTGAGTTCTCATGAGATCTCATTTATAAAAGTGTGTAGCACTTCCCCCTTCTCTCCCTCTTCCTTCTTCTCTGGCCACATAAGACATGACTCCTTTCCCTTCACCTTCTGCCATGATTGTAAGTTTCCTGAGGCCTCCCCAGCCATGCTTCCTGTACACTCTACAGAACTGTCAGTCAATTAAACCTCCTTCTTTATAAATTACCCAGTCTCAGATAGCTATTTATAGCAATGTGAAAATGAATTAATACAGCACTCATGGTTGCTGCCACAAACTTTTATAGCGTAAGCCCCTGGTTGCTGACACTGAATGCAGCTGAAGAAGCTACATGGAAACTATACCACTGCACTTACATGAAAAGAGTCACCACTCCCTTCCCAATTGCAGATGAAAACATTTCTCGATATAAGCACTCTAGAAAGTTTGGAAGAGGTAATTGCTCCACCACAGGTAGAATTATCAACACAAGCACACGAAGAAATGAAAAAGCAAGGAAATATGATACCACCAAAGGAACATCTCTCTCCAGTAACAGTCCCCAATAAAAAAGAATTCAATAAATTGCCAGAAAGAGGAATTTAAAACAATGATCTTAAGGAAGTTCAATGCAATACAGTAAAATACAGATTGACAATCCAATGAAATCAGGAAAACAATTCACAATATGAACATGAAATTGAACAAAGAGATAGAAATCATTAAATAAAACCAAACAGAAATCCTGTAGCTAAATAGCTAAAGCAATCCTGAGCAAAACAAAGCTGGAGGCATCACACCACCTGACTTCAAAATATACTACAAAGCTATATAGTAACCAAAAACAGCATGGTACTTGCCTAAAAACAGTCATATGGACCAATAGAACAGAATACAGAATCAGAAGTAAATCCATGTATTTACAGCCAACTCACTTTTTAAAAGATTCAAAAAACACTCAATGGGAAAGGGACAGTCTCTTCAATAAATGATGCTGTGAAAACTGGATAACCATATGCAGAAAAATTAAGCTAGACCCCTATCTCTCACTACAGACAAAAATCAATTCACAATAGATTAAAGAATTAAAATCCTAGACCCCAAACTATGAAAATACTAGTGAAATGCTTTAGGACATTTATCTGGGCAAAGATTTTATGAAGAGGATCTCAAAATCACAGGCAACAAAAGCAAAAATAGATAAATGAGATTATATCAAACTAAAAACTTCTGCACAGGAAAGGAAATAATCAAGAGTGAAGAGACAACCTGAATAATGGGAGAACATATTTGCAAACTATTTCTACAATGAGGGATTAATATCCAGGTTATTTAGAAAACTCAAACAACTCAAAAGCAAAAAATAAAATAATCCAATTTAAAAATGGGCAAATGAGCTGAATAGACATCCCTCAAAAGAAGACATACAGATGGCCAATGGTCATATGAAAAAAGGCTCAGTATTACTAATCATTAGGGAAATCAAATACAAACCACAATGAGATATCATTTTACCCAAGTTAGAATATCTATTATCAAAAATGACAAAAAATAAGTGCTAGCAAGGATGCAGAGAAAGGAGAGCCTGTGTTAGTCTGTTTTCATTGCTATAAAGGAATACCTGAGGCTGGGTAATTTACAAAGGCCAGAGGTTCATTTGACTCATGGTTCTGCAAGCTATACAAGCATGCCACCAGCACTTGTTCCTGGTGGGACCTCAGGAAGCTTACAATCATGGCTGAAGGTGAAGGTGAAGGTGGCATGCCACCTGGCAAGAGGAGCGAAAGAGAAAGAGAGGTAAGTTGCCAGGTTCTTTAAACAACCAGAACTGCCATGAGCTCATTACCATGAGGGAAAGCAGTAAGCCACTCATAAGGGATACACTCCTATGACCCAAACACTTCCCACTAGGCCCCCCTCCAACACTGAAGGTCACATTTTAACGTGAGATTTGGAGGCGACACAACATCTAAACCATATCAGAGTCCTTATATATTGTCAGTAGAAATGTAAGTCAGTACAGCTATTATGGAAAATAATGGAAAGGTTCCTCAAAAATCTAAAAATAGAGCTACCATATGATGCAGCAATCCCACTACTGAGTATTTATCCAAAGGTAAGGAAATCAGTTTGTCAAAGAAATATCTGCATTATCTGCATTTCCATGTTTATTGCAGCACTACTCATAACTGTCAATATATGGAATCAACCTACTGTCTGTCTTAGTCGGGGTTCTCTAAAGAGACAGAACTGATAAGAGATATGTATATTGAAGGGGAGTTTATTAGAAGAATTGATTCACATGATCAGAGTGAAGTCCCACAATAGGCTGTGTGAAAGCTGAGGAGCAAGGAAACCATTCTGAGTCCCAAAACCTCAAAACCAGGAAAACCAACAGTGTAGCCTTCAGTCTGTGGCCAAAGGCCCAAGAGCCCCTGGCAAATCACTGGTGTAAGTCAAAGAGTTCAAAAGCTGAAGAACTTGGTGTCTGATGTTCGAGGGCAGGGAACATCCAGCATGGGAGAAAGATGAAGGCCGACAGTCTCAGTAGGTCTTTTCATTTCACTTTCTTCTACCTGCTTTATTCTAGCCGCGCTGGCAGCTGATTAGATGAGGTCTACCTAGATTGAGGGTGGGTCTGTCTCTCCCAGTCCATTAACTCAAATGTTAATCTCCTTTGGCAACACCCTCACAGGCACACCCAGGAACAATACTTTGCACCCTTCAAGCCAATCTAGTTGACATTTCATAGTACCCATCACAGTGTCCATCAATAAATAAATGGAGAAAGAAATGTGTTATGTGTGCACAATGAAATATTATTCAGACATAATAAAGAATGAAATCTTGTAATTTGCAGAAACATGGATAAATTTAGGGAATTATATTAAGTGAAATAAACCAGGCACAGAAATATAAATGTCACATGTTCTCATTCATATGAGGAAGCTAAAATTGTTGATCTCGTGGAAGTAGAGAGTAGAACAGTGGTTTCTAGTAATAGGGGAGTGTAATGGGGGTACTTTTGTGTCTATCAACCAGAAAAAGGTTGGTTAATGGACACAAAGTACAGCTCACTAGCAGGAATAAATCTAGTGTTCTGTAGCACTCTAAAGTGACTATAATTAACAATTTATTATGTATTTTCAAATAGAAGAGCAGATTTTGAATGTTCTCAACGCAAATAAATGATAAATGTTTGAGGCGATAGATATGCTGATTGCTTTGATTTGATCATTATACATCATAAATATATATCAAAGTATTACACTGTGTCCCTTAAATATGTATAATTATGTGTCAATTAAAAATAATATGAAAGCAAAAAATAAAACAAAGAAGTTTGGGAGGTTGCTTATTAGGTAATGCTGGATAAGATCTAAGATTATACCAGCTAGTCCCATCAAGTGAGAGCTCTGTGGTCTTTCCCTCCAGGACAGCTTGACCATAAGGCTACCAAGCTTCCCCTGCCCTTGCCCTGATGTATACTCACAGGACAATTAGTGTTCATTCTCTGATGGCCTGAAGCAAGATCCAGTTACCTGGAGAACCTGCAGTTCATGGAAATAAGATTCACTTTTTTTTCGTGGCTTAACTTCTGTGCGCTCCTTTGGTCTAGAGGTTCCTCCCCTTTCTTCTTCACTGGGCCTTGGGAAAGTTGGGTGGTAGCACCAAAGTTTGCTTTTATTTTTTATTGCATTTTGTGAGTCCGTTATCTCTCATTTAGAAGAAAAAGAACCTGCATTAGTTTCACCCTAGCAAGTGGAAAATTAGTACCTTAATAATATGTACATGCCAAAGTGGATGGAGCTCAATGAAAGAAGGAGTAAATCATTTCTGGAGGATATCCTCAGAGTTTCTTTCATCAGGAAAGTCCACCAGTCATGTCACATTAATTATGGCAGCTCAGAAATTTCTGATGTCATAGAGTTGCCTGTTCCCTACCCACTACCCATTCTCTGCTCTTTCCAAAGCAAAGAACCTTAATCTTTTTTAAGGGAATACGGTGCCCAGCTAAAATACCAGTCTGCTTTTTATTTAGGTGAGGTCATGTGACTACATTCTGGCCAATGAGATGGAAGTGTAGGTGTTGGAGGAGTCTTTGTGGAAGAGTTCTCAGAAAGGGGATGGGTGGCCAGAGTGTGCCTTTTTGCTCTTCTCCAGCTACTTAGTTCATCGTGGTATTTGGATATGATGGCAACACACCAACAGGACATCTAAATGTTCAATGGATTGAACCTTGAGATGACCATGTGCTAAGGATGATGGGGCAGAAAATTAGATGGAGGCCAGGATACTGGTAATTATGGACCTCCTGTATCAATATGAAACTGCATACCTCCACCTCCAGACTTAGTTATGTGAAATAAACATGAAATCTTGTATGCTTAAGTCATGATCGTGTTGTTTTCTTTTATATTCAGTTGATCCTAATTTTAACTGAAAACAATGGTTTTATCTCTCTATTATTTGAAAATCTCCAAATAAGTCCCATTGCTAGGGAGCTAAGTTATATATAAATGAGATTTTACTCATTGTTCTAATACTGTGTAAGTAGATGGGTTTTCAGTAAGAAGCCATCAGTGATGGATTAATTCCTGAGTCTGTGATCTGGTCTAAACTGTCCAGTGAACTTAGCAATCGTTTCCCATAAAAAACTGATATTGGTTGAGTTTTCAAATCTAGATATTTTCAACTGCCGCAATGATTAGTGACATTCCTAATAATAATTTATGTTTTATTATTAAATAATAAGACAAATTGATCATTTACACATGCATTTAAATTTGGAAAGATATCTAACCATTAAAATTCTGAGCCTCCATTAGCCTATTAAATACAAGAAGTGAATCAGGCAGGCTGCATCCCATACCCAGGTGAGGGTTTAGGTGATAAAATGAAGTAAGTGATCAGAAGAAAATCATTTCATTTCCATGAGATTCTAATCATATTATACGTTCAACCTACAGTCTTCCTCAAAGCAGAGGCAAAGTTGTCCCTAAATCTGGTCCATTCTTCTAGCAACTCACTTTTTCTGCCTTAGCTATCAGGGAAGTAGTTTTACTATTTGTCAGATTCCTACACACTGTTCTCCAGAGAACTGAAAGCATTGTTGAGAAAACTTCCCACTATTTCCCACTGACAGTCAAAACTCTGGAGCCAGCCTATTTGGGTTCAAATCCCAGCTGTAACACTAAGGGGCTGTGTGACCTAGAGCAAGGTATTTATCTTCTCAATGCCCCAGTTTTCTCATCTGTAAATCATGTGTATTAATCTGTAAATTATAGTAATACACCCTCATTCAATGGTTAGGAGGATTTGAGGAGTTAATAGAAATAAACTTTTCAGAGGAGTGTTTGGCTCATGATAAGCATTCAGTAAGAATTAATTCCTGTAACTGCGCAGGAGAGAGAGGGAGCAGCACAGGAGACCACATGGAAGGCACAAAGAAGACAAAGGGGACAGTGGCAATAAACTCAACAAGTTACATTAAAATTTTTCTAAGGAAGTCCAGAGAACTAGGGAAAGCAGAGATCAATTTCAAAGAGGAGTGGAGAGAACCTGCAACAAGGATATCATACACATTTTCACTTACATCTTTTAAAATGCACATCAAGGGGAAATTCACCAAAGATAAGTCTAAAAAGTGAGTGTGGAAATGAGAAGAGGTAATGTAGTAGTCCATTGTCATACTGCTATGAAGAAATACTAGAGCCTGGGTAATTTATAGAGAAAAAGAGGTTTAATGGACTCACAGTTCAACATTGCTGGGGAGGCCTCACAATCATGGCAGAAGGCAAAGGAGGAGCAAAGGCACACCTTACATGGCAGCAGGCAAGAGAGCATGTGCAGGGGAACTACCCTTTATAAAACCATCAGATCTCATGAGACTTATTCAGTATCATGAGAACAGCACAGAACACCTGCCCCCATGATTCAATTACCTCCCACTGGGTCCATCCCACAACATGTGGGGATTATGGGAGCTATAATTCAAGATGAGATCTGGGTAAGGACACAAACAAACCATATCAGTAACTCCACCATTTTGAACTGATGTTTGTAGAAGTGGTGGAAATGCGTGGAGCATATGAACCGTTTGTTTGACAGAACAAGTTCATTGAGTTCTTCTCATCCCCCATGGTCTGCCTGCCTGAGCCACCCGGAAGCCACCAACAACTTAGAAACTGGCCACAATTTTCTAAAAAATATAATGGATTCTGGAGCAAGGTACTCAGAGAAATGCTGGAGCCAGCTTGTACAGGTCTGTGCAAGGCAATTGTGAGCATCTTTTCCTTGCTGTAGGTTCAGTGACATCATACTGGTATCTTGAAACTGGCCATGATGGCAGTATTTGTATCACAGAAATCAGCAAATGCTACAAATTGAGGCTATTTTAATCACTGGGGGTGATACAGTTGTTAAATTGGCTGCAGTGTCTACTGCACTAGTTGAGGAAGGGGCCTGTACACTGCTGCTGAAAATGAGTGGTGGGAACCTAGGAGCTCCTGAACAATGAGTTCTCACTGATGACTAGAAAACCATAGACTTTCAGAGTCAAGAGGGAAACCAAAGGCTAAGTAACCCAGTCCACACCAGATGCCTGAATTCTCTCAATAACTACCAATATCCCTAGTGATGATGAATCCTCTATTTCACTGAAGTAGTCTTTTTCACTTTCAGACTATGCTAGTGTAATTTTCATAAATATTCTTTGCCTTGAGTTACTTGGTGGGGCAGCCATCTTCTCTCCCTGTATTTCACTCATGCAGCTATTCTTCATGAGATATTTACAAATGCACTCATTTTATCCATGCCTGTGTTGAAAGAGGCTTTCTTACCAATTGGCCAATGCCATATTTGCCTTCAGGACAGTAATCACCTCAGTAGACAAAAGTATATTTTGGGGGGAACAATTTTCTTGCTCACTCATAATTCTTTTACCTGTTTTCACCCAGACCTACTCAAAATCTCTTTTTTTTCTCTCATGCACTACTGAATGATTTTATTCAACCATATTTTAGTTTCTTATTGTATCCAGCCAGTTTTCTATAAAAACCTGATTTTCCTTTTTCTGGTAATATCTTTGACTATCATTAATAGTTAGACCATCCAGTTTCCATCCTTATTGGTATACATCATCTTTGCCATCTCCATATTTTGTTTAAAGAATGAATGTTTAGCAAGCCACCACTATAGGCCAAGAGGTTAAAAAAGGAAAGCAACTGTAAGATATAGGCTCTACGTCCAGAAGCTACTCTATACTTATTTATTTATTTAGGTTTATTTCCAGATTGATAATTGCCAGCACATTCCCCAGGCTTTCTTCTTACTGCTTTTTCTAAATAGAGAGATTTTTGGTGTTATTTTGGCTTTTCTTTTTTTGGCCTTAAGCATCAGGGACATTTTATTATTCACCAGGCTTCAGTTTTAATGTGTAACTTTGTATATCACAAATTCCTAATTTTAGTTCATTCTGATATGCTCTTCTATTTTCATCCTACTACTCAACTTTTCATTTTTAAAAGATTTTGGATTTAGGGAGTGCGTGTGCAAGTTTGTTACATGGTTATATTGTATAATGTTGAGATTTAGGCTTCTAATGATCCCGTTACCCAAACAGTGAACACAGTAACCAATAAGTAGTTTTTCAACACTTGCTCTCCTCTCTCCCTCCTCTCTCAGTATCTCCAGTGTCTATTGTTCTCATCTTTGTGTCCATGTGTACCCAATGTTTAGCTTCAACGTTATAAGTGAGAACATATGGTATTTGATTTTCTATTTATATGTTAATTTGCTTAAGATAATGGTCTGCATCTGCACCCACGTTGCTAAAAAGGACATGATTTCTTTCTTTTTCATGGTTGCATAGTATCACATGGTATATATGTACCACACTTTCTTTATCCAGTCCACTATTGATGGGCATCTGTGTTGATTCCATGTCTTTGCTATTGTGAATAGTGCTCTGACAAACATATTAGTGCAGGAGTCTATTTGGTAGAACAATTTATTTTCCTTTGGGTATATACCCAGTAATGGGACTGCTGGGTCGAATGGTAATTCTCCGTTTAGTTCTTTGAAGAATCTCCAAACTGCTTTCCACAGGAGATGAACTAATTTGCATTCCCACCAAGAATGTATAAGCATTCTCTTTTCTCCACAGTCTCATTAACATCTGTAATTTTTTTGGCTTTTTAGTAATAGCCATTCTGACTGGTGTAAGATGGTATCTCATTGTGGTTTTGGTTTGTATCTCTATCATGATTACTGATATTAAGCATTTTTTCATAAGTTTTTTGGCCACTTGTATGTCTTCTTTTGAGAATTATCTGTTTATGTCTTTTATCCACTTTTTAATGGGGTTTTCTTTGTTGATTTAAGTTCCTTACGGATTCTAGATATTAGTTTTTTATCAGATGCATAACTTGAAAATATTTTCTCCCATTCTGTAGGTGGCCTGTTTAACCTGTTGACGATATGTTTTGTTGTGCAGAAGATATTTCGTTTAATTAGGTCTAAATTGTCAGTTTTGGGCTCTTTTTGATTTGCTTTTGAGGACTTGGTCATAAATTCTTTGCCTGGGTCAATGTCTAGAAGAGTATTTCCTACGTTTTTGTCTAGGATTTTTATAGTTTGAGGTCTTACATTTAAGTCTTTAATCGATTTTGAGTTAATTTTTGTATATGGTGAGAGGTAGGGGTCCAGTTTCATTCTTCTGCATATGTTTAGACAGTTCTCCCACCATCATTATTGAATAGGGTATCCTTACCCCATTGCTTATTTTTGTCAACTTTGTTAAATATCAGTTGGTTGTATGTATGTGGCTTTATTTCTGGGTTCTCTATTCTGTTCCATCAATCTATGTATCTATTTTTCTACCAGTACCATGCTGTTTTGGTTACTGTAGCCTTGTAGTATATTTACTGTCCGGTAATGGGATGCCTCCAGCTTTGTTCCTTTTGCTTAGGATTGCTTTGTTATTCAGGGTATTTTTTGGTTCAATATAAATTTCAGAATAGTTTTTTCCTAATCCTGTGAAAAATGACATTGGTAGTTTGACAAGAATAGCATTGAAGCTGCATATTGCTTTGGGCTGTATGACAATTTTAATGTTATTGATTCTTCCCACCCATGGGAATGAAATGCCTTTCATGTTTTTGCTTTTCATGTTACTGGTGTATACAAATGCTACCAATTTATGTACACTGATATTGTATCTTGATACTTTACTGAAGTACTTTATCATGTCTAGGAGTCTTGTGACAGAATCTTTTGGCAGAGTCTTGGTTTAAAATCATATTGTTAGTGAAGACACATAATTTGACTTCCTCTTTTCCTATTTGGATGCCTTTTATTTCTTTCTCTTGCCTAATTGCTCTGGCTAGAACTTTTAGTACTTTGTTGAATAGAAATGAGAGAATGGACAACCTTGTCTTGTTTCAGTTCTTAGGTGAAATGCTTCCAGCTTTTGTCCATTCAGTATAATGTTGGCTGTGAGTTTGCCATGGATGGCTTTAGTTATTTTGTGGTGCATTCCTTTGATGCCTAGTGTGTTGAGTGTTTTTATCATGAAAGGATGTTGGATTTTATCAAATGCTTTTTCTGTGTCTATTGAGATCACCATGTGGTTTTTGTTTAAGGTTCTGTTTAGGTAATGCATAATATTTATTGATTTGAATATGTTGAACCAACCTTGCATCCCAGGAATAAAGCCCACTTGATCATGGTGAATTCACTTCTTGATATGCTGCTGCATTTTGTTTGCTAGTATTTTGTTGAGGATTTTATGTTTATGTTCATCAGGGATACTGGCCTGTCGTTTTTTTATTGTTGTTGTTTCTTTACAAGATTTTGCTATCAGGATGACAATAATTTCATAGAATGAGTTAGGGAGGAGTCGCTTCTCCTTGATTTTTTGGAATAGTTTAAGTAATATTGGTACCAGCTCTTATTTGTATGTCTGGTAGAATTCAGATATAAATCTATCTCTTTCAGGGCTTTTATTCATTGGTAGGTTTTCTTTACTGATTCAATTTCAATACTAGTTATTGGTCTGTCCAGGATTCCTGTTTCTTCCTGGTTCAATTTTGGGAGGTTGTGTTTTTAGGAATTTATCCATTTCTTCTCAATTTTCTAGTGTGTATGCATGGAGATGTTCACAGTAATTTCTGAGGATCTTTTGTATTTCTGTGGCGTCTTTGTAATGTAACCTTTGTCATTTCTGATTGTACTTATGTGGATTTTGTCTTTTCTTTGTAAATCTAGCTAGTGGTCTGTCAATCTTATTTATCCTTTCAAATCTTATCATATCATTTTTTCAATTTTTTTATTTTTCAATTTTGTGGGTACACAGTAAGTGTATATATTTATAGGGTACATGAGATATTTTGCTACAGGCATGCAATATGTAATAATCACATCATGGAAAACTGGGCATTCATACCCTCAAGCATCTATCCTTTCTTTGCATTACAATTAATCCAATTATATACTTTTAGTTATTTTTAAATGTACAATTAAATTATTACAGATTAAAGTCACCCTGTTGTGCTATTAAATAGTAGGTCTGATTCATTCTTTCTAACTATATTTTGGTATCCATTAACCAGCTCTACCTCCCCATGTTTCTCCCCCATCCCCACTGTCCTTTCCAGCCTCTGGTAACCATCCTTCTATTATCTATCTCCATGAGTTCAATTGTTTTGATTTTTAGATACTACAAATAAGTGAAAACAAGCAATATTTGTATTTTTGTGCCTGGCTTATTTCACTTACCATAATGACCTCCAGTTTCATCCTTGTTGTTGTCAATGATTTTATTTTTTTTTATGTCTGAATAGTACTCCATTAAGTATAAGTGCCACATTGCTTGACCCATTCATCTGCTGATGGACACTTAGGTTGCTTCCAAATCTTGGCTATTGTGAACAGTGCTGCAACAAACATGAGAGTGCAGATGTCTCTTTAATACACTATTTTCCTTTCCTTTGGGTATATACCCAGCATTGTGATTGTTGGAGTGTACGGTAGCTCTATTTTTAGTTTTTTGAGGAACCTCCATGTTGTTCTCCATAGCAGTTTTACTAATTTACATTCCCACCAACAGTGTGTGAGGGTTCCCTTTTCTCCACATTCTCACCAGCATTTGTTATTGTCTGACTTCCAACTTTTCATTTCATTGATTCTTTGCATGGCTTTTTGAGTCTCAATTTCATTTAGTTCTGCTTTGATTTTAGTTATTTCTTTTCTTCTTCTAGCCATGGGTTTAGTTTGTTCTTGTTTTCACAGTTCTTTTAGATTGAAGTTAGGTTGTTAATTTGAGATCTTTCTATTTTTTTGATGTAGGTGTTTAGTACTGTAAACGTTCCTCTTAACACCGCTTTTGCCATATATCCCAGAGGTTTGGTTAAGTTATGTCTCTAGTTTTATATGTTTCAAAGAATGTTTTGATTTCTGCCTTAATTTCATTGCTTACTCAAAAACACACAGGAGCAAGTTGTTTAATTTCCATGTGTTTGTGTGGTTTGGTGAGTTCTTCTTGTTATTGATTTCTATTTTTATTCCACTGTGGTCTGGGAAGATGCTTGGTATGATTCTGAAGTTTTTGAATTTACTGAGCCTTGGTTTATGACCAAGCATATGGTAATTCTTAAAGTATGTTCCATGTGCAGATGAGAAGAATGTATATTCTGTGATTTTTGGATGTAGTATTCTGTAGAGGGCTGTGGTGTACTTGCTTTTTGTAAGATCTGTGGGCTACGTACTTATATATATGCTTTTGTGGAAGCAAGTATTCTTTAATTTCCATGTTTAGAACTCCCTTAAGCATCTCTTGTAGGGCTGGTGGGATGGTGAAAAATTCCTTTAATGACTGCTTGCCTGAGAAAGATTTTCTTTCTCCTTCACTTATGAAGCTTAGTTTGGCAGGACATAGAATTCTTAGCTGGCATTCTTTTCTTTAGGAATGCTAAAAATGGCCCCAAATCTCTTCTGGCTTGTCATGTTTCTGCTGAGAAGTCCACAATTAGGTTGATGGATTTCCCTTTATAGATAATATGAGCCTTTTTTTCTAGCTTCTTTTAAGATTTTTTTCTTTCACGTTGATATTGGATAGTATGATGACCATGTGCCTTGAGGATGGTCATCTTGTATAATATCTTGCAGGACTCCTCTGGATTTCTGGTATCTGTATATTCATCTGTCTAGCAAGCTTGGGGAAATTTTTCTGAATTATATTATCAAATATATTTTCTAAGTTGCTTACTTTCTCTTTTCTCTTAGGAATGTCAGTAAGTCATAGATTTGACCAATTTACATAATCCTATATAGCTTGAAGGCTTTTTTCTCTTTAATTCATTTTTCTGTAAATTGTCTGAGTAGGCTGATTTAAAGGATTGATTTTTGTGCTCTCAGATTCTTTTTTCTGTTTGATATAATCTGTTATTGAGGTTTCCAATCATATTTCAAATTCCTGTAGTGAATTTTTCAATTCCAGGAGTTCTGGTAGGTTCTTTTTAAATATAGCTATGTCATTTTCCAAATCTTGGATTGCTTTTCTGACTTCTTTGTGTTGCATTTTCAGTTTCTCTTGGATCTCATTTTCTTTGCCATCCATATTCAGAAGTCTGTATCTATCATTTCCAATATTTCATTCTCATTAGTATCCATTTCTTGAGAGATAGTGAGGTCCTTTGGAGGGGATGAAACACGCTGCTTTTTTGTATTTCCAAAGTTCTTATGTGGGTTCCTTCTCATCTGAGGAATCTGATGCTTTGTTTTTAATTTACTATTGGATGGAGCTTCTTGACTTTTTCATTCTTTTTTTCCCTTGGAGTATGATTGTGGTGTATATTGTGTATGGTCTGTTATTTTTGTTTCTGTGTGCTCTCAGGGTGCCGGGGCTCTGTACAGGTTCTTTGGTTGTAGATAAGTTTGTGCAGCGGCTTTTTCAGACGTTGCTTGTGGCAATACATTTTTATTTGGTGGTGTAATTCAGGCTGCATTCCAGTAAATGGCACCTAAGAGCAAGAGCTGGAAGGTAGGGGTGGGCATGGAGGCAACAGAGAAGCATGAAAAACACCCTCCGCCAGCACACAGTTCACCTTTAGTGGGAGTGAAACCACTGCAGAAGCCAAGAAGTGGTCTCTTTCAGCCCATGCCCCCCTCCAGGGCTGATGGGAAGAGCTACTGCCAACTCTAGAACAGTGCCTCGAGAAGGGATCGGGAACAATAGATGACCCCTTCTCCACATCCATTCCCATCAGGGTTTGGTGGTGCCACCTTCGGCAGCTGGTCCCATGTTCACGTTTCCTTTGACCCAGACAGAGCTTTGGTAGGCTGCATTTCCCTCTTCCCTAGGGGCAGACTATGCTGAGAGTTAGATCTCCAGGGGTCTGGGATTCACCTTCTTTCTGCTCTTTATAGCTGATGGGGCACTGTCCCCCAAGTGACTGAGGGAGTAGGCTATGGTGCCCATCAATGACACAGGCAGACTGGTTCCAGGTCACAAAACTGTTCCTGGTTGCAAGTTTCAGTGCCCGGGGGAAACCTTGGCTGAAGCAGCTTTCTGTCATAACAGTTCTAGAGCGGGAGAGAACTTCCAGCCCTGTAACAGGATAAAGCCTAATTCCTTCGCCTGTTACTGGGGCACTCAAAGCTCAATTCTGGTTATGGGGTCCCTTCCCTTGCTCCACAGCAAATACTACAATCTCTAGCCTGAGACTAAAATGCCTGTTGTGGCCACTACTACCCGGTCGTCAGTGTCTGACTTTGTATGAGCCCAGATTAAAAATGGCAGCCTTCCCTCAGCCCCAGGTCTGAGAACATATCTGCAGGTTTTCCTGGTGTCTTTCCTTCTCTCCATCTCTCAGCTTCTCCCCAAGTTAGCTCCAGGGCTTGGGAGAAACAGGGTGCTTTTCCTTGACCTGGGTTGCACACATCCATAGTGAAAAGGTGAGTCATAGAAGGAAACTGCCTGTTCCTTTCATGGGCTTCACTCAAAATTATCAGCTAAATCCTGTCACAGGGGCTACTCACTCACCTTCTCCTTCCCAGGGTCTGAATAGTCCTTCACTATTCCAGTGAATTCCCATTTTCCTTCTTGAACTAAAGTTCTCAGAGTTAGTCTTTATACATTATTTTGTTCTTTTCAAGTTGCTGAGGCATGCTAAAAGCTTCTCATCTTCCATCTTGGAGAAAAACAAAACTTACCATTTTTCTAAAGCCAAATTTCCCTTGTTCTGAGTTAAGAGTACCAACTTATCCTATTTATCTTTAAAAACTACTGCCTATGGAATTTGGCTTTACCCATTTAAAAATTTACCTATGTATCCAGTTAGCTATCTGCCTTTTTATCTATTTATATGTGGTTTTTATAAAATGGCCTGGCAATATGAAGTGTCCAAATGTGATAAAAAGAAGCAGTTATATATTTTTTTAAAATACGCAACCTGTAAGTATTATCTGCCTCCCAGAAGATGCAAGCTATTTTACTCATATCACATTTAGCCCCCACTCTAATTGATGGTTTAAGTACAGGCAGAATTTCTCTCTATCAGTAGATGATGCTTCAGGGGTTAAAAGAACTGGAGAATCCACTATTTATAACTGGCAGGAAGGCCCAGGTCATAAGGCAACTAATTTACAGTATTCTCACTCTCAGAGTCTGCATTTGCTTCTGGAGGTTCCCCCTTCTGCTACTTCTAGAACTTCTCTGATTAACTTAGAAGCCAATCCTGTATTTGAGGTGTACTTCATACTCAATGATAACCATATTTGCAGGACAACAGAGGGGCAAATTGCTACACTTGCTGAGCTCATCTCCAGCAAGGCTATTGGGATGAATTCTAAACACATTTTTGAGAGTGAGGAGAAAGTCATCAGATAGCTCCAACTTGGAGACCTTTCTAAGATCCTAGATCCCAAAGAACTTTGAGAATGAAAAGTATGAAAGGCAAATTAAATTAAATAAGAAATTGATTCAAAAACAAATGATGTGAAGCCTGAGAAATAAAAATGAAATCCTAAGCCCCCAACACACTGAAAAGAACTCCTCTTGGCCAAGGGGACCCCAGAGTAACTTTGAAAACTGAGTTATTGGCCATGCTGGGATGGGAGGTCAGACACCTCTCATGACACCCCCTTGCTCTCTAACTGCCCTTACGTTTTCTTCTCTAAGGGATAAACAGAACTCAACCCTTGTACCACTAATATCAACCAACCACATGACTGCTGCCCCTCTCTACCAACCAGCATTTCTTCCTGATAAGAGACCACCAACCAGGGAGTTGGCTGGCAAGATGGCCAAATAGGAACAGGTCTGGCCGGCAGCTTCCACTGAGATCAACACAGAAGGTGGGTGATTTCTAGATTTCCAGCTGAGGTACCTGGTTCATCTCATTGGAACTGGTTGGACAGTGGGTGCAGGCCACGGAGTGTGAGCCAAAGCAGGGTGAGGGGTCACCTCACCTGAGAAGCATAAGGGGTCAGGGGATTTCCCTTCCCTAACGAAGGCAAACTGTAGGGGACTATGCCGTGATGAACGGAGCACTCCAGCCCAGATACTGGGCTTTTCCCACAGTCTTCACAACCTGCAGACCAGGAGATTCCCTCCAGTGCCTATGCCACCAGGGCTCTGGGTTTCAACACAAAACTGGGTGCCGTTTGGACAGACACCCAACTAGCTGCAGGAGTTTTTCTCTTCATACCCCGGTGGCACCTGGAATGCCAGTGAGATAGAACTGTTCACTCCCCTGGAAAGGGGGCTGAAGCCAGGGAGCCAAGTGGTCTGGCTTAGTGGGTCCCACCTCCACGGAGCCCAGCAAGCTAAGATGTACTGGCTTGAAATTCTCGCTGCCAGCACAGCAGTCTGAGGTCGACTTGGGATGCTCGCTCAAGCTTGGTGGGGGGAGGGGTGTCCACCCTTGCTGAGGCTTGAGTAGGCGGTTTTACCCTTACAGTGTAAACAAAGCCACTGGGAAGTTCAAACTGGGCAGAGCCCACCACAGCTCAGCAAGGCTGCTGTGGCCAGACTGCCTCTCTAGATTCCTGCTCTCTGAGCAGGGCATCTCTGAAAAAAAGGCAGCAGCCCCAGTCAGGGACTTATAGATAAAACTCCCATCTCCCTGGGACAGAGCACCTGGGGTAAGGGATGGCTATGGACACAGCTTCAGCAGACTTAAAAGTCCCTGCCTGATGGCTCTGAAGAGAGCAGCAGATCTCCCAGCACAGCATTCAAGCTCTGCTAAGGGTCAGACAGCCTCCTCAAGTGGGTCCCTGACCCCCGTGTCTCCTGACTGGGAGATACCTCCCCGCAGGGGTCAACAGACACTTCATACAGGAGAGTATTAGCTGGCATCTGGTGGGTGCCCCTCTGAGATGAAGCTTCCGGAGGAAGAAACAGGCAGCAATCTTTGCTGTTTTGCAGCCTCCACTAGTGATACACAGGCAAACAGGTTATGGAGTGGAGCTCCAACAAACTCCAGCAGACCTGCAGCAGAGTGGCCTGACTGTTAGAAGAAAAACTAACAAACAAAAAGGAATAGCATCAACATCAACAAAAAGGACATCCACTCAGAGACCCAATACGAAGGTCACAAACATCCAAGACCAAAGGTAGAAGAATCCATGAAGATGGGGAGAAACCAGCGCAAAAAGGCTGAAAATTCCAAAAGCCAGAACACCTCTTCTCCTCCAAAGGATCACAACTCCTCACTGGCAAGGGAACAAAACTGGACAGAGAATGATTTTGAAGAATTGACAGAAGTAGGCTTCAGAAGGTGGGTAATAGCAAACTCCTCTGAGCTAAAGGAGCATGTTCTAACTCAATGTAAGGAAGCTAAGAACCTTGAAAAAAGGTTAGACTCATTGCTAACTAGAATAACCAGTTTAAAGAAGAATATAAATGACTTGATGGAGCTGAAAAACATAGCATGAGAACTTCATGAAGCATACACAAGTATCAATAGCCGAATCAATCAAGTGCAAGAAAGGATATCAGAGATTGAAGGTCAACTTAATGAAATAAAGCAAGAAGATAAGATTAGAGAAAAAAAGAATGAAAAAGAACAAACAAAACCTCCAAGAAATATGGGAGTATATGAAAAAAACAAATTTATGTTTGATTGGTGTACCTGAAAGTGATGGGGAGAATAGACCCGAGTTGGAAAACACTCTTCAGGATATTTTCCAGTAGAACTTCCTCAACCTAGCAAGACAAGCCAACATACAAACTCAGAAAACACAGAGAACACCACAAAGATACTCCTCTAGAAGAGCAACCAGAAGACACATAATCATCAGATTCACCAAGGTGGAAATGAAGGAAAAAATGTTAAGGGCAGCCAGAGAGAAAGGTCGGGTTAACCACAAAGGGAAGCCCATCAGACTAACAGTGGATCTCTCTGCAGAAACCCTACAAGCCAGAAGAGAGCAGTGGCCAATATTCAACATTTTTAAAGAAAAGAATTATCAACCCAGAATTTCATATCCAGCCAAAGTAAACTTCATAAGCAAAGAAGTAAAATCCTTTACAGACAAGCAAATGCGAAAGATTTTTTCACCACCAGGCCTGCCTTACAAGAGCTCCTGAAGGAAGCACCAAACATAGAAAGGAACTGTTAAATGGTATTTCTTGATCTAGATCCGTGAGGAATCGCCACACTGACTTCCACAATGGTTGAACTAGTTTACAGTCCCACCAACAGTATAAAAGTGTTCCTATTTCTCCACATCCTCTCCAGCACCTGTTGTTTCCTGACTGTTTAATGATTGCCATTCTAACTGGTGTGAGATGATATCTCATTGTGGTTTTGATTTGCATTTCTCTGATGGCCAGTGATGATGAGCATTTTTTCATGTGTCTGTTGGCTGCATAAATGTCTTCTTTTGAGAAGTGTCTGTTCATGTCCTTCGCCCACTTTTTGATGGGGTTGTTTTTTTCTTGTAAATTTATTTGAGTTCATTGTAGATTCTGGATATTAGCCCTTTGTCAGATGAGTAGGTTGCGAAAATTTTCTCCCATTCTGTAGGTTGCCTGTTCACTCTGATGGTAGTTTCTTTTGCTGTGCAGAAGCTCTTTAGTTTAATTAGATCCCATTTGTCAATTTTGGTTTTTGTTGCCATTGCTTTTGGTGTTTTAGACATGAAGTCCTTGCCCATGCCTATGTCCTGAATGGTAATGCCTAGGTTTTCTTCTAGGGTTTTTATGGTTTTAGGTCTAACATCCCATTACTGGGTATATACCCAAAGGACTATAAATCATGCTGCTATAAAGACACATGCACACGTATGTTTATTGTGGCATTATTCACAATAGCAAAGACTTGGAACCAACCCAAATGTCCAACAATGATAGACTGGATTAAGAAAATAGGGCACATATACACCATGGAATACTATGCAGCCATAAGAAATGATGAGTTCATGTCCTTTGTAGGGACATGGATGAAATTGGAAATCATCATTCTCAGTAAACCACTGCAAGAACAAAAAACCAAACACCGCATATTCTCACTCATAGGTGGGAATTGAACAATGAGATCACATGGACACAGGAAGGGGAACATCACACTCTGGGGACTGTTGTGGGGTGGGGGGAGGGGGGAAGGATAGCATTGGGAGATATACCTAATGTTAGATGACGAGTTAGTGGGTGCAGTGCACCAGCATGGCACATGTATACATATGTAACTAACCTGCACAATGTGCACATGTACCCTAAAACTTAAAGTATAATAATAATAAAAAAAGAAAGGAACTGTTATCAGCCACTTCAAAAACATACCAAATTGTAAAGACCATCAACACTATAAAGAAACTGCATCAACTAATGGGCAAAATAACCAGCTAGCATCATAATGACAGGATCAGGTTTACATATAACAATACTAACATTAAATGTAAACTGGCTAAACGCCCCAATTAAAAGACACAGACTGGCAAATTGGATAAAGAGTCAAGAACCGTTGGTGTGCTGTGTTCAGGAGACACATCTCACATGCAAAGACACACATAGGCTCAAAATAAAGGGATGGACGAATATTTATCAAGCAAATCGAAAGCAAAGTAAAGCAGGGGTTGCAATCCTAGTCTCTGATAAAAGAGAAATTAAACCGACAAAGATCAAAAGAGAAAAAGAAGGGCACCACATAATGGTAAAGGGATCAATGCAACAAGAAAAGCTAACTATCCTAAATATATATGCACCCAATACAGGAGCACCTAGATTCATAAAGCAAGTTCTTAGAGACCTACAGAGAGACTTAGACTCCCACACAGTAATAGTGGGAGATTTTAACACCCCACCATCAATATTAGACAGATCAACAAGACAGAAAATTAACAAGGATATTCGAGACCTGAACTCAGCTCTGGACCGAGCAGACCTAACAGACATCTACAGAACTCTCCACCCCAAATCAGCAGAATATACATTCTTCTCAGCACCACGTCGCACTTATTCTAAAATTGACCAAATAATTGGAAGTAAAATACTCCCCAGAAAATGCAAAAGAATAGAAACCATAACAAACAGTCTCTCAGACCACAGTGCAATCAAATTAGAACTCAGGATTAAGAAACTCACTCAAAACCACACAGATACATGGGAACTGAACAACCTGCTCCAGATTGACTACTGGGTAAATAAAGAAATGAAGGCAGAAATAAAGATGTTCTTTGAAACCAATGAGAACAAAGACAGTGTACCAGAATCTCCAGGACACATTTAAAGCTGTGTTTAGAGGAAAATTTATAGCAGTAAATGCCCACAAGAGAAAGCAGGAAAGATCTAAAATTGACACCCAATATCACAATTAAAAGATCTAGAGAAGCAAGAGCAAACAAATTCAAAAGCTAGCAGAAAACAAGAAATAACTAAGATCAGAGCAGAAGTGAAGGAGATAAAGAACAAAAATCCCATCAGAAAATCAATAAATCCAGGAACTGGTTTTTCGAAAATATCAACAAAATATATAGAGCACTAGCAAGACTAATAAAGAAGAAAAGAGAGGAGAATCAAATACACACAATAAAAAATGATAAAAGGGATATCACCACTCATCCCACAGAAATACAAACTACCATCAGAGAATACTATAAATATCTCTAGGCAAATAAACTAGGAAATCTAGAAGGAAGGGATAAATTCCTGGACACATATACCCTCACAAGACTAAGCCAGGAAGAAGTCAAATCCCTGAATAGACCAATAACAAGTTCTGAAATTGAGGCAGTAATTAATAGCCTACCAACCAAAAAAGTCCAGGACCAGATGGATTCACAGCCAAATTCTACCAGAGGTCAAAAGAGGAACTGGTACCATTCCTTCTGAAACTATTCCAAACAATAGAAAAAGGGGGAACCCTCCATAACCCTTTTTATGAGGCCAGCATCATCCTGGTAACAAAACCCGGCAGAGACACAACAAAAAAAGAAAATTTAAGGCCAATATCCCTGATGAACATCAGTGCAAAAATCTTCAATAAACTACTGGCAAACCTAATCCAGCAGCACATCAAAAAGCTTAACCACCACGAACAAGTCAGCTTCATCCCTGGGATGTAAGGCTGGTTCAACATATGCAAATCAATAAACATAATTCATCACATAAATAGAACCAATGACAAAAACCACATGATTATCTAAATCAATGCAGAAAAGGCCTTTGACAAAACTCAACAGCGCTTCATGCTAAAAGCTCTAAATAAAATAGGTATTGATAGAACATATCTCAAAATAATAAGAGCTATTTATGACAAACCCACAGCCAATCTCATACTGACTGGGCAAAAACTGGAAGCATTCCCTTTGAAAATTGACACAAGACAAGGATGCCCTCTCTCACCACTCCTATTCAACATAGTATTGGAAGTTCTGGCCAGGGCAATTAGACAAGAGAAAGGAATAAAGGACATTCAAATAGAAAAAGAGGAAATCAAATTGTCTTTGTTTGCAGATGACATGATTGTATATTTAGAAAACCCCATCGTCTCAGCCCAAATCTCCTTAAGCCGATAAGCGGCTTCAGCAAAGTCTCAGGATACAAAATCAGTGAGCAAAAATCACAAGCATTCCTCTACACAAATAACAGACAAACAGAGAGCCAAATCATGAGTGAACTCCCATTCACAATTGCTACAAAGAGAATAAAATACCTAGGAATCCAACTTACAAGGGATGTGAAGGACCTCTTCAATGGGAATGACACACCAGTCCTCCAGGAAATAAGAGAGGACACAAACAAATGGAAAAGCATTCCATGCTCATGGATAGGAAGAATCAATATCATGAACATGGCCATACTGCCCAAAGTAATTTATAGATTCAATGCTATCCCCATCAAGCTACCATTGACTTTCTTCATGGAATTCAAAAAACTATTTTAAATTTCATATGGAACCAAGAAAGAGCCCGCATAACCAAGGCAATCCTAAGCAAAAAAATAAAAAATAAAACAAAGCTGGAGGCATCATGTGACCTGACTTCAAAGTATACTACAAGGCTACAGTAACCAAAACAGCATGGTACTGGTACCAAAACAGAAACATGGACCAATGGAACAGGACACAGGCCTCAGAAATAACACCACACATCTACAACCATTTGAACTTTGACAAACCTGACAAAAACAAGCAATAGGGAAATGATTCTCTATTTAATAAATGGTGTTGGGAAAACTGGCTAGGCAAAAGCAGAAAGCTGAAACTGCATCCCTTCCTTACACCTTATACAAAAATGAACTCAAGATGGATTAAAGACTTAAACATTCAGATCTAAAACCATAAAAACCCCAGCAGAAAGCCTAGGCAATACCATTCAGGACATAGGTATGGGCAAGGACTTCATGTCTAAAACACCAAAAGCAATGGCAGCAAAAACCAAAATTGACAAACGAGATCTAATTAAACTAAAGAGCTTCTGCACAGCAAAAGAAACTATCATCAGAGTGAACACGCAACCTACAGAATGGGAGAAAATTTTCACAATCTATCCATCTGACAAAGGGCTAATATCCAGAATCTACAAAGAACTTAAACAAATCTACAAGAAAAAAACAAACAACCCCATCAAAAAGTGGGCAAAGGATATGAACAGACACTCCTCAAAAGAAGACATTTATGTAGCCAACAAACATATGAAAAAAAGCTTATCATCACTGGTCATTAGAGAAATGCAAATCAAAACCACAGTGAGATATCATCTCACACCAGTTAGAATGGCGATCATTAAGAAGTCAGGAAACAACAAATGCTGGAGAGGATATGGAGAAATAGGAACGCTTTTACGCTGTTGGTAGGAGTGTAAATTAGTTCAACCATTGTGGAAGACAGCGTGGTTATTCCTCAAGGATCTAGAACCTGAAATATAATTTGACCCAGCAATCCCATTAATGGGTATATACCCAAAGGATTAAAAATCATGCTACTATAAAGACACATACACACATATGTTTATTGCAGCACTGTTCACAATACCGAAGACTTGGAACCAACTCAAATGCCCATCCATGATAGACTGGATAAGGAAAATGTGGCACATAGACACCATGAAATACTATGCAGCCATAAAAAAGGATGAGTTCATGTCCTTTTCAGGGACATGAATGAAGCTGGAAACCATCATTCTCAGCAAACTAACACAAGAACAGAAAAGCAAACACTGCATATTCTCACTCATATGTGGGAGCTGAACAATGAGAATACACGGACACAGGGAGGGGAAGATCACATGGGGCCTGTTCAGGGAGTGAGGGGCAAGGGAAGGTATAGCATTAGGAGAAATACCTAATGCAGATGATTGGTTGATGGGTGCAGCCAACCACCATGGCACGTGCATACCTATATACCAAACCTACACATCCTGTACATGTACCCCAGGACTTAAAGTATAACAATAAAAATAAAATAAAAGAGACGGTCAACCATAGAATGGTTCTGGCCATTCTACAGAGGATGCACAGTACACATTTTCTTGTCCTCTGCTTCACATTTTGAAATCAGAAGGCTGAAAACTCCACCCTTGGATCCTGCTAACACTGCTATTTATTTTTAATATTGGATCCATGAAGGGGCAGGAAGCTTAATTGCATATGCACACTTTCTCCTTTCATAAATATTCATGGCTCTTCCTATAGCTTATTGAAAATGCATATTCAGCTACCTCACTCAGCATAAATTCCTGCTCTCATTGCCCCTCCAGTCTCTGTTTTTGGCTTCTTGCTGGAGGCTATGTTTCCCAGCCTTTCAGAATGGCCACCCTACAGGCTCCAAACCTTTAAGAGAAATAAATCTCTCCTTTCCAAATTTATGAACCTTGTCATTCTCCAGTTGACAGACCCAACAAGTTGGCAAGGGGGACAGGAAGTAGAAGGTAAATTCAACAAGACCTAAAAGATCACCTTCCAGGAAACCATGGGTTTTCTTTCTCTTTCTTTAAGGCATTTTATCTATCTTATTTCAGAAAATATATTAATCAAACAATCTTAGAATAGCCTGTTTCCCATTAGGCCTGAAAGATAACTCTTGAAAATTGAGTAATTGCTGATAGTTTTCTTATTAAAAAAAAAACTTGTGAGAATATAGCACATTACTTCATGACTCCCAGTGAGTATGTTCATTTGATTCTATAAAAATGTGTTGTGTTAAATGGTATTTCTAGTTCTAGATACTTGAGGAATTGCCACACTGTCTTCCACAATGGTTGAACATTTTTACAGTCCCACCAACAGTGTAAAAATGTTCCTGTTTCTCCATATCCTCTCCAGCACCTGTTGTTTCCTGACTTTTTAATGATCGCCATTCTAACTGGTGTGAGATGGTATCTCATTGTGGTTTTGATTTGCATTTCTCTGATGGCCAGTGATGATGAGCATTTTATTCATGTGTCTGTTGGCTGCATAAATGTCTTCTTTTGAGAAGTGTCTGTTCATATCCTTCACCCACTTTTTGATGGGGTTGTTTGGTTTTTTCTTGCAAATTTGTTTAAGTTCTTTGTAGAGTCTGGGTATTAGCCCTTTATCAGATGGGTAGATTGTAAAAATTTTCTCCCATTCTATAGGTTGCGTGTTCACTCAGATGGTAGTTTCTTTTGCTATGCATAAGCTCTTTAGTTTAATTAGATCCCATTTGTCAATTTTGGCTTTTGTTGCCATTGCTTTATATACCCAAAGGATTATAAATCATGCTGCTATAAAGACACATGCACACGTATGTTTATTGTGGCACTATTCACAATAGCAAAGACTTGAAACCAACACAAATGTCCATCAATGATAGATTGGTTAAGAAAATGTGGCACATATACAATATGGAATACTATGCAGCCATAAAAAAGGATGAGTTCATGTCCTTTGTAGGGATATGGATGAAGCTGGAAACCATCATTCTGAGCAAACTATTGCAAGGACAGAAAACCAAACACCACATGTTCTCATTCATAGGTGGGAACTGAACAATGAGAACACATGGACACAGGGTGGGGAACATCACACACTGGGGCCTGTTGGGGGGTGGGGGGAGGGGGGAGGGATAGCATTAGGAGATATACCTAATGTGAATGATGAGTTAATGGGTGCAGCACACCAACATAGCACACGTATACATATGTAACAAACCTGCACGTTGTGCACATGTACCCTAGAACTTAAAGTATAATGAAAAAAAAATGTGTTCTGTTCTCTTTTCCTTATTTCAGGACCCTTCAATAGGACAATACTTGCTTAGGGACATCTTGCTTTTCACAACAAATTCTCTTCCAAGTCTTGTGTGCTGATTCTTACACCCATTTTGACAAATTATCCTATTTTCTGGCTTTTTCTGTAACCTTATTGTCCCTCTGTCCAATCACTTTCAGTGAAAGTATGAATTGTAATTGTTTTCAGGTTTACTATCAAGTTAGTTCTTTCATTTTCCCCTGTTCCTTTTTCACATTCAACTTTGGTGAATCACACTGGTGACTTAAAGTTCTTCCTTGAGTTCAAAAAACAAACAAACATACACACACACACACACACACACACAGAAATCTGCGGGGCTCCACACCCCTTTTAAGAGCAGTGCTGGAACTTACATTTTCTTGGATGTGCTTGTATATGAAAAAACTGTGCATGAGACAAAAAGGATATTTGCAAGTGCATTTTTAGGCTAAATCTAGCTGTTCACTGAAGAGAGCTATGTTCATATTACAAAATGAGCTCTTATGTTTTCTTTTCATTGTTAAAGTTGTCATTCTGGCTCTGAAAGTCACTTTATCTATAATAAATGCAGCTCTAATGATGACTGATTGGGAAATACCAGCCTTTAATTTGGCCGTTAGCTCCCTCCAGCAAGTTGGAAATAATCGATAGCAAAGTGGGAGGCAGTTGCAACAATGAGATTGTGTCTCAAATAGATTCTCGTGGTGGCGAGGGTGGTCACTTAGATTTGTGGGAGGAGTTCTGATGTATGGCAGCTTTTAGAGCATATTTTGCTGGTAAGAAACTTATGGAGCAGTCCCAGAGAGAAGATCTATCTAAAATAGACATAGCAGCATTTCAGGATAACCCTAAAAATGTGTCATAATAGCAAGTTGTCGAGGGGCAGTCCCTTAATACACAGAACAGGCTCCTGGGGAAAGTACTAGTATTTAAATGTCATGCCAGTTCAAATGCACAGGCAATAGACTGTAATGGTTACGTCCAACAGGTTATAAGATCAGATACCCTGAGTTGAACTTTCAGCAATACCAATCATGAATTGTGGGACCTCAGGAAAGTTACTTTAACTCACTAAGCCTCAGTTTTGTCCCCTGTAAAATGGAAAAGGCATTAGTTCTACCTCACTGGGATTTTTGAGGATGAACTAATCTATGTAAAGCACTTAGCTACAACTGACTCTTAGTAAACACTCCACAAATATTAGCTGCTGCTTCTGTTACTGTTAGTAGTCTTAACCCCAGCCAGCAGTTCTCTATGACCAACTAAAGACTTAGGCCAAAAGATACCTTGCATACTAATTCTGCCACGGGATGCTCAAGGATATTTAGAAATTCTAATGAACGCTATATTTAAACAATTATTTAATAAAATATAGACCATACACTCATTAATTATGTACTATACATTTTTATTTAATATATATAAAGCAATTGAGATTGTAAACCCAAATGTGTGGCATTATGTTTATCCTTTTGATATTTTACCTGGTTGGTTGCAACCTATCATGACAATTTTTAATATTGAATCTGTCATACACAATACTTTCTGTCCCCTCCTCTCTGTGACATGTCAATATAAATGTAGTAAATACACTGGATAATTGACTCATGCTTCAGTCCATTGTACATACTTCCCACCAAGAGATTTTCTATACTCTGTTTCAACATTTCCAGTGACTAGAGCTGTCTCCCTCATCACATGGTAGCTTACTTTTTGTTTCTTTTTTAATAAACTTGATTTTGGAATAATTTTAGATTTACAGAATAGTTGAAAATTCAGTCATTCTTTAGTCAATTATGTTCTAAGATTGTCAACAAGTTTGTATTTCTCCTTATCGTAACGGGAGAGTTCCCTGAACCACTTGCAGAACATGCGACAGGGGTGGGGGCCTATGCATTCGGCTGCCGTACACTCAAACATTTTAGAGTTGGGGGAGCACGCAGACAGGCAGGCACAGGAGCCAGGGTGAGTGCTCTGGGGCTCTGGCCCCATGGTAGCAACTAGAGGTGTGTGCCTGCAACTCCCAAAGCCTAAGTGGGTGTGACATGTGTTACAGTGCGCTCTTTTAGCTTTGCCATCTGCAGACGGCTTACGTGTTAACCAGCTCAGTGAACCCTCTGCCTTTTCACAATGGCAGAAGGCCAGTGTGACAGCTTTCTGTATGTGGAGCTCTTATCCAGCAACCCAGAAGAATCAACTCACACACAGACTTAAGGGTGGTAAATGTGGGGGTTTTCTTGGGTGGAAGAGGTGGCTCTCAGTGGGATCGATGGGGGACTAGCACAGGGAGGAAGTGGGAAGATGATCTTCCCCTGGAGTTTGATCATCCAGCAGCTGAACTCCTCTCTGGCCACACCCAGTCAAACTCCTCTTGGCATTCAGATGCTCCTTTTCTTCTCTCTGCCATGCCATTCTGCCATTCTTCTGCTCTTCTGTTCATCTTCTCATCTCCTTCTGGAGCCTGGAGTCTGGGGTTTATATGGGCACAGAATAGGGGGGCATGTTGTACCAGAAGGCAACTTTTTTGGCACAAAAACAGGAATGCCTATTCCCACTTAGGATCACATGTATCCAGGCTTGAGGGTGGGGTCTTTGCCAGGGAACAACCCTCTCCTACCCAGTATTTCTCTGTCTCTTACCCATATCATTATGAGAGTGTGGACTTTGTTAAGAAAATATTTATCTTCTTTCTTCTCTTACTGCGGCCAAAGTATATGTCTCCATCCCATTAATGTTGGGCTGGGTCATGAATTACTTTGTCTAAAGACACATTAATGGACATGAAACAAGGAGAGATCTTTAAGAACAATTGAGTTTGGATTTTGCATGATAGTGATCTGACATGAAAAGTAGATGCCTTGGGCACTCAATGGATGGTCCAAGGAAGACGAGACACATGTGAAAGAGACTTGAACCACATTTCCACCTGGAGTAAAGTACAACTTATCTGAAGCCTGATGAAAAACACACAGCAGAGTTCAGCTTAAACCAGCCAAACCTGTAGCCTATAGACCCATGAGCAAGAAATAAATGTTTCTTGATGTAAGCTGCTAAGTTTGGGAGTGGTTTGTCACTCAATATCACTATGTCAGATCTGATTAATGTACTCTCCATTATAAGCAAGAATATCACAAACTGTTGCTAAATTCCATGCTGAAATTGTAAAGTATAACCTCTTCTGTAGTCTCCTGAACTACCTGTCCCGTAATCATATCTCAGTGGGAACTTAGGAACTGAGTTGAATATAATGGTCACATAAGCCAGAAGTTGCATAATAGACTCCTCTCCACCCCCAAGATTCTGATTTAATTGATCAGTGTTAGGGTCTGGGCATCAGTATTTTATAGAAGTTCCCAGGGTGGTATCAACGTAAAGTCAGGCTGGAGAACCACTAACTAGAGGGGTGAGATGTGAAACCCTAGCTTTTTCTGAAAAGAACAAGCTAAGGGAAAAAGAACACAAAACCCCATCAGACCAGACAGAGGCCTATATAGGAAAACGTAGGAGTCTGTCAAGTAGAGGTTCATTGTATTAAAAAGAAAAAACCATACAATTTCATTCATTCACTATCATTCACTTGGTAAAGGCAAAACAAAAGCTATGGCCTGGGGCCAGTGACAGCTGTACATGTTAAGATGTTGAGTGACTGTATTGATTTCCCTAAGGGAAGATCTGTCAGAGTAGTAATGGTGGTGTGGGTGAATGAAGAAGAGAACTTCCAGTCTAGGAAGTCTTTTAAAAGACTGCATCTTGGGATGCCTGTTTAATTATGCTGTCTCCAACTTTATAACCTAAGGGTTGTTTTGTTTCCTTTTTAAATAAACAATCCAGTTATGTTTTTCTAACCCATTTAAAACTCCTTTGAGCACACTTGGGACATCTCAGCTCTGACTCCAAGTAATCACTCTGCCCAAAGAGTGATGATGGGAAACATAAAACCTGACATTAAGCCTTGACATAAACAAGGTAATATACAAATGATAGGACTACAAGGAAAACGGGTTTGAAGTACAGAATAGAGTAATTAGTCAGATTCTAGTTCAAATTCAGATTTGCAGTTTACTAGCTGGGTGATCTTAGGCAATTACTTAAGTTATTTTGCCTCCATTTACTCATACATGTGAAACAAAGTACATAATTTTTTACACCAGAATTCTGGGTTGAGGGAAGGATGCTTACCTTGAGGCAAACTGTACTCCCAGGAACTGGTATGCAGGTGAAGGAAGGATAAAAATGGCACTAAGGAAGGGAGAACTAAAAACTAGAAATGGCATAGTCCTGAGAGACTGTGGGACTGCGGGAGAGGAGTGGGATATATAAGTAAAGAGACTTGGGTATCAGTACCTGCTGTGGGGTAAAAATTTGGTGAGACAGATAGACATTTAGGGAGGGCTTCTGGGAAGCTGGCAGATGATGTCAGCACAAAGTTCATTCTCTTCCCTGTGTAGAATACCTAAAGTGAAGATCCACATTACTATTACTTGTTGTGGTTTCCACAGTCAGAGTTGAAAAGGTGGTTAGACAGAGGCTGGCACTCAAATGAACTTATATTAGGGCTGCTGTGAGATCAAAAATGTGGTAATATGTAGCAGAGCACTTGTTCCAGAATAAAGCATCCGACAAATGTAAGATGCCAAATTTATTATTATGTGATCGCTATGATGATTAATTTTTCCAATATTTAAAGACAGCTAATAGGCATTAATTTATCCCAAAATGTTTATGATAAAAGCCCATACTATTAGCACTAGTGAACGTCTCTGAGTCATGAAGCAAAGTATTTTAGCAGCAGTGAATTGTTATGGGTCTGCAGCAACCTCAAATCTCTCCTCTTCAATAGAAAGAATTTGAGAGGCATAAGGCAGAGTAAGAGACCAAGGCAAATTTTAGAGCAGGAGTGAGCTTATTAGAAAGCTTTAGAACAGAAACGAAAGGAAGGAAAGTATGCTTGGAAGTGGTCCAGGCAGGTGATTTGAGGACTTAAGTGTCTGGTTTGACCTTTGACTTGGGGTTTTATATGTTGGCATACTTCTGGGGTCTTGTGTTCCTTCTCCTCTTGTTAAAAATAAATTCTCAGTGCCACAAAAGGAATAGCACTCAAACATAAATTTAATTTTCTCAGCAAGGCGATTTTACTTCTATAGAAGGGTGTGACTCGTGGATGGAGCAATGCTGAGAGCACACCTGAACAAGGGAGGGGAAGGGGTTTTTATTCCTGATGCAGGTAGCCCCTACTGCTGTGTCATTCACCTATTGGCTAGGGTTGGACCACACAGTCTAAGCTAATTCTGATTGGCTATTTTAAAGAGAGCAAGGGTATGAGTCAGAGTGGCAGGGTGAGTAGTTTGGTGGGAAGGACAGTTACAGAACAGGTGACTCAGGATGATTCAGGTCAGAGCAGGTGACCAGGGGTGACTCAGGACAAAGCAGGTGATAGAGGCTAGGAGGGGGTTGTTTACTGAAACCAGGGCAAGGAGATGAAGAGAACGAGGAAGTTAAACTTTAAAATGAAGAACAAAGAACAGGGAAGCTGAATATACTGATACATTGGTTCTTTGGAGAGGATCTCAGAAATCATTGTACTTATCTATTTACAGGCTAAAACCTTTGAAGAGGAATTTATTATATCCTACACCCTGATTCTTCTTTTGGGGTAGGCTGTCCTCATGCACAGTGGCCTGCTAGCAACTGGGAGAGGAGCATGCACACTGTGTTCAGTGGAGTTGTGCACATGCTCACTTGAGGCATTTTCCCCTTACCAGTCAAGTGTTCCTAGATCATATACCAGTTAAACTCTGACATTTTGCCTCTTCATGTGCATACTTGAGCCCACTTATGCAGGTCCTGAGATCTTATCAGGAAGCTGCTGATCACCAGTTTCAGGTGTTTCTATCTATTGGGAGACTACCTTTCCCTGGCACTAGCTGTGACCAATTATTATTTTAGAGAGAGAGCTTAACAACTGCCTGACCATCACCTGATGGTCATCTGAAATTCCTGCATGGGGTGGTGGGGGACTCTCTTGCCCCACTCATGTCTAACTACCTACCATAACAATACCACTGTAGGAAGCATTGTATAGTGTAACCGTAACTGAAATGTGGGTTAGTTGCTTGCCACATGCAGAGTCCAATTAATAAGAGAGAGGTCTGACACAAAGCAAGTGAATTTATTCCAAAGCTAGCTTTGGGAAGATGCACAGATGTCCTGCCACGCTGCTTCACTTTTGGAGCAGAAAGTGGGCACTTTTATAAGGTAGAGGAGGAAATGAACAAGGGCAGCTGCTAGCTCTTGCCTTATCAAACAGGCAGTTGAGTTGGTGCCATCCTGGGCAGAAGTATGTTGTAAAAGTGGCCAAGTGGGCATGCTTTCAATATGCACTCCTGAGGCGAACCCCTGGAGGTGAAAGTTCCATCAGGGCATGCTTTCGTCTGCAAATCTACTGTTAAGAGATCTCTCTTGAAGCACGTAGATGAACTTGCCCAGTAGGGGATGTCTGGTGAGGAGGAGGTAAAGGTTATATTTGCATTTCTAAAGGGCTAAGTAGGAAGTGTGGAACCAGGGAAATGAGAAAAGAAGGGAGGGGAAAAAATAACTAAACCACCTGTTAGAAAAGTGGAGGTACTCAGTTACATAACCTGCAAAAGAAAAAAGGAAGTGAATGGGCTGAATGAGGCATTTTCTGGAGAATTCAGAATCCAACTATATTGACTCAATTGTTTAGCTATTTCAGGTCAAAGCAAAGGTGGACTAACTGAAGTTGTCAGGTTGTTGAGAGAATGCATTCCATAGGAAAAGATACATTTGTCATATGCAGAATATCAAGCCAAGTGTTGGGGACAAGCCCATTTGCTGCTAGAGTTTCCAAAACTGTTCATAAATGGAAGAGAAATGCTGAATGGGACAAACAAAAATGAAATTAAATGAAGGATCCATGTCTTGTCAAATCCATAGCAACAAAAAATGTTCCCTGAAATAAAATAACTTTCCCTTTTTAATTTTCTGTTTGTATTTAGCCAAGGAAAGTTTCTTGTCTCTCCATGGAGTTGAGGACAAATCACTGAGCTACATCCTGATAATTCAGCAGCATTCTGCCAAAGGCCAACACAGCCCACAGAAACTCGATGAAAGGCACACGATCAGGCAGTACTGGGGAAATGAGCCTGGCAACCGTCATGGAAATAAAGGCTCCTTATTTCCAAAATGTTCAAGAGGGAAAGAAAAGCTGTTGCTCAAATGTTGGCTTTAGAAATGTGAAGCATAATAGAAAAAACTTCTTCCAGTCTACACTGCACAAAAGCCCCCTTCATCTGGAGGACAAGATTTAATTTCCAATTGTGAAAACCTTCACTTCAACCTCTTCCCACCTATTTGCAACCTTATTTCAGTGAATGGAAGACTATTAGCATTATGGCTGGATTTAGCCATGTTTTAACTAAAATCTCAGCTCAAAAATGTAAATGAATCATGCCAAATGTAGCTTAAAGGAAATACAATTGTGTATGGAAGATGAAATCTCCCTTTGGAAACTGAATTTTCACTTCTGTGACTACTACTGTATATGCCCTCTGACTGGCAGACTGAAGATCTATCTTATCTCCAGCTAATTCCATCAGTAAAGAAAGAAATAGGAAGCTTAGCACGTGTGCTTCTGACTTTATACTTCTACCATCTTCTTTCGTAATGTGTTCATGCCCATATCAGGCCTCTGAACCAGAACTAAGCCATTGTAACCCCTGTGACCTGCACATATACATCCAGATGGCCTGCAGGGGCCAAGGAGTCTGGAGCAGCTGAAAAACCACAAAAGAAGTGAAACAGCCAGTTTCTGCCTTAACTGATTAACCAATCTTACGACATTCCGCCATTATGACTTGTTCCTGCCCTACCCTAACTGATCAATCGACCTTATGACATCCTGGACAATGGATCTCATGATCTCCCCACCATGCACCTTGTGACCCTCTCCCCTGCTGACAACAGATAACCACCTTCAACTGTAACTTTCCACTGCCTATCCAAGTCCTATAAAGCTGCCCCCTCTCCTATCTCCCTTTGCTGACTCTCTTTTCGGACTCAGCCCACTTGCACCCAAGTGAATAGACAGCCTTGTTGCTTACACAAAACCTGTTTAGGTGGTCTTCTATATGGACACACGTGACAGTAGGGTCTTTGTTCACCAGAATTATGAGGATTTAACAAACTGTTAACTAGGTTTCCTTGTATAAAATAAAAGAAATACAAATACAAATGTATGTTAAAAATGTAGATGTACTTTTGGTTTTGCTTTGTTTTCCTTTTAATTTTGAAATAATTTTAGACTTAAAGAAAAGTTGAAAAATAAATATAGTGAGTTCCCACATACTCTTCACTCACCTTCCCTAATGTTTATATCCTAAATAACTATAATACAATGATCAAAACCATGAAATTATCATTTATGCAATACTATTAACTAATCTGCTGACTTTATTTGAATTTCACTAGTTTTTTCACAACTGTCCTTTTCTAGTCCAGGATCCAACCCAGGATCACACATTGTATTTCATTGTTGTTTCCCACAATCTGTGACAGGCCCTTGGTCTGTTTTATTTTACAAAAATATATATTTTTATCTTTAAATGTATTATATTATTTTTATTGACACATCATAACTGTATACATTTATGAGGTATAGGGTGATGTCTTGATATATGTACACAATGAGATATGATTAAATCAACCTGATTAACCTATCCATCACCTCATTTACCTATCATTTTTTAATGGTGAGACACTTGAAATATATTCTCTCAGTTATTTTGAAATATATAATACATTATTATTGACTAGTCACCCTGCTGTGCAATAGATTGTGAAACCTACCTATTACTCCCATGTGAAACTTTGTACCCATTGATCAATAACTTCCAATTTCTTTGCTCCCCACCCTGCTGCCTCTCAGTCTCTGGTAACTATCATTAATCTCTGCTTCTACAAGTTCAACTTTATTAGCTTTAATATCTAAAAGTACATGCAGTATTTGCCTTTCTGTGCCTGGCTTATTTCACTTAACATAATATCCTCCAAATTCATTCATGGTGTCAGAAATTATAGGATTCCCCCACTTCAATTTAAGATGTACAAATGGCCAATAGAAACATTAGAAAGTTCTTAACATTATTAATGATTAGGAAAATACCAATTTAAACCACAGTGAGATACCACCTCATACCTGTAAGAATGGCTTGTATCAAAAAGATGAAAGATCAGTGTTGGAGAGTATGCTGGAAAAAAGGGAACTCATACATTGTCAGTGTAAATTAGTAATACAGCCATTATAAAAAAAGGTATTGAGATTCCTCAAAATACTAAAAGCAGAACTACCATCTGACCCAGTAATTCCACTTCCAAGTATATATTCAAAAAACCATTTTAATATATACTCCATCTTAAAAGGACATTAATAAAGATAGAATCCTTATATACTTAACCTTGGGAATAGAACTGAAGGATCAGCATGTTGAGTAAATGTGTTCTTGTTTTCAAGTTAAGGTAATTTTAGCCACAATTCACTCCAAACAATGACCATTAGTAGATTACTCATTTGATAATTTTTTTCTTATTCTAATATTGGGACCCCTGGTCTATGATCTAGCTAGCTAGCTAGATTTGTAAACTCCTTCATATTAAAAGTCTTAGTAATAAAGAACAAAATTCCACAAACTCAGGACAATCTATAAACCAGCGTATAGAATAAAATCAATTAAAAAATACACACCTATCATAAAGATAGTAAACAATGTCTCAATTGTGAAATAATATTTTAAAAATATACTTGCTGCAGTATTTATTAGCCATTGACAATGCTTGACAACCCTATAGCTCAGTGGTTCTCAACCTAGACAGAATTATGTCCCCTATGGTATTTTTGGCAATACATGGAACCACTTTTGTCACAACCTGTACAGTAAAAGGCAAGGTGGGGAATGCTACTGACATTTAGTGGGTAAAGGCCAGCGATAATGCTAAACATCTGATTACACACAAGATAGCCACCAATGTAAAAGAATTATTCAGCTCAAAATGTCAATAATGTCACTACTAAGAAACCCTGATATAACTGTAGTCCTCAGGAACACCAATAGACACAACACTGTCAAAAAGACAGACCACCCCACCTCTACTAAAAATACAAAAAATTAGCTGGGCATGGTGGCGGGCACCTGTAGTCCCAACTACTCGGGAGGCTGAGGCAGGAGAATGGTGTGAACCTGGGAGGCGGAGCTTGCCGTGAGCCAAGATCGCTTCACTGCACTCCAGCCTGGGCAACAGAGTGAAACTCTGTCTCAAAAAAAAAAGACAAACCAATGGCAAGAACAAGGGTTGATAAATGATGCAGCCAGGTTAGATTTTAAGCAATTTGGCCATGCCAAGAAGAATAAAGAACATTAAAAAGAAAAATGAAGGAAAGTAAATATTATATCAATCTATAAAACTATCCTACCTGGATTGTATTTCTCTTTGAAAGTGCTGAAGCTTAAAATTTAAATACATAACAATATTGGGGAATTAAAAATATATCATTAATGAAATAGCATTTTATGGAAATTTCCTCAAAATAGGAGGCATACAGAATGAAATTGGTAGGCAAGAAAACTAACTCAAAATAGTATAGGATACAGACCTAGGAAAACTTTTCAAACAGGACAGAACTAGTATGGAAGGTACATGGCAGTGGCTCCTAAAATTGGTTGCACATTCACATCACTTAGGAAATCACTTAATGATTCTGGTGCCCAAGTCACATCCCAGCTCAATTAAATCATAATTTCTTAGAGATGTGGCACAACATCAGTGTTTTGGGATGCTCCCCTGGTAATCCCATTGAGAAGACAAGTTGAGGAGTACCTCCTATAGGAGTAATCAAAGGACAATTAACGGTAATGAACTAAAGCAGTACTTCTCAAGCTTTCATGTGAATGTGAATCACTAGCATATCCTAATGCAAATTCTGATTCAACAGTCAGGGATAGGTCCTGAAACTCTGTATTTCTAACCAGCTCCCAGGAAATGCTATCAGTGCTGGTCCATGGACCACTCTTGGAAGAGCAAGAAACAAATAAGAAATAAGGCATTCCTATCCACTTACAACAACTTGACCCCTGGAGAATGGAGAATAGCAAGGCAGGACGAAAGCCCATCAGGGAGCAACACGGAGCCAGGGGAAGCTCCCCCAAGCAAGGAAATAGTGAGTGAATGTGCTACCCTGGGAACCCACTTTTCTCCCATGGATCTTTGTAACCCTCAGGTCAGGAGATCACCTCATGAACCCACTCCACCAGAGCCTTCAGTCTGACACAGAGAGCTATGTGGAGTCTCAGCAGAGCAGCTGCTCAAGCACACATGGAGACCTGGGAACTTTAGAGAAGTTCTACACTTATAAAACCCCATAGTCTCATCCCAAAAGCTCCTCCAGCTGATAAACAACTATAGCAAAGTTTCAGGATATAAAATCCACATACGAAATTCACTAGCATTCCTACATACCAACAACAGTTGAGCCAAAAGCCAATTCAGAAACACAATCTCATTCACAATTGCCACAAAAAGAATATAATGCCTAGAAATACAGCTCACCAAGGGGGTGAACAATCTGTACAATGAGAATTATAAAACACTGCTCAAAGAAATCAGAGAAGACACAAATGGAAAAAATATGCCATGCTCATGGATAGAAAGACTCAGTATCATTTAAATGGATATACTGCCCAAGCAATTTATAGACTTAGTGCTATTCCCATCAAACTACCAAAGACATTCTTCATAGAACTAGAAAAAAATATTTCAAAATTCGCATGGAGCTAAAAAGGAGCCTGAACAGCCAAGGCAATCCTAAGTAAAACGAACAAAGTTGAAAGTATCATGTTACCCAACTTCAAACTATACTACAGAGCTAAAGTAATAATTAAAAGAAAAAAAAGCATGGTACTGGTACAAAAACAGGCACATGGACCAATGGAACAGCATTGATAGCCCAGAAATAAGGTACCACACCTATGACCATCTGATCTTTGACAAAGCTGACAAAAATAAGCAATGGGGAAAGACTCACTATTCAATAAATGGTGCTAGAATAACTGGCTAGCCATAGGCAGGAGATTGAAACTGGACTCCTTCCTTATACCATATGCAAAAATCAACTCAAGATGGATTAAAAACTTAAGTGTAAAACCCAACACTATACAAATCCTGGAAGACAACCTAGGCAATACTATCCTGGGCATAGGAATGGGCAAAGATTTCAAAAAGACACCAAAAGCAATCAAAACAAAAGCAAAACTTGACAAATGGAATCTAATTAAACTTAAGAGCTTCAGTACAGCAAAAGAAGCTATCAACAGAGTAAACAGACAACTTACTGAATGAAAGAAAATATTTGCAAACTATCTGACAAAGGTCAAATTTCAGCATCTATAAAGAACTTAAACATATTTACAAGAGAAAAATAACCCCATTAAAAAGTGGGCAAATGATATGAACAGACATTTTCAAAAGAAGACATACATGTGGCCAACAAGCATATGAAAGAAAAGTTCAGTATGAATGATCATCGGAGAAACACAAACCAAAACCACAATGAGATATCATCTCACACCAGTCAGAATGACTATTACTAAAAAGTAAAAAAAACAAAACAAAACAAAAAAAACCAGATACTGGCAAAGTTGCAATGAAAAAGGAATGCTTACATGCTGTTGGTGGGAGTATAAATTAGTTCAACCATTGTGGAAGGCAGTATGATGATACCTCAAAGAGTTAAAAGCAGTACCACCATTTGACCCAGTAATTCCATTACTGAGTATATACCCAGAGGAATATAAATCATTCTACCATAAAGATAGCAGAGACATGGAATCAACCAAAATGCTACTATAGCAGAGACATGGAATCAACCAAAATGTCCATCAATGAGATTGGATAAAGAAAATGTGGTACATGTACACCATGGAATACTATGCAGCCATAAAAAGAATAAGATTATGTCTCTTGTGGGAACTTAGATGGAGCTGGAGGCCATTATCCTTAGCAAACTAAGACAGGAACAGAAAACCAAATACTGCATATTCTCACCTATAAGTGGGAGCTAAATGATAAGAATTCATGAACAGAAAGGAGGGAACAACAGAAACTGGGATCTACCAGAGGGCGGAGGGTGAGAGGAGGGAAAGGAGCAGGAAAAATAACTATTGGGAACTAGGCTTAATACCTAAGTGATAAAATAATCTGTACAACAAACCCCCGTGACATGAGCTTACCTATATAACAAAATTTCACATGTACCCCTGAACCTAAAATTAAAATTAAAAAAAGTTGGCCGGGCACAGTGGCTCACGCCTGTAATCCCAGCACTTTGGGAGGCTGAGGCGGGCAGATTATTTGAGGTCAGGGATTCAAGACCAGCCTGACCAACATGGTGAAATCCCGTCTCTACAAAAATACAAAAATTAGCTGGGCGTTGTGGCAGGCGCCTGTAATCCAAGCTACTTGGGCGGCAGAGGCAGGAGAATTGCTTGAACCCGGGAGGTGGAGGTTACAGTAAGCCGAGATCCCACCATTGCACTCCAGTCTGGGTGACAGAGCAAGACTCTGTCAAAAAAAAAAAAAAAAAAAAAAAAAAGCAACCACTTAAAATTATATTGTGAAAGAATAAGTAATGATTTAGAAAGAATTTCATGATATAGCTTTAGTTTTAAAAATGGAACAGGGTGGATTAAAGGAAAAGGGCAAATAAACCAGTTAGAGGGCAAATAAGCCAGTTAGCAAGAAAGAAACATTTTTAAAATTCTGTATACCTTGGAGTTAATTGTCATTATTTCTAGGGAAGGGTTGGTGAAATCATAAGTTATTTTTATTTTCTTCTCATTTGAAACAGGTAAAATAGAACTCTCTTCCTCAAAACAAAATATTTAGGCCTCAAGTTTGACTCAGTTTTACTCTCAATTCTTAGCGGATAGTCAGGCTGCTCTCTACAGCCTTCCTAAGTTCCTGGTTCACTGCTACCAGCCACTCCCACAGTCACCAAGAACTGATAGTACCACCCCAACCTCGGTACTATTAATGGAATCTCTGGTGCAGCGGGAAAGCCATCTTAACCCTGTGCTTCAACACTGTCCAAGAACTCCCCAGCTCAACCAAAAATCACAGCTCTTTCTGCTCCAAGACAAAGAAGTGTGAGTCCACATTTGGGGCTGGAACTAGGCTGGAAAATATTCTAAAGAATGTTCACACTAACATCCTTCACCAACTTGCTCTAATTTTATGTGTCAAAATAGTACCCATGCTATTTGATTTTCCTCATTTCAACTGTTTTGTATGAAAATCTTAATACCTATGTATATGGTCCTAACTATAGGCCGCACATTTCTTTTATAATTCCTGTTGGAGAGAGAGGGGAGGGAAATTTATGTGAATACCTGGTGACCTTCCTTGACTTCCCAGGTTTCCTGATGTCATTCATTGATTATGTTCTCCTTCATTATTCTCATACTAACTTAAAAATAGAGTATTTGGAGAAGGTTTTATAGTATTCATTGATGAATATATTTAGCATAGCAGAATTTTTGTTTTAAAAACTGAGTAATACTAAAGACTATAAGCAAACAACATTTAGAGACCCGGTCATAAGTAATTGCTTACACCATGGGTCCAATTACTCTACCATTTAGCAGATTTTAACATTGTTTTCATATAGAAAGAAAAATAACTCAGAGTATTTCAAGCTCCTCCATTAGTGACATGGTATTTCAAGTGTCTGGCAAAAGGTTCGTGGGCGGTTGTTTCTGTTAGACCATTAATCATTCTGTTCCATTATGGAGAACCTCAGATTTGAAGTTATTAGCTTTTTTAACCCTTCTTTGTAATTAGATCAGCATAATTTCTTGTTAAAAGGCAACAAATCAATAAGTCAGCTGAAGGAAATATTCCCCACTTCAGGCAACATATAATTAGCCTATTGGCCTCAAATATCTTTCAAGTAAATTGCTTGAAGCTTATTGTCAAATTAAAATTCATCCAATTTGTTATGTATCTACTATAGGTTTGTTTACATCTAATGCTAAAGAGTAAGTGTAATTCAACTATTTGTTTAGCTGTAATTTTTTTTCCATTTAGGCCTTCTTTTTATTAAAACTGAATAACAGTCTACACATGGAAAAATAAAAATAAAAAGCTATTATTATAAAATAGGGAAATAAAAGCCAATCTAGTCGTGACCAAAGCAATCTAGATCAAAAGCATTGTTTGTAAATATGTCATCTCTTACATTAATCTCTTTCTAAAATTTCATCAAGAAGATATTTTTAAAATGCAGGTAATTAAAGGCAAACTATAATTCTGGAAATCATTCAGGAAAGGGATGTGAGGACAAAAGATTCTGATGACTAAAAAAAGGAGACCTGGAAACTAACAAGATTTCAATTGTCCACTAAAATGTAAGTTACTTGAGGATTAAAACTTGGCTGTTATTTACTACTGTATCCTCAACGCCTTGTACAGTCACTGGTACATAGTAGAGTTCTTAATATTTGCTATATAACTGTTTGGAATATCCCTGTGCAAGGAAAACAATGAATATTAAAAGCATAAACATTTTAAGTGCTGAGAAAGGATTTTCTGCAGCAGAGTGGAAATATTCTGCAAACTGCATCACAACAGATATGATTTGTTCCATAGAGTTAGAGTCTCTCCCAATTTTATGCTCACCAAGTAACTTTTTAGTTGCTAAGCTCACTTCCAAAGGTGGTACATAGTAAAAGACACATGAATGTTCTAGTTATCTAAATTATATATACACAATTGTCAATTAACACTTTGGCACTAGTTTCACAAATCAATCTCCTATTAGTTTGGCTATATCGATAGTGTTCCCCAGAGCCTGACAAGTCCTTGTGAACGTACAGCATTGAAGTTCGAAGGTAAAACCTAAACCCTACCAGGTCCCACAAAGGGACAGATACTCTGTTAGAACCTTATCCAAAATACCTAGTCAAACATTTTCCCATTTCAAAACAATGATAAATTCCAGACGTCAGGGGATGGGACCAACAGCTAACACAAAGAAGAAAGCTATGCAACACCCACAGCACACCCCAGCTGAAAAGAACCATAACTTGGTGTTGGGGAAACCTGGATTTCAGACAACCCCTGACTCTATGGTGTCAACATATTGCTAAACCTCTTATTTGCTAAGTTTTTTTATCAGTAAAATAAATACTTAAAAAAATAAATTTGCTATCTCTGTCTATTTTGCAGAGACGGGGTTTGAGAATTAAAAAAAAAATTACCACTATGTACTACAAGGGGACAGTAAACATCAAGAAAAAGAAGGCATTTTTTTTTTCTTGCAGGATTTTTTGTTAAGCAAAACTCAACACATCGCAAAATAGAGCCCTCTGTCCTCTTTCCCATTTCTAAACTTCTGGCTTATCTTCCCAAGTAATCTATTTTGTTCAATAGCGTGTGTCATTATTCTTAAATCTTTTAGGCAAAAATTCTTGAAGGTGTTTCCCATTCTTCCTTCCCCTTTATATACCAGATCAATTTATTATGAAGTCCTATCAATTATTCAATATAATTCATTTATATTCCTCCCTGCCTGTTTCCTCCCAAGTATTTCAATCTAAGACCTTGCTAAGATGTGACTGAGCAGACAAAAGTAACCCAGTAATAAATCTTACAGGTTATTGGTTTTATTCTTTAGGTAAATTGCAAGTGCTCCAATTTATTAAGTTGCATTTTTTTCTTGATTTCTCCAATAGAACATTTATTTCTTTGGGATAGGGTCCTGGTAATCATGAAATCAGAAGAACTCTTAGGGTTAGATCAAAGAGAATGTGATCACAGTCAGATAACTTTTTGGACTTTCAACAGAGTCTACCTTTCTAAGTCAAAAGTCTGACATCTGCCAAATATAGTTTCTTTCTTTTTTCAAACACTATATTAACTACTGATTGCTTCAAAAGCCTGGAGCTGAAGGATCTACTTCCAGGGAATTTTTTAATTCCCCAATACTGTTATGTATTTAAATTTTAAGCTTCAGCACTTTCAAAGAGAAATACAATCCAGGTAGGACAGTTTTATAGATTGATATAATATTTACAGGACTCTTGGCAGGACGCCTCAGTTCTTTCCAAGATCTGCCAAGCCTCTACCTGGGCAGACTGAGCATCCTAACAACATGGTGGCTGGCTTCCCCGACAGCAATCAATCTAAAAGGAAACAAGGCAAAAGCCAGACTGTCTTATATGACCTGTCTATGGAAATTACACACCATCATTTCTTCATCATTCCATTGATTTCATAGGTCAGACTAATTTAATGTGGAAGATTACATAACAGCATGACTACCAGAAGGCAAGGATTATTGGGGGCCATCTTTAAGGATGGGTTCCACAACACCAAAAACTAACTTTCTTGTCTGTGCATGCGTGTGTGTGTGTGTTGTGGTCATTCAACACATTTGTGGGTAACTTTATGGTAACATTTCCAAGATTACAAATGCACCCTTGATTAGATCAACAACTTCTATTGGAAGTTAGGTAGACATTAACCTAAAGCTTTGTACATAGAAACACAGAAATAAAAATGGGTACATAACGAAATGAAGGCAGAAATAAAGATGTTCTTTGAAACCAACGAGAACAAAGACACAACATACCAGAATCTCTGAGACACATTCAAAGCTGTGTGTAGAGAGAAATTTATAGCACTAAATGCCCACAGGAGAAAGCAGGAAAGATCCAAAATCGACACCCTAACATCACAATTAAAAGAACTAGAAAAGCAAGAGCAAACACATTCAAAAGCTAGCAGAAGGCAAGAAATAACTAAAATCAGAGCAGAACTGAAGGAAATAGAGACACAAAAAACCCTTCAAAAAAATTAATGAATCCAGGAGCTGGTTTTTTGAAAGGATCAACAAAATTGATAGACCGCTAGCAATACTAATAAAGAAAAAAAGAGAGAAGAATCAAATAGATGCAATAAAAAATGATAAAGGGGATAACACCACTGATCCCACAGAAATACAAACTACCATCAGAGAATACTACAAACACCTCTATGCAAATAAACTAGAAAATCTAGAAGAAATGGATAAATTCCTCGACACATACACACTCCCAAGACTAAACCAGGAAGAAGTTGAATCTCTGAATAGACCAATAACAGGCTCTGAAATTGAGGCAATAATCAATAGCTTACCAACAAAAAAGAGTCCAGGACCAGATGGATTCACAGCCGAATTCTACCAGAGGTACAAGGAGGAACTGGTACCATTCCTTCTGAAACTATTCCAATCAATAGAAAAAGAGGGAATCCTCCCTAACTCATTTTATGGGGCCAGCATCATCCTGATACCAAAGCCGGGCAGAGACACAACAAAAAAAGAGAATTTTAGACCAATATCCTTGATGAACATTGATCCAAAAATCCTCGATAAAATACTGGCAAACCGAATCCAGCAGCACATCAAAAAGCTTATCCACCATGATCAAGTGGGCTTCATCCCTGGGATGCAAGGCTGGTTCAACATACGCAAATCAATAAATGTAATCCAGCATATAAACAGAACCAACGACAAAAACCACATGCTTATCTCAATAGATGCAGAAAAGGCCTTTGACAAAATTCAACAACCCTTCATGCTAAAAACTCTCAATAAATTAGGTATTGATGGGACGTATCTCAAAATAATAAGAGCTATCTATGACAAACCCACAGCCAATATCATACTGAATGGGCAAAAACTGGAAGCATTCCCTTTGAAAACTGGCACAAGACAGGGATGCCCTCTCTCACCACTCCTATTCAACATAGTGTTGGAAGTTCTGGCCAGGGCAATTAGGCAGGAGAAGGAAATAAAGGGTATTCAATTAGGAAAAGAGGAAGTCACATTGTCCCTGTTTGCAGATGACATGATTGTATATCTAGAAAACCCCATCGTCTCAGCCCAAAATCTCCTTAAGCTGATAAGCAACTTCAGCAAAGTCTCAGGATGCAAAATCAATGTATAAAAATCACAAGCATTCTTATACACCAATAACAGACAAACAGAGAGCCAAATCATGAGTGAACTCCCATTCACAATTGCTTCAAAGAGAATAAAATACCTAGGAATCCAACTTACAAGGGATGTGAAGGACGTCTTCAAGGAGAACTACAAACCACTGCTCAAGGAAATAAAAGAGGATACAAACAAATGGAAGAACATTCCATGCTCATGGGTAGGAAGAATCAATATCATGAAAATGGCCATACTGCCCAAGGTAATTTATAGATTCAATGCCATCCCCATCAAGCTACCAATGACTTTCTTCACAGAATTGGAAAAAACTACTTTAAAGTTCATATGGAACCAAAAAAGAGCCTGCATCGCCAAGTCAATCCTAAGCCAAAAGAACAAAGCTGGAGGCATCACGCTACCTGACTTCAAACTATACTACAAGGCTACAGTAACCAAAACAGCATGGTACTGGTACCAAAACAGAGATATAGATCAATGGAACAGAACAGAGCCCTCAGAAATAACGCTGCATATCTACAACTATCTGATCTTCGACAAACCTGAGAAAAACAAGCAATAGGGAAAGGATTCCCTATTTAATAAATGGTGCTGGGAAAACTGGCTAGCCATATGTAGAAAGCTAAAACTGGATCCCTTCCTTACACATTATACAAAAATTAATTCAAGATGGATTAAAGACTTAAACATTAGACGTAAAACCATAAAAACCCTAGAAGAAAACCTAGGCATTACCATTCAGGACATAGGCATGGGCAAGGACTTCATGTCTAAAACACCAAAAGCAATGGCAACAAAAGCCAAAATTGACAAATGGGATCTAATTAAACTAAAGAGCTTCTGCACAGCAAAAGAAACTACCATCAGAGTGAACAGGCAACCTACAAAATGGGAGAAAATTTTCACAACCTACTCATCTGACAAAGGGCTAATATCCAGAATCTACAATGAACTCAAACAAATTTACAAGAAAAAAACAACCCCATCAAAAAGTGGGCAAAGGACATGAACAGACACTTCTCAAAAGAAGACATTTATGCAGCCAAAAGACACATGAAAAAATGCTCATCATCACTGACCATCAGAGAAATGCAAATCAAAACCACAATGAGATACCATCTCATACCAGTTAGAATGGCAATCATTAAAAAGTCAGGAAACAACAGGTGCTGGAGAGGATGTGGAGAAATAGGAACACTTTTACACTGTTGGTGGGACTGTAAACTAGTTCAACTGTTGTGGAAGTCAGTGTCGCGATTCCTCAGGGGTCTAGAACTAGAAATACCATTTGACCCAGCCATCCCATTACTGGGTATATACCCAAAGGACTATAAATCATGCTGCTATAAAGACACATGCACACGTATGTTTACTGTGGCACTATTCACAATAGCAAAGACTTGGAACCAACCCAAATGTCCAACAATGATAGACTGGATTAAGAAAATGTGGCACATATACATGGAATACTATGCAGCCATAAAAAATGATGAGTTCATGTCCTTTGTAGGGACTTGGATGAAATTGGAAATCATCACTCTCAGTAAACTATCGCAAGGACAAAAAACCAAACACCGCATGTTCTCACTCATAGATGGGAATTGAACAATGAGAACACATGGACATGGGAAGGGGAACATCACACTCTGGGGACTGTTGTGGGGTGGGGGCAGGGGGGAGGGATAGCATTAGGAGATATATCTAATGCTAAATGACAAGTTAATGGGTGCAGCACACCAGTATGGCACATGTATACATATGTAACTAACCTGCACATTATGCACATGTACCCTAAAACTTAAAGTATAATAATAATAATAAAAAAAGAATGCTATTAAAGCAGCAGCAAACTGAAAAGCATGGTGTGCCTCACATTTAACATTCGTAAAACATGTATGGTAATATATATTGTGTGGGAGGCTGAACTACCCTGAAATACAACTGCTAAGGGAATTCCAGGAAGAATAATTGAAAATAAATATTGTTTGAATTGTAACAACATAACCCTATGAAATCAGTTTCCAACATAGTTTAGCCAGGAGGTACTGCAACAATCACAAATGTTGAATTAGCCCTACACAATAAATAAGCAAGCAAAGGAGGAAAAAAAAATGGAACAAATTTTTTTGTATTTAGATCATTCTAAACAACCAGTTTAAATATATGGCCACAACAAATTTTCTCCCTGATCCCACATATTTATATTTATATGCCCTCTCATTTTGTTTTTTAATTTATATGAAGGGAAAAAGCTATAGTGTCTTATAATCATGATTTCTGGTTTTAGCTTGCCATTTGCATTTGAGAACTTAGGTAAATTTCAGATTTCACTTCAGCTGTAATGACCTCATCTTTGCTACTCAGAGTGTGGTCTAAGGACCAGCAATAGCAACATTGCCTGGGAATTTGTTAAAATTGCAAATGAACAGCCTCACTTCAGACCCACTGAATCAGAATTTATGTTTCTAACAACATACCAGGTGATTTATTTAGGGAGTGCTTCTCTAGTTTCTATTTCACAGACTGTGAAAGCTGTTATGTCAGATTTTTCACCTCACTAAAGAAAAACATCTATTGGAATTCTCTACACAGCAGATGTCTCAAAACACTGTTGATTAAATGGCCTAATCATGACCTCCTCTGCTGGATACCCTCTGTCTTTGCTTTTCAGGGAAAAAAAAAATAGTTACTCATTTCTAGTTACCTCTGTAAAATGTAAATGTGCAATAAACAGAGCAGAATATGGGAAACTTATTTTTTTCAATTTTGTTAGCTCTTTTAATATACTAATGTACTAAGTACAGAGGCATTAGGCTCTTAATCAATGTTATGGTGAAAATCTTGATACCTTCGAAAAGATAAAATTGCAACTTTCATGAGATAAGATAGGTTTCCCAGCTCTCATGAAGAACATGGGCAAATCATCACTCCAATTTTCTGAGTCCCAGTTGTCTCATGAATAAAATGTGGGTCATAAGAGTATCTCAAAGTTATTCTTTTTACATTTCTTGCACATTTACTGTCAGTAAACTTTACAGATTTTAAATGTACAGCATAATGTGTTTTAGCAAGTATGTACATCTGTGTTAAGTAGCACACCAATTAACATATGGAATATGTCCATCACCCACAAAGTTCCTTGGCCTGCTTCCCGTCAATCCTACCTCCTGGAAAGGATAGGGAGAGGAGTTTTTCAGATAATACTTACAAAACTTAAAGATGGAAAGGGCCTTCATTTTAGAAATGAAAGAACTGAAATTTACCTAAGGTCTCCCAGCTAGTGAATAGCAGAGCTGAAAGCTGACTGTAGGGTTTTAAGCCTCTTATAGTTCTTTTTCCTATAAGTTGAGAAACAATGTAGAAAAGTATAAACGTGTGACTTTCATCACCATAAATTATTTTTGCCTATAGTTAAAATTCATATAAATGAAATCATTCTACTCATGCCCTTTGGCTTTGGCTCCATTTTCTCAATATAATAGTTCAGAGATTCATGCATGTTGTTGCACATGTGAAAAATTCTCACAGGGTTAAGACAAATGAGGTAAATGTATAAGTAGATGTTACACAAATACTTTTCAAATATGAATAAATCAAATAAGGGCATTTGGAGGCCCTGAAATTGCCATCTCTCCTTTTCCAAAATACTGTAGAGTTACGAGTTTAAATGTCATCTCCTGTTGGATGATCTAACTCTAATTTTGCCACCTTTACTCAGATTTCAAATGTGCTACTAAGATTACTATAGCAACTGATGTGGACTAAGCTCTCCCCCAGCCACACCATTTTAACTGATAATATGACAGGTTTTTTTCCTTTAACCTGGGGAAAATCCCCAGCATTGACAATGATCAAATCTGATGGAAATTTTCCCGGAAAGCAATAAGCACCTGAGAAAGATCTCCTCTGTCCATCCATTGTCACTATGGCAACAGGTAATTATAACTGCCCTACATGAGAAAGCCTCTCTCTGCCCAACAATACAGTTACACTGTTTCCATAGAATTACTTAGCATAGATGGAGTGATGATTCAGCCACAATAATGATGAAAATTTATTATCTAAGTCTTACCAACACTTCAACATGAAGGTAAGGTTGTGACTATGGAATCACCAAGTAGTGACTCAGGCAGGAAGCAAAAATAAATGTCCTGGTTAAGACTTTATGGTCAATATGAAGCAGATAATTGAAGCAATTATTTGGCAAATACAAGCCAACAATCATGCTAGAATTATAACATTGTTCAGCAGTAATGGTGCTGTCATGTAAGATCACTGTAATTATGTGTCACTACAGCAATAATGCTTGAACACTTTTTCTGTAAATTTTAATATCAGGTTTTAATTTATTAAAAACCTACTTTCTGATACTTTTAAATATTGACTAGCCAAGTCAAATGCAGTTTTAGAAGTAGTTTTAGGTATACAGCGGTATAACTGTAGTATCTTTCAGAGAGATGATAGATAGATAGATACTAAAATATCTATTGGCTATGTCTCACTGTTAAAATGGTAGATGGCTAATTTGGAACTGGTGCTACTAAGGTATTATAATTTATGAGATAGGACTATTGCAAAAACAACTTATAAAACTCATTTCAAACACATGAGCTATGGAAAGTTTGGAGAGAGGTACTGCTGGCTTTTGATGGCATGTTTTGATCAGTGCCTCAATATGTCATTACAAATTTGTCTCTTTCCTCTGTGATGAGTTTATTTTTGGGTAGAGTCTCTTCAAGTAGCAAAGATACCAATAGCAACCCTAGCTTGCTTTCCTTTCACTTTACAACTCCAGTGGAACATGAAACTTGTTTCCTTATGTTCCAACAAGAGTCTCAGGATGATCCAGGTGGCTCTACTAAGTCACATATTCACCCAGAAGGAAAAGAAGGAGTCTGTTGCAATTTATGTCCACCTGAAGTGCACTCAATGTGAATCTCAACTTTACAAATTAATCTCAAAGAGGACTGAAACTTAGGGTCATTGTGTTAAATGGAGTATTATTAATAAAAACATAATAATAACCTAACAAGTATTTATTAGATGCCTGGAGCCCTGTGTTTTATATTTCCAGCAACAAAATGGTAAAAAGAAATAAATAATAATTTGTGGCTCTTATCATCCTAAAATTTATGACTTAGAGAGGTGGCAGGACTTAAGTAAGCAATTAGAAAACATAAGACAATATACAGTCCCATGCAACACTGCAGAACTCAGACTAAAATATGTATGGCAACCTATTAATGTGATTAATCAGTTTTGGTAGAGTATGCTTACCATATGGCCTAGTAGTTCCATTCCCAGGTATTTACTCAAGAGAAATGAAAGCATGTTGTATTAGTCTGTTCTCAGGCTGCTAATGAAGACATACCCAAGATTGGGTAATTTATACAAGAAAGACGTTTAATTGACTCACAGTTCCACATGGCTGGGGAGGCCTCACAATCATGGCAGAAGTGAAGGAAGAACAAAGTCACATCTTACATGGCTGTAGGCAAGAGAGCTTGTTCAGGGGAACTCCCACTTATAAAACCATCAGATCTTGTGAGACTTATTCACTACCATGAGAACAGTATGGGAAAAACACACTCCCATGATTCAATTATCTCCCACTTTAAGAGGATGTGGTAGAAGGATTGCTTGAGGCTAGGAGTTCAAAACCAGCCTGGGCTATATATCAAGACCCCATCTGTAAAAATATCTATGTATATATTCACAGAAACCCTTGAACAAGTGCCCAATAAGGGTTATGTAAGGTTTATTTAATGGGATTATGACAAGCATTGTTTGCAACAGGAAACTATGGGTGCAACTTATGTGACATCCAAAAGATGTATAATTAAAACAAAATATGACATTTCCTTACTCTGGAATTCTAAGAGTCTGTTGAAAAGACTGGCATAGTTCTCTATAAATTCACATAGGAAGACTTCCAAGACAGGATTTTCCAGTCAAGTGATCAAAGTTGAAGAACAATATATAATATATGGTGCCAACTTAAAAAGAATACAAAAACTCTATATTTTTATAGGTACAGTTATGTACACCATAAACATGTATTGTGCAACGACATGGGCAAATGACCAGAAGAATATGTCTTCTTCAAAACAAAAGAGCTTTGCCGTTGTTATCTCTGGAAAAGAAACTGGACCAGCAGATGATGGTAAAGGGGAACTTTGGTTGTGTGTGTGTTGTCTGAGTTTTGTTAGCAAAAATAAATAAATAAATGTGAGGGGAAAATATTTATATAAGCCTAATGTGTTAGTTTGTATTTTTCACTAAAGCGTCTACGGAAAACATTTTTCCATGCAACTGACCTTTACGCTCAAAGCAAAGAATACTGACTACAGAATTATCATATTATGAGATACTGTCTGGGTTTTCTAAATGGAAAGATGCTTTAAAATCTTTACACATAGAAATAAAAAATTTTGAAAAATGTTTCACTATAAAACCCTTGACATTTGCTGAGTGTCTTATATTCAGTTATTGGTTATTTCCTTTCCAAAAAGACTATTAAAACACTTTGAATAATGTGCAAGACTAACTTTTCTCAGAAATTTTAACATTTCCCAGAAAACATAACATTGGCATAAGTTACCACACCAAAATACCTTGTTAAGTATGTTTCTACTCATAGCTCCCATTACTATGTATAGACACTTCTACCTATATCTGGATCCACATGATCTACCTTTTCTCCTGTAATTGGATTGTACCTTCTATGCTCCTAGCTAAGGCTCCCTGAACCTTACATTCCAGTCCCACTCATCTACTCAAGATAACTGCTCTAAGCAATTCTACCTTCTTCCCTTCATCATCAGTTTTTCCTTCTCTACTTGATCATTATTCTAGTCACATCATAAAAAAATACATAGTAATCTGTCTTTCCTCTTACTCCTCCAGCAATCCCCCATTTCTCTCCTTTCCTTTAGAGTGAAACTCCTTAAAAGAGTTGCCTCTATTTTTTCTCCTCCTGTTCTTTCTTGAACCCTCTCCAAAAATACCTTTACCCTATAGAGACCAAGAGAAAACTTTCCTTCATCCTCTGAAGGCTATTGAAAATCAACTGACAAAAGATAGATTCATAGGAGAAAATGCATACAAAATTTATTAACGCACACACGTGTGTGCAGAAGTCATGCAAAATATGAAAACCCAAAGGAAGGGCCAGATGCTTGACACTTTTATATCATCTTGGGGTTACAGAAATAACAGGGCCTTGGAGTGTGGCAAGACAAGACAGGTTATCCAGGGAAAATGAAAGGCATGGGGCAAAAGTGGTCTTGTTACGTAGATGAAACCTCACAGGTAGCAGTATTCAGAAAAAAGTAGATGGTAGCTCCTGGTTGAGTAAATTTTTCTTAGATTGGGACAAGGGAAAGGAGGCTCAAACAAAGCTTGGCTGATAATTTCACCAATGCAGATTTTCTTTACAGATGCAAATCTTCTCCACGAAAGACAGCTTTTTAGGGCTATTCCTGTCTGCAAGCCCTTTGAATATGCCTCTTGAAATATGTCAAACTTGTATATTTTGGGGTGAAATATTTTTGGTTTCCTTTAACCCTCTATATTCCACCAAAACTCAGCCTGTCAATGTTGCCAGAGGCCTTCCACATTGCTAAATCCAATGATCAGTTTAAGTCTTAGGGATAGGTGATCATTTTCTCCTCCATGTGAAGGAAATAAAAATATTTCACCCCAAAATATACTTCTTTGATATATTTTGAGATCGCTGTTCAGATGGCCTGCCAAGAGAATTCATCCAGCAAACTGTCTTTTTGTGGGGGAGATTTGCATCTGCAGATAATAAATGCACTGATGCAGCCAGCCTTTCTTTTCTTTTTCTTCTTCTTTTTCAGAGTCTTTATCTTGTTACTCAGTTTGGAGTGCAATGGCACAATCATGGCTCAGTGCAGCCCCCACCTCCTGGGCTTAAACAATCCTCCCACTTCAGCCTCCCAAGTAGCTGAGACTACAGGCATGTGCCACCATGCCAATTTATTTATTTATTTATTTATTTTTTATTTTTTTTATTTTTTATTTTTTTTTTTTTTTGTGGAGACAGGGTCTCACTATGTTGCCCAGGGTGGTTTCAAAGTCCTGGCCTCAAGTGATCCTCTCAGCTTCAGCCTCCCAAAGTGCTGGGATTATAGGTGTGAGCCACCACAACTAGCCTCAGTCAGGCTTTCTCTGAGGGCCTTCCCTTGTCCTATCTAGGAAAGATTAACTGAGACTCTGACACATTCAAAGGTTTGAAAAAAACATTCACCATCTATTCTCTCTGAGAGCTACTGCCTTTGAGATTTCGTCTACTTAGCGAGACCACCTTTGCTAGCCAGGTCCCCTCTTCTCCCTCTCCCATAACCTGTTTTGTGAGGATTCAAGCCCTGCTTCTTTCTGTCACTCAAAATGGTATATAACCTTCTGAACCCTATGGAAGGGGTGGAGCAATTATTTTGTAATTCTCTTCTGTGCACATTAATACATTTGTATGACATTTCTCCTATTAATCTGCCTTTTGTCACTTGATTTTTCAGCAAACCTTCCCAAGGCAAAAGAGAAGCTTTCCCTTCACCACTACACGTGAAACTCTTTTGTAACATGACTTGCAGGATACCACTACCTCCTAAATCCCCTCCTATTTCTATTTCTACTCCTGTTTGATCTCCTTCCCTGTTTTCTCCAGCTCAGGTGCATTCTCTTAGCTTCAGAAGTATATATCCAATTACCTACTTGACATACATGTACATTTGGATGTCTAACAAACATCTCAAATCCAAAATGTATAGAATTGGGCTCTTTATTTCCCTTTACTCTTCCCTCCTGTAAACCACAATTATCTGAGACAGCCTCAATCAATTTAGAAATTTATGTTGTCAAGGTTAAGAACATGCCCATAACACAGCCTCAGAAAATCCTGAGGATATGTGTCCAAGAGGGTTGGATTACAACTTGATTACATACATTTTAAGGGGATGTAAGTTACAAGCAGACATCATGCAATACATGAAACGTATAGACTGGCTGAATCCAGAAAGGCAGGACAACTTGCAGCCAGGGCTTCCAAGTCCTGGGTGAATTCAGAGATTTTCTGATTGGCAATTGGTTGAAGGAGTTAGCTTATTGTCTAAAGATTTGGAATTAATAGAAAGGGATGTCTGGGTTAAGATAAAGGGTTATGAAGACCAAGGTTCTTATTTTTGCAGATGAAGCCTCCACGTAGCAGGCTTCAGAAAGAATAGATGGTAGATGTTAGTTATCAGACATTAAATTGGTGCCGGATTCTTAGTCTCTCCTTGATCAGGAAAATACCTGGAAAGGGAAGCATATTCTCTACAGAAAGTAGATTTTCTGGAAAAATGACAACTTTGCAGGGCCATTTTAAAATACATCAAAGAAATATATTTCAGGATAAAATACTTCAATTTCATTCAGGGAATACTACCTGCCATTTTGTGTATCACATTGCCACAAAGAGTCTATTTGGTCAGTGTTAAGATCTCTGTTTTAATATTAATGTTGGTCAGTTGCGCCCGAATTCCAAAGGGAGGAGGATATATGAGCGATGTCCAACCCCCCACCTCCCACCATGGCCTGAACTAGTTTTTCAGTTTACTTTAAAATGTTCTTGCCCCAGAGAAGGGTCCATTTGATCTGTTGGGGGCTTAGAATGTTATTTTTTGTTTACACTTTTGTAAGCTCCAAAAAAAACCAAAAATGTATTCCTCTTACAGTCTTCTGCATCTCAGTTAATACCAATTCTATCCTTCTAGCTGTTGGTTCAGGCTAAAACACTTGAATCTGTAGGGGCCAAAGAAAAACTTCTCCTATATCCTCTGAAAGTTTGCTGAAAAATCAACTGACAAAAGGAGATTAACAGAAGAAATGGCATACAATTTTTTTAGTGTGTGTGAGGGAGAATGACAGAGTGATTTCCCTAAGCCCCAGTGGAGTACAGAAGCTTATATACCTTTTTCATAGGGGAGGGAGGAGAGGGGAATATAGACAATTCTTTTGAGGGGCAGTAACTGATTATTAGGGAGAATGAATGGACCAGGGAGACAAAAATTAACTTACAAATGACTCTCTTTGGAATTTGAATGAGCCTGACATGCAGGCATTATCTTGTGGAAAAGTCCATCCAGGTGTGATTGAAGAATTCAATCCTCTTTTCTGCAATAGATAATGAAGTAACAGGGAGTGAATGGAAGGAAATTGTGTTTCTTTTGGTAATAAGCTTTCTTGGTCATATAAGAAAATTTTAGAAAGAGTCCCTCCTTGTGCATGGGGGTGAGGAGGAACAACAAGACAAGGTTAGAGGGACCTTGATTCTGAGGCTTATTTCTGAGGCCTTACAGTTTTCAGAAGTACTCAGCCCAAGTGGCATACTTTGGGGAATCATTTTCTGAACCCCAACAGATTAATCCTAAACTATTCTCTTTCTATCTTACTGCTTATCTATAGACCAAAATCAAAATTCTAAGGACTCCCAACCATCTGAATGGACTTCCTTGTCAGCCAGGGATCTATTAAAATTTAACCTGAGAAACTGTTTCCAGCCATGACATGATGGGAAATGGGGGTTGCACATGCCTCATTTTACCTCTGTGGCATTAACATAACACAGACTGTAAGTCTGATAAGAAACATTTTACAATATATTCTCTCAGAAGCCTATTATGTAAAGGCTTCCTCTGCAAATAAGAACTTTGGTCTCCACAATCCTTTATCTTGACCCAGACATTTCCTTTCTATTGATCCCAGTACTTTAGGTAAACTCAACCAATTGTCAACCAGCAAATTATTATTATTACTATTTTCTTTTAAGACAGAGTCTCACTCTGTCACCCAGGCTGGAGTGCAGTGGTGTGGTCTCAGCTTACTGCAACCTCTGCCTCCCAGGTTCAAGAGAATCTCCTGCTTCAGCCCCCTAAGTAGCTGGGACTACAGGTGTGTGCCATTATGTCCAGATAATTTTTGTATTTTTAGGAGAGACAGGGTATTTCCATTGATATGGTTTGGCTGTGTCCCCACCCAAATCTCATCTTGAATTCTCAAGTATTGTGGGAGGGACCTTGTGGGAGGTAATTGAATCATGGGGGCAGGTCTTTCCTGTGCTGTTATTGTGGCAGTGAATAAGTTTCATAAGATCTGATGATTATATAAGGGGGAGTTTCCCTGGATAAGCTCTATCCTCTAGTCTGCCACCATGTGAGACATGCCTTTCACCTTCTGTCATGATTGTAACATCCCCAGCCACATGGAACGGTAAGTCCATTAAACCTTTTTTCTTCCCAGTCTCAGGTATGTCTTTATCAGCAGCATGAAAATGAACTAATACAGTAATTTGGTACCAGGAGTGGGGTGTTGCTGAAAAGATACCTGGAAATGTGGAAGCGACTTTGGAACTGGGTAACAGGCAGAGGATGGAACAGTTCGGAGGGCTCAGAAGAATACAGGAAAATATGGGAAAGTTTGGAACTTCCTAGAGACTTGTTGAATGCCTTTGACAAAAATGCTGATCGGGATATGATCAAGGTCCAGGCTGAGGTGGTCTCAGATAGAGATGAGGAACTTCTTGGGAACCAGAGCAAAGGTGACTCTTGTTATGTTTTAGCAAAGAGACTGGCAGCATTTTGCCCCTGCCCTAGAAAATCGTGGAACTCCGAACTTGAGAGAGATGACTTAGGGTACCTGGCATAAGAAATTTCTAAGCAGCAAAGCATTTAAGAGGTGACTTGGGTGTGTTAAAGGCATTCAGTTTTACATGGGAAGCAGAACATAAAAGTTCAGAACATTTGCAGCCTGACAATGTCATAGAAAAGAAAATTCCATTTTCTGAGGAGAAATTTGAACTGGCTGCAGAAATTTGCATAAGTAAAGAGGAGCTGAATGTTAATACACAAGACAATGGGGAAAATGTCTCCAGGGCATGTCAAAGGTCTTCATGGCAGCCCCTCTCATCAAAGGCCTGGAGGCCTAGGAGGAAAAAATGGTTTCATGGGTCAGGCCCAGGGTCCCTGTGCTGTGTACAGTCTAGGGACTTGGTTTCCTGCATCCCAGCTGCTCCAGCCATCACTAAAAGGAGTCAAGGTGCAGCTCAAGCTGTGGCTTCAGAGGGTGCAAGTCCCAAGCCTTGGCAGCTTCCATGTGGTGTTGAGCCTGTGAGTGTACAGAAGTCAATAATTGAGTTTTGGGAACCTCTTCCTAGATTTCAGATGTATGGAAATGCGTGGATGTCCAGGCAGGAGTTTGCTGCATGGGCAGGACTCTCATGGAGAACCTCTGCTTGGGCAGTGCAGAAGGGAAATGTGGGGTCAGAGCCCTCACACAAAGTCCCTACTGGGGCATCACCTAGTGAGCCTGTAAGAAAAGGGCCACTGTCCTCCAGACCCCAGAATGATAGATCCATTAACAGCTTGCACTGTGTGCCTGGAAAAGCCACAGACACTCAATGCCAGCCCATGAAAGCAGTCAGGAGGGAGCCGTACTCTGCAAAGCCACAGGGGCGTAGCTGCCCAAAGCTGTGGAAGCCCACCTCTTGCATCAGCATGACCTGGACGTGAGACATGGAGTCAAAGGAAATTATTTTGGAGCTATAAGATTTGACTGCCCCGCTGGATTTTGAACTTGCATGGGTCCTGCAGCCTTTTTGTTTTGGCCAATTTCTCCCATTTGGAATGGGTGTATTTACCCAATGCCTGTACCCCCATTGTATCTAGGAAGTAACTAACTTGCTTTTGATTTTATAGACTCATAAACAGAAGAGACTTACCTAGTCTTGGATGAGACTTTGGACTATGGACTTTTGAGTTAGTGCTGAAATTAGTTAAGACTTTGGGGGACTGTTGAGAAGGCATGATTGGTTTTGAAATGTGAGAACATGAGATTTGGGAAGGACCAGAGGTGGAATGATATTCTTTGGCTGTGTCCCTACCCAAAGATTATCTTGAATTCCCACATGTTGTGGGAGGGACCTGGTGGAAGGTAATTGAATCATGGGGGCAGGTCTTTCCTGTGCTGTTCTTGTGATAGTGAATAAGTCTCGTGAGATCTGATGACTATGTAAGGGGGAGTTTCCCTGCACAAGCTCTCTCTTCTCATCTGCCGCCATGTGAGACGTGCCTTTCATCTTCCACCATGATTGTGAGGCATCCCAAGCCATGTGGAACTGTAAGTCCATAAAACCTTTTTTCTTCCCAGTCTCAGGTATGTCTTTATCAGCAGGATGAAAATGGACTAATACAGCCATGTTGGTCAAGCTAGGCTCAAACTCCTGACCTCAGGTGATCCACATGCCTTAGCCTCCCAAAGCCCTGGGATTACAGGCTTGAGCCATCATGCCTGACCCGGAAAGTTTTTAAAACTACCTATAAGCTGGAACCACACTCCCATCCCCACTTAAAGTTGTCCCTCCTTTCTGAACCAAACCAATGTATTTCTTAAATGTATCTGAAGTTGCATATCTCCCTAAAATGTATAAAACCAGGCTGCACTCCAACCACTTTGAGCACATGTTCTCAGGACCTCCTAAGGGCTTTGTCATGGGCCATGGTAACTCATATTTGGCTCAGTATAAATATCTTCAAATATTTTATGGAGTTTGGACTCTTTTCATCAACATATCTAATTCATCAGTTCAAAAACCCTTTCCACTCAACCTTTCAAATATATTCAGTATCTGAATGCTTTTCACCACCTTAATTGCAACTACCTGGTACAAACCACCATTGTCTTGCCTATGTCAAGCAGGTCTCCTGGATTCTGTCCCATTCCTCTATAGTAGCCCCTCAATAGAGATCAGAGTTGACGCAGCATAGGGAAGAGACTCCATCCTGGCAGACAAGTGACACAGTAACCAAAGTCTTGATGGACATTACATGTCTGGGTATATTTCCTCCCCTACCTTTTTTCCTCCCTTCACATGGTGACACAAGTTACGTAGCAGGAAGACAGTCCTCTCCTAACTTAGCTGACCAGGCTGAATTCCTAACTGTAAAAGAAGGAACCTAACCATTTACCTCTTTGAGTGATGCCTTCCAAAGTCACTGAAGCAAGACTGGCATTCCTGATAAGAAACTGATCAGATCCAGATGCCTGAGGACAAGAAGAACTTCAGAGCTGACCTTTCAGTAACTTTTTCTTCATTATAATTGCATTATAATATTAAAATCTCCACCCAAAGCAAGCTCATCTGCCATTTCCTTCATGCAATGCATGTTAGACTTGTTACTTCATGTCTTATTCCACCTCAACTTCCTTAAAATGACAAGGGCCAAGCCCATCCGGGAACTAGCACTGGGATCTCTTTCCCTTACACAGCTCGCTTGCAATTACTTGAGCAGCAAGCCTATTATACCTTGCCTGGGAAAAAATTATGTTTGGCCTGGTGTTATGTTTACAAGAGAGCCAAGAACATGGATCTGAGCTGAAGTAACAAAGGGAAGCTCTTATAACACACACCAGGCCATATCATTCCTCTGCTCCAAACTCAACTCAGAGACAAAGTCAAAGGCTTTCCTGGCTTTAACCTTGTAAACTTGCTGACATCATCTCCAGCTGCATGCACTTGCTTGCCCTGTGCCAGTCACATGGTCCTCTGGGGTTTTGCCCACACACAAAGCCCCATACCTGCCTGTGCACTCGCCACTCCCTCTGCTTAGAACACTCTCCCTGCAATGCTTTCATGGCTGGCCCTCACTCCCTTCAAGAGTTAAAGTGTCACCTTCTCTGGAGAACTTCCCTGAGTAATCTGACTTTACAAACTACCACTTCTGCTGATGATTCATACTCCACTCCTATGATCATTATTTTTTTCTCCTTGACACTGTCAGAAAAAGGAAAATCTGAAGGAAAAATTTTAGAAGAGGCCCAACATGGCTGCAGGTTGGGCATATGGGTAATGAAAGTAGGCCTATCAGCTAAAAAGGAATTCCTGCCTGCAAGGCTGGAGTCCGTCAGATAGTTCACTGACATGTACTGGTTACAATCTTGACTATCAAATGAAGCACAAAAGCAGAGTAGAATCAATCATCCTTCACCAGACAGAAAGACATCAAAATGCTCGTTAACCTTTTACCCTATATATGTTAGCATATTTCTCCTTTCTCTTACGTACAATGTCACTGAGCACCAATCAAGGTTGTAAAAATGTTACCTTTGCTTCACTATCTGCTTCTCCCATTTCTATGTAACAGTACATGTAACTGCTGTGTCTTGTGTGGCCTACTCAGGGATACATTCTCAGTTTGCACAGAGTCTGCGTTCCAGGCTACTAGTCCTTAAGCTTGGCTCTGAATAAAACTCACTTTAAATTTAAGTTAGTGCCTGTTATACAGCCTTTTGGTCAACAGATGGAGTAGTCAGTGGGATTCCAGCAAGATCCATGGACACGGAGGACTTGTTCTCTTGGGCTTGGAGCTTGGTACCAGAACAAACCCAATGTGTTCTAACCAATTCTCTCCAGGAAGCCACTAGGTGTATATGGTGAGTTGCCTGGGATTCAGACCTTGCTTTTTTCAGTAGAGGTCAAGATTTACTTTATTCTGAGCTGTTTTTAGGGCCACTAAAAGGAGCAGTTATATCCTGGGTTTGCTAAATTCTTCTTAGGGTTGTTACTGCTTTGTTCTAAATTGCTAGGAAGAAAGGAAAGAAAAAGGAAGGTTGACCAAGCATGGCTATGGTTAGAGTGGTGGTTTCTTTGATCACTAAATGTTTCACTTTCCAAACCCCTGTTGTCTGCCACATTGATCCTGATAGCCTGAATCTCGGGTGTTTGTAGATGGCTAAGAATCTTGTGGAGGTGCTGGAGGGGACCCCTGCTGACCTGCGGCAGTCCTATAGGGTTCCATCGTAAGTAGAAGGACATTAACATGCTGACATGTCTCCAAGTGATGCTCATAAAGGGTTGGTCGCCTAGCATTTGGAGCACCTTCACTGTCTTCATTGGCAGGTGAGCCTTCCCAAGACATGCAAGAGGGCTGATCAACTTGGGGGTGAGAGCCTTAGGACTGATGATCACAGGCAGCACAGCTTCAACCATAAACACATACTTAGTTTGGTGCAAAGGAAGGAAGGAAGAATGAGAACCACAGGAAATAAGACATTTAAAATTGAAGGAGGACCTCACCTCCCAAGACAGCAGGTGAATTTATTACTAAAAGTCATGGTACCATATCTTGTAAATTTTTCATTAATTGGACCAACAATACTGAGAATGAAATTCATTTAATTTTGCCAAAATGGGGATGATTCAAGATCCCAAAACTGGTTTATTTACATGCACAATTGAAAAGCGCCAACTCAAGAATTAAGCAGAAAGAATACGATAGTTATTTCAAATGGCATTTAGAATGCTTTAAACAGGAGAATGATAAAATTGCTTTCATACAGGAGGTAAACCACAATATCCGCAATCATTTCTCAACTGGAGAAATTGTCAGAAGTCTCCACTGTCTCATCTCCTCCTCCTACCACTCCTTCTGCTACTGCTCCTCCAAAACCCTCTTATCCTTTGCTCCCAGAACTGCCTTTCTCAGATGCTCCTTTATTCCCTTCCCCATTAGCTACAGAAGTTTTAACAGAACCCTTTGGAGAAAAGTCTAATCCAATGAAATAACCTGCAGTAGTGTATACTCCCTAGACTATCAGAGAACTTAGACCTCTGACTAAAACAACTCCAGATCCTACTCAGGTTTAGTCTAACTGTAAGAATTTATGAACCTGGCTATTCAGATATGTGTCAGTTGGTTCACATGTTGGTACCTGAAAGAAAAGCAAAGGAATGGATATCAAAGGTTGACTGGAAAGATCCACTAACAGACTTTCATAGGCAAACAGCCAAAGACATAGAGAACACTTGAGAATTAGGAAATCGTTTAGCACAAGTAATTCCTCAGATATTTCCTAAGACCACTGACTGGCATAAGGTCCAACAGTGTAGGAAAAAGCCAAATGAAATGGTGTTGGACTATTTCAAAAGATTTGGAAAGGTATTTAAACAATATTCAGGAATGAATGAGGAAAGTCTAGGGATCATCAGAACAATTCCTTACTAAATTCAATTTTCCTCAATGGATTGGATGAACAATTGGCTGAAATAGTTAAATTACACCAAACAAATTGGGATGTGGTACATACTGAATATTGTGAACCTTGCTTTTTAAAGAATGCTCTTCCTTGGAGTAATCAAACAATTCAAATGGTAGGAGTATCTAATCTAATTAACCAATGACTATATACAAATCAGAACTTTTGCCTTTCCAGTAAGGAAATTTACATGGACATTATTCTTTCATTTTGGTGCCTTCCACGTCAATACATTTTATAGAAAGAGACTTTCCAGAAGTTTTTATAGTGTTTATAGTTCCTTCTCTAAAAGAGGTGAAATTTTTTGGAAAGGACTGAAACAGGATTGACTAAAAAATGATAGACCAGAAAATGTGTATCATATGATCATTCAAATTTAACCATCAAGTATTAAGGCAGGACAAGTACTCGATGCCTCTTTAAGCCAAATCCCTAACTATTTATGGTCCTAATTTTCTACTGATATAAGGAAAAATTTAACAACCACCCCAATATGGATACAGGTGGATACAAATAAACCACTTCTTAATATAAAACAATATTAATTAAAACAGGAAGCTACAATAGGAATAAAATTAATGATCAACAATTTCATTAATAAAGGGTGGACTGGCCGGGCGCAGTGGCTCACGCCTGTAATCCCAGCACTTTGGGAGGCCAAGGCGGGTGGATCACCTGAGGTCTGGAGTTCGAGACCAGACTGACCAACATGGAGAACCCCTGTCTCTACTAAAAATACAATATTAGCCAGGCATGGTGGCGCATGCCCGTAATCCCAGCTACTCCGGAGGCTGAGGCAGGAGAATGGCTTGAACCCGGGAGGCGGAGGTTGCTGTGAGCCGAGATCGCGCCATTGCACTCCAGCCTGGGCAACAAGAGCAAAACTCCGTCTCAAAAAAATAAAAAATAAATACAGGGTGGACTATCCCTTGTATCATTAGGAATAAAATGAATGATCAAAGATTTCATTGATAAAGGACTGAATATCTCTTGCACTAGTTCTTACAATACTTCCATCTTCCTGGTATGAAAACCTAATGGAAAAGGATAGAGATGTGTACAGATTTGAGAGCCATTAACAATATCATGAATCCTCAATTACCAAGTAATTCCAATCCATTAAAATCTTTTATCCGATATACCTGTAAGCAGTGAACATGTCATGGTAATTAATTTATGTAGTGCCTTTTTCAGTATACCAGTAGACTCTGACAGTCAATATTTGTTTGCCTTTACCTGGGACGGCATCAATATACCTAAATCATTATGCCTCAAGGTTACACCAAAAATCCAACTCATTTTTTGCAAATATTAAGGGCTGAACTGACTAAACTAAATTTTGAAAGAAATTTCACTTTGTTTCAGTATGTAGATGATTCCTTGTTGTGCTCTACCAACCTGCAAGATTGTTAAAATGATTTCCTGTAATTGCTGGGACAATTAGCAAAAAAGGAGGTCATAAGGTATCCAAAGAGAAACTCAAATTTTGCTTAACAGAAGTAAAGTATTTGAGACTTTTTATTTCTAAGGATGGACTACATATAAATCCAGACTAAGTGACTAAAACTGGAATTCCTGCATACCTCACTCCAAAAACTAAGACAGCTAAGGCAGTTTTTAGGTTTTGCTGACTACTGCTGTAGCTGAATCTCCAATTTTTCTCTCATGACACAGCCTTTATATGCATTGTTAAAGGAAGATTGACCTGATCTATTATACTGGACAATGAAAGGACAAATTATTTAAGAAATAGAAGAAAATCTTATGAGACACCCTGCTGTAGGCCATCCAAATTATTAACTGCCATTTTCTCTTTTTGTTCCTGAGAGCCCTGGCAGCATTCTGGGTGTTCTAACCCCAAAACACAGAGAACAATACAGACCTAACTGTTATTATAGTCATCAATTACTCTGTAGCATGAGGGTTGACCACTTCCATGAAAGCTGTATCAGCCATTGTCTTGTTTGTTATAGCCACGCAGGAAATTGTAATGAAGGCTTCCCTGAGTATGTATGTACCTCATTTTGTAGACATTTTTTGAATTCACATCATACACAACACTTTTCTGCCAACAGATTGGCTACTTATGAAGTGCTTTTGTTCTCTGCTTCATATATTACCATCTCTTGTTATAATACTCATAATCCTGCAACATAACTTCCTGAAGCATCTGATTAAATATCTCATGACTATATTTAACTAACAGATGAGCTTTTGATGCCAAGGCAGGATAGGAAACACCACTGGAAAATGCTGACGTTATCTGATTCACTGGACCATATCTAAGGGGTGAATCTGGGGAATACCAGGCAGGTTATGCCATTGTGTCCCTGGTGAATATCACAGAGGGCAATCCCTTACCCTAAGTAAAATCATCACAGTTAACTTAGTTAATAGCACTCACCAGAGTATGTCAATTGGTAAAAATCAAACAGCTAATATTTATACTCACAGCCATTATTCTTTTGGTGTAGTTTATGACTTTGGAAGTTATGGAAACAACAAGGATATTTAACCTCCTCTAGACAACCCATCAAACACGGCTCTCTGGTTTCTGACATGCTGGAAGCCATCCAATTACCAAAAAAGTAAAAAGGGCTATTGTTAAGATTCCTGAACATTCCTAATTTGACTCTCCAGAGAATAAAGGAAAATACTTTGCTGATGCAGCAGCCAAAAAGGGCCACTTTCACACCAATTATTGGATAAACTATAGAGGTAGCTATGTTTAAAATAAGCTCTATCAAGAAGGAGCACCAAGAGGCTTAAGAAAAGGCCTTACACTCCAGCCTGGGTGACAGAGTGAGACTCTGTCTCAACAACAACAGCAACAACAAACAAATAAAAGGCCTCAAAGAGGAAAAACAGATATGGCTAACCAAGCGTGTGGGAGGTGCCCCTCACCTGCTTGTAACTTATGGTATGGACTCAATGACAGACCTATTTTAACCTATGGGATTTCAATTATCTATGTTATAGTACAAACATGAGCTCATTCACTGGGGACTTGATAAAATGATTGCTTGGGAAAAACAATAATACTGAAAACCCTTAACCCACAGTAGCTCATAAGTTTTATGAAAAATATCCAATTTGTCCGAAATATAACCCAGGGAAGCCTCTTTATGATCTCAAGGGTAATTTTCTTTGCCCACTGGACCTTCTATTATTTGGCAAATGGATTTTATCCAATTATCTCCAACCCAAGGCTATAAATATGTACAGGTTATGATTTGCTTGCCTTCTAATTGGGTTGAAGCATTTGCTTGCAGAAAAGCCACAGCACAAGCAATAGAAAAATATTGGAAAGAATAATTCTCTCCTGGAGAATTCCTTTTGAATTATGTAGAAATAGACAAACTCGCAAGAGTGATAGTCCATTCAATTTGTAAAATCTGGTCCATTTTCCAACATTTTCATTGGGCATACCATCCCCAGTCCTCTGGATTAGTGGAATGAACAAACAGAATAATAAAATCTCAGTTGAAAAAATTAAGAGAAGATTTTCATATTGCTTGGCCCTAGGCTTTTCCATTAATTTTGCTTAAACTAAGAGCAACTTCTTTTGGAAAACATCAATTATCCCCACATAAGATAATTACCAGTTGACCTATGAGATTGGATGGAAGATTATATGAACCAAACTTGTTGATTATGGAGGATTATATGAACCAAACTTTGTTACTGTCAAGGATTAACTGAACTTCTCTTCCAAAAACCTAAATTGATAAAAGACTTTTTACAGGGCTCTTCCAGCAGATGAGGATCTTAAGTATCATGATCTCCAGCCAAGGGACGACGTCTATTGGAAAAGACATCATCTAATGGACTCTCTTGAGCCTCATAGCAAGGATCTTACCAGGTGCTGCTGACCAGTTATTGTGCAGCTAAACTGTACAACACTATGCTGCTTGGAAATTTCTTCACCAGATACCAGAATCATCACTCTCAAGTTCAAATTTCCACAGATCCGTAGGGCATGAACACAGTGCAGCCAAGCTCTTTGCTAAGGCCTAACATGTGTGACCTTTGCTCCAATTCCTGATAAGCTCTTCATTTCCATCTGAGATCTCATCAGCTGGCCTTCACTGTCTATATTTCTATTAGCGTTTTGGTCACAATCATTTAAGTCTCTAAGATATTCCAAATTTTCCTTTGTCTTCCTGTCTTCTGTGCCCTCCAAACTCTTCCAACCTCTGCCTGTTACTCAGTTCCAAAGCTGCGTCCATATTTTCAGGTATCTTTATAGCAATGCCCCACTCGTCAGTACCAACTTTCTGTTAGGCTTTTCTTGCATTGCTATAAAGAAATACCTGAAACTGGGTAACTTATAAAGAAAAGAGGTTTAATTGCTTCATGGTTCTGCAGGCTGTACAGGAAACATGATACTGGCATCTGCTTCTGGAGAGTGCTCTGGAAGCTTACAATCATGGGGGAAGACAAAGCAGAGGCTTGCAAATCACATGGTGAAAGCAAGAGCAAGAGAACAAGGGGGGAGGTGCTACACACTTCTATACAACCAGATCTCACAAGGACTCACTCACTGTCATTAGGACAGTACCACGGAGGATGGTGCTAAACCATTAATGGCAAGTCCACCCCCATAATCCAATCATCTCCACTAGGCCACACTTCCAACATTGAGGATTATATTTCAATATGAGATTTAGGCAGGGACACACATTCAAATTGTATCAGACATCAAATTTAATATTCTTCTGCCCAACTCCTCAAGTCCACTCATGAATACTGCTGACTATACAACAACATGCCATCACATCTCAACAGCTCCTAAGGAAAAAATCTTAATTGCAATGACCATCTTGTTTCTCTGTGAAATTAAGAGATATTAGCATAAGACAAGAGCCTTTCACTTCCCCAGAGGAAATACAGGAGCTTTTGCATTCTCACTGACAAATCAGATGATGGCACTTTGTATAGGGCTGAAGAATCAAATAAGAGCATTTCAGAATTCTAATTTAATCCCTTATACCATATAATGCTAAACAAAAGTGACCTGTCCTCTTTGAATCCCTCAAATTATATTATTTGGTCTCCAAGTCTTCCTTTGGAAGATTTCAACCAAAAGGGAGATAGCACTTTATTTTCTGTAGTGTTATGAGCACCAATCAGAATTTCAAGACTATCACCTCTGCTTCACTACCCCCTTATCCCATTTCTAAGTAGGAGAAATACACAAATAGTGTGTCTTGTGTAGCCCACTCAGGGACACATTCTTGGTTTGTGCCAAGTCTGTGTTTTCAGACTATTAGTCCTAAAGCTTGGCTAAGAATAAAACCCACTTTAAGTTTGTTTAAGTTATAGCATCTGTTATTTAACCTTTCACTTGACAGCACTTATCACTGCAAATCCTTATATATAAAAACTTATTTATCTTGTTTATTGCCTGATTCCTCTATTAGAATACATGCTGTAACAGAACAGAGGACTTTATTCAATGCTATATCCTCAGTACCCCAAACAGAGTTTGGTACATGGTTGGCACCCAATAAATACTTGATGAATGAATGAAAATGTTAGTGTTCAAAAGTTTACATTGTTAACATTGGGAACATTGCCAGTCCTGGCTGGAAAGGGTTGAGAAGTAAATGTTTGCATCACATTGCAACCCTGAGGGAAATCCAGGGGCAGGGAAAGCCCTTTTAGAGTTCTTCCATGTCCTCTTCCCTGCCAGCTAAATCCTGCAACCTCTTCTGATGATTGCATGTACCCTCATTTGGATTCTTATCACTTTTTTTTCCCTAAAACTACTGGCCTAAGTCTTATAAAATGTTCAAAAGCTTATTGAAATATAACACATATTTAGAAATGTATAGAACTGAAGTGGACAGGTTAATTTTTTACCAAGTGAGCACTTCCATGCAATTAATACTAGTTCAAGAAACAAACACTGTAAACTCTCTCATAGTTACTATTCACCTCCTACTTCCACCTCTTCATTGGAATGATACTACTTCCCTTACTTATAACACCATAGATGAGTTTTCGTTGTTTTGCACTTAATGGAAGCAAACCATGCGTGCTCTTTTGTGTCTCACTTCTTTTGCTCAATGTTACATTTTGTGAGATCCACCCATCTTTTTGCATGTAGCAATAGTTCTCTCATTTTCATTATTGTATGTCATTCAATTATATGAATATAGCACTATTAATTTATCCATTCTACTATTGATGGACATTTGAGATTCATTCTGTTTGGGGCTATTATGAATAATGCTGCCATAAACATTCCTATTATGTCTTTTGTGAACATACGGGTACATTTCTGTTGAAATATACCTAAAAGTGTAATGATTTATTCTGTTTGGTGAATATATGGGGGCATTTCTATTGATATACAGCTAAAAATGTAATTATTATTAATAGAGTTTGTATTTTGTAGGGGTGCTGGAAAACTTCCCCTCTGCCCTCTGAAGGTTTGCTGAAAATCAACTGACAAAGGCAGATTAATAGGAGAAAAGGCACACAAACATATTAGATCATAGTTTTATATGACATGGGAGCCTTCAGGATGAACACACAAAGATACAGGAAAGCAGTCCATTTTTATGCTTAGGTTCAACAAAGCATAGACAGCTGTGTAGCAATACGATTGGACCAAAAGGGTAAGAGCTTAGGCTAATAGATGGAGTGCAGAATCTTAGCAAGGCTTGTCTGTCTGGATTCTTCTTGGCCTCTCTTTGCAGCATTACTTCCTTCTAGTTATAGGGCAGGACCCTCTCTGGAATGGGAATCTTATGACCTAAAATTAAATAGGGTAAGTCAGATAAATTTTGGTCAGTTTTTACACTGGAAGGTGGAGAAAAAAGTTAAGAGTAATATTTTTAGGTTTTATGGCTGCCTTTGGGCAAAAGGGGTTTTGGTTACTATGACTCACCTTGGGGGAGAGGGATTCTAGTTTCTATGACTAGCCATGGGGGAGACTGAGGGACCAGAGACAGAAAGGCAGAAGGGCAGAGAGAAACTTGCTTCTGAGGCCACTTCTGAGGTCTTCATTTGGGGGGTATTGTTTTCTAAGCCCCCAAATTTGTTCTGCTTTAGTGGACATTGCCAAATAGTTTTCCAAATTATTTGTACCAATTTACACTCCTACCAGCAGTTTATGAGAGTTTCACTTGTTCCACATTCTTGCCAACATTTCGTATTAGTTTTTCAATTTTAAATATTATTGTGGGTACATTGTAGCTTCACATTGTGGTTTTAATTTTTATGTCTCCAATGACTGATGAAATTGGGCACCTTTTCTATATGTATTCGCCATTTGAATATTATTTATTGTGAATTGCCCTTTAAGTTATTTGTGCATTTTTCTGTTGGTCTTAACAGGTTATTTTATCTGGGGAAGACTGCCACTCAGATTCTCCTAACAAATGCCCAATAGTAATATCTCCTTTCTGATTAATCATTCACCACCACTGATTTACAAGGTGTCTGAGGACCCTGCTACCAAGAACACTTGGACCTCAACCCCTCCCAGTTCATGGAATTCAGATATATTCAAATATCTTATAGACTAGGGTGGCCATAATAGAAGGTATATTATAGCAACCAAAAAACAGTGAGGCTTTATAATATTTTCCCTAAAATAGCTGACAGAGTAAGAAAGGACCAGGAACAGAGTTCAAGAACACTGTGGACTATGGTAGAGTGGCACATGTAGACACCTGACCTCAACTCAACCACTGAGGCAGTATGTGCCCTAGGTGAGAAAGGCTGCATCTGGAAATTAAAGAAATTGATTCACCATATCTGGGAAAACAGTGTGTTGCATGGTAAGAGTGATGCCATCTGGAAGCAAAACTGCCAGGGGGACCAATGTTTAACCCCTGAATAATTTAGTGTTCACAGCAAGGTCTTTAAATAATTCCCTTAGCATAGATACCCCATCATAAAGATGCTTATCTAACCTCCTCAGTGGTCATGAGTTTTTCAATAAAGACCTGACCAGCTTTACATGTCTTCAATCTAAAAGCTTGCTATATAAAGGATACTTTCTGGAGTGTGGGTACAGGAATTCAGTTTCTCGTGTGTATCTGAGACATCGCTTCTCTTTCTAAGAAACTGGATTTGTCCATCTCTTCCTTCAGTCTCTCAGCTCCTTTGCTTTTTGGGGTAGATTTGCATAGACCTGCTTACTGTGGAACACTATTAATATACTGAAGGAAACCAGAATATTTCACCCCAAAATATACTTACTTTGCTTATTTTGAAATGTCTATTCAGAGGGGCTGCAAATATAAGAACAACCATGGAAATCTGTTTTATGTGGGGAGATTTGCATCTGTAGAAGATGTAAACCTACATTAGAGAAGAGATAGGAGATGCAAACAAAGTTTTTCTCAGTCCTTCTTATTTGTGTCTAGGAATGATTAACTCACAGGGAAAGAAACTAAAAGTCCAACACTTTAAATGTCTGACGGAAACACTTTACCACAGGCCACCACCTTTTCTTTTTGAGGGAAGCTCTGAGATTACCTGCGAGATTTCTATCAGCATTCACGAGATAGATTTTGCCTGCCATGATTTTCTCCCTTTACTCTCTCATAACCTGTTATGCCACCTCCTCCCTCCACCCCCAGAAGTCCCAAACCCTTATTCTTTCTGGAACTTGATAGTATAAAACTTCAGTCATCTGGCTCTTCTTTGATCTCACCCTTTCTGTATGACTTTCATCTTCATGTGCACATAAATATATTTGTATACCTTTTTTTCCTGTTAATCTGTTCATTTTCAGTTTGTTTTATAGACTCAAATTATGAAAACTTTGGAAGAGAGATGGAAAAAATTCTTTCACTCCTATAATACTTTGGGGGAAAAACATCTTACTGTGAGATTCCCTTCTATCCCAAACCAAATATGCCACAATTTGAAATTTTTTTAAATTATGCAAACCTGACTATTGAGTTTCTCTAGTTTTGAAGCGCAGTGAAACTACTGTAATTTTCCTCCATATTTTATTTTTAAAAGGTATAAATATCAAGAAAAGTTGAAGGAATTTTATATTGAACATCTATATACCCATGGCCTAGAGTCTGCAAATAACATTGTACTTTATTTGCTTTATCACATATCTATTCATCTATCCATCCATTAATATATCTAATTTTTTTATGTATTTCAGAGGAAGTTGTAGACATCAGTAAACTCCTCCCTATGTACCTGAGCATGCATTTCATTAACCAGAGGTCCAGTATTACAATTTCATCAATGTCAGGCAAGACAGATTCTGATCTCTCCAGCACCTACAGAAGATCAATGGCTGATATGATTTGGAAAGGATTTCAGCTTCCCAGCTGTGGAACCATAGGGGCATGGGGCAACACACACTCACCTCAACTAGTCAGCAACAAGAAGGGCTGACTTGTCAGCAAATAAAAGTAGTGTCGCTGGTGACACATGAAACTCAGAACTATGGAGATTCAGATAATATTGTTAATTGAACAACATCTGTAATCACTGGCTTGCAAAACCTGCTTACATGCAATCATATGTCTCACCTCATCTTTCCTGTTAGAGTAAAAGTTAAGGAAAGAAGTTTGGAATAGTACAAAAAAAGCACAGGATTTGGGGCCCTGGAAATCTGGGGCACAAAACCTCGTCTTGAACAAGTCACTTAATTCTGCTGAGACTCAGTTTTTTATATATAAATAGGGATAATAATAGGTACATCACAGAGTTGCAGTAAAATTAAATAAGGCTTTGTGTGCAAAGCTTCAGGCACAGTGCTGGGAACAAAAGAGGCAAGTGATAAATTGAAGTTGTAGCTATTTTTCTAGTGCTATTATTACCAATAAACTTTTTGAAGGCAAAGTCTTAACTCATTCGATTTTTTTCCCTACATGCTTAGCCTCATGTTGGGTTAACAATAGGCTCCAGTAAATATTGACTACATGGAGAAAGGAATGCAGGGCTCCAGATTAGTCTGTGCATTAAAAACTCAAGTAGGTAAATCACAGACTTGCATGACCTTCAGATCAGAATGAGAATCTGGCTGTATATGTGTTTATATTTGCTAAAAGCCATGCTAACATGTGCTACAAGTTTAATTTTCCATTCTCTAGTTGAGACCTTATTTGATGATTTTAAGAAAAAACAATCATGGAAGATGCTGGAATAATTACTCCATTCATTGAATAGATGTGGCTTCTCTGACTTTTCTCATCTTTCCTGTGCTTTGGAATTAGTGTTCTTGGCTAAATGTTACTTGATCCATTTTAGTGCATGTTAGTGACCAGCAAATCAGCTTCTAAGTGTTTCTTAATCACTTCAATTTGCATTCTTTTATATTTAGGGTCAGTGCTGAGTATGGATTAGGCTGAGAATCATTATGGAAATAGTATAACTGAACCCTTGACTTTCTTTTTGATTGCATACTCTACCCATCAGTCACAGCCTCCTGTGGACAAGCTTCTGAGACAAAGCAGTAGAAATCAGGTAACATGGGTGCTAGACAAAAAGTGTTCTTTGAGAAAATATCATGTCAACCCCATCCCTCTGATCCCTTATGAGAGACAGAGAGAGAGAGAGACAGAGAGAGAGACAGAGAGAAAGGGAGAGAGATCTAGAACATGTTAGTCTAGAAGAACTATCTATATAGTAATGCAGTTGATAGCTGTTTAAGAAGCAAAGGTTTTTATTCTACTCTTCTAGTTCATTCTCTAGATCCCAATCAGAAACCTGCCTAGCTAAATGACCTGGGATTTATTTAATGAATTTTCATTGCCTTGACTAACTGTTTTGGAATATATCAGTCCCATTTTTCATCTCCACACTTTCTTATAGTCCTCTCCCTGGAATGTGTAGTTTCATTATGTGTTATATAAAATTGAGTTAATTTGGCATCTTTAAAGCATTACATTTAGGAACACTTGGGAGTCTGGATTGCTAAGAAATTATGACCTCAGAATATTAAAGTTAAAAACTATAAGACTGGGTGTGGTGGCTCACGCCTGTAATCCCAACATTTTGGGAGGCCAAGGTGGGCAGGTCACTTGACGTCAGGAGTTTGAGACCAGCCTGGCCAACGTGGTAAAACCCTGTCTCTACTAAAAATACAAAAATTAGCCGAGGGCATTGTGGTGCGTGCCTGTAGTCCTAGCCACTCGGGAGGCTGAGGCAGGAGAATCGCTTGTACCCAGGAGGCAGAGGTTACAGTGAGCCAAGATCATACCATGGCACTCCAAAAAATAAATAAAATTAAAAACTACAATCAGAAAAATATCCCAAAATAAAACAAAATGAAATCAAATCCTCTCCTACAGCTTTCATTATCAAGGATTGTGGTGTATGGGGTATGGGGTGTGGAGTTGTGGAATCAGGAAGAGACAGGGGACTATATCATGATATGGGAGCTATTAAACTTTAGCCAAAGTCCGCTTTTTAGGAGCTTGAGGCATTGTACCACTCATTCATGTGGTACTGTTCAAGCATTAGGAAGTCAGTTAAATTTCCCAAGATTCTTTAAGTAAGAAAAGTATTTGTCTTCTATAACAATAGACAAAATACCAATAAAAATCTACATATCCATGGATTCCATTTTTGCCAAATTTTAATTTTTATTTGTTTCTGTTTATCTTGGTAGACTTTTGGCGGGGGGAAGGGAATTGTAGTTTTTCCTGAAATTTCCAGATAATCGCATCACTCTTCTGTTAGATTTTGGAGGAAACAATCTATCCTTCCAGGAGCATAAGAAAGAGTAGTTTTTGAAAAATTTTAAAACACTTGCTTGCCCATTGAGGAGGGCAAAATATATCTAGTGATTTTTTTTCAGCATTTTTTCTTAAAAAAAAAAAATTAGTTCCAATCCTTTTCAAAGAGCTATTATTTTGCTTCTCAGAGTTTGTCTCTGATAAGTTTTCTAGGGATATTCGCACTTAAGTTATAAACCTCCAAGAAGCTTCTTTTTTATTCCTTAATCTGAATTGTTTCATTTTGTGTGTGATTGATTAAAAAAAAATCACTTAGTATAATCAAAACCTGAGGAAAATGTTCACTGGTACTCAAGGGTCCTATAGTATTATACTAGTCATTTCATTTTCAGTTTTAGTATTTTGAACTAATTTGTGCAGGATTATGTTTTGTTTCCCTGAAGAGTTTTCCTAATTAATCTAGAGAAAGAGGCACTTCCAGTGACACAGTTCAGTGTTTAAGGAAAAGCTGATGTTGCCTTGATTTTTATAAGTGATAGGAAAAATGAGCTGAGGCTAAAAGTTAGTAATTGGGGTTCAAAACAAGGTTCCCCATCTTTATCTTAGCTTCAACAAGAAGTACAGATACACGGTTTCTGAAATAAACTTCCTTGAAATCAAGGACCTACTTTTCATCCTTTTTGGTATTTAGGTAATTTTCCATATCTTATTTTTATACAAAGGTATAATATTGCATAACACAGGGTTTCAAATATTTGACTTCCAAATGTTCTCAAACAAAACAATGAACCTATTTCTACTGGAAACTAGAAACCAATCATTTTGTAGAAAGCAAATTATTCAACCTGTCTGATTTCAGCTTCATGAGATGCTGAAACAAGACTCAAGTCTCTAGAGACAATGTGAAGCTAAAAACAGAGGCAATTAAGCTGGATCTAGACCTATTTTATGGATAGATTTCCAATTTCACAAGGTGAGGTCCAAGAATAGAGACATGTCTATTATGTTCAGTTTGATTTTCATTAGTTTGTTTGATAGAGAATAACTTTGACAAGCCTAAGAATGGAATCCTCTCTCAGCAAGAAATTAAAGATAATTTATATCAGGGAATAAACTTTCATCAAGGAATTGTTAAGCATCTGGGTGACCTTTGGGAAGACCCTTCACTTTGCTGCATTTCAGTTTCAGCATCTACAAAATTAAGCCTCCGAATTCTGTAATTGTTATTGTCCCTTCTAATTTTAAATTTCTATGATAATATTTAAAAATCCCCGCAGCTCAAATAATTTACACTTTAGTACTGATGCTGTAAGAGACCGATCGGTATTATCATATCTAATGAGACCAAGACAAGACTGTGAGGATTCATGAAAATACGTACTTTAGATTTGAGTCAGGCCACACAGTTTACAAAAAGCTTTCATTCTTATCATTTCAGTGTCATTTTTTAGTTTCACAAGACTATACAGCTTGCAAATCATAGGTCTAGAACAAATCTTTTGATTCTAGACACAGGATGTTGTTCATGATGATTTGCTATCTTTGTGGTCATTTTGAAGGAATAGGGTGTAGAATTGGCTGTTAATGTTAACCTTTGACATTATAGTGAGCTTTCCTTTTTTTACATCTTAATAACTAATTATCTCCCTTCTGATGGCATGATGGTGACATAGGAGGAAAGATCTTAATGTTTAGTGATATTGTCCTGGAATTACAATTGAACAAGCACCCCTCCTCTCTCTTTCCTTGTACTGCCATGAAGGACCAAATGGTACAGTGGGCAGAGGATACAAACCGAAATACTTCAAATCAGCTATTCAGTATGAGTGTGATTTGGGTAGAAACACAGGCTTTTTGTTTATAGAGAATAATAATCCACCTCAAAAAACCTGAAGAGACTGGTGTGTGAATGTACATACTGGACCTTTATTATATGTTGATTTTCTATCCTCTTCCCCAAAGGCATCATAGAATTTTAACATTTAAAATGCCTGAAATCCCTTAGAGGAAGAAAAGCATAAACCTGGCTCTAAACCCAGAGACCTAGCTTTACTATATAACTGGATGATCTTGGGGATGTTCTTCAAGCCCTCTGGGCCTTGGTTCCCTCAGTTATACAAAATGTGTGTGTGTCTGTGTGTGTGTGTGTGTGTTTGTGTGTGTACCAACCTCCAAAAAGATTATAAAAATTATCCTCTGCTCTTCTACAATGCTTATTTTTATAGTGTGAATTCGTTTATGTGTGATTGTTATACAGGGAATTATGCCAGTATAATGCAGAGGTCATGTTGGTTTATAGACTTTTTTTCCAGCCTATGAGGTTTTGCACCACTAAGAAACTACAACTGAATGCAAAGTACACCAACATAGCTAAGTACAGTAAGCCTCAGAGGAACAGAGTAGTGTATGTTATGCTAATTTCCCCCCACATTCTTCTTCTTGGCTCAGTTTTGCCGTGTGCTCTGCTCTGAAATTGTTATCGAGGAATTTTCCCTTAACTCAGCAGTTGCGCCCCTCTTTATGCCTCAGTCCATCAAGCCACCTTTACCTTTTTTTATAGATGAATTCTATGCTATTTTAACTAAGCTAGTATTTTTTTAATTAAGATAAGTGTTTGCATTACAAAGTTGAATAGGTTTTGAGCGGTCTTCCCAAAGTCTATTGTTCTATTATACTGCTATTTGTAGAGTACAATTTTACAGAATGTGTTTTATTTGCACAACCACATTCTATATAAATACCTGTAAATCAGACAACATATGTAAAAGACCTAGCACATTGCTCAGCACATACATTTTTAAATACCGGAATCCCTATTCTTTTAAGATGGCAGTATTTTCCTTCAAAAAGCAGAAAAATGAATTTAATGAAATTTGGGGTATCTTGGAGCCTTGGGGGTGTTTTCTGAGTCTATGGAAGAAAGTACAATTCATACTAATAACATTGGCTAAAAGCATAAGCTGTGAACATTGGTGCAAAATGCCCTGGGAGTTATTTATGACTTGATATAAAGAAACTTCAAGGTCAGATTAAAAACAAATTAGACCTAAGGGTTACAGTGCAGCTTATGTATTTTATTTCATCCATCTACTACCTCCCAAACAATACGAGATTCTCCCAGACACCTTTGAATTTTCATGCCACAGTAATGGTTTCATTGAAAGCTCCCCTGAAAATGGAACTGATTAACAGGTACCTATGCTTTGGGAAGCTCTGATAGAAACTTCTTTCTTAGTGCTGTTTCTGAGACCCCACATGTCATAACAGCAGGTGATAGAGGATAGCTGACAGAGATGAATTTGGGCAGCAACTAATAAAGGTCACTAAACACCAACTGTACTTGCAATGGTGGAAACCCAAACTATATCACTGGATCTGGCCTCTGACCAGCTCTTGGTTGCTCATACCTTTTCTGTTAGAAACCACCTTCAAATTCACCAAACTGCGATGTCAAAATCAAAGCTGATCTGGCAGTAGATATATCCAAATTAAAACGAACTCTTGAACCCTGGAAGCTAAGTCACTATTGAAGCAGAGTACCAACTGGGCAGTATAATTAATTCACTCCCAGGCCAAATTGCTAAATTTTTTAAATGTCATGTCATGCTTTCCTCCAGTGGTTATTTCCCTCTAGTCCATTTACCCCGTTGAGGACCAGAAGATGCAAAAATATCTTTGGACTTGCAAAAAAATCACTCTAATGTATAACCAGTGTCCATTTTTAATCAAAAGAACATAGCACACTGTCTTAAAAAATAGTAGGTATTCAGTAAATATGAATCAATTTTTATTTCCCCTGCCATGGATTAAAAAGATGTAAAAATCTACCTTAGCTAGAATGCTGGTTTCTTTTAAAACAAAAGCAAAGAGATATGAAAAGTGCAGGCACTTGTCTATTTCATCTCATAGAATAAGAAAGCTCACATTCAATTTGGGTCACTGATGATTGTATTAAAGCATGCTCTTCTCTGAAAGCTCTTCCAAAGTGTTAAGGACTGGACACTGGATATTTTTCTGAAAGAGTGACTATTTTTATCCTTCTTTCTTCCTCCTTCTCCAAATAGTGGCTATTCACTTTGTCAAGCAATTTTCTTAATAAAAGGCCCCTAAATGCCCATGCAACAAAGAAAGGACAGTGAACCCAGGAGATCATGTCTGCTCACTGTATTCTTAGCCACAGAATAACCATAGAATTATCAGCAACAAGGAGACCAGAGGGAAACTTAAGTAGGGTCTCTGCCCTAACACACAGATGGGCTTACAGGCAAACTTTCATACATTCATTCAATAAATGTTTATTGTGGACCTATTATGTGCTTGGCACTAAAGAAATAATGGTGAACAATAACAAAAAACATGGTTTTCACTCTCACGAAGATTACTGTTTAATGGGTTCTACTGATGTTAATCAAGTAATCACATTAATGAACACATAAATTAGACAAAACAAAAAAAATGGAATACTATTCCGTTAGCGTATATAATAAAGGAACCTGAAAATACCAGAAGGGAATTAGAAAGCACTGTCCTGAAAAAGCAACTTGTGCTGACATCCACAGGATGCATAGTAGTTAATTAAGCAAGGGGTTAAAAAGTAGAGAGATGTGACTGACCATACAAGTTACGTGCTAGAAAGCATGCAGTTTTGTAGGCCATGTTAAAGATTTGGGTCCTTATTTTCAGAATAGTGGGAAAGCTTTGAAGGGAAGGCGCAAAGTTGAAGGAGGCAATTAGGCTATATAGACTATTGCTAAAATCTAGGCAAGAGATGATGGTAGCTGTTTTCTAGGATAGTAGCAATGAATATATGGCTATTCTCTGGAGGTAAAAAGTATGCAATCCGGCTGGGCGTGGTAATCCCAGCACTTTGGGAGGCCGAGGCGGGTGGATCACCTGAGGTCAGGAGTTTGAGACCAGCCTGGCTGACCCCATGAAACCCCATTTCTACCAAAAATACAGAAAATTAGCCGGGCGTGGTGGCACACGCCTGTAATCCCAGCTACTCGAGAGGCTGAGGCCGGAGAATCGCTTGAACTGAGAGGCGGAGTTTGCAGTGAGCCAAGATTGTGCCACTGCACTCCAGCTTGGGCAACAAAAGTGAAACTCCATCTCAGAGAAAAATAAATAAATAAATATAAACAAATCTGCAATCCATGAGGGAAGACTGGTTGTGCTGGGTAAAGAAGGTTAGGGAGGGAGAGGCAGATATCAAGGAGAACTACTAGTTTTCTGACATGTCCAGTTAAATCCCAACTTAGCCAAGGAATTCTGGAAAGGTGAACAAGTTTGTAGAGTGGTGACCGTGAGTTTAGTTTGGGGCTTAGGGTTACTCAGATTTTTTTTAAATGAGCAGACCAATAGGATATGTGAGTCTGGACTTCGGAGGAAAAGTCTATCCTGGAGATAGTTATTTAGAAGTTAGATTATTGGTAATTAATAAAATAAGCATTGATGATAGCATTACCTAGGAGAAGTATATAGGATAGGAAGAGGACAAGACCTAAAACTCAGCTTTGAAGAAACTCAACAGAGGAAAAGAAACTTTAAAGTGGTAGCAAGAAAATTGTTTAAATGATTGACCATGGTGACCAAGCTGGTTCTATTTGTTTAAACCTCCATGTATGGCTGGATTTAAAATTCAAAGCATAATCTAAAGAAAGCCCCCAGTTACTCCTGTCAGGTTTTGATGGGTTGAATACATGAATGAATGAAGTCTTAACTTTATCTCCATTAGGGTTAGACTATAAGAACTAAGCACAATTCCCTATTGCTTTGCAGCTCACTTTGATTTTTTTTTTTCCTTAACCCTGAGCCTTCGTATCATGGGCCGTAAGAGGTGACTTTTCTCCTGTATGGCTCTAAACAATCTCTCACTCATCTCTGTATACGCTTACTCAGTAACAATAGCTCCCACGTAGGGAGTATGCCGGCCACTTTACCTGCATTATCTCATCATTTTTGTAGATACAGAAATTGAGTCTCAAAAAGATTAAGCAACTTGTCCAAGGATACACATTAGTAAATGTCAGACTAAGACTAGTACAAAAGCCAATCTCCTGAGGAGTATGCCGTCCTGTCTAAATAAAATCACAAACGGACAACTTCACTACATGCTCCAACTTTCCTGCTACAGTGTTCAAATATTTCATGCTAAGTAGGATCTTCCTCTTGGACACAGAAGATCGCTATTAAAATGATCATTATTTAGTCCCACATTTCTCACAGTGTGGTACAAAAATTGCATTGAAATCACCTGGATTAAACTTGAGGTTATGAGGCCTTCAGGCTTCTCTCTTTCCCAATCCCACCACCGGCCACAGTCAAAATTCAGTTTCAGTGGGTTGAAGTGAAGCCAGGTCATTTGCAGTTTTAATGAAGTCTCACTTGTTTTTTTCTGCACACAGAAGTTAAGCTTTCTTTTGCACAGTATAATTTGAAAACCATTGACTTAGCAGGACTCAGCTTATTCTTATTGAACTGACTTAAAAGAGTACTTAATTTGAGTACATGTACTGATAAAGATTAACATATCTAGTTATGAAAACCACAAATACGAGACATAGAATACAAAGTGAATAAATGGGCAGTCCAGAGATTAGTACTTGAAGAGGATGCTTAAGTGTTTTTATATGTGGGATGGCAGGGTAAAACAAGCTTTGCCATTTAATGATATTATCTATTTCCTCCCCTGCCCTTACCAGCCATTTCTTTGAGAAGGCAAGATTTAACCTTCTGCATCTACTGGGAAACTGTTTCTACCACTTGATGAAAAACCCTTTTGGAAGGCAGAGGATGGAAATGGCCTCTGCAAATGATTACAGATTGCTATGATTCCATTCTGAGGGCAGATGCCAAGAATCGTGACTGAAAGCAATCTTCTTATCTATAGGGGATTCCTCCTGCCAGTGTTTATGTATATTTTTCAAAATACATTATTATATCTGCAGTGTAACCACAGATGCTGAGCCCCAAGGCAGACACTGCTATTGTAAAGCACCTCCCCTGGCTGTGACACTGGAAAAAGCTTGTTTTCTTCCCTGACCTTTGTTCCATAAAGCTACAAAGGTTCCTTGGAAGTTCTCCAGCACTTTTTTATTTTTAAAGCATCTATGCTATTCTTTTAAAAGTGGTTTAGACATAGTGTGAGGGTGTGAAAGGATATGTGGTTTCTCAGTCCCTGAGAAGTGAAGCCAGAAGCTGCAGAAGGAGATACAGACTAAAGCAACCCGGCAGGCCTAGACCTTATTTTTAAGGAACCTATATACAGACTGGGCTTCACTAGAACACTTTGGCAAGTTTTTGCATCATCA